>NC_000005.10:11263424-12516849 GCF_000001405.40 Homo sapiens | reverse complement strand
AATAACCAGTTGAAACTTGGGATTCCTTTTTTTGTTTCCCAAAGTCATGAATAAGATTGCCATAATATTTTCTTTATGTTGACTTAATTCAGACAGTTTTCTTGATGACTATAGGCTCCTGATCTCCTTTTTCTTAGAGGATTTACAAATACTTGTAATTGCAAATTCTTTCTCTGCCCAATTTAGATGCATATAAATCTCCTTAAAAGCCTCTTGCCAGTTTTACAACTCAGCAATATCTTTCTCAAGAATTTCAGAGCCATCCGTTTGAAATGCAATCATCGAGAAAGGTAGCATGTCTATCTTCCAGTCTCTATGGGAAGGTAGGCACTTTTCCACTTTGATGGGCACTAGTAAGCAAGTATAGATGGCCTAATCACATGGAAAAACCTTTACAAATTTGGAAATAACTCAACATGCCAGACATCTCATTGATCAACCTACCCCTTGATGTCTTTCAGTACTCTTCTGCAAGCTCACACAGAGACTTCTTTTGTTTCAGCAGAGTTCAGTTTAGTCTGTCTCCCCTGTTGCAGTAGTCTTGTATAAAGTCTTCCTTGCCTGTTGTATTTGTCTGTTCTTTTGCTGTTAATAAAGACATACCTGAGACTGAGTAATTTAAAAAGAAAAAGAGGTTTAATAAACTCACAGTTCAACATGGCTAGGGAGACCTCACAATTATGGTGGAAGGTGAAGGAGGAACAAAGGCATATCTTACATAGTGACAGGCAAGAGAGTGTGTGCAGGGGAACTGCCCTTTATAAAAACATCAGATCTCATCAGACCTATTCACTATCACGAGAACAGGAGGGGAGAAACGGCCCCCATGATTCAATTATCTCCACCAGGTTCCTCCCACATGTGGGGATTATGGAAACTACAATTCAAGATGAGATTTGGGTAGGGACACAAAGCCTAACCATATCACTTGTTTAAGTTTATCCAGCCCAATTTTTACTTTGACAACCATCAGACATCAGAAGTCACCTTTCAAAAAAAATGTGACATGCATTTCAACAATAATTTAAAAATTCTCAGGATGACCTTTGTCTTTAGGCTACCACATGCTTATGGTACCAAACTTGTTAATCTCATCGGATTTACAACATGGTATCTACATTAAGAATGTTGGCCAACATTCCTGGCTGCTATTAGAATGATATGTCCAGATAACCCCATCTTTAGAAATCATATGTAAGTACCTTTTCAGTTATGGAACCAAACTTGCCTTATTACAGCGATGACTCAGAATTAAATACCATGTTTTAGAATAAGATTGTAGTGTCATAAGTTATTCAATATGAGTCTTTTCACTGGCAGCTTATATAGGACATCTTATGACAAAATAATAGCATATTTTAATTATTATGAGATAGAAGAAATAAGAGACCTAGCTTCAGTTTAAATAACAATTTATGGTAAGGTACAGACATCACTCTACTCTCACCTCCTAAGAAGCCCTGGACTTTTTTTTTTTTATTTATTCATGCTAAGTTTAAAACTCCTGACTATCTTATTAGTTTATTTTAAATAAAATGCTAACCTTCAGAAAAGTCAACTGGATCCAGAAGGAAAAAAAAGTTAGGATTGGTCCAGTTTGGATCAGATGTACATATCTGAACCAATCAAGTGAGAAGAATAAGATATAATATATTAAAAATTTCAAGTCCCTCAGGACTCCATAGTTGGAGAAGCGAATGGAGATGGTGGAGGGAGAAGAAGGAACAGTTTTCAGAAGAAATAGTGGCTGCTTCTAAAACATGAGATTCTTAGCGAGAAAAATACATATTAAGAAAAATATATTTAAAATGTCAACATAACCAGTGGTTTTCAACTAGAGGCAATTCTGACACCTATGGCATAGGTAACAACATGTCTAATATTTTCTTGTCACACTGAAGAAGGAGGGTGTTACTACTGGCATCTAGTAGGTAGAGTCCAGGAATGCTGCTACACATCCGGTAGTGCACAGGAAAGCTACCTCCAACCCCCAAATAAAGTTTATTTAGCCCATAATGTCAAAAATGCTGAATTTGAGAAATTCTGGTCTAGATTTATATTCTGGATGTCTCCTGTATTCTTCAACTTTTGTTTATATGATATAATTTCACATCTTTTATTACATTAATTATTCTCCCCTTACCAGCTTTTAGTTTTGTGATGCTACTTAAACTGCACTACAATCTTTCTGACACACTGGTTATTCAGAAGTAACTAGTTGACCAAAAGATTTGGAGGAGAAATAAGACAGGAAATATAATAAACATACACTCCTCCCCTTTGTATTTCAATTGTGATATCCTAGAAGCTATAATAATGAAGACATAGTTTTTTAAGTCACATCATGTTTTACCAGATAAAAGTATATGTTCTTTATTTGCTTGTGGTTTCCCTATTTCTAAAATCAGCTCCATGATTAACCCAATAAAGTTGGTTTAACTTTTTCAAGAAACTATTTGACTCTTTTCTCTCATTTTTCTCCTATATATTTAGTTATCAAAACTACTGATTCTTCTACAAAATATATTTCGCATTACACATAACAGTAGCATTTGTTGTAGTGGCAGCAGTACTAACCACCATACTAACCCAAAATTTTGGCCTACACCATGTATCAAAAGCTGTACTATGTGCATTACAAATAATATTAATTTTTTAAAAAACTAGAATTTAGGTAGTACTAGTTCTACACAGCAAATAAATAAATTGTTTGTGTACAAGTTTAATTAATATGTTTATACTTGCAAGGATTTAATTAGTCAGAATTTTGCATCAAATTCTATTTGCCTACAAAAATCCCCTTTTTACCTCACCTGTTGTCATTTTAATTACTTTCCCTTTTCTTTGCCAACTCCTTTATCCCAGGTCTGTTAATTCCAATATTTGATCTCATTATTCTGTAAGTTTCTGCATATTGTCATCTGTTCTAACACTCTCAAGCCCCAGTAAAATCAAATATGTTCACTGGTTTCTCATTTAATATTTAAGGCCAATCAAAATTCAACAATAGATTTGTTGGTTGGAATAACCCTGAAAAAAAATCTGACTTTACTCAATAAAATGGAAATCAAATAGACCATTAATGTCCAATAAGAAAATTACCCCACTTGAGTATTGTTTACAATCATGGTAAATTCATGCAGGTGATTATTTGCAAAGCTAATAAAATAGTTGGAGATCTAAGGAGACAATGAAGCATCCTAGACACTAGGAGAAAAAAAAAAAAAGAGCCTCTTTTACACTTAGGCCAGAGAGACAGAGGCAGTGGTTCAGTTGGAGTTGGAGGTGCAATCCCCAGGGAAAATCTACACTTGCAATCAGAAAGGTCAAAGAGTTCATTAGAAAAGAAAGAGGCATATTTCCCATTATCTCTCCCAATCCTGCAGTTTCCTACCATTGGTACCCACAGTCAGAATCCTGCTGGCAATGTGGAGAACAGAGAGGAAAGATAAAAAAATGAACGTTATAGGCCCAGGAACTTAACAGTTAAGCTGTGAAACTAACTGTTAAATGAGATTCTTCTCTGGAATACAAGAGACTGATTTCAGTATGTAGTTTTCCTTTATCTAATCTCTCATAAGCTTGGTCCCCACACTTATAAACTAATAATCACTAAATTTTCTTCTAGCTTCTTAGATTTCTTTCCTTCTGCTTTCTTTCACTTAATATTATTGTAAACAGCCATACTTCATGTTAAATTATAATTTGGAAATGCTCAAAATCATGATTCTCAGGCAAATGTATATGTGTGTGCACGTGCACATACAAGTTAAAAAATAAATCTTAGGATAAATTTTCTAGGTTGGATACAAAACTAGCTAGTGTCCCACAGGGTTATATGACATAATTTTTAAAGGGTCCTTTTAGCAAGTTACTTTTTTAGGGGTGATATGACTTGGCTTTTTGTCCCCACCCAACTATCACCTTGAATTTTAATCTGCATGATCCCCATTTGTCAAGGGGGAACCAGGTGTAGGTAATTGAATCTTGGAGACAGCTTTCCCCATGCTGTTCTCATAACAGTGAGTGAGTTCTCACAAGATCTGATGGTTTTATAAGAGGTTCTTCTGACCTGTCTGCACTTCTTCTTCCTGCCACCTGTAAAGAAGGTGCCTGCTTGATATGGATTGGCTCCGTGTCCTCACCATAATCTCACCTTAAATTATAATAATCTCCACATGTCAAGGGCAGGACCAGGTAGAGATACTTGGATCATGGGAATGATTTCCCCCATGCTGTTCTCATAGTAATGAGTGAGTCTCACAAGATCTGATGGTTTTATAAGTATCTGACATTTCCCCTACTTGCACTCATTCTCTGTCCTGCCGCCCTGTGAAGACATGCCTTCCACCATGATTGTAAGTTTCCTGAGGCCTCCTCAGCCATGCTGAACTGTGAATCAATTAAACCTCTTTTCTTTATAAGTTACCCAGTCTCAGGTATTTCTTTATAGCAGTGTGAGATGGATTAAAACAATAAATTGGTACCAAGGTAGTGAGACATTGCTGTAAGATACCTGAGAATGTGGAAGCAGCCTGACAATGTGATAGAAAAAAAAGAACACATATTTTTTATATCTGACTGAACCTCTTACTAATTGGAGTACCTGAAAGAGACAAGAATAAAACCAAGTTGGAAAATGTATTTCAGGATATTATCAAGAAAAATTTCACAACCTAGCAAGACAGGCCAACATTCAAATTCAGGAAATTCAGAAAACTCCAGTAAGATACTCCATGAGCAGATCAACCCCAAGACATATTATCATCAAATTATCCAAAGTGAAATTGAAAGGAAAAATGTTAAGGGCAGCCAGAGAGAAAGACCAGGTAACCTACAAAGGGGAGCCCCTCAGACTAATAGTGGATCTCTCACCAGAAACCCTGCAAGGCAGAAGAGATTGAAGAACAATATTCAACATTCTTTTAAAAAAAGAACTTCCAACCCAGGACTTCATATCTGGCCAAACTAGGCATCATAATTGAAGGAGGAAGAAGATATTTTTAAGACAAGCAAATGCTGAGGAAATTCTTCACCACAAGGCCTGCCTTGAAAGAGATCCTGAAGGAAGCACTAAATATGGAAAGAAAAAGCTGTTACTAGCCTCAGCAAAAACACACTGAAGTACACAGACCAGTGATACCATAAAGCAACCAAATAAACAAGTGTGAAAAATGACCAGCTAACATCATGATGACAGGATCAAATTCACACATAACAAAATAAACCTTAAAAGTTAATGGGCCAAGAGCCCCAATTAAAAGACACAGAATGGTAAGGTGAATAAAGAGTCAAGACTCAATGGTATGCTGTCTTCAAGAGACCCATCTCATGTGCAAAAATACACATAGGCTCAAAATAAAGGGATGGAGGAAAAGTTACCAAGCAAAAGGCAAACATAAAAGAACCAGGGGTTACAATCCTAGTTTCTGACAAAACAGACTTTAAACCAACAAAGATTTAAAAAGACAAAGAAGGCCGTTACATACTGGAAAAGGGTTTAATTCAATGACAACAAAAAAGCTAACTATTTTAAATATATATGCACCCAATACAGGAGCACCCAGATTCACAAAGCAAGTTCTTAGATACCTACAAATAGACTTAGACTTCCACACAATAATAATGGGGGACTTTAACACCCCACTGCCAATATTAGGTAGATTATTGAGACAGAAAATTAACAAAGATATTCAGGACTTGAACTCAGCTCTGGATCAAGTGGACCTGTTACATATCTACAGAACACTCCACCCAAAAACGACAGAATATACATTCTTCTCATCACCACATGGCACTTACTCTAAAATTGATTGCATAGTAGGAAGTAAAACACTCCTCAGCAAATGCAAAAGTACTGAAATCAAAACAAACAAAGCACAATTAAATTAGAACTAAAGATTAAGAAACTCTCTCAAAACACACAAATACATGAAAATTTAACAGCCTGTCCCTGAATGATGCCTCCATAAATAATCAAATTAAAGTAGAAATAAAAAAGTCCTTTGAAACGAATGAGAACAGACAATGTACCAGAATCTCTGCAACACAGCTAAAGCAGTATTAAGAGGGAAATTTAACCACTTAATGCCCACGTCAAAAAATTAGGGAGACCTAAACTTAACCACCTAACATTATAACTACAGGAACTAGAGAACCAAGAGCAAACAAAACCCAAAGCTAGCAAAAGACAAGAAATAACCAAGATCAGAGCAGAAGTGATAGAGATACCGACACAAAAACCGTTCAAAAATCAATAAATCAAGGAGCTGAGTTTTTTTAAAACAAATAATAAAGTACACTGCTAGCTAGACTAATATGAGAAGAGAGAAAATCAAATAGATGCAATCAGACATTATATGGAAGATATCACCACTGACCCCACAAAAATAAAAAAAAAACCATCAGAGAATATTATAAAAACTCCTATGCACATAAACTAGAAAATCTAGAAGAAATGGATAAATTCCTGGACTCATATTCCCTCCAAAGATTGAACCAGGAAGAAACTGAATCCTTGAGTAGACCAATAAGAAGTTCTGAAATTGAGGCAGTAATAAATAACCTGCTGTATTAGTCTGTTCTCATGCTGCTATGAAGAAATACCTGAGACTGGGTAATTTGTAAAGAAAATAGGTTAATTGACCCACAGTTCTGCATTGCTGGGGAAGCCTCAGAAAATGTACAATCAAGGTGGAAGGCAAGGGGAAGCAGCCACCTTCTTCACAAGGTGGCAGGAGGGAGAAGTGCAAGCAGGGGAAATGCCAGATGCTTATGAAATCATCACATCTTGTGAGAACTCACTCAGTATCATGAGAACAGCATGGGGAAAACCACCTCCATGATTCAATAACTTCCCACCAGGTTCCTCCTACAACAAGTGGGTATAATGGGAACTACAATTCAAGATGAGATTTTGGGTGGGGACACAGCTAAACCCATATCACCTACCAATCACAAAAAAACAAAAGCCCAGGACCAGATGGATTTACAGCTGAATTCCACCAGAGATATAAAGAAGAGCTGGTACCATTTTTTTCTGAAACTATTCCAAACAGTGGAATAGGAGGGACTCGTTCCTACCTTATCTTATGAGGCCACCATCATTCTGACACCAAAATCTGGCAGAAATACAACAACAAAAAAGAACAGTTCAGGCCAATATCCCTGAAGAACACTGATGCAAAAATCCTCATTAAAACACTGGCAAACAGAATCTAGCACCCATCAAAAAGCTTATCCAACAACATCAAATTGGATTCATCCCAAGGATTCAAAGTTGGTTCAACATATGCAAATCAGTATATGTAATTCAACACATTAATTGAATGTAAGACAAAAACCACATTATTATCTCAATAGATGCAGAAAAGACTTTTGATACAATTCAATATCCCTTCATGCTAAAAATTCTCAATAAACTAGATATCGAAGGAATGTACCTCAAAATAAGATTCATATATGATAAACCCATAGCTAGTATCACACTGAATGGGCAAAAGCTGGAAATATTCCCTTTGAAAACCAGCACAAGACAAGGATGCCCTCTGTCACCCCTCTTTTTTAACATAATATTGGAGGTTCTGGCCAGGGCAATCACTCAAGAGAAAGAAATAAAGGGTATTCAAATAGGAAGAGAGGAAATCATTTTTTTTGTTTGTTTATTTTGCAGGTGGCAAATCCTATATCTAGAAAACCCCAAAGTTTCTCATGCTCAAAGCTTCTTAAGCTGATAAGCAACTTCAACAAAATCTCAGGGTACAAAATACATGTGCAAAATTGCTAGCATTTCTATACACCAACATCAGGCAAGCAGTAAGCCAAATCATGAATGAACCCCCATTCACAATTTCTAAAAAGAGAATAAAATACTTAGGAATACAGCTAACAAGGGAATTAATGGACATCTTCAAGGAGAACTACAAAGCACTACTGAAGGAAATCAGAGAGGACACAAACAATGGAAAAACATTCCACGCTCATGAATAGGAGGAATCAGTATCATGAAATTAGCCATACTCCCTAAAGCAATTTATAGATTCAATGCTATTTCTGTTAAACTACCACTTATATTTTTCACAGAATTAGAAAAAAACTATTTTTAAATTCATATGGGGAAAAAAAGCTTGTCTAGCCAAGACAATGCTGAGCAAAAAGAACAAAACTGGAGACATTAGGCTATCTGGCTTCAAACTATACTACAAAGCTACCATAACCCAAACAGCATGGTAGTGGTACAAATACAGACACATAGACAAATGCAACAGCATAGAGAATTCAGAGTTAAGACTGCAAACCTACAACCATTTGATCTTTTACAAACCTGACAAAAACAAGCAATGGAGAAAGAATTCCATATTTAATAAATGGTGCTGGGAGAACTGGCTAGCCATATGTAGAAAACTGAAGCTGGACCCCTTCTTTACACCTTATAAAAAAGTTAACTCAAGATAGATTCAAGACTTAAATGTAAAAACCCAAACTATAAAAACCCTAGAATAAAATCTAGGCAATACCTTTCAGGACATAGGCACAGTCAAAGATTTCATGATGAAAACACTGAAAGCCAAAATTGACAAATGGCATCTAATTAAACTGAAAATCTTCTTCACAGCAAAATAAACTATCATCTGATTGAACAGACAACCTATAGATTGGGAGAACATTTTTGCAATCTATCTATCTGACAAAGGTCTAATATCCAGAGGCTACGAGGAACTTAAACAAATTTACAAGAACAAAACAACTCCATTAAAAAATGGGCAAAGGACATGAATAGACCCTTCTCAAAAGAAGACGTTCATGCAACCAGCAAACATAAAAAAAAAAAAAGCTCAACATCACTGATCATTAGAGAAATGCAAATCAAAACCACAATGAGATGTCATCTCACTCCAGTTTGAATGACGATTATGAAAAAGTCAAGAAACAACAGATGCTGGTGAATTTGCAGAGAAAAAGGAATGCTTTTACATTTCTGGTAGGAGTGTAATTTAGTTCAACTACTGTGGAAGACAGTGTGACAATTCCTCAAAGATCTAGAATCAGAAATACCATTTTACCCAGCAAACTCATTACTGGGTATATACCCAAAGGAATATAAATAATTCTGTTATAAAGATCCATGAACGTGTTTGTTCACTGCCCCACTATTCACAATCGCAAAGACATGTAATCAACCCAAATGCCCATCAATAATAGACTGGGTAAAGAAAATGTAGTACATGTACATCATGGAATACTATGCAGACATAAAAAGGAGGAAGATCATGTTCTTTGCAGGGACATGGATAGAGATGGAAGCTGTTATCCTCAGCTAACTAATACAGGAACAGAAAACCAAAAACTGCATGTTCTCACTTATAAGTGTGAGCTGAACAATGATAACAAGTAGAAAAATTTTGGGGAGCAACACACACTGAGGCCTGTTGAAGGGAGGTGGGAGGGAGG
The DNA here is from genome assembly GCF_000001405.40 of Homo sapiens. Lineage (NCBI taxonomy): Eukaryota > Metazoa > Chordata > Mammalia > Primates > Hominidae > Homo > Homo sapiens. The sequence continues at coordinate 12,507,399 of NC_000005.10, read as the reverse complement.
AGGGAGAGCATCAGGAAGAATAGTTAATGGATGCTGGGCTTAATACCTAGGCAATGGGCTGATCTTTGCAGCAAACCATCTTGGCACACATTTACCTACATAATGAACCTGCACGTACTTCACATGTACCCAGGAACTTAAAATAAAAGCTGAAGGAAAAAAAATACTGTCCAGTTAAGAAAACCTCAAACTTCCAAGCATGCTTCCTAGAGTCCCACTACAAGCCTTTCTTAAAATAAAGATAAGTAATCACAATCTACTCATTGATTGTTTTCAACTAAGAATACTTCAGGCGCTATTGTTTTTGAAAAGGAGTTTCCTCACTACCTACATTTAAAGTTCTCTTTCGCTATGGTTTGAATAATATTCTTTCCAAATATCATGTGTTGAAATTTAAAGTCAATATGACAGTATTAAGAGGCAGGATCTTTAGAAGGTGATTAAGTTATGAAGGCAGAGCCTTAGTGAGTGGAATTTAGGATTTTATAAAGGAGGCTTCAACAAAAAAAAAGCCATTACATAATGGTAAAGGGTTTACTTCTACAAGAAGATCTGTCTTAAATTTATATGCACCCAATACAGGTGCATGCAGATTTATAAAGGAAGTTTATAGAGACCGTCAAAGAGATTTAGATTCCCTCATAGTAATAATAGGAGACTTTAACATCCCACTAACAATATTAGGCAGATTATTGAGACAGCCAATTAACAAAGATATTCAGGACCTGAACTCAGCATTGAATCAAATTGATCTTATGGATATCTACAGAATTCGCCACTCAAAAAACAACAAAACATATATTATTCTGATCACTACATGGCCTTTATTCCAAAATCCATCATATAATTGAAGCTAAAACACTCTGCAGCAAATGCAAAAGAACAGAAATAATAAGAAACACTCTCTCAGACCACAATACAGACAAGTTTGAAATCAAGACTAAAAAATTCACTCAAAATCATACAATTACATGGAAATTGAATAACCTGTTTTTGAATGACTTTTGGGTAAATAATGAAATTGAGGCAGAAATCAAGAAGTTCTTTGAAACTAACAAAGATACAATGTACCAGAATCCCTGGGACACAGCTAAGGTAGTGTTAAGAAGGAAATTTATAGCACTAAATGACACATTAAAAAATCAGAAAAATCTGAACTTAATCACGCAACTTTACAACTAAAAGAACTAGAGAACCAAGAGTAAACAAATCCCAAAGCTAGCATAAGATAGGAAATAAACAAAATCAGAGCTGAACTAAAGGAGATAAAGGTAGAAAAAAAAATTCAAAAGATCAACAAATCTAGGAGCTGTTTTTTTGAAAAATGTTAATAAGATAGACCACTAGTTAGACAAATAAAGAAGAAAAGAGAGAAGGTTCAAATAAACACAATCAGAAACAACAAGGCAGATATTACCCTCCCACAGAAAAACAGACAATCATCAGAGATTATGAACACCTTTATGCACATAAACTAGAAAAGCTAGAAAAATGGATAAATTCCTGTACAAATACACCCTCCCAAGACTGAAGTAGAAAGAAATTGGGTCCCTAAACAGATCAACAACAAGTTTTGTTATTGAGGCAGTAATAAATAGCCTACAAACCAAAGAAAGCCCAGCATCACATGGATTCACAGCTGAATTCTACCAGAAATACAAAGAAGAGCTGGTATCATTTCTACTGAAACTATTCCAAAAAAATTGCAAAAAAGGGACTCCTCCCTAACTCATTCTATGAGACCAGGATCATCCTAATCCCCAAACCTGGCAAAGATACAACAAAAAATAGAACACTTCAGACCAATATTTTTGATGAATGTCGATGTGAAAATCCTCAACAAAATACTGACAAACTAAACCTAACAGCACATCAAAAAGCTTATTCACCACAATCAAGTAGGCTTCATCCCTGGGATGCAAGTTTCATTCAGCATACCAAATGGTTCATCACACAAACAGAATTAAAGACAAAAACCATAGGATTATATCAATAGATACAGAAAAGGGCTTTTGATAAATTCAACATCCATTCATCTTAAAAACTCTCAGTAAACAAGGTATTGAAGGAACATCCATCAAAATTATAACAACCATCTGTAAAAAACCCACAGCCAACATCATACTGAATGGGCAAAAGCTGGAAGCATTTCCCTTGAAAACCATCACAAGACAAAGACGCCCTCTCTCACCACTCCTATTCAACATAACATTGGAAGTTCTGGCTAGGGCAATTAGGCAAGACAAAGAAATAAAGTGCATCCAAATGGGAAGAGAGGAAGTCAAACTACCCCTGTTTGCAGATGACATGATCCAATATCTAGAAAACCCCATAGTCTCAGCCCAAAAGCTTGTTAAGCTGATAATTTCAGCAAGTCTCAAGATACAAAATCAATGTGCAAAAATCACAAGCATTTCTACAGAACAGTTAATCTGAGAGTAAAATCAAGAACAAACTACCATTCACAATTGCCAAAAATAGTATAAATTACCTAGGAATATAGCTAACAAGGAAGGTGAATGATTTCTTCAAGGAGAACTACAAATCGCTGCTCAAAGAAATCAGAGATGACAATAACAAATAGAAAAACATTCCATTCTAATGGATAGGAAGAATTAATATCATGAAAATGGCCACACTGCCTGAAACAATTTAGAGATTTAATGTTATTCCTATGAAACTATTAATGACATTCTTCACAGAACTAGAGAAAACTATTTTAAAATTCATATGGAACCAAAAAAGAGCCCAAATAGGCAAGGCAATCCTAAACAAAAAGAACAAAGCTGGAGGCATCACGCTACCTGACTTCGAACTATAGCATGGGGCTACAGTAACCAAAACACCACAGTGCTGGTACAAAACAGACACATAGACCAGTGGAACAGAATAGAGAACTCAGAAATAAGGCTGCACACCTATTACTACCTGATCTTTGACAAACCTGACAAAAACAAGCAATGAGGGAAGAATTCCCTATTTAATAAATGTTCTTGGGATAACTGGCTAGTCTTATGCAGATTTAAACTGGACCTTTTCCTTACACCATATACAAAAATTAACTCAAGATTGAAGACTTAAATACAAAACCCAAAACTACAAAAACCCTGGAAGACAATCAGGCAATACCACTCAGGACATAGGCATGGCAAAAATTTCATAACAAAGATGCCAAAAGCAACTGCAGTGAAAGCAAAAATTGACAAATGGGATCTAGTTGAATGAAAGAGCTTCTACACAGAAAAGAAACTATCAACAGAATAAAAAGACATTTTACAAAATGGGAGAAAAATTTTGCAAACTATGCATCTGACAAAGGTCTAATATCCAGCATCTATAAGGAATTTAAACAAATTTACAAGAAAAAACAACCTTTATTAGTCCATTGTCATGCTGTTAATAAAGACATACCCAAGACTCGGTAAGTTATAAAGGAAATAGGTTTAATTGATTCACAGTTCAGCATGGCTGGGGAGACCTCAGGAAAGTTACAATCATGGTGGAAGGGGAAGCAAACATGTCCTTCTTCACATGGTAGTAGGAGGGAGAAGTGCAGAGTGAAGTGGGGGAAATTCCCTTACAAAACCATCAAATCCTGTGAGAACTCACTCACTATTACTAGAACAGCAGGAAGGTAACTGCCCTCATGATTCGATTACCTCCCACTGGGTCCCTCCCTCAACACATAAGGATTATGGGAACTACAATACCCAGTGATGGGATTGCTGGGTCAAATGTTAGTTCTGTCTTTAGGTTTTGAGGACTCACCACACTATCTTTCACAATGGCTGAACTAATTTACTCTTCCACCAATGGTGCAAGGAATATAAATAATTCTATTATAAAGACACATGTATGCATATGTTCATCACTATTCACAATAGCAAAGATATGGAATCAACCTAAATGCCCAACAATGGTAAAGTGGATAAAGAAAATGTGGTACAAGTATGCCACAGAATACTGTGGAGCCATAAAAAAGAATGAGATCATGTCCTTTGCAGGAACATGGTTGGAACTGTAGGCCATCATCCTTAGCAAACTAATGCAAGAACAGAAAACCAAATACTGCATGTTCTCACTTATAAGTATGTGCCAAATGATGAGAACACATGGAGAGAGAGAGGTGAACCATACATACTGGGGCTTTTCAAAAGGTAGAAGATGGGATGAGGGAGAGGATCAGAAAAAAATAACTAATGGATACTAGGCTTGATACCTGGGTGATGAAATCATCTATACAACCAACCCCCACAATACAGGTTTGCTTACGTAACAAACCCGCACATGTACTACTGAACTTAAAAGCTAAAAAAAAAAATAAGGCTTCACACAGTATTCACCCCTTTTTGCCCTTCTGTCATGTGAGAACACAGAGTTCCTCCCATCCAGAAGATGCAGCAACAAGGTCCCATCTTGGAAACGGAAACCAAGCCATTACCAAACATCACCTGCTGGCACCTTGATCTTGAACTTCCAAGCCTACAGAACTGAGAAATAAATCTCTGTTTTGTATAAAGAACCCAGTTACAAGTATTTTGTTATAGCTGTACTAATGGACTAAGACACTCCCTTCTATAACCTTTGTAATTTACCTCTTCTGATTGCTGCCTTTGATTTTAATGAATATCATTTTTCTTCTCAACTAATGTTTATGTCTTTGAGTGTGAACATTAGACCTTACATATAATTGCAGTTCTTCATAGCATATATTATCACTATGTGTTGAACATTAAAATTTTTCTTACTGCCTGCATGCATGGTCTTACATAAAGCACCTCCTGTCTAAGTCACAATTTTCTTACCTGCAATACAGGGTTTTCTAAAGGGCAAATGAAAACACATCGGCTGATATCCAGCACTTGACACAAATTAGCTTTATATGCTTTTTTTCCTTTCTCTCAGTATAAATAGCATAGACTTCTTCCAATATGTCATGTATTACTCTCACACATATATACATTTTAACCCACAGAGCATGTTGCATGAAACCATCATTAACAAATCAAGATACATGTGTAAAATCTTCACAACTAACAATTTTATTCTGAAAAGGTTAACACCCAGGAATAACAGAGAGAGCCATTTCCCTTTTCAGATATGGCAATAAAATAAGTGTGTGAAAGTTTGCTTAAGGGCTAAACAATTCTGAATAGGTAAAAAGAGAAAGCTATTGCAAAGCAAAGATACCTGTTTTCAAATACAGAAATCTGGCCTGATAACAACAAAAGCCTGAAGGAGAAACTGAAGGTAACAACAGATTATGCCCATGAATTAATCTCAGGCCTGTGATAAGCGGTCATCCCCCTGAAATCTATACAAAGAGACTCAGAACCCTTTTATGTTAGATCATTGTTTCCTCATTCCATTCACCCACACCTCCCAAGTGTGCGTACAATTACTATGTTTTAATAGCTCAGTTTTTAAATGACATAGGTGTTATGCTTATAGAAAAGTATGCTAGAAATTTGGTAAACCACCATGAAGAGACATGGGTAACCTCAAGTGGTTCACTATTTTAATAAAAATTGTTAATTGACCTCCCTGACATGTGACAGACACATGCAATGATAAACATGAACACAGATGCCCAGTCCTCTCTCTCACAAAGCCTATAGTAATAGGGAGACAAGTAGATATGGAATTAATAGCTATGAGTATTCTAAAAATTTGAATGAATACTGTGTTTTCTGAAGTTGAGAATTCTATGAGATTTAGCCCAGTGTTGGGCGGACAAGAGAGGCTTGCCAGAGGCAAGCACATTAGCTGAGCAACACATTGAAGTGAATCAAGGGCATAAATAATGGCCTTCTAAGTATGATTAGGCAATTTTTATTTGGCCTAGCACCTTCTAACTAGGTGAAATAGTGCTATTACTTAAATTTTCTTTCTCAGTTTCCTTCACGATAAATTGATAAAACAATCATTATCTTTCTCATCAGATTTTTCCTGATAATTAAAAAGATATGTAAAGTAATTTAAAGGTGCCTATCACATTATAATTACTCAGTATTTTTAAAGTCATTATTATATTGAAGAAAACACAGATCTATGAGTAGTTTTTAATCTTATAAATGGAAGAAAAATAGTTATAAGATTCTTTAGCAAGGCAGGTGGGAGGTGAACATCCCCTAACTTACAGCAACATCAGTGTAGAGGGAAGGGGGATAATTGAAACTTCTTCAGGAGGCAGAGCCAGGAGGACCTGATGAGGGACATGAACCACAAGAGAGATGAGTAGGCAAAAATACTGACTGAGTTCCAGGACAGGGCAGAAACATGATGCCGTTTACACCTGTGGTCAAATAGGAAGAGCACATTGTGAGTGGAAGATGATCAGTTCAATTTGGGACATATTAGCTTAAAGATACTTTCAAAATCATCTAGCCATCTATCTATAAATCTATCTATCTATCACCTATGTAGTATGTATGTACGTATGTGTCTATCTATCTATCTATCTATCTATCTATCTATCTATCTATCTATCTATCTATCTATCTATCCAGTCATATTCTTAGCTGCATTTGTAGTTCTGGAAATGATCAAACTATAGATGGTAATGAAGGCTACAGTTGTAGATAACCTCATTTATGGAGAAAGACCAAGAAAAGGAACAGGGTAACTAAATATATTCTACTATATACTTTAGTGACCTGGAGATAATGTCATCATAAAGTTTCAAGTGAGAAAAGAAGATGGCAAATAAGCAAATGAATATGACATTTTGAATAAAAAAACTGTTCCTATGGAATTCCATATGTGCTTACTATTAGAAAACTTTAGTTGGTTCTTCCACAGCAATTATATATATTTAATGATAAAATAAATTATCAATCAGCTTATCTTTTAAACAAAATCAATAATAACTATCATTAAAATTAATATATTACATGTAATTATTTTTATCATTACTACTATAGCTAATAGAACATATGCACCAATCATCTAAGCACATTTCATATATCAACTCATTTCATCCTCACAGCAACCCTGGGAGACAGACACTGTTATTAACCCAATTTATAGATAAGAAAACTATGGCACAGAGAGATTTGGTAATTCACTCCACACAGGTAACGTATGGCAAAGTTCACACTGGAACTCCAGAGTCTTATTACATAACCTATGCTCTATCATTGCACTGGTATGATGCAAATGCACACACATAGAACTAAATGGTGAATAAGCCTGGTCAGCTACATCTTAAAATTTCTCATAGTTAGTATTACGTTATCACTATATATATGTATATATACAAAATATATAAACATAAATGAGCTTAAAATTACTTTCCCAAATGAAGAAATTATTATTATTTCCAAGGTATTTTAGTAGTGCCAGATGCTTCTTTAGTCATTTACTTGTCTGTTGCATTTCTTGAATATAACATATTATGCCACAAACCATTAAGACATGAAAACATTAGTATACCTCTCTCTCTCTGACTCACTCACTAACACACACACACACACATACACAGACACACACGGAAAATGTTATAGAGGTGTGCATAAACTAATTTTGCCAATATATATTACTATTAATGGTGTATTCTTTTTTTTTTTTTTTGGCAGGGGAGACAGAGTCTCGCACTGTTGCCCAGACTGGAGTACAGTGGCACAATCTTGGCTCACCACAACCTCTGCCTCCCGAGTTCAAACAATTCTCCTGCCTCAGCCTCCCGGCTAGCTGGGATTATAGGCACCCGCCACCATGCCCAGCCAATTTTTTGTATTTTTAGTAAAGATGTGGTTTCAGCATGTTGGCCAGGCTGGTCTCGAACTCCTGACCTTTTGATTGGCCCACGTTGGCCTCCCAAAGTGTTTGGATTACAGTCGTGAGACACCACACCCAGCCAGTAGTGTATTCTTATATAATATATTCAATATTATGTTGTATTAAGAAAAAGATAGGTTAAAATGTTCAGACAAACCTAAAATAAATGGTCTACCATTTGAATAAATTACTAGCGGCATTGCATTTTTATATTATCACCCTTTCATGACAAAATATATAAGATGTCTAAAGGAAAGTACACTTAGTGAGTGAGAGAAAATCTGTTGCTTAGGCAAATAAATAAAAGCATAAAATTTGCATTGTAATTATACAAATTTGTCTGTGTATATAGTGATATACTTTTGTCAATAGATCATTTTTCTCTCTTTACATTTCCTAAATCATAGTATATTGGCTGACAGACCACACACTAGGTTTTGTGTGTTGTTCTAGCCATACTGACACAAAATTTATAGGTAAAGTTTATAAGTAAACTGGTTTCAGATCTAATGGTTTGAAATGGACAATTTCAGTTCCCTAAATATTTGTCTTTTATCAGGATGTAAGCACCTTTTATCCTTTATGTTAGGTGATGAAATTACTGACATCTCTCCCTTTGTACCAACACAGTATGTTTTTACAGCTTCTGATTTACCTCTTTGTATTCTTAACTATGGGCTATACTGAGAAAGATATACTGTATTATACCAAGGTAAGCCTGAGGATAAGCCTGATAAAGAACAAAACTGGAAAGTCAGTGGAATGGATTTCTCTCCATATCATATACTTCATGGATGCCCTTCTATTATGGGTCTTTATTTTGCTACTCCTTCAATTTTCTAAAACTATTTGTGTTTCTGACATATCAGATGACTTTATCTATTAAATTTATCTTTTCCATGCTGTGGTTGAGCTTGAAAAACATGTATTTTTATATGTATCCATTTGGAATTATAAAATACTAAATATATTTTAAAATAACAATAGAATATGTTTCCCTTTAATGCCCTTTTCAGCTTCACTCTAATGTCACAAATAGGTGATAGCTTTTTGTCACTGTTTCCTCTTTTGGACTTGCATTTTTCAATTTCCAGTGACCTCGACCATCGCTGTTAGCTTTAGTTGCACCAGTAGAATGGTTTGAGTTTCTTCAAAGTGATTTGATCCATTTAAAAAATATGAACAACTACTTCTATAAGATATAAAACTGATGGCTGAGGCTCAGTAAATTCTCAAGATTCTAAAAATTTAAGGCCATAAATTTTTCTATTCTTCTTAAGAAACACTTTTAAAACAATCCTTGATATGGAAACAGGAGCAAACTCCTTTCATCATTTTTTTTTTTTTTGTCAGAGAACTTTAAATCTGATGGTGTACATGTTATTTACTTGTTCTATCAATTTAAGGGAAATTTCTGAAATGGTACACATGACTTGTCAAGCTATAAGTGTTTTCTTTATCCTCCAAAGATAATTGATAATTGCCAAGTATGAGGAAATGAATCTCATAAAAATACTTGTATATCAGTGTCATTTGCAATGGGAACTGTTTTGCAATAAGTAAAGCCCAAAGAAAAGGGGGCTACAGTGCTTGATATTTTACGTTCCCCAAATTCTAAAAATAGAAAGGGCATTGTGATGGCTAATATTGAGTGTCAGCTGGATTGAATTGAAGGATGCAAATTATTATTCCTGGGAGTGTCTGTGAGGGTGTTTGTTGCCAAAGGAGATTAACATTTGAGTCAGTGGAGTGGGAAAGGCAGACCCACCCTCAATCTGGGTGGGCATCATCTAATCAGCTGCCAGCACAGCCAGAATAAAAGCAGGCAGAAGAACATGAAAGGACTAGACAGGTTTAGTCTTCTGGCCTACATCTTTCTCCTGTGCTGGCTGCTTCCTGCCCTCGAGCATGGGACTCCAAGTTCTTCAGCTTTAGGACTCAGACTGGCTTCCTTACTCCTCAGCTTGCAGACAGCCTATTGTGGGACCTCAAATTTAATCATGTGAGTCAATACTCCTTAATAAACTCCCCTTTATATTTGTCTATCCTATTAGTTTTATCTCGCTAGAGAACCCTGACTAATACCGCCATCTTTACATGCTTATTTCCAATAAATCATGTGAGTATTATTAATCCCAAATTTCTACTATGTGTTCATACACAAATCCATGTCATCATGACCTGTGATGCTGTTTATTTATTTAATCATTTATTTATTTATATTGACACACCGTAATTGTACATATTTATGTGATACAATTTGAGGAAACATGTTTATGTTGATCATATCTATGATGAGCAAATCAGAGTAGTCAGTAAATTCATCACTGCATACATTTATTATTTATTTCTGGTAAGAACATTTAAAAGCCTCTTTTCTGGCTACTTTATAATACTCATACCTTACTGCTAAACATCATCACATTACTGTGCAGTAGAACACCAGATCTTGTTCATTCTATCTAATTGTAACTTTGCACCCAATGACCACCACTATTCTGCTATCCACTTCTATAATACCAACTCTTTTGAGTTTTAGATTCCAAACAATGAATGAGATCCTGCAGTATTTGTGTTTCTATGTCTGGCTTTTCACTTAATATAACATTCTCCAAATACATCTGTGTTGTCACAAATTCTAGGATTTCATTTTTTATGGCTAAATAGTATACCATTGTGTATACATATACATAGTGTACACATACACATTGTGTGTGTGTGTACAAACTATATGTATATAAAGAAATGAGACATACATATACACACACACGCACACCACATGTTCTTTATTCATTTATCTGTTGTAAGACACTTGGGCTATTGAAAATAGTGCTGCAGTAGACATGGGAGTGCAGATAACATCGATATAGTAATTTTATTTCATTAAATATATATCTGGTAGTGAGATCGCTAGATCAAATTATAGTTCTATCTTTAATGACTTAAGGAAGCTTCATACAGTTTTCCATAGTGGCTGTACTAATTTAAGACGTCACTGACAGTGTTTAAGTGTTCCCTTTTTTCCACATCCTCACCAACACTTGTTTTCTTTTGTCTTATTGATAATAGCCATTCAAAAAAGAGTTCAGTGGTATCTTATTGTGGTTTTGATTTGCATTTCCCTGCTGACTAGCGATGTTGAGTATTTATTCATGTACCTGTTGGCCACTGTATGTCTTCTGAGAAATGTCTCAAGGTATTTTGCTCATTTTTAAAATCAGGTTATTTGTGTTTTATGCTGCTGAGTTGCTTGAGTTTCTTACATATTCTAGATATTAACCCTTTGCCAGATGTATAGTTTAGAATGTTTTCTCCCATTCTGAAGGTTGTTTCTTCAATGTGTTGTTTCTTTTGCTATGCGAACGCTTTTTAGTTTGATGTAATTCTATTTGTCTATTTTTGCTTTTGTTGCTTATGCTTTTGAGGTCTTATTTTAAAAACACTAGCCCAGCCCAATGTCATAAAGCATTTCACCTATGTTTACTTATGGCAGTTTCATAGTTTCAGGTTTTACATTTAAGTCTGTAATCCATTTTGAATTTAGTTTTGTATATGGTGAGAGGTAGAGGTCTAGTCTTATTCTTATGCATGTAGATATCCAGTTTCCGTACCAACATTTATTGAAAAGACTGTCTTTTCCTCATTGAGTTTTCTTGATACCTTTGTCAAATATCAGATGGCTGTTGGTGTATGAATTTACTTCCAAGCTCTCTATTCTGTTCCATTGGTCTGTGTGTCCGTTTTTATGCCAGTATCATGCGTCTTTTATTACTATAACTGAATTTTAAGATTTTTTTATATTTCTAAAAGAATGTCATTGGTATTATAATAGGATTTGCATTAAATTTGAAGATTAGTAATATGGTAATTTTAACAATATTAATTCTTCCAATCCATGCAAATGGGCTATCTTTTCATTTATTTATTCCTTCAATTTTTTTTCGCTTAATATTTTATGGCTTTTAGTGTAGATCTCTTTCATCTACTTGGTCATGTTTATTCATAGGTATCTTTTTTTGTTTTGTGACTATTGGATATAGAATTTTTTTATTTTTTCAGATAGTTCACTATGAGGATATAAAAATGCTACTATAGTCAATGATAATTTAATTGTTCAGTTTAAAGTAACTAAAAATAGTATAATTAGATTATTTGTAACACAAAGGATAAATTCTTTGGGACATAGATACCCTATTTTCATGATGTGATTACAATGCATTGCATGCTTGTATCAAATCATCTCATGTACACCACAAATGTATACACCTACTATGTACACACAAAAATTAAAAATAGTTGTTTTTAATGCTACTAATTTGTGCATGCGGATTTTGTGTTCTGCTTCTTTACTGAATTTGTGTATTAGTTATAGCAGTTCTTTTGGGGAACTGTTCTTTAGAGTTGTCTGTATGTGCAATCATGTCACTGCAAACAGAAACATTGTGACTTCCTCCTATCCAATTTGGATACCTTTTATTTCTTTCTCTTGTCCAGGTTTTCTGGCTAAGACTTCCAGCACTGTGTTGAATAAAAATGGCAAAAATGAGAATACATGTCTTGTTCCTGATGTTAGGGTAAATTCAGTTTTTCCTCATTTCGTGTGATGTTAGCTGTGGTTCTGTCAGACATGGTCTTTATTATATTGAGGTACATTCTTTCTATAACTAATTTTTTCAGAGGAATGTTGAATTTTGCCAAATACTTTTCCTGTGTCTGTTGAAGTGACGATTTGTTTGACTTTTATTGTTAATGTAGTATAACATGTTTATTAATTTGCACATGTTGAACTATGCTTGCATCTCAGGGATGAATTTCACTTGATCATAATGAATGATCTTTGTAATGTGCTGTTTTATTTGGTTTGCTAGTATATTGTTGAGATGTTTTGTATCTAGGTTTATCAGAAATATTGGCCAGTAGTTTCCTTTTTTTGTTGTGTTCCTGTCTGATTTTGAAATAAAGGTAATGCTGGCGTCATAAAATTGGTTTGAAAATATCTCCTTCTCTTCAATTTTCTGAAGTAGTTTGAATGGTATTAGGTTTTCCTTAAATGTATGATAGAAGGCAGGAGTGAAATAATCAGATCCTAGGCTCTTTTTTTTTTGTTTTTCTGAAAGAATAGTTTTTTTTTTTTTTTTTTTTTTTGTGAGCAACATGGCTGTTTATTTCACCTGGGTGCAGGCGGACTGAGTCCGAAAAGAGAGTCAGCGAAGGGAGATGGGGTGGGGCCATTTTATAGGATTTGGGAAGGTAATGGAAAATTACAGTCAAAGGGGGTTGTTCTCTGGTGGGCAGGGGTGGATCTCACAAAGTACATTCTCAAGGGTGGGGAGAATTACAAAGAACCTTCTTAAGGGTGGGGGAGACTACAAAGTACCTTCTTAAGAGTGGGGGATATTACAAAGTACATTGATCAGTTAGGGTGGGGCAGGAACAAATCACAATGGTGGAATGTCATCAGTTAAGGCTGTTTTTACTTCTTTTATGGATCTTCAGTTACTTCAGGCCATCTGGATGTATACGTGCAAGTCTCAGGGGATGCGATGGCCTGGCCTGGGCTCAGAGGCCTGACATTCCTGCCTTCTTATATTAATAAGACAAATAAAACAAAATAGTGTTGAAGTGTTGGAGCGGCGAAAATTTTTGGGGGGTGGTATGGAGAGAGAATGGGCGATGTTTCTCAGGGCTGCTTCAAGTGGGATTAGGGCGGCGTGGGAACATAAAGTGGGAGAGATTAAGCTGAAGGGAAGTCTTGTGGTAAGGGATGATATTGTGGGGATGTTAGAAGAAACATTTGTCATATAGAATGATTGGTGATGGCCTGGATACAGTTTTGGATGAACTGAGAAGCTAAACGGAAGATACAAGGTCTGAATAAAAGGAGGAGAAAAATGGGTATTAAAGGACTAAGAATTGGGAGGACCCAGGACATCCAATTAGAGAGTGCCCAAGGGGGTTCAGCGTAATTACTTGCTTGGTTGGCAAGTTTTTGGGCTCTATCCTTGAGTTTTTTTATGTTGTCATACACCAGGCCAGACTGATTTAGGTAAAAACAACACTCCTCATTTAAGAATATGCAGAGTCCTCCTTTTTCAGCAGTAAGTAAGTCAAGGCCTCGGCGGTTTTGGAGGACAACTGCAGCTAAAGAGTCAACTTGGGCCTGGAGGACTGATAAAGTTTGTGATTTTGAGGGCCTCTAAAAGTATTAAAGCAGCAGCAGCTGCTGCACGCAGACATGAGGGCTAGGCTAAAACAGTAAGGTCAAGTTGTTTGGACAAAAAGGCTACAGGGTGTGGTCCTGGCTCTTGTGTAAGAATTCCGACCACGCTAACCATGCCTAGGAAGGAAAAGAGTTGTTGTTTTGTAGAAGGTGCTGGGGTTTGAGAGATCAGTCGGACACGATTGGCAGGGAAAGCACGTGTGCTTTTACGAGAATTACGCCGAGATAGGTAACAGATGAGGAAGAAATCTGGGCTTGACTGAAGTAATGGGGGCTGTCTGTGAAGCTTTGCAGCAGTACAGCCCAGGTAATTTGCTGAGCCTAATGGGGTGTCAGGGTCAGTCTAAGTGAAAGCAAAGAGAGGCTGGGACGAGGGGTGCAGGGGAATAGTGAAAAAAGCATCTTTAAGATGGAGAACAGAATAGTGAGTTGTGGAGGAACGTATTGAGGACAAAAGAGTGTACGGGTTGGGCACCACAGGGTGGATAGGCAAAACAATTTGGTTGATAAGACGCAGATCCTGAACTAATCTGTAAGACTTATCTGGTTTTTGGACAGGTAAAATGGGGGAATTGTAAGGAGAGTTTATAGGTTTTAGAAGCCCATGCTGTAGCAGGCGAGTGATAACAGGCTTTAATACTTTTAAAGCATGCTGTGGGATGGGATATTGGCGTTGAGCGGGGTAAGGGTGACGGAAGGAGTAGAGATGTCCCATACTTGTGGGTTAAGGTGGGGGGATATAAGAAGAAGACGCAAAGGAGGCTTTGAGTTGGGGAGAAGGTCGGCAATGAGATGCGGCTGTAGTCCAGGAATAGTCAGGGAAGCAGATAATTTGGTTAAAATATCTCGGCCTAATAAGGAAACTGGGCAGGTGGGAATAACTAAAAAAGAGTGCATAAAAGAGTGTTGTCCAAGTTGGCACCAGAGTGGGGAGTTTTAAGAGGTTTAGAAGCCTGGCTGTCAATACCCACAGTTATGGAGGCAAGGGAAACAGGCCCTTGGAAAGAAGGTAATGTGGAGCGGGTAGCCTCCGTATTGATTAAGAAGGGGACGGGCTTACCTTCCACTGTGAGAGTTACCGGAAGCTCGGCGTCCGTGATGGTCTACGGGGCTTCCGAGGCGATCGGGCAGCATCAGTCTTCAGCCGCTAAGCCGAGAAGGAGTCAGTCAGAGAGCCTTGGGCCAGAGTTCCAGGGGCTCTGGGAGTGGCTGCCAGGTGAGTTGAACAGTCCAATTTCCAGTGGGGTCCCGCACAGATGGGACACGGCTTAGGAGGAATCCTGGGCTGCATGCATTCCTTGGCCTGGTGGTCAGATTTCTGGCACTTGTAGCAAGCTCCTGGGGAAGGAGGTTCTGGAGGAATGCCTGGCCGCTGCGGTTCAGGCGTTTGGAAGTTCTTGTGTGCTGGAGATGTGGCTGGGGTTTGTCTCGCAGTGGAGGCAAGGAATTGCAACTTTTTCTATTATTGTACACCTTGAAGGTGAGGTTAATTAAATTCTGTTGTGGGGTTTGAGGGCCGGAATTTAATTTTTGGAGTTTTATTTAATGTCGGGAGCAGATTGGGTAATAAAATGTATATTGAGAATAATATTGCCTTTTGACCTTTTAGGGCCTAGGGCTGTGAAGCGTCTCAGGGTTATATTTGATGAAAAAGAGCCTAAACGCTATCTGATTTGGGATAAAGAAAAAGGAGCATTAACCTTGACTATGCCTTTGGCTCCAGCCACCTTTTTAAGAGTAAATTGCTGGGCAGGTGGGGGAGGGCTAGTCACGGAACGAAACTGTAAGCCCGACCAGGTGTGAGGAGGGGAGGCGATAAAAAGATTACAGGGTGCAGGAGCAGAGGCTGAGGAAGAATTGGGACCTAGCTTGGGCTGGCGAGGAGGGGAGAGGTCAGATGGGTCTGTAGAAAAGGAAGATCAGAAAGACTCAGCGACACTTGGGGTTGGGACTGAGGGGACAGGCGGGAGGGAAAGAAGAAAGATTTGGGACGAGTTGCACTGGGCACAGAGACTAGGAAGGGACTGATGTGTAAAGGAATGCCTGGACTTCAGGTACCTCAGACCATTTGCCCATTTTACGACAAGAATTATTTAGATCTTGTAGGATGGAAAAATTGAAAGTGCCGTTTTCTGGCTATTTGGAACTACTGTCAAGCTTGTATTGGAGTCAAGCGGCATTGCAGAAGAAAGTAAGGAATTTAGGTTTTAGGTCAGGTGTGAGTTGAAGAGGTTTTAAGTTTTTGAGAACACAGGCTAAGGGAGAAGAAGGAGGAATGGAAGGTGGAAGCTTACCCATAGTGAAGGAGGCAAGCCCAGAGAAAAGAGTAGTGACACAGAGAAGGGGTGGGGGGTTCTTGCCCTCCAGAAAAGCAGAGAAGGGGTTGGGGCATGGAAATAAGAGGTCAGGGTGCGGAAATAAGGGATTGGGGCACAGAGATAAGAGGTTGGGGTGTGGAAATAAGTGATTGGGGGGTTCTTGCCCCCTAGGAAAGCGGGACTTGCTGCTAAGGATGA
This sequence comes from Homo sapiens, assembly GCF_000001405.40. NCBI lineage: Eukaryota > Metazoa > Chordata > Mammalia > Primates > Hominidae > Homo > Homo sapiens. The sequence continues at coordinate 12,490,884 of NC_000005.10, read as the reverse complement.
AGGAGAAGGGGTTGAGGGGTACTTGCCCCTACCCCAGGAAAGCGGGACTTGCCGCTGAGGGTGAAGGAGAAGGGGTTGAGGGGTACTTGCCCCTACCCCAGGAAAGTAGGACTTGCCGCTGAGGGTGAAGGACCAAGGCAGGCGTCCCTGCGTGGTCTGACACCCTTGAAACGTGAGTATATAATCAGAGAGGCGTCCCTGCAATGATTAAACACCAAGGGAAGGCTGCCTTCCCAGTCCGTGACCGGCGCCAGAGTTTTGGGTTCACGGATAAAACATGTCTCTTTTGTCTCTACCAGAAAATGAAAGGAATTGAAATTAAGAGAAGGGAGAGATTGAAGTGTGGCGCCAAGATTGAAAGGAGAAAGAGGTTGAGGGATAGTGAGGGAGGTTGGAGAAGAGTAGAGGCCACTTACCGGATTTGAAATTGGTGAGATGTTTCTTGGGCTGGTCGGTCTGAGGACCTGAGGTCGTAGGTGGATCTTTCTCATGGAGCAAAGAGCAGGAGGACGGGGGATTGATCTCCCAAGGGAGGTCCCCCGATCCGAGTCACGGCACCAAATTTCATGCGTGTCCCTGTGAAGAGACCACCAAACAGGCTTTGTGTGAGCAACATGGCTGTTTATTTCACCTGGGTGCAGGCGGGCTGAGTCCGAAAAGAGAGTCAGCCAAGAATACTTTTTATTACTAATTCAATTTTCTCACTTGTTATATTACTCTGGTCAGATTTTGTTTCTTCATAATTTAATCTTGATAGGTTGTATGTGTCCAGAATTTATCTGTTTTTTCTGTGTTCTCAAATTTGTTGATATAGAGTTGTTTAAAATAGTCTCATGATCATTTGTATTTCTGTGATATCAGTTTAATAATTCCTTTTACTTCTCTGATTTTATTTGTGTGGGACTTTTTATTTTCACTTAGCCTGGCTAAAGGTTTGTTAATTTTATCTTTCCAAAAGACCAACCCTTTGTTTTATTGATCTTTTGAATTGTTTTAGTATTTACATTACTCATTTCTTCTATGAGCTGCATTATTTCCCCTTTTCTAAGAATTTGGGGTTCAGTTTGTTCCTTGAGGTACATGATTAGGTTATTTATGAGATAGCTTTTTCTTTATTGATGTAGGCATATATTATTATAAACTTCTTTCTTAGAAATGCTTTTGCTGTGTCCCATAGGATTTGGTATGGTATGTTTCCATTTTCTTTTGTCTCAAAAGTTTTTTAAATTTCCCTTTTAACTTTTCATTGATTCATTGTTTATTTAAGAATATTTTTCTTTTCCTTGTATTCGTAAGCTTTCCAAAGTTCTCCTATTGTTGATTTCTAGTTATATACCACTGTGGTCTGAAAAGACACTTAATATGATCTCTGTTTTGTTAAATTTCTTAAGACTTATGTTGTGGCCTAACATATGATGTATCCTGGAGAATGTTCCATGTGTAGTCAGGAAGAATGTGTATTCTGCTCCTGTTGGATGGATTGTTCTCTAAATGTCTGCTAGGTCCTTCTGGTCTAAGGTTTAGTTCAAATTCAGTGGGTTTTTTGTTGATTTTCTGTATAGGTGATCTGACCATTGTTGAAAGAGGAGTGTTGATTGCAATTTTTCTCTTCCTTTATATCAAATATTTGCTTTATCTATTTGAGTCTTCCAGGGCTGGATGCATATATTTTTACAATTTTCTCTCTTTTTATTCTGTTTGAATTTTAGTATATTTTATCAAAGTATGGCTACTCCTGCTTTCTTGTGGTTTCCATCTGTATGGAATATATTTTTCATCCTTTCATTTTCACTCTACATTTTTTTTAACAATGGATTATGTCTCCTGTAGACAGAATTTGGTTGAGTCTTATTTTTTAAATCTCTGCAGTGAATTTGTATCCTTTAATTGGAGAATTTAATGCATTTACAAAGTTATTTATATGTGAATATCTACTTCTGCCATTTGGTTAATTGTTGGGAATGTTGTATTGGCTTTGATTCTAGGTAGATGAGGTAACGTGGTTTCCATACAGATGCTTTAGCTGTAATCCAGATCTGCAATGTCTGCAATTGTTTTGGTGGCATAAGCTGTGGAAGTTTATGACGGCAATGGTGTAGATTTTCTAGGGGAAGGGGCACCAGGTTGTTTTTCAGGCCAGGTGCATGTGGATGCAGCAAGCCAGCAGCTTGTGTGGCAGGCTCTCCAAGAAGGTGCTGCTGTCAGGCTGGATGTTGGATTGAGTGTGAGTATGCATACCAGGTGGGTAAAGAGGGTATGGTGGCCACCTCTGGGTTTGCTGTCCTTCAAGTGGCTGGCACATGCTGAGCGGGAGGTCACACAAGCCTTCTCCATTGTGCAGACCCACCTATTTTCCTGGTAAATCAGGTTCTTCATGGATTCAGATTTGGGATTTTGGTCCTCGTTTCATGTCTAGGCTCTAGGCAGCCAGGGTGTTGGTGCTGCGGGCACCTGCATGAATGTATTGGGCTGACAGTGGGGTCTCAGAGATAGAGGGCATCAGTGGGTACTGGCTCCCAGGGCAAAATCTACTGCAGTTGGCACTGGGCCATAGCAGCTTATGTTGGAGGGGTGAGGTGGGTGTGTCAAGGGAGTTACTTCTCTCAGGCAAAACAACTGGCAAACTCCCAGGAACTGTCCATGTTGAATTCAAGACCTGTGAGAACTAGGGGATCCTCTGTAGCAAAAACTGCTGACATCTACGGGGTGATGGGGATCTCACAGGGCCGCCAGCTCACCTTTATCCTGTAAGATGACTCCCCTGACTCTGAGCTGATCCTGTTGGGGAAAACAATGTGGCAGAGGCAGGATGGCTTGCCCCCTTCTGTATAGTGCTATTCTGGGCTTACAACCTCCACAAACTTTTGTGTTTTCCTGGTCCTCTCCAGCATACATCTTCAGTCACTCCAGTCAAATTATAGTTGTTTACTTGTTGATTTGGTCCCTTTTTATCAGGGGACAAATGCCAAACAATTCTAGTGGCTGCCTTTTCACTCTCCATGGTTATTTTTTGAACACAATGACAATTCCTCTAAATGTATTAACAAAATTTATTCATCCAACAATTATTTGCTGTGGAAAAAAGGTTTTTACTAAATTCAAGAATATGAATTAGCTACTATCAATTCATTAAACAAACATTCATTTGGCATTTTAAAAATATGTGCTATGCATCTGTGACTATGTAAGGAACTGAAAATGCAGGACTTAAGGTGAAAAGTACTGTCAAGGAAGTTACTGCCTAATGAGACATGCAATTTAATACAGAGCCAGAAATGTGAATTTTGCTGTTTGACCAGAATTTTAAGTACATCCTTATTTTCAAAAGGTAGATACAAAAATCTTCATTGAAAATGGGAGACATTTGATTTAAACATTGATAACTGACATTTGAATGGACGTTCTATTTTCCATAATATAACTTATACATAAAATTTTCAATGTTAGGAGGATAAACTGAGGCATGGTGTGAATAGAGAATTTCATTAAGACGTGGAAAAGGGCTGATACATATCAACTTCAGCTGGGCAGGGTAAAGGAGGAGTGAGCAGTGGCTTTATATGATATGAACATAAGAACAATAGATATATTGTGTCCATCATTATTTCTTATTGTGTAATATTTGTTAGTAGGACAGCTTCTCTCTCTTCACACCCTGTCACATCCCAACCATTAAGCTTTAGATAAAGTGGAGAGGCCACAGAGTAGAAAGTAAGGAAAAAAACCTCTTCTGAACCACTACATTATGGGATGTAAAGGAAGACTGGTAGAAATGTGTGTTCCAATCTCCCTGCTCCAGAGCTCCACAAATGTGGTCAAGTATTTCCTGAATTGTGTGGGTAAAAGGAATAGCAAATTCAAAATAAATTTTAGGCCAGGCGTGGTGGCTCACGCCTGTAATCCCAGCACTTTGGGAGGCCTGGGAGGGTGGATCACGAGGTCAGGAGATCGAGACCATCCTGGCTAACACGGTGAAACCCTGTCTCTACTAAAAATACAAAAAATTAGCTGGGCATGGTGGCGGGTGCCTGTAGTCCCAGCTACTTGGGAGGCTGAGGTAGAAGAATGGCGTGAACCCGGGAGGCAGAGCTTGCAGTGAGGCAAGATCGCACCACTGCACTCCAGCCTGGGCAACAGAGTGAGACTCCGTCTCAAAAAAATAAAATAAAATAAAATAAAATAAAATAAATTTTATTCTCTCCCTTTTGGAAGTATGGATGATGGGCACTGGGTGGCAAGAATGTGACAGAGGCTGCAGTGAGGTCAGCCTAGGCTACTGTCACACAGCAGATGTGCTTCAGAGATACATATGGTACCAAGAGGCCACCAACTGCATGAGTGAGCCCACAGGTGACCAATTGACCATAAGTCAGAGGATGAGAGGAAGTGCACATGCAAGGACCAACATAGACCCCAGAGCCCCATCACGCCAAGAACAAGTAAACACCATCATAATTTATATATTAGCCATGATTAGCCATGATGAAGAGAAGTTAGGAAAAACCTGAAAGAATAAGCAATTTAGTAAAAAGACTGAGTTAAACATAAACATTAAGAAGAAAACATATATAATGCTACTTTTGGACACTGCACCAAGATCTTTACACAAACAATTAACAGTTTTAAAAATCATAAAATTCCAGGTAATAGTAATTATTCTCTTGTCTGTTTTAAAGTGAGGTGATAGATATGTTAATTAATTTGATTTAATTATTCCATTGTTTACATATATCAAAACATCACATTGTACTCCATTCATATATGCAAATTTTATCTGTCAAAAATAATAACGTATTAGTCCCTTCTCACATTGCTATAATTAATTACCTGAGACTGGGTCATTTATAAAGAGAAGAGGATTAATTGGCTCATGGCTCCACAAGAAGCATGGCCGGGGAGATCTTAGGAAACTTACAATCATGGCAGAAGGCAAAGAGGAAAGTGGTACCTCTTACAGGGCTGGAGCAAGAGGAAGAGGGAGAAGCAGGAGATGCTACACACTTTTAAGCAACGAGATCTCAAGTCACTCACTATCACAGCAACAGCAAGGGGGATGTTCATTCCCCGTGATCCAAACACCTCCCATCAGGCCCCTCCTCCAACTATGGGTATTAGAATTCAACATGAGATTTGGGCATGGCCACAAATCCAAACCATATTAAATAGCAATTAAAATAGTTTTTATGGAAAATATACAGGAAGGAAAAGCTGTAGTACACTGCTCACTGATTGCCTCGGTAAATGTGAGTTTCCTCCTTTAAAAAAAAGGAGGTGGCTTCCATGTGGTGTTAAGCTCGTAGGCATACAAAATGCAAAAGTGAATGAGGCTTGGGAGGCCCTCTGCCTGAATTTCAGAGGATGTAGAGGAAAGTCTGGGTGCTCAGGCAGAAGCCTGCGGCAAGGGCAGAACCCTAACAGAGAACCTCTACTAGGGCAGTGAAGAGGAAAAATGTGGAATTGGAGTCCCCATGAAGAGCCCCAACATGGTTTTGCCTAGTGGAGCTGTGAGAAGGAGGCCACTGGCCTCCTGATAGATTCACTGGCAGCTTGCACCTTGCACCTGGACAAGCTGTAAGCATTCAACAACCTGTGAGAGCAGCCATTGATGCTGAACCCTGCAAAGACGCAAGGGTGGAGCTGCCATAGCCTTGGGAGTCCACCCCTAGTGACAGTGTACACTGGATGTGGGACATGGAGCCAAAGGAAATTATTTTGGAGCTTTAAGATTTAATGACTGCCTGTTGGGTTTTGAACTTGCATGGGACCTGTAGTACCTTTTGTTTGGCTGATTTCTTTTTTTTGGAATGAGAATATTTATCCAATGTTGTATCCCCATTGCATCTTGGAAGTAAATAACTTGGTTTTCTTTTTACAGGTTCCTAGGTGGAAGGGACTTGCCTTTTCCCAGATGAGCCTTTGAACTTCTGAGTTAATGTTGGAATTAGTTGGAATTTGGGAAACTATTGGGAAGGCATAATTGTATTTTGCAATGTGAGAAAGACAGGAGATTTGGGAGGGGCCAGGAGCAGAATGATGTAGTTTAGGTATTTATCCCTGCCCAAATCTCATGTTGAATTGTAATCCCCCATGTCGGAGGTGGAGCCTGGTGGAAGGTTTTGAATCACGGGGGCAGATGGCTTGGGCCATCTTCTTGGTGATAAGTGAGTTCTCTGGGTTCTCACAAGATCTGATCATTTAAAAGTATGTGATCCCTCTCTCCACCAATTTCTCTCTCTCTCTCTCTCTCTCTCGTTCCCGCTTTTGCCATGTGGTGCACAAGTTCCTGCTTCACCTTCTGCCTTGCGTAAAAACTCCCAGAGCCTCCCTGAGAAGCATATGCAAGCATTCTACTTCCTGTACAGCCTGCAGAACTGTCATCTAATTAAACCTCTTTTCTTATAAATTACCTAGTCTCAGGTATCTCTTTATAGCAATGCAAGGATGGCTTAATTTAGAGATCTACTCTCTTCAAAAATGTTTACACGCACAATACCATATTAACTGTAGGCACTATGTTGTACAGCCTCTCTCTAGAACTTCTCCATCCTGTATAATGGTAACTTTATACCCACTGAACAACAATTCCCTGTTTCCCCCTCTCCCCAGATCCTGGCATACATCATTCTATTTCCTACTTCATTATTTTTAATACCTCATATAAGTGGAATCATGCAGTATTTATCTGTTACTAACTTAGTATATGTAACACATTAGTTTTTCAGGTCTGTCCATATTGTAGTACATGGTAGGATTTCCTATTATTAAAGGCTGAATAATAGTCCATGTATTTCTCTGCATTTATGTAAATGTATTTATATACATCTTCTTTACCCATTAATCTGTCAATGCACATTGGATTTGTTTCCATATATTGGCTATGAATAATGCTGCAACAAACATGAGAGTGAACATGTCTCTTTGAAATTCTGATTTCAATTTTTTTATGTACACCCAGAAATGAGATTGTCGGATTATATGGTAGTTCTATTTTTAACTTTTTGAGCGGACTCCATACTGTTTTCCATAGTGGTTACACCATTTTAAATGAAGTGGAAGAACTTTCTTAACTTCAGATATGTAATTGTGTGTGTATGTGTACACGCATACATGAGACATACATGCACACTCATACGTGAGACATGCACATACATACATGAGACATAAACAGTATTTGGTATATGATGTTTTGAAAATGTTTCTAGTAAGTCATCTTATGAATTAGACGTCTACTGCAAACACATGGAGATACAGTGATTTAAAGATCCTAAGACTTCTATTTAATTACTCGATAAAGTTTGGCATGACAGTGTTCTTATTTCTACTGGGGGTGCTAGAATTAGGCTCTTCCATCCACAGTTTAGAGCTTTGTTTCTCTCATAACTAAAAGAACAAATTTATGTGTTGTGCATTTGGCGTAAAAAATAAAGTCTATGGTCATAAAATAATTCCAAAAGGGTATAGAAAATTGAAGCTTGTAGGGATTTTGTCAAGTGACTTGATCATTTTCATTTTCTCAAAAAAAGAAAACAAAAAAAACTCATTTTTTTAATCCTCAGACTACTTTCATTAATGGTATTTGCTTAGTAATAATTACTTTTTAAACATTTTTTAATTAGAAGAGTTTAAAGAAAAACTTGGCATCAATTTCTCCATGATTCTATTCATAATTTTTACGGATTTCTTCCCCATTTATTTTCTTGTTTACTTTTGCAATTGCAGTCATACTTTTGTACAATATAGGTAACATTATATGATGCATATTTTCCAACATTATTAAAACACCTCACTGTGTATAATATGTGTTCATGTTTCTATGTTAAAAGTTGACTAAAAATTTGTACATTATAGGATGTTGGGTCATTTCAATAATTCATTATGACTGAAAATATTGCAATGAATATTCTTTTTTAATATATATTTGGCTACATTTTAATCACTTTTTAGGACAGATTGCCAAGTTGAGGGAGCATTGATTCATTCAACATATATTTACAAAACAGTTTGTGCCACGGATTGTTCTTGGAACCTGCAGTAATGAAAACACACACACACACACACACACACACACACACACACACATATGCACACATCGATATTCATGAATATTAAGGTGGGGAAGACAGTCAAAAAGCAAACCAACAAATACATAAAAATATATGTCAAATATGGGAACAGACTTTATATGGGTGAGCGTTTTAATATTTGATGGTTAAGGAAACTATTTCTAATATGAGCTTCATGTATGAATCTGGTGAGCAATCCATAGGGCAAATAAATTTAGACAGAAGAAAGAAGAATAGTTAAAGATCTACAGGTATTTGTGCCTGTTCAAGGAGACAGAGGTCAAGCAGGTTGATGCAAAGTGAGTAATGAGGAGAGTGAAAGGAGACAATGTAAAATAGAAAAAGAATCGGCAATGGGAACAGATGACTTAGGACCTTGTGCCCATCACTTTTTGATGACTGAGACAAAGAGTACCATTTTCACATTCACCTCCTCCCACTTTAACCAGTAGTAAGTATTGCCAGGTTATAATCTCAGTTAATTTGTATGGGAATGGTTGACATTTTTTCTGTTATTTTAGTGAGTCTTTTAATTATACATTTTCTGATTTTTAAGCATGTATATTTCCCCTCTGGAACTGGAATTTAATATTCCTCTTATCTAATTATATGACAACTGTCCATATTAAAGGTACCAAACATAAGATTATGTTATTTGCTGAAAACATGTTTACAGCTTCTTTGTCTTTGTATTATACATATGGTATCCAGTGCCTGTGTTTTGCATAGTTAAATAATTATTTCTGATTACTATTTCAATCTCTAATGTTAGGTTTAGAAAGTATTTTCAAAACTATCTAAGAAATTACATATTGGTTCACACATAAGGAAATGTAATTTTAGTCTAATTTAATAAAGTTGCTTAAAGTACTTGTTTTCAGGCTTAAACTTGATTAATGTAAAGATTAACTGAGTTATAAGCCATCACACTGATTGACTTCCTTCGAGATCCCTCTCTTATCCTTAATGCTTTGGAACAGGTATTCTTAAAATTCAACTGCCTACAAAATCCATGCTGATGACTTAATAAATAGGGTAGGTTGGATATGAGATAGCAGAGAGTGTGAATCCTGTGGGAAGCTCAGATTGCATAAATAGGTTGGGCTTAACACATATAGTTTGTTAGAACCTACTGAAACAAACATGATGATGAGAGTGACATTAGAGTGGCTAGAAAAAACAGTTTTTGTTTCAATAAAGCTGCTTAATGCAGATATTTATTGGCCAGAATTTCGTGGTGTAGATAGCTCCTAGCTTCAGATATTTTTTGATTGACTTAGATGGCACTACATCTATATCTGTTTTTCTTCTGAAACAGAATTTGAAGAGATACAATATCACTGCCTCAGTAAAATAATATTATTAACTAAGCAGTTTTTCATTCCAATCCAATTTTTTAACTTAAACACGTGGCACATTAATGGAATAATCAATTCAGTGAAATGAGTTCCACCTCAGTTTTTTTCCTCTGGAATGTTTGTATCCAAATTATTTGACCTTCACAACAAGTAAAAATGGGAACAATGAAATGTTCCCCTCACACCCTATTACCTAAAAGGCAAATGAAAAATCTCTCTCCTAATCCTATTACTAAGATCTTTTATTCTGGCATAATTATTAGGTATTTTGGGTAAGGTATTTCTAGATATTTATATATAAGTGTATATAAATATTTACAGGTATTTATATATAATTAATCTGTTAGTGTATGAATATAAAATGTATATGTATATTATATATGATATATATGCAAACATTATATATGTAGTTTCACATTGGTAATCATTTAGATAAGCTTTAGTGTTTTGCATTTCAGACAATGCTGTTATAAGTAACCCTGTATGCAGATGAATCATTTTTCAAGAGCACTAACATATCAGTATGCTAAATTCTGAGGAGCAGAATTTAAGAGTATGTACATTTAGAATTTTGATAGAATTCACCACTTTGTTTTCCTTGAGAGTTTTACATATTTACGTCCCCCTCAGCATTTTATGACAACTTGCACCTCTTTACACCTTTGCATCGTAGTGTATTATAAATATTCTGAAATCTTTGCCACTAGACATGTTTATTTTGAGAGTTTTTCTGAGTGCAGTTTGTAGTTGCTTCACTCTGAACTGTGTGTTCATATCTTTGACCATTTTTTTCCACTGGGCAAATGGTTCTTTCATTATTGATTGGTAAGAACTCTGTATATATTAGGAAGGTTTGCTTTTTGCCTGTTATGTTTTATAAGTATCATGCTCCTATTGAGTTTTTATTTTGTTTATGGTACTTTTACTATGTTCTACCAGCTAATTAGAGAGATATATTAAATTTTCCGACTATTGTGGATTTGCTTATTTCTACTTTCTACATTATTTTTAATGTATATATTATTGACAGCATACATATTTAGGATTAGCTGTTTTTATTATAAAAAATTTCATTTCCTATAATGCTTTATTTTATTTTATTTTGCTTGTAGTCTACTACTACATTATTACTACACTAATTTCTGAAAGGAATATAGCTACAGAAACTTCCTTTAGGTTAGTGTTTTAGGAAATACATTCTTTACCCTTTTTCTTTCAACCATTCTGTACCCTCATGTGTGCCACCAAGTAAAAACATTTTAGTATATTTACATGAATTTAATCATCACTATATCTGGGTTTATATCATAAAGCTATTTGTTTTCTATTTGACCCACTGCTTTTATGTGGGTTTTTTTTTTAAGATTTACTTATCTTCCCTTGATTTTTTTCAGTTTTCATTATTCTCCTTTGCCCATCCACTCACTTGCTAATTATACATTCTTAATTGCTTTCATATTATTTTTAGTGAAAACCCCAATGATTACAACATTGTAGACTGTTCTAGAAGTGAACACTTTTGGCCAGACATGGTGGCTCACACCTGTAATCCCACCACTTTGGGAGGCCAAAGTGGGTGGATCACCTGTGCTCGGGAGTTCCAGACCAGCCTGACCAACATGGTGAAACCCCTTCTCTACTAAAAATACAAAAAAAAAAAAAAAAAAAATAGCCAAGCATGGTGGCAAGCACCTGTAATCCCAGCTACTTGGGAAGCTGAAGCAGGAAAATTGCTTGAACCCAGGAGGCAGAGGTTGCAGTGAGCCGAGATCTCACCATTGTACTCCAGCCTGGGAAATACAGTGAGACTCCATTCAAACAAAAAAATAAAAAATAAAATAAAATAAAATAAATAAAATAAAACTTTTATGGACTGTAACTTCTACTAATTTTTGAATGTTGCTAGAACTTTAGAACACTTTAGCACCAATTCCTCATATCCACTGTTTTGCTTTTTGGTTTTCAGAATGTTTTATATTTTGATATTTTATAATCCCAAAGCATTATTATTATAATTGTGTATCATTTGTGTTTATTTGCTTTTCCACATCCACATTTTTAAATTGTTCAGTTCCCTTCATTTCCTCCAATATTTTAATTGGTCCGGGATAATTTTTCTTCTGCTTGATAAAATTACCTTTAGTAATTTACTTCGTACAGGTTAACTGGCAACACATTTTCTCATATTTGCTTGCCTGAAAACATCATTCTTACATATTAATTTTTAAAGTGAAGCTTATTGGTATGTAATTTACATATAATAAAAGCACCCATTTACAAAGTACTGTTAAATGAATTTTGCCAAAGTTACACATCCATGTAACCAAACCAATACATACACACACACACACGGAAATATAACTTTTATTTTAATTTTAACAATGTATCCTTTTGAAGTACAGATATTTCATCCCCTGACATTTCAAATTTCAAATTTTGATGAAGTCCATTTGACTGTTTTTTAAAGATATAGTTATTTTTATGCTGTATCAGGTCTATTGTGAAGATTTTATCCTGTTTTCTTCTAGAGATTTTAGAGTTTTAGGATTTGTATTACTAAATGATTCTTGCTCCATTTTTAATTATTTATGGTATGATATACAGACTGAGGCTCATTTTTTTTAGTATGGTTATCCAATTTCACTAGAACCATTTGTGCATAAGATGAGGCTTTCCCCTACTGAGTTAACTCGGCATCTTTGTTGAAAGTCAACATGTACACATTTGTGGGTCTATGTCTATATCCTCTATTTTGTCTCACTGATCTGTATGTATCCTTAGGCTGGTATTACACTTTCTTGATTGCTGTATTTATATTTATATGCTATATTTATATTATATTTAAACTTGCAATAATGTAGTGTATGTCATCTAAATTTATTTATTCTTAAGTTTTAAGGATTCCTTTAGATAATTCTAGATATTTTACATTTTAATATAACTTTTAGAAACATCTCATTAATTTAAGAGAAACATAAGGGAATTTGTTTAGAATTTTATTCTATCTCTAGATTACTTTCCAGGTAATTGACATCTTAATGAATACTGTCTCTGAATCCATGAACTGACATATCTCTGTTCGTTTTTAATTTTTTCAATTTCTATTAGCATTAGTTCAAAATTTTCAGTGTCCAAATCTTGCTCAAAGTATTTTGTATTTATAAACTATTAAAAATAGTAATTTGTTCCATCTTCTTATGATCTTTCAGTTTATAGAAATGCAAGTTTTTTTGTTTATTGACTTTGTATTCCACAACCTAAAGTCTTCACTTGTTCTAGCAAATTTTTTGTAAATTTTCTAAGGCTTTATATGTGCATATCCACATGTTCAAATTTTTTTGATTTTTTGATACAGAATTTTTCACTCTTGCTATAATCTCTAATAAATCATTACAATTCATTCTAAATATATTGCTAAATTTTATTTGCTAATGTTTGTTAAGAATTTTTCCATTGATATTTATGACATGTATTCATCTTCTGTTTATTTTCTTTCAATATATTTGTCTTATTTTGGCATCAGGATAATTCAGGCATCATAGAGGAGAAAAATATTTCTCTGTAGTTTTCTTAAAGAGATACTTTAAAATTGGCAGTACTTGGGTTTAATACAAATACCGGTTGGTATTCCATATATACTGCAATTCAGGTTTTCTGCATCATTTTATATTAGTTTTTGGATACTGGGGTTTTCAAGGAATTTGCCAACGTCATCTAAATTTTTTGATTTATTGTTAAACATTTGTTTATAATAGCCCCTTATACTTCTAATGCATGTAAGATCTGCTGTATTATCTACTTTTTTTCTGATAGTAATAATTTGTGTCTTCTATCATTTTACTGCTTCATCTGGCTAAAGTTAGTATTATTAATATTATTGATTTTTTTCAAAAACTACTTTGAAGTGATTTTTGTTTATATGCTTTCTGTTTGATTGACTTCAGCTATTATCCTTAGAAGGCCCTGTCTTCTACTTATTTTGCCTGAATAAACAGACTGTATTTTGCAACTTCCCATCATGTTAGTTTTGGTGTACTTCATTAAATCTTAAAAAAAATGTGAGCATATTGATGGTACCACTTATGGACCAGTGCATAGCTCTTGCTCATTTTCAATCTCCTCCTTGTGCAGATACCATGATATTGAATCTTCCATTGCTTATTATAAAGGAAATTGGATTCCTGGTTTTCTGAAAGGTGACTTCCAGAGAAATTTATTTCTAAACAGTGACTTCTTGAGAAACAACTAATTTTAATCATACTTTTAATTTTAATAAACCTTTAATATATCAAGTTCCTGATATCTTCCATTAATAAGTTTGCTTGTTATAGGAATTAGCATTCATTTACCATGATTAATATAGAATCATTTGAAAACATATACAATAGAAGAGAGTAATGGTTACAAATTTGGAAGCAATGTGTGGTTTGATGTTGGGAGACATGAACTAAACAAGATGGCAAAAAATGTTTTTTTCATTTTTTTAATCCAGGAATGTTTTTAGTTGGCAATATTTTACTTTTTTCTGACTTTACAATTAAATTAAGGATAATTCTGAAATGAATATGTCTTGATAAACTAAAGATAATAAAACAAATTAAAATAGTGAGAAGATATAGGAAATGGGGAGTAGAAAAACAATGAAGTAAGGTTTCATAATTCGTGTGGTGGATGAAAAATTACTGCTTAAATTTATTAAATCACAGAGCACAGGTACGTAGCTGTGTTTAACTGATAATGCATGACCAATTACTCTGCTTAATTTACTGTCCAAAGAAGAAGAGATATAGCAGTGAACAAAACAGGCAGTATCCATGAGGCCATGTAGTTTACATTCTAGTAAGGGAGAAATAATAAACAAACAAAATTGAACAGCTGGAACACAGTCATGATTATTTATACAAGGAGGAAATATGTAAATTGGGCAGAATGATTTTGATTTGGTGTAGTTTGTGTAGGCTGATAAAGGAAAATCTTACTGAAGTAGTCATATTTGAGCAGAGACCAGATAACAGAGTGCAAAAGAGCCATGTGCATGTTTTGCTGCGGAGCATTTCATAAAGAAGAAATAGAAAATGTAAAGGCCTAAGGTAAGGAAGGCCATCACACCTCAGGTAAGATGAGTAAGAAAGGAAGTGGTAGAGATGAGTCTATAGGAATCACCCATGATCAGAAAACAGAAGGTCTTTTGGGTTGGAAACAATACATGAAGGTTGAAAGATTGAATATAGAAGTAGACAATGGCCAGACCATATATAGAAATGGATCTTTGACCCACAACCTTCAGCAAGCTGCCCAAGAAACCAAGATCTTATCTACAATAAAGAACTCATGAAGCCAGCTTTGAGGCAGACTTGCAGGGAGTCAGAATACTATCTCCATGAAAATCCAGGATGCTGAATAATAACTTCTGTAACAATCAGTCAGAAAAGGCCAGGAATTGATTAGTAACTGACAGCTTCCTTAATTTTTGTCCCTGCTTTCAAATAGGGCCAACCAGAGAAAGCCAAACGTGCACCCTTTACCGTCACATGGGATGTTCTGATTCTAATTAATCCCATGTGCAGCTTCTCCAGACCAACAGGGCACACCCAAGCCCTTCCCTTTCTCCACTATAAAACTTTCCCACTCCTCTGCCTGCCTCTGAGTCTCTGTCAAACACGAGTGACAATGTCCAACTCCCTTGCTATAGGAAGTAAAGAATAAATGACCTTGTTTTTCTCATCTGGGTGGTCTTTGTATATTTCCATTGGCGGTAAAGGTAAACAGTATAATAACTGAAAATTGACACTATGGCTTTTTTATCAGAAGTAAAACTTGCACACACAAAGTAAGCAAAGAAAAAAATAGTTCATGTACAAACAGACAGAATAAAATGAAGCACTAAAAACACATAACGTTAAATTAAAAAATGACCTTAAGAACTCATCCTGTGGTAATTTCCAATATCTGAAATCTTCAACCTGCCCAGAAATTTACAGAGATTTATCACTATTGACTCCAGCTTGCAGCAGCTCCTCCAGGAGTATTGAAAAATTTACATCATTTTCTGACTTAACCTTTGAGAGTGTAGCAGTTTGACTAAAGTGCCATTTAGTTTTACATTGTCGTTATTTCAGTAAAATATCCAGTGGTGCCGGGTTGAGTCTTAAATAGAAATATTTACTTCATCTGTGTAACTAAAGATACTCAAAAATTAAGAAAAGCCATGAGTAAACCTCTTCTTTCCAAATTGTGATAATTGTATCTTATTTTCTTTGTCTCCTTTAAAGTGAAAAATATTATAGATAAAGATTAAAGTTCTGTCAAGTGCTTAAAGAATTTGGGGTACCTTCCTAGCCTCCAAATCTTGAAAAGTTAACAGTAGGATGGTTTTGAAATTAGTCACATTTTTCTCTCTCCCTAGGTTAAGATATTTTAAGAAGTATAGCAGAGGCCAATTCATGCCTATATGGAAAGTCACGTAATATTACTAATTGATAGTCTTTCTTACCGACAAAACAATAGCCTAATGTATACGCAAGACTCAAAAATGTTTCAACCCTAAACAACAAAAAGTTTTCTCCACTCCACTCAAGCTTTTACCTGGCAATATATTTTGATGACATCTGACATTTCTAAAAGCCACAAAATCTTTCATGATAAACAGAGATGTTACTGACTTGTAGCAGATGATGTGCATTTGACACAAATAATGCTTCAATATCCCATTGTATTTAAAATTTTTTAAATCTAATGTTGTAAATCTATGTTCTTGTAAGGAGGGAAGTGTAGAACAACAGAAATAAAAACAACTATACAAAATACTTGAAGAAAAGACTTTGACAGTAATCCAGTGATTTTATAATGAATCCTCTTCTCAAGAAAATTATTAATCAACTATATTTTAACATAGAAATATAGAAGTTACACATTCACTCTTGTTCTTCCTATATTCATTAACAAGAAAAAGGCATTTTGACATTTTTAGTCCCACTATGTTTAGTACTGAAAGATAAAAAAGGTATATTACTTTAAAATACTTTACAGTTTCAACTAGCCTCAGAGAAAAAAAAGGCAGATATCCATAATCATAGTCATGGAAGGTGTTTCCTCTATTCCTAATAAATGGAATTGACTCTAATCATACTATGGACATCTCTTGGAGTAATTCATCTGGTTACTTTGTGCACACCTGTGCTTTTTTTTGCACTTAGTTTTTATTTAAGAATTTTATAGATTTAGCATTAAATTCTAGGTCTTTATTCATTTTGAGTTAAATTTTGTGTGCATGTGAAGTAGAGGTCCAAATTCAGGGATAGTTACTGGAAATGGATTGCTAGTACTCTGCTGAGGATTTTTTAATCTATCTTCATAAGTCATACTGGCTTGTAGTTTTGTTTTTTTGTGATATCTTTGTCTAATTTTGGTATAAGGGCCTCATAGAATGAGTTGAGAAGTGTACTAACATTTCTATTTTTGGATGAGTTTATGAAGGATGGGCATTAATTCTTCTTTAAATGTTTGGTAAAACACATCAGTAGAAGCCTTCTGGTCCTGAGCTTTTTATGTGCAGATTAATTTTTCTCCCAGGTATTAAGTATAGTACTCAATAGTTGTTTTTTTCTGCTCCTCTTCCTTTTCCCATCCTTCAGCCTCTGGTGGGACTCAGTGTCTGTTGTTCCCCTCTTTGTATCCATGTGTTCGCGTAATTTAGCTTACACTGATAAGTGAGAACATGCAGTATTTGGTTTTCTGTTCCTGCATTAGTTTGCTAAGTATAATGGCCTCCACCTCCATCCTGATCCTGCAAAGAACATGATCTTGTTTTTCATGGCTCCATAGTATTCCGTGGTGTATATGCACCACATTTTCTTTATCCAGTCTACTACTGAGGGGCATTTGGGTTGATTCCATGTCTTTGCTATTGTGAATAGTGCTGCAATTAACATATAGATGTATCTGTCTTTATGGTAGAGCAATTTATATTCCTTTAGGCATATACCCAGTAATGGGCCTGCTGGGTCGAATGGAGGTTCTGTTTTTAGTTCTTTGAGGGACCACCACACTGCTTTCCACAATGGTTGAACAAATTCACACTCCCACCAACAGCGTATAAGTGTTCCCTTTTCTCCTCAACCTCACTAGCATCTCTTATTTTTTGACTTCTTAAGAATAGTCATTGTGACTGGTGTGAGATGATATCTCATTGTGGTTTTGATTTTCTAATGATCAATGATATTGAGCCTTTTTACATATGGTTGTTGGCCATGTGTATGTCTTCTTTTGAGAAGCGTCAGTTCATATCATTTGCCCACTTTTTAATGAGGTTGCTTGTTTGTTTTCTTGTAGATTTGTGTAAGTTCCCTATACATGCTGTATATTAGACCTTTGTCAGATGCATAGTTTTCAAATATTTTCTCTCATTCTGTAGGCTGTCTGCTTAGTCTGTTGATAGTTTCTTTGCTGTGAAGATGGTCTTTAGTTTAATTCGATCCCATTTGTTAATTTTTGCTTTCATTGCAATTGCTTATGGCATCTTTGTCATGAAATCCTTGGCAGGTTCTATGTCCAGAATAGTATTGCCTATTTTCTTTTTTTGGCAAATTTTTATAGGGTTTTCATAGTTTTAGGTTTTGCATTTAAGCCTTTAATCCATCTTGTGTTGATTTTTGAATGTGGTGTAAGGATGGGGTCCCGTTTAAATCTTCTGCATATGGCTAGCCAGTTATCCTAGCACTATTTATTGAATAGGGAGTCCTTTCCCCATTGCATATCTTTGTCAACTTTGTCAAAGATCTCTTTGTTGTAGGCATGCAAATTCATTTCTGGGCTCTCTATTCTGTTCTATTTGTCTTTGTGTCTGTTTTTATACCAGTACCATACTGTTTTGATTACAGTGGCCCTGTAGTATAGTTTGAATTAGGGTAGCATGGTGCCTCCAGCTTTGTCCTTTTTGCTTAGGATTGCCTAGGCTATTTGGGCTCTTTTTTGGTACCATATGAATTGTAAAATAGATTTTTTTTTTTTTAGTTCTGTGAAGAATGTCATTGGCAGTTTGATAGGAATAGCATTGAATCTCTAAATTGCTTTGGGCAGTGTGGCCATTTTAACAACATGATTCTTCTTTTCCTATCATCATGGAATATTTTTTCCATTTGTTTGTGTCATCTCTGATTTCTTTGAGCAGAGTTTTGTAGTTCTTCTTGTAGAGGTCTTTCACCTCCCTGGTATTCCTATGTATTTTATTCTTTTCATGACAATTGTGAATGGGTTTGCATTCCTGATTTAGCTTTTGACTTGGCTATTGCTGAGGTATGGGAATGCTAGTGATTTCTGTACATTGATTTTGTATCCTGAAACCTTGCTGAATTTATCAGTTTTAGGAGCTTGTGAGCCAAGACTATGGGGTTTTCTAGGTAAAGAATCATGCTGTCTACTAACACGGATAGTTTGACTTCCTCTCTTCTTATTTGGATGCCTTCACTTATTTCTCTTGTCTGATTGCTCTGTCCAGGATTTCCAATACTATGTTGAATAGGAGTGGTGTGAGAGGGCATCCTTGCCTTATGCTGGTTTATAATGGGAATGCTTCCAGCTTTTGCCCATTCAGTATGATGTCGGCTGTGGATTTGTCACAGATGGATCTTATTATTTTGTTGCATGTTCTTTTAATACCTAGATTGTTAAGAGTTTTTAATATGAAGGGATGTTGAATTTTATCAGAAGCCTTTCTGCATCTATTGAGATAATCATGTGGTTTTTGTCTTTAGTTCTGTTTATGTGATGAATCACAATTATTTATTTGCATATGTTGAACAAATCTTGCATCTAGGAATAAAGCCTACTTGATGGTGATGGATTAGCTTTTTGATGTGCCGCTGGTTTTGGTTTATTATTATTTTGTTGAGGATTTTTGCTTAGATGTTCCTCAAAGATATTGGCCTGAAGTTTTATTTTCTTGTGTCTCTGGCAGGTTTTGGTATCAGGATGATGCTGGCCTTATAAAATGGGTTAGGAAGGCGTTCACCCATCTCAATTTTTTGAAATGATTTCAGTAGAAATGATGCCAGCTCTTCTTGGTACATATGGTGGAATTTGACTGGGAATCGTTCATCTGGTCCTGGGCTTTTTTTTTCTTCATCACTAGGCTATCTATTTTTGATTCAATTTTCAAGACCGTTAGTGATCTCTTGAGGGATTCCATTTAGTCCTGGTTCACTCTTGGGAGGGTGTATGTGTCCAGAAATTAATCCATTTCTTCTAGATTTTCTAGTTTGTGCATAGAAGTGTTCATAATAATTTCTAATGGTTATTTGCATTTTTGTGGGGTCAATGGTAATAACCCCGTTGTCATATCTGATTGTGTTTATTTGGATCTTCTCTCTTTTTTTGTTAGAGTCTAGCTAGTGGTCTATCTTGTTACTTCAAAAAAAAAACAGCTCCTGGTTTTGTTGATCTTTTGAGCTGTTTTTCATGTCTGAGTCTCCTTCAATTAGCTCTGATTTTGTTTTTCTTTTCTTCTGCTAGATTTGGGGTTGGTTTTCTCTTTCTTCTCTAGTTCTTTTACTTATGATGTTAGGTTGTTATTTGAGATCTGTCTTTTTCTTTTGATGTGAGCATTTAGTACTGTAAAGTTCCCTCTTAACACTGTCTTGACTGTGTCTCAGAGATTCTGGTTTGTTGTATCTTTGTTCTCATTAGTTTCAAAAGACTTCTTGGTTTTTGCCTTTATTTCATTATTTACCCAACAGTCATTCAGGACCAGGTTGTTTAATTTCCACATAATTGTATTGTTTTGAGTGATTTCTTCATCTTGAATTCTATGTTGATTGCACTGTGGTCTGAGAGAGCAGTTGGTATGATTTCTAATACTTTTCATTTGCTGAAGATTGTTGTATGTCTGATTGTGTGGCCAATTTTAGAGTACGTGCTATGTGCAGATGAGAGGAATGTATACGCTGTTGTTCCGGGTAGAGAGTTCTGTAGATGTCTATCAGATTCATTCGGTCCAGTGTTGAGTTCAGCTCCTGAATACCTTTGTTAATTTTCTGCTTCCATGATTTGCCTAATACTGTCAGTGGGGTGTTGAAGTCTCCCACTATTATTGTGTGGGAGTCTCAGTCTTGCTGAAGGTCTCTAAGAATTTCCTTTATGAAGCCGGATCCTCCTGTGTTGGCTGCATATGTATTTAGGATAACTATCCTAAATACCGACAGTTAGGTCTTCTTGTTAAATTGAACCATTACCATTATGTAATGCTTTTCTTTGCCTTTTTTTATCTTGGTGGTTTAAATTCTTTTTACCTGAAGTTAGTACCTCTACTTTTTTCTGTTTTCTGTTGCTTGGTGCATTTTTCTCCATCCCTTTATTTTGAGCCTATAGGTGTCATTGCATATGAGATGGCTCTTGAAGACAGCATACAATTGGGTCTTGCTTCTTTATCCAGTTTGCCTCAGTGCCCATTAAGTGGGGCATTTAGCCTGTTTACATTCAAGATTAATATTTATATGTGATAATTTGATCTTGTCATTGTATTGTTAGCTGGTTGTTTTGTGGACATGATTGTACAGTTGCTTTATAATGTTAGAGTACTATCTACTTAAGTGTGTTTTTGTGGTGACAGATAATGGTCTTTTATTTCCATGTTTAGCATTCCCTTAAGTACCTCTTGTAAGGCAAATCTTATGGTAATAAATTCCCTTAGCATTTGCTTGTCTGAATAGAATTTTATTTCTCTTTCACTTATGTAGCTTAATTAGGCTGGATATGAAATTCCTAGTTGGAATTTCTTTTCTTTAAGTAGGCTGAATATAGACCCCTAATCTCTTCTGGCTTGTAGGGTTTCTGCTGAGAGGGGTGCAGTTAGTCTAATGGGCTTCCTTTTGTATGTAACCTGTCCTTTCTCTCTAATTACCTTTAAAATTTTTTCATTCATTTTAACCTTGGAGAATCTGATAATTATGTGTCTTAGGGATGATCTTCTTGTGAAGTGTTTTTCAGGGGTTCTCTGCATTTCCTGAATTTGAGTGTTGTCTTCTCTGGCTAGATTGGAAAAGTTCTTATGGATAATATCCTCAAATATGTTTTCCAGGTTCCTTTCATTCTTCCCATCTCTTTCAGGGACACCAATGACTCATAGATTCAGTCTTTTTACATAATCTCATATTTCTCAGATGTTCTGTTTGTTCCTTTTCATCCTTTTCTCTTTATTCTTGTCTGTCTTATTTCATAAAGCCAGTCTTCAAGTTCTGAGATTCTTTGCTCATCTTGTTCTAGTATGTTGTTAATACTTCTGATTGCATTATGAAATTCTTCTAAAGTGTTTTTCAGCTCTCTCAGGTTGGTTATGTTTTATTCTATAATAGTTATCTTGTCTGTCCACTCATTTATTGTTTTATTGTGATTCTTAGCTTCCTTAGATTTGGTTTTAATGTTCTTCTGAAATTGATGATGTTCTTTCCCCTTCGTGTTCTGAATTCTATTTATGTCATTGCAGCCATCCTACCCTGGTTAAGAACCCTTGTTAGAGAACTGGTGCAGTCTTTTGGGAGAAAGGAGACACTGGCTTTTTGAGTTATTAGGGTTCTTGTGCTGGTTCTTTCTGATCTTTGTGGGCTGATGTTCCTTCATTCTTTTGAAGTTGCTGTCCCTTGGATTGGTCTTTTTTTTTTTCTTTTATCCTATTTGATGACCTTGGGGGTTTGATTGTGGCCAGTTGACTGGCTTCATTACTGGGAAATTTTAGGCATCCAAGGTTCATCTCAGGACCTCTAGACTATGTGCTCTTACTCTGGGGGACTGGCATCAGGCCCTGGCTTTATTCACTGGCTCCTCAACGTTAGGAACCTGCTGTACTGGAGGGGGCTGAGGTGCCCCCAGACCCTTGGTAACAACACTGTGAGGGGTGGTGCCAGCCAAAACACTTTGTAGGGCAGTGGCAGTTGGATCCATCCTTATTCACATATGCCAGCAGCAGTGGCAGTGGCAGTGTGGCAGAGTGCACACTCAATGGCTGAGGCAGGGTGCTGGCAGGTGCCAGAGTGCCAGCCCATATGTGGGCCTTCATAGCAGCAGTGGTGGAAATAGAGCTCAGTAGAATGAAGGGGCCCCTGCCAGCTACAGTGCATGTGTTCACACCATTGGGGATGTTAGCATGGGGGTGGGCACTTGTGGGCTCAAGACAGTGTTTATCCTTTGTGTGCCTTTATGAAGGCAGTAGTGGCAACTCAGGGCTGGGGTCAGGTCCACTGTTTTCTGTGCTTAATTTCATGCTTTTGGCAGTGTTGATGCAGGAGCAGGGTACTGATGGGGGTGGAGCTGGTGGGCTCTGTTCCTGCCAATGCTCTGACTACAGTGGTACTGTGGTGGGGGAAGAGGTAGTGGGATGCACTCACGCCAGCCGTAGTGGCACAGCATGGTACATCAGCACATTGGCACCGGTGGGGAAGGCAAGCACCCATGCACACATGCTCCAGCAAAGCAATGTAGGGGGTGCTGTTGGGCAAGTGTTTGCAGACAGAGTGCCGGGGGAAGGCTGCAGTGGGGGCAGGGCACAGGCAGGCTTGTGTGGGTCCACAGGGCCATCTCTGCTGGAGCACTCTGCCAGTCATGTGCAGTCCACCAATGCAGGAGCTATATATGGGCCTCCAGGAAGTATTGGGGACTACACTTCAAGGAGGCCCAACCTTATTGGGAACCCAGGAGAGCCCATTAGACCATGAGGTGCTCAGGCTGTACTTGCCCAGTCTCATGGGCAAGACCACCCTGAAGGGTTCAGGTCCAACAGTTCTCCTAGGGCTAAAATTGTCCATGGGAGCAAGTCAAGCTTAGGGGGTTGTGCATCCCTGGCTCTGCTCCACTACAGGTACTCCTGCACCAAACCCCCTGTGCTCTGCAGCAGCAGATGGTCTTCCCCTACCACTTCTATAAGTAACTTTCCCTGCAAACTCAAGTGTCCATGGTGGTCGAGGGGTTTCCTCCTGCTGGGATTCCAGAGGCCCATGAGGAGAGCAGGTTCTGCCTTGCCTGTTCAACTCACACCCTCCACAGGAGTCACTGGGGGTCAGGAACATGGTAGCATAATATCCCTGTGCGAGATTCCCAGCTTCCTCCCACTTCAGCCCAGCATCTGTGTTTTTCCTCTGTCTGCTCTCAAGGCCTTCCCTCTGAAGATCTGCTAGGAGTGTGCCAGTCTTCTTGATGTCCTTGTCTCTCTGTGGGAGGTTTTCTTTCTGGCGGTGTCTAGTTGGCTATTTTGGAGCAAGACCAAACCTATGCTTTATATCTGCTGGAAAAGTTGGACACTTGAAAGCTACTAGGCCACCTTCTTTAGGGACTGAAAGAGGAAAATGGTAAGGACCTTTCTGACTTGGTCTTTGCTTCTTTATTTCTTCGTATCTCATATAATCAGACACACACCTCTCTCTCTCTCTCTCTTTCTTTCTTTGTCTCTCTCTCTCTGTCACACACACACACACACACACATACACGCACATACACACACACACCTCTCTTGTAATCCAAAAGATGTGAACAGTCTACAAATATATAAACCACAAACTATAGGAATTCTATGGGTTCACCCGGACAGACCCTAACGTATAAATTGGGTAAGAAGAGTAGGAAGGATTAGCTCATTGGTAACCTCAATTTCTCTTCAGGATTAAAATTTATACTCCAACAGACTTTACCAGGAACCTGTGGAGTAATGGAGGGATGACTCTATCTTATGACTAAATCCGACTTTGCTGCCTATGTTCTTTTACAAAGTAGCTAAAATTCATAAGGGAAGAAGGGGTAGTGCTTTGACTTCATTACTTCCAACATTCTCCTATGTAATGATGTATTATTTGTAAGTGTTATTTATTATTCATAGTTTAGTCTTTACAATACCAAACACAACCATCATGTTAACATTTGAGATGTAAGTGGTTGATGCTATGGAATGAGGTAAAAGTACTTCACAATGTTTATATGGAAAAGCACTTGTAGAAACTCCCAATGTAAGGATTTCAGTGGACAAGGGACATAACACTTGATCCTTAACAGTGACAAGGGACAAAGCACTTGATCCTTATCAAAGTTATTTCTTTATGCTTTCCTGTGTTTTACCATCAAAGACAATTATATTTGGCTCGGATTTTGTACTTTTTCAGGAATCAGGGTTTTTTATATAATTTTTTAATCCTTTATTTAACAGTTGTTGATAATTATCCTTCAAATAAAAAAATGACAGTTTAAAAATGACCATAATTAAAGCAATTACATTTCATTTATTGATAGGAACTTGTGCATGGCCTGTCACTAAATAAGATTTAAAAAATGAATAAAAACATTGAAAGAGCATGAGCTTCTTTGTTACAATGCACATGTAAAAACTAAATGGCATTTTTGAAGAATAAAAATTCTATCTCCTTAGTTCATTATGCATTGTACAATGAGTGCCAGAGCAAAGTTTTATTTCATTACCTACGTTTTATAGATTAAATAATACGATTCTTGTATTAACTGCATTGGTAGACCCACAAAAGTATATACAGATAGATGCTTAATAGTTTGAAATTAGTTCAATATAGAGATTTTAAACTTCATGATGCCTGGGAGACTGTTAAGCTTGTTTATATCTATATTCTAATTTCCTGAATGGTTCTTTAAAAAACTTTTTTGAACTAAAGTTGAGCTACTTGGTTTATAAAATTGTATTACTTAATAACCTCAACTAATATTTATATCTTAGAACCTGACACAGCATATCTTTCTGGCTGACATTGCAGACTTTAGAGTCAGAAGCTTGATACCAATAAAGGGGGAAAGGAAGGGGAAAATTAACCTCATTTAACAAGTGTTAACTATGAATATACCATAATCCAAGATCACACGGCTAACTTTTAGAAATATAGCTCTGAAACAGGTAGACAAGGACCTAACTGTCACAAAAATTTATCTTCCGATAGAAACATACACTAAATGAAAAAACAAACAGAGAAGATTATCCAGGTTTTGGTGTTCTTATGGAGGTGGAAACCATCATGATACAGAGACTATTTCAGTCAAGGGTTCAGGGAAAGCCTCTCTTAGAAGATGACTTTTAGGCTGAGACCTAAATAAAAGGATAGATTAAGTCATTTGAAGAAAGGTCAAAGACACTGGGTTACATGTCAAGAGAACAAGAAGGCTGGGTGGCATAAAGGTTGAACTGTAGTCAACTTTGTATCACGATGTCTTTTAGGATATAGTCATGAGTTTCTAATTTTTTTCTGCATATAAAAAATACAATGGGTATCTGAAGAATTAATGTTTATATCTTAATATCCAGGGATTTTCCACACAAAAAAGTCCACCAGTAGTGTCCTAGATTTAAAGTCAATGTTAATTTATTGCAATAAATATTTTTAAACATTTTCATTTGACATACAAATTAAAATATTCTATTTATAATTCTAGAACATTTCCTAGGGAAATCTGATTAATGTTCTATCAACTTTAGTTGAACAGACTAAGTTCTCAAAAACATTTAGGACTTAGTTAATGCAATTTCATTAATCATTTTAAAAAGTACTTTTGAATGTAATCTATTTGACAGTCATTTAAAGCTTTTCAAAGCCAAAGTGGACAACATTTAAAGTTTAAGCAGCAAAATATTCCAAATGACTTAACAGCCCTTGTGAATCAAGTATATTAAAATTATTACTATAAGTCCAATTCATTTGAGCAATTTACAGTTTTTACAAATAAGACATTTTTCCCATATAGCTCAGAGTAAAATCACAATAGTAAAATAAATTACCCAATTCTAATTTAAATCACCAACCGTAATTTTGTAAGCTTGAACATCTCACAAACACTTTAAGTACCAAAGATACACAAATCCTTATGGTAATTACTAAATGTACTCCTAGCACTCTTTACATAAGGTATTTGAAAAATGAGAGGATGACATATATTTAATTATTATACAAGAGCTGCCACAATCTCTCCATATGTAGATGTTAAGAAGGCCGAATTGAATAACACCCAATCTATTTTCCTTCAAACATTTTCTAGTACCTCAGCTGTTTTCTTTTTTTCTTTCTTTTTCAAGCCTAATTGGATAAACCAAACTAACTGATCTAAGTTAATAGCATTCCCATCTTTTTCTCATTTCCCATTGTCTATTTTTATGGAATATGATAAATCTAAGAGGCACTCCAGTATGTCTCTTGAATTGCATTCATTCAGTAGCAGCAATCAAAACTGCCTTTGGTAATTGAAATCAATTACCTTGGCTACCATAATGACATTCTTCTTTATTATTTCATTGGTATGATGAGCTAAAAATAGGAAGAGACAATTTAGCCCTCATTCTTTTCTCCCTTTGTTTTTCTTTGTAATTTCAAATTTTATTTTAGATTCAGAGTACATGTACAGCTTTATTACATGGGTAGATTGGGTGATATTGACTTTTGGAATATGATTGATCCTGTCACCCAGGTAGTGAGCATAGTACCCAACAGTTAGTTTTTCATCCCTAGCCCTCCTCCTGGCCTCCATCCTCATGTAGTCCTCAGTGTCTATTGTTCCTTTCCTTGTGTCCACATGTACTCAATGTTTAGTTCCCACTTATAAATGAGAACATGCAGTAATTGGTTTTATGTTCCTGGGTTTATGCACTTAGGATAGTGGCCTTCAGCTGCATCCATGTTGCTGCAAAGGATATTGTTTCATTTTTTTATGGCTGTGTAGTACTCCATGGTGTATATGTACCACATTTTCTTTATCCAATCCACCATTGAATGGTACCTAGGTTGATTCCATGTCTTTGTTATTGTTAGTAGTTTGGCTCTCATTCTTAATATATCAATAATTATGTCCATATTTCTCCTGGACTCTGAAATATTTATTTATTTAAACATATATTGACATTGACCTTTGCTCTTGAAATTTTGATCCCTCAGCAGGTTCAGTGACCCAGTTGGTCTTGATAATGTAAAATAAAATTTGTTGAGCCCACTAGTATCTCATATCTGATGTCCTTAACATCTGTGTTCATGGGCCCTTTGAACAAGCCCACGTTAATTTAAGAAGGTGGCTGATTTTCATCCACAGGAAGATTTCACTTATTACCATGTTTATTGAGAACACCTTTTTTGTGGATGCTCTTTTGGGGCCTTTACTGAGCCTGTGATGAGCTGGCCAATCCAATAATTATAACTTATGGTAATCTCTGGCCGTCTCTTTTTCCATCAGAATTTGAAAAATCAAATGTGTTTTCCAACAGTGCTATCCACTGTTGGAAATTTTTCTTATTGCTGTTTTTAGGCTACCCTTAATAGGGACCACTTCTGGTGGATCCAAGCATACCAGGAAGATATGTATAGCTTCATTCTCTGTTAACTAAATATGGAGAATAACCTTTGGGGCCATAGATTTGGCTAGAGGACAAGCAGAGAGGCTGTAAAATAGGTTACATGGGAATCTGTTTTGCATGCTTACATGTTATCACTTATGCTTGAGGGCCTATTGATTTAAGTGAAGATGGTATATTTTAAAATGGAATATTACTGAGCACAGCTTAATTTATGATTTAGTGTGCCAGATAACAACCAGTTCATGTTGGAAACTGAAGGAGAACTGTCACTTGGTTGCCACTGTCAGACCTTCCTTCTTTACTGAACTCCAAGAGTAAGCCTACCTTCTCTCAAATAGAAAATAGTTATTGGTCGATGAAAAAATGTTTTTACCCAAAATCTCTATTAATTTTCTCTGCTCTGGGTCTCATGAGAGGTTTCATCAAGGGATCCAATTTGACACAGACTCTTCTAATATCATAGTTCTGATAGTTCCTAATATCTAATGCAGCAGCATCTAGATCCTGCAACTTGGACCTGGCATGAAGCATGCCTTAGCACTAGGCACATTCAAAACTGGAAAATGTAGGGTATACCCAGTAAATATGTGGTGACAGCACATACAAATATAATTCATATTACCTCAATAATCCAAAAAGGCACTATCAATCATTGTGCCTTTTGTGGACAGCATAAGGTCTAGCAAATTGTCTCCTCCTTGAAAGACCTGGGTATGCCAAAGGCCATGGAAACCCTAGAATATTTACTGATTTAACAGATATCTGAACTTCCATGTTATTTCCCACCCTCTGGCGCACATGTCATTATAACCTCTTGTGCATTTGCTTTATGCTGTTCGACAATCCAGTTAGCTTAATCTGCCAAGCATATAAGCCATTACTAGGCTTTGTGTGATGTCAAGCTCATCAAGATCTCTCCAGACTATGACAAGAGAGATAAGAGGAATATTGTATTCTTGATACAAGAAACCCGAAACACTCTGCTATTTCTATGAAATGAAGGCAAATTTGTTCTAGTTTTCTTAGTTGAAGAAAATACCAAAAAAATATTTTCTAGGTCAATAATTATACGCCAAGTGCCAGAGCTGACACTGATTCGCTTCAATTAAAATAGCACATCTGGAAAAGCATCAGCAATTGACAACAAAACCTTAATATTAATACTTTATCCAAAATTGATCCACATCTTGACATAGCCAACCAGGTGCACTAACTTGGTATGTAGAAAAAAGTCACCATCCTGAATTTTTCAAGTGTTAGATGGTAGCACTAATTTCTTCTATTTCTTTGGGTTGTGGTATTCCTTTAAATGTGTAGTTTTTCCAAGTTAAGAGTTGGGTAATTAGTTTTAGGGCCTTCTTGGACCTTCATGAATAATAGTCTTCATGAGTCAGGAACTCAAAAGCAGAGTTTTACAGATAATGTGTGTCCATTCCCACTATGCGTATAGCCTGGGATAAAAATCAAAGTCAGGATTCCTATGCACATTGAACATACTAGGAAAGTAACCAGGGCTATAGCTACATTTATGACCCAACCTTCCTAAGCACTAAATGTCTTTAATATCATTTTATTTACATATTATTAACACTGGTTTAAATTGAGCATTTTATATGTCTGTGGAAGCTCTGGGCATTTTCGTTTCCCCAGTTTACATTTTCCTTGAGAAATTGTTATAAGTAAAATGCTTATTCCTCAGTACTGCCAGTAAAAATCAGCATTCAGACAAAAAGTTTTCTCAGCAAGTCAATTTTACTTTATGCAGAAAGGGGGCTCCTCACAGGTAGAACAATGGTGAGAGCACACCTGAACAAAGGAGGGAAGCAATTTTTATCTCTTACGCAGCTTGTCCCTGCTACTTTGTCCTGTCTCCATTGGTTGGAGCCAGACCGCACAATCTAAGCTAAACCCGACTGGCTAATAACTTAAAACTTTCTGAAATAGGTAAAGGCAAGGGAGAACAAAGGAAAAGAGAAATTTGCTTACGAAAAGACTTAGAGAAGTAATAACATTTCCAAATAAGGAAGGGGCATATGCTGTGAGCTGGGACAGGCCTGAGCATGTCTAGAACAAATATCTTGGTTAAAGTACAAGGACGTAGAATGTACTCATTCTCTTATATCTAACAGCTACATAGGATAGGGCTTAACAAAGAGTTATTAGCAAAAAGCAAGGAGGCGTGAAGGAAGTTATTCTTTAAAAGAAACTATTATTTCTAACACTTACGATTTATTCTTTAACAAGAAGGGAAACTTTGAAGAGGAACTGTTTTATTTCCACACAAATTATTAAGAGTCTCTGCAGGAAAGTTTGGGAGAAAAGTTGCAGAATGTATTTGGGACGTTTGTTAAGGGATTTATATTCATCCCTCAGCCAGTTAATGTACTGTCTTTTGAATTAGTCTGTGTCTGTGAACTGGGAAACAGGCCAAGATTACTCGCTATGACTTGACCTAGAACTGTTTTCCTTATATATGTCATGTGTCATCTCATTATACCCCTTATTCTTCAATCCTAGGGCCTTTGTGATCAATTAGGCATTACCACACATCTAATTCTTGCACTCCAACTATGAACTCTGGAGTGAAGAGGTCAGCTGCAGCAGAAATGTTCAAGTACAAAAGTTCTTGTACAAATATACAAGCCCCTTACAAAAATATTGTTAAATTCTTTGGTGAAGAGAGAACCTTCTAGGTCTTTATGGATTAAGGTATGAGTAGGTATTCAATGAGAAGGCTATAAACAACATACCTTCTCCAACAGCCTCACCTCCTTGAACCTTCAAACCCCTTCTTATACATTATGCCAAGGAAGTTATGGTATCCAAAACTCATCTACTCTGTTTGATTTTTTTCCTAGGTATGCCATCCAACCTGACAGCACCAGTGTAAAGGGGAACCTTGTAGAAATGGAAATATTCTGTTTCCATCTCTGATGTGCAGAATTCTAAGATGATTGTCGAGATTCCCAGTCCCTGGTGTACATGTCCTTGTATTGGATATGGCTGCCTCAGTTTAATAATTAATATATTTACAATGAGTTAATATAAAATAAGATTATCCTGGGTAATTCTGGCCTAATAAGGTGAGCTCTTAAAAGATATTAAAACATCAAAGAGATTCTCATTCTAGCCTCAAAGAAGAGAACCAAACAATGATGTTCAAAACTATATATAGAGAGAGGTAGCATCTAGTGACTGAGGGTCTCAGTGTTACAACCTCAAAGAGTTAAAGTCTTCCAATCACCAGGACAGACTTGAAAAAGCATCCCAAGTTCAAAATGAGGACCACATCTCACATGATGAGCCCTTGAACACACTGAGCAGAGGCTCCACCTAAGCCTGGCCCAAAGTTCTGGCCCATGTTGTATTAGTTAGAAATTCTGAAAGTGAGACCTAACGATCTATGTTTTGACAAGCAGGCTTCACTTAAATAACCTAGCAGACTGTTAATATCCTTTAAGTTAACTTGTCAACCTTCTAACACTATGCGTGTGTTCACAGTGATAAATCCAGAAATATTAAATCTTACATTCTGCCTTCTTTGGTCTAACACCCTCAGAATGTATTCCCATATGTTCTCCACACTTATGCCAAAAATGGTGTCAAGATGTAAGAGTGTCAACTCTCTTCCAAGAAGATCATGCTTTGCACTTTTCCATCTGGGAGTTGCTGAGATCCAACCAGTTAAGAACTTGGAAGAAATGAGGTGCAGTCAAGGTAGTGGAAGTTCTGGTACACTGCCTAGATCTTTTCAATATCAAGGCACTCACTGACCCAAATGCAGGAAACTTTGTCTGCCATGGCTCACTAATGAGTATCTCTTCAAGAATTCTTATGAACCAAAAAGAGCTGCCTCACACAAGGTTGCAACCTGCAGTGGTTTGTTTCTAAAGATGGCTGCAACTGCATTCCCCATCCTGCCTGCCTTTTGCAGTGAGAATTTGCTCATTGCAAAATGTATTTTCTCTCCTCTTGAAATGTATTTCCTCTCCTCTTGAATTGAACTGACTCTATGATTTTATTTGACCAATAGTATGTGGTAGAAGAGAGTCAGTGATTTCTAAGGCTAGGCTTTAAGTGGCCTTTTAGTTTAAAAACAAACACAAAAATCTGTTTAGGGCTCAACCTAAACATGAGGAGGAAAATGGCAGAAATGTGGCTGAATTCTGGCCACAATGAAATGACCAACTGAATGCAACCACGTGAGTGATTTCAAGTGAGACCAAAAGAAGAATCACAAGGTAATACAGAGAATGATGAAAAAATAATTATTTTTTATTTAGGCTTCTAAATTCGGGAATGGTTTTTAATGCAATAATAAGTTAACTGAGAAATGATCCCTCTCAGGGAAGGCCTACATCCACTGGGTCGTGGATAGAGGGGTAAAAACCCTGGTTCCTTTTTGTCAATTAAAAACTCTCTTAAGGATCATCCTGGCTTCACAGTTCCCCATAAGGTCAGCTGAAACATCTGTAGCCATGTATCATATTTCGGTTTCTCCCTTTGCCTGTTGTGCCTCCTCATTTCCTTACATGTGTTGTTCCTGAAAGATTTTCCCATTTCTTCTCAACCAGTGCCTTATGAAGTATTTATTTGCTTCCAACTCTGCAACTCTTACAACCAATTCTTATGATCAATCTTCAGCCATATATGCCCTGAATCTGTATCTGCCAAAGAGGTAGCCAGATACAGGTTGACCTGTACCTTGAGATATAAATTCAGAGTTTTCTATCACTGATCTTTCTATCATTGCTCAAAGTTTTCTATCATTGCTTAATGATTGTATCATTGCAATACGATCAACATCATTCAGCGCAAAACATAATCAATACCAATCTTTTTAGCATGGCCATTGAGTGTCATTTATTCTTGTCTCCCAATGCCTTGACCTCCATTTGCATTCAAGCCCATGGCAGTGTCAGTGATAATGTGTGTGATTGTGATACACCACTCTACGCTATATTCTCTTAAATCCCGTTTCCTTCAACATGGAGATTTTTTGAGGAGTCATTAGATGAACATTTTTATTACATAATCTAGTTTTGTGGGTTTTTTCTTGAGGCCACCCTAGTACTAATTGTCAGATAATTTTGGTAGAAAAAGAGATGGTACATATAAAAGGGTAATTTAAAAAAATAATAAAGGCCTGTTTACAAAGGTCTGGAAAAGATTAAGGAAATTAAGAGGGGATGGTACAGCTTCCAGATACTAACAAAAGCAAGGAGTCATTAGTAGCCCTAGATCTGTAGATTATTTGAGAGAGAACAATGCTGTTGGAAACCAGTAATTGTTGTAATTGTAGGGGCAAAGCTACCTAAGAGAAGCTAAA
The DNA here is from genome assembly GCF_000001405.40 of Homo sapiens. Taxonomy (NCBI): domain Eukaryota; kingdom Metazoa; phylum Chordata; class Mammalia; order Primates; family Hominidae; genus Homo; species Homo sapiens. Next base: position 12,457,806 of record NC_000005.10, on the reverse strand, counting down.
GCCATAAGTGAGAAAACAAAGTTTTTTCCAATCCACAGTGAAATAATGAGAAGGCAGGAAGTTATACATCTCTTCTTGCCTTCCTATCTTTTGTTTGCGCCCCATTGATACCACTTAACTGAAAGCCAGAAAGCACAAGGGCCTAGGTCTTGCAATCTGTGGGAATCAGTCTCCCAGAGTAAAGTAGAGGGCAGAGAAAAAATATAAAGTGGAGTGCAGACATGGAGAGACAGAGGATAACCAAATCAAGTGTCATGCCCCATTTCTATCTTTACTTTTTTTATCAACTGTATTTCTATTCAATTCCAGTCATCTTTGTTTTAATTTGTTGACTGTTGCAAACTTCAATTTGATTATCTTCCTTTCTTCCTGGACCTCTGCTTCCATCCTTCATTTCCCATTTCTGCCTTTTCTTTTTTTTCTTCCTATCTTTTATTCCTTCTCTGAAACATAGTCGATGTCTGATAAAACCAAAGCATGGTTCAACGCAAGATGGAGGACAGAGGATGTTAAAACATAGCCCCACAATCTCAGGCCTTGCAATTTAGTTGTTCAGTTGTGATATGGGTACCCATAATTATACCAAAAACATTTTACAAACATGATAACTATTTCATGAGGACCTGTTCAGTTCCAGTTACCTCATTCCTTATGCATTTATGGAAAGGTCATTATTTTTACCTCTGATGAAACATGTAAAGAAAATTAAGAAATCATTTGCTTTACACTGAAGAATGTATAAAATATGAGTATATATTAATACATAAAATACACATATTTAGTGTATTATATGCTGATATACATCATTTTATGTATCTTCTAGACAATTAATTAGATATATATCTTAGATTATTAATAGTTTAAGTGGAGAATCTTCACCTACACTCTTTCTGAATTCAACAGCAAGTTCAGCACAATGCTGGATATCCACTAGGTAATTTCTAAATGCTTACTGGCTTTGCTTAGGTTTTCCTTGGGATTGGTTCCTTTGAATCAGATTTTGATAAAACTCTTGCGTTTTTATAACCATGCAGTTAGAAAATATGATCATTCTTGTCTTAGATTTAGTTTGCATTTTATACATTATCACTTAGAAACTTAAAGAAATAAACCATGTTTAAGGCATATTCAAAACACTGATAAAAATCCTGTTTATATGGTAAATTTAGAACATCATAAATCTCATAGGATTTTGGAAATTCATAAAAGAGATAAATTACTTGGTAAGAAAAAAGTGTGAATATCAAATATACTTAACTTTTGTATTTTCTAAAAAGTTGACTTTTTATTTTTACTAGTGTGTGTTTTATTGAGTATATGATAAAAACATTTTTAAGAGTAAGCTAAATCAAAGTAAATAGGAAGGTAGTTCTTAGAAATGGGTTCATTTTCGGCCCAGCATAGCAGCACTGTAATCCCAGCACTTTGGGAGGCCGAAGCAGGCGGATCACCTGAGATCAGGAGTCCAAGACCAGCCTGGCCAACATGGTGAAACCCTGTCTCTACTAAAAATACAAAAATTGGCCAGGCGTGGTGGCTCATGCTTGTAATCCCAGCTACTCGGGAGGCTGAGGCAGGAGAATCTCTTGAACCCGGGAGGTGGAGGTTGCAGTGAGCCGAGATCGTGCCACTGCACTCCAGCCTGGGCAACAAGAGTGAAACTGGGCTCAAAAGATACAATTATAGTAAAATGTAGCTCTATCATTTATATGTGCAGATGTGAAACATCTGTGGCTGAAATATATGAAGATATGAAAGGATATTTTAAGAATGCAAAAAAAACTAAAATATATTCCATTTCTACAATATTGCAGAGTATTATTTAACATGTTGATGAAGTCACTATGAATAATCATTAAAGTTATTTGAAATGATTTTTACAATAAGAAAATACTACACAAGATAAAGATGTTATTATAATTATCACTATTATTACATCAAGATGATATTCTTGTGCTTAGCCTGAATTTCTCTTTTATCTCACCAAGTGGGAGAATATTTGGTGTGTTTATTCTTTCCATACAGAAAGAACTGGCCTCAGAAATATTTCAAAACTTGTACTTCAAAGTGTAGATTACTTTATTCTTCAGGGATTGCTGAAATTACAGAGTCAAATCTCTCAACAGGCACACAGTTGCAGTCTTCTAGAGGAATAAAATGACACAAGTATTAACAGCAACAGCAACATCATAAAAAGTCCCAGCATTCTTCATAGCCTCACTGAGAAATTTCATAAGAAAAGAAAGCACACTTTTGAGTAGTAGCTCAAATATGAAGTTTGTAGTGAAATGCATAGGATAAGGTTAATGGATACAGAAACATCAGAATTACATATATAATACATATGCATACACATATATTTCCAATAACAGCTATTTTCAAAGACAATAATAATAATTCTTTCAACTAATTTCAAAATATTGAACATTGGAGGGGTTTATGATTAAAACTATAATAACCAACCTTGACTGGTTTTCACTTTCTGGCCAGGAGATAATTTGTAGCCTATCATATAAAAGCCTTTAAAAAAATCAATTCTCTGAAGTAATGCCTTGTGACTGTGCTGTCTTTCTTTAAATCCTCTCCAGTAAGGGATGCAAAATATAAAATAATTCTACATTTGGGTGTCTTTATTTTAATTGTCTTCCTGGTAATGATAATTTCAAAGAGATTAAACATTAAAATATTTAACACTTGTTGGTGTATAAGAATGCTTGTGATTTTTGTACATTGATTTTGTATCCTGAGACTTTGCTGAAGTTGCTTATCAGCTTAAGGAGATTTTGGGCTGAGACGATGGGGTTTTCTAGATAAACAATCATGTCGTCTGCAAACAGGGACAATTTGACTTCCTCTTTTCCTAATTGAATACCCTTTATTTCCTTCTCCTGCCTGATTGCCCTGGCCAGAACTTCCAACACTATGTTGAATAGGAGCGGTGAGAGAGGGCATCCCTGTCTTGTGCCAGTTTTCAAAGGGAATGCTTCCAGTTTTTGCCCATTCAGTATGATATTGGCTGTGGGTTTGTCATAGATAGCTCTTATTATTTTGAAATACGTCCCATCAATACCTAATTTATTGAGAGTTTTTAGCATGAAGGGTTGTTGAATTTTGTCAAAGGCTTTTTCTGCATCTATTGAGATAATCATGTGGTTTTTGTCTTTGGCTCTGTTTATATGCTGGATTACATTTATTGATTTGCGTATATTGAACCAGCTTTGCATCCCAGGGATGAAGCCCACTTGATCATGGTGGATAAGCTTTTTGATGTGCTGCTGGATTCGGTTTGCCAGTATTTTATTGAGGATTTTTGCATCAATGTTCATCAAGGATATCGGTCTAAAATTCTCTTTTTTGGTTGTGTCTCTGCCCGGCTTTGGTATCAGAATGATGCTGGCCTCATAAAATGAGTTAGGGAGGATTCCCTCTTTTTCTATTGATTGGAATAGTTTCAGAAGGAATGGTACCAGTTCCTCCTTGTACCTCTGGTAGAATTCGGCTGTGAATCCATCTGGTCCTGGACTCTTTTTGGTTGGTAAACTATTGATTATTGCCACAATTTCAGAGCCTGTTATTGGTCTATTCAGAGATTCAACTTCTTCCTGGTTTAGTCTTGGGAGAGTGTATGTGTCGAGGAATGTATCCATTTCTTCTAGATTTTCTAGTTTATTTGCGTAGAGGTGTTTGTAGTATTCTCTGATGGTAGTTTGTATTTCTGTGGGATCGGTGGTGATATCCCCTTTATCATTTTTTATTGTGTCTATTTGATTCTTGTCTCTTTTTTTCTTTATTAGTCTTGCTAGCGGTCTATCAATTTTGTTGATCCTTTCAAAAAACCAGCTCCTGGATTCATTGATTTTTTGAAGGGTTTTTTGTGTCTCTATTTCCTTCAGTTCTGCTCTGATTTTAGTTATTTCTTGCCTTCTGCTAGCTCTTGAATGTGTTTGCTCTTGCTTTTCTAGTTCTTTTAATTGTGATGTTAGGGTGTCAATTTTGGATCTTTCCTGCTTTCTCTTGTAGGCATTTAGTGCTATAAATTTCCCTCTACACACTGCTTTGAATGCGTCCCAGAGATTCTGGTATGTGGTGTCTTTGTTCTCGTTGGTTTCAAAGAACATTTTTATTTCTGCCTTCATTTCGTTATGTACCCAGTAGTCATTCAGGAGCAGGTTGTTCAGTTTCCATGTAGTTGAGCGGCTTTGAGTGAGATTCTTAATCCTGAGTTCTAGTTTGATTGCACTGTGGTCTGAGAGATAGTTTGTTATAATTTCTGTTCTTTTACATTTGCTGAGGAGAGCTTTACTTCCAACTATGTGGTCAATTTTGGAATAGGTGTGGTGTGGTGCTGAAAAAAATGTATATTCTGTTGATTTGGGGTGGAGAGTTCTGTAGATGTCTATTAGGTCTGCTTGGTGCAGAGCTGAGTTCAATTCCTGGGTATCCTTGTTGACTTTCTGTCTCGTTGATCTGTCTAATGTTGACAGTGGGGTGTTAAAGTCTCCCATTATTAATGTGTGGGAGTCTAAGTCTCTTTGTAGGTCACTCAGGACTTGCTTTATGAATCTGGGTGCTCCTGTATTGGGTGCATAAATATTTAGGATAGTTAGCTCCTCTTGTTGAATAAATGTGGCACATATACACCATGGAATACTATGCAGCCATAAAAAATGATGAGTTCATGTCCTTTGTAGGGACATGGATGAAATTGGAAACCATCATTCTCAGTAAACTATCGCAAGAACAAAAAACCAAACACCGCATATTCTCACTCATAGGTGGGAATTGAACAATGAGATCACTTGGACACAGGAAGGGGAATATCACACTCTGGGGACTGTGGTGGGGTCGGGGGAGGGGGGAGGGATAGCATTGGGAGATATACCTAATGCTAGATGACACGTTAGTGGGTGCAGCGCACCAGCATGGCACATGTATACATATGTAACTAACCTGCACAATGTGCACATGTACACTAAAACTTAGAGTATAATAAAAAAAAAAATTAAAAAAACAAAAAAAAAAATATTTAACACTTATGTATTTTAAAATTACACTCATTTTTACCAAAAAAAAAGAGAGATGTTAGTCTTTCTGTCAAAGCCACTATTTCAATTAATTGAAATCTATGAAGCACAACAAAGAAAAGAATTGAATCCTCCCTTTCATTAAGAAACCTGAAGATAACTTTGGAGAAGGTTACTGGCAAGGTATTTTTTTATATATAAAAGTATGACTTGCTATACATAACCAGCTTTGAAATGTGGAAACTAAATTGGGAATAATAAAATCATTTCTTCAGTAAGTATAGAAAAATATACTATAATTAAAAGAGTCACATGTTTTTTGGAAAGGAATTAAACATTCTGAGGAAGTCTGAAATTCTGAAAGCATGTTTACATATAGTAAATGAAATTAAAAACAAAGTAAATTTTTAGGAGTTTAAGGAAAACATAAGTCCTCTTGCATTGGTTTGCTAGGGCTGCCATAACAAAATATCACAAACTGGGTGACTTAAACAAGAGCAATTTATTTTGTCATAGTTCTGGACACTGGAAGTCCAAGATCAATGTTCCAGCAAGATTGGTTTCTCCTGAGGCCTCTCTCCCTGCCTTGAAGATGGCCGCCTTCTCTCTCTCTCCTCACTTGGCCTTTCCTCTGTGCACCAGCATTCCTAGTGTTTCTTCTCTTTTACTAAGGACACGAGTCCTGTTGGATTAGAACCCAACTCCTATTATCTCACTTCACCCTACTCACCTCTTTAAAGGCCTTATCTCCAAACACAGTCACATTCTGAGGTACTAGGAGACAGAGACTCTCAAATACTAGGAATTAAAGCTTCAGCCTATGAACTTTGAGGAGATACAGATTTCCTTCCATGACACACCTGAAGTTTCTAATAAAATTAGACAATGTATTAAATTATCTACAAAACCTTTTAATTTTTCTCTTTAAGCAGTGTTACAAAAAGCTAAATTCCATCATATTATAATCACTAATCTATAAAAGCGTCTCAAATTATTATTGTGATAAAATGTTAAATCGTGCATAGGACAAAATCTCAGAGTCGTATTGCCAGGGTTTCACATTTTAGTATTGCTCAAGCTTTGCTCAGTTGAGTCATCTGGTTCCCATCAATGTCAATTCAGCATACTAATCAGGCGGGGAAGATTTGAGTACATTTTATCAATTCTTTTAATGCAGATATTAAACTCTATTGGCTGGAATCATATACAGAGGTCTTCTGTTACAGAACTTGTCTTCGCCAAATAGTTTCTTCAATCTCATTTCAGCTTCTTCACAGAAAGGTTTTTTATTTTTAATTATTATTATTATTACACTTTACGTTCTGGGGTACATGTGCAGAACATGCAAGTTTGTTACATAGGTATACACGTGCCATGGTGGATTACTGCACCCATCAACCCATCATCTACATTAGGTATTTCTCCTAATTCTATCCCTCCCCTAGGCCCCATCCCCCAACAGGCCCTGGTGTGTGATGTTTCCCTCCCTGTGTCCATGTGTTCTCATTGTTCAACTCCCACTTATGAGTGAGAATATGCACTATTTGGTTTTCTGTTCTTGTGTTAGTTTGCTGAGAATGATGGCTTCCAGCTTCATCCATGTCCCTGCAAAGGACATAAACTCATCGTTTTTTATGGCTGCATAGTATTCCATGGTGTATATGTGCCACATTTATCTAGTCTATTATTGATGGGCATTTGGGTTGGTTCCAAGTCTTTGCTATTGTGAACAGTGCTGCAATAAACATACATGTGCATGTGTCTTTATAGTAGAATGATTTATAATCCTTTGGGCATATACCCAGTAATGGGATTGCTGGGTCAAATAGTATTTCCAGTTCCAGATCCTTGAGGAATCGCCACAATGTCTTCCACAATAGTTGAACTAATTTATACTCCCACCAACAGTGTAAAAGCATTCCTATTTCTACACATCCTCTCCAGCATCTGTTGTTTCCTGACTTTTTAATCATCGCCATTCTAACTGGCGTGAGATGGTATCTCATTGTGGTTTTGATTTGCATTTCTCTAATGACCAGTGATGATGAGATTGTTTTCATATGTTTGTTGGCTGCATAAATGTCTTCTTTTGAGAACTGTGTGTTCATATGCTTCACTCACTTTTTGATGGGGTTTTTTTTTCTTGTAAATTTGTTTAAGTTCATTGTAGCTTCTGGATATTAGCCCTTTGTCAGATGGATAGATTACAAACATTTTCTCCCATTCTGTAGGTTGCCTGTTCACTCTGATGATAGTTTCTTTTGCTGTGCAGAAGCCCTTTAGTTTAATTAGATCCCATTTTTCAATTTTGGCTTTTGTTGCCATTTCATTTGGTGTTTTAGCCATGAAATATTTGCCCATGCCTATGTCCTCAATGGTATTGCCTAGGTTTTCTTCTAGAGTTTTTATGGTTTTAGGTCTTACATTTAAGTCTTTAATCCATCTTGCGCTAATTTTTGTATAAGGTATAAGGAAGGGATCCAGGTTTAGCTTGGTGCATATGGCTAGCCAGTTTTCCCAACACCATTTATTAAATAGGGAATCCTTTCCCCATTGCTTGTTTTTTGTCAGGTTTGTCAAAGATCAGTTGGTTGTAGATGTGTGGCATTATTTCTGAGGCCTCTGTTCTGTTCCATTGGTCTATGTATCTGTTTTGGTACCAGTACCATGCTTTTTTGGTTACTTTAGTCTTGTAATATAGTTTGAAGTCAGGTAGCATGATGCCTCCAGCTTTATTCTTTTTGCTTAGGATTGTCTTGGCTATGCGGTCTTTTTTTCGGTTCCATATGAAATTTAAAGTAGTGTTTTCCAATTCTCTGAAGAAAGTCAGTGGTAGCTTAATGGGGATAGCATTGAATCCATAAATTACTTTGGGCAGTATGACCATTTTCATGATATTGATTCTTCCTATCCATGAGCATGGAAAGTTTTTCCATTTGTTTGTGTCCTCTTTTATTTCGTTGAGCAGTGGATTGTAGTTCTCCTTGAAGAGGTCCTTCACAGAGTGGTTATTTGGTGACAAGGATCTCAAAGTAGTAGCAGCATATGCCAGCTCTCTGTTGCATCCACATGTGTGACCTGCTACAGGAAGTTACGCTGGAGAAAAACCTAGAGAGATTGTGATTCATTTTGCTAAAAATTTTAGGGAAAATGAAACTGATTATTACTCAGTTAATTATTTGTCCTCAAGCCCTTTAAAAAATATATTTTACTGAGAATTACTTAAATTTTCATATTATCCACAATTTTTTTCAGCAAAAATTCTTATTTATGTTGAAAAATAATGGTAATTTGCAATGCTATTATTGGTAAATTGGTCAAAATACAAGAACGTCAAACACATATAAGGTAAATATGTCTCTTGACAACTTGGTTTCTGTTTAAATTATGTATATATTTGAGCTATTAAATCAATTGTTATTGACAAATATACTTCTTGAAATTTGAGCTTTTATATATTTTGGGGAACAGAAAATTACATTGGTTGCACTGATTATATTTCAACTCACTAATAAAGAAAGTAAAGATCCCAAATATTGCTTATTGACCTTCTTTTACAGTAATAGCAAGTGAGCAGAGTTAGAGATGACATTAGTTTCTGTGAGTGAGTAAATCAATAAAAAAGCATTTTTCCTTCAGGGCCATATCACAAGGGTCTAAGTAGCCGATGACACACACTAACAAAGATAAAATAGTTTGAATAATTTTGAATTTTTGAAATTCAAATATGCACAGAGGAATCACATGAATATATGCATATTTAAGCTTTTCTTCTATAATAAGTTGATAAGCAGTTCACAGAAATCACTGCCTGTTGCTTGTCGTATATACAAGAAAAATTATCAATCTATGAACTATTTGAGTGCCACTACCAGAGTTCTTTAAATAAGCAGCATCCAATCAGTGCAGGGAAACAAAACAACACTATCATGATATGCAAGCCTCTACTCCAGGCAATTTAAATACAAATAATTACAAAAATGGAAGTTGAATTATGATCGGGAAAGAGTTTATTTTACCTGTTGTCAACCCCTCAAATAAGTTTCAAGTTTAATTTTGAATAGATTATTTATAATTTTGTATTTTGTATTTCATTGGGAAATTATAATTAATTTATTGTTAAATAAATATTTAAGTGTATTCTAATAAACACTGGCTTTCTAAAGGATCTTTATTTTTTAATTTTTAATTGTTACAGATACATAACAGTTGTACATATTTATGGGATACATGTGGCATTTTGATATAAGCATACAATGTTTAATCATCAAATCAGGATAATGGGAGTATCTGTCACCTCAAGCATTGATCATTTCCCTGTGTTAGGACCATTAGTTTCACCTATTCCTGTCATCCACGTGGTGATAAAAGGTTTCCATTATATCCCAAGTAGTTGGTGATTTGTTGTGTCCCAATGAATTACCACTGTCGGATCTAGCTTTCTGTCATTTAAAAAAAATGTACAAAGTATGTAATGTATACAACATATACTAGAATTTCAGAGTTGTGAAGGATGCTGACATTGACTGTCCTGGGCCCCAAACGACTACAGGTGGGATGTTGTTAAAGACTTGGAGTCTTTAACACAAATACAATCTTAAAATATATATGGAATCACAAAATACTCACAAACTATCAACAGAGTTAACACACAACTTACATAATGGAAGAAAATATTTGCAAAGTATCCATCTGACAAAAGTCTAATATCTAGAATCTATAAGGAATTTAAACCAATCAACAAGTCAAAAAACGAACAACCCCATTGAAAAATGTACAAAGCACATGAACAAACATTTTTTAAAAGAAGACACACCAATAGCCAACAAACATAAGGAAAAATGCTCAACATGACTAATTATTAGATAAATGCAAATCAAAACCACAGTGAAATGCCATTTCACATCAGTCAGAATGATTATTATTAAAAAGTGAAAAAATAACCAATGCTGGTGAGGATGCAGGGAAAAGGAAACTTATACACTGCTGGAGGAAATGTAAATTTGTTTAGCCACTGTGGAAAGCAGTTTGGAGATTTACCAAAGAACTTAAAACAGAATCATAATTCAACCCAGAAATCCCGTTACTGGATGTATACTCAAAGGAATATAAATTATTCTACCCTTAAGACACATGCACACATATGTTCATCATAGCACTTTTCACAATAACAAAGATATGAAGTCAAACTACATGCTCACCGAGGGTGAACTGAATAAAGAAAATGTGGTACATATACACCATGGGGTACTATGCCACCATAAAAAAAGAATGCAACTAGGTCCTCTGCTGCAATATGAATGCAGCTGGAGGCCATTATTCTAAGCAAATTAATGCAGTCCCAGAAAACTAAATACCACATGTTCTCACTTATAAGTGGGAGCTAAACATTAAGAATATATGGACACAAAGATGAGAACAAAAAGTACACATGGACACAAAGAGGGAAACAATAAACACTGGTACTTACTTGAGGGTGCAGTGTGGAAGAAGGGTGAGGATTAAAAAAAACACCTGTCAGGTACTATGCTTACTACCTGGGTAATGAAAATTACTTGTACACCAAACTCCAGTGACACACAATTTACCCATGTAACAAACTGGCTCACATAACCTCTGAGGCTAAGATAAAAGTTAGAAGAAACAATAAGTGATATAAATAAATAATCACTCTATCTTAGCTATTAGAAATATTATAAAATCATTGTCACTTGAATAGGTGACCAAAGAGTGTGCAGCCAAACAAAAAGGAAAACAAAGGAATAAAGGTACTATAGAGTTGTGTGATGAAAGTAGCTAAGAAAAAACTATGCTTTTCGGATTATCTCATGTGGTTGGCATTTATTGATTTTTTTTCAAAATTTACACTTTTTTGTGATTTGATTCTGATTCTAAATATAAATTTCTTTCTTAAATAAGCACTTTCTTCTCATTTGATCGTCTGCTTTTCAAGCTCTCAGTTGTATATTTATCTTATTTATTGAAGTTTTCAGCTTCAAAGTTTCTGAGATTTTTTATGATATCTATATTTTTGCTGAATTTCTAATCCAAATTATGAATTTTTTCCTGGTTGAATTGTATTTTCTATCTGGATTCTTTTGTATCTTACTGAATTTCCTTAAGATCATTATTTTGATTTCTTTTTCAGACAATTTGTACATTTCCTTTTCCAAGTGATCAGTTACTGTGTCATTTCTTTTTACTGTTTCATGTTTCTTGTGTCCTTGCATTGATATCTGTGCATCTGGCACAACAACTGCCTTTTTCAGTTTTGTAAAGTGGTTTTTGTAGGGAAAGATTTTCAACTCCAGATGTGTTACAGGATTTTGGTTAGATGGGGTGAACTGGATTTGATTTCTGGGTGGGCGCTGTAGTATCATCTTCATACAGTTTTCAGCTGTTGTCAACATCCATGATTCCTCAGTGGCCTAGGCTGCAGGAATTTGTGCAGCTGTTCAAGTATCTCTCCCCAACCTCTATCTACCCCACTGAGGGTGAGGATTCTAGACTATCTGTTTAATATTACCTGCCATTTTCGGACTTAATTATTTAATTTTAACTTTTGAAGTTTAAAACCTTCTATATAGATTCTAGATATTAGTGCTCTGGCATGTAAGTATTTTAAAATATTTTTTCCAAGTCTATAGTTTACCTTTGTATCCTCTTCATGGAGCCAACTTATTATTTTCAATAAAGTCCAATTTGTCAATTTTCCTTATATAAAACATGCTTTCATAGTCAAGGCTAACATATCTTTCCTTAAACCTAGATTCTGAATGTCATTCTGGTTGCTTTTAATATTTTTCCCTTGTCTTTAGTTTTGAGAGATTTAGTTATGATCTGTCTTGGCATAGATTTCGTTGAAGTTACGTATTTGGTATTCACATGGTTTCTTGAAATTGTAGGTTTCTATCTTTGGCCAAGTTTGTGACATTTTTGTTCATTATTTCTTAGAATTCTTTTTAATCACCTCATTCATTCTCCTTTCCTTCTGATATTTCAATGACATAAATTGAGATCCTTTTATCATCCCACGTGTTCGTGAGGCTTTTTTATTTTTGATTCTGTTTTATCTCTGTTGTTCAGATAAGGTAAATTCCAATGATCTATCCTAACATCCTGGTTTTTGTTACCTTTACTATTGATGCATTCCAAGGAGTGCATATTTGTTATTGCATTTTGTTATTTTACCATGTCCATTTGGATTTTTTATAGTTTATATTTCTATTTTTGAGGCTTCTTATTTTTACTTGTGTTAATGAAATTTGTAACGATTTGAGAAATCTACTTAATAATGGCTGATATGAACTCTTTGCCAGATAGCTCTAAAAACCATTTCATCTCAGCCTTGGCATAACTGTATTGTCTTTTTCTCATTTAAATTGAGATTTTTCTGGTTCTTGGTATGATGAGTGATATTCAATTATATTCTGGTTATATTTGATATTATGTTAAGGCATTCTTGATTCTATTTAAATCTTCTAATTTAACTGGCTATCAAAATGTTTAGGTTTATAATGTAGGTTCTGACAGCCTTCACTGTATCTATTGACATCACCACTGGAGTTAGAAGGAGCTGCTACTACCAGTGGGTGTAAAACAAGGGATAACTTGGCCCATTCAGGATCTGCTGGCAATGATGCATCAGGCAGATTGGGCCACCATTCCCACTGGGCATGGGACTCCACACTAAATCTCTACTGGGATTCTCCTTTAGCAGTCTTTGGTCAGACAGAGTACACTTTTCTTTCTTTTTGTCTTATTTTTTACTTATCTCTGCTGGCAGTCTGAGTGTGCAGAGTTCTCTGGCACCCAGTATGAGATATATGAGGAATAAAAATAAAGCTACAGAAACTCAATTCATTCTCATTCTTCAAGTCATGAGGTCTCTAGTCCATTTATTTTCTTCTTGCCACATTTTAGAGTAATTTTATACTAGTCTATTTCATTGTTTCAATGGTATTCAGTCAAGATACTTTTACCCATTCTATACTCACATTTAGACTGCATAGTTCTGAATTTATCTGATGATTTGTGTGTATGTGCGTTAGTCCTCTGACACTTTTATTCATTATTTTGTTAATGTGTATGTGTGTTAGTTCTCTGACACTTTTATTCATTATTTTATTAATTAAACATTATTTTATTAATATGTAACTCATTTATGGTATCATAGCCTTTTGAGTTACAAAATCCAGCATCTTAATTCTTGTTTTATCTCTTGTAAGCTCTCTGACAGAGAGTTATTAACTATTTGAATATCAGTGTTGTTATTTATAAAAGGGGTATAATAGACACACATAAAATGATTTTTAAAGCATGAAATAAAATATTTTGAATATTTAGTAATTAATAAGTATTCAATAATTCATAATTCAATAAGTAGAAAAAGAGGCATTCGAATTGAAGAAATATTGCAAATTAAGTAATAAATCTTCACATTTTTAAATAGAGGCACTATATGCCAAAATTAACTTCAATTGCTTGAGAAAACCACAGTGAAAGATTTTGGTGTGGTCTCCAATTTCATGACACTTTTATTCCTGTGCACAGGGAGTGAAGGAGTAAACCAACAGATAAGTTTACAAGTTTACAATATATACACTTTACATCCGAATATGATAGTTGCAATAAGGAAGAATAAAGGAGAATTATAGGCATGAAGACTTTCAGTGTTTGATTGGGGTACTTTAAAAACACTGATAAGGAGAGTACTCTGTGTTATAGTGATTTAGAGGCAGAAACCTAAATACAGTAAGAAACAATGCAATACAGATACCTGGAGAAAGGTGGTTATGAACAGATGGGACAGAAAGGAAATGTTCTGAGAGAGGCCATGCTTGATATGTTCACAGGACGTCAAGTAAGCTAATGCTTCTGAAGTGGCATATGATGGAGCTGTGGTAGGAAATGAGGCAAGGGCCCAGAGTCTGGAGCGTTCTAAGAAGTAAGGAGTGTTAATTTTACTTGGCCCTAGATGGGAAGCTATTGGGGTGTTCTCAGTAGAGGAGTTTCCTTAAATGAAATTACTCTGATTGTTTTATGGAGAATATATATGTGTTGGGGAGGGTGGGATATGAGGGAGGTCAAGTGTGGAAGGCAGGAGAGCAGTTAAGGTACCATTGCAGTAATCTACACAAAAAATGTGACTGGGCTATGATGGTATAGTGGATTAGATGTGGAGAGAGGTAGACATGTTTGGATCAAGAAGCCTATATGAATTAGTTATGGAGTGGTTGTGCCATATAAAGGAGATCAGTCAAAAATAACTCTAATTTTGGCCCTGAGCAATGGATAGATTGCTGTGATGGTTAATTTTACATGTCCATTTTACTGGGCTACAGAGTCCAATTGTGTGGTGAAGCACTAGTAAAATATTGCTGTGAAAGTATTTTTTAGACATGATTAAATCAGTAGACTTTGTGTAAAGCATATTGTCCTCTATAATGCAGATTGGCCTCATTCAATTAAGTAAAAATATAAAAAGCAAAGACTAAGATTTCCCAAAGAAGAAGGAATTCTCATCAAATATGCACCATAGAAATCCTAATTGCATTTCCAGTCTGCTACCTTCCCTTCAGTTTGAACTTGCTACCTCGCACAATCATGTGAGCCAGTCTCTTAAAACCTCCCTCTGCTCCTTTCTTTCTCCCCCTGCCCCACTATCTCTTTCTCTCTCTACGTATATACGCGTGTGTGTGTGTGTGTGTGTGTGTGTGTGTGTGTGTGTGTGTATCCATGTATCCTCTCTTGATTTTGTTTCTCTGGAGACTATAAAGTGTTTAGTGAAAGTGAATTACTGTGCTCTCTGGAATACTATAAAGCCCTTTAAAAACTGAAGTACATAATATATTGTTAGATAAACGTCATGTTGTCTAAATTATGCAGAATAACAAAACATATCTTATTCATACATTTATAAGTCCATCTAGGCAAAATATTTCAAAAATGTAAACAATTTGATGACATTTAACTCTGGAAATAGAAGTTAAAATGTAATTTAGGAGGATATTATCACCCACTATTGAAAGATTTAGGTGATTGTTAGGATTCTCGCCATTTGTCACTTTCTAAATTAATTAACACATAAAAAGATTCAAAAAAATTTATGAAATAACTTATTTGTAATTGGCACAGAGAGAAAATGATAAATATGATTGACATGACTGTTGTTTTTGTGAAACTAAGACATTTTAGGGAAGACAAGTAAACTCAGAAATGGGAAATTGAAGGACACAGTGGGAAAAAGCAATGATTCCAGAACTTGTATTGGCTTTTAAAGAATCCCTGCAGTTAGGGTAGCAGAAGTAAGAGTTTAGGAAGAATCTAAACTATAGATAGCCAACTCAGTTAGGTTTTGTGAAAGATGAATACAAAACACCAGAGAGTAGTTTTGAAACTGTTGTGATATTTTAACTTTATGTAGAAAGTGGAGTGGATCCCAAGAGAAGGATGTGAAAGTTTGTGTGGAGAAAATGCATATGGATTAGTGATTCTAATAAAACTAAAACATAGGGAAGGATTAAAGACACTATTTCTCACAGAAAGAATTTATACAGTATGGAATATATTGTACTATTGACATTTTCTATCCAAATATTGAAAAATGCTGATGTACAAATTTGTAAATTGTTTATTTTCATTTCAGTTTTTCTGCCTTGTGCGTCAGTTATGTGGTTCTTTGCATTTTCCAGGTGAATGTTATTTGTGCCTTATGATGAGAATTTAGGACAAGAAATTATTTATAATAGGGCATATTTCAATAATAGCAAGTGCAGCAATATTTTTCTTCTTTTCAGTGGGAAAACTTCGGTTCTCAGTATATTTGCCAGTTGTTGGAGTTAACAATTTATTCTGCCCGCATACTTTAATGGGCCAAGGTAAGGGAGGATTTTCCTCCTATAAGAAGGGAAATAAAAAGAGCAGGAGTTAAAGATCATCACATGAAATGAAATGAGAACAGTAAACTAGACACCATTTTTCTACAACATTTTCAAAATCACTGAAAATATGGCACTTTAATTTCTGTCTCTCTGTCTCTGTCTCTTTTTCTTTCTGTATCTCACTTTCTCACTCTTGTACTATCTGTGTCTCTACCTCTATCCATTTCTGTCTTATTGAGGCATCTATTTTTCTTCATCTCCCTCACTCAATACATCCATGGGAATTGAAATCTCAAATGAGAAGGGTTACCTGAGGAGCAACCAGCTTTAGGAATCTGCATATGTAATCCAATCGAAACATTTCCAGAACTTCTATTTTTAAAAACTTTAGATAGTTTAAAAGATATTGAAGATTCTTTGCTTTCCCAGTCAAAAATTACACTTATCTTCAAAACAAGATTTTCTCTTACGTGAATGTTAATATCCATTAGACTTAATACCAAATAAATTTTTATTTTGTATTAAATGACAAAAAGCATTTGCCCCCTACTAAAGATCTTTATAAGAGTTATAAGTAATTTCAATCACATTACAATCATAAAGGCAAAAGGCAAGACAAAGAAGACCCTCCTAAAAGTGGTCTGAAAGAGTTAGGAGTTCATTTGTCTCAGATACTTATTCTAAATATGACTTCTAGAGGTGATTCAGCTGCTTACACTATCAGGCTGGCCAAGTTGTGATTCATTTGGAATATTTCTTATGGCCATTTGATAGTTGTCACATCTTTAATAATTGTATCCTTGTTCAATATAAGATAGTTGAGAACAGGCACAGTTGCTCAAGCTTGTAATCCCAGCACTTTGGGAGGCCAAGGCGGGCAGATTGTTTTGAGCTCAGGAGTTAGAGAACAGCCTGGGCAACGTGGCGAAACCCTGTCGCTACAAAAAAAATACAAAAATTAGCCGGGCGTTGGTGGCTCGTGTCGGTAGTCCAGCTACACGGGAGGCTAAGAATGGAGAATCGCTTGAGCCCAGGAGACAGAGGTTGCAGTGAGCTAAGATGGAGCCACTGCACTCCATCCTGGTTGATAGACTGAGAGACCCTGTCTCCAAAAACAAACAAACAAAAAAAGATAGTTGGAAACAAATCTGGGGTTATGAGTCAGCAGAGTTCATTGCAATCTTCAAAATGTAATAGGGCAACATGGTTTAGGCAACCTACAAAAACTTTACGCTACTTTGCTCCCAAATTTCTCTAATAGCAAATATCTTAAGAAAATTATGAGGTATGCACAAATATGAATGTTTAAAAATATGCACCTCAATTTTTACACTAGAAGAATCAATTTGAGTCTAGTTATAAATGACGTTACATTGGCTTATGCAATCATATTTTTTAAATTTTTCAAAAATATTTAAAATATTAATATGAACAGGATATACAGATACTATGAACTAAGTTATATATATACACATATACACATACATACACATATACATTATATATAAGCCATATTAATAATGGTAGTAACAAAGTACTACATTGGTAGGAAATAAATAAATATATTTATAGCTATTATTTCCACCTATCAAAACATTTTACAGGTATTTTTAATTATTTCTTCATGCTTTTCTAAATGTTCTAAATTTTCTGAAATTAGATTCTACTATTTTAATAAAATGAAAATATTTAATATAATAAAAGTGAAAGAAGTTTTGCTACTGATTCTGATAACAATTGCATGCATAATTTCAGAAATGGTTAAAGCAATACAATATACTGGAATACATAGAGCCTTCCAAACAGTCTTTTTAAAAATTCAGTAATAATCCTTTGAATGCATTTTTTGTTACATCAATTTTAAAGCTAGTAACTCTTATTTTATAGCCACACCACATTGAAAACGTGAGCTGTGACGTTTGTATTTTCCCTACATGAGAAGTGGCATCAATATAAGACTTCATGTCGCCACAATTCAATAAATAAAGTGGTTTTCAGGAAGTCATTATGAACAATGTTATTTTATATTATTGCTGCTTCAATGGCTGTTAGGCCTTAGCCCACTTTGAAAATCCCTAAATGTAGAAATTCTTCCCCTGTTTTCTATCAGGGTATTAAAAGTAGAACCTGACAGTTTGGAGGACTGAATTAGATGCAGAAAAATGTTTTATTTATCCTTTTAACAAATATATGTGAAAAAATGAACAAAAATATTGTGGTTAAGAATGTATGTGTCCATTCACCAAATTTTAGAATTATAATTCCTGGCTGGGTGCGGTGGTGGCTCACGCCTGTAATCCCAGCACTTTGGGACGCCAAGGCAGGCGGATCACGAGGTCAGGAGATCGAGACCATCCTGGCTAACACGGTGAAACCCCGTCTCTACTAAAAAATACAAAAAATTAGCCAGGCGTGGTGGCGGGCGCCTGTAGACCCAGCTACTCGGGAGGCTGAGGCGGGAGAATGGCGTGAACCCGGGAGGCGGAGCTTGCAGTGAGCGGAGGTCGAGCCACCGCACTCTAGCCTGGGCGACACAGCGAGACTCTGTCTCAAAAAAAAAAGAATAACAATTCCCAAGAAAATGTCTCTAACAACAATTTATATGTAGTTATATGAAATACAGTACAGTTGGCTTCCTAAATCATATGTTTGCTGTGTATGCTGTGTCATCAAATTTCCAACGATACTGGGAGCAGTATTTTCAATGTCCTAATATTAGCATGTCTGCATTATTAAACAGTATTGCACAGTTTTAAAGAGAACCCAAACTCAGAATCATTCTTCTTTTGTCCACAGTTCAAAACAGCTTTTCCTAATATCGATCTAAACTGACCTGTATTAGATGCCCGGAAATAGTCAGACAAAGATGATATGACACAGCCAAATGATATTGATCACAGCACAAAGTTCAAACCACTAAAAAATCGTTAACATGGTCCTATCGCAAACTACAAATCCCGCATTTTATCCGTGTCTCCCTAAGGTACTTTGCCAGGAGTCAAATGGATGACCTACTTTTCTCTATGATTTTACACACAGGAAAAAATATTATAAAAAAGCAAAATATTGAAGCTGGCATGTATTACACGTTTCCTTATAGAACCTAATGGTGACTAGAGAATTTTTGTACAAATTAGTTAAGCAGTGGATACATTTTAACCAATTTTTTTCATGCATGCTAATTTAGAAAGACATGAGTAATCTTAGCTATTTTTTCAGCATCATGTGATCTAAAACTGTCCAAGATTTATATGCCTAATACGAATATGACTAAATGAGATTCCCTTTATTATTTTTATATTATCTTGTGAACAACATGATTAAACATCTGGTTTCTCAAGACAAATCCTAGGGGTTCAATCTTGGTCCCATTTTCCTTTTTTATCTTATCCATCCATCAATCTCAAACACACACACACACACACACACACACACACACACACACACATACACCAATCATTTTATCACCTAGTGATAAACACAGGGACATAGTCTAATTCTCTTAATTCAGGTAATGATTTTAGATGACAGAGCTTTCTACATAGAGCTATACAGGGTAGGACACACCATAGCTTTCTCTCTAGGGATAGCAAATTTCTCTGGGTTTTTAACCTCAAGATCATCATTGTCATTTTATTATTCAAACTGGGCAGATTCTTTACCCTCTGAACACCTCCTGATATTTCTAGGGACAGTGATCTGCAAACCCATCCCTGGGAACAGATGGAGGACATTCTTGAATGGCTTGTCGGGAAGTTGACATGAAAGTCAATTTCCATGACCACATTTTCCCTAAGTCCCAGGCCTCAGGTGTGCCTAAATTCTTTGTCTACCAAAACCAATTTAATCTCCTAAATTCTCTCTTCTCATCCAACCATCACTGTATGTCTCCTGATCCCCTTCATCACCACCTCAACTGTAGAATATTATTGAAGTTTCTTCTAACATTTAGCTGTGGCTGATTTTACATGGCTATCTAGCTAGAGATAAATATAATTCTTCCAGAAGCTGCTATGAAATTCCAGCACCTAGTCCCTCCGTAGGAAAAGGTTGGCTTTTACTGGATGAATATGCTGATAAGTTGATGGTTTAAGGTCTGATTGCCTACTTATGTGGAACCCCATGTGCACCACTAGGAGAGAAGAGAAGGAAGAACATGTTATGTGGATAAGAAATTGCTATGGTGACAGGTTACTCAAACAATCTCAGTGGATTTTATTAAATTGCATCCTATGTGGTGTGTTATTTTAACATTCTACTCCATCTTTCCAAGAAGATAGATATAACAAATGTCATTTTGCAAATTCTGAATCCCTGTTCCATTGAAAGTTTGATGATATAGATGTATGAGCCCACTGGTTCTTAAATGTAGGCAGTCATCACTACCACTTGGCAGGCTTCATAAAGTAGATTGCTGGGCCCTACTACCAGAATCTGATCCAGTAGATCTGGAGCAGAGACTATGAAATTTCATTTCTAACAAACATCTAGCAGCTCATGCCGCTACTGGGAAACCAAACTTAGAGAACCCCTAGATTAACAGGAGTTCATTTCATTCCATAAAAGGGCTTCCCCTATTTGAGTTCCAACTTCAAGTTCCTACAGAGAGATACATAGGAATTTTTTATCTCAGCAAGAGGCAATTTAGGGTAAGCTTGAGATTACAGATGATCTCAAGTGTAACATATTCATAATTGTGATACTACTTAGAAGATAGGAAGTTAAAGCAGAATTTAGTAATAGGTCAGAAAAGATAAAGGAAAAGGAAGGTTTTAGGGAAAAAGAACAAAAACCAGTAAATCTGACTTTTATAACTCCTGTTTTCCCTGTGAGGAACAATTAGGAGTCACAAAACCACTTTACCTTCTAAAATGTGAAATTTTCTGTAGTTACTTTCAGTTGAGTTGAATATCATTTCACATAAGGGATTCCGAATGAGAGAAAGAAGATTGCCATTGAGTCTTTTGTTTATGAAAGTGACTGTGCCATTCTAACTTCCTAAACAGAAGTTGGGATACCATATGTTTCAAGTGTCTATAATAAGATATGGTATCCAGGTACCAAATGTTATTTCTCACCACTCTGTGTACCAGATGCCCAATTACTCTGTAACACAAGCTTAGAAGCTCATGCCAATGCAGCCTGACAGAATTAGATTATAAATTCCAGTTAGTACTTAAAGGTACAGCTTTTGTCTTAATCAAATTCTATTAGTATAAAAAAATTTATTTTTTATTATCAACAACTGATATTACCCAAACATCCCAGCAAGAAGCATAACAACATAATTACATTTTGATGTAGAAAGATCTAAGGGAAAGATGAAGTTAATATGCAACATTGCAAACTACAAAATAGATTTTTTCAAAAATATGTATTTGATCTTACCACTGAAAAATGAGTACCCATATTAACACACAGTTGAAAAAATATGTTACTACTATACTAACATATACTTATGCAGCCTTTCAATGGTTAACTGGGGAAGTTTTGTCCCCCAAGGGACATTTGGCAGTACCTGGAACATTTTTGATGGTCATAACTGGGAAGAGGAGCTTACTGGCATCTAATGGATGGGATCCTACTAAACATCATACAATGTGCAGATCAGCCTACACCCCCCTCATAATTAAGAATTATTCAGCCTAAAATGTTAAGATACCCTAGGAAACAAATTGCTGAGTTGTAAGGAATTTGAAGTTAGAGAATTTCATCTTTCCTTTCACTTCTGTAATGTCACTCAGACATGTTGGTGTTTATAAAAAAAAAAATTAGAACCATAGACAATGACCCTAATAAGAAATTTTTTGGGTGGATGATCACTAACTCAATATATATGGAAAAAGAAAGAAATTGAAGCTTTATAATTTCCAAAATGATCCCTTTTGCGTCAAACAAACTTCCCAAAAGGACCATGAAAAATTACAGGTTAGGAGTGATTTTTCTGACTAAGTAGAAATACCTTACATAAATTATCAAAAAGGTTAGGATTTATTTTACTTTATGCTGAATCTTTGTAATAGTAAATATTTTTATATATTACAATATTTATAATAAATATAAAATATAACTATATATAATTAAAGCAGAATTACATTTATATATATTAAATGAAAGCAGGATTTAATAATGAGTCAGAATGAAAAAAGAGGAAAAGGAAGGAGTAAAGGAAAAAGAATACAAACCAGTTAATCTAACTTTTATAACTTCTGTTTTCCCTGTGAGGAACATATATATATATAATATGTGATATATATACACATATATATGTGATATATATACACTATATATGTGATATATATATAACATATATATGTGTGTATATATATATATATATATATATATATATATATATATATTAGAGAGAGAGGGGTATTTTTATATATATAGAATAATGATATGGTTTGGCTGTGTCCCCACCCAAATCTCATCTTGAATCATAGCTCCCATAATTCCCGTGTTGTGGGAGAGACATTTGAATGTTCGTCTGTTTCTACCAGCTAATGAAACCTGATCAAATGCTAGGAAGTAGACTCTAGTTCTATGAACAAAGTCTATTTAGTGTCATACTATTACTGTTAACACAGTAATAATATGTTAACACAGTAATTATTCCCCAGTGGGAAATAATTGAATTATGGGGGTCATTTCCCACATACAGTTCTCATGGTAGTGAATAAGTCACCTGAGATCTGATGGTTTTATAAGGGGTTGCCCTTTTTGCTTGGCTTTCATTCTCTCTTTGCCTGCAACCAAGTAAGACATGCCTTTCACTTTATGCCATGATTGTGAGGCCTTCCCACCCACGTAGGACTATGAGTCCATTAAACCTCTCTTTTTTTATAAATTACCCAGTCTCAGGTAAGTCTTTATCATGAGCATGAGAACAGACTAATACAAATAGATAAACTATATCTTATACAATATGTAAAATTATATATTAAATTATATATAGTATAATATACAATATATAAATTATATATAGTATAATATAGAACATATAAATATTTGTATATTTCCTTATGTAGCTATGCTTTTCTGAAACATTCTCACCTAGCAATTATAAATAACATTTTAAAAGAGGCCATAGCAAATAGTAAAATGTAGTATTATATTTGAGATTTTTCTCACAAAAAAAACACATATTTGAATATATTTCACATAGTGAAAGAGTTAAGATATTCCCTTTATCTTACGTTATGGGTAGGGATTTTTTATATCTAAGACACAAGAATGCAGTTGGCCTTTAAGTATGCTAGTTCCCTTTTTGCTTTGCTTTTCTTCAATTTTGTTTTCTTCCTCTATTCTTCTCAAATATTTCATTCCTTCCTTTCTTTCTTCTACTCTTTTTTCTTATCTACCTCTACTTCTGTTCCTCCCTCTCTCTCCTTCTTTCTTTTTTCCTTCCATTCTTTAGTAAATATTCATCAAGTACCCACTCATTCCTAGAGACTGTGTTAACAGTAATAATACGACACTAAATGGGCTTTGTTCATAGAACTAGAGTCTACTGCCTAGCATTTTGTCAGACTTCATTAGCTGGTAGAAATAGACTACTATTCAAATGTCTATGTCATAGAGTCTCCTCCCGATCAAATGCAGAAAGAAAAATCCTTTCAATTCTTTTAATGATTGTTGGGTAGGCAGAAATATTGTAGGAGATGGGTGTACAGACAAACAACTCTGAATCTGAAAGTATTACACATATGTCCCCATTACCTTTGCTATAACACTTGCCTACACTAGAGACATCTCCATGTCCAAGTGGTCCGGGATATCAATACTTATATGAAGAGATGGGAATTCCTAAATTCATCCAAAGCTAGATATTGTTATTAACCAGTCAGACTATTCCTTTAAGATCATTCATTTCCATGTCCCCCCATTGCTCTCCACAGCCAAGCCTCTGCCAGTGTGACCACAGTCCATCAGATATGGCACCAGTGGCAGATGGAAATGACTTCTATTCCAACAACGCTTATTGAATTACTTGAACAAGTGGATACATAAGACTAAAGTGCCATCTAATTTGTCTCACCTGTAGAAGCCAACTCTTACTTTCCACTTAGCCAAGACATCATGATAAATGAACAGTTTATTTTAACATTGCTATTTATATAACAATCGTATTTCTAAGTTATTGGTCTGAGCACATCATGGAAGATACCCTAGCTCACTAGGAACAAGACTAAGAACAGAGATATGAAAGCAAGGAGAGAGAGAGAGAAAAAAAAGGAAGAAGAAGGAGGAGGAGGAGGAGGAGGAGAGGAGAGGAGGAGGGGGAGGAAAGAACAAGAAAAAGAACAAGAAGAAAAAGGAAAGAAAGAGAGAGAAAGAAAGAAGAGAGAAAGAGAAAGAAAGAAAGAGGAAAATAACAGAAAGAAAGAGGAAAATAAAAGAAAGAGGAAGGAAGGAATGGAGGGGGGGAGGGAGTGAGAGGAGAGGAGAGAAGAAGGAGAGAAAGGAAAGTGAACAAGAGAGAAGGGGAGGGAAGGGGAGGGGAAGGGAAGGGAAGGGAAGGGTTCTAATGAGCAAGGAAGAAGTTAAGCCTGCAAAACTGGTCACCCCACAAGCTATAAGGAGTTTTATTTCTTGAGAAACAGAATGTATTTCATCCTATAGACAAAGAGGATATTAAGCAGTGGAATGATAATACTGGGATTATATTCTAAAGATTATAGATGTGGTTTGAAGGACAATGAGAGTTGGCAGTGAGGATAAAGCTAAAAAGACATTTTGGTAGTTCTGACATGAAATCTGACATCAATAGAGAAGATAGAGTCTTCCAAAATACCTGGTAGATAGTTGATG
Organism: Homo sapiens; assembly: GCF_000001405.40. Classification (NCBI taxonomy): domain Eukaryota; kingdom Metazoa; phylum Chordata; class Mammalia; order Primates; family Hominidae; genus Homo; species Homo sapiens. Next base: position 12,433,088 of record NC_000005.10, on the reverse strand, counting down.
TAAACTAGGGATATGAACGAGAAAAGGAGCACAATTGGGGAATATAATATGTTTTTGTTGTTGTCACTTAGGGGTCTATATCTGAACTGTAGGCATGACAATCATTAAGGCATGAGAACTTTAGGTATCAGAATTAAGATTACCTTCACACACTATTGGACCTGAAAACTCACACAACCTGTGTCAACATGACTTAACCATTTCTTCAGTGAAAGTCTCAGTCAGGAATATAAAGTTATAATCCACAAATATTTTAACATTGGTTCCATAAAATCCCTGAAAATTGATTTATATAGACAGTTATTTCTTCTGAGACAGCAGCTCTCCTTTTCTGGACAATAGATTGCCCACCTGGGCAAAGAACTCCCCTAACAGGAAGCTATTTGTTTATTGTGACTCACTTTAACCACCCTCCTGCCATCTGTACCTGCCAATCCCAAATTATCATGCCATGAACTTTGTCCAATCCCAATCAGCTTCCCACGTTTCAATCAATATCAATACCTTTCCCCAAAGTCTCTATTCTGAGATTGTATTGAGTTTCTACCTAAGTGGTGTTCTCCGTTATTACATTAGGTCTAATAAACTCAGCTTTCCTTGGTCAAAGGTTTTATTGATTATGTATTTGTTGTGGGGAGGAGTTGACAGTAAATAGGCAGACAGAGTATTAATGCTGAACCTGATAAGTACAGATTTGAAGACATTGATTTTAAAGGGCTTATAAAATATCCCTATAGACATTCCCAAATATCACTTAGAAATACTGATTCTTCACAAAGAAACTTTTAACTTTAGCAAAAATTTAGATAATGATAGCTAAATGCTATGACCTGAATAGTTATGTCTCCCCAAACTTCATATGTTGAAATATTAACCCATTAAGTAATGGTATTAGGAGATGAGGCCTTTGGAAAGTGATTAGGTCATGAGGGCAGAACCACCTTTATAAGAGGCCCCAGAGAGAAGAGCTGATTTACCCTTTTCCACTAGGTGAGGACAGAGAGAGACTGCAATCTATGAACCAGGAAAGAGGCCCTCTCACCAGACATTGACTCTTCTGGCACCTTGATCTTGGACTTCCTAGCCTCCAGATTTTTGATAAGTTTCTGTTGTTTATAAGCTACCCTGTCTATGGTATTTTGTTAGAGCAGTCTAAAAGAACTGAGACACTGACATTTACTGAGAATGTACTATCTTCCAGGCGTTGTTCTTAGATTTTACACGTATTCATGTATAGAACAACACTTTGAGGCAGTTATAATGACCTCTGTTGTATAGATGAGAAAACTGATAGACACAGAATTGAAGTAATTTACTCCAGGCTACAGAACTACTGGATACTTTCAAAAACTGTTCTATGCTGTCTCTGTGTGGATGATTTTTGTTCTTTCACTTCCAATCTACCCTCTCACACATATGTATTATACTATTTGATTACTGGCACCCAACATATTACCAATTTAGTATATTTTATTTGTATACTTTCAGAAACATTTTAAAATTGTTTCTAATAATTGATTTCCACAATCTGTTTTTAGCTTTAATGATTGATTTCCACAACATATTTTTAAATGCTAAAGATGCTTATATTTATTGTACTGGTACAATTTTAGAAAATGGATTAAACCACCTTATTAAAGCTAAATTTAATTTGTTTTATTCCAATTTCTAGGAAAAAAAATCATTAAATTTATTTCTAGCATCACTGCCTACAGCTGGCAGGTATAAAACGGACACCGTCTATCTTTTCACATCTAAACAGATGCACTTTACAAGCAACAAAAAGCACATCTACCTTTAAAAAATTGGACAATGTTTATTTCTACCAATGGTATTGTTCTACAGGGATACAGGGGACAACACATCAATTTTAAGAAATTATGACTAAAAAGAGTGGAAAATTTAGTCTGACCATTAAATCACTTTCATGAACTTTATCTACAAAACCTGCTGTCTGACTATAAGCTTCTTTCTGACTTGCATTCTACTTTAATAATAATGTAAATAAATAATAAATACATACATGAAATAACTTGCTTTCCACTTGAATAATAAGCTTTCATTGCCTCGCTTTTTTTACATCTGCTGATAATTTTGTTCAGCACAGAGAGCTGTGTGTGATGCACTGTGGGGTGGGGCCTTGGGCTACTCCAAAATGTAGTCTGTGAATCAGCAGCAGCAATCTCACCTGGGAGCTGTCTAGAAATGCAGAATCGTGCAGCCCAAATGAGACTTACTGAATCAGAGAGAGAACCTCCAGGCTATTCCTATATACATTAATGTTTAAGGAGTACAGCCCTAGGCATAAATGTGCATAAAAATCCTCATCCTCCTTGAAATATTTGAGGAGTTAGGATGTTTATATGTTGCCCATTAATAAATTCTCATGCAGCCACAACACTTTAGAGAAAATATATTTGAGTGGGATTAATTGAGAATAAGTTACTCTCTATGTTAAAAACCATTTATTCTACAGATAATTATACAAAATTATATTTTCCAAAGTCATCCTGAATTTCTTGCATTTTGTTAACCCACTGACCATAATAATCTTCTTTCAAAAGTTCATCTATTCAATTCATTATAAAAACATTCTCTTGAATCACTATGAAGTTTGACATTTGAATTTAAGATGTCAGTAAATTCAGAGACAACAGCTTGTGAGCAATCAGAACATGCCCTTCATTTTATTTAAAAATAAAGAGAATATTGTCACTTTGAGGTTCTGTTAACATTTTGTAAGACAACAAATAAGACCCTCTAAGGGCAGTCACACAGTGAGAAAAAAGTGTGAGCATTTACAGTAACTGTTCATATTCATAGCAACTATTGTGTCATGACCACATAATGCTCATAAAAATCAGTAGTGCAAATATTTTTGTAGTTAGAAAACTAAATGGCAGACATTAAGCATATATGTACCATATTTGCAGAACAAATTAATACCATCAATGCATAATAATGATGGAGGAACATACTAATTTAGTTGTCTATTTCCCAAATATAACATGTCAATAATGATCTTCACTAAAATCTATCTTGCTAGGTGTCTCCAATAAAACCAATTTCATGACATTGTCTTTTACCTAGGATAGAGCTTTGTCATTCAGTTTCATTCCCTTGGATCAATACTGCTCTAAATTACTCTTCTTTTTTTGTAGCTTGACTTTTCCTTTTAGAAAAATTTATTTTTTAATTACTATTTTTATCTGTTGGCTTGCATTGAGTCATTGCCTAATTTCTTGCATTATTTTTTGAAAGAATTAGAAAACATCACTTTACTTTCCTAAAATACTTCCCAAACTACATGTTTTTGACACTTTTACATTCAAACTACGTATTTCCCAGCTTCCAGTACTAAGCAAACACCTTAGTGCTCAGACCACTTATAATAATAATGCTTATTAGTATTTTGCACTAATATCCCTTTTATCTGAAGAGCTTAAGGTATTTTATAACCACCAAGTAAGCCTCAAGTCAGAGACCCTCACTGAGATCAAGGGGGAGCTGAAGAATTATATTTACCAGCAATTGAAGGAGGATTGAAGTTAGGGAAAACAAATTGCCAAATCAAAACAATTGATTATTGATGTTCAACTCCACAGGTCGTCAGAATTACATGGTCTTTATCCTAAATGACAAACTCTTATGTTTAAGAAGTTTGTGTTGCTCTAACTTAAGATATTTTCTCGGTTTAATGGAGTCTATGTTGCTGGCTCTATTACATTGTTTGATTCACAATGTCAGATTTTCCCGCAAATGTTTCAAGTGAAATATGGTTATATTGCAAAGACCATCAAAAAGACTTCATATATGAGATAAAATGGTGCAGGATTTTTTTCTTTTAAGTTTAGGTTTTGGCTGTGCTACCATGGAGACAATACAAACTCAATAAATATAAAGGCCACTCCAATAGCACCACCAGGAAAAAAACCACTGTTAACATACTTGCATAAATTTATATACTGTAGCTGCATCTACACACATTAATATGTATGTATTTTTAATATAAATTAAAATAGCCTGTATGGTTTAGCATCTGACTTTTCTCTCTCTTAATATATTGATTATATGATTTACAGTTGTCTTCTTTTCCATGTTTTAACACTTTCTCACTTTTTCATCTAGCTTAGGTTTCTTATCGCTTTGATCTTTGAAATCATCATCAAATACCCTCTGCAGGCCAATAATGGCCCCCAGATTCCAAGACTTAACTCCTGGAAACTGTAACTATTAGCTTATTTGGAAAAAGTGTCTTTCTGGTATAATAAAGTTAAGGATCTAAAGGTGGGAAGTTTATCCCAGATTTTCCAAGCGGTCCTTAAATGCAATAGCATGTATTCTAAGAAAAGGAGAGGGAGATTTGACACACATAGATGAGAAGGCAGTGTGACAACAGAGGCAGACATTAGAGTGATGTGGCCAAAATCCAAGGAATGCCTACAGCCACCAGATGCAGGAAGAAGTAAGGAACAGGTTTCCCTAGAGCCTCCAAAAGGAGAGTGGACCTGCGGATACTTTGATTTCAGCCCATTTCAGACTGGTTTTGGACTCTGACCTCCATAACTGTGAAAGAATAAATGTGCATTGTTTTAAGCCCCAAAACATGTGCTCATTGTTACAGCAGCCACAATAAACTAACACATATTCCCAACACGTTTCTTTTTCTTTTTCCATCACCTTCTCATTAAAAATCCAGTCTGAACTTACCCAACCACCTACGTGTCACAGGCAGACTCTAAATAGCCAAATACTTCTGGAGAAAGCCTGCAGTAGAAATGGCTGCTGTCACTAAAGCCAATGCTGTCCAATCACAATGTATCTTCCACCTTCTCTGCCATGTCATTTTTCAGATGAATCTTTGTCCTCACACAGCTCAGGGGGCTTTCATCTTTAGCACTACTCTTGTTTTCTATTGCATTCTTTCCAGACATAAGACAGTCTGTTATTCAAGTCTAAGGCAGAAATGTTTAGAGAAAAAACATGATGCAGGCTTCACTCTCTCACTTCCTATTGGGTCTTCTTCATATGTCAATCTTTCTTCGATTTCATTGAATTTTTTACTGAAAATGACACTCCAATGATATCCATGCTGCTACATGGAAAGAGAATTTAAAGACTTTTTCTCAGGGATGTAGATATAATTTTTCATTAATTCTAAATATCTTTCATTTTATTTTCATTAAAATTATAGTTGAATACAGACAAAACATAATTTCTCTGCTTTTGGTTTTCAGGAAACCTGAGGATTTGAAGATATCATTGCAGTTGGTTTTGTGAATACTGCACTACATACTATATTCAATATTTTACTTTATTTAAAGAGGAAAAATAAGAAGTAAATCTTTTATGTATTGTTTACCAGTTTAACAAAACACATTTAAGTTTTATTATACATATGTATATATAGTATTTTGTCTTGCCATAAATGTAAGTTCCTATTTGTCTGTTAACAAAAAGAGGACAAAGATAACTTACTACAGTATTACACACTTCTTAATAATTTAAGGAGCTGATGTCTTAAACCTCAAATTACTAATGTTTGCTTGAAGAAACTGGTTTAGTAGAATACATATTTAACTGTGTACTTTTTTTCAATTAATGTTATTACTATAGAGGTCACAAGATCTAAACACAAACAAGTTAACCCAAATAAAATATATAACATACACTCTTAAAATTAGGAATAGATATAAGGGTATTCTATTATGTGATATACTGATAAATGAGTGAACTCATCAGATTATTTTTAAAACACAATGCACACAGCTCAAAAGAATTTCACACACTCTTCCTTTGTTGTTCATGTCTAAAGGACTAATAGAGTTAATGAAAAGCCACTAATTGAGAGCTTACTATGGTAAGCAGGTCAGTTACCAACGCTTTCTTTCAGGTAGAAAATTGAAGGACTTGAAAGAATAGTGAGTTTTATGGAATAAAATAAGAAACTATTAAGGCAGGCCTGGTGCAGTAGCTCACCCCTGTAATCCCTGCACTTTGGGAGGCTGAGGCAGGCAGATCACTTGAGGTCAGGAGTTCGAGACCAGCCTGGTCAACATAGAAAAACCCTATCTCTACTAAAAATACAAAAATTACCTGGGCGTGGTGGCACACCCTTGTAATCCCAGCTACTTGGGAGGCTAAGGTGGGAGGATCACTTGAGCTGGGAAACGGAAGTTGCAGTGAGCTGAGATCGTGCCACAGCACTCCAGCCTGGGCAATAGAGTGAGAATCTGTCACTATATATATAGTGTATATATACACTATATATATAGTGTATATATACACTATATATATATATAGTGTATATATACACTATATATATAGTGTATATATACACTATATATATAGTGTGTATATATACACTATATATATAGTGTGTATATATACTATATATAGTGTGTATATATACTATATATATAGTGTGTATATATACTATATATATAGTGTGTATATATACTATATATACTATATATTTATATATATACACTATATATATAATATATTTATATATATACACTATATATATAATATATACACTATATATACACTATATATAGCGTGTATAATATATACACTATATATACACTATAGCGTGTATAATATATACACTATATATACACTATATATAGCGTGTATAATATATACACTATATATACACTATATATAGCGTGTATAATATATACACTATATATACACTATATATAGCGTGTATAATATATACACTATATATACACTATATATAGCGTGTATAATATATACACTATATATACACTATATATAGCGTGTATAATATATACACTATATATACACTATATATAGCGTGTATAATATATACACTATATATACACTATATATAGCGTGTATAATATATACACTATATATACACTATATATAGCGTGTATAATATATACACTATATATACACTATATATAGCGTGTATAATATATACACTATATATACACTATATATAGCGTGTATAATATATACACTATATATACACTATATATAGCGTGTATAATATATACACTATATATACACTATATATAGCGTGTATAATATATACACTATATATACACTATATATAGCGTGTATAATATATACACTATATATACACTATATATAGCGTGTATAATATATACACTATATATACACTATATATAGCGTGTATAATATATACACTATATATACACTATATATAGCGTGTATAATATATACACTATACACTATATATACACGCTATATATACACTATATATAGCGTGTATATATTATACACTATATATATAGTATATATAATATATACACACACACAATCATTAATTGGTATGTCTTCTCTTAGGTAAAATTATTTACTAGGGTTGGATTATTTTGGGGAAAGATGAAAATTTTTACTTGTCTTTCACATACATTTGACAGTATTTTACATACTAATACACTGATGGAAGTTTTCCTGGCTGCATAGCATAATATAACTTTTCCTGTTTCAACTGAGAAAAATATCTTGAGTCTAAGTCTTGCATAAGCAATTCTGCACTTTAATATCTCATTCTTCTTATTTTCCTCTTATTTCTCAAGTCAATGTTATTTACACTTTGCCCACATCTACTCACGTTCCCAATTTCCAAATGTTGGGGTTCTTCAGAAATAATCTTGCTATTGTTTTCTTTCATTCTATAATTTCAGCCTTGGCGATTATTTATTGTCATTGCTCTAAATAACCCTTATATCTCTATCTCTAACTAAGCGCCCTCTTCTGAAATCCAGCTACAACTGCCTATGCAACATCTGCATATTAGGGGTACATACACACATAATTCAGCTCTTGATCAAAAGATAAGAGCTTTTTTCCAGATAAGTCAATGGAGTCACCATTTTTAGAACAGCTTTAAACTTACCAAAAAATTTAGTAGACAGTACAGAGATTTATTACATCTATCCCTCTCTCACATGCACACATATTTCCCTACTATTAATATCTTGCACTTGTGTGGGAGCTTTATTACAATTAACGAACCAATATTGATACTTTTTTGGTAACTAAATACCATAGTTTACATAAAAGTTCACTTTTTGTGTTCTGCAATTCTATGGGATACATAATGTCATGGGTTCACCATTAAGTATCATACAGAATAGTTTACTAACTGCTAAAGAAAACCAGAGCCAGACAGTAAAGTAGTAAAAATATATTTTACACCAGAACTATTGCAATATGGGAAAAGAAACTTCAGTATAGAACTTGGATCAATTCTGAATACACCATGGGCAGATGGGGCTGGATACCCAAGGAGCAGGGTATAGACTAGCGGATGGAAAAGTTCTTACAGGGAATATCAGGAGTGAGGATGGGGGATTCTGGCTAAACTGACTTGACAGAATTCTTGTTGAAAGCAAGTCAGGTGTTCAATATCAAGGGTGATGGTTTCTCTCCAAATTGACTTAGAAGGATGCTTGCTACAACTGAGCAATATAGGCCCCTCAAGTGTGAATGCAAATGCCGAGGCTTGCAGGGATTAGACGTGTCTAAAGTTTGTCTCAAGAGTGTATTTGTAACAACCTTACAATCTCCTTTCCTTCACCAGTTTTTACATGGATGTTCTTTTCACATTCCAGGATCCAATCCAGTTTTCAGTTTCTCAGTTTTTCTTTTAATTCATGACTTTGGCAGTTTATTTTACTATAAATTGAGAAGTTATAGTTGTATACATTCATGGGGTATTAAGTAATGTTAAAATTTATGAATATAATGTGGAAAAATTAAATGAAGCTAAGAAAAACATCCACCACCTCAAAAGCTGATCATTTTGGGGGTTTGAAAGTTTGAAATTTATTCTCAGCTATTTTGAGATATACAGTGTTCTGTTCATATTTAGATACACTTCATTTATCAGACTTGTGTTTTTCAAATACTTTCTTCCAATCTGGGTTTCTCTTTTCATTCTAACAGGGTCTTTCACAGAGGAAAAGTTTTTACAGTTAATAAAGCCCAACTTATCAATGTTTTTCTTGTATGGATTGTACTTTTTGTATTGTATCTAAAAACTCAACACCAAACTCAAGGTCCCTTAGATCTTCTCCTATATTGGGTTCTAGAAGTAGTATAGTTTTACCTTTCATATTTCTGGTCAATGATCAATCCACTATGAGTTAATTTTTGTGAAAGATGTAAAATAAGTGTCTAAATTTATTATTTTTGCCTACATATTTTCAATTTTTCCAGCACGATTTATAAATTATCTTTCACCTTTGAATAGTTTTTGCCCCTTTGTTAAAGATGAGTTGACAATGTGTGACTGGGGCTAGTTTTAGGCTCTCTATTCTGTTCCATTTACTTATTTGTCTATTCTTTTGCCAGTTCAACACTTGATACTGTCTTGATACTGTAGGTTTATGGTGAGTCTTAAAATTGGGTAGTTATAGTCTTCCAACTTTGCTCTTCTTAAATATAGTGTTAACTAATCTTGTTTTTTTTTTTTTTGTCTTTCTATATAGACTTAGGTTTAATTTGTTGGTATCAATAAAATAGCTTACTGGGATTACAATTGAGATTGTATGGAATCTATACATCTACATGGGAATAATTAAAATCTTAACAATATTGAGTTTTCCAATCTAGGAACAAAGAATATATCTCCTTCATTTAATTGTTCTTTGACTTCTTTCATTAGAGTTTTATAATTTTCTTAACATTTATTCTGTACATTTTGTTATGCTCATATCTATTTAATTTTTTATTGTTAACGTAAATTTAATTTTACATTTTTAATTTTAACTAACAATTGTTCATTGCTGGTATAAGAAAGCAATTGACTTTTATATAGAAGTCTTCTTTTCTACAACCTTGCTATTAGTTCCAGGAATTTATTTTGTTAATTCTTTGGAATATTATACATAAACAATTATGTTACTTGTGAACATACAGTATTGTTTCTTCCTTTCCAATTAATGTACCATTTATTTCCTTATTTCATTAACCATGACATACAATATGTTGTTATATAGAAATAGTGAGGGGGACATCTTGTCTTGTTCCTGGTATTAGGATCAAAGTATCTAGTTTCTCACCATTAAGTGTGATGTTAGCTGTTGGTTTACATAGATTCTCTTTATCTAATTGAGGAAATTACCTCTATTTCTGGATTACTGAGTGTTTATATCATGATTGGTGTTTAATTTTGTGAAATGCATTTTCTGCGTTTGACAAGTTGTATTAGTCCATTTTTACACTGCTATAAAGAACTACCTGAGACTGGGTAGTTATAAAGAAAAGAGGTTTAATTGACTCAAAATTTCACATGACTTGGGAAGCCTCAGGAATCTTACAATCACAGCAGAAGGCAAAGCGGCAGCAAGGCATATCTTACCTGGCAGTAGGAGGGAGTAGGAGACTGCCAAACACTTTTAAACCATCAGATCTTGTGAGAACTCAATTACTGTTATGAAAACAGCATAGGGGAAATCACCTCCATGATCCAATTACCTTCCACCAAGTCCCTTCCTCAACATGCAGGAATTACACTTTGAGATGAGATTTGGGTGGGGACGCAGTGCCAAACTATATCATTCTGCCCCTGATCCCTCCCAAATCTCATGTCCTTCTCACATTTCAAAACACAATCATGCCTTTCCAACAGTCCCCCAAAGTCTTAACTCATTCCAGCACTAACTCAAAAGTCCAAGTCCGAAGTCTAATTTGAGACAAGCAAGGCAAGTCCCTTACACCTATGAGCCTGTAAAATAAAAAACATGTTAGTTACTTCCAAGATACAATGGGGTTACAGGCTTTGGATAAATGTTCCCATTCCAAATGAGAGAAATTGGCCAAAACAAAGGGGATACAGGCCCTATGCAAGTCCAAAACCCAGCAGGGCACTCATTAAATTTTAAAGCTTCAAAATGATCTCTTTTGACTTTGTGTCACACACTCAGGGCACGCTGAAGGCAGGAGTTGGCTCCTAAGGCCTTGGACAGCTGTACCCTTGTGGCTATGCAGGGTACAGCTCCTGCAGTGGCTTCCATGGGCTGGTGTTGAGTGTCTGGGGCTTTTCCAGGCTCATGGTGCAAGCTACCATGGGATCTATCAATCTGAGGTCTGGAGGATGGTTGCCCTCTTTTCACAACACCACTGGAGAGTGACCCAGTGGGGACTCTGTGTGGGGCCTCTAATCCCACATTTCCCTTCAGTACTGCCATAGTAGAGGTTCTTCATGAGAAGTCTGCAGCAGACTTCTGCCTGGACATCCAGGTGTTTTCATACATCCTCTGAAATCTAGGTGGAGGCTTCTAAACCTCAACTCTTGTCTTCTGCACACTCATAGGCTGAACACCATGTTGAAACTGCTACGTCTTAGGGCTTGCACTCTCTGAAGCAATGGCCTGAGCTGCACCTTTTTCCCCTAGCCACAATGGGAGCTGAAGCAGCTGGGATGCAGGGCACCATGACCTGAGGCTGCATACAGCAGGGAGGCCCTGGGCCTGGGAAGCCATTTTCCCTCCTATGTGTCCAGGCCTTTGATGGGAAGGGCTGCCATGAAGGTCTCTGAAATGTCCTGGAGACATTTTCCCCATTGTCTTTGCTATTAACATTCCACTTCCCTTTATTTATGCAAATTTCTGCAGATGAAAGCTTGATTTTCTCCCCAGAAAACGGGTTTTTCTATTCTACTGCATGGTCAGGATGCAAATTTTCCAAACTTTTATACTCTGCTTCTCTTTTAAACAAGTTCCAGTATCAGATCATCTCTTTGTGAATGCATAGGACTATGTGCTTTCAGAAAAAGCCAAGTGACATCTTGAATGCTTTGCTGCCTAGGAATTTATTCTGCCAGATACCCTAAATCATTTTTCTCAAGTTCAAAGTTCCACAGATCTCTAGGGCAGAAGCAAAATGCCACCAGTCTCTTTGCTAAAGTGTAACAAGAGTCACCTTTGCTGCAGTTCCCAAGAAGTTCCGCATCTCCATTGGAGACCACCTCAGCCTGAATTTCATTGTCCATATCGCTGTCAGCATTTTGATCAAAGTCATTTAAGAAGTCTCTAGGAAGTTCCAAACTTTCCCACATCTTCTTGTCTTCTTCTGAGCCCTCCAAAATGTTCCAATCTCTGCCCATTACCCAGTTCCAAAATTGCTTCCACATTTTCAGGTTATCTTTACAGAAGTGCCTCACTATCCTGGTACCAATTTTCTGTATTTGTCTGTTTTCACACTGCTATTAAGAACCGCCTGAGGCTGGGTAGTTTATACAGAAGATAAATTTAATTGACTCACAGTTCCACATGTCTTGGGAGGCCTCAGGAAACTTACAATCATGGTGGAAGGTGAAGGGCAAGCAAGGCATATTTTACATGGTGGCAGGAGGGGCAGGAAAACTGACAAACACTTTTAAACCATCAGATCCCTTGAGAATTTACTCAGTATCGTGAGAACAGCATGGGGAAAACCACCCCAATGATCCAATCACCTCCCACCAGGTCCCTCCCTTGACATGGGGATTACAATTCAGGATGAGGTTTGGGTGGGGACATAGAGCCAAACTGTATCACAAGTAGAGCTGAATTTTGGAAATTTGAATAGAAATTATTAGTATAAATATTTTATCTTGAGTTTTAGAAAATACAAGAATGCCTTGTTACTTTTTTAGGACACTTTATTAGCAACCAATAAAAATATGAAATGTATTAAAAACTAAAATTTTAAATGTATATTTTTATAAAATAAATGTATCAAGTGTTGATTATATAATTTTTATTGTAAAAGATGAAATTATTATAATTTATTTTGGAGTGAAATGTACATATATCTGATATTTGACTAAGAGACAACTGTTTTTGTTATTGTATAGTACACAGATTCTTGGAAATTTTTTAATGTTGGGGTGAAATTAATCCTTTCAGATAAACTCTCTACAGAGGCTATATAATTCACAAAATACTTTTTTAGATTTTATTGAATTATAATTCACACACTATAAAATTCACTTATTTTTACAATTCAATGTTTTCAAAAAAATGTCTGCAGTTGTAAAACAACCACCACAATCATGATGTAGAATATTTCCGCCTTCCAGAAAGTCCACTTCTTACATTTACAGTCTCCTTTCTCATACCCAAAACCTGGCATCCACTGATCTGCTAGCTGTCACTATCATTTTGCTTTTTCTAATATTTTATGTAAATGCAATCATAAAGTCTTTTAAATCTGGTTTCCCTTATTTAGCATAATGCTCTTGAGATCCATCTCTCTTTTATTAACAGCAAAAAATACTTATTTCACAGACTAAATTAAACTTAGGGAAGATGAAAGAAATCTAACAGGAGACCCAGGGGTGACTAACCTTTGTCTGTGTCTTGGTGTCAGTTTTTCTTTCATGGCCAGTTTGTTGATTGGAGACAGAGTTAGTCAATTTGGGGAATAACAGCTTGCAACTGACCAAGCAAACATTGGGATGGTTAATTATAATATCATTTTTTCCTTTTTTAAAGAGTTTCTTGCTTATTAATCTGTTGTTATTGATCAACTTTTACAGATTTACTAATCCAGTCATTTATCTTTGTCTTGAGTAAAATTCTGGGTATCTTTCTAGCAAATTGTAGTAGTAGTAAGGTGTGAAGTAACCAGAGTACAATCCCAGGAATGACACAGATGATGGAAATACAGGAGTGCACTTCATTTTTCCCAAGACTGTAACTAGAGTTTTTTTCAGTTGACTCTGTTAAAGCACCAAGCTGCTATGGTCTGGCACTGGAAAGGATGAATGATTGTCATATGTGTAACAATGAAGGCAGATTGGAAAATGAAAGCATTTTCCATGTTGATTGAAATTATCTAGGAGAGAAGAAAAAATGATGACGTAGGAGACAGCCGGGAGAACTGCTGGCACTATGTGCATGAGTAGGTGAGGAAAATGGGTTTGAGAACAATGGCAGAGGCATTGCTCTGTGAAAGGGCAGTTTACTCAAACTATAAAGATATGAATTCATGCATAAATGCAGGTAGTGAATAGACATTGTGGTAGGAATTTGCCTAAGTTCTTTCTGGCCACTTCTTTATGAGAAGATGTGTAAAGTAAAGACCTTGGCAGTGAAGGGCTGAGATAGACTTAAGAACTAGGAGTATTAGCAAATAGAAGATCCAGATACTGAGACACTCAGGGCATTGAATTGTGAGTATTGCATCAAGAAGAGTCATAATGTGACCACACATCAGAAGGGAAAATGTCCAGAGTATAGGACAGTGATAAAGGTTAGGTACATGACTCCAAGGAGATAATGTGTGTGGTGCAATGTGACATTACTAAATTCATAGCTGGTGTTTAAAGGAATGAGAGGTGTAAATTGTCTGGAAGTGGACACGGGGAGTAAGGAAGACACCCCATCTCCAGACCAAAGTTATAAGATTTACAGGAGTGAAAAAGCTCCCACTGGAGAGGACTGCAGGGATCAGTGACTCCTTGCATAGAGTTTTGTTTTCCTTGTAGAGCCAGAAAGGGAAGGGCATACTCAGAGAACAGATGAATCCTCTGGAGATTTTGCTGCTGACAGGCCAGGAGTTCCATGAGCAATAGGAAGGATTTGAGGAGTTGGTTAAAGCCTGGGAAATGGTTGTAGGGGATCACCAAAGGGGTTATATTGGGTTATATTAACAATTAAGGAGTTTGGGGTGAAGAAGATCCAGTAGTCCTGGGCTTCTTTGATGACTAAGATAAACAAAGTTAATATCCACAATGAAACTAATGCTAGTGGCATCAAGACAGAAAAGGGGGTGAGAGGTGAATGTGGTTGGGAGAAGTGGGTGGTGGTCCTTCCAGAAATAACTCAAGGTCTTGGACTCTCTGCTCATTCCTGCCCATGAGACACTGGAGGTCAAAAGTTGAAAGATCTAACAAACAGGAATCTTTGAGGAGCCACAAAGTACATATTTGAAATATAACATTAAATTTAATAATCAAAAATAATGTTTTTTAAAAATGGAAATTAAGCTTTGCCTAAGCATTTTATTTCTTTTACCTGAAATTTTATTTTATTTTTAGTTGTAACTTTTAGATAGAGTGGGTACATGTATAGATTTGATGCATGGGAATATCGCATGATGCTGGAGTTTGGAGCAGGGATCCTGTCACCCTGGCAGTGAGCACAGTACCTGATAGGTAGTTTTTTAACCCACCTTTTCCTCTCCACTCTCTACTAGTCCACAGTGTCTATTATTCCCATATTTATGTCCATGTGTGCTCAAAGTTTTGCTCCCACTTTAGTAGGAACCAGATGGTGTCCTTATAAAAAAAATAAGGTGGATATCATAGAATAAGACACTCCCACGGCTGCATATTTTCAGTAGGGTTTCAATGCACTGCCTGAATTTACTTACAAAACTCATCAGGTGTCTCAGAGGCCTGACTCTTTACCTTGAATAAGTAAGTTTAACAAAATAGTGGCAGACAGAAGACCCAGACTAGGCACAAACTATTTCTGAAACCTAAAAGAGGATATTTGGGAAAGAATATCTCATGTTTTCTGATTTTCCTTTGTTTTATATTCCTTTTCTTCCCCCACCCACCATCCCAACTTCGCCATCTGAAGACGTCAGAGGAAAAAATATTCAGCAACTGCAGTTGTCTGTGGCAGGTCTAAGCTGCCGGCCTCACGGACCATTAGTTGTTGTGAAAGAGAAAATGATGGGTCCACACTAATAATTATCCTGCTGACAGTTGAGGTACTATTACAGTAAGGCACAAACATCCCTTTCCGTAATCACTAATGAAAATGACTTTTTATCACCTGCTGAGCCACAATCGTTGTATATAAAGAAGGTATCTTTAAATTTTGCTATATCACATAAGATTTGACTATAAGATTTAGTTGGATTGTATGGAAGAATCAATACTCCATACCTCACTCTCTGGCTAAAAAGGAAGAAGGATGTTTTCTGGCCGACTGTTTGTCTGAGACCAATTTTTGATTTGTTAGCAGTAAAGCAGTGTAAGTAGCTTCCTGTGAATAGGAAAAGACAGAACATATTTTGGAACTGACTTTTATAGATCCAGCCAGCTGAGTTATTTTTTGATAAAATACCTTGAGTGAGAAAAGGGAACCAATCAATCAACAGCTCGCTTTCTTTTTCCAATGGCAGGTTAAAAAGGGGGAATTATATTTAAACATGTTGTTCTTGTTTCCATAGTTTCCACTCAGAACTGATCTATGTCATTTTACATCCTGGGATATAAGTACAACTTATGAATTCAGAGTTCAGCTTCTAGATTCAAACTCCTTGGTCCAGAATCCTGATTCCACCTTCTATTAAAATGCTGGTCCTGGTCAGATTATTTACAACCTGTGTTCCAGAGTTTTCTCATTTGCAGCAGGTGAAGAGTGATTTTGTAGGGTTATTATAAGGATTTTTAAAAAATACAATATATGTACTAGAATAGTCTATGGCATCTAGTAAATGATAAAAAGAATTCCAGCAATTATTATTTTCCCAAAAGATATTTTCCTCCATGAACATAGCAAGTATCATTGTAGGTACACAAAGCTTAAGTTAATAAAATGCAAACTTCCAGATAACATATAATAGAGTTTCAAATTTAACTCCCAGTACAGGACAGATGTCTGAAAAAAATGGAGCTACTCGTATCTCTGACTAGTCTGAACTTTCCTCTGACCTGACTCTTATGATAAGAGGAAACAAAATAAATACGTAACCAAATTAGTTTGAAGTTAGTTTTATAGGATTATTTAAAGATGATCTTTAGAAATGTGTTACTTTGTCCTCCAGCCTCCTCCTTCCTATTCCTAAAATGGAATTCAATGTCAGCTGCGTTGTGTTAAGAAGAACCAGCTGACTTTGTGCTAGTTCCTCCTTATATTCGTCTCCAGAGCTGTGTCTCTCACCCCACTGAGTATTGTTTGCCCTGTTGAATATTTGGGCTGAAGTGTTAGTTGCTGTAACTCAGAGCTTAATGTTGTTTTTGCTTGCGAAGTGCACACTTGGGCATTGATCACATCCTTCATCCTCTACTCATCCAGCACCCTGACCTCCTACCTCTGCCACTGCTGCAGGCCACCCTTGCCCACTGGTCCTGGCACTCTAAATTCAAGGACATTTAGGCAAAAGTATTTGGCAGGCCTCTTTCTCCTGGTCACATAGCATTTTTCTGTGGAAGCTCCCCAGGTGGGTAGAGCACCTGTACCCCAATTTCTTAAGGTGAGCTACTTGTCCAATACTTACCTCTCCTTTTTCCAAGCCTCTGACTGTGTAGGGTCAGAGGGTATGCATAGTCACTCCTCCAAACCCGAGAAACATGGAGAAGGGTTGGCTTTTCTGATCTTTTCCTTTCTAGTGTCCTCTCCCTCCCAAAAAGCCATCCCGGCTGTCATATGGGAGACTTTTTCTGAGAGAGAGTATGTGATTTTGCTTTTGTTTTGAGAAGCAGGGCTTCAGGCAATGAGTTTCTATGGAGATTATTTCCCATAATTCAAATGAAGTAAATCTGTAGATACTACAAATGTGTAGGCAAATTTTTTTTTGCAAGATCATTTTAACTCAACTAAATTGGCAGAAGATCTTACCTTATGGTCAAGGAATATAGGTTTAAAAATAATTTTTGTGGTGAGAGTTTATTATGTGATTTAGAGCACATGACACTCAGAAGTTCAAAGAATTAATAAATATTGCCAAAAAATGTTTTTCATTTTAATCTATTAATTTGTTACAAGCATTTTTATACATATATTTTTAAATAAATCAGAAATGAACATATAAAAAATAGAATAGACACTAAATGCTGGTTGATTTTAGAAATAAGTAAATTAAAATAAAAACAGTATATAAGTTGAGTTTTAAAAGTTGTATCTCAATGATGCATTTCAATAACTCATTGATTTTGTGTTTAATAGTTACGTTTCAAGGCTTTAAATATGTTATGTCATATTATCAATTGTTTACAAATAAAGATTATGATAACTACATCCAAACTAAAATTAAAAACAAATCCTGACATTGCTGCTTTTAATGGTGCTTTTAATGAAATGCCTTTGAATGAGTTACTTAACCATTTAGCACCTCAGTTTCCTCACATCTTTGATATTTAACTCTAACTCATAGAGTCTAAATATGAATTGAATTAATATAATTACTATAGTTATATACAGACTGGGGCATAGTAAGTGCTCAATAAAAATAGTAAACTATTATGATTACTGTAATTATACCATTATTATTGTTAATATAGTAGGTGTAATATATTAGTTTTCTATTAGTACCACAACAAACTACTACAAACTTAGTGGGCTAAAAGAACATGAATTTATTATCTACAGTTCTGTATGTTGAAAGATAATAATAATAATTTCAACAGATTAAAATCAAGACATTGGTAATGTTGGTAATGCTTCATTCTGGAGGCTCTAAGGGAAAATCTATTTCCTTGTTTATTTAGGTGGTTTCCAGAATTTAGTTCCTTGGATTTTAAGACTGTGATCCCCATTTTCTCTCTGACTTTAAGCTGAGGCCCGAACCCAGCTTATAGAAACCATCAACTTCCTTGGCTTATGGCTACATTCCTCCCTCTTCAAAGCCAGCAATGACAGTTGTGTCTCATTTACCCTTTGAATCCCTCTCAACTCCCACCTTTTCTCTTCTTCTGTTGCATCTCTCCAACCCAAACTTCTGCCTTCCTCTTCCACTTTTAGGAACCCATGTGATTAGGTGGGACCCACCTGGATAATTCAGAATAATATCTCATTTCCAGTTTATCCTTTATTGCTCCTGCAAAGTTTCTTTCTACCCTGTAAGGTGACATATTCACAGGTTCCAAAGATTAGGGAGTAAAAGCGCTGGAGGTCCATTACTTTGCCTACTACCTAAAGGATCTAAACCTTTTTATTAGTGTATTGGTGTCACGGAAAGAGGGAGTTTGTAAAAAATCTTTAAGGTATCGTATCCATGTCACGATGTGGGTCTCTTCATTGTCATTAAAGGCTTGTGTTGTTTTCGCAAAATTCTGAGGGATAAAGCACCACAAGACTTTGTCAGATATAACATATAATTATTGAAATAAAATAACTTTTTAACACGTGGTGGAGGTGGAGCAAGATGGTAGAATAGAAGGCTCCATCAATTGTTTCCCTCACCAAAAGGGCAGTAATTTAACAACTATCTACACACACAAAAGAAAACACCTTCGTACATATGAAAAATCAGTTGAGCACTCACAGTACCTGGTTTTACTGTCGTATCACTGAAAGAGGCACTGAAGAGGGAAGAAAAACCGTTTTGAATTGCTGACACCACCTGGCAGCAGCAGAATGGTACAGAGAGCCTTTAACTGGGCTGGGGGAGGGAGAGCCCGGTAATTATGAGGCATTAAACTCAATGCTGTCCTGTTACAGCAGAAAAGAAAATCAGAACAAACTCAGCTGATGCCAGCCCACAGAGGGAGCTTTTAAGCAGCCCTCGCCAGAGAGAAATTATCAATCCCAGCAGCTCAAATTTGAATTCTGCAAGCCTCAACACTGGGCTAAAGTACTCCGAGGATCTAAATAAAATAAACTAGAAAGGCGGTCTATGCCACAAGAACTATAACAACTAGGTGAGTCCTAGTGCTGAACTGCGCCTAGAGATACTAGATTGGGTGGGCATATAACCTACTGAGACACAAGCCAGGGTTGCTAAGGTAATGCTGCCATCACCCTAACCCTAAGCCAAGGCTGCACAGTTTACAGTTTAAAAAGAAACCCCTTCCTTCTCCCTGAGCAGAGGAAATCAAAAGAGTGGGGAGGACATTGTTTTGCATTTTGCCTACCAGCTAAGCCACAGCAGGATAGGGCCCCTGTCAGAGTCCTGATATCCCTTTTCCTAGCCCTTGGGCATCGCTCCGAGACAACAATACTAGGTACACCTTGGGTCAGAAGGGAAACCACTGCCTTGAAGGAAAGAACCCAGTCCTGGCAGCATTTATCACCTGCTAACTGAAGAGCCCTTGGGCCCTGAAAAACAAGCAGTGATACCCAGGAACTGCATTAACGGCTTTGGGTGAGAATCTGAGATCGGCTGGCTTCACGTGAGACTCAGCACATTCCTAGCTGTGGTGGCTATGAGGCAAAACACTATCTGCTTAAGAAAAGTTGAGGATAAAGTAAAGGGGACATTGTCTTGCACTTTAGGTACCATCTCCGCCACAGAGTTGTAGAGCACCATGTGGGCTCTTGGGGTCCCTGATTCCAGAATTTGGCCCTTGGATGGCATGTCCCGACCTGCCCTGGGCAAAAGGGGATCCAATGCCCTGGAGGGCGAGTCCCAGGCCAGGCAGCATTCACTGCAAGCTGACTGAAGAGCCCTTGAGCCTCAAGGGAACATCAGCAGTAGTATGGAGGTATTCTCCATGGGCCTGTAGTGGTGGTGGCCATGGGATGAGGCTCCTCTGCTTTTGGAAAGGGAACGGAAGAGTGGAAGGTCAGCATCTAGTGGTTTGAGTACAAGCTCAGCAGCAGTACAATAGAACACCAGGTGGACTTTTAAGGTATTTGAATATAGACTCTGGCTCCCTGACAGCACCTCTGGACCCTCCAGGTTCCCGGCAAACTCGCCACCCTGAAAAGAAGGACAGAGGAATGGCTGGCTTTGCTACCTGCTGACGATAGAGTCCCAAGGCTTTGAGTGAACATAGGCAGTAGCCAGGGAGTACTTACAGCAGGCTTTGTGTGAGACCCAGTGACGTATTGGCTTCGGGTCTGACTTAGCAGAGTCATAGTGGTGATGGCCACCAGGGTGACTGTGTCATTCCACCCTCAGCTTCAGGTGGTTCAGAAACTAGAGAGAGTTTCTCCATTTGTTTGGGAGAAACTGAGTGAAGAGAGCAAGTCTCTGCCTGGTAATCCAGAGAATTCCAGATCTTGTCCGAGATCATCGAGGCAGTACTTTTACGAGTCTTCATGAACCACAGCATTATTGGGCCTCCTAAAGCAGATACAGCTTGGATCACAATACCCAAGTCTTTGTGAATATCTGGAAAGCCTTTCCAAGGATGGTTACAAACAAGCCCAGACAGTGAAGACTACAATAAATACTTAACTATTCAATGTCCAGACACAGCTGAACATCTATCTACAAGTATCAAAACAATCCAGGAATACACAACCTCATCAAGAGAAGTAAATAAGGTGCCAGGGAGCAATCCTGGAGAAAAGAGATATCTGACCTTTCAGACAGAGAATTCAAAACAGCTGTCTTGAGGAAATTTGAAGAAATTCAAGGTATCACCATGAAAGAACTCAGAATTCTATCAGATAAATTTAACAAAGAGATCGAAGTAATTAAAAAGACTCAAGGAGAAATTCTGGAGCCGAAAATTGCAATAGACATGCTGAAGAGTGCACCAGAGTTTGTAAATACAGATTTGACCAAACAGAGGAAGAATTACTGAGCTTGATGACAGACTCTTTTAAAATACACAGTCAGAAGAGACACACACACAAAAAAAGAATGAAAAACAATGAAGCACGGCTACAGGATCTAAAAAACAGCCTCAACAGGGCAAATCTAAGAGTTCGACTTAAAGAGGAAGTAGAGAAAGAGACAGGGGAAGAAAGTTTATTCAAAGGGATAATAACAGAGAACCTCCCAAATCTAGACAGATATCATTGTCCAAGTACAAGAATGTATAAAACACCAAGCAGATTTAACACAAAGACAACCTCAAGGCAGTTAATAATCAAACTCCCAAATATCAAGGATAAAGAAACTATTCTAAAAGCAGCAAGAGAAAAAAAAAACAAATAACATACAATGAAGCTCCAATATGTCTGGCAGCAGACTTCTTAGTGGAAATGTTACAGACCCGAAGAGAGTGGCATGACATATTTAAAGTGCTGAAGAAGAAAAAAGGAAACCTTTACACTAGAATAATATATCTGGTGAATACTCCAGATATACTGGTATATATCCTTCAAACATGAAGGAGAAATAAAGATTTTCCCAGACAAACAAAAGGTGAGGGATTTCGTCAACACTATACCTGTCCTACAAGAAATTCTAAAGGGAGTATTTTAATCAGAAAGAAACAGACATTAGGGATCAATAAGTAATCACCTGAAGGCACACAACTCACTGGTAATAATAAGTATCCAGAAAAACACAGAACATTATAACACTGTAACTGTGGTTAGTTATTACTCACCTTAGGCTAAGTAGAAAGGCTAAATGAAGAACCAATAAAAATAATAACTACAGCAACTTTTCAAGATATAAACAGTACAATATATAAATAGAAACAACAAAAAATCTAAAAGTGGGGAATGAAGGTGTAGAGTTTTTATTAGTTTTCTTTTTGCTTTTTAGGTTTTTTATGCAAACTAAGTTAAGTTGTTATCAACTTAAAATAATGGGTTATAAGATAGAATTTGCAAGCCTCATGGTAATCTCAAACCAAAAACCATACAATGGATACACAAAAAAATAAAAAGCAAGAAACTAAATGATATCACCAGAGAAAACTACCTTCACAAAAAGAAGACAGGAAGGAAAGATGGATGCTTAGACTACAAAACAACCAGAAAACAAATATCAAAATGGTAGGAGAAAGTCCACTTATTAATAATAACATTGACTGTAAATGGACTAAAGTCTCCAATGGAGTAGCTGAATGGCAAAAAAAAAAAAAGGCAAGAAACATTGATCTGTTGCCTAAAAGAAGCACACTTCACCTATGAAGACACACATACCCTGAAAAAAAGATATTCCGTGTCACTGCAAACCCAAAACAAGCAGGAGTAGCTATACTTATATCAGATGAAAGACAAAGAGTATAAGAAGAGACAAAGAAGGATGCTATAAAATGATAAAAGGGTGAATTTAGCAAGAGGATATAACAACTATAAGTATATATGCACCCAACACTGAAGCCCTCAGGCATGTAAATATTACTAGAGCTAAAGAGAGAGATAGATTCCAATACAATTATAGCTGGAGAATTCAACACCTCACTTTCAGCATTGGGCAGAACTTCTAAATAGAAAATCAACAAACATCAGACTTAAACTGCACTATGGACCAAATGGATCCAATGGATATTTACAAGATATTTCATCCAACAGCTTCAGAATATACATCCTTTGTCTCAGCACATGGATCATTCTCAAAGATAGATTATATGATAGGTCATGAAACAAGTCTTGAGACATTTTAAGTAATTTAAATAATACCAAGCACATCCTATGACCACAGTCGTATAAAACTACAAAGCAAGAACAATAGGAATTATGGAAATCATACAAATACATGAAAATTAAACAATATGCTTCTTTCTGACCAGTGGGTCTATGCAGAAAATTTGAAGGAGATTAAAAAATTTATTGAAAAAAATAAGAAAAACACAACATATCACAATCTATGGGATATAAGAAAAGCAGTACTAGGAGAGAAGTTTATGACTGTAATAACCCACATCAGAAAAGAAGAAAAATTCAAATAAATGCCCTAACAATGAAGCTTAAAGAACTAGAAAAGCAAGAGCAAACCAAACCCAGAATTACTAAAACAAAAGAAATAATAAAAATCAAAGCAGAAATAAATGAAATTGAAATGAAGAAAATGATACAAAATATCAATGAAACAAAAAGGTTTTTTTTGAAAAGTTAAACAAAATTGACAAACCTTTAGCCAGACTGACTAAGAAAAATGGAGGCTGGGTGCGGTGGCTCACGCCTGTAATCCTAGTACTTTGAGAGGCCGAGACAGGCGGATCACGAGGTCAGGAGATTGAGACCACCCTGGCTAACACGGTGAAACCTCATCTCTACTAAAAATACAAAAAAAAAAAAAAAATTAGCCAGCGTGGTGGTGGGCGCCTGTTGTCCCAGCTACTCAGGGGTTGAGGCAGGAGAATGGTGTGAACCCAGGAGGTGAAGCTTGCAGTGAGCCGAGATCGCACCACTGCACTCCAGCCTGGGTGACAGAGCGAGACTCCATCTCAAAGAAAAAGAAAAAAAAGAAAAAAGAAAAAAGGAGAGAAGAGAGAAGATCCATATAAATAAAATCACAGATGAAAAAAGAGCCATTACAAACTGATACTACAAAAATTCAAAGAAACATTAACTGCTACTATGAGCAACTAAATGACAATAAACTGGAAAATCTAGAAGAAATGGACAAAATTCTAGACACATCTAACCTACTAAGACTGAACAAGGAAGAAATCCAAAACCTGAACATGTGAATAACAAGTAACAAGATTGAAATCTTAATAAAATGTCTTCCAGTAAAGGAAAGCCTGGGACCCAATAGCCTCACTGCTGAACTCTATAAAACGTTTTTAATAGAAACTAATACGCATCCTATTCAAACTGTTCTGAAAAAGAGGAGGACTAATAACGTCCAAGCTCATTCTATGAGGACAGTATTGCCCTAATACCAAAACAATACAAATACTTATCATAAAAATAAAACAACAGGCCAATATACCTGATAAATATTGATGCAAATGTCCTCAACAAGATACTAGCAAATCAAATTCAGTAATATATTTAAAAGATCATTGCTCATGACCGAGTGGCGTTTACCCCTGGGATACAAGGATGTTTCAACATATGCAAAACAATCAATGTGATACATCATATGAACAGAATGAAGGACAACAACCATATCATCATTTAAACTGATGCTGAAAAAACATTTGATAAAGTTCAACATCCCATCATGATAAAAACTCTAAAAAAACTGGGTATAGAAGGAACATATCTAAACATAATGAAAGCCACATATAACAGACCAACATCTATTATTATACTGAATGGGGAAAAGCTGAAAGCCTTTCCTCTAAGATCTGAAACACAACAGGAATGCCCACTTTCACCACTGTTATTCAACATAATACTGAAAGTTCTAACTAGAGCAATCAGATAAGAGAAAGAATAAAGGGCATCCAAGCTGGAAAGCGAGAAATCAAAGTATCCTTTTTTGCAGATATGATCTTCTATTTGGGGAAAAAAAAAAACTAGAGACTTCATTAAAACAACTATTAGGGCCGGGCTCAGTGGCTCACGCCTGTAATCCCAGCACTTTGGGAGGCCAAGGTGGGTAGATCGCTTGAGACCACGAGTTCGAGACCAGCATGGCCAATATGGGGAAACCCCATCTCTACTAAAAATACAAAAAAATTAGCCAGGCATGGTGGTGCTGCACACCTGTAGTCCCAGCTACTTGGGAGGCTGAGGCAGGAGAATTGCTTGAACCTGGGAGGAGGAGGTTGCAGTGAGCCGAGATTGAGCCACTGCACTGTAGCCTAGGCAACAGAGTGAGACTCTGTCTCAAAAATGAAAAGAAAAAAACTATTAGAACTTATAAACAAATTCAGTAAAGTTGTAGGACACAAACATTCAAAAATCAGTATCCTGTCTATATGACAACAGCAAACAATCTGAAAAGAAATTTAAAAAGTGATTGCATTTAAATAGCAAAAAAATAAAATAAACAACCTAAGCATTAACGTAATCAAAGAAGTAAAAGATCTTAGTATAATGAAAACTATACAACACTGATTAAAGAAATTTAAGAGGACACACAAAAAATATAAACATGTTCCATGTTCATGGATTGGAAGAATCAATACTATTAAAATGTCCATACTATTCAAAACAGTATACAGATTCAATCTAATCTCTATCAAATTATGAATGACATTCTTCACAGAAATAAAAAACATCCTAAAATTTACATGGAATCACAAAGGCTCAGAATAGTCAAAGCTATCCTAAGAAAAAGAAAGAGGAATTACATAATCTGATGCCAAATTATACTACAAATCTATAGTAGACAAAATAGCATGGTACTGGCATAAAAGTAGACACATAAACCAAGGGAAAGAGTAGCAAACCCAGAAACAAATCAAACACCTACAGTGAACTCATTTTCAAAAAAGGTGCCAAGAACATACACTGGAGACAAGACAGTCTTTTCGATAAATGGTGCTGGGAAAACTGGATATCTATATGATCCATATGAAGAAGAATAAAACTAAACCCCTGCCTCTCACCGTATACAAAAATAAAATCAAAATGGATTAAAGATTTAAATCTAAGACCATGAACTATGAAACCACTACAAGAAAACCTTAGGGAAAATCTCTAGGACCTTGGTCTGGGCAAAATTTCTTGAGTAACTTTGCTCACAAGCGTAGGCAACCAAAGCAAAAATGGACAAATAAGATCACATTGAGAAAAAATTTTCTGCTCAGCATAGAAAAGAATTAACAAAGTGAAGAGACAACGCACATACTGGGAGAAATTATTTGCAAACTACCCATCTGAAAAGAGATTAATAATCAGAATATATAAGGAGCTCAAACAACCCTATAGGAAAATATCTAATAATCTGATTATAAAACGGACAAAAGATTTAAATAGACGTTTCTCAAAAAAAGACATACAGAATGGCAAACAGGCATATGAAAATGTGCTCAACATCATTGATCATCAGAAATGCACATAAAAACTACCATGAACTATCATCTTACCCCAGTTAAAGCGGCTCACATCTAAAAGACAGGAAGTAAAAAATGTTGGTGAGCATGTGTAGAAAGGGAACCCTCATACCCTGTTGGTGGGAATTTAAGTTATTACAACCACCATGGAGAACAATTTAGAGGTTCCTCAAAAATATAAAATTAGAGTTATCATATGACCCAGCAATCTAACTGCCGACTATATACCCAAAAGAAGGAAAACCAGTATATTGAAGAGGTACCTGCATTCCTATGTTTGTTGCAGCGCTCTTCACAATAGCCAAGATTGTGAAGCAACCTACATGTCCATAAACAGATAAGTGGTTAAAGAAAATGTGGTATATATACACAATGGAGTACTATTCAGCCGTTTAAAAAAGAATGAGACCCTGTCATTTGCAACAACATGGATGGAAATGAAGATCACTATGTTAAATGAAATAAACCAGGCACAGAAAGACAAGCATTGCATGGTCTCATTTATTTGTGAGATCTGAAAACCAAAACAATTAAACCCTTGGAGATAGAGAGTAGAGTGATGATTACCAGAGGCTGGGAAGGGTAGTGTGAGGGTAGGGGGAAGATGGGAATGATTAATGGGTACAAAAAAAAATGGAAGAATGAATAAGACCTACAAAAAGTAGCACAACAGGGTCACTATAGTCAACAATACTATAATTGTACATTTCAAAATAGCTAAAAGAGTATAATTGAATTGTTGGATAAATTGTAAGGATAAATTCTCGAGGGTATGGATACCCCATTCTCCAGGATGTGATTATTATGAATTGCCTGCCTGTATCAAAACATCTCATGTACCTCATAAATACATACATCTATTATGTGCCCATAAAACTAAAAAATAAAAACTTTTTAAACAATATTACAAAATTGAAAAAACTCTAATATAAAAATATTAACAAGATCAATTAGATCATGAAGCATAATTTATCATATAAAATGCATTATATTATGCTCATGAGGATGAGTTAATGGATGGAAAATTGCTTATTACATGATGTTAATTTTGAAAGAACTTGAAAGATGGCAAATTAACTATCCAGTAATGTGCTAATTTTGTTAAATCACACAAGTGCATACAAAAAGGACTTTTATCTGCACTAGAAGTATGAGATTTCCTTTTACTCATATTTTCTATAATGAACTTTAAAAATTTCATACAGAGATTTGTTCCTTTTTATGTTCTCTGAAAATAAAATAATCTGGCTCTTGGCTTTACCTTTTTTCTCTAAGAATTGTCACATAATTAGCATCTTTCTGTGTTTTTTCTATGGTGAAATAAAAGAAAGATGGTTTAAACCCAAAAAAGTTTGATTAAGTTCATATATAGGTATTGCCAGTTCTCATGAGCCAGAAACGTACTTGACAAGACATTCTTGTAATCCAACAAAAATGCCTCCCTAGAGGCCATGATTGAAGACTTTGCCATTATAACTCTTTATAAACAATATATTTCAGGCTCCATTGTCATCCATGTATATTTTTGCTTTCATTAATATCACTATTGTTCCTACTTTATAAAAAGTTGTTCTGAATCTTAGAGAAGTTACTTGGATATACTTTCAAAATTATATGCTCTTTTTGTTAGATGAACTGAATAATTGATTGTTCTAGGGGCATGGAATTGACCTCATGATGATTGTAACATGAGGAAAAATCCACATACCAGAGAAACTTGAAGAAAAGCAAGAATATGTCATAGAGAGAATAAAAGAATAGAAGAAAACAAGGAACAGAGAGAATAGTGAAAAGGACTGTAAGATTTCTAGTCTATTTGATTTAAAAAGTGATACCAAGACTGTGTAGTAGAGTTGGTGTAAAAAAATTTTGAATCACAGGTTACCTGGTGACATTCAAAGGGTGATGGTCTCTAGGCAGCTGTAAATAGAATATCAAAGAATGAAGCTGTGCCCAAACTGAAAGATAGATTAGAAACCAAAAATAGCCACGAGGAAATCTGTGATTATATGCACCCAATGCTAGAGGGATCTAAAGAAATAGCAGAGAAAAAAGTCCTGAGCATCAGACAACCAGAAGGATCAGCAGGAACATGTCTGCTCGAGGTCAGGATGGCTAGATAATATATCAAAGTGAAGCAGCACAGATGCAGATTAACTAATTTGATATGTGCTGATCTATCTCTGGACTTAATACAAAACTTTTCATTTGCCACTTTATCAAAAGGAAAATACTCACTATTAGAATGCATGTTTATGGCACTGATAAGGAGAGAAAATAAAAGAGAATCCTTTCAAGTTTATGGTTTATCACCCTATATAATGTGATAAAGAACACAAAATAGTCTGTTAAATCGTTGAGTTCCCTCTAGTATAAAGTCATTAACTTCAACAGTCATACAATTAATTTCTGTTTTTTAAATATCACCATGTGATCCTTTTTATCCTCATTGATATCTTTGACATAGTATGTTTAACCCTACTCTGCTGATTTAAAGGTCTATTACTGTATTAAGTTAAAATTATTTTATTTCAAATGTGAGAGGCTTTATTGAGTCTGACCTTAAATTAGTGTTTAAGTCAATAACAAAACTAGAGTTTAGGTTAATAACAAATAATACTCTTTGTACAAAAATAAGTGCGGCCTATCTAGGGACAGATTGATATGGGTTCTCTGGTCAACATTTTCCTCATTATTTGATTGCCTCATTTTGTTCAATTATAGTCCTCAGGAGATTTTGAGCAATTGTATTTTTTTCAAATATTTTATTAGGAATATCTCAGTTATACAATAATTTTATAGTGAATGTCTATCTACTCACCATGGGGATTCTACAAATAGAATTCTACTCGACTTGTTTTATCCCATATCCTTCCATCCATCTGCCACCGCCAATCTATCAATCATCCAACTCTTTCAATGAATTACACAAATAGTAGCAGAAATTAACTTACTTACTCAAATACTCCAACATTATATTGTTAATTAGAGTTCACAATTTATTTATCATAAATTTTTGTCTTTCTTTTTTTTTTTTTTTTTTTTTTGAGACTGAGTCTCATTCTGTCACCCAGGCTGGAGTGCAGTGGCACGATCTTGGCTCACTGCAACATCCACCTCCTGAATTCAAGCGATTCTCCTGCCTCAGCCTCCCAAGTAGCTGGGATTACAGGCATGCGCCACAACGCTTGGCTAATTTTGTATTTTTAGTAGAAATGGGGTTTACAGCATCTTGCTCTGTGGCCCAGACTGAATTACAGTAGCATAATCATGGCTCACTGCTGCCTCAACCTCCCAGGCTCAAGCAATCCCCCCACCTCGGTCTCTCAAGTAGCTAGGACCACAGGCATGTACAAACACACCCAGCTAATTTCTTATTTAAAAAAATGTTTAACTTTTTTTTTTTGTAGAGACAAGTCTCACCATATTGTCCAAGCTAGTATTGAACTCCTAGGCTCAAGTGATCCTCCTGCCTCCGCCTCCCAAAGTGCTGGGATTACAAGAATGAGCCACAGTGCCTGGCCGAACTCATGTCTTCAGTGTAAAATGAAATGCACAAATCTTGACCGTACATTCATTGTGTTTTGAAAAATGTGAACAAATGCATAGAAACTTTCCAAACTGAAATAAAAAGAGAAACTGAATGTGGGGGACAGAATACAACAGCCACGTACTGTGGAACAATTTCAATAGCTGTAATATATGCATAGTGGGAACACCAGGAGGAGAAGAAAGAGAATGGAGTAAAAGAAATATTTGATGTAATATTGGCTGAGAAATTTCCAGAACTAATGTCAGACTCTAAACATGGATCTAGAAAGCTCAAAGAACACCACCAAAGGAAAAATAATTACATTTTGACATATCGTATTCAAACTGTAGCACACCAAAGACAAAGGTCTTAAAATAACTCAAAGGAGAGAGAGGGAAAACACCATACTCACAGAGGCATATGCCTAAGAAATTCAGTGGATCTCCTGTCAGAAACTATGAATGCACAAAAAAAGGATAGTTAAATATTTAAAGTGGTAAAAAAAAAAAAAAAGCCCAGTAACCCATAATCTATATCCAGTGAAACTGTTTCAAAAGTGAAGGAGAAATAGACTTTCTCAGATCTGTGGGAGAATAGGAGCCTAAATTTCATAAGTGGCTATTAGCAAACACGGATGGCCTCACCTTTTGCTTCAGCTGAGTTGAGTTCAAGCTCTCTCCCTTATTGTAATAGTTAAATAAGTCTTCTTTGCTGTTTTTAACTAGTGTGTGGTGCAATTTAGCTTTTACAAGTCTCAAATCTACATAAAGGAAGAGTGTTATAGAAGGAATAAATAAAGAAGAGATCAATTTTCCTTTTTCTTAATCAATTTGAAAATAACTTTGTTTGAAATAAAGGTAAAAATATATTGGGTGTTTTTAGCATATGAATAAGCAAAATAAATCACAGCAATATTATAAGGAGCAAAAGGGAAAAATTGGGAATACTTTTTTATAAAGTACCTGCGTTATACATGAAGCACTATAGTGTTATCTGAAGATGAATTTATATTAGTTAAAATGGATACTGGAAATTCTAAGGCAGCTATTAAAAATATTAAAACAAGAAGTATAGTTACTATGCTAAGAGGAGATAAAATGGAATTATATAAAATGTGCAATTAAAACCATAGAAGGCAGAAAAAGATAAAAAGGAAACAAAGAACAAATGGAATGAATAGAAGACATTCACATACATGGTATATATTAATCCAACTATATTAATAATCATTTTAAATGCACCAATTAAAAGACAGATTGCCAGAGTGGATTAAAAAATACCCTATTATGTTGTGTTTATAAGAAACCCACTTTAAATTTAAAGACTTAGATTGGTTACAGTGAAAGGATTGGAGAAAGACATATCATGCGAACACTAATCAATGAAGAGCTCATTCTGTTTACAAGTTACTTTTTACCCATTGGTTATTAAGCTTTATGTTAATGTCCAAATAGTTAGGTTCAAACAAGATATTTTATTGATAGCTAACTAAATGCTATTGTGGTCAGCACACACTGTGTTATTCCAGTTCTTTTAAATTATTTGATGCTATTTTGTCATACAACATATGTTCTACATTAGTAAATACACCACCACACAAATATGAAAAAAAAATCTGTATTCTAAATTGGCAGGGTGGAATTCTTCATAAGGTTTAGTTCAGATCACCTTTGTCCTCA
The DNA here is from genome assembly GCF_000001405.40 of Homo sapiens. Classification (NCBI taxonomy): domain Eukaryota; kingdom Metazoa; phylum Chordata; class Mammalia; order Primates; family Hominidae; genus Homo; species Homo sapiens. Next base: position 12,401,404 of record NC_000005.10, on the reverse strand, counting down.
ATTTTTTAAGTAATTCTATCAATTGCTAAGACATTGTTTCACATTTTTCCAAATAAAATTGAAGAAAAATTCATTGTCCCCTTGGATCCTGTCAACTTTACCTTGAGGAGTTGTTATTTTGTACATACACACTTAAGTTTATTATGTCTTCCTATAGGCTTGACACTTTTATCATTGTGAGATGTCATTTTTTTATCACAGGTAGTACTTGCTGTTTTGTACTTTATTTTATATTAATATAGCTATTTCAGGCCTCTTAGAGTCACTGTTTGTAGTTACATTTTTACAACCATTTTTACTCCTACAGTTCTGTGTCTGTATATTGTGAGTGCATCTCATGTATACAACAATTAGCTGGATCCATCTTTTAACTGGGTGTTTTGTCCGTTAATATTAAACAATTTAGGTGCTGTTTATTCCCTGTTTTCCTTGGATAACTTGAATATCTCCTAGGATCTTATTGTAATATGTCTGTCAGCTTACTACTGATACTTCTGTGCATCATTTTTAGTGGCTTGTTTAGGTACTACAATATACATTCTTAACTTTTCACAGGATACCCTAAAATTAATATTTGTTTTTTGAAATTTAGAGATTCATTGATGGTAGGACAGAACACACTGGTGCTTGAAGAGATGAAAGGAAGAAGTCTTTGCTGCTTACAGCTGCAAGTGAGAGAAGGCTGCCAGGTAGGGTCACACAAGGTGTCACATGCAGGGACACGGTTAAACAGCAAGCTGGAGCTGCTAGAGGCAGTTCACATATGTTGAGTGGAATGGGGTTAGTAGCTAGGTGTTTGTGCTCTCTGAAGATTGATGCATTAGTTTGCTAGGGCTGCCATAACAAACTAATATAGACTAGGTGGCTTAAACAATGGAAATTTATTTTCTCACAATTTTGGAGTCTTGAAGTCCAAGATTAAAGTGTTGGCAAGGTTGGTTTCTTCTGAGAGTTTCTTTTTGGTTTCTTCTCCCACTGCCCTGACATAATCTTTCCTCTATATGTTCATATAGCCTGATTTCCTCTTCTTTACAAGGACACCAGTGATACTGAATTAGGACACACCCTAATTACCTCATCTTAACTTAGTTACCTCTTAAAGACCCTGTTACCAAATATAGTTGATTCTCAGGTATGAAGCGTTAAGGATTCAACATATTAAATTGAGGGGGACGCAATGGGGATGCAAATCAGCCCATAACACTTTGATAATTTGAATAATGTCATGGGCTCCATGACAAAAGCTCTGTCTCTAGTTGTCATACTTGGCCCTAGAACAATTAGGGCAGGTTCATAGAGGCCTGGAATGTGAAAGGTGTGAAAGCCCCATAAAGGAAGTGGTTTGGGTGTGGACTTAATCAGCTGCTCAAGAAGAGACCTGACTGGCCTCTAGCCAAGACCTTATAACCAGAGCAAGACAGTATTACATTTTTTAAAAAAATGTATTACAACATGGCACCAACTATGTAAAAAAATGGAAATCTTGGAAATATACACTAGCATTTACCCCATTATTATGTATGCCATGGTGTGTGTGTGTGTATGTATAAACACACACACACATATATATAAAATATCTGAATATATTATTTGTAAACTTTCATTTTTAAATAATTTTAGACTGTTGTAGAAGTTGCAGAAATAATGAGAAGGTTCTCACCTTCCTTTCACCTGACTTCCCCAAATGATAGCATCTTACATAACCATAGCATAATTATCAAATCTAGAAAATAGACATTGGTACAATACTGTTAGCTGCAGACCTTATACAGAATTTATTATTTTTTATGCACTCGTTTGTATTTGTAGAAGTTCACAAAATTTTATCACATGTATCGATTCTTGCAACCAACACCGCAATCAGAATAGGCAAGAATTGCATCACCCCAAAGAAACTCCTGTATTACCCTGTCATAGTCATGTCATCTCTCCACACTTTAACTCTGGCAACACCGCTTGTTATTTTGATTTTATATAAATGGAACCATATACTATGCAACCCATTGAGACAGATTATTTTCTCTTATCATAAAGTTTTTTATATTCATTAAAATTGTGCACATCAGTGAATTGTTCCTTTTTATTGCTGAATGATATGCTATTATATGGATGAATGACAGTTTGTTTATTCATTCTCCTACACAAGGACATCAAAGATTTTTTTCATTTTGGGGCTACTGCTAATAAAGATGATATGAAATATGTGTACAGGTTCTTTTCCTGAATATACGTTTTCAGTTCTCCAGGATAAATATGCTGAAATGGGATGGCTGAGGCATGTGATAACTGTATATTTAGCTTTCCAAGAAACTGCCAGCATTCTTTTCCAAGTTACTACACATCTGTGTCTTCACCAGCAAGATGTAAGAGATTCTAGAGCTTCACAGCCTTATCCGTACTTGGTGGAGCAAATTTATTCATTTATTTATTTATTTATCCCATTCTAGTAGTTATATAATGATATCTAATTTTTGCTTTAATTTGCATTATTCTAATGCCTACTGATGTTAAATATTTGTTCATGTAGTAATTTGTCAGCTATACATACCCTTTGGTGAAGTGTATTTAATTTTCTGATTGGATTATTTGTTTTCTTAATGTTAAGTTTAAAGAACCCTTTTTTATATCCTGAATACAAGTTCTTCGCTGGATATATTATTGGAAAATATTTTTGCCCATTGTGTGGTTATCTTATAGTGTCTTTGGCAGAGCAAATAGTTTTAACTTTGAAAAAGTCCAATTTATTACTTTTTTATTTTATGAGTTCACAAACTGCTTGCTTATTCATAGGTCACATAGATTTTTTTTCTTTTGTTGTCTTCTGAACGTTTTGTAATTGTATATTTTTAATTGGTACCAATTATCTATTTTGATTTGATTTTTTGAAAGGTATAAGGCTTATGTCAAGAATCATTCTTTTGCATATGGATGCATAATTGCACCAACATCACTTTTGAAAACACTCCTCTTTCTTTGCGCCTATCTCAAAATTCAGTTGATTCTACATTTCTGGTTCTATTTCTCAATTTTCATTGGTTCCATTGATCTGTGTGTCTATTTCTGTGCAAAACCACAGCCTTTCCATCACTGTAGAAATACACTAAATTTTAAAATCTGGTTGTATGGTCTTTCGATTTTTTTCTTCTTAATTTAAAATTGTGTTATTCTAGTTCTTTCTTCATTTCCATATAATTTTAGATTTAACCATATCTATAAGAATTCATGCCAGATTATTGAAGGAAAATGAGTTAAACCTAGCATTTCATATATTTAGGTTTTTCATCAGCATTTTGAAGTTTTCAGCTTATAGATCGTCTACGTGTTTTGTCAGATTTATTTAAAGCTATTGTAAATCATATTTTTTCAGTTTCAAAATATTCTGTGATAATATATCAAAATATTGACTTACTTGTTTTGACCTTCTGTGGTGTTGCAAAACTCACTTACTAGTTCTAGGAGATTCTTTGGGTACCTTGGGATTTTCTACACGAACAATCCTGTCATATGCACACATAAGGTAGTTTTATTTATTCTCTTCTAATCTGTGTGCATTTCTTTTTCTTATCTTGCCTTATGTCACTGGCTAGTCGTATGCTGAATAAGAGTGATGAGAGTGGGCATCCTTACCGTTTTTTCTATATAGCAGGACAGCATTCACCTTTGCAATGTTATGTATGATGTTAACTGTAGGACTTTTTTGTAGATGCTCTTTATGGAGTTGAAGTTTCTCTCTAATACTAGTTTGTTAAGAGTAGGTGTTGGGTTCTGTCAAATGCTTTAACTACATAAATTGATGCAATAATGTGGTTTTTCTTCTTTTGACTGCTAATATGGTGGATGACATTGATCTCTGAATATTGAGCTAGCTTTTTAAATTTTTTTATTATACTTTAAGTTCTAGGATACATGTGCACAACGTGCAGTTTTGTTACATATGTATAAATGTGCCATGTTGGTTTGCTGCACCCATTAACTCGTCATTTACATTAGGTATATCTCCTAATGCTATCCCTCCCCGCTCCCCCTGCCCCAAGACAGGCCCCAGTGTGTGATGTTCCCCACCCTGTGTCCAAGTATTCTCATTGTTCAACTCCCACCTATGAGTGAGAACATGCAGTGTTTGGTTTTCTGTCCTTGCGATGGTTTGCTCAGAATGATGGTTTCCAGCTTCATCCATGTTCCTACAATGGACATGAACTCATCATTTTTTATGGCTGCATAGTATTCCATGGTGTATATGTGCCACATTTTCTTAATCCAGTCTATCATTGATGGACATTTGGGTTGGTTCCAAGTCTTTGTTATTGTGAATAGTACTGCAGTAAACATACGTGTGCATGTGTCTTTATAGCAGCATGATTTACAATCCTTTGGGTATATACCCAGTAATAGGATGGCTGGGTCAAATGGTATTTCTAGTTCTAGATCCTTGAGGAATGGCCACACTGACTTCCACAATGGTTGAACTAGTTTACAGTCCCACCAACAGTTTTTAAAATAAACCCAACTTGGGGAATTTCTGTCTTCAAGCCTCTTTCAGACAGAATAATAATACTTCCCTTTTAATAATCTCAAATGAAAAGAACAATCATTTCTTGAATGAAATCAGGTTGTTGGCTAATTTTTAAAATGTGAGTCAAGATGCTAATCCTGCCTCAAATGTTGTTCAAATCCTTATTCCTTTATGAATGTGTCACAGGTAATTATTTCTTATAATTTTATTTCCCAAAGTTCCATTAGCTGTAAATTTTCTTTCCTAAAAGCATTCTGTAAAGCATCTGATGCTGGCTTAAAACCATTCTATTATGTAACATGTGTGACATTTAGCTCTTTAAATCAATGTATGCTTTCATTTTTTTCTCCAAACTAGTAATTATAGTTTATTATAAAATATAAAATGAATGTTTGATGCTTCAAACCAAACGCTGCCATTAGAACCAATATTCATAAATAATATAGCTTGGCAAATACACAGCATGTAATATTTAACATAATTATACATAAAATTTTATTAAGGCATAGACTTTAAGATAAGTGCATATTAATAAAATTATTTGGGTAGTAGTAAGTTGAAATGCAGTGACTCTTGTGAAGCTTTAAGCAACATAAATATAATAAAACAGTTAATTAACTGTGCAATAATCTGCTATACAGGAAAAATGCATTTAAGTGATTATTTTCACATTAAAAATTGTATTTGAGGCCAGGCACAGTGGCTCACACCTGTAATCCCAGCACTTTGGGAGTCGGAGGCAGGCGGATCACAAGGTCAGGAGATCGAGACCATCCTGGCTAACATGGTGAAACCCTGTCTCTACTAAAAATACAAAAACTTAGCCGGGTGTGGTGGCACACACCTGTATTCCCAGCTACACAGGAGGTTGAGGCAGGAGAATTGCTTGAACCTGGGAGGCGGAGGTTGCAGTAAGCCAAGATCGCACCACTGCACTCCAGCCTGGGTGACAGAGCGAACCTTCATCTCAAAAAAAAAAAAAAAAAAAAAAAAAAAAAAAACTTATTTGACAGGTGTGATAGGAGAAGAACAACTCATGCTTGTGGACTTAATTTAAAGTTATTTGTTTATTGTTGAATTTAATAATTTTATTGGAAATTTATATTTGTTATATTTTGAAACCTTATATAAGTCTAATTGAAAAATTATTTTGTTATTATTATTAAAAATAGTAATGTGCTTTTCCTATCTACTTTTTGACAAGATCAATGCTTTAAACAATCAATATTCTTCTTTTTGCCAAATATAAATTAAGGGCTCAGTAAATCTTGGTTGAATATTTGGCATTGTAAAAATCTCCTGCCACAGTGGCCAAATTCAATCGAGGTGGTAAAAACAAAAGCTTTCCACCAATTGTAATTTGTGATATTCAGAAATTCTCAGTAAACATACAGAGCTGAAACAAGAAGAAAAGTACCAAGAAAATCATTAGAATCAGTCAGGGAATTATTAGCACATGTCTTACGATCTGTGCATATATTATATATCTTTTAACTGGAATAAATGCCGTAACAAATATAATACATGTATAAAACAAAGCAAACCTAGCCATATGTCCCCAGTAATGAGCCACTGACTCCACTAATTGTCATGTTGGGAAAATGATTGAAAAATAAGAAAGGCATGATGAAACTAACAATCACTTATAGAAAGCTTATCTTTTTCTTTATCAAAATGTCCTCATCTGTGAAATGAGGACTAAAATACATAGCTGTGAGGTCCCTTCCAAGACTGATAGTATTTCACCATAGTACTTTTTTTATTCTTCACTCATAAGTTAAAAGTTAAAAAGAAACATTAAAATTTTTATCAGAAACTTTCAATAAAGTGATTTTTAAGTATAACCAGTATACAGTATTTTTACCTACTGTTATTTAAGTAACATGATTGGTACCTAGAAATATGGGTTTCTTGACTTAACAGACATAGCAAAGAGAACTCAATTGCTAGTGGTTATGGTTTTTTGGTTTTGCTTTGTTTTTTTTTTTTTGTTTTTGAGACGGAGTCTTGCTCTGTCTCCCAGGCTGGAGTGCAGTGGCGCAGTCTTGGCTCACTGCAACCTCTGCCTCCAGGGTTCAAGCGATTCTCCTGCCTCAGCCTCCTGAGTAGCTGGGACTACAGGTGCATGCCACCACACCTGGCTAATTTTTGGTATTTTTAAAAGAGATGGGGTTTCACCATGTTAGCCAGGATGGTCTCAATCTCTTAACCTAATGATCTGCCCCCCTCTGCCTCCCAAAGTGCTGGGATTACAGGCATGAGCGCCCGCGCCCAGCTGATTATGGTTAATTTTATGTGCCCACTTCTCTGGTCCACAATACCCGTATATTTGACTAAATGCAAGTTCACATGTCACTGTGAAGGCATGTTTAGATGAAATTGAAATTTATATCAGTAGAATCTGAGTAAAGCAGATTACTCCTCAGAAGGTGAATATGCCTTATTGAATCCATTGAAGGCCTTAAGAGAAAATGACTGATTTCCCCTGAGGAAGAAGGCATTGTGCCTCCAGACTTCCTTCAGATGGGAGCCGAAATACCATGTCTGCCAATTCCTTAAAATAAATCTGTAGATAGATTGATATAGGAATAAAAAGAGATATAGAGCTAAGAATGATATGTATATAGATATACATATATAGAGAAAACCTGTGCACCTGTTTGTTTGCTGTAGCACAGAGCTAAGGGATTCTCACCCATGGTCATGTGGGACGGGATATAGGTAGGAAAGTATACACTGGTTTTTGCAATATCTCCACAGTGGCAATGCTAATCATAAGGACTGTCATATTGGTTTATTAATTTTTAGTATTTTTGCAGTACTAATCGAAGAAAATAACAGTGTTGGTTAAACAACTACAGACTCAGGACATGGTCAGAAAGTCAGAAAGCCTGTATCTTAGTTTCCTCAGCATTAGTTGTATAGTAACACATACTGTTTTAAACTGTATGTTTAAAACAGTAGAAATTTATTTTCTCCTGTTCTAGAAGCTGTAAATCTAAGGTGTTGGCAAGGCTATACACTCTCTTGGAAAACTCTAGGGAAGGATTCTGTCTTGTCTCTTCCTAGCTTCTGTGGTGTTCTAATAAGGACACCAGTCATTAAATTAAGACCCACTTAATCCAGTATGACCTAATCTCAACTAATGACATCAGCAAAGACTCTTTTTCTGAACTGGGTCACATTATGAGGTTCCATGTGGACATGAATTTCGGAGGAACACCAGTCAACCCAGTACAGTCTCTATGGATAGTATTAAGGGCCCCATGTCTTGTATCTAGAAAGATGACTGTGCTGCATATCAATTCAAGGAATGCATTGTGAGGGAAGAGAAGTGCAGAGAAAGCTGAATTCACAGCCCTCGCAAGTCTCCTTGTGGAAGACAGAATTCTGAGATGGCCCTCAAGATTCCCATCCCTGGTAGACACACCACTCTTCCAGGTATTCAATCAAACACTAATCTAGGTGCTGCTATAAAGGAATTTTACAGACGTATTTAATACTCTAACCAGGTGACATGAACATAAGAAACCTGGCCAAATCAGTCAGTCTTTTAATAACACTGAAGTCCTCCTGGCAAAAGAAATTTATTCACGAGAGAGATTCAACACAAGAGAGATTCTCCATTGCTGGCTTTGAAGATAGAAGCTGCCACATGGCAAGAAATGTGGGCAGCCTCTTTGTGCTGCATCTAGCTGTCATCTAGCAAGAAAAAAACACTTTAGTCCCACAATGAAAAGGAACTGAATTGTGTCACAGGCACCGGAGCTTGGGAGAGGATGTTAATCTTCAGCTGAAAACTTAGATAAGCCAATACTTTGAATTTAATCTGTGAGAACTTGAACAAAGAATCTATCCTGGCCATGAACAGGTTTCAGATTTTCAGAGTTAATAAATTAATGGTGTTGTTTAATGCTTACAAGTTTGTAGAATTTTGTTTGACATTAATGGTATTGTTTGAAGCTGACAAGGATGTAGTATTTTGTTTGCAGCAATAAAAAAATAGTGCATTCCTACACCGCAATTCAGGCTTTGACAGTGAAGGTGTGGTCCCAGGAGACCTGGAGTAGGAACATCCTGTTGGATGTGTTTCAAACACACATATAAAGGTCCAAGGCCTCTAGCTTCTGAAATTATGTTCTCCACTTTGCTGGTGGAAAGCAGCCTCCACTCCCCTGAAGACCATGGAAAGTCCTATTCTCTAGTGGATGCTTTGCAAGATGATACTTGTCTTCAAATCTGCATCAAACTCACTTCATTGCTACTTGACTAAAACTAGGGCTGCATTTAAGCATGACTTGATCAAAGAAGTCTTGTTCTCCCTTCAAGACTAAGGAGGTTATTCACAAAAGGAGCTATGAGATGTGGTCAATAGACACAATAAGTAACTCAGAAAACATGCTTGGGAATGGGTCTTGTGGGTGCTGCACTGGAGAAGGTGGTGAATACAAAACTGGTAAGCAAATAGTTTTATGACTGAGGATCACAGCAGGATGCTGGGCAAGGTCACGGGCCAGCAGACATACTGGCTAAGAATGAGAGGAATCTAGAATTAGTGGTAGAGGAAGGAAATGATGAATAGCAATTATGGCTATGGGAACAACCATGGTGAGGAGAGCTGCAGCTTGTTCTGTTGCACTTATTGGGTTTCTATTAATTTTTAAAATACAAGCAGCTATCATGTGAAGGATCTTGACAGGTCATGACATAGCGAATGTGGAGTGTGAGGATCTGAGCGTTACAAGAGATGCCTGGTAGCAGGTAGTGGCCTTACCAATCATGTACAAGAACACAAATCATGACACTGTGGTTAAGTGCACAGCATGAAAGGGAAAGATTAATAAACAAAAAAGTTAGTACTGAAAACAGGCATATTTAAGGGAATGAGAACAACTTTCAAAATACTTTAATTTTTATTCACAAAAATATATGAGAGGATATTATATTTTTTAAAAATAATAGGGTCATATAAAGAAGTTGAAGAATATGAGAACAAGTTTGCTTTGTTAAAAGCCCTGAAATTATACAAAAATATTAAAATTAAAAGAATTTCCCATAATACAAAGAAAAAATATAAAAATAAAAAGATGCATAAAATGTTAGGAAATACATAGAATTAAACCAGGATGGCAAAATATATTACATTAGAATAAAGGAACAGAATATATAGATGAAGAATGAAAACAAAGGACTAATAAGAAAAATAGCTAAGCTTAAAAAGTAGATAAAAGCGTTTGTAATAAAAGGCTCTGCCAGGTAACCACCAGGATAAATTTAAAAAGGACCATCACCTTAGAACATCATGTTGAAATTTCAAAGAATAAAAGATGAAGAGAGGATACTAATGGCTTTAAAAAATGATCAGGTTATTGGCAAATAAATGCAAACCAGACTGTCATCAAAGAATCCATTAACAGCACTGAGTTCAAAGCTCAATAGAGCAATATCTTCAATGTTCTGAGGGAAAAGAATTTGGAATCTAGAACTTTTTACCCAACCAAATTATAAATTACGTGTACAAACAATTAAACATATTTTTGTTCTTGCAAAAGCATCTAAATTTCCCCCACGTATCCATTTGAAAATAAAACTGCTTGAGCATGTTTTAGCTAAACTGAAAACAAAAAAGCAGTAAGGAAGTCATGGGATGCAAGAATCAATGCATTTAATTAAATACACAAGGTAGTATAAAAATACCCAGCCCACAACAGGCAGAAAAAGAAATCAGTTTAATCTAAAACAGGAAGTCAAAAATGCTTTGAAAAATGTTTTTGTTAAAAATGTAGAAATAAATAATGATAATTCAGTTGCATAATTATTTATTTATAATATTATAAACCAAAATTATCTGAAAACTAAAAGTTTTTTCTAACTCCTTTGGTGGCATAGTCTGAACTGACAGGAAACAACATATTATAATCTGTATGTGTGATATTTTGTATAAATATTCATATGTTTAATTTCAGAAACATTAACATTTTTGAGTATGGAGCTATGCCTTCAAATCTACTGCAGCTGTTATAACATTTATAATACCTGACTGGTATCTCCTAACATCTAAAAAATAACCGAATTTCAAATTATATTTTGCCCCAAGGTTTTCAAAGGAGAAATTGACGAACTGCAATTGTAATAATAGCTCAGAAGACTGTATTCAGTTTTACAGATTTTATACTTCAAGAAATAACTCTAATTGTTATAAACTTTAGAAACAATGGTCGTGAAGGTTACGTCTCCTTGTTAAAACCATGCTGTTGTTCTGGAATGGCAAAGCAGTGCACAGAATCAAGGTTTGCTCATCATTTTCAATCCACAAGAATCAAGAAACACAAGCAAAGGTTAGAGAAAGCTGGGACAGAATGTGACTCCTCAGGTTCTTTCTGCTGGAAATGTGCTTTCTGTCCCAGATTGAAGGATGAAGTCTCCAAATGCAGATCACAGTCACCCTGAAACATCAAGCAATATTTTAGGTCATGAAACATCTATTTGTTTTTTTACTTAGATAGTTAGAATTTACATGAAAATTTCCAGGGATTCATGCCCACAGGAGTTAAGTTTGTCTGCCAAAAGAAATGCTAAACCAGAAACAAACTACCAAAAATATTTTTATTTTGTTAATGAAATAACACATACCATTAGTTAGTAACCAGAAGGTCAGTTGCCAAAGAGTTTATGATGCCATTGAAAGCCACCTGCCTTCTGTCTGAGCATCCTCCTGGTAGAGGGAAATCAATGGATTCCAGACCAGCTGCTTGACTCCTTTTTTGTCTACTATTTTTCTTGTGCCTATAGCAGTGTCGGGCACATGGTAGCCTGAAAAATCATTTTCTTAGTGACTAAGTTGAGTAAGTATCACCAATAGCCATGGGAGTTGTGGAACACTGTGTTCAGAAAGAATACGGAGACTCCATCTAGACCCCTGTGAAATAATAGAACATGATATGGTTGCAATGTCTTAACATATGAGCATAGGAGAGAATCGTGACAGCCCAATGTTCACACATTCTTCTCTGGAGCTCTTATAAATAGACCATAGTCTTCTTTGAAAAGGATTAACTAATAAAAATGAGTTGGTGCCCTAATGTCAACACCTATAATTTAACAATTTTCAAAATAAAAAATTTAGAAAAAGATGATAGTTTTTGAAGTCATGAATTCTAAGCTTTGTCCAGATTTCCCACTGTACTGTCATAAGGCTATTACATTATTTCTATTCTTTGGTTTGTTATTAATTATCTTCAAGAACTTAATGAGACTGATGATTGCTTTCATTGAGACAGGTGGCCTTCATCCAGATCTGTACTGTAATCCAAAAATGATTATCCTCAATCACCTATATTTGCTTGCCAGGGCTTCTATAACAAGGTGTCACAGGCTGGGTGCTTAAACAACAGAAATTTATTTCCTCATGGTCTGGAGGCTGGAAGTCTAAGATCAAAGCGTTGATAGTGTTGATTTCTCCTGAGTCCCCTATCCTAGACTCGTAGATGGTCATCTTTCCCCTCTGCCTTCACATGATCTTTCCACTGTGTGTGTCTGTATCTTAATCTCTTCTAATGAGGAGACAAATCATACTGGATAAAAGCCCATACTAAGGGCCTTAAATACCTTTTAAAAGATCCTATTCCCAAATACAGCCATAGCCTGAGGTACTGGTAATTACTTCAACATACAAACTTCAGGGAGGGGGCACAAGTCACCCCACAGCATCATCCAAAGCACAGACTTGTCCTACTGTTACACAGTATGGTTATGTTTTCAGTACTCTTTTATTCTACTTGACGTTAAGAATAGTAAATGATACTGTTTTATCATGGAAAAATATTTGGCTTTCTTCTCCAATAAGAATCATTTGTGAGTGCATGAGATGTGCTTTTGTTAATACACCAATTACTATGCTTTTGCAAAAGCACATTATTGATGGTACCAAATTATATACAAAAATTATGAAGGCAGAAACCTCTGGTACAAGAGGTGAGTAAGATATCCACCAGTTCACCATTTAAACCAATAAATCTCTGTAAAAGAAACAATTGGGAAATAAGAAACCTATTCAAAAATAATTTCTCACAAATAATAAATATATGTGAGCAAAATATTATTAGTTTCTACCATCACTGAAAACTCTCTCTAACTGATGAAAAATATACAAAAACAGTACAGTGAAAATTAGAGTTTCCAAATAATCTCTGATTTAGTGGTTTTTTATAAAATTGTCTAAGTTTCTAAAAAAAGTTTAATAAATCTTAAAAAACAATTATTTTCTTTAATGACAAGTGTTTACAGAAACTCTGATTGCTGCTCAAAAAATTAAGGTTGCTAGTGTTGTTATAAACAATCTAATTTTTTCCTTAAGAATTCTCAAATTAACTATCATTTCTAGAACTTTATATAAGGAACTATGTTTGTAAAGATTCACATTTGTTTTCTTTATTCAAATATTCACAGGGCTGGGCACAGTGGCTCACGCCTGTAACCCCAACACTTTGGGAGGCTGAGGCTGGTGGATCATGAGGTCAGGAGATCGAGATCATCCTGGCTAACACGATGAAACCCCGTCTATACTAAAAATACAAAAAATTAGCCGGGCCTGGTGGCACATGCCTGTAGTCCCAGCTACTCAGGAGTCTGAAGCAGGAGAATCACTTGAACCTGGGAGGCAGAGGTTGCAGTGAGCGGAGATCGTACCACCGCACTGCAGCCTGGGCAACAGAGCAAGACACAGTCTCAAAAAAAAAAAAAAAGAAAAAATTTTTTTACAAAACTCTGAAGTATCCCAGTACTATTTCAAAGGCAAAAAAAAAAAAACTCAAAATACTTAAGGTTTTAATATGCATTATATGTTCTATGTTTGTAAGCAAGAAGCTCTTAATTTCTTCAATCCACTTTTTATTTATTTTAGTAAAGAAAATATCAAGCAATTTGCTTAGTCAGATTATAAATTGATATATAAAAAAAATTAATTGACATAAGTTCAGTTCAGATAGAAAGAACTACACAAATTTAAAACCAGTGATTTTTCATGAATCTTGAGGTCTCGGGACAAACTGCTATCCCCAAGGCACCTGCAACGAGATACAGGATTTGAGAATTTTCTTACCTGGACAGAAGCCACTGGAATCCACAGAAACCAATTGTAAGATCAAACTGAAAATTCTGACAAATTGCTGGAAGCCAAATATGGGCTAGGATGAGAGTGAGAAATGCTTGGGATCAATAGTCGTAGGGATACCACCATGCTTTTGTAGCCTTTTCCTTCAAGAACCCCCAAAGTCTCTCAAAATGTGGATCTGCAAAAAGTACCCCCCTACACACGCCCCACCAGTACCAGTTGTGGGAAGGGACAAGTGAGATGCCCAGACATCCTTTTCACTTACAGAACAAAGTCTCAGTCCACAGGGGTAGAAAATGAGTAACGCCTCCTGAGTAGTGAAATTCCATTATAGTTAAGGGAAGCAAACTAAGTGCAGCTGCAGCCTCCCAGTCTTGCTTAGGACACAGAAAAAGCCATAATCTGCAAGAACAATGGCCTAAGGGACATTAGGAAAATTGTCCAATTGCAACCAGGAAATGGGTTAGGAGGACAGAGGGAAAAGTCTCTAGCCCTGAAGGAGAAATAGAAATGTTTCTGAAGTTCACACCCCTGAGACACAGGCCTATTGTGTACTCCAAAGACAAAGACTTAATCAGAAGATTAGATAATGCTCTTCCCATGCTCTAACCATGCTAGGAAGCCCCCATTAATAATACAACAGTGGGCTGCAGCTTACGAGTGGCAACAGATAGACTTTCTCTGAGATATGGCTAAAAGGGAAGCACCCAAATCAGAAGGGAGATTAGAAACAAGGTCACTAGAGGAGTTTGAAGCCTCTGGTTCCCACACCAACAACACACTTCAAATATAGCTCGAGTACAGATTAAATTAATTAAAATTCTCACAGTAAAGTCCTATCTACTAAAGCATCCGTTGCCTTGTGAAAAGATATTCAATTTTCAGAAGAAAAATGTAGAAAGCATGCCCACAGGCAAGAAAAAGCACAATGTGAGAAAACAAAGTAATGATCAGAGCCATACTCAGATACAACAGAGACAATGAAGTTATTAGAGAGGAATTTAAAATAATTAAAGGCAGAAAATCTGCAATATTTGATGAGTAATATCATCAGAGAGATGGAAATTATATGAAAGAATCCAATGGAAATCTTATAAATAGAAACAGTAGCAAAAACTGAAAATATTTTCAATGAGCCCATGAGTAGACTTAGGACAGCCAAATTACCTATGAAATTGAAGATGGTTCAATAGAACGCTGAAATGCAAAGAGCAAAAAGTCGAAAACACAGAATATGACAAACAGGAACTCTGAGGTAATAAACAATGTAAGATATACATCATCATTGCAATCCCACAAGGAGAAGATATTTAGAGCAGCAGAAATTTTTAAATAATCAATTACCCAAAACTTTGCAAAACTAGTTACAGACAACAAACCACACAGATCCAAGAAGCACAGACTGCACCATAACAGAATAAATATAAAGATAAAACTAACGAGCAAAAATAAATCAAACCAGACATACTATATTCATACCACTGAAGACAAAAATCCACAGAGAAAACCAAGAAGGCAGCTTGAGGTGGGGAGACAGGGCATGTCACCTGTGGATGAACAAGACCAATAATTACAACAGACTTCTCATCAGAAACCAGGCAAGTAAGAAGACACTGGACTGAAATGTTTGAAATTTTGAAAGAAAAAGTTGACAATCAGAAGCTGCATGTCCAGAGAAAATATTCTTAAGAAGTGAAGAAGTAAAAACTTTCTCAGATAATGGAAAACAAGAAATTTATTGCCAGCAGAACTGTCCACAAGATATGTTAAAATAAATTATCCAGGTAGAAGGAATATGACATAGGTCAGAACAGTGGATCTATGAAAATTAAAAAAGAATGTCTGAAAAGGCATAAATTAAAATAAAATATAATATATTTTTATAGAGAAATGCTCTAAATGTTGGGTCAGGATGGCAGACTAGAGCAGCTCATGTGTGCCACTCATGGAAAGCAAAACATAGGGCTGGTGAACACTGACCCTACAGGCTGATCATGTAAGAAGCCATGCTAAGATCCATCAAGGCATCAGGGGGACACAGAGAACAGAGAGGGGGCAAAACTGGGCACTAGCCTAACAGGGCCCAATGTGGAGCCAGGAGAAGCTCCCCGACTCAGGAAAGGGTAAATGAATGAGAGTCCCTTGGGGGATTTATACTTTCCACAGGGACCCTTGCAAGACTTGGGAATGATAGAAGCCCCTTGGCCCCCTCCACTGCACTTCTAAGCTGAGGCAGAAAGTCTCCCTTTTGTGGAGGCAACCATCAAGTCCAAGGGGTCCTCTACAAGCCTTGGACCCTGAAACAGACAAGCATAAGCACTATAGCTCCAATAGAAGCCACAGTTGCAGTTCATGGGAGCAGTAAGATGGCTCCACCCTACTTCACCAGACAAGGCTCAGTACCAGCTTCCAGCCTGGTGGTCCTGCTTTGCCTGAACTTGGCCAGCAGCTGCAGCCTCCTGTTGTCCTAGGAGGTACCCAGACGACAGGGCCAGCAATCCCCCAGACTCCACCCCTGCCACTGGTAGCCAGGAAGGCAATGCATGCTAGAGCTTCCAGCCCAGCCATCCTGCTTTTATGTGAACTCAGTCAGTCAGGTGCAGCCTTCTGTTGTCCCCAGAAGCAACCAGACACCAGGGATGGTGAGTGATTCATCCACCACTGCCACTGTTAATCAGGTAGTCAATGCATGCTAGAGCTAATAGCCCAGCAGTCCCACTTCTGTGTGGACTGTGTTGATGGGTACAGCATCCTTTCATCCTGGGAAACACCTGGATGGCAGGGCAGGCGACCCCACCCATCCCTGCCACTGGTAGCCAGGTGAGCAATGCCAGCAGGAGCTTTTGGCCAAGAGGACCCACTTCTTTCTGAATTCTGCCAAGCAGTACAGCCTCCTGTTGCCCTGGAAAACACCTAGATGGCAGAGAGGACAACACCACCCACCCCACTTCTCTTAGTTAGATGGGCCGCACCTCCCAAAGCTTCCAGCGCAGTGGTCCCACTACTGCCTGAAGTCTCTGGGCAGGCACAACCCCATGTTTTCCTGGGAAGAACTCAGATAGCAAATTGGGTGACCCCACCCACACCCACATCTTCTAGCTCAGCAGAACTTGCTGGTTTGGGCAGTGTCTAAGCAGGGAGGATCCCTTACTCTCGAATTACTGAGAGAAGTGAGATGCTCGGGTTTACAGATCAGTGGAGGAGTAGGGTGACCCGAGGAGGATACAGCCTGGCTGCAAACTGCAGCCCCTGACTGAGGGAGCCCCATGGACCAGAACAGCCAACAAAAGAAATGTGAGCACAGAGACAGTCATCAGAGGGGGCTCCTCCAAGACACAGGAGTGGACTATGTAAAGGAGTCTTTTCTTTCCCCATCCACCACGGAGCACTACTGCCAACTACACCGAAACACACACAAAAAAGCCGTGCAGCCAAGTAAGAGCATATCTGATGGCTAACACTCTTCACCACCACCTACTGGATCATAGTCCAAAATACAATACCAAAATATATTGCCAATATGAAGCACTTGTGAAAATGAAAGCAAAGTCTCCCATCAGTGCCCCACACCAGTCAATGTGTGTGCACCCTGCTGCACCACCATACCTGCTGGCACATGCAAGCAAGCACAGTTGCCACTGCCACCACCTTGATGAAGCACTTTGACCAGCGACATCCATCATAGTGTTGTGTCCAGAAGACCAGGAACACGTCAATCCCTGCAACACAGCAGGTTCCTATCCTCAAGGGTTCAGAGAACAAAACCAGGGACTTTGTCCCAGTCCCCTAGAGTTACAGCATGAGGAAGCACAGAACTGAAGCTTGGCTACCCGAAATCTTCCAGAACCAAAGGAAGTTGACTGAACCCACCTTATACCAAAATAAAACCCCAAAGGACATCAGAGAAGATAAAAGTCCCCCAGAATATCTCTCCAAAGGACAGCAACTCCAAAGATGAAAGGAACAGCCACCCACACAAATAAGAAGGAGCTAATACAAGAACTCTGGCAACTCAGAAAGCCACCATATCTTCTTACCTTCAAACAACTACACTAGATCCCCAGTAATAGTTCTTAAGCAGGTTGAAATGGTGGAAATGACAGAAATAGAATTCAGAGTATGGATAGGAACAAAGATCATCAACTTTCAGGAAAAAGTCCAAAACCCAATTCAAGGAATCTAAGTAATCCAATAAAATGACACAGGAGCTAAAAGACAAAATGGCCATTTTAAGAAAGTACCAAAATGACCTGATAAAACTGAAAAACTCACTTCAAGAATTTCATAATACAATCACAAGTATTAAGAGCAGACTCAACGAAGCTGATGAAAGAATCTTAGAGCTTGAAGACCAGCTCTCCAAAATAACTCAGTGAGACAAAAATAAAGAAGACCTCTGAGAAGCGTGGAATCATGTAAAGAGAACAAATCTTACACTCATTGGCATCCCTTAAAGAGAGGGAGAGAAAGCAAGCAACTTGGAAAACATATTTGAGGATGTCATCCATGAAGATTTTCCCAACCTCGCTAGAGAGGGCAATATTCAAATCCAGGAAATGCAGAGAACCCCTGTGAGATACTATTCAAGATGACCATCCCCAAGACATAGTCGTCATTCTGCAAGTTCAAAAGGAAAGAAAAATTGTTAAACATGGTTTAAAGAGAAGGGGCAGGTTATCTACGAAAGGAGCTCCATAAGGCCAACAGTGGACCTTTCAGCAAAATGTCCAAGAGCCAGAAGAGATTCAGTGCCTATACTAACCAGTCTTAAAGAAAAGAAATTCCAACCAAGAATTTCTTATGCAGCTGGAATAAGCTTCATAAGAGAAGGAGAAATAAGATCCTTATCAGACTAGCAAATGCCAAGGGCATTTGTTACCACCAGACCTGCCATGTAAGAGGTTATTAGGGGGGTGCTAAATATGTAAAGGAAAGATTGTTACTCTCCGTCACAAAAATACACTCAAATCTATAGACCATTAACACTATAAAGCAACCACACAATGAAGTGTATATAATAAACAGCTAACAACACGATGACAGAATCAAACTCATACACATCAATATTAACCTTGAAATTAAATGAGCTAAATGCCCCCATTTAAAAGGCACAGAGTGGCAAGTTGGATAAAGAGGCAATACCCAACTATATGTTGTCTTCAAGAGATCTATCTCACATATAGTAACACCCATAGGCTCAAAGTAAAGAGATAGAGAATAATCTACTAAGCAAATGGAAAACAGGAAAAAAGCAGAGGCTGCTATTCTAATTCCAGACAGAACAGACTTTAAACATGCAATGATCAAAAAAGACAAAGAAGGGCATGGATCATTGAGACAGAAAACTAGCAAAGACACTTGAACAATGGGAGTAACAGACATCTATGAAAGTCTACACCCAAAAACAACAGAATATACATTCTTCTCATCTGAACATGGCACATATTCTAAAATCAACCAGAAAACAATCCTCCAAAAATTCCAAAAAAAAAACTGAAATCATACTAAACACAGCCTTGGACAGTAGTGCAATAAAAATAGAAATCAATACTAAAAAGACATTCAAAACCATACAATTACATGGAAATTTAACAACCTGCTCCTGAATGACTTTTGGATAAAACAGTGAAATTAAGGCAGAAATCAAGAAATTATTTGGAACTGATAAGAACAAAGATACAACATGCAAGAATCCATGGGACAAAGCTAAAGCAGTGTTAAAAGGGAAGGCTATAGTGCTAAATGCACACGTGAAAAACTTAGAAAGATTCCAAATTAACAATCTTACATCAAAACTAAAGAAATAAAATCTTATCCAACCCACATTATTTCGTTGTTGTTTTAGGCTTTTAGCAGCTTGAAGCCATGGTTTTTAGTTTCTGTCTCTGGTGATAGGCAGAAAAGTGGAATAAGGAAGGATCTTTACTGGCCCAATCAGAAACAGAAACTAAGAAACCATGACTGTATTATTTCCCTTGGGAGCCCCTGAAAACAAGAGCAAACCAACCCCAGAGATATCAGAAGACAGGAAATATCCAAAATCGGTGCTAAATTGAATGAAGTTGAGAAAAAAAATTATGAAAGACCAACAAATCCAAGGCTTTGTTTTTTTTTTAAGAATTAATAAGACAGATAGACTGCTAGCCAGACTAATAAAGAGAAAAAAGAGAAGATCCAAATAAACACAACCAGAGTTGACAAAGGGGACATTACAACCAACCCCACAGAAATACAAAAAAAAAAAAAAATCCTCAGAGACTACTATGAACACCCGTATGCACACAAACAAGGAATCCTACAAGAAAGAGATAAATTCCTGGAAACATGCAGCCTCCCATGATTGAACCAGGAAGAAACTAATTCCCTTAACATACCAATAACAAGTTCTGAAATTGAATCAGGAAATAAAGAAAAGCTTACCCTCTAGAAAAAACCCAGGACCAGAGAGATTCACAGCCAAATGCTACCAAGTGTATAAACAAGAGGTGGTACCATTCCTACTGAAACTACTTCAAAAAATTAAGAAGGAGGGGCTCCAACCGGACTAATTCTACAAGGTCAGCATCATTCTGATACCAAAATTTGGCAGAGACCCAACAACGAAAAAGAAAACTTTAGGCAGATATCCTTGATGATAAAATTGTAAACAAAATGCTGGCAAACCAAACCCAGCAGCACATCAAAAAGCATATACACCACAATCAAGTAGGCTTAGTCCCTGGGATATAAGGTTGGTTCAACATACATAAATCAATAAATGTGATTCACCATATCAAGAGAACTAGAAACAAAAAACACATGATCTTCTCAATAGATGCAGAAAAGTCTTTCAATAAAATTCAACCTCTCTTTATGTTTAAAACCCACAACAAGCTAGGCATTGAAGGAACATATCTCAAAATAATGAGACCTATCTTTGACAAACTCACAACCAACATTGTACTGAAGGGCCAAAAGCTGGAAGCATTCTCCTTAATATATAAACAGAAGAAAACAAGGATGCCCATTCTTACCACTCTTATTTTGACATAGCAGTAGAAGTCCTAGCTACAGCAATCAGAGAAGAGAAAGAAAAAAAGTCCATCAAAATAGGAATTGAGGAAGTCAAACTATCTCTATTTGTAGACAATAGGATTCTATACCTAGAAAACCCCACGGTTTTGGCCACCAAACTCCTAGATCTAATAAACAGCTTCAGCAAAGTTTCAGAATACAAAAATTAATATACGAAAATCAGTAGTATTTCTATACCCCAACAGTGTCCAACCTGAGAGCCAAATTGTTGCATTCACAATAGCCACAAAAGAATAAAATACCTAGAAATACAGCTAACCAGGGAGGTGAAAGATCTCTGTAATGAGAATTACAAAACAGTGCTCGAAGAAATAACAGATGGCATAAACAAATGGAAAAACATTACATGCTCATGGATAGGAATAATCAATAAGGTTAAAATGATCATATTGCCCAAAGCATTGATAGCTAGATTCAATTCCTAGCTATCAATGACATTCTTCACAGAATTAGAAAAAAAAAATCTTAAAATTCATACGGAACAAATACAGAGCTTGAATAGCCAAGGCAATTATAAGCAAAAGAACAAAGTTGGAGAAATCACGTTACCTGACTTCAAACTATGCTACAAGCCTATAGTAAGCAAAACAGCATGGTACTGGTACAAAGACCAATTGAATAGAATTGAGAGCCACACACTTCAAACCATCTTGTCTATGACAAAGTTGACAATAACAAGCAATGGGGAAAGGACTCCCTTTTCAATAAATGGTGCTGAGATAACTGGATAGTCATATGCAGAAGATTGAGACTGGACCCCATCCTCACACTATATACAAAAAAAAAAACACCCAAAACTATAAAACCTTAAGAGATAACCTAGGAAATACCATTCTGGACATAGACCCTGGCAAAGATTTTATAACAAAGATGCCAAAAGCAGTGGCAACAAAAGCAAAAATTGACAAATGGGTTCTAATTAAACTAAAGAGCTTCTGCACAGCAAAAGAAACTATAAGCAGAGTAAACAGACAACCTATAGGATGGGAGAAAAATTTAGCAAAATGTTTAACAGATGTTTATAACACAGATGATGGTGAGTTTGACGAGAAAAGGGGACACTTATACATGGCTGGTAGAAATCTAATTTAGTTCAGCTATTGTGAAAAGCAGCGTGGTGGTTCCTTAAAGAGCTTAAAACAGAAGTAGTATTTGACTCAGCAATCCCATTATTGGGTACATACCTAAAGGAATATAAATCATTCTAGCATAAACACACATGCCACACATATGTTCACTGCAGCACTTTTTACAGTAGCAAACACATGACATTAATCTAACTGCCCATTAACCATTGATTGCATAAGGAAAATTTGGTACATAGGCATTATGGAATACTACAACATCATAAAAGTAATGAGATCCTGTCCCTAACAGCAACATGGATGGAGCTTGAGGCTGTTATCCTAAGTGAACTAACACAGGAACAGAAAACCAAATATTACATGTTCTCACTTATAAGTAGGAGCTAAACATTGAGTACACATGGACACAAAGAAGAGAACAACAGACACCAGGGCCTACTTGAGGGTGAAGGGTAGGAGGAGGGAGAAGATCAAAAAACTACCTATTGGAGTCTATGCTTATCACCTGGGTGAAGAAATAATCTGTATGTCAAACTCCCAGGATGCACAATGTACCTATATAACAAATCTATACATGTATTCCTGAAAGTAAAATAAAAGTTAACAAAAAAATGCTTTAAGGGAATATTCACTCTGAAAATTCAGAGAAATGCCTAAAAATTCTAATGACCTCAGATTTATCATCAGAAACTGTGATTTTTTTCAACAGCAGTTAGAATAATTGGCCAACACTATACAAAAAAAAAGAAATTTGACACAAATCTTAAACTTCACAAAAAGTTCTTAAATTTTTTATAGATCCAAATCTGAAATATAAAGTTATAAAATCAAAGTTTTAAAGAGAAAATCTTCCTGTCCTGTGATGAGACAAAAGTTTCTTATACCTGATCAAAGCTATAAAACGGACAAAGTGGAGTCTGTATTTTTAAAAATTTTCTTGCAAAGACCCTATTAAAATCATGGAAGGACAGATTTTTACACCTGCATAAATCTTTTAAAATTACATCTGTAAAGGACTTGTATCCAGAATATAAAAAGACCTCTCAAAATCTAAGTAAAAGGAAATTGAAAACACAATTAATAATGGACAAATAATTTGAAAAGATACTTTATCAAATAGGGTATACAGACAGAAAATAGACAAAAATGTGCATTATTAGACTATGGGGAGCTGCAAATTAAAACTCCAATGAGATATCACTATACACTTAATAGAATGGTTAAAATAATACCAATACTAAAGGCGGGAGAGAATGCAGAGCTAGTGGCAACCTCAGACAAGGCTGGTGGGAATGCGAAATGGTACAGCCCTTAGGAAATCACGTTAGCAATGTCTTATAATTCTCTATCTATATCTGTAGTATGGTCCAGCAATCTACTTCTAAGAATTATACTAGATAAATAAAAAGTTGAGTGCAAACAGAAACCTATACACCAATTTACGTAGTAGCTCTGTTCATAACAGCCCATGTTTTTCAAACCAAAATGTTTTCAACTGGTAGACGTATACAAAATGGAATATGAATCAGCAATAAAAATGAACCAGTTATTGATACACCCAGTAAGTTGTCTGAATCTCAAAGTTATGATACTGAGTGAAGGAATTCAGTCTTGAAATGATTCTCCCGTTTGCCAGAGGCTCACTGTTAGGAAAGTATACGGTTGGGGGATTATATAACTATGAAGATGTTTTCTAGGATGATAAAACCATCCTGTTTTTTAATTTGTGATAGTTACACAAATCTGTACAGATGGTAAAGTTTATAGAACTGTACACCAAAACAAATAAGTTTAATGTTTTATGTACTTACTTTAGAGATATGAAAAACCACAATTTAGATATATGTGAATGGATGAAAAGTTGACAAGGAGTGGATTTGGTTTATGTAGAGCTATGTTTCCCAGAGTCCCCTCCTCAGTACGATTTGGGGTTAGGGTTGATTTCAAAGGCTTTGCATGTGATTTGGCATGAGGATGTAAAAAATAGCTATCACTATATGAACACCATTGAAAGGCTCTTGTGGCAGAGGCAGAGTAACCAGCAAATTCCAGCTTGTTCTTGCTCTATTAAATAACACACCCATTTCTTATTCCTGACTCTTGCCCATAATGACCAACGATCAAACCTATCACCAGAACTTTGTGTGCAGACTCACAGTGAGGGGAGGCTGATAGCTACCTACAGACTTCTCAGTCAGTCATCTTTATAGAGGTCCACTCTGGTGTCTATATCACTGGCTGTTCATTTTGATCCATGAAGCCTGATGTGCATCACCTCAGTTTCTTGGAATTTGGTCTCCACTCTGAGAAAAAGACTGTGCTGGCCTACTGAGAAGAGATCATGTGGAGCAAAAATTGAGTTTTCCAAGCTATAGCCATTCTAACCAGTCCAACCCTTGCTGACCCAGCAGCTCACAAGACAATGAGAAAAACCAGCTGAAAGAGCCACGGCTGGCCCAGATTTACAGAACCCTAGACCCGTGGTGATGGTTTTAAGCCCCTATGTTTTTGGTTTCTTATGCAGCAGAGGGCAACATACAACTCACATACTTGTTACAATCTATTTTGTTATTCATGAAAAATAGTTGGAACTTTTATTGAGAAACATCAATCATCTATGTACCAGGCACTAGAGTAGGGATTTCATACGGTTTATCATATTCTCACAAGAAGAATTTAGAGAATCTAAGTAAATTGTCTTACATTACTTTCCTATAAGTGGCTACATGTGAAACTCAAACTCAAGACTCTAGTGTCCATTATTTTTCTGCTGCACCCTTCTGCCCCCTCCTTGTGTGAAAATAATTTAGAGTCCAGGATAAATTTTTGGTGGAAAACATTATTTGAAATGACCTCCCTTCCCCTGATTATGCTTAGCTCCACATAAACACACACACCCACACACCTTCTTTAGTGACAAGAAATTAATAGCTAATAAATAAAATCAATCAAAATGAGGCAACTTTTTTAGATAATCGCCAAATTAAATTAGCAGATCCTATACACAAAGTAGCTTGAGTTTGCAATGTTCCATTTTAAAAGGAAACCTACATTCCAAAAGCTAAGAATCTCTCTTCCAGTAAAATCTTCATGTTTTTCTACTCTATCATACTAACTTCCACCTAAATTACTGTACTTAAAAAAAAAATTTTGCTTGGCTCTATTCATTGTTACCTAAAGCTTTCTGTAGTATAACAATTCTATAAATATATGTTAGAAAGTAAAAAAATATCTAGACCGTAACAAGCAACCTTTGAGGATCTTCATTTTTGTGTACATAATTTATTTTGCTTACCTTGAGAACTTTGGAAGGCAATTAAGAAAAGAAATAAAATATCCCCTGCTTTCTTTTTATAGTTTCACAAAGGCAGGAGATACTATCTGGCCTTCTCTAGCTTAGGGATTATTAAAAAGTTGCCACTTTGATGTATGTATAGAAAAAAGTGTCTCTAAGAATTGCTCACAGGTTTCTGGATATGCCAAAACAGAGCAAACAGATAAAGATGAAGATGCTAGAAATCCCATGTGGCTTATGACAGATTTGCAAAATGATAATTCTTAATAATGCATAGTTCAATTTTTTTCATCAAGCATAATAACATTGTAATATTTTCCTTTATTTTTCTCACAATAAAGTCACTAGAAGAAAAACACATTTTTTTCCAAGCTAAGTGAGGGTCATAAGCAGGTGAGCAAAGAATGAATTACTTATTGATACATCAAAGGAAAAGAATAGTTTGTGATAGCTACCGACATAAATTTTGTATTTTGAGCTAAAGTCCTAGTTTCTAATTATTTCATTTTGTCCTTTCAATATGGCGTTCTGGGAAGCATAGACCATGTTTTCTATTTTATTTATTGTAATAGAAACTGTATTTTCTTATTTCAGATTTCACTAGGGATTATAATTCAAAGACCATTTATCTTTCTCACTATTTAAAATGCCCTTAGCAGCTATCACCCTAGTGTAAAAGCCAGTGAATTTTGGACCCTTACCTTTTTTTAATGTGCTGCTTGGAATATGCATGCAGGACAAAAATTGCAACTTCTGCGTTCTCTTGTTAGAAATGAGAACGGTTTGTTATTTTTCCATATTTTAGCAAACTGAATGTTTAGCAAACTGTGAATGTACATTAAGAAATGAAATGTACACATCATTACAACTCCTCACTTAAATATGTACCAGGAAGATAATTCTGCTGCTGGAGTTAGAGTACTTATTGTTCCAAATATTTGGCATATAGTTTCTAGGCATTGTAAGACTTCACTTTTTCCTCCCTGTTGCATTATTAATTTCTGTAAAAATACTAGAAATTTTTTCACTGTTAAAAATAGCAAACTTTGGGTCAAGTGCAATTTGGCATATCAACCTTCTGCAAATGTTAAAATAAAAAATGGCCTTTGGTATTGTAGGCAAATTACCTCTGTTTTATTTCCTTTAAATATTATAAAATGATCATTTGTAATGAAAAGTTCAAAATTTTTACTTTATTTAAAAGGAAAAATTAGAATTTAGCTTGAACTATGATAATAGAACTTAGTCATGTAGCAAAGAAATGTTGAAGAAAAAAAGTCATAGATTGCACCTAATGTGAAACACACACGACATTTTAGTTGCATGCTATATATGTGTTAATATTTTATTGACTTTAAGTGCCATAAATCTCTAATTTGTTATGAAAACAGATATAAAACTATGATTGTATTATAATCAATAAAACAATGAGAATAATGTAAAAGTGCTAGCAGAACTGAGTTTTCTAGTAAATAAACTTTTGATTAAAAACTATAACAGATTTTTAGGTAATATTTAACTTACAATGTTTCAAGTTCTCATTCGTGTTTGATGCCAGCCATTTCAAGTTCAATCGTATATGAGTATAGTAGATTGACATAGTGGACCAACTTAGTCTAAATATTTTATTTTAAAATTATAATTAATTTTTGAAATTACATAAACAAAAATGGCCTTTCAGTCATTATGTCTATGAATTCCGAGCCTGTATCATTATTTCCAATGTCTAAAATGTATTTGTGAAGATTATTCAAAGCACCCAGAGGATGAAAGAGGCCATTTTATTACCACGAAAAGAACTCTTCTGAGAGTTGGAAGAGTTTTACTCTACGTTCATCCACTAACTTACCTTTGAGGCCTTAGGAAATTCAGTGGAGCTTAATTGGCAAGTTTTCACTTTTCAATAAGAAAAGAAAATTTGACAACATTATTTCTTTTTTTTATTATACTTTAATTTCTAAGATACATGTGCACAACGTGCAGGTTTGTTACATATGTACACATGTGCCATGTTGGTGTGTTGCACACATTAATTCATCATTTACATTAGGTATTTCTCTTAATGCTATCCCTCCCCCATCCCTCCACCTCATGACAGGCCCTGGTGTGTGATGTTCCCCTCCCTGTGTCCAAGTGTTCTCATAGTTCAGTGCCCACCTATGAGTGAGAACATGCAGTATTTGGTTTTCTGTCCTTGCGATAGTTTGCTCAGAATGACTACGTGATTTCTAAGGCCTACTTTACTTTAAACATAGAAACCTAATCACTGATGACTCTTCACTGCTCATGAACACGAAACACATTTCAGCACACACTGGATTCCAAGCCTTCTAAGGAGGGAAGGGCCCATATCCGTATTGTCATCACATAAACCCCCAGTACCCAGCTCAGTGCTGTATATATCCATACGCAAGGCACTGATAGAAATTTACTGAGTAAATGAACACATGAATGAATATTTTCTCCCAAATTACTGTTTTCTCCCAAGTTAATACTTTTCTTGTCATGAAATGATCTTGCCTGGTGATTATTTTTCATTGTCTAATGTTATTCCAGTTATTGTTATTAGAATCAGAATGCTTATCAAGCAAGTATAATGAATTTTAAAAGCACAAAAGTTTGGTTTTCTTTGCTGATTTGATGTGGGTAACCTTGACTTGCCAGACCTTCACTCACAGATTCAAAATTTTAGAAGGAATTTATTCAGCCTTAGGAATGGAAAATTATTTAAAATTATAGAAAATATGGAATATTTGTCCCCTTAAAGTGAACTAGAAAATCCAGAGCAACCCTCCTACTAAGAACCATAGACAAAGCATAAACCGGACTGGGGCCTTACAAGGCTCTGAAGCTTATGAGGCCACAATCTTGGTAGGAGACGGAAATTCAAAGAGGATTCTTCTTTTCAATTCTGAAAGAGGTGTCTGACACTCAATGAATATGAGCAGGATGTTTGAGGGTTTTGTGAGAAGAAAAGGATAAAAGTTGAAATTAACAGCCAACGAGTTTGGGGCTCTGCTAAACTGCCTGAATTTAGCAAGGAGCCCTGAAAAGCTGTACCTCAGAAATAAGGGTGAAGCAACCCTACTTCCAACCTCCAATCTCAGTCTCTGAAATTGGGGTAGGAGACCACAGACTGCTAGGGTCTCTGAGAGGTGCCTGGCAGAAGTAAATGCAAATCTCCTCTGAAAGAAGTTAATGTTGTCCTAGGCCTCCAAATAATTCTTAAAACAATTTTATTACATACGCTGCTTGGCACCTAATAACAAAAGAATGAAGCTGGAAGTAAGTGTTGTTTGTTTCCCCAGAGAAGGTCACTCTTTATCTTCCTTACAATAGATTTTACTTCCATATAAATTTGTCACTAAGTATAAATTTCAGTCTTATTGTATTCTTTATTTCTTTGTATGTATTTTAATCAGAACCTAAATGAATCATATAAATTCTGAGACTGGCAACACCACCAACTTTCAAAAAATGTGTCAGAGCTATTGTTTAGCATATAAAAGGAAAAGTAGTACTGTCTTTCTTCTATGACAAAATTTTTGTCACTGCTGAAGTAAAATAACATTGCTGAGGGAAAGATTTGTTTTCTCCCACGAATACTGGCATAATTAAAATGGATATAGTTGAAGCATTCTGGTCTTCTATGGTTGTGATTTATTTCCACTGACAACTTTTTTAAAGTGTGTATTGATGTTTGAGGAGGGAAATTCTGTGAATCCAATTTTTTTAAAAGCATATGCACTTAATATTTTCGTGTCACAATTGTGAAACTATTACATAGCTAGTACGTCATATGTGGTGTGTACAATTTGCTCTTGTTTACTGAATCAGAAATTTATATGGCAGCAACTAATGAAATGTGTTTTCTCTTGCAAATGAATTTTTAAAATATTAAATTAAAAAGTGTTTTTCCTATTTTAATTACAAAATTATAAAATAACACCAGAGAGTTGTGTTATAGAAAAATGTTGCAAACACATTAGCTTATCAGCATTCAGTCAACATCTTGGAATTCCCAAGGGGTTGGTATTTGGACATGGGGACTTTGGGAGGAGATTAAGTCATTAGGGCAGAGCCCTCATGAATGAGATTAGTGCTTTTCTAAGAAGAGACTGGAGAGATTTGCCTCTCTGTGTCTGTTCTCTGCCACCTGACACCACCAGAAGATGGCCATCTATAAGTCAAGAAGCAAACTCCCTTTAGACACCAGATCTGCTACTCCCTCCAGAACTATGAGAAGTAAATGTTGTTCAAGCCAGCCAGTCTAAGGTATGTTTGTTATAGCAGCTTGAACTGACTGAGACATTTAGCGTTTGATACATGTTAACTCACCAAATCCTCCCAACAGCAACATGATAGAGAATAATGCCCCTAATAATGATGACCTTTAAGTAGCATTTACTATCTTAGCATAATAAAATATCACAGTGATCAAATATTAAGTAATTGTTAACATTTCTGTTCTACACATGAGATGCATAAAATTAAGTTCCTAAATCAAGGTCACAAAGAAAGCAGTGACAGGACGAGTGGTGGAAGTGAGCAAGTATAGCTTCCCCAGTCCTGGTTCCCAGCAAACACTCCTAGCAAGAAAAAGGGACCTCTTCTCTTGCCCTCTCTCTGTCTTATTCTTCTACTTTCCCTTCTTTTCTCTCTTTTCTTTTTTCTCTCCCTTTCACTATGCCTCTTTGTCCCTCTCTTTCTAAATCAATCTGCAAGTGGACAAACATTTTAATTGAGTATGATAATTGGTTTTTGAATCAGACAGAGAGGATCTGCTCTCTTTCCAGAATCACAAATATATAGATTTTAATATTGTATTTAATTACATCTATCATATTTCTATTATTGCTAACAAAGTTTTATACACACAGATACACACACACACGGCCCAAGCAAATCAGTTTAATAACAGTGAAAAATATTAACCAAGATTTTGGTTAATTTTCTTCAAAAGGTTTAAAACCATGAGGGCTGTATAAGTATAATCTCTCAATCAGAACCCATGAAATTTTGATAAAATGCTTTTTCACATGTTAATCTCATAAAACTAATAAAAATTCATTTTAAAGTAAAATGTGATAAAATATGTATTACATTTTGTAGGAACATCTCAATTGTGACAAAAGAACTTTGATGTAAAATGTCAAGTACTTACAATTTCTTTAATTACCTGAAGCTTTTTTTCTCTTTTCTATACCACAGTGGCTGACTAATCTAGGGGTAATACGTTATTTCACCAAATAATGCTGATAGTCTGCTTTATTGCAGTACAGATTTAGAGATGTACTACAGACTCGATGCTGTATAACATGGCTGAAGCCTGGTTATCATTTTTAGTAAATGCAAGGAGTCAATAAATAGTATAATAAAATTTACTGTCCTATTAGTGCTAATTAGGTTAGCTTCATTTGACTCATTTGCTGCTGCAGACTTGTCTTATAATTTGTCTTTTCTTAAAAGATGTCGGTACTTGTGAAAGAGCATCATCATCAAATGTGTAATTTTTTAATCTAGAAAATAATACTCAAGTGCCAAGTCTTAAAATGTATGATGCACAGGTCCTTTGAAAGCAACTGCCTCCTCCACCACATAGCTACCTATCACTTGTAAAGTGTCTTCTAGCAATTAGTACCTTATGGTAAAGAAAACAATCTTCTCTTTTGTAACATACTAACATCACATCAAAATGATCCATAATCAAGATGAGAAAGGCAGCAATAGAGTTATCAGGAAGCTATGTTTTAATGCTTTTTAAAAGAGGCTAAATGCTTTGCAAAAGAATAGTTTATTTCCGAGAATCAAGCAGGAGGAGGTATTGCAGTTGGTTCACATATTACAAGAAGAAAGCAAAGATATAAAAGGCAGATGAACTTACTGGAGATTCAAGGCCATGGATATTTAACAGGTATTGAAGATTATATATCACATCCTACATCCTCCTAAGGAACATTTTCAAACAACCCCACCATCAAATAGATACAGTTATGCACACATGACCAAAATGAATGGAATTAAAACAACACAACAACCAAAATACACAACCCCAAAGATATGTTTTATATAATCGACATTTTCATACACATGCTCACATACACACACACACACACACACACACACACACACACACACACACACACACACGATGCCAGCTAAGACATGTCAAAATCTAAAGCAGCTGGAGTGCAAACCAATGTATTGCTTAAATACTCAAAATGTAGATTGTTGTGACAACACTGGATTTCCATATTGTATCATCAGTGTAATATAGAAGGTATGTACTCCTGGTGCCCACGTTACCTTTTCCGGTTCTGGAAGATACATTATCTTCTCAGTCCCATCCATAAGAAGGAGTGACTATAGTGAATCTATGAAGTGCTGTTAATATATATATATATATATTCAGCCTCAAAAACACTCAATCCAAATTTTCTAAAAATAAAATAATGTCTCAAGTAGAAGCCTTTATTAAATTTTAGAAATATAGTACTAGGTGGTGTTTTATATGGAGTTAATTTATCTGGTACTGAGTCAAGGCTTACCAAGGTTAAGCTTAGAGGGAGAGGAAAATGCAGTACTCATATTCACCTCCCACAACCCCCAAACAAGGGAAAGCATTTAAAGAGTTTTCAAAGTGATGTTCTTTAAAAGGTGAATTTCCTTTGAAGTAAATAAGACTTGGATCAAAAAACAGAGTTAGACAAATTTGAATAAATGCATTATTTTAAAATTCTGAGCACAAAAATATCCATGTAGACAATTTCATAGCATAAGTAGATAAATAAAAGCATCACTTTAAAAACAAAAGGCAAAAGAGATTAAAGTAAAAACTTAAATTGAAAGAACGTGGGTAAAGGAATATAATACTTTGAGAATAATGTTCAATATCTTCCAGTGTTGAATTTTATGAGTATTTCATTGCTGCTTTCCTTTTTAAATTTCTGATTTTTATCAAATCTGAGGTATCCAATCTCCTTGAAAAAGCCTGTTATTTAATTTATCTTGTTTAGTAAATTAAACACATACATGCACTTTGAAATTAATTCCATTCAGGTTTATCATAAAGGAGACAGAGATTTCTGGTAATTCATAGAACAAAATAAGAAAGACTCTTCACACCGCTGTATTTCTAAATTTACTAATTAGAGTTGACACAATTATCTGTAGATTTGATCTTTTAAATCATGGTCTACAGAACTCTTTAATCTCACAGGTGCTTAGAGTACTTAAATAAAATAATGTTAAAATTTTGCCTTTGAAATACTTTATCCTATAATTTGAAAACATACTTACTATAAATTGGTTTAGAATAATGATACTTCAACTCTACTAAATTATATTTTTAAAGTATAATTAGTCAAGTTTTATCTCCTCAACAGAAACTTTTCTTTCATTTGTGTTCCCTTCTCATATTTCAAATTACTCTCTTCTCCTAACAAGTACTTCCAAAAGGCAAACAGATCAATTGTCTACCAAAAGGGGGTACATTCATTAGTTACCATGACAATGTTCCAGATAGCATGGACAGGAGACAGAGATTGCTGTTCCAAGTCTCAAAGACGTTAATTTGCATTTCCATCCCCACATCCAGCTTGGACATATTCATCGTTGCCTATAATTCAAGAAAGTATATGTTATTGCAGAACATCGTTAGAACCATACATATCATTATGAAAGATGGATGAAAGACTAGTTTTTACTAATCCTAGTAGGACTTTAGCTCATGATCATCCTTCTTTCCCTATGTTAGTCTTCTCATGCTGCCCTGACAAAATACCACAGACTAATGTCTTAAACAACAAAAATGTATTTTCTCACAGTTCTGGAGGCTAAAAGTCCAGCATCCAGGCATCAACCTGGATGACTTCTGATGGGGACTTCTTTCCTGGCTTACTTTCTTGCTGCATCCTCATGTGGCCTTTTCTCTGGGCATGGAGAAAGTGCTTTTGTGTCCTCTTCTCTTTATAAGGACTCCAGTTCTAGTGGATTCTGGTCCCACCCCTATGACCTGATTTTGCTTTATTTATGTCCTTAAAGACTTTATCTCCAAATATATTTGGTTTTAGAGCTTTGATATAATAATTTGGCGGGGACACAGTTCAGTCCATAACACCACCCGTCTGGCTAAACCCAAATTGCCTGGGCAACGGTTGCCCAACTGTGACTACAGTCTTTGCTTCCCACGACAATCTGCTTCATGTCTATGGTAACCCAAGTTTTTCCACAGCTTCCAA
This sequence comes from Homo sapiens, assembly GCF_000001405.40. NCBI lineage: Eukaryota > Metazoa > Chordata > Mammalia > Primates > Hominidae > Homo > Homo sapiens. The sequence continues at coordinate 12,368,085 of NC_000005.10, read as the reverse complement.
GAATTCAGTGAATGATTCTTAGAACAAAATTTAAAATTGACTGTATTCCTCAGCCTATTTTATAAAACCTTTATATTTCTTCCCTCCACAGAATTCCCACCTTTGAGTTGTTCCTGTGTTGCAATATTATCATAAGGCTCAAGGTAAGGAATTTAGGTTGTTTTCTTTTCTATTCTATACGTATATACATTTAGGGGGTACCAGTGCAGTTTTGTCATATGGATGTATTACATAGTGGTGAAAGTCTGGTTTTCACATTTTCATACAATATATTTTGATTAAGATTACATATGTTTGAAATTATAGTTATAGCTATTCCTTAACTTAAAAATTTGGAAATCCTAATAATGAAGAAATCTATTATATTTCTATGAAAATTATTGTAAAAGGAAATTGGCCAGGCCACATTGCTAATTTATTTGTAATAAGCAACAGGTTTGTTGAAAAAAGCTCTGAAACAAACAAGATGGGATGAACTGTATAATGCACTATCATAGCAAACTCTGGGGTATAAAGACATGATACATTACATGATTCATGAGTTTATTTACATATATGGACAAATTATTGGCTTTAATTAAAAAAGAAAAATAACCAAAAATTTAGAAAAAAATACATATATTTACATAATTCAAAATCTCATTAAGGAATGGTGGAGTGTCCAACAAATTATGGATAATAATCAAAGGTAGAACTATAATAAGTAAGTAAATAAGCAACAGTGAGGCGTGTAAATCAAGAAAAAGCAAGATAAAGTTGACTATTGCCTTGGAGGAATTTGCCAAGGTTGTTCTCTGTAACCACGTCAAAAATGTTAAAGAACCTCAATCAGGGATGTCAGATCAAAGTCTTCATGAAGAGACTCAGCGCACAGTATGGGTGAACTATAAACACTCAAACACCCCCATTTATACCCCCAACACAAACTCGCCGGTAGACACTTAAATAAAAAGAGATTTCATCTGACCTGGTCTTGGTACTAGACAGAGGAGGGGGTCTCCTCTGAGTATGGGTGACCATGAACTACCTTTTATATAGGTTTGGACCCAGATGATTCACTAACCACAGAATTTAAGACAAACAAACAAAAACTAAAAATGCACTTACTGAGATTTGTTTTGTATACTACAGAAGAAAATAGGACTTTTCTTTTTGTCTCCATTTCAAAGAAAATGCCTCATATCTATATTCCCCAAATAATTTTAAACATGAATCTCAAATGAACATACCCAAAACATAAAATTACAAGACACATGAAATAATAAAGCCCATTAACAAAAATCCAAACAAAAGTAAGCAGAACAATTAGAAAAATAAAGACATTGATATTATTAATTATGTAATATAAAATAAATAAATATCTGTAAGAACATTAAGAAAATAAGATGAAACTGAAAGTATAAGTACGGAAGTAGATACTATAAACACTAATAAACATATTTGAATAAATGAAACTTTATAAAAGTATAGAAGGGTAAATTATAAAACCTAAAATTTTTCAATTCATGGATGAGACAAAGTATATTTTAAAAGCTGAAAAGAAAATTACTAAAGAAAAAAAAAAACACCAGTTAGTTATTCAGAAAACATTACTGAGAGTAGAAGGAATGGAAAAAATGGAAGCGAGTTTAAGAGGTTAAACTTAAAAATACCTGAGAATTTTCTAGAGCTAGACAGTTTAGAAACTATATATTTTGAAAGTACAATGAATCCCTAAAGGGACATATAAAAATAACAAAATAAAATAAAGTGACGCCTAGATAAATTTAGCTGACATTTCAAAGAACTAAAAGCGATGTTGAAAACCTAATACTTGTTAGTGGGAAAATACAAATCACAAAGGAATACACATACCACATAGTGCTTTAGTTAATGACAGGCTTCATATATGACAGTGTTCCCACATTATAGTATCTTATTTTTACTGTATCTTTTTTATATGTTTAAATGTTTAGATACATAAATACCATTATGTTACAACTGCCTACACTATTCAGTACAGTAACATATTATACAGGTCTGTAGTGTAGGGGCAATAGATTACATCACATAGCCTGGGTTTGTAGTAGGCTATACTATCCAGGTTTGTGTAAGTACACTCTATAATGTATAATATTGCACAAAATTTCCTTCAGTCTATGGGTATGAGGTGTATATGAAGCATGCATGAATTTTGTTTCATCTTTAGTTCCATTTCCAACATATCTCATTATGCATGTTGCAAGTATTCCAAAAATAAAAAAAATCTGAAATCAGAAACACTTTTGATCTATGCATTTCAGATAAGCAGTAATTAACCAGTACATAAATATAAATATGTTTAACTAGTCGGTGGAAATTTCTTTTAAAGAACTATTTAATAAGAAAAGGAAAGGTAATAAAGTTTCTATTTGATGACATTAAAGACAAAAACTATTCTTGATCCAAGTCAGAATATGAATGATTATTTTGCATTGTTCCTCTCCATTGGAACCAATACCTTAGAGCAAAAGTAGAGAGATACTATTGATAACACCACTAGTCTAAAGACGCAATTTAAATAAACTATTGTAAGTAGAAACGCATTGTAACATTTGAAATTAAAAATATCTTCTCATTAAATGTAGTTTGGGCTTAGGTTTTGAATATTACCGAAAGTACTAATTTAGCTTTAAAAATATACCATTGGAAGACAAATATATTAACAAAATAAAATGTGACCAATTAACAAAAGAGTTAAATCAATTTTGAATCTACGTTAGCTTGGAAAACTTGTTGAACTTTTTTTGTTAGTATACTTTCAAGTCAGCATGTTTTGACTGTAGAATGCAATTAGTCAATTATCTGTGATGTAGTCATGAAAACAACTTTCAAATCTCAGCTTCTCAAGAAGGGAGGGATTTGTATCCAGCTCAGATTTTGTGTAGCTTTATCTGATAATGTTGTGTTGAGAATTATAACAGCCAAATTTTCATTGGTGATATCAACTTATCACCTAGATGGTGATGTTGTTGTCTGGCTAGTGTACTTAAGTAACTTTCAGTAGTGGATTGTTTACATCTAAAGTTAATACCTGGCTCTTACATTAAACCAGAAAAGGCAAAGTTTTTATTTTCAGGGTTTTTGATCTGGAAGCATCTCCTTGATGTAGTTGTGACACATTCTAAAAATAAAAAGGCTTAGGTAACTGTGCAAACAGAAAATGTAAACCTAATCTTGTGTATGGTATGTATAAAATTTACTTATTTTTATGACTGCAACCATACCTAAAAATTAAGCTGGGAGTTTAAATAGTGAAACTTCTAGCTGCTGTGTAAATAAATGAGACAACTTGTATTTTAAATAACCAATAAAGTTACTCATCAGCTATGTATAATAGGAAATAAATTTATAATATCATCTACATTAAAATTAATATCCATAAAATAACAATATATCTATGACTTTTGGTGTATTTATTTCAAGAGCCTGAACATAGAATATAATGTTTCTTTTTTAAGGAAGCAGTGAGGATTCTGGTAATAAAGTGACATGTATTACTTTTTTCCTCCAAATTGTATTTGTTTGACACTAGTAGCATTAATAACAGCTTTGCAGGTAATTAATATTTTATAAAACTTGACAGTGTTGTCTGTTTTGTTCTGTTTTAAGTATTCATGACTGATATTAGTTTATTTTAACCATTTATAAATGTCATTAGAATAACCAACGATATTGTTACTAATTAAAATCTTAGAACAGTGGGTAAGGTGTTCAAGAGTAAGGAAACAGCCTGGTTTTACTGAGATTTTAGATGATCTCATATGTGAAAACTTTATTGCTTCTAATATTTAAAATTTTTTAAATAACATTACATGTTGGTGGGTTCAAATTCTCAAAGCTTTGAACTTCTTTGAGATAGGTTGTTTTTATGTTATGGAATTCCTTAGGGCATGCCAATTGAATTAGGAAAATGTCCCATAACATCTGAGGACTTATCCTTGCTGTTCCTAGCCTGAGACTGTTCCACAAGGGTAAGGCAGTAATCTTAGCAGCCAATCTTCTAGAAAGGGCTGGAACTTGACTAAGTGCACGTATGGAAATCTAGCAGACTGGCTTTTAGTCTAGCATCCTAACACTGCTTAAAATCAAGCTCTCTCTTCCTGTTATGTAGTGGGCACATGGTGACTAACAGTCTTGAGAGCCTTTTCCACACACAAGATTGGCCATGTACATGGTGGCTGCTTGAAGCAGAACAAGAAGCTCTTCATCAGGAGGGTTTCCCAACTGCCTGCAAACCTTGTCAGGTATTAATTAATGTCTTGTCTTTCAGCTACCAGAGACACCCACTGTCACACTGGAGCCTGCTTCTGACCAAAACATCCTCTGTCAAGCTATAGACTGCTTCTGACCTCAGGTTTGCCATTCTGAGCACATAACAAAAATAAAACAAGAAAAAGCATAAGGTATGAAATGTTATTCAAAAAAAGAATGATGAAACAATGAACTAAAGCCTGGGCAGTAAATAATTCTGTCTTCAAGATCCCACATGGAAAATTTTTTAGAAAGACTTCCTACCTTTCCTACTGTTTGTAATGTGCATCTGGAATACTAGAGAAAGGGTCCCTAAGGTTTGCTGGAAAAATACCTTAGCTTCTGAGTCTTAGCTTTATTACTAATAAACACTGGATTTCTGGTAGTAGAGAAGGAAATTTAGTATTTCATGATGGTGAAAGATGAAAAGAGAGGCTTTATGGCTGTATGATTTGGGTAGAGCTTTTCAGTTAATTAACGAAGAAATATCTGAATTGAGTCAATGAGGTACAGAGTTTATTTCATACAGATACTTTTAAACTTCATAATGCCATGACATACCTGATTTGTTACTAATGTCCACAACTTATCCACGTGTTTATGGCAAAAAAAAAGTGCACGAAGAAGAAAATTATAGTTTCAAAAATTTCTAGAATTTGGTTTCTGGAAGAAAATACAAGTGTCTGTGTGTTTGTGTACATATATTCTAGATAGATGAGCCAGTAAGATAGAGTGAGCATTATTTTTTCTTATCCAAAGAAAAATAAAAGCAATGCACAGGTAGAAGACCTGGTAAATTTTGTATCATCATAACCACCTAAAAGTTTCGTGTGGGAAGGTAAGTCATAACTCCAAATATTTTTTTCTACTTAAAAATTAAAATTTGTACAAGAATATTTGATCCAGAAGAAAGAAATATATACATAAGGAATTACTAGAATTTGAATGCAGAGCATTTCAAACTATCTTTAATCCAATGATATAGTTCTTATAAATTAAAAGTCAACATGGCAAATTACAAATGTAATATTTAAGTGTGTCCTCAAGAAACTTAAATATAAATATTGCAATAATTTCTGTTAAATTTAGTTTTAATTCTCTTTAGTAATGTAAAATTCATACCTTTATTTTCAAATATAACCATTGAGATAAGATCCATTTGTCCTGGTGGAAAGTAGAAACAAAAGTGCTTTGCCTGGCAGCAAAAGATACAAAACTTTATCTGCCAAAACATTCTGAGCTAATGCAGAACAAAGGTTTGCTGCTGGGGAGTAGGGGTTGCTGAGAAAGCCTAGTTTTAAATCCCAGGTGCAGAGTTTTAGTGGTCCAAACAGTAGAATTGGATCCCCACCACCACCACTCAGCAGCCTAACCCAGAGAAAGAAGCAAGAGAAGCTTGCTGCTGGGGAAGGATCAAGAGTAAAGATAAGATCCCTACTTTTGCACCAAGTGTCCAGGGACTGAACAAAATTAGGGACAAAGCAGGAACTCAGAAGAAAGATCTAAGCATCACTCTAAGCCCAAGGCAAGAGCAGCCCATCTTTAATTAAAACCACACTGGGGGCTGGGCGCAGTGGCTCATGCCTGTAATCCCAGCACTTTGGGAGGCCGAGGCAGGTGGATCACAAGGTCAGGAGATGGAGACCATCCTGGCTAACACGGTGAAACCCTGTCTCTAATAAAAAATACAAAAAAAATTAGCCAGGCGTGGTGGTGGGCACCTGTAGTCCCAGCTACTCAGGAGGCTGATGCAGGAGAATGGTGTGAACCCGGGAGGCGGAGCTTTGCAGTGAGCCAAGATCACACCACTGCACTCCAGCCTGGGTGACAGAGCGAGACTCGGTCACAAAGAAAAACAAAACAAAACAAAAAACAAAAACAAAAAAAGAAAACACTGGGAATTTGATGTCTGTGGAGCACTGAAAATGATAAAAACAAAACACAAACCTAGTTCAACTCATGACAAGACAGAATTCCTTACGCTGACTGCTTGACAGATGAAAATGTGTGCCCATTTCTCTGTGTAATTTTCATTTACCTTGGTTCCTAGCATTCTTCTACAAATAGTTTCTGGCTTTCAACCAAACATGAGATACACAAAGAGCCAAGAAGAAAACAACCTGTTTTCAATAGATAAAGCAAACAACATAACTAGACCTAAAGATGTGTCTGTGAGTCGGGACTAGGATTAATACATACATTTAATACATGTAATATTTATTTATTTCATTGTATGCAATTTTTACATAAAAACTATAGTCTATAGTCGTGTTGCAGATTCAAGTTAATAATATGCAAAGTATTCAAGGGGAAATGTATTGATATCTTCAATATACATTGAAATTTATTCAAAAAGGAAATGTGTTAATGGACGAAAGATCAATAAATTAAAAGTGTCTGACAAAACAATATAATAAAATCTTAATTATAGAACCCTGAGGGTATGTAAATTCATTCTTTTTTTAAAATTTGAAAATGTTTACAATATAATATTGGAAAATATAAATTAGATGGCATATATTTCAGAAAATCCGTATTGTGCATTGTGCAGAAATATACTCCAGAATAATTAAAGGGTTCAATTTAGGAGAATAAACTTAAAAGTGTTAGAAAAAAATAGAAAACGGTCCTAGTGATTTCAGTATCAGAAAGGATTTAGTAAACAAGACAAAACCTGGACTCAAAATTTCCAAAGATAAGATCTCAATGTTATAAAAATGTGTAAACCCTCCCATAATATATACTGACATAAAATGCCAAATTGCAGTGCACTGCATTGTCACAAAAAAGTGAAAAATATGAATAATGAAATTAGCAAATATTAAATTTCTTAGCACTCTGTAATTTCTAATTACAATAAATTATTACTTTTATAATTTAAAAACTTCATTACAAAAAGATGAAACTGTCCAGAGTAGTTTTCTATCATTAAAGGTATTTAATTTCTTATAAAATATTGATCCAGAAGGTGACTGCTTATCAAAATCTATACTTGTCCATGACATATATAAAGAAATACTGTCAGGGATATTAATGATACTTGATGCCATCCTGAGAGCTTTAAAAGCAGGCACTGCTATGAATCTTTCCTATGTATACAAATTTTTAATCTTATCTTTTTAAAAACTCTTCACTGCTGGTCACAATATAGCTGCATCTTCGTAGTTGAACCATTATTATAAAAGTGCAAAATGATAAATATCAATTTTTGATACATTTTTGACCATGTAGGGAAAGTTTCTAGAACCACTTATTTCATTCTAAAAAAGTGAGATGATACAGGCAAATATATCCCCTTGTTCAGCCTAATAATAAACATCTCCATTTAGACTGAAATAAATGTAGTTACATAAATTATTATTGGTTTTATGCATCAAAGAAATTGCTGATGTAGACTATTATTTTAATAGAAATAGTTTTCAGGCCACAATTAATTTCAATTATGATTATCTGTAGCAGCAACATTGTGATATAGATTTAAAGACAATCCACGCCAAAACTGCTGAAGCTATTCCTGGAATAAACACAGCAATGTAAATTATTTTGAGAGAGCCCTATTCCACTTAGCAATCAAAGAAAGATGTACAATGGCCACCGTGTATCTGAAATCCTATTTTATATATTCACATTGGTCCATAAAATGATTAGAAAAAATACTAAGTATATGCAGAATGTACCTATGAGATTGGAGATGGTAGAAGCCTTATCTGAAAAAGTTCAGATAACCAGCAGAAATGATCAAATTATATAGAATAAACTAGGTCTACCATTTTGTGGTTTTTAAAAATTATTCTAGTATAGGAAGAGCTAGCATAGCCAACTTTTTAAAATAGTTAATAATTCCATAAAAAGCCAGCCCACTGTGTTTAGATTTAGACAATTTTAAGAGCATGCCTTTGGTATAGTCTTTGATCTGGTCAAACATTATAGTTCCCTAAAGATCCCAGTACTTCTAGTGCACTTAATTTAATGAAGTTATATAAAAATTACTCTTACCTTGTCCTTGATTCAAGAAAATCTCTGAATGATACTTAATTCACTTTTACTATAGACTTGAAAAGAGATCAAACATTACCAAAAGAAACAAACCACAAACCAACAATATGAGCAACAGAAGATAAGAATCAATGGGACAAAAAGGGGGTAAAAAGTCAAGTTATGAGTGTTATTTATAGGTGAAATAATTGTGTTTCACTAAGGAAACACAACATACTCCAAAGGTTACTTCTGCTAATCACAGACAAAATGAATAATGCTTCCTGATTCAGTCTCTTCTCTTCTCATTTGTATTTTTAAAATATTTTCTTTTAGTGACTTCCTTAACCTAATGAGAATAAAATTGACTCTATAAAAACCATCAGTCCAGGCACAGTGGGTACACCTGTAAGTCTCAGTTATTCTGGAGGCTAAGATGGGAGAATCACTTGAGCTCAGGAGTCTGATGCTGCAGTGAGCTCTGACTGTGCCACTGCTCTCCAGCCTGGGCAACAAAGCTAGACACTGTCTCCAAATAGTAATAATAATAGTAATAATAATAGTTAGTTAAAGAAAAAACAATAGCCTGTACTATTAGGGATACTGTGTATTCAAAAACATTCTTTTTTTTTTTTTTTTTTTTTAAGTAACAAGGAAATAAAATCCTCTGTGATTTTGGCCTGAGCCTCTGTGTCCACAAGTGTCTGCACCTCAGTATTTAGTGCAGCATCCACCAGGAAGATACAGATTTTGCTTCTGGCATTTCAGGCAACAGAAAAAAGTACAAAATCCAATAGAAGGCTTTCTACAGTGTAATCAGTCTTCATTCTCTCTTCACATGCCATTGTTAATTAAATACGCAATTTTTCTTTCCCCTTTTCTCCCATACCTCAGGTTTTTCCCTGAGAAGTTCAAATAAACATTATGACTGAAAATATTCATTATTTATTCTAGATTCCTTGGAGAAAGTTGGCAGTCAAGCAAAGAGGAAATCTTGTTACTCATCACAGAAAAGTGGGGAGTGGGCGAATGATTAATCTAAATGTTTTAATGCACATATTTGAATTTTGAAAGATCAAGTTTTCCATATTTTAACTAAAGAATAGTTTATTACAATGGGATGGGACAAAGACATGGGAATGGCAAAGGGATTCTGATTAATTGTCTCAGGGTACTTATCAGGAAGTTGACACTTGAACAAAGACTAGTAGTAGGTAACAACGTTATTCTTATGTTACATCCAGAGGAGAAACTTTTCAGGGAGAGCAAACGACCAGTGCCTACTTTTAAAGCGTGAACTTTTTTTTTTCCAAGAACAAAGAGGAAACCAGTGTAGCTTCAGCCAACTTAGAACAAAGAAAGGTTAGTATAAAATGAGTAAAAGAAAACGGCAGGAGAGTGCTGGAGGAAAAGAGATGATGTGGGTTTCACAGCCACACCATTGCAAACACTTGGGCTTTTATTATGGTGTGATGGAGAACCATTGCAGGGCTTTAAGTAGAAGTTAGGCATGATCTAATTTGTGTCCTAAAAGGATCACTCCACTTTCTATGCTACGAACACGATACAGTGAGCAAGCGTAGAACCAGAGAGCACAGTTAAAGAGCTGTGTAAGAATTGGGGCCAGTGAGGTACATTCCCAGTGGTAGAAATGGTGGTGATGGGAAATGGCTGGAATTTGTATTGAGTTTCGAAATGAAAGACAAGTTTTGGTGCCCAATAGAATATGATCAGTAAGAGGAGACCCAGAGGCTTAAAATTGACTCCACAGAGATTTTTAGTCTCAGCAATAGGAAAAGAGTTTTTATCAGCTGAGATGACGAAGAAACTGCCACTGGAGCAGTTTTGGAGTCAGGGAGGTCAGAATATCAGTTTTAGAAGGGCTAAGTTTGATTGGCAAATTAGAAACATAAAAAGAGATATTTAACAGGCATTTGTATATATTAGTCTGGAGTTCTTGCAGAGGTCTGGCAGAAGATAAAAGTTGAGAATTCTTGGGGTTTTATGAGATCACCAAGAAATATGCATAAAGAAAAGACTAAAAGAGAATATGTAAAACATAAGTGCTCAGGGGGAAAAGAATATTCCAGAAACAGAGACTGAGAAGGAGTAACAGCAGAACGTTGAAGGGAAGCCAAGAGTATGTGGTGTTTTGGAAGCTCAATAAGGAACGATGTCAAGAAGGAGAGATACCTCTGCCAAAACTGATGGTAGGTCCAGAAAGATGACTGCCTAAAATTGACCACTAAATTTACACCATATGAGAGTCAATAGTGACCATAAGAAAAACAGCTTGTTGTCATTGAGGTTTTTTGTTGTTGAGAAGCAGAGGATGACAAGGAGAGGGCAAAAGCCAAATAAAAGTAAGTTTAAGAAAGAATGAGAAAAGGAGAATGCAAACACTAAGAATTTGGGACACTCTTGAAAAGTTTTACTAAAAAGGAAACTGGAGAAATGGGATACTCATTGGGAAGAAGAATTACGTGAATGTCTTTTTAAAACCTGGAGAATAACATCATATCTACATACAATCGGAAAAGATGTGGGAGAGAAAACAAACTGGCAATGTAGGAGATAGGAAATGTGCTAGAACAATGTTCCTAACTAAAGTCTGCTTTTAAAAAATCTACGAAATTGGAGAGATTGGCTTAAGATGGAAGTTTGGAGAGTTCTAATAGAAATGTTGCCTAATAGAATTATAATATGAACAGCGTAGGTCATTTTAAATTTTCTAACAGCTGCACTAAAAAAAAAAAAAAGGTAAAAGAAGCATGTGGAATTCACTCTAATATGTGATTTAACCCAATATATCCAAAATGTTATTCTTTTGTTTCTTCTGTGCCAGTGAGTTTTCTATTTGTCCGTGTTTTATGAAGATAGATATTGTCCTTTTGCTGCCAGATGTAGGACTCCCTTAAGCATTTCTTGTAGGGCTGATCTAGTGGTGATGAATTACCTTGGTTTCTATTTGTGTGGGAAAGATTTTATTTCTGCTTCATTTTTGAAGGATAGCTTCTTAATATAACAAATTGAATGAGATATTTTACATTTAATTTTTATACTCTCTGTGAATCTAATGTGAGTTTTACCTGACAGCACGTCTCACTTTGAACTAGCCTCATTCACTTCCTATGCTCCACAGCCGCATGTGGACAGCAGCTATTGTATTGGGAAGCATAGGTCTATAAGAAATTTTAGGGAGGCAGGTAGAATACATAGATGCAAGTGCTGGGAAATGTGGAGTAGTCAAGAGTTGTGATGATGAGAGTTTATGAAATCTATTTTCTAAGAACTTCATTTTACATGGAGAAGAGGAAATGACAGAAAGTTAAATGCAAAGATGTTGGGGAAAGATGCTGAAGGTTTATGAAAAAGACGAAGTATGAAATTTCCAAAGAATATGGGAATGTGGAAAAAAAAGAGGCACATTTGCTAAGTAGAATGAAGGGTACTCTTGAGGTTAGTGATTGATATGGTTTGGCTGTGTCCCCACCTAAATTTCATCTTGAATTGTAGCTCGCATGATTCCCAAGTGTTGTGGGAGGGACCCAGTGGGAGATAATTGAATTATGGGTTCCCCCCATACTGTTTTCATAGTAGTGAGTAAGTCTCACGAGATCTGATGGTTTTATAAAGAGTTTCCCTTTTCTCTTGGCTCTCATTCTCTCTTACCTGCCCCTATGTAGACATGCCTTTTGGCCTCCACTATGATTGTGAGGCTTCCCAGTCACATGGAACTGTGAGTCCATTAAACCTCTTTTTCTTTATAAATTACTTAGTCTCAGGTATGTCTTTATCAGCAGTGTGAAAACAAACTAATACAATGACCATGAATTTAAAGAGAGTCCAGGCTTAAAACTTAAGCTCATTTCTGTATCAGTTGCAATATATTCCTTCTACCCTTCTCCCTTTCTTGTTTATCCTTGTTTTATTTGAATAGACAAGCCAGTTTGTTTTGCCTATGAAATGATTTAGGAAAAATAGAATTGTTGATTCTATAAGGTATGGATGAATATGAATGAAGAGCCATACAAGGATATTGCTCTAAGAATAAAGTTTCTAATGTGTTTTAATAATACTTGTAAATATTTAAAACAAGACAAACGAAAAACCTGGTTTTATATAGATTGAATAGCTTTTTAAATTGCTATATGCACCCACTAGAGTGCATTTGTTGCTTACTATTACAATGCTGAGGCAGTAATTAAACTGGATTTTTATTGAGCTTAAACCATTCTTTTCTACATAGTTAACTATAGCTTTATAAATTGTTATAATTTTATTATAAGCCACCTCTCCACTGGTAATAATAAGCTATACACACAGGTACTTATTATTGATAAATAAATCAGAATGAGCTGTTTTATTGTTTAAATGACAAAATAGAAAAATTATATATTTTAGCATTAATACAATCATTAATTTGTTCATTTGCTTCTCTAATTTTATGGTAAGTATTGGGTCACATACAGAAATATTCACAGATTATACTAACATGCAGTGTAGATAAATATATACTATGCAGGTAGCTTTCCTTCTTTATCTTTGCATTTTCCTTATAAATTCATCCATTTGTAATTGCATGTCAATTCTCATAGAAATCCAAACTTGCTCAATTCAGGAAACTGCAAAAGAAGTTCCAAGGATACTTTGGGATTTATAAGGTCCTCAATACACCGGAAAGGTTTTCAGACAAGCCTGTAGGATAGGGTCAGCCACATCTCTTAGAGCAGTTAACCTCTTCTCCTCCAGGACGGTCAACTGTGGAGACCCTGGGGTAAGAAGGAGCAGTTATTTACTCTTAGCAGACAGGGTGTCCTGGTATGCCCACACCTGTGAGGTTTTATTTTCTGAAATTGTGCAATACAAATGGCCGGGGATTCTGACCTAACATCACTCTTGTGTGTCTGGATAGTTTACCTCTCTCTTCTCCTGCCCTCAGCGCATTTCCAGGCACTTCCAGAAACAAAAGACAGTCTGTTGTGAGAACTCTCTTGGGAATTTAGGCTGCCTGTGTCGTGTATTACCCAATAATCCTTACTGCAGCTGTTGCTCCCACTGCCAAAGCTGTTTCTAATATAAGGCTCTCTACTTTCTTCCTCTGTTTATTTCCTTTTGTAAATCAATGTTCATTTATGACCAATTAACCACTCCTAATCTTTCTGTTGTTGTTGTTGTTGAGACGGAGTCTCGCTGTGTCACCCTGCCTGGAGTGCAGTGGCGCGATCTCGGCTCACTGCAAGCTCCGCCTCCCGGGTTCAAGCCATTCTCCTGCCTCAGCCTCCCGAGTAGCTGGGACTACAGGCGCCCGCCACCACGCCCGGCTAATTTTTTGTATTTTTAATAGAGACGGAGTTTCACCATGTTAGCCAGGATGGTCTCTATCTCCTGACCTCGTGATCCGCCTGCCTCAGCCGCCCAAAAAGTGCTGGGATTACAGGCGTGAGACACAGCGCCTGGTCCACAGTCCTAATCTTTAACAGTAGAAAAACAAGAGGTCCAATGACAAACTTTAACTTAAAATCTTCACAAATGTTTTCCTAGTCACAGACATAAAATAGAAATGTATTTTAATTTTACACCTAATAGGGTTGTCGCCCAATTTAACGTAATCTTACACAAAGTAATTTTGTGAAATCACAAGATGGATGAGAAAACAGTATATTTTCTCTCTCACATACATTATCTCTGAAATATGTAAATATAATGCCCCATTCTGTATGACAAGGAGAACGCGGTCTCTGCTCACATCTATAATGAAATGAAAAAATAGCATGGCTTGGGTAAGCAAACAATGTAGAGGACAGTAAAGGTAAAATGTAGAGCCGTGTGATGCATAGCTATGTTTCAGTCAACAACAGACTGCATATAAAATGGGAGTGGTCCCGTAAATTCTAAGGAAGCTGAAAACTTCCTATCGCCTAGTGACATCATAATGTTGTAGCATTCATTACTCATGGGCTTGTGGTAATGCTGATGTAAACAAACCTACTGCACTTCCATTCATATAAAAGTGTAGCACATACAATTAGGCACAGTAAATAATACTTGAAAATGATAATAAATGACAATGTTGCTGGTTTATGTATTTACTTTGTTATACTTTTTATCAGTATTTTAGAGTGTGTTCCTTCTACTTAACAACAACGACAAAAAAAGACAGGGCGTGGTGGCTCATGCATGTAATCCTAGCACTTTGGGAGGCTGAGACGGGCAAATTGCCTGAGCTCAGGAGTTCGAGACCAGCCTGGGCAACACAGTGAAATCCCGTCTCTACTAAAATACAAAAGAAATTAGCCAGGCGGGGCGGTGTGCACCTGTAGTCCCAGCTACTTGGGAGGCTGAGGCAGGAGAATTGCTTGAACCGGGGAGGCAGAGGTTACAATGAGCTGAGATCACGCCACTGCACTCCAGCCTGGGCAACAGAACAAGACTCCGTCTCTACAAAAAAAGAAGAAAAAAAGTTAACTGTAAAACAACCTCAGGCAGGTCCTTCAGGAGGTATTCCAGGGGAAAGCATTGTTGTCATAGCAGATGGCAGCTCCATGCGTGTTATTGACCTAGAAGACCTTCCAGCAGGACAAGATGTACAAATGGAAGACAGTGATACAGATTCTCCTGACCCTATGTAGGTCTAGGCAAATCTGTTTATGTCTTAGTTTTTAAAAAAAACAAACAGACAGACAAAAAAAGCTCAAAATTATAAAAATAAAGATAAAAAATTTTAAAAATGGAAAAAAGTCTTATAAAATCAGAATATAAAGAAAGAAATATTCTTGTATGACTGCCCAATGTGTGTGTGTTTTAAGCTAAATTTTCTTACAAAAAGCCCAAAAGTTAAAAATTTTAAAAGTTCATAGAATAAAGATGTTACAATAAGCTAGGGTAAATATATTATTGAAGAAAGAAAAGAAATTTTAATAAATTTAGTGTAGCCTGAATATTCAGTGTTTATAAAATCGACAATAGTGTGTGGTGACGTCCTAGGTCTTCTCATTCACTCACTTCTCTCTCACTGACTCACACAGAGCAATCTCCAGTCGTGCAAGCTCCATTCATGGTAAATGCCTTATATAGGTATACCATTCTTTATCTTTTATACTATAATTTTACTGTACCTTTTCTACACTTAGATATGTTTAAATACACAATTATTTATCACTGTGTTACAGTTGCCTACAGTATTTAGTACAGTTACATGCTGTACCAGTTTGTGGCATAGGAGTAATAGGCTACAACATATAGTTTAGGTGTGCAGTAGGTCATACGATTTAGGTTTGTGTAAGTACACTTTATAATGTTCACATAACAAAATTGCCTAGTGATGCATTTCTATGCATGTGCGTAGAACTTGTCATAGCTGTGTGACTAATTGCCTGCCAGTTCTCTTAGGTTTATGCACAATTCCAGGCACACTGCTATACCACAACTTACTTCCTAACAAGGAATGTCTTCTCAAAATTGCAGACTATTTTAATTTCAGCTAAACTTCCCAAAGAGAAGAAGAAGAGAAGGTGGATAGAACATACACATATCCTTGTACACATGCATGAACACACACATATGAACACACATGTAAACACACACACACACCTATTTAAAAGTATTGGTAAGGCTGCAAGTCACAAAAGTTTTGAAAGGCCAAAGTCTGAGAGAGGAGAGGCATACAGGGAGACGAGCTCAGTATTTAATATCATTTTTCACCTGAGGCTTTTGGCTGGCTCCAAGGAATAAAGGGACAAATTTGGAATTCAGGAGCCGTACAAACTCCAGGGTATTATTTAGGAATAACAAGGGATATATACTAGAAGTAAAGGGGACCTAAACATAAATTAGCCCCCACAGATCTGCTCAATCTTTGCTTGGATTAGGGGGATCTGTCACTACATAATAGCCAACCCAATGCAAAAATAAATGATCTCTGAAAAATAGAAACATCCTACAGAGCATCAAATCACAATGCCCAAAACACAGGGGAAAAAATAGCAGGCATCAAAAAAAAAGTAGATGGTCTGAGAAATGAGACGGGAGAAGAAACACTGAAAACAGACTAACAGGCAGGTCAGACACTGAAGGACTTTAACAGCAATTAATACTTTCAAGAAATGAAATGACAAGAATAATTTAAATGGAAGATGTGATGCCATAGGGAATAAAATGGAAATTCTGGGAATGATTGCTGTAATGACAAAAATTAGGAACTCAAGAAATAGGTAAGTTTAAAAGTAGAGAAGAACAACTAAAGAGAACTAGTAAACTAGAAGAAAGGTCAGAAGAAAACTTTTATACAATCTCTTAAAGAGTGAAAATGGGCGGGCGCGGTGGCTCACGCCTGTAATCCCTGCACTTTGGGAGGCCGAGGCGGGCGGATCATGAGGTCAGGAGATCGAGACCATCCTGGCTAACACGGTGAAACCCCATCTCTACTAAAAATACAAAAAAAATTAGCTGGGCGTGGTGGTGGGCGCCTGTAGTCCCAGGTACTCGGGAGGCTGAGGCAGGAGAATGGCGTGAACCCGGGAGGCGGAGCTTGTGGTGAGCCGAGATCGCGCCACTGAACTCCAGCCTGGGCGATAGAGCGAGACTCTGTCTCAAAAATAAAAATAAAATAAAATAAAAAAAAGAGTAAAAATGATGAGTTTACATAAGAATACAACAGACACACAGAACTGAATGAAAGGGTCTGGTCGTTCAATGTCAATCAAAACAAAGATCCAATTCCAACATATTCAAACGTCCTAATGCCTCGTAGGTTTCTCACCCTTGTTTTTATGGTAAAACAATAGAAAAAAATTAAATTATAGCCTTAGTCTTCAGAATGTCATTGCATTTTATTATCCTAATAAGTCTCCTCAAAATCGATATTTCACTTCATTAGTCCTTTGGAGGAAAATTATGATCATCATTTGAATAGATGTTTTAATTGCCACATACACGCACACACACACACATAATCTGATAGAATTAAAACTTGTCTCAGTTCCCAATGAGTATACCTAGAAGATAATGCCAGCTCTTGCTCAGATAAGTGATCAGAAGAAAAGAATCCACTCTCAAACATTTAATCATGTAATGGAGTAGGACATGGTTGTATGCTTTCTCTCTTATCTCCTTTCATTACTAAATAAAGGTTACCATGCCTGCCACAGCTGATTTCTGATATGACACTGTTTTGATGGTATCTCTAGAAACTAAAATGTGCTACCCTGCTCCCATTCAACCTACAAAAGGTAAAGCTAGGATTAGTCTTTCTCAAGGTTTAGAATGTAATTTGGTCACAGTATTAGGGAGAGGAATATTCTGATGTTCTAAGCCTACATTGGATCAATCTCCCCACAGCCCATTATTTTTTGAAAGACTGTTTTGTAAACGTGTGTCCTCTTCTCACCTTTAGATTGCTAGGAGAGGGCTGTGATTGGGTAGCAGCCCTCAAGCAAGCCAAGGCACAGACAAGACATAGTTCTGCCTGGGCTAGATGATCCCCAACTGCATGAATAAATGGGATCACACATGGTGCTCTGTACAAGTTAAGACCTCACTTTTACACAGGAGATATAACTGTCTTCAAGCAAAAGTTCAGATGATGAACTTAATACCTAAACTTTGACCTGAGCAGTAAGGAAAAAGTTACAACAAATAAGCAAACAGGAAAACTAATAATCAAGAGAAATATTCAGCATTAGAAGGCAGAGAGCATCATCCCAATACCCAGTTGTCAGTAATAACACAGGTGTATTTCAATGCTATATTTTTTTACTTCATTGGCTTTCTCATATTAACTTGCTATTAGAAAATGTAAATCACAGGGGGAAGTAATATAAAGTAACATATGTCTCCATAAGCTTATACATTCAAAAAGTGAGAGATCATACTACAGTCCTAGGGGAAAAAATATCTTAACAACCTGTCGCTTGATACTCTGTTACATGGCATATAACATCAGGATTAAAAATATCAAACGAATTAAATACAATTAAAATATTTTTAACACTTTAAAAAATGAAATCAGATGATAAGATACTGTTCTCTTTCATTCAAATTGTGTCATTGAAGTGTCAGCCCTCCAATAAATAAATTATTAATAATACTATTATTAATAATTTAGTTTTTTTATGTTTATAGCTAAACTCTCATAAGAAAATATAACAGTCAAATATCAAAATTAAAAAGATAAGGAGAAAGAGCGTATGAGAGAATAACATGATAGTCCCTCAAAGATGAGTGTACTGATTTAACATTATATGGTGTTACCATAGTTAATATGAAAGTCTACAACATACATGAAAACTAAATCAATAGATTTGTAGATAAATACATATAGATCGAGACATTGACATAAATATAGAACATAAGGAAACTTATTTAGAGAAGAAAATATGAATAAATGCCCTACGTTTAAAAAACATTTTGTTAGCAGCATAAATCTAATTTAGAATATTCAATTTGAATCATTACACTATTCTGTAAAGTCTTTTAAATTACATTAGTAAGCCGGGCCTATGGAAGGCCAAGGCGGGTGAACTGCTTGAGTCCAGGAGCTTGAGACCAGGCTGGGAAACATGGCAAGACCCTGCCTCTACCAAACATACAAAATTTACCCAGAAGTGGTGCCGCACACCTGTAAGTCCCAGCTGCTCAGGAGGGTGAGGTGAGAGGATCACTTGAGCCTAGGAGGTGGAGGCTCCAGCGAACTGTGATCACACCACTGCACTCCAGCCTAGGTATAGAATGAGACTCTGTCTCAAGAAAAGGAAAAAAAGATACATTTGTTTGCAGAATTGCAGCAGCACTCTATTCATTATTAAAAATAGAAAAAAGCCACAAATAGATATATGCACTCAGAACTAAATGCAATTTCACACCAAAAGTTGTTCTTTGTGTACCTAATTATTACATTACCTTATAAAATAACACAAAAATATAATGTTGAGCATAATTACTTTTATATAGTATTTATTTCATAATTTGCATTTCGATTCTTGTAAGTATGGAAGAAGAATTTTAAAACAGTTTGGCCAAATGTTAGTATTAGAGCACTTCCACCCGTAATCCCAGCACTTTGGGAGGCTGAGGCGGGCGGATCACCTGAGGGCGGGTGTTCGAGACCAGCCTGACCAACATAGAGAAACCCTGTCTCTAACAACAACAAAAAAAATACAAAATTAGCCGGGCATGGTGGTGCATGCCGGTAACCCCAGCTACTTGGGAGGCTGAGGAAAGAGAATCACTTGAACCCAGGTGGTGGAGGTTGTGGTGAGCTGGGATTGTGCCATTGCTCTGCAGCCTGGGCAACAAGAGCGAAACTCCATCTCAAAAAAAAAAAAAAAAAAAAAACCCTTCCATAGAATACTTTGAATTCTTTTTTATTTCACATTTTTAAATATATTTGAGGTTACTTTCCAACCACTGAGTTTTTGGCCACTGTGGGTATATTGTCTGTACGTTTTATTGGAATGTAGAGTTTCTATAATAAACCAAGTATTTTATTTTAAACACAGAGTATCAAAAATGAATCAAGATACTCTTTAGTAAATTCATTAAAATTTAAGTATCAAAATGTCATCATTTTTCTTTGATTTTAAGAACAGCAGTCTCTTTCACATTTCAGAACCAATCATGACTTCCCAACACACCTCCAGAGTCTTAGCTCATTACAGTATTAACCCAAAACTCCAAGTCCAAAGTCTCATCTGAGACAAGGCAAGTCCCTTCTGCCTATGAGACTATAAAATCAGAAACAAGTTAGATACTTCCAAGATACAATGGTGGCACAGGCATTGGGTAAATGCTGCCATTCCAATGTGAGAAACTGGCCAAAACAAAGGGAAAACAGTCCTCATGCAAGTACAAAAGCCAACAGGGCAGTCATTGAATTTTAAAGTTTCAAAATAATCTCCTTTGACTCTGTGTCTCACATCCAGGACATGCTGGTGTAAGGAGAGGGCTTCCAAGGCCTTGGGCCATTCAGCCCCATGGCTTTTCAGGGTACAGACTGTGGCTGTTTTCATGAGCTGGTGTTGAGTGCCTGAGGCTTTTTCAGGCGCATGGTGCAAACTGTCAGTGGATCTACCATTCTGGGGTCTGGAGGACAGTGGCCCTCTTCTCACAGCTCTACTAGGCATTGTACAAGTGGGGACCCTGTGTAGGGGCTTCAACACCCACATTTCCTCTCTTCACTGCCCTAGTAGAGATTCTCCCCTAGAACTCCAGCACTGCAGCAGACTTCTGCCCGGACATCCAGAGGTTTCCATACATCCTCTGAAATCTAGGTGGAGGTTCCCAAAGCTGAACATTTGTCTTCTGTGCACCCATAGGCCCAATACCACTTGGAAGCTGCCAAGGCATGGGGCTTGCACCCCCTGAAGCAGTGGTCTGAGCTGTACCTTTGCCTCTTTTAGCCATGACTGGAACTGGAGCAGCTAGAACACAGGGCACCTAGTCCTGAGGCTGCACAGAGAAGCAGGGCCCAGGTCGCAGCCCGCAAAACCATTTTTCCCTCCTAGGCCTCTGGACCTGTGATAGAAGGGGCTGCCACAAAGATTTCTGATATGCCCTAGGGACATTTTCTCCATTGTCTTGACTATTAACATTTGGCTCCTTGTTGCTTATGCAAATTTCTGCAGCAGGCTTGAATTTCCCCCAGAAAATGGGTGTTTCTTTTCTACTGCATGGTCAGGCTGCAAATTTCCCAAACTTTTATGCTCTGTTTCCCTTTTAAATAAAAGTTCCATTTTCAGATAAGGTCTTTGTGATTACATATGACTGAACACTTTCAGAATCACCCAGTTCACATCTTGAATGCTTTGCTGCTTAGAAATTTCTTCTGCCAGATACCCTAAGGCATCTCTCTCAAGTTCAAATTTCCACAGATCTCTAGGGAAGGGGCAAAATGCCACCAGTCTCTTTGCTAAAGCACAGCATGAGTGACCTTTACTCAGTTCCCAATAAGTTCCTTATCTCCATCTGAGACCACCTCAGCCTGGACATCATTGTCTATATCACTATCAGCATTTTGGTCAAACCATTCAGCAAATCTCCAGGAAGTTCCAAACATTCCCACATCTTCCTGTCTTCTTCTGAGCCCTACAAATTGTTCCAACCTTTTTCTGTTATCCAGTTCCAAAGTTGCTTCTACATTTTCAGGTCATCTTTATAGCAGTACCCCACTCTGCTGGTAACAATTCTTTGTATTAGTCTATTTTCACATTGCTATAAAGAACTACTTGAGACTGGGTAATTATAAAGAAAATAGGTTTAATTGACTCACAGTTCTCCATGGCTGGGGAGGCCTCAGGAGTCTTGCATTCATGGTGAAAGGCAAAAGGGAAGCAATGCACTTCTTACCTGGTGGAAGGAGAGAGAACGTGCAGAGGAAACTGCCACTTTTGAACCACCAAATTTCATGAGAAATCCCTCACTATCACGAGGACAGCATGGGGGAAACTGCCCCCATGATCCAGTCGCCTCCCACTGGGTCCCTCCCATGGACGTGTGGGGATTACAATTTGAGATGAGATTTAAGTATGGACCTGGAGCCGAACCATATCATCATCCATGAATAAAAAACAAAATGATTTGCATAACCAGTGTTGGTAGCACAAGTAGCTATTGCATTGGAGACTTTTAACAGCTACTAAATGCCTGTGTGAAAAATGCCATAAGATAAACATTGGATTCTATTCTTTTGGACAATAACTATAACAAATGCTAAACATACATACTTCCCACAATGCTGTTTAGTTTTCAAGAACAGTGTCTTTTATTTGTCCCTTTTCAAACATGCCATTGCAAGAGAAAACTCATTATTTGAATTAGAATGGGAATGAGTTTCTATCTTCTATGCACAACTTAGAACTGAGGTTAGACAAGTAATGCTTTAATAGGTATAAAGAGATTTTTGGGCTTTCATAGTCCTGATAGCCATCGCCTTAGAGTTCTTTACCTTCATGAAAATTATGCTTCTGCTGACCCAATATGCTAGCACTTACAGTTAAAGCTGTCTTTTAAAATATCTTTTTTAGTTAATGTTATTAAAAAGATTGGCTGGATGTGGTGGCTCACGCCTGTAATGCCAGCACTTTGGGAGGCCGAGGCTGGCGGATCACAAGATCAGGAGTTCGAGACCAGCCTGGCCAACATGGTGAAACCCCGTCTCTACTAAAAATACAAAAATTAGTTGGGTGTGGTGGCAGGCGCCTGTAATCCCAGCTACTCAGGAGGCTGAGGCAGGAGAGTTACTTGAACCCTGAAGGTGGAGGTTGCAGTGAGCCAAGATTGTGCCACTGTACTCCATCCTGGGTGACAGGGCAAGACTCCATCTCGGAAAACAAAAAAGAAGTATTAACAATATCAGAGATGAAACTTCAGGGGCACAAATCTCATCTCCCCCCTCTCTCCCAGTACAAATTGCCTTTGTCTGTATTATTGTCATTACTCATAAAAATAAATCCTTTATTTTAATTTTTTAGAATCAGATTTTTATGCAGATTTAAAACGATAATGGTGCATTTAATAATTCAAATGTTTACACTTTGACTTTAAACTCTTTCAATTCTTCTGAATCAATATATTTTATTTGGTTGTTCTGACACGGAAAACAATAACCATAACTGAATACACTGAAAACAGAATACCAAAGAACAATGTGCTATGATTCTGGAAAGTAAGTAATCCAGTGTTACTTTCCAATCCAATAAATGGTTTGTTGGAAGGGGGGAATACTGTGGGCATGCATGCGCATGTGTGTGTGTGTTCAGTTAAAGATGAGGTCAGAGAGCTAAAATGAGGAGGCATAAAAAAATCGGTGTAGTGAAAAAGGTCCTGAAAACTTTGATTAATTTGCACTTGTAATTTAATAATTCAGTTCCCTTTCGCACCACATTAGTGTCTCCAATGGCAGAAACAAAATGTTCTGGTGCATAGGAAATAATTGACTTATGAATCTAATGTCTTCAGGGATTTCATAAGGAGAAAAATTCAGTTATTTTTATTGTTTTCTAAGACTTGCTGGACAAGTTGGGAGTAAAATTGTTTTAAATACTGAGGTATTGAGTTTTGTCCATAGCCCTGAATTTAGATTGTGATTTTGCAGTTCATTTTGGATAGTGATTGGTCTTACTTGACGTATTCCTTGATAAACAAGATTCTTATCTTCCATAAGAAACAGTAAAATTATGTGTCAGAATAACTTTCTATATTACTTTTAATACTCAATATAAAACTAGATTATAAAAATACACAGCATGATTTCAATTCACTGTTGTTTAGACGTGTGCTTTTTCAAATGCTGTCTACCTATTTCTCTCCAGAAATGTTGTTTTCCCTCCAGTGATTGTCCAGATTCTTCTTTCCACGTGCTTCACTACAAAATCAAACTTATTCCAATTATGTGCATACTCATTAACATCATTCTTATTCTAAATTACAGTTTTGAGACGTAAATTATGAAGTTTATTTTTCTTAAACTTAAGAACTAATTACATTGGAGACCCATCGCTTTGGAGACTTTTTAACAACTATTAAATGCCTGTGAGAAGAATGCCGTAATATAAAGTTGCCACATTTCCTTGTCACTAATTACACATTGCATCCTATTCTTTTGGACAATAAATGTAACCAAACATGACTAAAGATGTTAAGACAATGCCTACTATTGCTACTTGGATCGTAAAGCTTTCCCTCTTGATTGTACATTAAGAAAAAAATGACTCTAGAGTGTTATATAGAAAGGAACAGAGATAGACCTAATGATCAAAATTATCAAACTATATAGATAAGAAAGATATACTATTTCTGAAGTTAAATACATATTTTACTCGTCATGACAATTGGGCATTTATCTTGTGTCAATCAAAAAAGAAGGTCAATATTATTTTCTGGTTATTTTAAATGTTATTTATTTTGCTTTCAGCTGTATATACCCAGAAAGTTTCACTGCATATTTCAGTTACAGGATTTAAGGTCCTATGTCAGGCATGACCCAAAGGATCAGGACTTCCAGAGACATTAAGCAGAAGGAGTGTAGGGGATAATGCAGCTCAAGACAGGCAATCTGTGCCCAGTAACCCACAGGTCTGCAAGCTCAGTTGGCTGAGGCAGGGATTTTGCCAGGGTCGAACTCTCTATCGGGGCCAGAGGCATTTCTCTATGCTCTGTACCAGGAGTTCCCAGTGAGGTCAGAGACCTGCAGATGAGCTCTGGCCTATGTGAGAAGAAGACAGGAAACTACGATAATTTCACAGTAATTTTCTTGCCTATCCAATGACAGAAGAAAATAAAATATATGCTATATCATGCTCCTGTTGAGTCAATCTGTGGAAAACGGATGTTTGGGAAATAAGAAAGTGGCTTATTAATCCCCTGCTTTTTTTTAAATTCAGGAAACTATAATATAAATACAAATACATTATTTTATTAAGATTTGTTGGTTATGAGTATAATGTATGTGTTTCTATAGCTATATCAGGAATATATGGAATAAAAAATAATAAAATAATTTTACCATTCATTAAATAACAAATAATAAAAAATCATACATAGAAATTTTGTGTCATGATATTTTTAGGTTTGCAATTCAGAGTTATTTGTGAATATCAGTTTAGCAGGTATGTAACATTTATTTACTTTTATAGAGTAATTTAAAGAATAATTGTTTCCAATTATGGGAAATTTTTGCTTTGTTTTCTTTGCAGAGTTGTTTTATTTTTCAATATAATGCAAGGGAGGCTAGTTTGCTTGTAATATAATAAAAAAGGCAGCCATAAATATGAGAAATATTTATGAACAAAATTATTAGTCTTAGTTGTATCTTATTATGTATTATGGAATTAAGTTATTGTAAGTTCTGCCTCTTTATATATGTATGTCTACGTATTTGTAATTGGTTTTCAAGAGTAAAATCAAACACATTTACACATGAACAACATTTAATGTTTTCAGTGGGACTTTTATACTGCATCTCTTTCAACATAATGTTAATTGTTAAGACTTATCAGGAGAAATATTAATCTTATAAAATTGTAAGAATGTATTGAGGTATTTTTATAGCTGCACCTTTAGCTCTATCTTTGCAGGTTGGAAATATGCCTTGTAAAATATCTGTATTCATTAATATATTTATATTTATTGTAATATTTTAATGGCTAAAAAGAAATGCATTTCATTAGTAAAATAGTAGATGACCATTTTTCGCTCAACAGGAAGAATATGTCTTGGCTGGTAAGCTAGAATGTAGGCATAATGTAGAAATGAATAAATGAAGTGATTGTCATTCTTACATTCTTATGACTATGACAAAGAAGGGTACTGAAGTGGAGTTTATGCAAAGGTTGACGAGATTTATGGGCAATGGTACAGAGGTTGATGGTCCTAATTATTCCAGGCATGGTGGCTGTTGTCAAGCAAGTTGGCAAGGTCTATAAATGCACCATATTCAGGACTCAATGATGTTTTCTCTGCATTAATAACTAACTTCATGAAATAAGAGAAAGCACTTAAGTAAGCAGGGCTGGAAGTTGGTCACCAAATTAAATCCAACTGAAAACTTGAAATAACCTTCATGGAGTCATAACAACATGCATTGGTTAACTTTTCTTGAGAGTTAAGACTGGACTAGGCAACACCAAAAAATGAAATAATCGATCAAATTTTAATTACTGTCATCATACATAGATTATATGTATTTATTTTTTAATTACCATGTTTAAGAGTGCAATCTTGGAGGAATACCACCAGAAGTTGAAAAATGTTTTCTCGGCTAGGTGCAGTGGCTCATGCCTGTAATCCCAGCACTTTGGGAGGCCGAGGTGGGCGGATCACGAGGTCAGGAGTTCGAGACCAGCCTGACCAACATGGTGAAACCCCATCGCTACTAAAAATACAAAAATTAGCTGGGCCTGGTGGCGCACGCCTGTAATCCCAGCTACTCGGGAGGCTGAGGCAGGAGAATCGCATGAACCCGGGAGGCGGAGGTTGCAGTGAGCTGAGATCGCACCATTGCACTCCAGCCTGGGCAACAGAGTGAGACTCCATCTCAAAAACAAATACATAAATAAATAAATAAAATAAAGTTTAGAAAAATGTTTTCTCTAAGACAAAGGAAAATGTCCAGATTACTGGACTGTTTCTGTTGATGTGGTGACCCAACTGGGTAATAAAAAATAATTAAAATAGGATGCTAATACATGTGATGGGTTACCTCTGGGAAGTCTCTGCCCAATCTGTCTTTTCAGTAGACTGGATATCAGTAACAGAAAGGTATTCCAACACATTCTGACCTGCAGGACTACAAGCAGAGAGGTTTTGACTTCTCTCTCAGGTATCTGAGGGAAACTGACTATAAACAATAATCAGACTTCTGGGATTAGAAGACAGGTCTTTCACTGAGTTGTGGCCTCCTCTGTATGCCTTCAGTAATCATTGATATGATAATAAATCAGGTATGTAGAAAAGGTGATGGTAAGACATATTTTAACAAAGGAAATTTCCAAGACTCAAGATATGTTGAAATTTCCATCAAATCTAATCTTTGTTTAAGAGGCCCCTTTTTACCAAGTGACATCTAGATATCGGTGGATGGAAAGACAGGGAACAATGTTGTGTAATGGCAGAAGAAATGAGTACCTACAGAAATCAGATCGCTCAGCCTACATCTAAGTGAAAAGGCTGCAAAGATTTGGAGTAATAATGTGTTTTGGCTTTTCCTCTCATCATGAAAAAAGATAAATTCAGGAAAGAATTAGCCTATTTACATGAAGAAATGAAAGTAAATACAAATAATAATTTAGGTATTTAAAAGGTTGGAAAACCTGATTGCCTTTATAGTGCAGAGGTATAAAATAAAACAGAAGGCACTTTAAATGATAAAGATATTAATATTCACCCTCAGACATGAATATTTTCTTCTCACCTGATGCAATTATTTCTAATAGACTCGAGGGAGCTGCCATTAAATTGAGAGAAAAACCAAGAGGTCATGGAACAAAAGAAATAAAAAAGAAATTTACTTCAAATACACTGTCCCTGATTTAATAGGGTATATATGAATAAATGTAGGGGAGCGCACATAATTTAACTCTTCAGTTATTTAGGTCACCAGACTTAGAAGCTCTGTATCTGAAAAGAATAGAGACAACCTGCATCATTCAAAATCTATTCTTTTGATTGGACAAAGGAAATAAGTGCCATCACTGGGATTAGGAAGAAGGGTGAAATGCTATTTGTTACCAGACTTTGACTATCAATGTCTGATCAACCAAATCTGCTTATTCTTCCTGTGCATAGAGCTAGACTATGTTTACCAGTCTCCTTTGCAATTATAGTTTGGGAAAATGACTGAGTCTAGGCCAATAAATAAAGGTAAAGGTTATGTCAGCTACTTGCAGACTTATCACATCAAAATCTCCCATGTGTGATTCTCCGTGTTTATCATCCTTAAAATGGATACGACTTCCAAGGATACTGTCTTAGTTTGTTTTTGCTGGTCTCACAGATTACCTGAGACTGGATAACTTATAATGAAGAGAAATGTATTGTCTCCCAGTTCTGGAGCCTCAGAAGTGCAAGATAAAGGAGCTGACATCTGATGAGGGTCTTCCTGCTGAATCATCCCATGAGAGAAGACAGAGGGACAAGAGAGAGTAAGAAAGGCTGAACTCACTCTAATAATGGCAGCAATCCCACCCTTAATAGTGAAGTTCTTATGGCTTAATCACCTCTTAAACGTCCTGCCTCTTAATATTGTTACAATGGCAATTAAATTTCAACATGAGTTTTGGAAGGAAAACATATTCAAACTTTGGTAGCAGTTACCTTGATAGAAATAATACTTACAGTTGTTTAAGCCATAGGAATTAAGATAGAAGAGACCCCATTTCTGAATCAACATGTGAAAGATATCACCCAACCAACATATTTCATAGTGGATGGTTTTAAGAACAAGAAAAACACTTTTATTTCATTAAAGACCTGAGATATGGCCAGGAGAGGTGGCTCACGCCTGCAGTCCCAGCACTTTGGGAGGCCGAGGAGGGCGGATGACCTGAGGTCAGGAGTTCAAGACCAGCCTGGCCAATATGGAGAAACCCCGTCTCTACTAAAAATACAAAAATTAGCCAGGTGTGGTGGCGGGCGCCTGCAATCCCAGCTACTCGGGAGGCTGAGGCAGGAGAATCACTTGAACCTGGGAGGTGGAGGTTGCAATGAGCCAATATCGTGCCACCGCACTCCAGCCTGGGCGACAGAGGGAGACTCTGACTCCGTCTCAAAAAAAAACAAAAAACAAACAAACAAAAAGCACTGAGACGTGAAAGAATATTGACCTTCTCAGGGAGATTTCCATGAGACAGACAAACTCCCACAGGAAGATGAGACACTAATAGCTGGCTCTTACTGACCTAGATTAGAATTACAATATTGATGAGGTTACCTACTGGAGAAGGAGAAATTGAGTCAAGATATCTGTATAAATACTTGTAGTCGTCTCTACTGCTTTGGAAAACTCCTCTCATCCTCATAATAAAACTGGGAAAAAGATAAGAGATGTATGAAAAATGGGCAGCAAAAACCCCAATTAAAGTGTATTTCTTTAATTGCAGTCATTAAAAAATGCCTCCTTCTGTGTGAGCTGAGCCTGAGTTAGCTAAAGGGTATACAGGGGCCAACCAGAGAACAAAGTGGATGTTACTATTGAATAAAGGGATCCACAAAGCTGAAATAGATGAGTTCAGTAATGATTATCTTTCTACCTGATACAGAGTTTCTGGTGGGATGAATGAATTTCATTTGTTAAAGCTACATGCAGCCTCCATGACATTCGAATCTGAAAGAGTTCACTTACTTGTACATTTCCTGAGCCCTCTACCCTTCCCTACCCCAACATCAGCTTCCTTAAGGAGAGAAGGGACTAAATGCCACATGCACCTGTATGAGTATGCTGGGGAATCTTGGCAAGGAACGAGAATTGAATTTCTATCCCTACATTGAATACAGGTGGTTAGCTCACTATCCTACCCAGCCCTAAGAAGGAAGGAGGCCTTTGATTCAATCCATGGGGGTTGGCTAAGATTCACAATTAGGAAGGGAAGATAATATTACCTTGGGTTGGGCTAGGTCTCTTTGACCCAAATCAGTGTACTGCTGTGCTTGCTTTTTCACCTGAAAATAAAAGATCATCTACAAAACATTTTTAATAAACACCGTGCTTAATATTTCTGATAGTATCTAAAATGGTTGCAATAATTCCTGCCTTGATTTAAGGCAGGCCTTGTGACATTCTTTGATTAATAGAATGCATTGAAAATGATACTGTGCCAATAAAGGACCACGCCTTTAAGAAATGTGAAGCTTCCACCTCCCCTAAGAGGAGGCAACTGCAACGTAAGAAGTCCCACACCCTGAGATCATATAATATAAGGAAGCCCAATACAGCTCCCTCAAATAATTCTGCTTATTTACCTCTGGAGAGGACATTGTAGGGCCCTGCCCAGATCCTGGCCCACTCGTTACTCAATTGCTGGAAATATTGACTTCCTATTGCTGCCCGCTTCACCTCTTCTCCAGAAACCAACCTTTACATGAAAGGAGCCATCCTACCAAGAAGCCTTTTCAGGTTATTCATGGCCAGTTACCCTGCTTCAAAGAGGAAAACACTGCTGCAGTTGATGTTCCAGGGGCCTTTTCCTATTGATGCAGCCATGCCTAAACTTTTCTTGAGGGTATGTCTGTATTTAACTCCCTCTCAAGCTTCACTCTTTTGCTCACAGACTTGCCCAAAGAGCACTTCACCCATAACCATGGGTACTCACATCCCTGTGCCCATCTCTGTTTCTGGGGAATCTAACCTTAGGCAACTTGAGTGGAGGATACATGGTTGTGTTCATATACTGACGATTCACTCTGTGCTTTTTTGTACATTTGAACTAAGTAAAATGCTACTCAATATAATACTTTTAAAGGAGCACATGTCAATGGAGATAGGGCAGATACAGTGAACAAATATAAAATTTTGTGCAGTTTGTACCCAACAGATTTTAATAAAGTATAATATTTTATATGTGATTAGTTTTTAAAGAATCCAAAAATTAGAAAGA
This sequence comes from Homo sapiens, assembly GCF_000001405.40. Taxonomy (NCBI): domain Eukaryota; kingdom Metazoa; phylum Chordata; class Mammalia; order Primates; family Hominidae; genus Homo; species Homo sapiens. Next base: position 12,337,750 of record NC_000005.10, on the reverse strand, counting down.
ATGAAAAATAATACTATATTGCCAATACCCCAACCAGAATTAGCATGGATATATTAGACAATGCAAAAAAAGGATGCAAACGCCAATGAAGTCTTATGTTGTTTTTAAACTTATCCATGTAAATATGTAAAAACATGGAAAGTCAATTTTACAGGACAGAGATATAACTGCCTTCAGATACAATATTTTTAATAAAATAGCCTACATCATATATCCTATGGGATATATTTTAATCTTCTCTTTTCTTCTTGTTAACAGAAAATATGTTTCAAATACACTATTTTAAATTGTACCAAAGCAATATTTTTAGCCCTGCATATTCATGTATCTACATTACTATGTATCCTATGTCTCTGTCTTTTTTTACACTAACCTTAACCAACCCAGAATAAATTACTTTCCTTAAATCATACCAATGAGTTTTTATTTTTCCTTCCCCACTATACCAATTTTATAATTATAATGTTTACAACTGACATGAATAAGAAGAAAGCTCTAATCCCTAATTAAGATCAAATTGTCTTATGTCACCCAGATAATTAGAGAAACAGTTAAGATCATTCAGGTACCGAAAGGTAAAACATCTAAAAAAAATTCTACAATATTAGATCACAAGTATCATTATCTTATACAACACACAGAAAATAATCACATGCTTTTTATATATGACACTTTAGGACATTAAAGCAATTGAAAATGAAGCAAACTTTACTTTTCATTTTTCTAACCATCTTTGCAAAATTCTGAATATCTAAATTAGGTGAGAATTGTAACACAAAATTATTACTTGACTTTTTTCAAGAGGAATTATCTTGCTTTAAGTAAGTGAGAAAAAATAAATCACACTAACAATCAGGAAGATCAGGTCATGATTTTATTTGAATATCAACTGATCTTTGTGGGACCTAAACTACACTGCTAAATAATTATTAAAGCGCTAATATTTGATTCTTCTGGATCCATTTAGTTGACTCAATCTTTGTGGAAAATATTATGTTAAATAGCTGTAAATGAAAAAACCTCATTAGTTACTGGTTATTTTCAGGTTCCAGAGCACTATTTTATTTGCATTAAAATAATAAAAACAACTTTTAATTCCATACTAAATCTTATTCTCTAATAATTCTATTTTCCACCAGATAATACATCAATCATATGAATATATTCCTCCCAACAATAATGTGATTCAAAAATTTAATTTCAGAATTATTTAAACATTTGTATATTATTGAGGACAATTCATGATTGTCAATAGGGTTTTTAAGTACTAAAATATACAAAAATTACATAGCTATAATTAAGTGATTAAGAGACACCACTTTAATAGTGAGATAATGAGAAATAAATGATTTAAAAGTGATTTCTTAAAAAAAATACATTCCTAATATTTTAAGTGGGTTTATAAGCAAGCCACTTTGACTAATCCCTTTCTCTCCCTAATAGTCTTCCCCTAGCCTCTAGTAAATCTTAATTAGTTTACGTCTAATTATAACAAGAAGATCTCACATTGTTTAATTCCTTGCCCTCTTTCCTCTATCATTACCAAATTGTGATGGCAAGTTTCTGGAACCTGATATCGCTGTGCCTGACCTTTCTCTTCTGTAAGCACAATAGGAAGCAAAGTGAGCACTCAGTAAATGTTAAGGTTTTTTCTCACCTGACAAAACCCTTGATTAGCATAACTCGATTTTAGCCTGAGGACTGACTTTTCATTTCTCATTTGAATACATTGCAAAACTAAGTATTTCCTGCAAAAAAAAATTGCCTAGCTTTGTCTTTTCTTCTTTTTCTGCCTGAAGATAAAATTTCTTTCTTGAACCCCTGGCTGTGGAAGGCCTACGCATAAACAGACTTCCAGCCATCCCCTGCCTGTTGGTTAGGGATTCAGAGAATCTACCATGCCATATTCCCTTTTACTATCTCCTGCTTTCTAGTATAAAAATGTGTCACTACTATTGGGAAACGTTACATTAATCACTTTCCTAAATTATGAATACATATTTTAAAACCCTTATTTCCTAAGTATTTTCTCTTTTGCTCACTTCACATCAATTTCTTCAGTCCTTTCTGTAACTCAACAGCCATGTTTCTCTGTCAGATTGCAAAATCTGATTCACCTGATCTGATCATATATATCAGTATTTAAATTCATTTTAGGGGTAACTTCTTATTTTTAAATGCATTATTGAGATAATTTTCAACATATAAAATGTACATTTAAATGTTAAGGATCTTTTTAGTATATTCACAGATAAGGAAAAATACCGCCACAGTTAATGTTAGAATATTTTCCTCATTGCAAAAAGAAACCTTGTGCACTTCAGCTATTATCCCCTATCCCCACATATATGCACCAGCCCCTAGCAATTACTAATCTACTTTCTGTCTCTATATAGTTTCCTGTTCTAAGCATTGCACTGGAATGAAATATGTGGTCTTTTTTGACTAGCTTCTTTTATTTAGCGTAGCATTTTCAAGGTTTATCCATGTTATTGTAGATATTAATACTTCATTCCTTTGCAAGGCCAAATAATATCGCATTGCGTGTGGCAATCAAAATGAGTGACTGAGGCATCATTCCCAACTCATTGGGTTTTCTTGAGTGAGTCGGAGGATGTACCCAGGAAAAACATAAGTTACAGACACATCTATGGCTGTTTTTTTCCAAAGAGGTTCTCAGGAAGTTTAGTAATATATTTACACATTTTCCTTAAAAAAGCGAAAAGGACAAATCTGGAGGCATTCCATTACCTGACTTCAAACTATATTATATGGCTGTAGTCTCCAAAACAGGATGGTACAGGTTTAAAAAATAGGCACATAGGCCAGGCGCAGTGGCTCAGGCCTGTAATCCCAGCACTTTGGGAGTCCAAGGTAGGGGGATCACGATGTCAGGAGTTCGAGACCAGCTTGATCAACATGGTGAAACCCTGTCCCTACTAAAAATACAAAAATTAGCCTGGTGTGGTGGGGGGCGCCTGTAATTCCATCTACTCAGGAAGCTGAGGCATGAGAATTGCTTGAACACGGGAGGTGAAGGTTTCATTGAGTCAAGATTGCGCCACTGCACTCGAGCCTGGGCGACAGAGTGGGACTCCGTCTCAAGAAAAAAAAAAAAAAAAATAGGAACATAGACCAATGGAACAGAATAGAGAACCCAGAAATTAAGCCAAATACTTAACAGCAAACTGATCTTTGACAAAGCAAACAAAAACATCAAGTGGGGAAAGGACGTACTATTCAACAAATGGTGCTGGGATAATTGGTAAGCCACAGGTAAAAAAATGAAACTGGATCCTCATCTCTCACCTTATGTAAAAATCAACTCCAGATGGATCAAAGACTTAAATCTAAGACCTGAAACCATAAAATTCTAGAAGACAGCATTGAAAAAACCCTTCTAAACATTGGCTTAGGAAAAGACTTCATGACCAAGAACCCAAAATCAAATGTGACAAAAGCAAAGATAAATATATAAGACTTAATTAAACTAAGAAGGTGCTGCACAGCAAAATAAATAGTCAGCAGTGTAAACAGACAACCCACAGAATGGAAGAAAATCTTCACTAACTATGCATCTGACAAATGACTGATATCCAGAATCTTCAAGGAACTCAAACAAACCAGCAAGGAGAAAATAAATAATCCCATCAGAAAGTGGGCTAAGAGCATGAATAGACAATTCTCGAAAGACGATATACAAATGGCCAACAAACGTATGAAAAAAATGCTCATTATCACTAATTATCAAGAAAGTGCAAATCAAAACTACAATGCAATACCACCTTACACCTGCAAGAATGGCCATAATTTAAAAATACAAAAATAATAGATGTTGGCATGGCTGTGGTTGAAAAGGGAACACTTCTACACTGCTGGTAGGAACGTAAACTAGTACAGCCACTATGGAAAACAGTGTGGAGATTCCTTAAAGAGCTAAAAGTAGATGTACCATTTGATCCAGCAATCCCACTAATGGGTATCTACCCAGAGGAAAAGAAGTCATTATATGAAAAAAAAACACTTGCACATGCATGTTTATAAAAGCACAATTTGTAATTGCAAAAATATGGAACCAGCCCAAATGCCCATCAATCAATGAATGGATAAAGAAAATGTGCGCTCTCTCTCTCTCTCTCTCTATATATATATATATATATTATATATATACACACACCATGGAATAATACTCAGCCATAAAAAGGAATGAAATAATGGCATTCTTAGTGACCTGGATGGAGCTGGAGAGCATTATTCTAAGTGAAGTAACTCAGGAATGGAAAACCAAACATAGCCTATTCTTACTTATAAGTGGGAGCTAAGCTATGAGGATGCAAAGGCATAAGAATAATACGATGAACTTTCTGGACTTGGGAGGAAGGTTGGGACAGGTGTGAGGGATAAAATACTACACAGTGGGTTCAGTGTACACTGCTTGGGTAACAGGTGCACCAAAATCCCAGAAATCGCCACTAAAGAACTTACCCATGTAAACAAACACCACCTGCTCCCCAAAAGCTTATTGAGATAAAAATAAAAAATAAATAGAATTTTAAAAAAGGATAGAGCAGCAGTGAGATGAGTGATTACACACTTCTGAGACTTTAGTTAGTGCCCAGTAAATCTACATTTTACATAAGAGATGGAGAACATTTGAAGAAAAAGAGACTAGAAAAAACAGAGGCCTCTGGGAGAGTGAAGAAATGATTAATCTCATTTTATCTTTGTTTGGTTCCTGGGAAGATAAGCTAGTAATTGAGGACTAAGCTCTGATTTTATCTTATCTTGCCCAAATTCCTTTCTAAGAGGCCTGGAGTCATGCCCTACAAACCATAAATTCTCATCCGATGGGTTTTATTTAACCCTATATATTGTGACTTACTTTCCAATCTGATTCTGGCATAACATTACATGACAAAGGAGAAAAGCAAGCTATTTTATACCAAAACATGTTTCTTTGCCATATTTTGAAATGGCCCTGCAAAGCCATCCTTTTGGGGGGTAAATTTGCATTTGTAAAGAATCTCTATTAACATAACCAGTTCTATTTCTTACAAGCCCTCCCAATCCTGAAGAGATTAACTGAGAGCCTAGCACCTTTTAAAAGTCTCAACAGGAAATATTTGTCGTCTATTGTCTCTAAGGGCAGCCACTATGAGACTTCAAAAGAACCTTGGTCTCCACAATCTTTTTCTTACCCTCAACATTTCCTTTCTATTGATTCCAGGTCTTTCGACAAATGTAACTAAGCGTCCACCAGAAAATGTTTGCATTTACCTATAACCTGGAAGCCCCTGGACCAAACCAATGTATTTCTCAAACATATTTGATTGATTCCTTATGCTTCCCTAAAATATATAAAACCAAGCTGCACCCCGACCACTTTGGGCACGTGTTCTCAGGACCTCCTGAGGGCTGTGTCATGGGCCACGATCATTCATATTTGGCTCAGAATAAATATCTTCAAATATTTTTGAGTTTGACTCTTTCCGTTGACATAATAAACTATCAGTGTGGAGTCTTTTGAAAGGGCTGGTTTCTATTTAGCACTTAGGGAAGAAAGACTAATGATGCTTAGTGAGGGAGGAGGTATAATAAGGTGAACTTCCCATCTCATTATGGCAGTGAACTCAGCGTCCCCTTGGCCAAAATGGGGTCCATTCAGTCAGTTGTAGGCTTAGAACTTAATTTGTATTTCTCACAGGTATATTCATATTTTGCTTATCCATTCATCACTTGATGGACAGGGGTTATTTCCCCACTTAGCTTTTATGAAAAATGCTGTTATAAACAGTCATGTATAAGTTGTTGCAAGGACATATGTTTTCAATTATTTGGGACATTTACCTTGAAGCGTACTTGCTGTTTTATGTAGTAACTCTATGTTTAATTGTTTGAGACTGTCAGACTGTGTTACAAAATGGCTGCAATCCTTAATTGACTAAGGATTTCAATTGCTGCATTTCCTTACCAATACTTATTGTCTGGCTTTTTAAATTCTAGCCATTCAAGCGGGTGTGAAGTAATATCTCATAGTGGTTTTAATTTTTATTTCCCTGATCAATGATGATGAACATCTTTACATAGTTTTATCACTCATTCAGCTATCTTATTTGGGGAAATGTCAGTTCAGATACTTTGTGAATTTTTTCTTTGGGTTGTTTTGATATGGCTGCAATGAATGGAGGAACACCAGGGTTCTTGGTCCTTGTGCCGAATTAGATTAAAAATGACATGGAGACACGTGGAGTGGTTTTAAGGAGCGGAGAGTTTAACAGGCAAGAAAGAAGGGAGAAGAAAGATGAAACAAGCTCCCCTGTACAGAGATAGAGGGAGAAAGGGGTCCAAAGTCGAGAGAGGAGACCCCAAGTGCACAGATACCAGCCGGTTATATGAGGAGGCTGGAGGAGGCGGTGTCTAATTTGCATAGGGCTCAGGGGATTGGTTTGACCAGGCATGTTATTCACCTAGCCCATGAAAAAACTGGCCCTCCCATCCTAGCCTTTTAATATGCAAATGCAGGGTGCCGTGATGTTCTACACACATGGGGATATGTGAGGGCGACCTTGCTGCCAGGCAGATGTGGGGGCAAGGAAGAAGAGGGCGGGAATCACCCTGTTTTGTGGACCCAGTTTCTAATGGCTAGCATTTGCATATCAAAAGCTGCCAGCCAGGCTCTAAGAGTGGAGGCTTTCCTGCTAGACAGGAAACTTTTCTAAAGCTGCTTTAAAAGAAACAACTTTCCAAGGACCTCTTTTCTTCTCCATCTGCCTAAAATAATTTCTTAATAACTCCTACCACAGTTTGTCTTTTTAATATTGAATTTAAAGAGATCTTTATATATTCTGAATAAAAGTCTCATCAAATATGTAATTTTTCTTGCATTCTATGGATTGTCTTTTTACTTTCCTGATGATATCCTCAGAATGCAATGATTATTAATTTTGATGAAGTCTAATTTAAATGTATTTTTTCCTTTTACTTACTATTTTTGCTTGTGCATTTGGTGTCATATCTAAGAGTCTCTTGTCAAATCTAAGGCCACGAAGTTTTATCTCTATGTTTTCTTTTAAAAGTTTTATAGTTTTAGCACTTATGAGGCAGGATGAATAGTCCAGGAAGTGACCATGTTCTTGGGATGCAGCAACCATGGTAACCATACAGTCAACACAATAAGCCTCAGCATCGGCTCTGTAATTGAGCTCAGTCAAGCTAAGCTACCTTCTAGAGAGCATGCACATTTTGATTTTACCTGTCCTCAAACTGACACTTTGTTCATAACAATAGTAGAAAACACACCCTTGGGTGGAGATTTAAGATGCTAATGAGACGTGTGACATATGAACAAGCATGTACAGCTACCGCACATGGGAACCCAGAGGACCACCCAGAACATGCTTACTAGTAACCTCTTTCCACCTCCTCATGAATAATCAGGTAAGGCTTCCATGAAGGGAGTCTACCTACTGCCAGTCTTTGTTGTCTCATCCTTACAAGCAGCCCATCTTGAATTTTCTCTCATGGTGTACTGTCTATTCTGCACCTAACTTTCAAAATATTATTTATTTTTTTGCAATAAATTATTCTATGCTACACCTCCTTTGCTGTGTCTCTTGTTTAAATTCTTTTAAACCAAGAAGACAAGAACCAAAGTATCACATCAGCTGTCAACACTTATGTTAAGGTTTCTATTCATTTTGATTTTTTTTCCTATAAGGTATGAAGTAAGGCTCTACCTTTATTCTTTGCATGTATCTATGCAATTATCACAGCATCATTGGTGAAAAGAGTATTCTTTCCCACTTGGATGGTAATTGCACCTTTGTCAAAAATTAGTTAACCAGATACATGAGTTCATTTTTGGACTCCTAATTGTTTTTGTTTGTTCGTTTGTTTTGTTTTGTTTTGTTTTTTGAGACAGAGTCTTGCTCTGTTGCCCAGGCTGGAGTGCAGTGGCACGATCTAGGCTCACTGCGAGCTCCGCCTCCCGGGTTCACGCCATTCTCCTGCCTCAGCCTCCTGAGTAGCTGGGATTACAGTCGCGTGCCAACACGCCTGGCTAATTTTTTTGTATTTTTAGTAGAGACGGGGTTTCACCGTGTTAGCCAGGATGGTTTCGATCTCCTGAACTTGTGATCCGCCCGCCTTGGCCTCCCAATGTGCTGGGATTACAGGCCTGAGCCACTGCGCCCAGCACCTAATTGTTTTATTGCTCTATATGTCTATACTTATTCCAGTGTTATACTATCTTATTAACATTGATTTTAAGTAAGCTTTAAAATAGAGAGGTGTGAGTCCTCCAACTTTTGTTTTTCAAGATTGTTTTGACTATTCTGGGTCTCCTTCAATTCCAGGTTATCAATTTCTACAAAGAATTAAACAGAGATACTGAATTTGTAGGGCAGTTTGAGGAGTGTTGCCCTCTTAACAATGTTAATCTTCTGATCCATGAACATGAGATGTTTTTCTAATTATTTAGATCTTCTTTAATTTCTTTCAACAATGTTTTGTAGTTTTCAGAGTACAAATTCTGCACTCTTTTGTTGAGTTTATTTGTAAGTGTTCTAATATTTTTAATGCCATCATAAATGAAAGTTTTTGAAAATTTTATTTTCAGATTACTCATAGAATGTGTATGGAAATGCAATTGGTTTTTGTATCTTGATCTTATATCCTTTTACCTTACTCAATTCACTTATTTCCAAGATAAATGAGTTATCTTAAAATGACTAAAGTAGTTATTGAAATAATTTTCACTTATTCCAATAGTTGTTTAATTGAATTTCATATTACTATTTATTTACAAGTTTATGTCATACATCTAGATGCCTTTTAGTTCTTTTATTCTCTTTTTTTCTTTTCCATCTAAATGCTCAGACTGGAATTGCCAATATGATGTTGAATAGAAATGGCAAGAACAGTGCTGCAGCACTATTCAGGATGGCAAAAACTTGGAACCAACCAAACTGCCCATCAATGATAGAATGAATAAAGAAACTATGGCACATTTATGCCATGAAATACTATGCAGCCATAAAAAAGGATGAGCTCAAGTCCTTTGCAGGGACATGGATGAAGCTGGAAACCATCACTCTCAGCAAACTAACACAGGAACAGAAAACCAAACACTGCAAGTTCTCATTCATAAGAAGGAGTTGAACAATGAGAGCATATGGACACAGGGAGGGGAATATCACACACTGGGGCCTGTCTAGACCCACACTGGGGTGGGGGTCTAGGGGAGGTACAGCCTTAGGATAAATTCCTAATGTAGATGATGAGTTGATGGGTGCAGCAAACCACCATGGCACCTGTATACCTATGTAACAAAGCTGCACGTTCTGCACATGTCTCCCAGAACTTAAAGTGTAATTTTAAAAAGGAATGGCAAGAACAGACATCTATATCTTGTTCCTGATCTTAGAAGAAAATCATTAAGTTTTTTACCATTAAGTCTGATATTATTAGCTATGGGCTTTTTATAGATATCCTTTGTATTAGTCCGTTTTTACATTTCTGGTAAAGACATACCCGAGACTGGGCAATTTACAAAAGAAAGAAGTTTAATGGACTTAAGTTCCATGTGGCTGGAGAGTCCTCACAATCATGGCAGAAGGCAAGGAAGGAGCAAGTCATTTCTTACATGGATGGCAGCAGGCAAAGAGAGAGCTTGTACAGGGAAACTCCCCCTTATAAAACCATCAGATCTTGTGAGACTTATTCATTATCACAAGAACAGCACAGGAAACACCTACCCCCATAATTCAATTACCTCCAAACGGGTCCCTCCCACAACACATGGGAATTTAAGATGAGATTTGAGTGAGGACACAGCCAAACCATATCATCCTTTATCAGGTTGAAAAAGTTCTATCTCAATTTTCCTAATTGTTTATGTCATGAGAGGATGTTGTGTTTCATTAAATTCTTTTTCTGCATCTAAGTAAATAATCATGTGATTTATTTTTACTCTATTGATATTGTTACCAGAAAGAGCAGATGTCCGAGTTCTTGTCTAACTTGGAAGAACAATTTTGACCAAGAGACAGTACAAACATAGCAGAGAACTTTATTGAAATGAAATACAGTGTAGAGAGCTTATTGTAGGAAAAAAAATTTAATAAAGAGGGATGCCCCAATGGAGCAGTGGGTTGATCATGCAGGGAAAACAGCTCTGAAGGTTCTGTGCAATCCCCACCTCTGCCTCAAGTCTCCGTCTTTTTCCTTTGTCTAGTGTTCCCACTCCTGCCTTAAGTTCCACCTTACTCCCTACCCATAGGATTGCAGGATCCTCCCTTACTGTTGGTTAATGTGCATACTTGGGCTGGTGATAAGGTTTGACTCTGTGTCCCCACCAAAATCTCATCTCAAATTGTAATCTCCATAATTCCCACGTGTCAAGGGAGGGACCACATGAAAGGTGACTGGATCATGGCAGTGGTTTTCCCCATGCTGTTCTTGTGATAATGAATGAGCTCTTGCAAGATCTGATGGTTTTATAAGGCAATTTTCCCTGTTCTTGCTTGCTCTTTCTCACCTGCCACCATGTAAGATGTGCCTGCTTCCCCTTCTGCCATGATGGTAAGATTCCGGATGCCCCCCCAGCCATGCAGAACTGTGAGTCAATTAAACCTCTTTTGTTTATAAGTTACCCAGTCTCGGGTACGTCTTTATAGCAGTGTGAGAACAGACTAATACAACTGGTAATTCAATACGAGTCTTGCCTGACAGCAGCCCTAATAATTACCGCCACCCCAGGAAGGTTGTGTAGTGGTCAAATCTTTACCTCTTGTGCCTGCATATCTCTTTGGAATTTCCTTATTTGCCCTAATCTGTACTCATGATGCCAGGTTGCTCTTAGGAATGTGCATGTAGCTAGCGATATTCTGACATTGTAATGGCAGAGTGAATGATAATTGTGGCACCTTAAGAGGTGTTCTGGGATGTTTCTTTCTGCCTAAGTACTTCCTCTTCTTCCTAACCACATTTGACTTAGACCCACCCACTCCAGCATTAGAGATGCTATTAATATGCAAATTTTGGTTGGCCCCTCTAGGGAGTGGGTAGTGAACCTTCCCAGGCTTTTCCTTTCTCAGGAGCCTCCCCCATGTTCATGTCTAGCTATCTACCTACTCTAACAAATGATGTTTTACATTCGTTGAATTTCACATGTTGAATTAACCTTGCATCTCTGGAAACATCCCGTTTGGTCATCGTATATAATTATTTTTATATGTTGCTGTATTTGATTTAGTTTTATTTCGTTAAGGATTTTAGAAAACATATTCATAAGAGATATTGGTCTGTATGTTTCTTTTCTTGTGATATCTTTATTTGGTTTTGGTATCAGGATAAACTGGCCTCATAAAAATAATTGGAAACTGTTCATCCTCTTCTATCTTTTGAAAGAGTTTGTGGAGAATTTGTATTTTTTTTTTTTAATGTTTGGTGGGATCCAGTAGTAAACTTCTGGGACTGACCTGTCCTTTGTGGGTATTTTGTTAATTAATACTTCAAACTCTTTGCATGTTATGGTTCTGTTCATAATGTGTTTCCTTTTGAGTAAGTTTTAGTCATTCGTTTGTACCCTTCTAGGAGTTTGTCCATTTCATTTAAGTTATATAATTTTGGGGTATACGGTTGTTCATAGTATTCTTTCATAATCCTTTTTCTTTCTGTAAGATTGGTAGTAATGTGCCTGCTCTCATTTCTGATTCTAGTAAATTAAGTATTCTCTCTCTCTTCTTTATTTTTATTAATCTAGCTAACAATTTGACAATTTTGTTGTTTAGATAAACATTTTTGGCTATGTTGATTTTCTGTTATTTTTTATTCTCTATTTTATTAATTTATGCTCTATTTTTTATTGTCTGCTATTTTTATTTTATTAGATAAATTTATGTTTATAATCCTGGTAGATTGACAATTTTATTATTCCGAAATGTCCCTCCTTGTAGTTAGTAACTTTTTTGTTGTTCTAAAGTCTATTTTCTCTGATATCTATATAGCCACTCTAGCTTATTTTGGTTTCTAGTTTCATGATATATCATTTTCTATACTTTTACTTTTATCCTAGTTGTATCTTTGAATTTGGGTCTGTCAAATTAAGTCTTTTTCTTTTTCTTTTTCTTGACTAATCTGGCTAAAGATTTGATGATTTTGTTGTTCTCTTCAGAGAAACGTTTAGCTTTATTGATTATTTCAATTTTTATTTTCTGTTTTATTAATATATACATCTGTGTCTCCTGTATAGAACATATTTTAATCCAATCTTATCTCTACCTTTTGATTAGATTGTATCATCCATTCACATTTGTTATTATTATTATTGATATACCTGGATTTGTCTGTCATTTTGCTTTTTGTTTACCTATATATCTCACGCATTTTTTGTTCCTCTATCCCTCTTTCCCTGACTCATCTTTCATTAAATGGATATCTAAGCATTTTAATTCATTTATATTTTCACTATATTTTTGAGTTAAAAGTTTGAAGTTACTCTGTAGTTTACCATATATAACCTAATTTATCAGAATCAACATTAAATTATTACTTAACTACCTGTAATGATACAGCTTTGTTCTACCTCCTCCATGATGTTATTAGTATATATATTACATTTAAATGTTTTTTAACTTTTTATTTTTTTATTTTTGGGTGTCTATAGCAGGTGTATATATTTAGGGCTTGCATGAGATATTTTGATAAGGGCATGCAATTCATAATAATCACATCAGGGTAAATGGGGTATCTATTACCTGAAGCGTTTGTCCTTTGTATTACAATAATCCAATTATATCCTTTCAATTATTTTTAAATGTGTAATTAATTTTCAACTATAGTCTCCCTGTTGTGCTAGCAAATACTAGGGCTAATTTACTTTTTCTAACTACTTTTTTGTACTCATTAATCATTCCCAACTCCTTCCCCACTGTTCCCCACTACTTTCTCAGCCTCTGGTAACCATCCTTCTACTCTCTATATCCGTGAGTTCAATTATTTTGATTTTTAGCCCCTACAAATAATTGTGAATATATGAAGTTTTTCCTTCTGTGCCTGGCTTAAACATTTCTCTATCTTGTAGTCACAGCTATACTTTTATATATAATATTTTCTCCTTGCTTCTCTTAACTAATTTGAAGGGCAATTGCATATGCTTTAACAATTTTTAAATTGCATATGCAATTGTTTTTTAAATCGATTATGAGAAACAAGGGGAAAAATATGCATTCATACTGATATATAATCATGTAATTACTCTTACTGATGTGGATTCAAATAAATGACTGAAGTTAAATCCTCTTAGGTTGAAGAACTGTTTTAGCAGTTCTTTTAAGGTGGGTCTTCTAGCAAAAAAAGTCTCTTAGCTGATGTTTATCCTGAAAAGTTTTTATTTTACCTTTCTTTTTGAAAAATGAACTTCGATGGATGTATGATCCTTGGTTGAAAGTTTTTTTACTTTGTTTTTGTTTTTGATTTTTGAGCACTTTGAAAATACTACTCTGAACTGAATTGTTTATACTGAGATGTTGAAATGGCTCTGTTGTCTGGGGTATATACCCTGGCTCTGGGTCTTAGTTAAGAAAGAATTCAGAAGATAGACACACATGAGGAGTGGGTTTAGGAGTGGAAAGTTTAATAGAAAAAGAAGAAAAGGGAGATAAAAAGCTTCTTCATGCTGAGAAAGCGGGTTGCCCAAAAGAGGGTGTCTTGTTTGCAGTGAACACAATCGGTTTTGTACGGAGGCTTGAGGAGGAAGTGATTGATTTACCTAGGGCTCAGGGGATTGGTTTGACCAGGTGTGCCATTCACATAGCCCAGGAAAAGACTGGCCCTCCCATCCTAGTCTTTTATTATGCAAACGTGGCTTCCACCTGGCCGTGGCCTTGATACTCGTACACGTGGTTTTACCTGGAGACTGCCATGACACCCATAAAAGGGGTGACAAGGAAAAGAGGGCAGGAGAGGCCATACTGAATGTACATGGCTTCCAGGTACAGCTGCTGTCATTTACATATAAAAGCTCCTAGTTTGCATATCTATGCCTGACTTCTCAGGCTGCTTTCTGTTAGAGAATAAATAGTTTAGAGGCTGCTTTTTATTAAAGGAAAATTCCACTGAGAACTTTCCCCCTTTCTAGCTGCCTAAAAATGATTTCATAATAACTCCTGTAGTAATGTCAGCTGTAAAAATTATTTGAGCTCTATCTTATTTCAGGTTGCTGTAACAAAATACTGAGTAACATACACAACAGGAATTTATTGTTTACAGTTCTTACAATTGTAAGAATTATACTCTCAATTATACTTACAATACTGAGATACTGAATCAGCTTCGTTGTCTGGGGTATATACCCTTATGGTTGTAAGAATTGTAAAAAATTGTCTAAGATCAAGATACTGGCAGATTCAGTGCCAAATTTCCAAACTTCCAAAGACCCCATCACTCAATACCATCACCTCGGTAGTTAGGATTTCAACATATAAACTTTTGAGAATCATAAGCATTCAGTCTATTGCAAGCTCCTTTGTAAGTAATGTGTCACTTTTCCTGCTTTTAAGATTTTCTCCTTGTATTTGACTTTCAATATTTTTACTGTAATGTATCTCTTTGTGAATGTCTTTACATAGATCCTACTAGGAGTTTGTTGAGTTTCTAGGTGTATAGCTTACTGTTTTCCAATAAATTTGGAATATTTTCAGGTATTACTTCTTTGAATATTATTCTGCTTTTTTCATTCTCCTTTCTTTCTCTGGAAGTCCCATTACACTTCTGATGGTGTGTTCAACCATGGCTATATTTATCTTAGGTTCTTTTATTTTTCTTGATTCATTTTTCTCTATATTCTTCATTTAGCATAATCGCCATTGACATGCCTTTGAGTTTTATTATTCTTTCTTTGCAAGTTGAAATATCTTTTTGAATTGTTTTGGAGAATTATTCATTTCAGTTATTGTACTTTTTAACTGTAAAATTTCCTTTTAGTTCTGTTTTACAACATTTGTCTCTTTATTAATATTATCAAATTCATGAATCATTGTAATCAGAACTTTCTTTAATAATAGTTTTCTTTTTTAATTTTGTGAACATGATTATAATAGCCCCTTTAAATTCTTTTTCTGATACATATGACATCTGGTCGCCTTGACAGGCTGTTTCTGTTGCTTGCTTTTTTCTAGTGAGTAAGTCATGCTTTCCGGTGTTTTTGCATGCCTCAAAATTTCTGTTGGAAACTGGCTATCTTTGATAATATGGCAACTCTGGTTACTTCTGCTTTCACTCAATGTATGTTATCATTATTGGCTTGTTTATGTGTTTAGTGACTGGCCTAATTATTTTGGTGAAGTCCATTTTTCCCTCAAATTGTTAAGCTTTTAATGTTACTCCTCAGGGAAACTCAGCTTTGGGAACACTCGCAGTCACCTTGCATGACAGTGGCTTTTGTAAGGCTTTCTTCCACTTTCTCTGACACATCCAGCTATTAAACTTTACTAATTGCCAGCTGATTGCTCCATTGTTTTCAAAAATGTCCTGGGGCACAAATTGCTCTACAAAGTAATCTATTCAAAGTCTGACTCCTTTGAAAAAAAACATTCTGAGGTCAGTGTTTGACATTTTTTTCTGACATCTGGAGGGCTCCTCCATGGTGTTTTATTTCTCCTCTGTAATCTAACCAGCCTACAGTTTAGCCTGTATCTGGAATCTCTTCCTATTTATCTTATCCCACAAATTTCATTATTTTTGAGAGTACATTAAGGTTGAACTTCCCCAAGATTTGTTGGAAATAAAGTCAGTTCTTTGGGGAAAAGATTAAGAACTATCTGTTTTACGGTTTCCTTCTCCCCCCAGGCAAAATCTCTAAACCACAGACAATGGCAAGCTTCTCTCTGAGGGATATTCTTGGTTTAGTGAAAGGTGGGCAAGAGCCTGAGGTCTTCTTGTCTTATCTCTCCCTGTATGGAGCCATTGCTTCAAACTGGGGATATGGATGTTAGGGCCCCAGTATTCTCAGTACTATTAATGTCAGTAAAGTAATGAAAGTTTTCTAAAAAGGGCTCAGTTTTCTAAGTAATTTGTATGCTACACCAAAATAAGTTTATCATGCTCATGACCTTCTTATGAAAGAGTCTTATAATACTCATGATCCATGAAAGAAAATCAGACCAATATTTGACATTCTGTATTCTTTATTACAGAAAGATGTAGAGGTTAGAGGCATTGACCACCCCCTCCAGCCATGCAGTTGAAAATTTGCATATAAATTTTGAGTGACCAAAAACATAACTACTAATAGCCTACTGTTGGCCAAAAGCTTTAATGAAATTGATCAACACTTATTTTGTATGCTATCTCTATTATATAGTGTATTCCTATAATACAGTAAGCCAGATTTTTCAAATGTTAAGAAAATCAGAAGAGAAAATATATTTACTATTCATCAAGTGGAGGTGATCCATTATAAAGGTCTTCACCCTCATCATCTTCACACTGAGTAGGCTGAGAAGGTGGAAGAAAAGGAGAGTTTGTCTTGCTGTCTCAGGGGTGGCAGAGGCAGAAAAAAACCTGCATGTAAATGGACACACAACCTCAGCTTCCTCATCTATACAGGGGACTGAATCAGGGTCTCCTATATCTGGTTTTGCACCCTCTTGGAGGCTCAATTAAAAATATACATATTAGGTGGAATAGCTGCCAATAACAGATCAAGATGGCTGGTACACTTATAAAAGAACTTCAGAGGGAAGGCACTGAGAGCTGATGGAGGAAAGACACAGAAGCTGGGCTGAAGAGGGAGGAAGGCGGGAACCCTGCCCAGGGCTATCCACATCCCGACTCCTTCCTTGCTTCCAGTGACTCCTGGTGAACCTGTGAGTTGAACTGGCAAGGAGCAACTGGCTCCTGACACTAGCCTCTGGAATCCTGGCTGAAGGAGACCCCTCAACCACCACAGACACTCCAGTTGGCAGGGAGAGGTCCTTAGAGAAGTGGTGATGGTAGCACACTGGCTGAGGCAAAGCAAAAAGTGTTTGTTGTGGGAGTCTCTATAGCAGAGCACAACCAGGGAAGCTTATCTCCCTAGCCTCAACTTGCTCCCACAGGAGACTTTAGCCCTAGGGGAACTATCAGACCTAAACTCTGCAGGGCAGTCTTGCCCATCAGACAGGGCTGGTCTGATCTGAGCATTCCTTGGTCTGCTGGCCTCTCCTGGGTCCTTAACCTGTTTCTGCTTGCTTCCACGGTAGTCTCAGATGCCCTGGGGGACTGAATCATAACCCCTATACTGGCAGACGTGCCTGACCAGCATAGAGCTGTAGCAGGGCAGCCCCCACAGCCATACGTTAGCCCATCCACTTCCTCCTCACACTGTAGCTTCACCCAGGCCTACAGCAACCTCCCACATCTTTTTGCTAGCAGCTGGGTAGGCTTTGCCTTCCTTGCCCCACCAGCACACGTGTAATGTGTGCACTCTGTCCTGCCACTGCTGGAGAGGTTGTGGGGAAAAAGGAACATTTATATACTGTTGGTGGGAGTGTCAGTCAGTTCAACCACTGTGGAAAACAGTGTGGCAATTCCTCGAAGACCTAAAGACAAAACTACCATTCGACCTAGCAATTTCATTCCTTAGTAGATACCCAAAGAAATATAAATCATTCTATCATAAAGACACATGCATGCATATGTTCACTGCAGCACTATTCACAATAGCAAAGACATGGAATCAATCTACATGTCCATCAATGGTAGACTGGATAAATAAAATGTGGTACATACATACCATGGAATACTATGCAGCCATAAAAAGAACACGATCATGTCCTTTGTAGGAACACAGATGGAGCTGGAGGCCATCATTCTTAGCAAACTGACACAGGAACAGAAAACCAAATATTGCATCTTCTCACTTATAAGTGCGAGCTAAATGATGAGAACACATGGACACATAGAGAGGAGCAACACACAGTGGCTTTCTATTAGAGGCGTCTATTGGAGGGTGGAGGATGGAGGGTGGAAGGTGGGGGAGGATCAGGAAAAATAACTAATGGATGCTAATCTTAATACCCCTAATCCATGAGTTTACCTGTATAACAAACCTGCACATGTACCCCTGAACTTAAAATGAAAGTTAAATAAATAGACATACAGAATTGACATCCATGTTGTCAAGAGTCAATGTATATGTATATGTATGTCTGTAAATGTGTATTTTTATTCAGCATATATATTTTAGTATAGCACTTTCCAACTTACTTTGTAAACAAATGTTGCTATTAAAAATGATTAAAGTGGCCA
The DNA here is from genome assembly GCF_000001405.40 of Homo sapiens. NCBI lineage: Eukaryota > Metazoa > Chordata > Mammalia > Primates > Hominidae > Homo > Homo sapiens. The sequence goes on along the minus strand of NC_000005.10, from coordinate 12,319,459 downwards.
TGTGTGGTGTGTCACCCCTGTAATCCTAGCACTTTGGGAGGCCAAGGTGGGAGGATCCCTTTAGGTCAGGAGTTTGAGACCAACCTGGTCAACATAGCTAAACCCTGTCTCTACAAAACAAAATAAAATAAATAAGAAACATTTTCAAATTATCCAGTCATGGTGGCATGTTCTTGTAACCCTGCTTACTTGGGAGGCTGAAGTGCGAGGATTTTTTGCTTGAGCCCAGGAGTTTAGGGTTGTAGTGAGCCAAGATTGCACCACTGGACTCCAGCCTGGGTGACAGAGGGACCCTGTCTCAAAAAAAAAAAAAAAAAAGTGAGAAAGGCATTATTTTAATTAAGTTTGGATTTAAAAAATTTTATTGTTATTAATTGCATATTTGTTGATATTTATGGGACACAGTGTGATGTTTCAATATATGTGTATATTATATAATAATCAAATCAGGATAATTAGCATATCCATCACCTCAAACACCTGTCTCTTAGGTGAGAACATTCCAAATTCTCTCTTCTAGATCTTTTGAAATATACAATGTATTATTGTTAATTATAATCACCCTACTGTGCAATAGAACAGCGGAACATATTCCTTCTACCTAACTATAACTTTGTACCATTAACCAACCTCTCACCATAATCTCACCCTCCCACACCTTCCCCAGCCTATTTCCATAAGATCAGCTTTTTCAGATTCTACCTATGAGTGGTATTTGTCCTTCTGTGCTTGGTTTATTTCACTTAACATAATGTCCTCTAGGTTCATTCAGGTCACATAAATAACAGGATTTTATTCTTTTTTATGGCTGAATTGTATTACATTGTGTATACACACCACATTTCTTTTTATCTATTCATCCACTGATGAATACTTAAACTGATTTTACACCTTGACTATTGTGAATAGAGCTGCAATAACGTGGGAGTGGAGATATTTCTTTGACATGCCGATTTCATTTCTTTGGATATATATGCAGTAGTGGGGATTTTTTAATCCTGTGGTAATTTTATTTTTATTTCTTGTAGGAAACCTCATACTATTGTTCATAATGCAGGGAGATTTTATATTGTTCATAGTGCAGAGAGATTTTAAAAACCACATAGTCAATTATACAAAGCAGCAAAATTTAGAGCAAATAATATTTTAAATGAAAATATTAATTTCACTTCTATTAAAGTCACAGAAGTATATAGATAGTGTCTGTTTTAAAACTTATATTTAGATTAAGAGATATTGGTGTGAACTAACATTAATTTTGAAATGGATAGATGAGGTGGATAGATAGATATACATATATGCATACAGATAAATATAGAAATCAACATAGATATGCTGCATATAGATATTAGTATATATACATGTATTTTCTAACTTGGTCCACTGGGAGAAAGCCTAGATGAAATGAAACTTCGAAAGAAACCAGAGCGATGACACACAGATATTGATCTCTAACTGCCAATCTCCAGTAAAAGAACCATGTTTTTATGTGAGATGTTAACACTAAGGGAAACTGGGTCATGGATACACAGAGAATCTCTTTACTATTTTTGCCACTTTTATGTAAATCTAAAATTATCCCCAAATAAACATAATTTTTAAAATATGTAAAATATATACGATACGAAGCAATGTACTCTTATTTTTACACCAGCAAGTATATAGTGCTTATGAAAAACCAGACTAAGTAATTAAATGTATCAGTTTACCATACCCTCATGACAATTCAGTGGACTAGATATTCTTTCACAGATGAAATTTAGGCCCAGAAAGAAGATGAATTTCCCAAGATGCCCTCCCTAAGCTGAACAGCAAAACTTTTCACCCTTGCTGCTGGCTCCACAGTTCCTTCTTTCAAGTGTCACATTTTTCTTCTTACTCTTCTGAAGTGACAGGTTTGAGCAATTTAATACAGGGAGGCACATAAAAGTTGAAATGTGAGATAAAATTTGGAGGTATTCTTCCCAAACATTAGTTTTAAAGAATTAGAATTGTTAACTCAGAAGCTATTTCACTTACATAAATGTAATGGGAAATTGGAAATGTCTGTCTGTGGATGAGAGCATGTCCGGCAAGGCCTGTGTCCATTAACATCAGCTAGAAAAGCTGGATAAATTATAAAAATCTGGAATCTGTCTGAAGGGGCTCAAATTTTGGCTCTGATGTCAAATATGTCACCTTGAGAGTTCACTTAATTATTCTGTGTCTCAGTAACTTGATCTGCAGGTCATAGCACTACCTCGAATGCCTGGAGTATGTAGCACATACTGAGTGATCAGTGCCAAGACAGTGTAGGGTAAAAACCAGAGAGTGGGCTTGGTCAGGACGGAGCAGATATTTTATTTAAGGTGGTATAGAAAGGTCTTGTACACAACAGGCATAGGAACAGAGACCTGCATAATGTGAGGAAGTGAGTAATGTGACTCTCTTGAGAAAGAGTGGTTGAGGCAGACAGAAGGTGCCCCAGGCAAGAGTAACCTTGAGATTCCAGGGTTTGGAGATCAGAAAACAAGGAAGAGATTGGTGGGAGGTATGTACAGAAAGGCCCAGGTTGAATTACAAACCTAAACTACTCTATTACTCAAAAATTTCTATAAAATTACCTGAGACACTACTACCCATAGAACTTTCCTCTACCTTGAAATTTCATACTGCATATGATCTAGGTGCACTACACAAGTTAACATTTAAATTATGGGATTCTGTAGAGATCTTATGTGAATGTTGATTTTTCACTTGCAGCTGGATTGTAAATTTCTTGTGGCAGTTGTAGAGCGTGTGTGTTGTGTGCACACATACACTCATGCACTTGCACAAATATGGGTGTTTTATATTGAATCCCCTAAAGCATCTATAAAATTATCAAGATTATATAATATGATCGATGAATTCTAATGAACACGTTACTTGAGAGTGGGAACTATGGATTTAATTATAACTATTATTACACATTCTGTAAACTTCGTATGTGTTAATTGGAAGTGAAGTTAAATTTGTAATATAGCTTATAAGTTTGATTAGAATTGCACATTCATTATCTATTGTGATCTAGTTTATAGTCATAAGAGATTATCAAAGGTCATTTTAATCTCATTTGATAAACAGTTTAACATTCATTCTGAGAACCCAAATACCTTACCAAAAGTTACATAGTTTTTAAGTAGTGGGGAACAGACTTGAATTGAAGCCATCAGGCCCCAAATATAGTTTATTTTTTCTGTAACTTCGCTATAAGCCAAAACAGTGTTAAAATATTACAAAGTAAGATTAATACTATAAACATTAAAAGCAATATTATTATAGTTTCTAAAAAAGACAAGAACCACAATTCTATTAATTGGAGTCATGACCCTGATAAATAATACTCTTGGAGCCATGTTTGCCTGGCAGTAAAGAAGACCACATTTAAAAGACTGTATTTCTAAAATATTATTGCAACACCAAGTGATAGCTTTCAAAGGAACTAAATTTCTAACAGCAGCAATTGCATGCAGTGCTCTCTGGAGAATGAAATATTTATCCTAATACCTTGCCCATAAGTGACTGGAATGCCAATGAAACCATTCTGAAAGCTTTATATTAAATATTAAAATTATTGAATTATTTGCAGGGAGAAAAATCAAGCAGAATGCAAAGCTGAGGAGTGTATGAGAATTCAGAAAGAATTTTTGGCTCATCTATAAAACTAGAAGATGAATCTCTGACAGATCATGCATTATATTAATACACAGGGAGTAAATTCTCACTTCTCCAATTACTTGTCTGCATTTTTCCCACTTCCCATTTTCTGTAGCAAAATTTGAATCCAAATTTGGATTCTTTTAGCCTCTCAGAGTACTTCTTGGCCTCCTTATGTCAATAAATAGAAAGAAAATGTAAAGTATGTTAAACATTATCCAAAAAATGAAGTGGTAGGCAAATCTGCTGCCAAAATCTTATAAAGTGATTTCCAAAGACAAACAAAATGCGTCTCCCTCTTTATGTACTTATTCACCTTCATTAGCCTGATGATTGCAATACTTACAGCATAAAAGCACAAACTATGTGTGCTGCTCATAATTAGGTTCCTGACTGGTATATCAGATGCAAATTGGGAACACAGGTCTTCAGTTTTGTGGAAACATGTGCCCTGGAGTCATTCAAAAATGTTGGCATTGCCAATGCAGGCATTTGATTACTGACAGATGAGGCATAATCAAATCCGCACGTGTTACCTTTCTTTTAACCACAATGTATTTCATGCAGAACAACTCATAAATAGAACCCAAAGCAAAATTATGTGGTTAAATTCTTTAATTACTAAACTACATGTTATACAACATATATAGATGTATTAGGCATATTAAATATTACACCTAGTCTTAGTATTTATACATGAACTGTATGACATTACATTATAAAAATTTAGAGTTAGAAGGAATCCAGACAATAACCAAAACCATGAGAAATAAGACAATTTTTAAGTTAGTTAATTCAAATACAATTTTGTGATTTCAGAGCAAATAATGGTACTTTTTACTGAAAGAGCCAGCACCATAGTTTAGGAGAGCTGACCAATTTCATTACATTTGTCTCACCAGACCACTATTATCAGACCCTTTCCTTAGCTCTGATACTCTTTTTGTAAATTATATTAATATACAGGTTTCAATACCTCCCTCACATTTGGAAAACTTTAATTTTATTATCTGGTCTTACCCTTGGAAAGATTTGAAACAGATAAATATTCTTACATGCTCATAATTTTAAAATCTAACAAAAAACATGAAAAATTTAGGGACTTTTTAATGGATTTTATTAATGAAAGTAGACACTGTGAGCTTATATTCATCTGGATATTATTTTTTGTGAGAAAGATTTTAAAAAGTAGTACTCTTCTGCTAATTTCAAATGATAAGAAGTTCTAACAATCCTATTCATCATAACTCAATACATACTAAATCATTGAATAATATTTTCACTTATAAAAGTTACACAACATTATTCTAGATGAAAAATAAATGTCTAACCTCTGGGCTAATATTTAGTGATATACGTTAGTGGATCCTCTAGAATCTGTTTTCCATATTATTTAATTATTTAAAAAATTATCTGTTTTTCACCATTATTTAAGATTATGAGACTGACAGGCTGTTGGCTGCGCTAAGTGGGCTCCCTACACCATTATTTCTCATTGAAGAAACAGATTCTCAGAGGCAAGGATACACAAAAGAAAATTTCTCTGGATTCATTCAAGGATTTTCCTGTTAACCTTTTCTTTAAAAATTTCCCTCAACCCTACAGTACCATTTATATTGACTCGGTCACTATTTCAGCATATTGTATCAAAAAAAAAACAAAAAACAAAAAAAAAAAACACCTAAGCAGTAATGATCATTCATGTAAAAGTGTTTGTATGGACCTGTTTTCTTTCTAAAAGATATTTTACTTTGGTAAGAACATTTAACAAGAGATATACCGTGTTAAATTTTTAATTATATAATACATTACTGTTGACTGTAGGTACCATATTATACAGCAGGTCTTTAGAGCTTACTCATCTTGCTAACTGAAACTTCATACCCATTGATTATTAACTCCCCGTTTCTTCCTCTCCTCCACCCCCTGACAACCACTATTCCACACTGCCTTTGTGAGTTTGACTGTCATAGTACTTCATGTAAATGAACTCATGCAGTATTTGTCTTTCTGTGACTGGCTTCTTTCAATTAGTGTAATGTCCTCAGGGTTAACCCACAGCATTATTCATAATAGCCAAAAAGTGGAAACAATCCAAATGTTCATTAACTGATGAAAGAGGATAAACAAGATGTGATGCATCCACACCTTGGATACATCATAAGATATTCAGTCATAACAAGGAATGAAGTGCTGACACATGCTATGACATGGATGAACCTTAAAAATATCATGCTAAGCAAAACAAGTCAGTCATAAAAGATCATGCTTATATTATTTCACTCATATAAAATGTTCAGAACAGAAAAGTCTATGTATATAGAAAGGAGACTGGTGATGGCTTAGGGCTAGAATGGTCAGCCACAAAGGGAAAGCAACTGCTAGAGGGTACAGGATTTCTTTAGGGGCAATGAAAATGTTTGAAAATTAGATTATGCTGGATTGCTATCATTGAATTATATCCTTTAAATGGGCAGATTTTATGTCAATTATATCTTAATAAAGCTGTTTTTAAAAATACTTAGTATTTTGAAACTATTTAAAAACCTACTCTCAATGCCCACTTTTCACACCATACATGTGAAAAAAACCTGATAATCTTCCCACCTACATAAAATAAGTGATAAGAAGGAAAGTTCAAAATATATGTAACAACATCAAACCTCAAGATTTGGGGTGGATCAAATAAGACATTGCTGCAAGCTTCTAGCAAACATGCTAGAAGGGTATGTTATTGTTTGGACAAATTATACCATCAAAATTTGAAGTTAAGTTGGATACTTTTCAGGGCTAAATTTGGTACCTTTTATTGTCATATTTTTACTTGTCTATGTTGTGTTTCACTTAAGGAATGCAGAGTCTATACAGGAAGAGTAGGTGGTTGAATGAAAAAATCTTCAGACATCTATATGTGTATCTATATCCTCAAGGATACTTGATATTATCCCATTAGAAGTTAGACATTCCTTTTTCTGACAGAGTCATACCAAATGTTTCATTTGACTAAAAATTCTTTATAAATTTTACTCTTTCTTCAAAGTCTTATCTGCTGCAAAAAGTTACTTAACCATTCCCACCTTGATTTCTCTCTTTTACCGAGTCTGATACCATATATCTTCTGTGCATGGACCTAGGAGACTCCCTGCAAAATCCATTTTCATTTGAATAAAAATATTTCTCATTTTACAAATTGAATGGCTGGTAACACCTTTAGTAACTTTATACCTTCCAGTGTGCCTTCCACAGTACTGTGCACGCAAGGAATGCCATGAAAGTTTCTTGACTAATTCACAGATATACATTATAAGTCCGTATAAAAAATCTTCACTTTGCATCTAAAATTTGACTCTCCTTGGAACGTGTGACATGAATTTAGACTTCTTAACCTCACTCTTATTTCAATTACTATATGGTAACTGATTTATAATAAATAACGGCCATATGTACTCAGTGTGACTGAGATCTGAGATAAAAATATTTTTACTTAAAAGGAAACATCGTATTGCTACCTTTAATTTTTAATAAGGAAATAAATCCCTTTGGGGCAATAAAAAGCAATACCCTGATTATGTATTGCATTATCGTTCCTAGTACACAGTGCCAGGACTAGCTGGATTCATTTTCCAACAGTAAGAAAAAGTAAATGCATTCAAGCTTGAAGCAACAATGGCAATTCAAATTAGTAGAATGAAATGGGAAGATATAAGCTGGAAAACAAGGCAAAGGTGAAACTTATTACAAACTAAATAAACATTGGTTAAATGTCTATTTTCTTATTAGAAATCAAAAATATTCATTGTTTGGCAGTTCTGAAGAAGAAAGTGTGAAAATAATTGGGTTCCTGACCCAGACAGATTTTTGTTCCTGGTTAACAGATGTCTATGTTACAGATCAAGCTAACCTAACAAATTCACATGTGAGTGTTCTCATTAGAAAGGTGAAAACAATTGGTTCATCGTAATAAGAACTCATAGAAATGTTGATAAACCACATATGCCCTTTTTGGCAAATAAACCCAATTTGTATGCTACCACCAAAGCTTAAATATGCAGTTGTTATGTACATAAATTGAAGCAAATTTTATTACTTGGAAAGAAATATAAGAAAAATAAATGAAAATACTGCTTAGACATTATCGTTTGGTATGTACAATGGTAAAACTGGAAGACATGTAAGATTATATAAGCCTATCTCCAATATACTTTGAATTCTTACTGGACTGGTGGTTATGAAGTGTTTCCCTGACTATTTCCAAAGATAGAACACTCAAGGCTGTTAATATTTCTACATATAATATGAGAATATGAGTCAAAATAAATATTTATTGAATGTCTAGCTTGTAAAACATATTAAACTGGCAATTTTTGCTATCGTCTAACAAAATTTTGGTAGCTTTATAAGCTAGATTATGCTTCTTAAAATATATTTGGTGAAATACTGTTTTGTTTTAAAAAAAAATCTTTTTCACTCTCTCCAGCAAGATGCTTTTGTAAAATAAGAGAAATAATCACAACAGTATCAAATTGCTATACAATTTCTAAAATATTACTCTTAACTTCTGTATACCTGTCTAGTTTGGACCATTAATGAATATTTTAAGGACAAGGAGTAGTTCATGGTCTACACCTTGAGCAGAATAAGATAGATATCATTATGAGAAAACTAGATGTTTTAATTTATTATTACCATTGTACACATTGACACATTCTAGAGTTTTTCTTTTGCTTATTTTGTTTCATTGGGATTAGTATTTCAGTTAGATAATAGCACAAGAAATTTACTTTTAAAAGATCTTCCAATGGCTGTGTGTTCAGCTTCTTGAGAAAATCCATTTGGTTTTCCTGGCTAGAATTGATGGAGCCTTCTACAAGGTTGATAGAGAAGTGGTAAAATGTGGGAAATGTTGATGTCTTGAAAGGATCATGAAGGGAATGTCAACATGAGCTCTAGGTTTCAGGTATGGGCATTTGTGTTGGTGGTTTTACCATTTTTTTTGAATAAGAAGCATTAGAAGTCAAGTTGTTGGAACACAGACACTTAGTGGTTTTCAAATCTTCTTGTAGTTGTAATCAATCTGTCAGCTTTCCCTAAACAACCAGCTGGATCAGACTATGTTCCTTTTAAAGGAGGTACTTACAGTTGGCCATCATCCTAATAGCAAGTGCCTGATGCAGAAAGACCGTTTGACAAATATCTGTAAAATGAATTAAGTGATGACAAAATTTCTATTAAAGATGTAAATTTTTTCAACTTAAATTATCCATGGTTTCAAGATATTATAAAATACGTAAGCTATTCCATTTTAAAGTCACTGCTAATAGAGGAATACACTTTGGATGAAACTCCATGGTTGTGGTTTGCATATTATGAAGACATAATAAATAGCCGTTGGACTAATGGAATGTTTTTATTTGTGCCAGGAGGATAGTGGGCCCAGTATATTTCAAAATGAACACCTGTATATCAAATCTTTTATCTAATTGTTCATTTATTTATTTTATATAAATGTTTATAAATGAACAGAACTATAAATTTACAGTTTAATCTTGTATAATAAAGGTGAAGCTAGCATGTATGTGCTATTCTCAACTTAAGTGTAAATGTCTCTAAAGTTTCTATTTTAAGTACTGATAAGGTACAATTTTCTAAAATTAAAACCATGGCTTCTACACAAATGTAAAAGAACATGTGTCAACATTTTATTCAATTCATTAATCAGTGACAAAACCTGCCAAATGGTAGGTTAGGATCATAAGTAAATTCATATATATATATATATATATATATATAAAATGAAGTAAGCCTAAAATGAATTTACATGTAGAAACAAAGCTAGTCAATGCCCTATGCCCTACCAGCAGAAGATTTTTACTTTGGGGATGGCCTTTTCTATAGACAGTAATCTATGAGTGCACACATAATTTCAGTCTCTGAGCTCTAATCAGTTAGTGGAAAACAAGACAATATAGGTGCATTCTTCTTAATAATAAAATAGTCCTTGAATAAGCCAATGGAATTGAAAGGACTTTGATATAGTTTGGCTTTGTGTCCCCACCCAAATCTCATGTCAAATTGTAATTCCCAATGTTGGGGGAGGGAACTACTGGGAGGTGATTTGATCATGGGGGCAGATTTCCTCCTTGCTGTTCTCATGATAGTGGGTTCTCACGAGATCTGGTTGTTTAAAAGTGTGGAGTACTTCCCGCATCACTGTCTGTCCCCCACTGGCCATGTGAAGACAGTGACTGTTTTTCCTTCGCCTTCTGCCATAATTATAAATTTCCTAAGGCCTCGGTAGCCGTGCTTCCTGTACAGCCTGTGGAACTGTGAGTCAAACCTTTTTTCTTCATAGATTACCCAGTCTCACATGTGTCTTTATAGCAGTGTGAGAATGAACTAATACACACTTATAGCCACCTTTGACTTTATGTCTAAAGATTTGAATAATTTTCATAAATGGGCACATTGCTTGCTGTAGGATTTTGAGAGAAACTTACTAATGGAGTTTCATTCTGTTACTAGTTCGCTAAGATTTTAAAATCAATTCAATGGCATTTCATTCTGTTCTACTTAGCCAAATTTTCTTAAATACGCATTCATGAAATACTTTTTTATGGCCCTGCAGAGATAATCATTTTGTTTTTCTACTTTAGCCTGATGCTATTATGACTATCTAACACTAAAACAAACTTGCATGGCTATAATAAACCACAATAATCATTGTATTGGGTTAAATGTTATATTAAGTTCATTCATAATTTACTTAGATTTTTGCAGCTTTATTGAGGTATATTTGACAAAAAATGTGTAAATTAAGGTATACAACTTGATAGATTTGTATACATATATATTGTGAAATGATCATCACAGGCAATCAAGCCAACTAGCATTTCCATCATCTCACATAGTTAGAATTTTCATATAAATAAGCAAAGATATTGCTGCCTTATAGTGCTCATCTTAATTGAATTTTAATTGTGTGGTTTTTGATATTGATAATATACTAGCTATAGAAATTGAGTTAGGGAGAATTATTGCTTTTTCTAATTTCTATAAGAGATTTTAAATGATATATTATGTTTTCTTCATGTTTCGGTTAAACTTTCCTGTAAATTATCTAGGTCTCCTGTCTTAAGAGTGATGAGACTTGAGTAGCAATCAAATTTCTTATGTTTACTGGTCTAATCATGTTGTCTTAATTCTGGGTAATTTGAGTAATTTTTAATTATAATATTTTAGAAATTTTCTCATTTTTAAAATTTAAAGTGTAATGCATGTAGCGCTCATATCATTATTTTCACTTCCTGCGTGTGTCAGTCTTCCTGTCACTTCACTGTGTTATTTTTCTCTTTCATTTTAACTTGTTACATCTTCCTAAAGTTGGTCTCTTGCATTATTCTTTTCATGTTTTTAGAGGTACCACTTTCTATATTATTATATTATTTCCTCTGTTTCTTTCTTCTTTTTTTTTTTTTTTTTTTTTTTTGAGACAGGGTCTTGCTCTGCCATCCAGGCTTGAGTGCAGTGGCATGATCATGACTCACCACAGCCTCAATCTCCGAGGCTCAAATGATCCTCCCAACTCAGCCTCCTGGAGTAGCTGTGACAGGTGCACACCACCACACCTGGCTAATTTTATCTTTTTCTGGAGAGATGGGGTCTCACTATGTTTCCCAGCCTGGTCTATTATAGTAATTTCTCCTCTTCATTATACCCGTTCTTTTACATTTTTTTAGGTTATTATGATTTATTTTCCCTATTTTCAGATACTTATTTTCAAACTTTTTTCTTGTTTTCTTTTCTTTTCTTTTTTTTTCTTTTTTTTTTGCTTATATTTTAAAAAGTTCACTTAGCACTTAGGTTTAAATGTTATTTTAATGTGGATGAGAAATTTTATCATTTTTTAGAAGTTTTAGCAAAAGGTGTTCAACTTTATTAGCAGAAAAATGTCAATTAAAATCACAGTGAGATATCACTACATACTAGAATAGATAAAGTCATAAAGACTGACACTACCAAGTGTTGACAAGGATTTGATGCATTCGGAACTCATACACATTGCTTGTAGGAATGCAAAATGGTACAGTAACTAGTGATGCGTGCGACATTACATTATACAGTTAGATTCATTACTATATAATCCAGAAATTCTCCTTCCAGGTATTTACCCAAGAGAATTGAAAATATACATTCCAACAAAAAACAAGTATATAAATGTTCATAGTAGCATTATTCATATTAGCCCCACTGGCAACAACACAAGTGGCCATCACTATTAAATGAATAAACAAAGTGTGGTAAATTCATACTGTGGAATACTCAGCAATAAAAAGACAAGAAATATTAATATAGACAATATAGACAGTAACACAGATTCATCTCAAAAACATTAAGAGAAATAAGTCAATCATAAAAGACTCCATACTCTATAAGTCCACTTATATGAAATTCTATAACACGTAAAACTATGACCAACAGCAAACCAAAGGTTGCCTGGAGTGAGGGTGAAGAAAGATTATGGAATACATACAAGTATGAGGAAGCATTTTGTGGTGATGAATTGCTCTACTTCAATCACGGTGGCTAAATGATTTCACACAATTACCAAAATTCACCAATCTGGACACTTAAAATTAATATACATATTACCTTGATAAACAAAAGAGAACAAACAAATTCCAACTAGTTGTGAACAATGTACAGCCAAAATTTAGAGTATTTGTTTATAAAGAGTTCAGTGTGATAAAAAACTTACATTGGTTTACAAAATAGATATCAAAGGCTCAGACTTTTTTCAGCATCAGATTGATGACAAGCAACAAAGAGGGAAAACATATAATGCCATTCTGAAGTATTTTTTATATTCAACATCAGCATTATCATAAGATTTTGTAATTTAGTATTCTGTACCTACGAACAAGCATTTACAAATTTTGGCAATTATAATTTTTTGCGATAAACACATTTTGCTTTCTGACAGTATGAATGTAATTATGAATGATGTGTGCACCACATCCAAATGCAAGCAGATCTCCAACTTTAGAAAACCGTTTTTATCAACATTTGTATTCATAATGTCACCAGAAAATTAATCGTTTCTCTTCAGTGTTGACATTTTAAATTTATTATAGAATAATACTCAGAATTTTTTATATTTAACCTTCAGGAGGATACATTTCAACAGTTTTACTTTGATTTCATAAACTGGATGGAAAAAATTAAACATTAGACTGAACTGGTTTCCTATTTGAAGCAGCTGATTAGTGATCTACAACTGGCACCAATCAACTCTAAAGTTATTCCTCTTCATATAAATTGCTATCACTTTTTCTACAAGAAAAAAATGAAGGAAATGATCAAAAGTACAAAAATGTGGTTTGATCTAAGTAGAAAGCTATCCATTATAGAGTAATAGATGAATCCAGCTTCTGCAACCACACATTTTATTCTTCTTAATTCATATATAACTGTACATATTTGTGTGGTACAGAGTGACATTTCAATACAAGTATACAATGTACAATGATCAAATCAGGGTAATTATTGTATCCATCACCTCAAACATTTATTATTTCTTTGTTTTGGGAATAAAAATCCTCTCTTCTAGCTATTTGAAAATATACAACAAATTATTAATTATACTTACCCTACAATGCTATAGAACACTAGAAATTATTTATCTTATCTAGCTCTAATTTTATACCTGTTAAGCCAACTCTCCCTATCCCCCAGTCCCCTTTCCAGCCTCTGGTAACCACTGGTCTATGTTCTACTCCTGTGAGATTAACTATTTAGATTCCACACGTAAGTAAGAAAATGCAGTATTTGTCTTTTCTGTTCCCGGCTTATTCCACTTAACATGTCCTCCAGACTTACCTATATTACCAAAAATGACGGAATTTCATTATTTTCTTATGGCTTAAGAATTTCCATCGTGTTTGTATACTACATTTTCTTTATCCATTCATTTCTTGATGGACACAGGCTGCTTTCAAATCCTGGCTGTTGGGAGTAGTGCTGCAATAAACATGAGACTGCACATATCTGTTTGATGTACTTGTTTCATTTGCTTTGGGTATATACTGAGTAGTGAGACTGATGAACCACGTGGGAGTTATCTTTTTAACATTTTGAGGACCCTCCACATGGTTTTCATAATAGCTGACCTAATTTATGTTCTTACCAACAGTGTGTAAGAGTTCCTTTTCTCCACACCGCACTAGTATTTGTTACTTTTTAATCTTTTTGGTAATAGCCATTTTACCTGGGGTGAGATGATCTTATTGTCGTTTTTATTTGCATTTCCCTGATGATTAGTGAAGCTGAGCATTTCCTTATATACTCAATGGTCATTTCTAAATCTTCTCTTAATGCCTAGTGTTTCATTATTGGAACGCTAAGCTAGCGGGAGTTATTTATATCCTACTGCTCAAGGTCATCGCCAAGGTCTAATTTTTCACACACACACAAAATTGTAACTTCTGGCATTAATGGGTTAAGAAATGTCTATTCAGATCAATTGCCCAATTTTTAATGAAATTATTTTGTTTTTGCTGCTGAGTAGTTTGAGTTCCTTGTATGCTCTAAATATGAATCCATGTTGGATCAAAGGTTTGTAAATGTTTTCTCTCATTTTGCAGGTTGTCTTTATATTCTGTTGTTTCCTTCTCTGTGTGAAAGCTTTTTAGTTTTATATATCCCCATTTATCTATTTTTTTCTTTGTTGTCTGTGCTTTCAAGGTCTTATGCGTAAAATATTTGCTCAGACCAATGTCCTGAAGCATGTCCCCTGCTTTCTTCTCTTAGTTTCATAGCTACATATTTAAGTGTAAATAATTCAGTTTTAATTATTTACATTTAAATAACCAATGCATTTCGGGTTCACTTTTATATACAGGGAGAGAAGGTTTCTAGTTTAATTATTCTGCATATGAATATCCAATTTTCCCACCACCATTTATTGAAGAGACAGGCTTTTCCCCAGTGTTTGTTTTTTGAGCATTCGTTGATAATCAGTTGGTTCCATATATACGGATTTGTTTTTGGGCTGTCTGTTCTGTTCCATTGGTCTATTATCTGTTTTTATGCCAGTCTTATACTCTTCCAGTTAAAATAGCTTTCTGGTATATTTTGAAGTCAAGTATTGTGATCCCTCCTTCCAGCTTTGTATTTTTTGGCGGGGAGCAGAGCTTAAGATTGCTTTGGCTATTTGGAGACTTATGTGGTTCCATAAAAATTTTAGGATTCTTTTTCTATTTCTGTGACAAAAATGGCATTGGTAATTTGAAAGCGGTAGCTTTCAAATAGATAAATTTGGGTAGTATGCTTATTTTAACAAATTAATTCTTCCAATCTATGAATATAGGATGTCTTCCCAATTTATGTGTGTCCTCCCCAATTCTATTTTTTCATCACTACTTTGCGGTTTTCATGGTAGTGATCTTTTACCTCTTTGGTTAAATTTACTGTTAGATTTTTTTGTAGTTCTTGTGAATGGGATTGCTTCTTTTGATTTGTTTTTCAGATAATTTGTTATTCGTGTACAGAAATACTACGTATTTTTGTAAGCTGATTTTGTATCCTGCCAGTTCACTGAATTTGTTTATCAATTGTAAGAGTTTTCTGCTGGAATCTTTAGGATTTTCTATAAATAAATCAAGTCATTTGCAAACAGGAACAATTTAACTTCCTCCTTTCCAATCTGGATGCCCTTTATTTTTTTTCTCTTGCCTAGTTGCTCCGGCAACATAGTTCCAGTACTATGTGGAACGAGTGGTAAAAAATGGGCATCCTCTTCTTATTCCAGTTCTTAGAGTCTTTCAGCTTGTTCACATTCAGTGTGATATTAGCTGTGAGTTTTTCATATATGGCCTTTACTGTGTTGAGGAAGATTTCTTCTATACCTAATTTGTTGAGAGTGTTTATCATAGAAAGATGTTAAATTTTATCAAACACTTTTTCTGTGTCTGTTAAGATGATTGTAATGGTTTTGTCTTTCATTCTGCTGATGTAATGTAGCTCATTTTTTTGATTTTCATATTATGAACCATCTTGGCTCCCTAGGATATGTCCCTATTAATCACAGTGTATACATTTTTTATTGTGCTGTTGGATTTGGTTTGCTAGTATTTTGTGGAGGATTTTTGCATCTGTGTTCATAAGGAATTTTTGCCTGCAGTTGTCTTCTTCTCTTGTGCGCTTCTCTGGTTGTGTCATCAGAATAATGCTGGCTTCCTAGAATACACTTAGAATTTTCTCCCATTTGACTTTTTGAAATAGTTTGAAAAGAATTGATGTTAGTTCTTATTTAAAAGCTTAGTAAAATTCAGCAATGAACCCATCCATTTCTTGGCTTTTTTTGATGGGAGACCTTATATTGCCAATTTAATCTTTTACTCATTACTGCTCTGTTCAGATATTCTATTTCTTCTGAGCTCAATTTTGGTAGTTTTCATGTATCTAGGAACTTATCTATTTCTTCTTTGTTTTCTAATTTGTTTGCATATAGTTGTTCATAATAGTTACCAATGATCCTTTGTATTTCTGTGTTATCAGATGTAATGTCTCTGTTTTTTCTGTTTTTGTTTATTCGGCTCCTCTTTTTTGTAGTTATCTTACCTGATATGATTTGGATCTGTGATCCCACCAAATCTCTTGTCCAGTTGTAATTTCCAGCGTTGGAGGTGGAGCCTGCTGGAAGGTGATTGGATCATGGGGGTGGATTTGTCATGAATGGTTTAGCAATATCCCTGTTGGCACGGTCCTCAAGACAGTGAGTTCTCATGAGATCTGGCCATTTAAAAGTGTGTGCCACCTTCCCCCTCACTCTCTCTTTCTTGTTCCTGTTGCCACCATGTGTGTGCCAGCTTCCCTTTTACCCTCTGCCATCGTTGTAAGTTTCCTGCACCTCTCGAGTACCCAAGCAGACACCAGCATCAGGCCTCAGCCTACAGAACTATAAGCCAATTAAACCTCTTTTCTGTATAAATTACCCAGTCTGAGGTATGTCGTTGTGCCAATGCAAGAATGAAATATTACACTAGATAATGGTTTGCCAATTGTATTTATCTTTTCAAGGAACCAACTTTTCATTTAATTGATCTTTTGTATTTTTTCTAGTCTCCATTTGGGAGATATCTGTCTTATCTTTATTATTTATTTCCTTCTAGTGATGTTGAATTTAGTTCATTCTAGGTAATTGAGACATATTGTTATCTTATTTGAAATCTTTCTATTTTCTGTTTTATGTGTTCATTGGTATAAATTTCCCTCTTAGTACTGCTTTTTCTATATCCCGTAAGATTTTGTGTGTTGTCTTTCTATTTTAATGTGTTTCAATTTTTTAAAAATTTTCTTCTTAATTTTTTTATTGACCCATTTGTCATTCAGGAGCATGTTGTTTAGTTTCTATGTATTTACACACTTTCTTAGGTTTCCCTTGTTACTAATGTCTACTTTTATTTCATTCTGGGCAGAAAAGGTACTTGATATTATTTCGGATTTTCCAAATTATTTGAAAGTTGGGTAATGGTGTAATATATCATCTATCCTGGAGAATGTTTCATGTGCTGATGGGAAGAATGTGTTTTCTGCAGCTATTGAAGGAAATGTTTGGTCCATTTGGTCTATAGTATAGTGTAGTTTCAACTGATGTTTCCATGTTGACTTTCTTTCTAAATGAACTGACTGATGCTATGAATAAAGTGTTGAAGTCCCCAAATATTTCTGTGCTACAATCTATCACTCTTTTCAGATATAATAATATTTGCCTTTTTTGTTGTGTGTTCCAGTGCTGGGTGCATATATATTTACAAGTATTATGTACTCCTGCTAAAATCATCTCTTTAATGACCTTCTTTGTCTTTTTTAATGCTTTCTGACTTAAGGCCTATTTTATCTAATAGCTACTCCTGCTCATTTTGCCTTTCCATTGGCATGAAATATTACATTTGTCTATTGTCACACTGCTATAAAGAAATACTCTTTGTAAAGAAAAGAGGTTTAATTTGCTCACAGTTCCATATGCTGTACAGGGAGCATTGTTGGGGAGGCCTCAGGAGACTTACAATCATAGCAGTAGGCAAAGAGCAAGGAGGCACATGTTACATGGCCAGAACAGGAAGAAGAGAAGAAAGGGGGAGGTGCTACACACTTTTAAACACCCAGGTCTCATAAGAACTCATTACCATGAGAACAGTAAGGGGAAAATCTGCCCCCATGACCCAATCACGTCCCATAAGGCCCCTCCTCCAACACTGGGGATTAAAATTTGACATGCGATTTGGGCAAGGACAAATTCAAACCATATCAAATATCTTTTTTATCCCATTACTTTCAGCCTATGTATGTTTTTAAAGATGGGGTGAGTTTCTGGTAGGCAGCATAGAGTTGGGTCTTGCTTTTTTAATCCACTCTACTGGTTTATAGCTTATATTTAGGGAATTTAATCCACTTACATTCAAGACTATTATTAATAGCTGTGGACTTATTCCTGTCATTTTGTTAATTGTTTTCTGATTTTTTTGTATATTTTTTGTTATTTTTCTCCTTTCTTATTGTTCATCTTTGCAGTTCTGTGATTTTGTGTTATGATGGTAAGGTTTGATTCTCATCTCGTTCTCATTTCTATTTCTGCTCTATCAGTGCATTTTATACTTTTGTGTGCTTTTATGATGGTAGTTACTGCCCATTTGCTTCCAGATGTAAGACTTTTTAAGCATTTCTTCTGCCAGCCCAGTGGTAATAAATTCCCTCAGTTTTTGCTTTTCTGGGAAAGCCTTCATTTCTTCATTTCTGAAGAACACCTTTGCTGGGTCTAGTATTCTTGAATGGCAGAATTTTGCTTTTCTTTTAGTACTATGAATATATAATTTCATTTTCTCCTGGCCTACAAGTGTTTCCCTGTGAAATATTACGCTAATGAGGATTTCCTTGTATCTCTTGTTGCTTATCTCTTGCTACTTAAAGATTCTTTCTTTGTCTTTGACTTTTGACATTTTGACAATAATGTGTCTTAGAGGGTACTTTAGGTTGAATTTGTTTAGAAATCTTTCATCTACCTTGATCTGAATGTCCATCTTTCTCCCAAGATGTGGGAATTTTTCAGCTATTATTTTATTACATAGGTTTTCTATGCCTTTTCCCATGTCTTCTTTTTCTGGAATACCCAAAATATGAATATTTCTTATCATAATGGTGTCCCATACATCCTATAGACTTTCTTTACCATTTTTTCTTTTTAGTTTTAGTTTAGCTTTTCTTTTTAGTTTTTTCTTTTTACTTTTCTTTTTAGTTTAGTTTTGTTTTGTTTAAACTGACTTTGTCATTTCGTAAGACATGTCTTCATGTTTAGAATGTCTTTCTTCTGCTTGATCTACTTTATTGTTGATCCTTTTGATCCTTTTTTATTTCATTCATTAAATTTTCAGCTCCAAGATTTCTGTGTGATTCTTTTTTATGATATTTATCTTTTTGTTGAATTTATCATTCATAATATAAATTGTTATCCTGATTTTGTTGGATTTTCTCTCTTTATTCTCTTGTATCTTCCTGAGTTTCCTTAGTATCATTATTTTGAATTCCTTTGCAGGCATTTCATTTACTTCCTTTCCTTTGGGGTTGTTTACTACAGAGTTACTGTTTTCTTTTGGAGGTGTCATACCTTCTTGCTTTTTATATTTCTGTGGTCCTATGTTGATATCTACACACCTTGCCACACAATTGCCTTTTCAATTTTACAGAATAGCTTTCATAAGTGAAGACCTTTTTCTATAGATGTGACTATTGTTGCAGTTGGGTAGAGTGCTTAGGAGGTGCAGTAGTGTGGTCTCTGTGATTTTACTGGTTGTAATCCAGTCATCAGTGTCGTCAGGTTCCTCAGTGGCCTAGACTGTGAGCATTTGTGAAGGCATTAGTGTGTCTTTGCTGAGTTGGGGTCATCAGCAGCACTAGTCAACAAGAGGGATAGTCATTAGTTTCTAGGGGAATAGGTTACATGTAGCATTCCACAGCTCTATCAATAGCAAGGGATTGGTCACTGCCACCAGCAACCACCAGGTGGGCCTGTCATCAGACCCAGGGGAGCATATACACCACCCTCAGCAGCTTTGGTGCTACCAGTCACAGGGTTAGGGTTACCAGCAGCAGTTAACTCCTATGGGTCTCTCCTCAGTCTCTGAGGGAGCACACACAGTGCTTAGCTACTGTACCAATTGAGGGATTGTGGTTGACACCATTAGTGGTTGTTGGCTCCCCAGGTAAGTAGGCAGGCATGGTACTTCTCCTTGGGGCAAATGATGCTGCATGGGCTCAGGAAGGGTCACAATTGCTGGTTCAAGCTGGAGTCATGGTATTACATCCATTTTTGTAGGCATAATGAGAAAACAGTAGGACTCTAGGGATGTGGAGATGCAGGGGCTAATAAGCCCTAGGAGAGAATGTTCTTCAGCAGTGACTCTGCTTTCAAAATGATGTACCACAGCAGATTAGATCCTAAGGAGTGAGACAGACCCAGCATGAGTTCCCTCTCTGGAGCAATACAGCCATCTGAACTCTAGGCAGCTCCTTATCCTGAGCTTGGCCTATGAGGACTATGAGTCTCTCATGAAGCTAGTATTGGAGGCATTCAGAGTTGTAATCAGGACTGCTGGGGGTCTCTTGCTTACATTTTTCCCAAAATGGGTAGCTCATCCTAGCTCTGGGACAATCCTGGCTGGGTGCTTCACTTCCCTCTCTATGCTGTTACCCTAAGTTAGTGTACTCCAGAGAATCTTGTCACTTTCTTGCTGAATTCTTGTGTTCTGCAATTTACTCTGCTTTTAGCCACTCTACTTGAAGTGCAGTTATGTATTTCCTGTTTTTGGTCCTTTTTTGAGTAAAAGAGAAGCATTGAATAACTCTACTCAGGTATCTTGATCTTCATACATTTTAATCTGCAGTATTATTATTGTGCTTTAAATATTGCATAATCTATTTTAATTTCTTCTTTAACACATAAGATTTGTGGAAGTTTTTTCAAAATAATTTTGATTTACTCATCAGTGAAATTTTTCTTTTACTATGGTTTTGCAATCATTTTATTGGTATTTTCAAATTCATTGATCCAATGGCATATTCAATATTAAGTAAATTCATTGAAATTTTAATACTTCTATTATAGCGCATGAGTTTTGTCTGCTTAAAAATGAATTTTAAATTATTATGTAGAATGATATAATTATAAATGTGAAAAGGGATCATAAGGATCCCATACACAATAGCACTTCTTTTTCCCACTACCATAATTTCAGCCAGTTAAGAGGTAGTCACTACAGACAGGCAAGTAGAGACAAAAAGCTAGTTTATAATTGTTAAATTGACCATGAGAAATGTGACTTAGTTGTCCTTGGCAATGGCTTACTAGTATATGACTCCTGAATTAGGCAGACTTACACAGGTAGAATCACTGGCAATGCTGCTTTACTGTGAGGGCTTCACTCAACCAGTATGGCATAAAGGAGGGCAATGGAGCAGAGTGTAGAATCTCTAAATGCAGATAGATCCTTAAAAGGTGAGGAAGGCTGCTCGGTTTTCCCTCCCAATCTCTTAAACTTATATGTCTCTCTGCCTCGGAAAATGAAAATATATGAAGGAGGGATATAGTAGCCAGAGGAATCCCTTCTAGCAAATGCAATGGAGATTGCTTATTTTAACTGTGTTCAAATAACACAGTTACAATAATTCAAATAATGTAACATAATATTCAAAATATCATGTAGTCTGTTTTTCATTTACTGTTACAAAATTTTCTGAAAGAAATGAGATAGTGCACTATTATTGTGGCTTGAAATATGTTGAATTTTGCTTTATATGTTTTGCATTCTAACTGCAGATACATATGAATTCATGACTGCTATAGCTTTTTGTTGGATTTTCACATTTATTTTTGTGAAGTATCCAGAACAGGATTTCATATTACATTCAGTTCTCACATTTTTTAATCTTTTAAGATAAACTAGGTATTCAGTCTGTCTTTGCCTTTTATAAAGGATGTAATCCATTATTTTACACAATATTTGCCTTCATTTTTATACTTTTTAAAAAGGTTTAGAATTCTAGGTTAGCCAATATTTTCTTTTATCACTTTAAATGTATTTTGTCCTGGCTTTAATCATTTTTGAGAAGTCAGCAATCGATCTTATTTTTAATCTTTGAAGTTAATGAATAAGCTTTTTCTTGGATAATTTTGGAGTTTTCCATTTCTTTTAGGTTTCTATCATCTAAAATGTATGTATGATGCTTGCTTCCTTTAGCGGCACATATATTAAATTGGACTGATACAGAGACGAATAGTGTGGCCCCTATGCAAGGATAACATACAAATTTGTAAACTGTTCCATATTTTTGCTATTAGAAAACATTATGAGCAACTATAACCCAACAAACCAGATTACCTAGAAAAATGGATAAATTCCTGGACACGTATTGAATATCAGAGAAGTAGAAAACCTGGAAAGACCAATATCACATAATAGAATTGAGTTAAAAATTTAAAAATCTCCCATCAAAGAAACGCCCAAGACCTGATGTCTTCACTGCTGAATTCTACCAAACATTTAAAGAAGAACCAGTGTCAATTCTTCTCAAACTATTCCAAAAAAATGAAATGGGAGAAAATTCTTTCAAGCTCATTCTTCAAGATGTGCATTATCCTGACACCAAAACATACAGCAAAGCAAATAAAACAGCACATCAACAATATTATTTAACCATAATCAAGTGGGACTTATTCCAGCATTCCGAAGATACTTCAACATATGCAAATCAATAAATGAGATACATTTCATCAACAGAATGAAGAAGAAACCCATATTATAATTTCAATAGATGTAGGAATAGTGTTTGATAAAATTTAACATCCTTTTATTAGAAAAACTTTCAACAAATTAGATATAGAAGGAATTTACCTCAACACAACAAAGGCCATATATGGCAAACCCACAGTTAACATCATACTGAATGGGAAACAGGTGAAAACTTTTCTTCTAAATCCTGAAACAAGACAAGGATGTCCACTGCTACTATTCTACATACTACTGGAAGTCCTAGCCAGAGCAATTAGGTAAGAGAAATAAATTAGGGATATTTATATTGGAAAGGAGGAGGTAAAATTGTCTCTATTTGCAGAGAGCATGATTGAATATAAAGAAAAGCCTAATGACACCACCAAAACAATGTTAGAATTAATAAATAAAGTCAATAAACTCACAGGATACAAAATCAATATACGGAAATTATTAGCATTTCTATATGCCAACATGAACTACCTGAATAAGAAATCAAGAAAGCAACCCCATTTATAATAGTTACAAAAATACAAAATATCCTGGAATAATTTAACCAATGAGAACATCTCTACAATGAAAACTATAAAATGTTGATAAAACAAATTGAAGAAAACACAAATAAATATTAACATATTTCGTGTTTATGCATTGGAAGAATTAATATTGTTAAAATGTCCATGTGATCTAAAGTTACCTACAGATTCAATGCAAACCCTATCAAATTACCAAAGCTAATTTTTATATATTTTTATTTTTATATATACAGAAAAAAAATCTTAAAATTTGCATGGAATAACGAAAGTCCCACACATAACCAAAGCCATCCTGATCAAAAAGCACAAAGTTGGAGGCATCAAACTACCTGACTTCAAAATATACTACAAAACTATTTCAACTAAAACTTCATGGTATTGGCATAAAAACAGACACACAGACTAATGGAACAGAATAGAGAATCCAGAAATAAATCCACACATTCACAGACAACAGCATTTCAAAAAAGGCACCAAGAACACACATAGGGAAATGTTAGTCTTTTCAATAAGTGGTTCTGGGGGAAACTGGATATCCACATAAAAAAGAGTGGAACTAGACCATTCTCTCTCACCAGTGACAAAAACTAACTTAAAATTAATTAAATTCCTAAATGTAAGACTCCAAACTATAAAACTACCAGAAGAAAACCTAGAAACCTAGAGGAAAGGCTTCATGGCATTGGTCTTGGCAAAGAATTTTTTTAATAAGAACTCAAAAGCCCAGGAAACAAAATAATAAATAGACAAATGAAAATACATTAAACAGAAATGTTACTGCACAGCCAAAGAACCAAGCAACAGAGTGAAGAGACGACCTACAGAATAAAAAAAAAAAAATTGCAAACTACACAGCTGACAAGGGGATAATATTCAGAATATGTAAGGAACTCAAACAACTCAATATAAAAAATATAATCTAATTTACAAATGGGTAAATGATCTGAATAGACATTTCTCAGAAGAAGACATACAACTGGCCAAGAGGTATATGAAAAAAATGCTCAGTATCACTAATCATTAGGAAAATATAAATCAAAACATCAGTTAAATATCATCTCATCCCACGTATAAAAGCTATTGTCAAAAAGAAAAATGGTAACAAATGCTGGCGAAGATATGAATTAAAGGAAACCTACCCACTATTGATGGGAATGCAAACTTGTGTAGCCATTATGGAAAACAGTATAGATGTTTCTCAGAAAGTAAAAATATGACTACCGTAACATCCAGTAATCCCACTACTGGGTATATATCCAAAGGAACTGATATCAGTTTTTAAAAGAGATGTGTACACTCTCGTGTTGTTGCAACACTATTCAAAATACCCAAGATAGGGAATTAACCTAAGTGTCCATGAATGGATGAATGAATAAAGAAAATGTGGTATATTTACACAATGAAATACTGTTCAGCTTTAAAAAAGAATGAAATCTTGTCACTTTTTACAGGTTAGATGAGTCTGGAGGACATTATGTTAAGTGAAATAAGCCAAGCACAGAAGGACAAATACTGCATTACCTCACTCATACATGAAATCTAAAAAAGTTTATCTCATAAAACTAAACAGTAGAATAGTATTGTGGGATCTGGCCAGCAGCCCACAATGCAGTGGGGGTCTCTCTTTGTTCCCAGGCGGATCAGCAGGTCAAGAAATAATAGACACACACAAGATAGTGAAAGCTGGGTCCAGGGGGGTCACTGCCTTCTGGTCCCACAGTGCCAACGATGCACTGGATATACCAGCATTTATTATTAAGTTTAGTGAGGGCGAGGGTAGATTAGTGAGGGATTTAGGGTCATTTGATTATGAGGTGTGATGGTCACATGGGGATGAAGTAATTCTTTAACATAACATCTGTATGCAGAAGTACGGTATACAGAGGTAAGAATTTACAATATAGTGTGTGCATCAGTAATTTCTAACAGAGCTTTAAAACAGAAACACCGTCTTTCCATAACCTATGATTAGCAAGATATTAATCAGCAGAAACAGTTGCAGCAAAAGCTGGTTACAAACAATCCATAGAAACAGGACGTGAAGCTAGACAACCGGTTTGACCAGAAATTCTTAACCCTAGGCCTTAACCCTAAAGAGGCCTAGAAGAGCTGTGGCAAGATGAGGGCATCTATAGCCCTGTCTTATCCATATGGACAGGCACCCCTCATGCGTCCATTTTCTTTTCATATCTCTTACAACTTACCTAATATCTCTAATGTTTTCTTTTTATATTTCAGTGTTTTATTGTGTGATTTCTTCACATCAGTTTTCCAATTCACTGAGTGTCTATTTAACAGTGTTTATTAGTTGATTCATATAACATATTTATTTCAAATATTAAATTCTCACATCTAGGGATTACTGTATGACTACTTTTCAATTTCCTTTTAATAATAGTTTCCTATACAAATAATGTTTAGACCTATTTCAATGTTTTTCATAATTATTTCATCTTATTTTTGAGGCATGAAATATCCTAGGCTGTTGCATTCTATATGTCATAGCTGTGGATTCTTTTAGATGCTTTATACTTTCAGCAAGAGCATCCATGGTAATTGCACTTGTCTGTCTTATGGTGTAATCCCTATGAATTAGATTTGCAGTGAACTCTGACCAAGTCCACAAGCTTACCAAGCTGATTTTTGTTTTGTTTTTGTTTTTGTTCAGTAATTGTTATATTTTGTTTGGGCTAGAAAGTGGGATTCAATTTAAAAGAATCTTTAGTAACTTAGAAGTAATATTTCAACACACAGCAATCAGTTAGGAAAAGTTATTTCTTACTTCAAATATTATACTGTCATTTCCAGGATTTTCGTATAATTATTTTCAAGTTTTCTTTCTTTTATTTTATAAATAAACTCATCTTATACAAATGATGATTTAATTATTTCATAGACTGTTTATATTGCACTGTTATATCTTCTTTCTTGGATATGAAATTCCCTTGTTTGATATATGCAAGGCTAACTGTGCTTTAATTGCTAGTAAATTCTTCCATGATCTAGTAGCAATATTTCAATAAATATCAAAATATACAATTGTTGGGCAACAAACAACATATATGCATCTATTAATTTATTTTTACATGTATACAGTAAAATTACACTTTCTAGTGTACATTCTGTAGGTTTAGACAAAACTATAGTTGTATACTCACCACCACAATTAGAATACAGACGTTTCGTTATCTCCAGAATTTCTTTCCTTCCACTTTCATCCTCTGGGCACCAAATCTGTTCTCTGTACCAATTAGTTTGCTTTTCCAGAATGCTATGTTATTGGAATAACTCTACATGACATTTAAAAGATGATTTTTTGAAAACAAACAAGTACTTTTTTCTTTGACAATTAAAGAATTCCTCCTCACGTCTTCAAATTAATCAATACATTATTTTTTAATAACAAATGAAATTACAGAATTTCAAATGATAGAACCATTTAGAAAGGTGCTTGTAAAAAATTTTTTGTAGTTTTCAACATGAAATAGCGTCAAATAATAATTAAATTAAACCTCATCAAAATAGCTCTCTTGACCATCTGCTTGGGAAATCTCTTCCAGAGTTGTTTCAAGTCTGTAGAAATGAATAACACTGCCTTACTGCCCCCTAGTGTTTGAAGTTTATGGATACCCCAGCAGAGTTAAGGAAACATCGCTGTTATACTTTGCCAGGTGTTCTGGCACACTCTTATTTTACATCTGGGATGATTGGTAGTGACGAAACGCATAAAATCTCATGACAATAAATATCGAGGCATATGATACATAAGGCAAAAATCACTAGTATAATACCCAAGTCAGGTGGAAATGTGCTTTGCTAATTCCAGTCTGTTTCCCAGGTGGAGAAATCATTAGGAGAGGGGAAAAGGATAACACACACCACTAACCTCCAATATTGTCCAGAGTTTTCAAGGCATGGTTATAGAGCTGTAATTAATTCATAGCATAAGAAGGATATCTAACATTACGAGCAACATTCTAGACAAGCTGGACAAAGAGATTTTCTGTGTTAGTTCGGATCTTCTGAGAAGCACACACCAAAATAGGATTCAAGATGCAAGAAATTTACTAGAGAAATGTGCAAAGTGATTGGAATGGTGTGTGACATGTTTTAAGTTCTATATATGTGTTTGCTGTATTAAAATATTCCATCGATGAATATCTTAGTGGCTTCCAAAGTTTCTCTACCATTAGTAGGTTTGTCAGATTTAGCAAATAACATACAGGATTCTTGTTAAATTAGAACTTCAGATTAGCAAAGAAGAAATTTTAGTAAAAGTATGTCCCATGCAATATTTTTTTCTGAAATTAAAAGAAACTACAAATATGTTAATGGCGTTCTGCTAGTCATAAATGAATGCAATTATGTACAAGAACAAGATTCTTTTGAGTAAATGACAGATTTGATTCCAAGGCATAATCAGAGATTTTTTTAATCAGTCATATCACCATTCATAGTTTCACTGTGTGTGTGAGTGTGTTTGTGTTTGTGTTTCAGACGAATCAAAGTAAAAATGCTTTAAGTGATGAAATGCAGATACACTACTGGGTATAAGATACCAAATAATACTTATATCTCATAAAAACAAACCAACACATTTTGTCTCTAGTATTTAATTTGTTTCTAATTTTCATACAAATGTAAAACTGAAAATTCACAGTTAACTGCTATAATCTCAATAACTTGCAATAAAATGTGTTTAAAAGGCTGAAACATTGACAGGTGCCTATGATTTAACATGATAATTTGCCTAGATTTTCAAGCATTTCATTGTATATTAAAAACCAAAGTGCTGATCAGAACAGGCTTTGATATCATTTGAAATTGAGTTTCTAACTTTAGCTTTGAATCTTGAAAGAGCCTGGTAGGTCTCAATGCACAAAGAGAGTAATTAGACATATTGAGAGGTGAGAATCTTTGCAAAAGCCTCACTTTTGAAAACCCAGAAATATTTTAAGGAGTGCCATTGGGATTTCTTTCAAAATGTATATGATAATTCATCTGCAAAGTGTTGAAAATGAAAGGTTTACCAAAAGTTGATGTTATATCTATATCCTATAGTCTGGATCCATGATATCAAGGCACACAGTCAGCTTCTATCTACTTGTTTTCATTTGTTTATTTGGTTGCATGCAGAGTACTTATTAAATTTAATCTTGATACTACAGATCCACGCATTACCCTGGACTTGTCACCCTACAACTCAACATAGTAAATGTTTTCACATAGTTGGATAAAAATGTTAAGTGGGCATGGTTATTTTATATATATATATATATATATATATATATATATATATATATATGTATGTAATTATATATAATTATTATTATATGGTCAATAATTTTATGTATCTTTGTTAATACAATAATTATATGTATACAATTGTATGCAACTGTGCTACATATATGTGGAGTTACATATATTTCACTTTTCCATTCAACTGGAGAATTGATGATTTTTTTCTTGCTATGTAAAAATAGAAGGATATTTTGTTGACGGGCCAACGCATTCTCATACATTATGTTTATGTACTTTATCCTTGAAATCCCCAAAAGCAATGTCTGGATTTGGTTTATCATTAGAATTCCAAGGCCCATGTACTTCACATGATTTTACATAAATTAAAGAAATTGAGTAATCTCAGTGAATTTAAGATTATACATTTCTATTGAATGATTTCAACCATCCCATGATTATATTTGAATAAATGGCTTAGTATATGTTAACATATAACTAAAATATGTATATACTAAATATAAATTTTTACTTGTGGTGTTTTAAATTTTGCCCAACATTCTTATTGCTTTGATAACTATTCGACATTCAAAACTTCTTTCTACATGGTTCTACTGCCCATGCATAGCATCAATTATCTTGTCAAAATATGATAGATGGTTGCATGCTAAATCCCCAAATACCTCAGTAGTCAATGTTTTATCAGTTTTGATGAAGAAGTGTGTTTTTCTGGGAATCTTCCATGATAGACATTTTCGACTTTGGTTGCGTTTTGGAATTATTTGGGGACCTCCTAATGTTCAGCTGCAGACACCCTGGCCCAGTCAATTTCATCAGAATTAACTCTCCTTTGGTGATTTCTGGAGTTTTAAGCTGAAGGAATTGTATAAATAATAGCTTCAAAGTACTTACCCAATTAAATTATTCTTCCATTCCCATTCATCCATACATTCACAAATATGTATTGCAGGTCTATTGTTAACTAATTATTGGAATAGACATTGGATATTCAGTAATCAGTATAGCAACAAAAGTTCCTGTCTTTATCTTGTCTAGCAGTGATAATATATATTTGACAAGCAAAAAAGCTAATAATTGTAAAATGGGAGGGAAGTAAACAGAGCTCAGAGACAGAAAAGAATGGCAGGGCTATATTAGTAAGGTGTAGGATCAAATGCTACTCTAGAGATCCCTAGATAACACTGGTTTTATTAAGAACGTGTGTGTGTGTGTGAATATATGTGTGTATATATATATATAAGAATGTGTGTGTGTGTGTGTGTGTGTGTTTCACAAAACAGCAGTAAACAGCTCCATCATCCCTAAGGGATTTACTCATCCACATTTTCTAAAATGGTACGCCAGAACCTGCTAATACTAGCCTGCACCTTTTCTCTTTTATATATACTACCCGAAAGTTGCAAACACTCCTCCCACTTTGATCCCATTAGCTAAGATTTATCTCATGGCCACACCTAGATACAGAGAGTTTCTAAAACGCTATTTTTGGCTTTCTTTTCTCTGCCTTTTTTTTTTTTTTTTTCTTTTTTGAGATGAAGTCTCTCTCTGTCTTGCCCAGGCTGGAGTGCAGTGTTGCTATCTTTGCTCAATGCAACCTCCATCTCCCAGGTTCAAGCGATTCTCTTGTCTCAGCCTCCCAAGTAGCTGGGACTACAGGCATGTGCCACCACACCTGGTTAATTTTGTATTTTTAGTAGAAATGGGGTTTCACCATGTTGGCCAGGCTGATCTCAAACTCGTGACCTCAGGTGATCCACCCACCTCGGCCTCCCAGAGTGCTGGGATTACAGGCATGAGCTACCACACCCGACCCTCTGCCTTATTTAAATGGACATTAGAAGAAAGTTGAAAGGAATGCTGAACCCTCATCTACCAATCATGCACTGAGAGCTACCTCAGATATTTCTAGAAGGTCTCCCTAAGGAAGTGTTTGTAAAACCGAATGAATGAGAAAGAGCCATACACTTGAAAAGGTAGAGGCCAGAGGGCCAATGTCCTAAAGTTGGAACAAGCTTGCGTGTTAAGACCTAGGTAACTAAAGAATACTCATTACATGAATAGGCGGTGAAAAATAAAGTTGCGGAGGAAAATAGGAATGGAGTATACACATTTGTGCATGCCAAGTGATATATTTTGCATTTTATTCTAAATTCATTGGAAAGCCATATGAATAGCTTACATTTTCAAGAGATGACTCTTGTTATTTTGAGGATTTGGGAGTTGTGAGGAACAATAAAAGAATAAACACAGAAAGTTGCATAAATACTGAAAGCAAGATATGACACTAATTTGGATTAAGTTGTAGCAGCAGAGAAGGTAATAAATGAAAATATTCCAGGTATAATTTCGAGACAAGGTTATCTGATCTGCTTGGTGGTTGTAATGTGGATGCTAATAGAAAGAGAAGAAATGAGGAAGGGTCAAGTTTCTAGATCAAGCCACACGGTAGATGGTGGTGCCGTTTACTGAAATGGTGACGAATGAGGGAAAACCTGATTTGGGAGGAAATATCAAGGCTCTTATCAGAAATGTTAGTCGTGATACCTGTGATCTCCTTAAATCCAAATGTCAAATAGGGCATTAGCTATATAACTCCAGATTTTGGAATAAAAGTCTGCAGTATAAATAGAAATTAAGATCTATTAAATATTTTCTGGATAATTAAAGCCTTGGAATGTAAAGTCCTCTGAAAGTGAAGAGAGGGATGAGCCACAGACTAAGGTGAGCTCTGAGGAACACAAAACTCAATGGAGAGAGGGGCGAGGGGAATGAACTAGCAGGGACTTGGGTTCTCCTTCTTTTTTAAGGCTAAATAATATTCCACTGAGTATTTTTCACAGTCACCAAGGTATGGAGGCAATCTAAGTGTCCATCAACAGATGACATGGATTAATAATGTGGTATCCGTATAACACAGCAGGTATGTACCTGTTCTTTATGTACATAGGATGTGAGCTTCATGAGAATTAGAGTTGTGCAATTTAATCTATAGTGAAAGAAAGGCAGAACAGTGTTTGCCTGTAGGAGGGATGTGGCCGTAGATTGACTGGGAAGGGTTACATGAAAGCCTGAAAGCCTCCTGGGGTGACAGTAATATTCTATACCTTAATAGGATTTGGGGTTTAGAAAGACATTTGTCAAAAATTATCAAAAAATATATTTAAAATGTGTACATTTCATTGAGGTAAATTTTAGAAAAATAGTAAATAGGTATTTGAACTCTAGGTAATGTTATACATGCTCAAGAGTTTAGGGGTGAAACATATTTTCTAAAATTTATTTGGAAATGAATACAAAATAAGATAGATTGAGAAATGGACAGATGTATAGATAAGTAATGCAACCAAAGCAAAATGTTTATTGTAGAATCTAGATAGGGAGTATATGGTGCTCCTTGCCCAACTATTTCTGTATATTTGAAAATATTCATAATAAAATATTGGGAAAAAAAGTATTAGAGTTGTGCATTTGAATTCTCAGAGCTTCACACAATGTCTGATGCAAATTTTTAACAAAGAAGGAAGAAAATACAGTTTATATTTTGTAGGACTATTCACATATACTATCTTAGTTAATCTTCAGAGATAAAATTACTATCAAATCATTTTATATTTAAAAATGGTGGCTTACGAGTGACACATTGTATGAACTTGGAAAAGCTAGTAAGTAACACAGCTAAGTTTTAAGAATTGTTGTCTTTATTCTGAAGCCCATAATTATCTACCACATGAAAGTTAGGCAAGCATTTCTTGTGCAGAAACAGATTGATTTGAGCCTATTGGGAATACCTAGAAGACCTACCAGAATGCATCATTCAAATCCATCCAGCTAACAGGACACTGGGTAAACTCAGAATTATTAGAGGAATTTACTAATCAGAGTAGAGAAAAAGAAAATATCACTTGCATGAATATAATTATCTATTATTACCTTATGTCTAAGACATAAAAATATATTTGTAGCTCTAAGTACTTCATATTTATGATAAATTTTTCACTTATCTGCCATAATATGTGGCAATCACATTGTAAATGTGTCATTTCTTAGCAATCAAATTTGGAATTGTCCAGCAGGAATTTATTGAAGACGCATTTATTTCTACAGCGGATTTACTACTGGACATGGAATTACATTTTAATCAACAACTTGGAATGAGGAATCCTAGATTATTCCATTCATGCTTTACTTTTTATAATATTGAAGGCAATGTTTTAATTGTATAACTCATCACTTTTTTGCTTAATATTTACAGATGAAAAGTCTGATTTTATGTTTTCAAACATGAATTTTATTTTTTATTGCAGCCTTTAGATATATCACTAGGTGTATTTTTGGAAGTCTAGGGGCTTTGTTGCTGTGATCATGTTTTAACAGAAAATAAGTCTATAGCTAACTAGCATCATCTTTCCTATTACATATAAAAGTCCAGCCTTAAATAGCTCTTATTCATGCCATCTGAAACTAAAAAGTCTTCATAAGGTCTATTTTAGGTATTAAAGAAATACAGTTGTTTCTGATTGTAAAATTTCTTTACTAATTGTATATTTAATATATGATAGTCATTGATAGTAATTGCTTAAAGTTGTATCATATTCTTATATTGTCTAAATGAGGTAAGCTCACTAGTTAAAGGCAATGGCAGAATGTTCAAATGTATCTTTTTATAAACCAGCTATATTTTTCTTTCTTTCCACAACCTTATGCTAAATCAATATCCTCGATTAATACTCTCACAAATATGTGACTTTTTAAATGAACGAATCTTGATATGTCAAGAGACTGTTAATGGCATAGAAAATTTCACAAAACATTGGCCAACTGGGTTTTATAGTTGTAATATCATTTTATATTAAAAATAACCATGCCTGAAATAACAGTTCCTATTCATACAATAATAATCACCATCATTGTTTAAGTATATTATGTCTCATCTTCCTCATCCTCATAGCACTGCTATGGGTTACATAGTTGAAAAAGCTGATCTCATCTACTTTAAATGAGGAAAGTGGATTCTTATCGACATTACTTTAGGTTAAACAAGTTCGGCAACTTGCAATAGTTCACACAATCAGTGGGGGCTGCCAGGCAGGGAGTTGAACCTGTCTTCTTTCCACAATCCCCCAATGGCTTCAGCTGAGAAAAAAAAATATTGAATTTTCCACAATATTTTGTATTTCTCTTATTGGAGATGTAAAACATTTTCCTTTAAATAAATATTTTCTACCTTCATAGCAGTGTATGCATGATGATATTTAATATTTGGCAAACAGTGCATCTCCAGGCTCTGTAGCAATATTGATGTTTTGAGTAACTTTTTTTTTTAATATAGTGAGGCTAATGCAACATTTTCAGTGCCATCAAAGTAAAGGAAAATAACTTATGATTCCTGGTCCAGGAATCATATTTGTTACATTAGAGCATTTCAACACAATTTTTAGGATACATGTATCGTTAGATTTCCATGAGTGAACACAGAACCATAAAAAGCAAATTTGGGACAATTCAGGAAGATTAGGGCAGAGAAAAGGTGGTGTGGAAATCACCAGAGCAAGAGAGACCTGGCTGAAATCCATAATAAGGCATTTGCACTCTGAACTAGGTCTACTTTCGGCGGCACCCTTGATCATGTACTGGTTCTCTCCACCCTTTGGACCATGGTCCTAGCATTCTTTTGTTATTGAAGAAATTATTATAGCAAATGAGGATCTAAATTTCTTACATTGACAGGAAAATGAAAAGATTTCTCTGAAATCTTGTCTTGATTTGCTAGTGAGGCGTGGGAACATTGGGGGAGGAGAGGAACCATTTATCCTCTTTCACTTTCATCTTTTTACGGCCTCCTCTTCTCTCACTCGGGAATCCTTTCTCTCCAGAGGCATTTTATCCACTTTCACAGTTTTGATGATCATTTTAATGCAATTCTTCCAGAAATCTGTGCATCTATTTGAATTCTAATTGATGTTACATGACAATCTTAATCTCCTCTCTTTTACTATTCTGTATTGAAACACTTTCCAAAAAATACGTATTTGGCCTTTATAGCAACACAAAAATAACGATATATATTTATAATTATATATAATAGTAACATTTTAACATATCTAAACTACTCTATAAACTCCTGCTTATCTCATTCACTTCAGCTTATCTTGTACACTTCACGTAGTCATTGTTCAACAAATATTGTTGAATAGCTAAATAATTGAATAAGCAGACATCACTAACTCTTTTTTATTTTTCTGAATAAATATTTCTGGAATTCATTCAGACTGTTTTTCTTACATCAGTCTCCAAAGTCCAGGCTCCCATCATCTCTTCTGAGCCACTGCCTCTCTCACGAACCACTCCCTCTTTCACAAACCACTGCCATGTTTTCTGTATTGCTTTCAGAAGCCTTGTGGTCAGTTTACCACCTGCAGTAAGAGAAATCCCTTAAAAATCTATATCCAGTCATAACTTTATTTTCTTCCTTGCTTTATTCATCTGAGAATATTCAAACCTTTGACAAAGCTTTCAAAGAGTTGCACAACCTGGCCTCTGCATACCACTGATGTTCTAGGAAATTCTCTCCCATTCTCTTAAGAGACTTAAGCCATAATTTTATTACTTTAACCTCCTAATGGATTATACTGTCTGACCTTCTTTCATTCACATGTGGTTTTCCTTCTGCTTAGGACTTTCTTCCTCACCCAATTTTCCTCATTTTCCCCTAACTAACCTACACATGGAAGTATAAAGTTCATTTCCTTGGGAGGGTGGGAAGGAGCAAAGTATTTTAACTCCCTGACCAGATTCTAGAATTAATTCCCCTGATAAAGAGCCACACAATACAGACTCTCCACTTTTGTAACAATCCAACACTCTTACAAACATTTGCATAATTTTCCTAGTCCTTTTATTCCCCAGCACCTACCTTAATTGCATCTGGCATAGTATTGTGTTCAAAGATTTTTTTCTGAAGGAGTAAATGTATCTTAAATATAAACAAATATAATATTTAAGTGTCTCTAGGCCATTTGCCCTTAGATTGATTCCTCAGTTTTTGCCCACGCTGCTCTGTAAAACAGACGCCTGGCTGCTGAAAGGGCATGTTTCCCTGGTCTTTTGCCAGGGACTTTTGTAATTGTCCAATAGAAAAAATGGAGAGTAGGTGGAGGGAGAAACTAGCGTGTCTCTTCCCCTCCCTCTTTATCCAAACCGTGTCTCTGTCAGGAGGAGCATATGCTCCTTGGATTCGCACCCTGTTTAACAGTCCTCTGAGTTCCAAAGACCAGCCTCAGCTTTTGCCCCTCTAGTCCAGCGGTCCCAGAGGCTCACTGCTTTCTCTCTGGTGGCAACATTTGCCCTCATTTGGCTTCTCAGTTTTCCATCACATATTTTACAAATTCTTGCTTTAAATGATCTTATTTCAAATAAATAAAGTTGTTGCTATTTTTCCGATTATATTCTGCCTGGTCCATTATCAACCTAATGAAAATTGTGGAAATTTGTCACCAGTATCCCTGCCCAACAAGAAATGGTAAAAGAAGTTCTTCAGAGAGGAGTAAAATGGTACGTGTCAGAAACTTAAATCTACATAAAGCAAAGAAGAACGTATCTTGGCTATTGTAAAAGGTACTTTAACGAATATGGGGGAGCAGACGTCTCCTTAAAATCCTGATTTCAGTTACGTGGAATAAATATGCAGAAATAAGATGGTTGGATCACCTGGCAGTTCTAATTTTAATATTTTGTGGAATCTCCATCTTGTTTTTCATAGTGGCTGCACCAATTCACACTCCCTTCAACACTGTATGAGAGTTCCAGTTTCTCCACATCCTCACCAGTACTTGCTGTGTTTGTGAGTTTTATTTTTATAATACCCATCTTAACAGATATGAGGTGGTATCTTATTGTGGTTTTGATCTGCATTTCCCTAATGACTAGTGATATGGAGCGTCTTTTCATACACCTGGTGACCATTTATGTCTTCTCTGGATAAATGTCCATCAATAGATAACTGAATAAAGAAAACAAGGTATTTACATACAATAGAATACTATTCACTCTTTAAAAAAAGGAAATCCTGACATTAGCAACAACATGGATGAACCTAGAGGAAGTTATGCTAAGTCAAATAAGCAATTCCAGAAGGACAAATACAGTATGAATCTACTTATATGAGGCATTTCAAGCAGTCAAATTCATAGAAGCAGAGAATTGAACTGTAGTTGCCAGGAGTAGAGAGGAGGGAGGAAGGGGAATTTTTGTTCAGTGGTTATAAAGTTTCAATATATGCAAGATAAAGTAGTTTTATAGATCTGCTTTACAACATAGTACCTATAGTTAACAACATGGTAGTGTGTATTTTCAAAGATATTAAAAGAATAGATCTCCTGTTAAGTGTTCCCACCATCACTAACAACATGCACACACACAAAGGAACACAAGAAAATGTTTTAAAGGTGAAGGATATGTTTAGTGCCTTGATGGTAGTGATGGTATATTAGGTATATACCTTTATTCACACTCATCACATGTATGCATTAAGTATGTGAAGTTTTTGTATATCTGTTATAATTGAATAAAGCTTTAAAAACTGAAGGGAGAATATCAAAGGAGAAATAAATTAGGTAAAAAAATACTTTATTTTTCTTATTCTTAACTGACCTAGAGATAAATAAGTGAATGTTATGAGAGACCCAATGGAGAAAATTGGGATGTTTTGTTAAAAGTTATCTGTGCTACCCATGAGGTGGTATGTGTTATTTAAAGTGGACTTAGATTAGTTGTAAATGTGTATTACAAACACTAGGACAACTCTATAAAAACTTCTTAGAAGAATTATAAATAATATTGCTAAGAGGGGAGATAAAATAAAACCATCAATTGACCAATTAAAACTAGAAAATATTTTTTAAAAGGTGAAGGCATAAAAGAAAAATAATAAGCTCAATGAATACAAAACAGTTATAAAGATGGAGATATTAATTCAAAAATATAAATAATAATGTTAAATTAATGGTCTAAGTACAACAATTAAAAGATGGAGATTGTCAGGCTGTATATAAAATCAAGACCCAGCCCTATCTTGTCTACATTTTTTAAAATATAAAGAAGCAAACAGATTAAAAGTAAATTGATGAAGAAAGATCTACCATGCTAACACTTATCAAAAGCAAGTTGGGGTAGCTGTATTAATTTTATGCAAAGCGGACTTTAAAACAAGAAGAATTAACAAAGATAAAGAGGAAAATTACAGAATGTAAAGAGATCAGTTCTTTAGGAAGATATGACTATTTTTAATGTATATGCACTTAATAAAAGGATGTCAAAATAAGTGAGACAAAAATGGATAGAAATTCAAAGATAAATAGACAAATGCACTATTACACTTGGAGACTTAAACATCCCTCCAACAGTAATTGAAAGATCCAGCAGATAGAAAACCAGTAAGGATATAGTTGAACTGAACAGCACCATTAATCAGTTGACCTGTTGATGGACACTTAAGTTGTTTCTGAATCGTGGCTATTGTGAATAGTGCTGCAACAAACATAGGAGTGAAGATCTCTCTTTGATATACTGATTTTGGGCATATACCTAGAAGTGGGATTGCTGGATCATGTGTTAGTACTAATTTTAGCTTTTTGAGGACCCTCCAAACTGTTCTCCATAGTGGTTGTAGTAATTTACTTTGCTACCAACAGTGTATGAGGGTTCCATTTTCTCCATATTCTTACCAGCATTTGTTATTGCCTGTCTTTTGGAAAAAAGCCATTTTAACTGGAGTAAGATGATATCTGATTGTAGCTTTGATTTGCATTTCCCTGATGACCGATGATGTTGAGCACCTTTTCATAACATATTTGCCATTCATATGTCTTCTTCTGAGAAATATCTATTCAGATCTTTTGCCCATTTTAAAATCAGATTATTTCATTTGTTTCAATTGAGTTGCTTCAGCTTCTTATATATTCTGATTACTAATCCCTTTCAGATGGATGGTTTGAAAATATCTTCTCTCATTCTGGGAACTTAGTTGATTGTTTTCTTTGCTATACAGAAGCTTTCTAACTTGATGCAATCCCATTTGTCCATTTTGCTTTGGTTGCCTGTGTTTGCGAAGTATTAATCAAGAAGTCATTGCTCAGTCCAATTTCCTGGGGAGTTTCCCCAATATTTACTTGTAATAATTTCATAGTTTGAGGTCATAGATTTAAATTTATAATCCATTTTGATTTGATTTTTGTATATGGTAAGAGATAGGGATCTAGTTTCATTCTTCTGCATATGGATATTCAGTTTTCCCAGCACCTTTTTAGAAGAGACTGTTCTTTCCACAATGTATGTTCTTGGCACCTTTGTTGAAAAAGAGTTCACTGTAGGGGTGTGGATTTGTTTCTGGGTTCTCTATTCTGTTCCATTGGTCTTCGTGTCTGTTTTAATATCAGCTCCATGCTTTTTTGGTTACTATAGCTGTGTAGTATGATATGAAGACACATAATGTGATTCCTCCAGTTGTGTTCTTTTTGCTCAGGAAAGCTTTGACTACTCTGGGTCTTTTGCACTTCAATATACATTTTAGGATTATTTTTTCTATTTCTGTGAAGAATGTCATTTGTATTTTGATTGAGATTGCATTGAATCTGTAGATTGCTTTGGGTACTATGAACATTTTAACAGTATTGATTCTTTCAATTCACGAGCATGAAATGTCTGTTCATTTTTGAGTGTCCTCTTTATTTCTTCATCAATGTTTTATAGTTTTCACTGTAGAGACCTTTTACTTCTTCAGTTAATTCCTAAGTGCTTATTTTATTTATGGCTACTGTAAATGGGATTACTTTCATGATTCATTTTTTAGACTTTTTACTGTTGGCATATAGAAATGTTACCAATTTCACATGCTGACTTTGTATCCTGTAACATTGCTGAATTTGTTTATCGGTTCTAATAGTTTTTTGGTAGAGTATTTAGGTTCTTCCAAATGTAAGATTAAGGATAATTTGACATCTTCTTTTCCAATTTGGATGCTCTAGCTAGGACTTCTGAGAATGATTTCTTAAGAAACAAAGAACACTAACATGACAAATAAAAATACTGATAATTTAACTATGTAAAATAAGAATGCCCTACATCCAAAATACCTTTAACAGATTGAAAGGTAAGCAACAGAGCAGGAGAATAAATTTGCAGCACACATAACTGAAAAAGGACTCATATCCAGAATAATCAAATACTGCCAGAGAATAAATACAAGACAGGCAACCCAACAGAAATAAAGGCAAGAAACATAATCAGACAGTGCACCAAAGATTATTACCTAAATGCCCTGCAATAATTAAGTACAAAGTTGATCAATGCATTCTGCAGGATTATGATTACCCATGCTCCAGAATGATTAAAGGCAAAGGTTATTCACCATGCCTAGAGCAAGGTAAGCTTTGGAACAAGGAACTTCTACACTTCTCCTGGCTGTGCACATTGGTGAGTGTGTCAGTCAATCATAAAGTTCAAGTTCAACATAAACATATGATGTGCCCTAGCAATTCCACTCCTAGATATACTTTCAACAGAAAAGATATGTATGCATATGTGTACCAAGACATAGGTACAAAAATGTTCATAGCTGAATTATTCTTAATAGTCAAACATGAGAAACAATCCAAATGTTAATCAACAATGCAATGGAATACTTACTAATGGGTATTTGCAAGAACAAATGATCACTACATAAAACAAATTAAATAATCTCAAAATATTTTATAAAAGTTGCCAGTAACAAAATAATTCCAATTTTATTATTCAATTTATATCAATTCATAAACAGATAAAATTATCTTTTCAGAATTAATAATAGTTATTTTATTTTAGGGGAGTGAAATGTTAGTGATGGGGAGGAGACACAAGAGAGTTCTGAATGCTAAAATGTTCTACTTAATGACCTGGTCTTGGCTATAAGTAGGTTCAGTTTGTACCAATCCATTGAGCTGTTTGGTTAGGATTTTTCTCTTTTCTCTATGCTTGTTACACTTGAAATAAAGTTTAAAAAATAGTGAAAGTGGGCTCTGCTGTTGCTGTCAAAATACATTATCTGTACTTTACACTTTTAAGTGTCTTAAGATACTTATCCCTTCCTCTAGTTGAAAAAACATGCAATAATCTTTAAGACATTTCTGTATATATAAACAGAGAAGAAGGATAAACAGAGCAAGAGGAATGAGGCAAGAGAGAGACAGCGACAGAGAGAAAGGAAAAATACCTGGTATTTGTCATCGCAGAAAATAAGTAAATATGCTAATGCCTGGTAGAAAAACAACCTCTGGTAGAAACATAACCATATTATATTTACCTCCAGAAGAGGTAAAGAAAAGAATCCAAATATTCAGTACACCTTTAAGCAAAATATTTAAAACACTTTTTTAAAAAACTAGACTTTTTAAAGGTTGAATTTTTCAGAATAAATGTAAAATTCTCAAGAAGGATTTGTTTTTAAAGCTCTATTATTAATGTTTGTTAGGCAGTCACACAAGAGGGTATATTAAACTAATCCATATATACTTAATCTATGACAAGAAGTGGATTTATAAATAAATGTGCTCTGGTGACAAACTTTCTATGAGACTACAAATGCCCCTATGCCTAACAGACATGTCTGTATGTATATCATCTATATCTACCTGTCTTCCTATTAGCTCTCCTACATACCTGTTATTTGTTTTATTGGAGTTCCTATTAAAATTTCACTGTTTTTCAAGGTTTTATAGTTTGGGTATATATTTGTGTATTCTCTTCTCTTCTGGCAAATAAGCAAGGAGTGGGGAAAAAAGACTAATCATCATAATGGTGATTGTTCATTCATTGAGCTCAATGAAGCACATTCCTTAGATTGCCTGAGCTAATTCTCACAAACATCCTATGAATTAGATACCATCAGTATGCTAATTTTGCATACAAGTATCCCAAATCTAATACATGTTAGGGCCAGGATTCTCACCCTGCAGTCTGTATCCAGGTCTTCTGCTAATAACTATTATACTAGATGAGAAACCATAACGATGCTGCCTAAGGGGAAATTTCTCATCTCTCAGACACCTGTTTCCACCTCCATATATGTAACCATGTTTGCTTTTAACCACCTCTGCACTCTCAGAGGATGTGGTGAGCATATTTTTTAAAGTTTAACAACATGTTTCAGTGCATGTGGGTGTATGTATTTAACCACATCCCCTCCTATGTGCACAAGGAACAAGTTACCCTTAACTTTTTGCACTAATTTCTCCCTTTTTATGTTTATTTCACCAAAGGCTGATGTTTACAAGAGGAATCTCATAGTTTTTCTCACTTACATTTCCTTGCAGCTCTACAGAGAAAGGATACTGCTACAAACTGGCACATATCAAGAATATTTGTTAAAGCAGAGTTAGCGAGTGAAGATCATTGTTTGAGCAATAACCCACTCTTGCTGTCATTTTGAGAGTGCCAGCCACCAAAGGATGCAGATTGCCAACCCAGTTCCCCAAGGTGGCACCACTTTGTCATCACAGCCTTTCCACAAAGGCATTCTGTTCACCTCCATCTCAGGGGCTGCTGCCTGGTCACTTGGAGAGACAGGAAAGGCCTTATTTTAACTCTGGGAAATCATCACCCTTAAATATGATTTCTCTAAGGCCAGCATGGCCCACATCCAAGAGCAAACCTTTCTAGGACTGGTGCCCCATTCTACTCTGTACTTCTATACCCAACTTTTTTTCCTACGTTATTGAGTGGTTTCATCCAAAATCATCCCTTCTAAGATAACCTGCAAACTCACTTCCATTAAACGATGTTTTTGGTATATTTGCACCATTCTATGCCTTACCTGAGATTGGACTATCTTCAAAAGGCACTGCTCTCCAAGAATTGTAAGTTGGAAGTTGCTTGCTTTTCACTATGCAGAAAGGAAGGACAGGGTTCATCTTGTTTTCAGTCACTCCCGTAATAAGAACAGTATCTTCGACACCTCTTTCCATAAGTCTATTCAGCTTTCTCCCGATGGCATCACCCTTATTTACTGACCTCATGAACACCCTCCTTCAGTTTTCACAGACTTTGCCATTTTGATCAGATGTAATCTCTCCACCTTGGAAAAGTTTTTGTTTTGAATTTCATCGGACATCAATATTACATGTTTTATTTTTCTTCGTACAACCAGGTATTTCTATTTCAATATTCTGAAACTTCCTAATTCTTTCGCTCTAAAAATCATCCCTTGTGAATAGTCTATTGTTCAGGTTGTTTGTTTGCTTGTTGGTGTCAACTATTGAGATTATCTACAATTCATAATTATCATTACATATGTTCACCTGATCTTATTCCTCTGTCATCTTAGTTCAGGTTTTCCAGATATACTTTCTATTTTATTTATTCTCATTTGTTTTCTCTTGTTGATTTGAACAAATTTTCCTTGTTTCATTTCATCTTTTATTTAAAAGTATTTTTTCAAGTAAATTTTGGAGTTAAACAATATCTATATCTTTTTTCTGAATAAGAAAATGACCTTAACATATTTTCACCTTCTCTGCATTTTCTATTCCCACCATATCCCATTAGGAGATTTCCTGAGATTTTATATTTATATTTTTTAAATTATGGCAACGTTTACTTCAACATATACTTAAGTTTTACTGCCATTGTAAGTAGTACTATTTATTTAGCCTAAAATTTTCTTAAAACTATTTACCCATAAATAATTTTTCAAGAGAGATCCTCTAGTTGGCAAGTATTTCTGACTTTAAATATTCAAAAATATTTTATTTGCGTTTTTCTACAAATTCTACTGTGTCTGGACAGAAGGTTGGGTTCCCAATTAAATTTTCCTCAGAATACTTAAGATATCACTTTATCCTCCCACATTTGAAGTATAGAATGAACTTTTCATGGATAATTCAGTCAACTTCCCTTGTACATAGACTAGGTCTCTCCATTCTGCATTCTGCATCCTCTAGAGTATGTTGCTCTCATTCTTAACTTGTTGCCATTAATGTTTACAGTTTCAACATGTTTGTTTCCATTTTATAACACTTTTCTTTCTAAGAAGTAAAATCTGCCCAATGTATCTAAAAACATTTTCTTAAATTTTTTAAATGCTTTGGAATTGTTCTTGACTAGTCCTGTGTTAGGTAACTATTAGTAAAAGCTGATGTTTCTACCAGGATGCTGCATTTGTTCAAGTAATTAGTAAGATTTGATTGTTGTAGTTTTCTTTTAATTTTATAATCCATGTCCATTTGTCTGTGGGTAGAGATGTGATTGATTAAAGGATCTTATTTCTTACCATTCTGCAGATTTGGGAAGACCATGCTTCCTGTTGGGGTCTATGTTGGCACCTTGACCTCCACTTCTTAGTGTGCATTGTCTCTTCAAGGGGCTACTATCTTCCTGGAACACTCCCTTGAATCTCCAGCCACTGCTAGCAGCTTTATTTGTTACACCTGTTCACCTCTGCTTCTTCAGTGTTGGGGTGTAGACAAGAAGAAACCAGGCTAGTCTCCAAATTCTCTTTCCAATTAGTGGCCTTAATGTTTGTTCTCTGAAGTCCTAGTCTGTTTGGACTTCTATAATAAAATCTCATACATTGGATGGATTATAAGCAATAGAAATTTACCACTGTTCTGAAGTCTTGAGATCAAAGCACCAGCAGATGTAGTGTCTGGTGAGGACCCACTTCCCAGACCATAGACAGCACCATTTGTTCGTCTTCAAACTCTGCAAGGAGTCTTTCTTTGGCCTCTCTTCTAAGGGTAATAATGCCATTCATGAGGGCTCCAGCCCCATGGTCTAATCCCCTTCCAAAGCCCCCACTTTCTAATACTATCACCTTGAAGGTTAGGATTTCAATGTACAAATTTGGGAGAGGGGACACAAACCTTCAGAACATAGCATCTGGCTTCCTATTCTGGTGCACTCATCAACTGTAAAATTGTTGCAACCCAGAATTTCTCCTACCTCCACAACATTTCTTTGTGTATTTTGTAA
The DNA here is from genome assembly GCF_000001405.40 of Homo sapiens. Lineage (NCBI taxonomy): Eukaryota > Metazoa > Chordata > Mammalia > Primates > Hominidae > Homo > Homo sapiens. The sequence continues at coordinate 12,275,166 of NC_000005.10, read as the reverse complement.
CCACATATATAAATAATTGATTGGAGAAGCAGACTACTATGAATAATGTGAAATAAGGCATTTATTATAGAGGTTAATCCTTACACATTATGGAAACTGATGAAGAAGTCTTGGTGTATTGGTGAGCCTGGGGTAGGCAGTGTCATGGGTCCAGTAAAAAAAGCTGGATGTGCATCAGGAAAGAGCATAGAAAAATTCAAACCTATGAGAACAAATCAGAACCCACAAGAACAAAGGGAAACTTGTGTCTGTCTCTGACTGCCTCCAACATTGACAGTGAAAATGATCTGCAGAAGAGAATGTCAACCTTGCAAAGTTGCATAGCACCTGGCCTAAGCTATGGAATCTGCGAGCTAGTCAGTCAGTGAGGGTGTATGTGAGCTACAGCTCCTCTAGCAGTCCAAAGTAGTGTTCATATGATAACCGTTACTTCAGTTTTGCCTTTAAATTTTTCACGACTGTCTCTAACCTAGTATATACTTTGAGGGAATGTTGGGAAACCTAGCTAAGTTGACACAGTACAATGGCACAACAGTCCACCTCTTGTCAACTAAGCATTTGTGCACATCTCTTTTTTATCATACGTAATCTTCAAGTAAATAAAATCATGCTTCCATCTGCAATGTTTCAACCATTCCTCATATAAATGAGAGCACTCTAACTGCTCCCCAAAGAGGATACATGGTCACATTATCTACCTTTGGTTGAGGTTTGGTTGGCTTCTAGCTGAGTCATATATCCCTTTAATATGCCTTAGGCTAAATACTAAGATAAGATTAGCTACTAGTCACACTTATCTGATATGATAGGTGTATAGAAAGGACAAAACTGTTGGATTATATATGAATACACTCATACCCAAACAAGGAAAAATACTCATAACTATTACAATATTCATTTATGTAATTGGTCCAAACTTTTTTCTTCCACTCTTCATGCTTTATTTTCTTTCTTGTCTTCAAGCACCTTGACTGATTGTGGCTTTCTGTGTGCTGGAATGACCCAAATCATCCTCCACTTCTGATGGCTCTAAGCCATTAGCAGTTCAGTGCTGATTATTTTGTGTTTCTGTAGTTTTCCTTTGATTGTTATTCAGGACATGGGAGTACAAAGAGTTACCTCAGAGCCTATCTTATATTTCAGACATGTTTTCTTATCCCCATTTGTGTAGTAGCAACATAATTTTTCTTTGATAATTAGTGTCAATTACTGCAGCCAATATAATAACACTTTCATTAAATGAGGAGCCCAATATGGCCAAATGTCAGTTACACCTTTCTTTTTTTGAAAAAATAAACTTCCAATCTTAGAATACTTTTAGATTTATAGAAGAGTCATACAGCTAATATGGAGAATTCCAGTGTATTATTGTTTCTTCTATTGTCAACAGCTTACATTAATATGGTACATTTGTCACAACTAATAAACCAATATTGATGGGATTAACAAAGTCCATATTTCATTCCAATGCCTTTAATATTCACCTAATGTCCTTTCCCTGTTTTAGGACTCCATCCAGGAAGCCACATTTCACTAGCTGTCATATCTCCTTAGCCTCCTCTTGGCTATGACAATTTCTCAGACTTTCTTTGCTTGGATGGCCTTGACAGTTTTTAAGAATAGTGGTTAGGAATTTTGTAGAATGTCCCTCAGTACGTATTTAATGTTTTTCTTGTGATTAGAATGAGCTTATGGGCTTTTGCGAGGAAGACCATTCATTTTAATGGAAACAATGCCATACTGTGTCCCTTGCTGGAACCATTCCTCCCCTGGGAGTAAGACCACTAGACAAGCAGATGTTGTCCTTTGAACACCCTAATCTGAGAAGTTTATAGTTGAATACATTAACATAAGGCCAGTGTCACCTAGGCATGGACTATCCTCCATATGCAATGAAAATTTAAGCATAAAAATGTCCCTTCCTTACAAAGTATACATAATTTGATCTGATAAGCCAATTATCAAACATCCAGTGTGAAAGTGAATCTTATGTTCAGTTCTTATTTTAAAGGAAAACCTGATGAGAGAGTAAAACTATGACTAATATTTAAAAGAAATGTGAATGAAGCTATGTTTTCAAATATTTAGGCCCATCTGAAAATTTCTTTAATCATCACAGATAGTTAGAAGATGAAAATTATCTTGATCTTGATTAGTAATTTCACTTATACAAGAGAGAAAGACATAGTTGCTCAAAGATTCATTTTTAAAATAAATGTATTGTTAGGGCTTGAATTGTGTGGCACCAAATGACATAGTGAAGTCCTAAACCCCACTATCTCAAAATAGAATCTTGTTTGGAAATAGGGTCTTCACAGAGAAAATCAAGTAAAAATGAGGCCATTAGTGTGAGCCTCAATTTAATATGATTAGTGTCCTCTTAAAAAGGGGAAACTCAGACAAAGAAACACATGTACAAAGGTAAAAATGACATGACATGAAGACACTTCGGGAGAAGATGGTCATATGACCGGAGTGGTGCATCAGCAAGGCAAGGAGCGTATCTTGTGTTTCAGCCTATCTTATATTTCAGCTCCTCCTGTTGGCTGCAATTCCTTCTCATTACAAGGAAAGCTTGCCACCAGGAGGAGCTGAAGGAAGCCAGGAGGGTTCTCCTCTAGCGCCATCCAAGAGTGCATGGCCCTGCCAACATCCTGATTTCAGACTGCTAGCCTCCAGAATTTTGAAAGAATAAATTATTGTTGTTTTAAGCCACAGAATAAGTATCTGGTACTTCGTTATGGCATATATATATGTGGCATATATATATACACACACACACTGCGCATATAATATGTAGTCTTTAACATAATTTTTCTATGTAAATATATATCTAAATACATTTTCCCTGCTAATTATTTTAAAGAACATCAAGATGCTAATAATTCACAACACAAAACAAATCTAAAGCAGCCTTTTAATAGTCAGACACACAAATCTGTTGGAGAGAGAATAAGGTGAAAACTTTTCTGTTCAGTTATAAGTATTTTTGCGTTGATATGATCAAGTGCCTTGAATATTCAAAATATGTGTGAAAAAACAAAAACCTCAATATATATGTATTGAAATATATATTTATATAAATATTTATTAAAATATATATACTTTTTGAAATATGTTGAGTTCTGAAACTCGTTTTATACAGAAATAATAAAAGTAATATCTGAAAGAAAAAGCATTGACACATTGTTCAGAGAGATAGAGCTAGATATTCCACAAAGGTGTTTAATTCATAAAGCTATTTACTAGGAACTATTAAATTAACTGAAAATTTTTAAAAACCCTATATATTGTGTAAATTTCAGAACTTCACAATAATAATGCAGTAATGTTTCTAAGAACCATGTTCTAATCTATTACCCAGGAAATACATAAAAGTCCAAATGAAGCCTGAAATAATAAATGTGTCAGAATATTCTTGATTATGGAAGAATTGCATACAATGTTCTTTATGATTTTTTTCATTTATTAATTAAATCAACATGATTTAGCACCCATATTTACTAGTCTGTGTATTAGCAGTTAGGAGCACATTGAGAAAACAAAGCAACATATATATAAAAAGTACAACGGTTTGTGCAAGCTTCTTATCTTGACAATTTTGTCATGTTATCAATAATGATTTGCAGAATCTATGAAAGATATGTTACGGGTATCTTGGGTTCTTGCAGTCTCCCAGGAGATAAATAATGAGAAAAGACTATCAGGTATAGCAGTTAAGAGAATATTTATTTAGCTTGTGCACAAGGGAGTCAGCACTGAGGAAGGAAAAGGTGTGGGCTTCTCCCTGAAAGAAGTGTGGGAGTTAATTTTATAGGGCCTTCCTAGGGGGAGGGGTATTATCAGGGCATGCATAGGAGAATGGTTTTACATGCTTCTTTACACATTTCCTGTAGCATTGGCATTTTAAGTTTCCTCCTTTGGGTATGATTTTTTAGCATTAAAATGAACAAGGAGTAACCATAAGTTGAGTTTTAGTCCTAACTGCACATGGAGGGCTTCAGGGAAGTCCCTGGCTCCCTGAAGCAGAAACTGTGGCTAACAGTTTCTAGGGTCTCTTGTTGCTGTTCTGCTGAAAGTCAGGTAAGCTAGGGCTTGAGAAAGGGGCTTTTGTTCTTCCCCTCTAGATCAGATCACAACAAGAAGGCAGACTGCCATTTTCGGATATACTAGCTTGGCTGGAAGAGGTATAGGTCAGGAATTTTAAACTTGGGAGTAATTATTTAATTTTCCTTCTTGAAGGAAAGATGTCTTCACAATGGGTAAAAACATACACACACTCACACACACACACACACACACACAAGTAATGAGTTCATTGTTCATGAAAATAATAAGTACTCATGCGACGACTAATTGAGAAGGCTGATTTCAAGGCTAGACACTGTCAAATCAGTAAACATTAAAGTCTAACAACACATTAAAGTTAACACTAAAGTTAAGATTATGGGCTTACCATGAAATCAACTGCATTAGCTGATTAATCTTCAATGTGACCCACTGAGTTACTATTTTTAATGATATCCAAATGAGGAAATGGAAGTGGTAGAAGTTAGGTACTTCTCCAAACTCACATGACATGTAAGTGAAGCCCAGAATTCGTATCCAGATCTTCCTGCCATAAACTTAACATATTAGTAAAACAATGCCATAGTTCACAAGTGCAAAGATCTGTGAATGTTTTTGTCACACGTGGGAAGATTTGTGGAAAGAATGAAGGTCCAGAGTTGTAGTTCTTTGCTTTCTTTCATTTTTCTTTCCATTATTTCTGCCTAGGTTTTCTATCCAATTCCTCTGGCTTTGTTTCATAGACACTGCTTTATTTTAGATAATATTCCTTCCATTATCTATTTGTGTATTATACATATACTTATTTCCCTTTTTCCTCAATACTTTCAGCTTTTACCTTCCTACCTGAATTCAATTTCTTGTGCTTATTGCCTATGTTACATGTTATTAATGTTTTGTATACAAGCAAATATTAAGGGAAGTTTTGTATTTGAAGATAACCTTGAGGATGTGTTTTCTCATCTGGTTGTTTTGTGGTATATTCTCCAGATCGCCAGAATACCACAGTTCTGAGCAGGTCCTAATGTGGCAGCTTGGGGCTATAAAATGCACAGGGCTGGTGGAGATGGCGTCCCCAGGAGAGTGAGTGCTGTGGTCCAGTTTTCCGCTGAGTGCTGTCTCTGCGCCTTCTGTAATTCCATTTTTCTCAAGGTGGGAATACCACTGCAGTTCCTTGCTTTATGTGGCGGTCCTGCCAATCCTGAAGTAGATTTATTGCCTTTCTTTGCCCATTGTCATGCTTTGGTTAATGGAAAATGTTATCTTGTTCTTGGTTTGTGTAGATAGAAGTTCATATACATAGTGCTCACTAAGAAAATAAATGTTTATACACATATATACACGTAAAAATTATCTTGCTAATGCTTTCATACATTTTCTCATCTATTCTTCACAACAATAATTTTTTTGTAGATGAAAAGACTGATATTTTGAGAAGTTAAATTATTTCCCCAGGAATGCATTTTTAATAAGTGGCAACATGAGAATTCTGTTTCTCATGTCCCTCCTGATTTGGCTGAAATTCAAAGTTAATTAGGTAGACCAATAATTATCTGTTCATTGGTTTATTTACTTGTGATTAAAGTTTGATTATTACTCACAGAAGTCATTTATCAATGATAACCTTCACTTGACAGGCGTTTCTCTGAGGCAGTACATTGACTGACTAACCGGGATCAGAGATTCTTATGATTTGCCTTAGACTGAGCAATCAATCTATCAGCAAGAAGATAAAGCAATAAAAATGTCCATCAGCATTTCAGCAGCCTGAAAACACTATACTCTATATTCCGCTACTTCTTTGCAGCTTTCTGAGAATTGTTTCACAGTGATTTTCCAGATATAGAACAGTGGAAATAAAGAGTATGTGTTTGTCCACACACATGTGAACACATCTCAAAATGTTATGAGGCAAAAACAGTAAAGAAATTGTCTGAACATCAAATTAGATATGCAAGGGTCACACCTATTCAAATCAGAACAAATCTCTGCAATTGGTACTTAATGCACTAATGCCTTGTGAGAAAAAATGGTGACACATCTTTTTATATTGTTATTCCTGTATAGAAAGAAATTTTTCTAGGAATAATGATGTTTTTGCAAATTTGGTAGCTGTTTATCACAAAAATTTCAAGGCAAGGAAAAAAATCAAAGGAAACAAAAACTGCATTACCCTGCATTAGAGAAAACCACACAAGACAATCTTTGCTATTATGCGATAAAGGCAATTAGCACACATTTTTCTGTGGCTGGAAATATATATGGAGATAGAAAGCTAGATGAATGAATAGACAGAGAGATAGGAAGACAGATAGACACATTTAACACATAGGAGTAAATGAATAAATATACATAGCATTATACAATATTAATGTAAATAAAGAGCTTACACTTAAGTGTACACTTAAGGTTACTCAAATATAATATGTAGATATTAATGTAGAATTAAAGGAATTTCTGAACTTTGGTTAAATATTTCTTCACCAAAAGGATTTTTCCACCAGTTAAAGACTTCCAATTATTCACATTTTACGCTCTTTGAAATCAAAGTACCTCTTACAGTCAAGGGTGTTTTGATAATATGTCCTGGTTTTCTTGTAGTTTTTGTTGTTGTTGTTGTTGTTGTTGTTGTTTAGTGGCAATGGTGCACCTCATAATTAAATGTCTATTATTTTTTATCAAGTAAAATTTTAGTCACTAGGGGATCTCCTTAGAGTTAAAAAAAATGATTGACAAAAAAATCAAGGGATCAAAATCTTTAATTTTAGGCACTACTTAGTGCCCAGCTCCCTGCTATGATAAACGGAGAAACAATTGCATTTATACTTATTTCAACCTTTTGTTACATTGAAACTAATTTTATTTATATAATTATCTTGCTCTCATTATCTATACTATGTGCATTGTACTATATAAAAATACAATTATTTAGCCTTAGCTCTCTCTTTGAAAGCATGTACCATTTTTTATCAGATGTCACATTATTATATTCCGTATTGATTACCAAGTATCCCTAAAATCATAAAACACTGAGAGGGAATGTCTTTTGAATTAACATTTGAAGGATAATTGGGATGAATATAAAACTCCTTGGATGCACTTTCCTCAGAAATTTGTAGATCATTATCCTTAGCAAACGAATGCAGGAACAGAAAACCAAATACGGCATGTTCCCACTTAGAAGTGGAAGCTATGAGAACACATGGACACATAGAGAGGAACAACACACACTGGGGCCTATCGGAGGCTGGAGGGTGAGAGGAAGGAGAGGATGAGGAAAGGTAACTATTGGGTACTAGACTTAAAACCTAAGTGATGAAATAATCTGTATAACAAACCGCTGTGACACATGTTTACCTCTGTACCAAACCTACACATGTGCCCCCGAACTTAAAATAAAAGTTAAAAATAAAATAGATGCCTTTCTCCTTTTTCAGAATGTGGAGCTATTTTTGAGGCCACACTAATATTTCCCTCAATATGTGAATCCTTATCATCTAACCAAGACATGTCTCTTTGTTGCCAGGTCTGTCTTGGAATCCTCACCACCCACCTGTATCTCCTGCCATGTGATATGACTCTTTGATCTTCAGATTCAAATCTATCTTTACCTCAAGAAAGTTCCATTATAGGTAGAATATTTATTTAATTGCATTTTTTTAATGCTTGAAAGTTCAGTATCATCACTGGATCACTTTTGTTTTTGCTCATAACCATCACGCTCTCAACAATGTCTTTAGGCAACTTTTAAATTGCCTAAAACACTTTAAATGCCTAAAAACACAGAACAAGATAGAAACCCTTAAGGTCATTTGAAAGAAAAACAGAAACATGTCCAGCTAAACAAAGACAATATTTACTACGGACTTTTTATTAGAATATATTCAAGCCAAAAAATATTAGATACTAAATCACATCTTCAAGGTGCTAGAAAAAAATTAACTTAGGATTATACATGCAGAAAAAGTCTCGTTCAATAATCAAGGCAAATTAAAAGTATATTTGAATAAACAGAAATTCTGAGAATTCGTTGCCAGCTGACTTATTCTATAGGTAATGTCAAAAGAAGCTTTTCAGGCAAAAGGAAAATGATACCAGATGGAAGTTTGAGCCTATTTAAAGAAATGAAGAAAGCCAAATAGATAAACTTATAGGAAAATAATAAAATATATTTTTCTCATTTTATAAATTTTTAAGAGCATATTGACTGTTTACCTTAAATAAAAGTTCAATCATTGCTGGCTCAGGCAACTCCCACCACAAGGAAAGACTCACAGCATACGGCAGGCCTCTTAGGGTTAGTAAAGCAGCAAATCCAAAACCCAGGGGCACTACCATTGCTCACTAGCCAGATAGTGTGAAGGTCTACCAGCTTTATGTGGGACCCAGAGCAGAAAGGTCTCTGCCACAAATCCTGACTTGTCCGGAGTAAAAGTGACACTTTAGTCACAAAAGCTGGTAGTTCCTATGGCATAAGAGCAGGGTTTTTCAACCTTGGCACTACCAACATTTCAGGCTGGCTCATTTATCGTCCTGGGTGGGCTGGCCTGAGCATTGTCACATGGTTAGTGGCATTCTTGGCCTCCACCCATTATGTGGTGATATCACTCTCCTCCCAAGTTGTAACAATCTAAAGTATCTTTAGACATTCTCCAATTTCCCATAAATGGCAACTTATCCCAGTTGAGAACCAATGCTTTAGAGGTATCGATGGTGGGAGAATAGCACCATGTGGTATTTATTCAAAGCTCTAATGGGAAGTAACAACACAGCCTTGTAGGTATCTGATGCACTAGCCATACAGCTGCAGCAAATGGTTAAACACCTTTGACAACCTACACCTAGTATGCTAGTAGGCCCTGGTTGAAATGGAGCTCTTGAACATGGGACACCAAATGACCAAACAGCCAGAGCTGCCCATCATGAGCTGACTTCTAGTAAGCTCCCCAAGCCAACAGGTTAGGTGAACCCCGCCATAATCTATTGTAAGTCTGAATGTTATATCCAGGATTGAACCTAAAGTTACAAGAAAACTACATTACCAGGTTGCAAATAGTTGGAGTCTTTTTGTCTTGTGAATAACAGACAAGAAAATGAGACACTATCATGGCGAGAGTGGTTGATCCTCATCATCGGAAGGAAATACTGCTGCTGTATTACAATCAGAAAAATAGGCATGGGTTAGGGACAGATGACCCACTGGAGCCTTTCTTACTTCTCTTTAACTGCTGCTGCTGATGAATTGGCTAATGTGGCAACCATGGCATGGTGACCAGGGCTCAGACCCCTCAGAAATGAGGGCCAGGTTAGGCTACCAGGTAATCCATCGAGACTAGAGGAAATGGGGAACCTGTAAGTTTTCATCTCTGGCCACCAGCTTGAGCCATTTGGGTGTAGTATAAAAACAAGGGTAACTGAGCCTTTTTTCTGATATGAGAAAGCCAAACCACATTCAAAACGAATGTCAAGGCAACAAAAAATTATAAGAATTTACTGAATTACTTTCATTTTGTGGGTGTTGCTCCTGGCAACACTCTGCAGTTACTCAAAATGGCACCCTTCATGTGGTTTGCAACAATAGCTTCCATTGCTTCTTCATCCTCTTCTTGCTGATGTCTGCTCACAATCTGTTTTTCACGCGCACTGTAACTTTTTAAAAGGGAAAATAATAATAGTAACATTTTAAACTTTTAGAATAATTGATTGAAGCATCTAAGGGCTAAGGGTAGTGTAGCTCCAATTTCTGTTCTATGCTTGGCACTCGGTGACATAATTTAGGGCAAGTGGGACAGTCATGCGGCATTCTGAACCAACATTTTCTTGTCTTTAAGGAAAGTTAATTTCCTTATCTTGCAGGTCTGCTGTGAGGATTAAGCAAACTATTGCAGAGAAATTACATTTTCTGGCCAAGTGATGGGAAGTACAAAATTGTAGCTATAATTATTCTGCACCCTGAGAGGTGGCCCTGTTTAGCATTAAACAGAGATTCCAGAATGGGGCTGCCTGGTTTCAAATCTCATTTTTGCCACTCATTTGGTGACCGAGGAGCCTTCTCTGTCTATTTCTCCTTATCTAATGCGGTCTTTTCTATAGTCAGTTTCTCACAATGCTGATTGGGATTAAAGGAGTTAGCATATGAGGTGCTCCAAACCACACTTGGCATAAAGTAACTAAAAGGAAGCAGGTAGAAAATCTCTTCACAATTGCAGGTCAAGTTGAAATATATTTTTAATGTTAAGTTCAGCGTTCACAACTTTGAATAAAACAAAATTAATGAATGCAATTGTGGCTAAAATGTAAATGTTATGTATAACATTAATATTTTATTTTAAATATAAATATAAATATAAACCAAACTCAAAAGACAACTCCCAAGTCAGGATGAAGAAGCACATTACTTCAAAGATGTTACAATACTCTTCTAAAACACATGCCACTTCTTGATAAAATTCATTTTGCTATATGGTTTTATATCTGATTTGAGATATTAGTGCAAAACTCTGACAAAGAATAAAATCATTCATTCATCCTGTGGTAGCCTTATTTTATCCAATTAATATTTCTTAGGAAAAGTTAAAAATACACTTTGTAATGGTAGAAAGCAAAGCTATTGACCATACTTTTTCTGCTTTTGTCTTGTAGTTTCTTTAAAAAAATTTTTAGAGACAGGGTCTTGCTGTGTTGCCCAGGCTGGAGTGCTGTGGCTATTCACGGGCACAAGCATAGTGCATTACAGACTCAGCCTCCCAAGTAGCTGGGACTACAGTGTTCTGTAGTTTCTATTTGAAATTCAAGTTAGAAATACAATGATGAAATCGTAACATTCTGAAATAATGTTTATTTTTCACTGTTTCTGTTCAAATGTGAACATTGTCTCCAACTTCACACCTCATGACAACCCTAATTGATGCAATTGACTAGGCTGCATCTTTTACAGAATTTGCTGATTGATTTGACAGGGACAAAAGAGACAACTGTTGCTCAACAGTATTCCCTAAGCACAAACAAGTTACTTTCTCACACTTGGAAGCAAAAGCTAAGTTGAAAGGAGCAGGACAATTTTCAGGTTATTGGATTGTTTGCTCCCTTTTAGAGAAATAAGAAACAAAACTGTTGTCTAAAAGTCAGAAATTTAAAAATCAGCTAAATAAGTTATTTACACAGAATTTAGAAACAAAGAAAATAGTCATATTTCCTAAGATTTGTAACTATTTATAAGAAAATATTATGCAGTTTAAGGAAAACAGCTTGTGTGAAAATAAGTATCAGTTTACACCCTACCACATTAATTACTATTTGGAGAGAAGAGTAGGATTTTAAATATAATTTTTTATTTTAACTCAGTTCTTCTAGGGATAGATGACTTACTCTGTCTGATGTTACCTGGTAACAGTGAATTAATAGTTTTCACCTATTTCACTTTAACGATCTCCAGGAGTTTTACAAGGTCAGTGAGTCAATACAGTTTCCTTTTCCATTCTAAATTATTAGTAAGTAATTTAGACGTCTGGTATATTTATTGCCAATTATTTCAAAATAACCTGTGATGCTTGTAAAGAGTCAGTGTGTGTGTTGGTGCTATATACTTACTGCCAGAGAGTGAGAAAGGCTGTATCCAATAGAGTTAGAGAAGATACGGGGACAGGTGAACTCAGAAAATGGAGAACGGGATGAACAAATCCCTGTTCTACAAGTGAATTTTAGTATAATGGTAATTTATTAAGTACAAAGAATAAGCTTTACAAAAGATCTCTATTTTTTTTTACATCTTAAATGCCAGCACACCCACTTTTGCCCTCTGATCTAATCATCACCCCAATAACAACCCCTTTATCCACATTAATTTCTCTAGAGACCTTGTTTTTCCATCATAGGCAGGAGACTCCGTTAGTTCATGTAGATTGTTCACTACAGCAGTAAACAATTCAACATATGGCAACAGCAACACAAGCTTCAGTAACCCACTTTATCAGCAAATTTATGAAACTATAACATATTGGCTCTAATCCTATCATTTCAGGTTGATATGGATCACTACAAAATCAAATTCTAACTTCACTTGTATCCAAATAGCAATTCAAATAAGTTGCAAGGAAAAAAATGTGTATTTGGATTAATAAGAGAAATCAATATAGGCAAAAGAACATTAATCTCACCTAACCTCCAGTTGAGTAAATGTTCTCCCACTGAAAGATTTAGAGGCCGTTAAAAACATAATCCACATTTAAAGGAGGGTGCCAAGGCAGTACCTGCACTGCCCAGATATGTACAACAATGTTTATTTAGTACAATCAATTAAAAAGAAAACAAACAATTAAATATAGCTTATTACCATTTTTTTAGTTGAAGAAAAAAAGAATTTGCTTGTAGGAGAAATAAAGATCTTTCTTAGCATATCAGCTGAGGTAAAATAAATGGCCAGTCCACCTTACACCACTGAAGTAGCATGCCACCTTCACAGGGAGCAGAATCGAGATGTGCGCAGTTGCTGCATATAAGCACTGGCCGTAGACACAGGCGAGCCACTGGCAGGACAAGGATTAGGGATAGACAAGCCACACACTCTTTCTCCTCAAAAATTAAAGAAGGAGACCCTTTGGGGAAGGGGTAACATAGACACTATAATATCATTAGAAATTCAAAATATTAATCTGACTTGGGGACTGGAGAAAAGACTCAGTGTCTGACTGATATGGTGAAAATTGAATTATTTAATTTATAGCTAGAGAAATGCAACCTTATTGCTTTCAGGTTGATACTCTACATGGATTTAGATAGCCATTCTAGAAAATTACTCTTAAAGAAAGAATAATTTATAATGGTCATGTCACTCACAGTGGCCTAAGCAGGATTGGTCTCTATGGGATACGTGGGAAAATGCGTATTTCAAACAGTGAGGAAAGTGGTGTTTTAAATACACAAAAGCTTCTCTCATAAGTAATCTTAGTTTGTTGCCCAAATCCAATTTTAATAGATAAATGAAAGGAAAATTAAAGTGATTACAATAATTTTAAATTGTAAAAATGTGTTTTGAATTTTAAAAATAGACACAGAAACCAGGCGTGGTGGCTTATGCCTATAATCCCAGCACTTTGGGAGGCTGAGGTGGGTGGATCACCTGAGGTCAGAAGTTCAAGACCAGCCTGGCCAACATGGTGAAACCCCGTCTCTACTAAATATACAAAAATTAGCCAGGCGTGGTGGCAGGCGCCTGTAATCCCAGCTACTCAGGAGGCTGAGGCAGGAGAATCGCTTGAACCCTGGAGGCAGAGGTTGCAGTGAGCCGAGATCGCGCCATTGTGCTCCAGCTTGGGCAACAAGAGCAAAATTTCGTTCCAAAAAAAAAAAAAAAAAATACAGAAAACATGACTCTGACCAGAGTAACAGAACAGAATCCCTGAGATGAAGACAGGAGGGTATTTATAGGAGACATTGTATTTGTGGAGCAGTGCTTGCTGAACTGACCATTTGTGTAATTGTCTTATATTCCAAAGTGACATCAACATACTGCCCCTTTTCTCAAAGGCCAAGGGTATGGCCTTTATGCCCAGCCTTGTATATTTTTAAGTTGAATACCTAGATTTAAATGATATCATCTGCCCTGGACCTTACATAATTTCAAAAATAAAAAAAGATCATATATTTATGAGATTCCCTCTATTCCACCCCTAAAGCCTATAATTAAAAACTGTGACCTTGGGGATACTTAATAAATATTTATTAAATGAATAAAAGAGAAAAAATACTTTAGTCAAATGCTGTAACCCAAACAATACAGTGAAATATTTTGACTTCTAGAAAGGTTTTTTAATAGAAGTTCATCACCGAATCACATTATTAAGCACCTAGGTGTGAAAGGCAGCGTCCAGGGTCCTAAGTGGAGCATAATGAAATCAGTTTAAAATCAGTTCAATGCTATCCTAAAAAGAAAATGTATGATTTAAAGAAACATTTGCAGAAATAACATTCATATAGTCCAGTAGGCGTATTCCTGAAAGAAGTAACACACGTACTGTTGGGAATATAAAAACTTGCAACCTTCAACTAGATGCTTTTAAAATGTATATACAGCAAGACTGCACCTAGGGAAAACTTGATTTTAAAAAAGAATGTGCACGACGAACAAAAAGTCAGTCTTAGATTATCTTTGGCAACTGCTGCTTTCATTTCCTTATTTAAATCTCAGCCCAAATGGGTGGCAAAAGCTGTTATTTAATTTTACTTACTTGTACTTTCTGCTGCCCAACTGGCATCACCTTAACCAGCAAACACAAAGCACTAATTACCTTTCTTAATAAAGAAAATTGCCAACACCAGTTGAAGATATTTTCTAAAGGTGGCCACAATATTCTTCCTACAAGGTGATTTTGAGTCTTATCCTTTTGAGAAGTGGTGTCTCCCTACCTTCCTCCCCTTCAATCTGAGTGCTCTCATAACTACAATATATAAGAGAAGTGACAGTATGTGACTTCTGAAGATGGTCATGAAGCTTCACACAGCTTTTTCCAGCTTTCTTGGGATGTTCACACTTGAAACCAAAGCATCAGTCTCAAGGAAGCCCAAGCAGCCCATAGAGCTGCTCCTATGGATAGGCCTGTGTGGAAAGGAGTTAAGCCCCCCAGCCCTCAGACATGATTGACTTAGTTGTCCCAATTCAACTGAATTGCCAGACATCATGGCTCTTCCATCCTTCATAGAGCTATTCCAGTTGACGTAGAACACAGATAAGCTGTCCTTGCTGAGACTTGGCCAAACTGAAGATTCATAAGCAATATTAATTATTTTAAGAAAAATCTACTATTTTCAACCATCTATCCTCATTCTTGACAATTTTTTAGACAGCAATATATATGTAGACCATCAAGTTTATAGAGATTTATCTCTCTCTCTCTCTCTCGTGTGTGTGTGTGTGTGTGTGTGTGTGTGTGTGTGTTTGTGTGTGTGTGATTTTTCTTTTGTTGGGGGTTAAGGGTTCATTATTCATTATAATGTGGATTAGAGACAATGGTTCATACAAGCATGAAAAGGAAGTGAAATGGATGAATAATTGGAAAATGGGAAAGCTTTTCTGAATTTCCATTGATGTCTTCAAATCCCATTTTCTTTCCCTTTTTTACTGAGAGTTCATTGCTGTTTTGGAAATGTTGTATATGTCAAGAATATCATGCAGAAAAAATGTTTTAACATGCTATAAAATTCAAACACCTCATATAGAGTAGGGGTGAGATGAACAGGCTCAAAGTCAGACTGATCTGCAATGATGTTTTAGTTTTTCCCTAAAAGTTCCTGTGCAAAATTGCAAGTGAATTAATTTCACCAAATCTTATTTCATTCACCTATGAAATGGACATAAAGATTAAATTAAATGTACTCCAGAGACCTACATCAAACTTATTAAATGGAAGCCATGATTGTATTTGGGGGATTATCTACTATTCTTTATTATCTGCATAATTTAATTAGCTAATATACTAATGAAATATCTTTGAAAATTAAAACTAAATAACAATACATGAATTTCAGAAGGGTGCAAAATGAGGAATCACATAGCACTTTAATAAAAGCGTGTCTCCCATCAACTCAAATTTAATTTAATAGTTGGATAGATAGGAAAAGCCAGAACCCTACAGTGCTGTGAACAATGGTCTCTCCACTTCTTCCCCAATGTGGGAACCTTCTCCACAGCTTTGCTAAAATCTCAGGTAGGATACTCAGGATACTACCTAACTGAGGAAATTTTATATCTGGCAATGCCTCCATTAATACAAATCAAAGAAAGAAAAGATTTATATAAGCATAGAATTTTAGAGAACAAAATGACATCTCTTCTGAAACAGATTCCTAATGTATCAGTTTAAAAGCATTCATGTCTTAATAAAACAATGACTTGTTGTTTTTCAGAGGAAAATATTACAGTGTCACTAAGAAAATACAAAAGATTAGCTTAATGTATTATGAACAAGTGTTTCTGTCTAAACTTGGGAGTTTTACCCTCACTTAAAAAATGCTGGGTTCATGGAGGATAAAAACCACATGAATTTAATTAAAACAAATCAGAAAACCCAATGCATTATCCCTGCATCTACATTGGTTTTTAACCTACAGGGAATCTCACTTTTATTCCACTTTGGCTTGGCTTCTTAATTACACTTGCTTTCTCATAAGAGAAATTAAATATTTCTTAAAATATTCCATCATCTTTATTATTATTTAAAGGGCTGGATTCTTCCTTCTTATGCCAGGCCCTGCATAGCACCCCAAAGCCATATAAACGCTACTACTCTGCATAATCCTCACATGACTGTGGCACTCCCAGGAAAAAAGAAAGTGTTCACTGATTATTGGAGCTCCTCAGACTCTCTCTTGTTTACGGAGTACTGAATATTATTAACATAATGAATTGGTGTGACTTCAGAGGAGGGTGAGGGGGATGAAAGGGGATGTGAGTAGCACCAAGCTTGAAGAGTATGATTGAAGAAGAAAAAGGTAGGAGAAAAAGGCTGCTATTTCCATTCATTAGTTTGAAATAGCTACATTAGGCTCACTTAGCTGCTGACACTAATAACATATTGCTACTAAGGAGAGTGACCATAGATTTCCTCTCTTGGAGATGCTAGACCAGAAGACTACAAACAGAAACAAAAGAACTGATTATTTTTGTTGGTGGTGTTGTTACTATTTTCTTCTGATTTATGTAACATATACTCATTGTAAAAACATTAGAAAATGCATATGAACCAAAAGTAAATTAAAAAGAACATGTGATCTTCCAATACAGAAATCTCTATGGCCACCCTTTTGGAGCATGTCTTCTGATGTTATATGTGAACATATAATACACAAATAAAACAAAAGTAATCACAGGTCACACTTTCTCATATTCTACTTTTTAGAAATAATAACAATTTATGCCTTCTAGTTACTGTCATTCTTAAATACATATGTTGTACCTCATCATTATTAATAGGTGCATAGTATTTCTTTGAATGAAAGTACATACCACATTTTCTGTTAAATTATGTCAGTCCTTTCATCATTTTACTGATCCCTTGTGGTACGGAAGCTGATTTAAGGCACTGTAGAAATGCTTGAAAGAATTTGAATCCTCTGCTCTGAATGTTTAGGTCAAGAGTCCAAATCAATTCAATCAGAAGGTAGTGTATCCTCTGTGGCCATGTTCAACTGTTACGCAAGTACCACAGATGACACAGAACATTTCTGATAGTCACAGTCCACTAAATTGATAAATGGGATCTAATTAAACTAAAGAACTTAGGCACAGCAAAAAGAAACTATCATCAGAGCAAACAGCAACCTAAAGAATGGGAAAAATGGGGTCGGGCATGGTGGCTCAAGCCTGTAATCCCAGCACTTTGGGAGGCCAAGGCGTGTGGATCACGAAGTCAGGAGATCGAGACCAGCCTGGCTAACACAGTGAAACCCCGTCTCTACTAAAAATACAAAAAAAAATTAGCCAGGTGTTTTGGGGGGTGCCTGTAGTTGCAGCTACTTGGGAGGCTGAGGCAGGAGAATGGTGTGAACCCAGGAGGCGGAGCTTGCAGTGAGCTGAGATTGCGCCACTGCACTCCAGCCTGGGCGACAGAGCAAGACTCCATATCAAAAAAAAAAAAAAAAAAAAAAAAGAATGGGAAAAATGTTGTGCAATCTACCCATCTGACAAAGGTCTAATATCCAGAATTTACATGGAACTTAAATTTACAAGAAAAAAGCAAACAACTCAGTCAAAAAGTAGGCAAAGGACATGAACAGACACTTCTCAAAAGAAGACGCCCTTTCAACAACTTGCAGAAATGTAGAATATGGATGGAGGGTGCATCTGAGTTCATTAGAGAGATTTTATTGAGCGACATAGTGAAACCTCAATGGATACACAGTGGAGGTAACATTTGGCTTTGAAAAAAGTAGTAATAGGAATATTGGTTGCTAGTTTGGAGAAGTTGAATTAAACGTGGTCCTCAAATACAAGAAAGCTCACTGCCTGTGTGATAAAATAATCATTGTGTCCTTCATTCAACCACAAATCTGTTCACTCATTCAGTAAATATTTATTGAGCACCTGAACGATGTCCTGAGGATGCTGCTACGGGAAAGAAACAGACTAAAGCCTTACTCAGAGGGGGCTTATATTCCAGTGCAGGGAGACAGACAATGGCTAAATAAGCAAACTCAGACATGCTGTGCAAGATAGTTATAAGTGCTTTACTTTTGAAAAATAAAACAGAGTAAGTGATGGGTCAATGTTTTAGAAAGAATTGTCAGGGAAGTCCATTCTGCTAAAGTGAATTTGGGTAGAAACTTAAATGAAATAAATTAACTTCTAAGGAAATAGCGTACCCAAGAATTCTGCTGATGATTCCTGAACTGAGGATACAAGGCAAATTGTGGTGGTTAATTCATGTGTCCCCTTGAGTGTGTGGAGTGCCCAAGTAAACGTTGTTTCTGAGTGTATTAGTCCGATTTCATGCTACTGATAAACACATACCTGAGACTGGTAATTTACAAAGAAAAAAAGGTTTAATGGACTTACAGTTCCCAATGCCTGGGGAGGCCTCACAATCATGGCAGAAGGCGAAAGGCATGTCTTACATGGCAGCAGGCAAGAGAAATATGAGAACCAAGTAAAAGGGATTTCCCCTTGTAAAACCATCAGATCTCATGAGACTTATTCACTACCATGAGAACAGTGTGGGAGAAACCGCCCTCATGATTCAGTTATCTCCCATTGGGTCTCTCCCACAACACATGGGAATTATGGGCGCTACATTCAAGATGAGATTTGGGTGGGGACACCGCCAAATCATATCGCTGAATATGTCGGTGATGCTGTTGACATGAGGTTAGTATGTAGATTGGTGAACTCAGTGAAATAGATTGTCCTCCTCAATGTGGGTGGGCACCGTTCAATCCTTTGAGGACCTTAATGGAAAAAAGCAGTGGAGGAAGGGGACATTCCTCCCCTTCCAGCCTGCCTGTTACACTGGGACACCAGCCTCCTCCCAGCCTTGGTCTGGGATTTGTACCACCTGGTCCCCTTCTCAGGCCTTTCTGAGATTTTCAGCTTGCAGACTGCAGATTTCTCAGCCTGCAAAATTGGGTGATCCCAAACTTCATAATAATAGATAAATAAATACATAAATACATAGATAAATAAATACTTCTCCTATTGCTTCTGTTTCTCTAAAAAATCCTAACTTACATAGTAACCATGTTTTGTATGAACAGTAGAATCCAAGACATTAGCTACATGAATGGTGAAACGAAATTCTAAAAAACAGTGAGATATGCTCTAATTTTGCTTTACTGTTTATTTGGAACTATTTATTTGATTCCTATTTAACTTATGCCTTTAAATAGGAATCAAATAAATAGTACTTAATACTTCTAATTTTCCACCTGGATACAATATTTTTAATTCAAATTTTAACTCTATATTTTATTGGTGAGTTTGAATTTATCCCATTTTTTAAAAATTGAGAAATCATGTTAAAATAGTTGCTGGCCCTGCAAATGTATTTTTTATTAGTTTTATGCTAGAATATATACAAGTAATTTGTTCATACTCTATTTTTATCTGGATTTTTATGATATTATATTTTTCTGATTATATTGCATTATATTATTTCATCTGGACTTTTCAGATTATATATTATAATATAATCAAATTCAATTAAAGCTGAAATTCCTCAAGAGTTTCTATAATTTTCTACTTATCACTAAAGCACAGATTTTTTTCAGTGACACTGAAATTCTACATTATCTGTATGTGAGATGCACATGTTCCTTACATTTTTATCATTTTCAACAATTAGAAGAATACATTATAGAATGTTTTGATAAACTGAGATTCAAATGAAAAATTAAATGAACTACAGAGTTAGGTATCGCAAGCTTTTGCTCCTCTAAATCATGAGGAGGCTATTTCAGTAGTATAGACATATAAATTCAATAACATCACTAAAAAGCACTCCAGAAAGAAATGTAATACTACTCAAAGAATAGAATGTTCCGTGGGAATATGATTTTAATTTAAGGTACCTGATCATGTTTTTTTTTCTTGATAATACATACCGAGCTGTATTCAGACAGAAAGCTTCTATTTTATTGTGATTATAATGAATATGTTATTTTCAGTGTATGCTCAAATTATATTATTTTGTGAAGTGTAAATAAAATAGGCAGAAGATTGCTTTTTACCTTTACTGAACAAGAAAAAAATATGTATCCAAAAAGCTTTATAATACATGCAACTTCATGATGATAGGAGATAAATATACACTTGTACAATTGAAATTTTACATTAAAACAAAGAAAACAACTCTTCAACTTTATATGAATATCTGATTCTCATAGAGGGAAACAAATCCAGTTCACTACTGGCTCCTTTTACATTCTCCATGAGTTCTCTCTAGTGAAACGTTATGGTTATAGGAAGCAATCAATGAAGGCCAAGGACAGCAACAAAAATTAACCTGCACTGGACATTTTTAACCAGAACTTCATATGTTTGATTAATATTTTATGGGACTTTAACAGCAGTCTTAATCATACATATTGTTTCTAATCAGAAAAGAATGAATGATACCCTAGAAGAGACTTTTAAGATGACTAATTGTTTTTTTTTTCTTTTTTTTTTTATTATTATACTTTAAGTTTTAGGGTACATGTGCACATTGTGCAGGTTAGTTACATATGTATACATGTGCCATGCTGGTGCGCTGCACCCACTAACTCGTCATCTAGCATTAGGTATATCTCCCAATGCTATCCCTCCCCCCTCCCCCCACCCCACAACAGTCCCCAGAGCGTGATATTCCCCTTCCTGTGTCCATGTGATCTCATTGTTCAATTCCCACCTATGAGTGAGAATATGCGGTGTTTGGTTTTTTGTTCTTGCGATAGTTTACTGAGAATGATGGTTTCCAATTTCATCCATGTCCCTACAAAGGACATGAACTCATCATTTTTTATGGCTGCATAGTATTCCATGGTGTATATGTGCCACATTTTCTTAATCCAGTCTATCATTTTTGGACATTTGGGTTGGTTCTAAGTCTTTGCTATTGTGAATAATGCCGCAATAAACATACGTGTGCATGTGTCTTTATAGCAGCATGATTTATAGTCCTTTGGGTATATACCCAGTAACGGGATGGCTAGGTCAAATGGTATTTCCAGTTCCAGATCCCTGAGGAATCGCCACACTGACTTCCACAATGGTTGAACTAGTTTACAGTCCCACCAACAGTGTAAAAGTGTTCCTATTTCTCCACATCCTCTCCAGCACCTGTTGTTTCCTGACTTTTTAATGATTGCCATTCTAACTGGTGTGAGATGGTATCTCATTGTGGTTTTGATTTGCATTTCTCTGATGGCCAGTGATGATGAGCATTTTTTCATGTGTTTTTTGGCTGCATAAATGTCTTCTTTTGAGAAGTGTCTGCTCATGTCCTTCGCCCACTTTTTGATGGGGTTGTTTGCTTTTTTCTTGTAAATTTGTTTGAGTTCATTGTAGATTCTGGATATTAGCCCTTTGTCCAATGAGTAGGTTGCGAAAATTTTCTCCCATTTTGTAGGTTGCCTGTTAACTCTGATGGTAGTTTCTTTTGCTGTGCAGAAGCTCTTTAGTTGAATTAGATCCCATTTGTCAATTTTGTCTTTTGTTGCCATTGCTTTTGGTGTTTTAGACATGAAGTCCTTGCCCATGCCTATGTCCTGAATGGTAATGCCTAGGTTTTCTTCTAGGGTTTTTATGGTTTTAGGTCTAACATTTAAGTCTTTAATCCATCTTGAATTGATTTTTGTATAAGGTGTAAGGAAGGGATCCAGTTTCAGCTTTCTACATATGACTAGCCAGTTTTCCCAGCACCATTTATTAAATAGGGAATCCTTTCCCCATTGCTTGTTTTTCTCAGGTTTGTCAAAGATCAGATAGTTGTAGATATGCAGCGTTATTTCTGAGGGCTCTGTTCTGTTCCATTGATCTATATCTCTGTTTTGGTACCAGTACCATGCTGTTTTGGTGACTGTAGCCTTGTAGTATAGTTTGAATAGTTTGAAGTCAGGTAGTGTGATGCCTCCAGCTTTGTTCTTTTGGCTTATGATTGACTTGGCGATGTGGGCTCTTTTTTGGTTCCATATGAACTTTAAAGTAGTTTTTTCCAATTCTGTGAAGAAAGTCATTGGTGGCTTGATGGGGATGGCATTGAATCTATAAATTACCTTGGGCAGTATGGCCATTTTCACGATATTGATTCTTCCTACCCATGAGCATGGAATGTTCTTCCATTTGTTTGTATCCTCTTTTATTTCCTTGAGCAGTGGTTTGTAGTTCTCCTTGAAGAGGTCCTTCACATCCCTTGTAAATTGGATTCCTAGGTATTTGATTCTCTTTGAAGCAATTGTGAATGGGATTGCACTCATGATTTGGCTCTCTGTTTGTCTGTTGTTGGTGTATAAGAATGCTTGTGATTTTTGTACATTGATTTTGTATCCTGAGACTTTGCTGAAGTTGCTTATCAGGTTAAGGAGATTTTGGGCTGAAACAATGGGGTTTTCTAGATATACAATCATGAAGATGACTAATTGTTTAGTTTCAGTGGCAAAATTCAAATAGATGCCAAGCAAAAATGTTCTCCAACACCCTACCTTTCGAACAAGCATTTTAAAAATGTTGATATCCCCTTTAACAAAGAAAAATTATTATCTAGACTAATTATTGTTGATGCAATATTCTTACCGAGTATTGAAAAGGGAATACAAGAGAAATATTATATATATTTAAATGCAAATGAAGATATATATAAATAAGTAAGGGAGTTCCTGACTTCAGGCTATTGGAAGACTTCAAGGAGCAGAATGAAATCCACTGA
This sequence comes from Homo sapiens, assembly GCF_000001405.40. Lineage (NCBI taxonomy): Eukaryota > Metazoa > Chordata > Mammalia > Primates > Hominidae > Homo > Homo sapiens. The sequence continues at coordinate 12,252,208 of NC_000005.10, read as the reverse complement.
AATGTAACCATTATTTTATGTACACACACAGCCTGTGCATATTGTGTGTGTGTCTTTGAATTCAAAACATGATTTATTTTGAACATATTTAAGCTAATGCATCATTTAGCAATGTTAGGGGCATTATTTAGTTCAATTCAATGAATGTTGGTTGTTTACAAAGTATTAAATATAGTGGACTTTTCACTATGGTTTGTCTATTTTGTTTCTACCACAAAAGATGTTTCTAATAGTATACTTTTGCCGCATTTTGATTATTGACAATGATGATGTTTTGATTGTAGAGCTAAGTTGGGATCAAATAGTATAGATAAAACTATGTAGAATTTGTTAAGAACTGTGAGACTTTTTAGACTATATGCATTGACACCGTTGCTTCTGAAGTAAGTTCTGTGTTCAGAATGTATTGAGTTCATCTAGGATCTTCTATTATAAGATTTTATTATAATACTCATCACATTATGGTACAGTTGTTTCTGTCTGTTTTTTGACTTTTGGAGATGAAATTTTAGACAGAAAGAGATGCATTCTGTTTATCATTAAACTCCCAAATCTGACATTTCTTAACACATATTAAATGTTCAAAAATATTTAGTACAAATAAATTAATATATGACAACAAACTAAAAACTCACATAATTTTATATCTGTAAACCTCATTTGAATCTCACATCTTTATTTCCAGGAATATAGTACACACTTAATAAATATTTGGTCAATTTAAGTGCATTGCCTTAGGCTAAAATCTTCTTAAAAATAATTGGGATTTGAAAGTAGGTATCTGGATTATCGTTTCAAAAATTGTCCTTATATAACAAGCTAATAAAATTTTACAAATGGGAGTTCTTCATCAGTTATTTAGTCTAACCTTCTATAATTATAATAGCTCACCATGTCTGAAAAGTTCATGACATTTGTTGATATTTTCACTGCACTTCTCAATCTCATTCCGGCAACAATTATCAAACAAAAAATTGTAACTAACAGGAATATCATTATTTCTAATTTTACCTTTGGTCTCCCATAACCATAAAAAAACTGTTTTCCATCTGTTTCACTCTAATCTTGCACAGAGTTCAGAATTCACTATTTCACTCCACTGCTTAAATCACTTTTAGAATATTTGACCTGCTGCCGACAACCCAAATAACCACTTCCTTTTCATCAATTTGTCTTTGCCTAAGTGTATCCCAAATTGCTCAAATAAATTCCCTTCTCACATCTAAAATTTTAAAAAATGAATTTATTTGTACAACTAGTAATAGTGTATACAAATATCTGAAAATTTAGCAAGGACAAATTTCAACAGAGTACACATTTGACTAATAAATATTTAATAATATAGGTTGACCATAGTGATGCTAAAATTCTTGATCCAGACATAAAACCTGTAAATACTGATTGAAAATAAAAAGAAAGAGAAAGATATACTGTATGGTGAAGAATTTAGCTTTTCCCAAATAAAAGTCTGAGCTTTGCCCTAGCTTCAAGGAGGTGATCTCTAAGCCCTTGGAATGTCTTGCCTGATATACATGTCTTTGTTTAGGGTCTTTGGACCATGACAGAAAATCTAATACTGCGGCTCATGGAGTGGTAGGTGTGTCAGTGGGGGATTTGGTCATTCAATATCCACTCAGCCTCCAGAGGGGCTAGAGTGGAGATTAAGGTTGAGGTGAGCCATGTAGTCAGTGGACCACGCAGCTTCAATAAAGCCTCTGGACACCAAATCTTGGGTAAGCTTCCTTGGTTTGCAGTGTTCAGTATGTGTTGTCACCCATCTTTGCTAGGAGAACTTAACACTGTCCATAACTATGTGGGGAGAGAATAGCCTGGAGCTTCATGTTTAGAAACTTCCTGGAGTCTGCCACATGTATTTTTTCCCTTTGATGATTTTGATCTGTGTCCTTTCCTTGAAATAATACATAACTATAACAGTGGTCACTGAGTTCTGTGGACTCTTCTAGAAGATTATCAAATCTAATGGTGGTCTTGGGAATCCTCAAACTCTGCAGCTGATGTCAGAAAAGAGGGAAGTTCTGTGGACTGAGTTCACTCAAAACTTGCATGCACTCACCAGGCATTTTAACTAGAGGATACTGACTTTATAACTTATTTAAAACTAGTTTTTAAAATAATGCTATAGTGCAACTAAAGACAGTGTCTTAATGAGACCGACAAGCATAAACTTAATGTGAATTCTTTATCTTAATTTATTCTTCTTACACCCTGTTAGGTTTCCAGTTTTCATAAGGGCAAAGATTTAAGTGACTGCTGATTTCTTAAAAGATATTTTGGAAATCAGAAGACAATGTGATAATATCTACAAGAACCAAAAGACAAAATAGTGTCGTTGACCCATAGTCTCTAGCTGGCATAAATATTCTTAGATTGAAGGAAAATAAAGATCTTTGTAAGCAAAACAAAACTAAGAAAATTTGATGCCAGCAGGTTTGTACCATAATAGTAAGCCAAAATATGCAGCCTGAGGAAAGATGATACCAGAGGGAAGCCCAGAATTTCAGGAGGAATGAAGGCAACTGGGCAAGGTAGGTATGTGTGTAAATACAATGGACTATTTATTTTTAATGTCCTTCATATATAAAGGGTTGTTTAAGAACAAATTATGACATTGTCTTGTGGGGTCTAACATATATATGTCAACTATAAATTATATAAACTATATAAAAAATATGTAAACTAAAAACGTATATACATCAACTATGTCATAAAAGCCAGAGAAGAGTAAAATTACTTATAAAATCACATTGTAAAACTCCTACATTGTTTGTAAAATGAGAAAATTATTAACTCTAAGAAAATAGTGGGCAATGTTAGAAGTATATACTTTCATTGCTAGAGTGAGAACTAAAACATAACACAAAGGGGTATAGATAAGCATCTGATAGGTAAATTAGAATGCCAATATATATTCAAATTTTTAAAGACAAAAAAGGGGAAAACAAATCAAGAACTGGGAGGACAAAGAAAGCAAAGAATAAAATGGTAGAATTAAGTTAAATTATGTCAACGGTTAACATTTAATGTTAATGAACCAGAAAACAGAGATTGTCAAAACGGATGGAATGTAATAGCCAACTACTTAATGACTACAGGAGATACATTTTAAATACGAAGAGACTAACAGGTTAAAAGAAAATGGATAGGAAAGATGTATTGTGCAATCCTTAAGCATAAGAAGGCTGAAGTGATTACATACATAACACAAAACAGACTATGACACTGAAAAGTATATCAGCCAAGATAAAGAAGGACATTTCATAATGAAATGATAAAAGAATGAATTCATCAAAAAGACATAACAATCAGAAATGGGTTTCCATTAACAAACTACTTCAAAATACACAGAGTAAAAATTAACAGCATTAAAGAAACAAGCTGACATTTCCAAAGTCATATTTGGAAACTTTAGCACCACTGTCTCAGTAACTGATAGAAAAGCTAGACAAAAAAATAATTTGATCTAAAAAGACTGTTAATCTAAACAAACATTATCCACCACCTTCACCTGATTGATATTTATGGAACACTGCATCCCCTAAAAGTAGAATACATGTTCTTTTCATATTTTCATTGTATATAAGAATTAAAGTATTTAACACGGTTGAAATATTAAAGAATGTGTTCTCACAAGAAAATCACAAAAATATTTAGAAGTTTAAGTATTTGGAAAAATATTTGAAATTATTTGGAAATATTGGAATACTTCTAATATTTCTTGAAATTCAAAAAACACACATATTTGGAAATTTAAATATTTAGATAATCAATTTTTCCTGAGGAGATACAACGAGAGAAACTAGAAAATGTTACAAACAGAATGAAAATATAACTACAACATATTGAATATTGTTGAATTCAGATAAAACTGTATTTATTAGGAAATTAGTCACTTTACAAGCTTAGATTAGAATAGAAATTCTAAAATAAATAACCTTAAGTTTCTTCTTAAGAAGCTCAAAAAGGAGAGAAAAATAAACCCAAACTAAATAGAACAAAGGACATACTAATAATGAACAGGGATGAAAAAATATCAAACAAGCAATAGAAATTTAAAAATAAGCAGATTATTTGAAAAGATGAAAAAATTAAAACCCTAGCTAGATTAATTGAGAGACAAAATTATAAATGTTAGATATGAAAGGAGATTATTACCAAAGATCCAACAGACCTGAAAAAGGTAATAATGAACAACTTTATAATAACAAATTGGACAAGCTAGAGAAATGAGCAAACATTGTTCAAAAACATAACTTACCACAGCAGACAGAAGATGGAACAATCAGAATAGCCTATAAATATTTGTAATTTGATTTTTTAAAAAATCTTACAAATAGGCCAGGCGCAGTGGCTCATACCTGTAATCCCAGCACTTTGGAAGGCCGAGGCGGGTGGATCATGAGGTCAGGAAATCGAGACCATCCTGGCTAACACGGTGAAACCCCGTCTCTATTAAAAATACAAAAAAATTAGCCAGGCGCGGTGGCGGGCGCCTGTAGTCCCAGCTACTCGGGAGGCTGAGGCAGGAGAATGGCGTGAACCCAGGAGGCAGAGCTTGCAGTGAGCTGAGATTGCGCCACTGCACTCCAGCCTGGGCAACAGAGCAAGACTCCGTCTCAAAAACAAAAACAAAAAAATCTTACAAATAAAACTCTAGGCCCGTACAGTTTCAATTGTCAATCATTTAAGGAAGAAATAAGACCATTTTTATGTGAAATGTCTAGAAGAGAGGAAAAAACCTTTCTGAACCGTTTTACAAAGCCAATATAAATCTAATACTAGAAATCCCAAAAGAAAAATAAATTATGCACCAATTATATACAATATCCAACAAATAACCCCTATGAAATTAATGTTAAAAAGCACAACACAGTATTAGCACATAAAAAGGAGAAACATTTTAAAAGCATGTTACATCATGACCTAATAGGTAATTCTAAAGAATTCAAGGTTCTCACATTTAGAAATTCACCTCCAGTATAATGCACACTGTATTCTGCATGAATTCTCTGTTCACCTGTATGACTCCCAGCATGCTGACTTCTCAATTTCAAATCATCCTAATTTCTAATGTCTACTTCACTCAATTCAGTGTCTATTTATAGTCCCTTTCTGAAATTTGTCGTCGTCTGGAACTATTTTGGGTTTGAAATGTTTAAGACCACCAGCCAATTAACCTACAAAGTTTTTCTGAATATCAGCCCATTTTTCTTCATTTTCTTTCTAACTTAGATTCCAAAGTCTATCATTTCAACCACTCTATTGAGGATAATTTAAATTATCATTCATCTGTCTTCATGTCATCTGCCTATATTCCCATTCTAGACAAGCCACTAGTCTACTCTATGCTTGCACCTAATAAGATTGCTCAATTAAAAAAATAAATTCACACAATTGGGATAATTGGTAAGACCTAAATTATGGTTCCTAACCTGACGGGATCCTCAACACCATTAAACACACTCATAGGCATACATTTTTAAAATTGGCATTCTACTTCAGAGAAAACATAAATCATCAGATTGTAATTTTCTCAACTTTCAATCAGCAAATGTAAAAACTGAAGCACATCAGCCCTGTCCTTTCTTTCTGACTCCCTATGCCAATGGAGTAACATTTTGTCCATCTAGTACAAAAGCCACCTCTGCCATCTGTCTTCTGTTTTCCCATCTCTTGCCTTCACATTATCTAATCCTTCCTTATTCTCTCATGTGAAAAAAAAAAATTTTCTATTAATCCCACATACTCCTCCAGGTATTTCTTCTATTTTCAACTTTTTGCAAGAGTCGTCTAGAGTAGCTGCTGTTTCCACTTTGTCACCACACATTTATTGATCAGGAATCTTCACTGTGTCTCCGTTCCCTTGCCATTATGCTGGAGAGCTTTACCCAGGCATAAACATGAATGCCATGACAACGAAACTAATGGACAATGTTGGAGCCTCGTCATTACCCATTGTTTACTCATTTGCCAGAAGTGACCACTTTCCTCGTGTGGAGGTTGATCACATTTTCTGTTTCTTCTGCTAGTCTTTATAGAACTAAATTCCTGACTTTCTTTCTGATTCTTTAGCCATTGCTTATCTTTTATTTGGCAATAAAACTTGAGGTTCATCAGGAATTGGCCATAGGCTACTTTATCTCTCTCTCTACATTCTCTTCCTGGGACTTCATAATAATCCTCGTGTCTCCAATTTTTTCCCCCAAGCAAACCTCCTTATTTATGTCTTCCTCTTAAACTACTCATAAACCCAGCTGCCTTCTCTGAATTTTCACATGGATACCTCAAAATGAAACATCCCAAATCAACCCAATATTCTTTTCCCGCTGTCCAGATTTTTGTTCTATTTCTGTAAAAATACTATATTTTTAAAGAAAAGAAAAACAAATACTATAAATAAAACTCATAAGAATGGCTAACTATAGAGAATAAACACATGAGTAGTCTGAGATGTAGGCAAATTTATAAGACATGTTAATTAGAGAGAGAGTAAGCAAGTAAGCATCTTATGAGACATACAGTAGGTATGAATAGCAGCTTAGTAATCTCTAAGACATGTTAAAAATCCATAGCGGAATGCAATATGTGATTGAAAAAACATAGGTAGGGCAAATGCAAGTGTTACTTGTAGACAGAAAGGATGAAAAGGCCCAATTGTGAGTTCGGGATCATGCCAACTCCAGAGAAACAGCTATGTCATTCCCAAATTGGCCACTGTTTGATGACATGATAGTCCTATTTTGTCCCCGTGCTCTACTAGAAACTAATATGAGACTTAGAGCTATTCATCAAGCTCATTGGTAAGCAAGTAACAGCCATGGTCGACATACTTGATCAATACTGTATTGGTTGGTTCCAGGCATAATTTGACTGCTGAATTCCTTAGTTTAACCTCAGTTTTCTCCTTATAGTTACCCCACCAGTGGAGATTGGTGTATCTCAGAGATATAGGACTGATGAACATTGCAAAACACAGGATTCCATAGTCCTTCTCTCCTCTTGTACCCTATCATAAAGTTAGGACTTATGAACATTGGAAAACACAGGATTCTGGTAGCATAATCCTTCCCTCCTCTTGTACCCTATCATAAAGTTATCTCACCCCATCTTTTTCTTCTTGTCTGGCTTTGTGTGTCATGAATGAATTAAACAAGGATGTAACATTAGTATCTTAATCTAAATGGTCCATGAACATTTATTTTTCATAATGTCTAAAATAGCTTGCTTAATGCTATACTTGGGAGGCTACTGGGATAATTTTTCCTAAAACATCCTCCACCACAAATGTCTTCTCATGTATTTTCTACCTCTCTAAATGACACTAACATTTATATAAACAATTCTTCTTCTAAACTTATTTCCAACAATTGATGTTACGGTTGAGTTCAGGAATGGGTCTTATCTTAGTATTCCTCAACCCCTTGCTAGCATTCTTAATTCTCATAGTCCTTAGTTTGTCAGGAGTTATTTGCGAAGTGTCTGTCTACCAAAAAACACTCTAATTTAATTCTAATAGAAAGCAGGAACTATGTCTGCTTTCTATAGCATGGTATTTCCAACACCCATCATAATGTTTCACATTAAAAGATGCTCTCTACATTCTCCTTTCCTAAATAAATGCCTACCAGATTTTCTTTCACATAGTAGGAATTTAGACTGATTGCAAAGCTGATTGGACAGGAAATAATTTCTAAAAAAAACTAGAGTACAGTGGCATTTTGCCTTGAGAGAAAAGCGTTGGCACTGTGATAGGACACGCTGATAACAGTAATAGAGGTTGAAGCACAGCTTATCTTTTGTTAAAAAAGAAGTTATGCTGTGAAAACTTGACATGCAAATGAATGTATGAAATTCATTGGAAGTTCAACTGTAATCTATTTGAATGTTAATGAAGGCTGCTGAGGGATTCTTTTTAATCTTTTCCTTTTTTCCCTTTACTGTTAAAAGAAGCTCTAAAATTACCTAACAATTGATAATTCTTTATTTTATTTCTCTCATAATATGATTGATAAACTATTCAAGTAATTTATATTTGTATTTTGAATTATGAAATAGAAAAATCAGCTCTGCAAGGAAGTTTTTGGGACTACCATGTAGTCTTACATTTGAAATTTTTAAAAAAATGCATTTGGCTACGTGAATCCCTAAAGAGAGATGTGTTTATACATTGAAAACTTTGTGCTGAAATAATTTTCAACATAAAATTGAATTGATGTTAGATATTTTCCAGTGTAATATAGGAAACTGATCATTTACAAAATAGTAATAATTAACCTAATAGAAGTTTTCCTATTGCTAAAACTGTGGTATTTTTTCAGAAATATAAGTTTTTGTTCATATTGCTCATATCCACATTTAATTTTAAATTAAAATTGTACCACAGACAACAAGATGTTAATTCATTATGACGTGTGAGTGTTTCTTTGTGAATTCCTCACCTCACTTTAATGCTGTAAGATTTCAGGTTCTTCCTCATATTTCCCCCAGAGGCTTTTATGACTCATTTTGTCCCTCAAATTATGTTTCACAAACATGATTCGTTGGTCCCTACCTTTTTTCTTTCTATGTACTTGCTGCATTATTCACTTACTTAACAAATAAATGATTGACTGATTGCAAAATGCTCTTTTCCCCTTCCCCCCCTTTTCTGAAAATCATATCTATTCCAAAATCTTCAGCTAGAATAACTCAACAATACTTAGTTACACTTTCATATGTTCATATGATTGCTCCAGTTACAAGTCATATATAACAACAACAGCAACAACAACAAAATTCAAGGCAACCAAAACTGATCTCACTCTAAGCCTCTTCAATACCACTGTCACAATAATATTGCTGATTCACAGTTCTGACTGTTCCATGACTGTGCTCGGAAATCTTGTATTGCTCATTATTTCTTTACATTAAACAAAATTTCTTTCTTTCAAGGAACCTCGCAAGTCATTACTAAAAAATTCTTACTTGCCATTATTCCTGCTTTTCACTACAAGAACATCTACAAGAACTCTGCCTTCTAGCCAGAAAGCCCATGTGCCATCTTCCCAGGAATGTCTGACAGTTTTCCACAGACCTGTGGCTTGACTCATGCCATCTGTTCGAAATGCCTTTTTAATGCACATAAATTTTTGATATTTCGTCTATACTTTAGCGTCAGATTCAATGTATTCTCCTTCCTGGGTCTAAAACACGAGAAAGGAGATAGAAATTTCTGTAAAAGCCTACAAACCTCTCACGCTTCATTTATGTTTCTGACCACATATTTTCTTGATTATAGTTAGTTGCTGCTGCTCTAATGTCCCCTGCTAGATTATAAAGTCCTGGGACTAGGGATCTTATTTTATTCATGTATGAATTTCTCACAGAACCTAAAGTTGCAGAACATCTTGCAAACACTCAAATATTTATTTGTTGAGTAAATAAATAATGCAGCACATACATAAAAAGTAAATGAAACAACATTGACAACATCAAGAATTTCAGAAATACATTAATCATCAAATAATTTACTATCCCTATAGTCATACAGTCTAGAAAACATTAGTTAGCTATAGTTTCTTGAAGAAGTTTAAGACCATTATTTTATAAAATCTATTTCTAGTTCATATCATTTAAAAACAATAATTTATTTCAATATAAAATGCATGCACATAATAAAAATATAAAAGTTACAAAATGAAGTAAAAACTGTACTCTAAACCTTATCCTTCAGTCTCCCATACCCTTTCAAAGAGGCAACCCATTTTACCAATTCTATGCTATTCGGTTGGTGCAAAAGTTATTGTGGTTTTTGCAATTAAAAGTATTTTTTCCAGGGATAATCTACATATATACAGACTTAATGTTGTGCATTATTTTGCCATTTTACAGCTGTCAGCATACTCATACACACTATTCTGAAAACCATTTTTCACTCAAAAATAATCTTGGAGGTTGTTTTAAATGTTCGTACTATCCTTATTGCTTATAATGTTCCTTAGTGTTTATACCATAATCTATCCATATATGACTAGATGCTTATTTATGTGTATGGAGGATTTTTTTCCATACTACTGTTATTACAAAACTTGCCACAATAAATGATTTTGTACATATATGTTTGCACATATCTATACTACAACTGGAAGACACATTCCATAAACAGGTATTATTGGCTCAAATTGTTTATTAATATTTCTTTCTATAAATATCATTGAATTTATCTGCATAGATGCTTTACTAGATTTTTATTTTTGCATACCAAAAAATCACAAACTTATGAGAGTAAAGCTATATACATTTATTTTCTCACTGCTTCTATGAAACAGCAGTCCAGGCTTGACTTAGCCGAGTTATCTGCAAGGCTGCAGTTGGGGTATCAGCTGAGGCTAGAATCTCAACTGAATGCCCAACTGGGAAAGGATCCTCTTCCAAGATCACTGGGTTTGTGGGCTGAATTCATTATCTTGCACCTAAGGACTGCAAGCCTAATTTTCTTGCAGAGTTGGCTGAAAATCATCCTCAGCTCCTAGGGGTCATCCTCAGCTCTTTATATTGTGAACCACCCCCAAACCCCCACATACATATGACCACCTGTGTCACGAAACAAGCAAGCATGAGAATCTCTCAGCCCAAAAGAAGTTACATCTTATGTAGTGTAATCATATACACATAATCAAGTATGTCCTGTATATTGTTGTATTCTCTTGGTTAGATGGATGTGACAGGTCATCTCCACATTCAAGCAGATTACTCAAGGGCCTAGTTTCCCAGAGACAGAGATCATGAGTGTGTCTGCCACAGAGATGTATCAGTTTAGAATCCTACCAAACATGGGAGAGAGCCTCATACTCCGCATGCTCTCCAAGTGTATTACCAGAATTTTGTTTATTGTTGCAAATCGGAGCTGAAAGTAAATGCTCTCTCACCGTAGTTTTTCTCATTTTCTTACAATATGTGAGTTTTAGCATCTTTTCACGTACTTAAATGAAGTAGATATTTTTATTTAATATTTGTAAACTTCATGGACACCTACTTTACCGTATGTTAATTGGTTTCCCTTGCATTTTTTTTTGTATTAACATATAGGAATTATCTACATGGTTTCAAAAAGCTTTTTGTCTCCAATAATGTTGCAAATAATCATTATTTGGTCAATAGGTTTGGGGATTTTTAAGAATTTCTTCTGTTTGCATATTTTTTTTCTTTTCATTTTAGTATAGTTAAGAATATTACCTAGTTTGAGTTCTATTCCTTCATTCAATAATAAATTCCAGATAGATAAAGATTTAAATTTTAAAATTCTTTCTTAAAACTAAAGGGAAAAAATAGCACCACAAGGGGAAATCTCTAACTTGCACTCTACTGGGTGAGTGCCTACCTAAGACCATTTTCGAGAGGCCTATGCTCAATAAGGTAGGGAATTGTGCTGAAGTGGCATGCCCGTGATAAACTGCTGGCTGGTGGAAAGGCCTTCACAGAGGCTCTCCAAAGAGCGAACCAAGCCCATATCCCCAGACAAGACAGTCCTAACTCAGCGGCACTCTTTTACCACAAGTGGGAAGCCACTTCAAGCCCACCCACTGTAGCTGAGAGGTATGAGGTTCGCATTCACAAGTCACATCCTCAGTAATGCCTTTCCTGGCCACTCTCTAAAATTTTAACAACAGTCACAACACTTTAAATCTGTCTTAATTTTTCTCCTTTGATCTTTTCACTATCTGATACGTTATGTATTTCATTCATCTTTTTTAAATTGTCTGTCTTCCCAGTAAAATGTAAGCACCATGATGAATGGACCTGGTCAGCTTTGGTCCTCACTGGTTCTCTAGAGTCAAGCACAATGCATGGCACACAGAGCAGGGTGTGCTCAAATACATGCTCTTCATCGAACAGTGCATGGGCATGCATTTTTAAAAGAAACGTAAAATGCAAACATCTGATAAGAAAGTGAAGAAGATACTTCAAGAAGCAGAAGAAATTTTCTTGAGTATTTTCTAAATTGAAATTAATGCTTGGTGCGGTGGCTCACCCCTGTAATCCCAGCCCTTTCAGAGCCTGAGGCCGGTGGATGGCTTGAGACCAGGAGTTTGAGACCAGCCTGGGCAACATGACGAAACCCTGTCTCTACAAACAATACAAAAATTAGCCAGGTGTGGTGGCTTGCACCTGTAGTCCCAGTTACTTGGGACACTAAGATGGGAAGATCACTAGAGCTCATGAGGTTGAGGCTACAGTGAACTGTGATCTCACCACTGTACTCCAGCCTGGGTGACAGAGTGAGACCCTGTCTCAAAAACTAAGACAAAAGCAAACAAAAAACCCCATGAAATTAATAAAAATATATAAATCAATCAAGAGCTTAAAATTGTGATATATTAGTAGAATGTGGGCAAAATAAAGTTATTTCCCAAGGAAAAATAGTTAATTGACATTAAAAATCTATAAAATAAATTAGAAACAGCAAAGAATAGAATAGAATAGACAAATTTGAAAGGAACTTGAACTGACATAATATAAAAATTCCTTTGAATTCATTTGACAGGTCTCCAAAGGGCTGTTAAGAGCCAGGGGGCAATTTCTGCCTGGAAGTGACAGACATTTAGAACTTGCTAGATTCCAATAGAGAACATAATTCCTCCATGAGAAAAAAAATAGGTGATCTACGTGCATTTGGTCATTTTTCTCCTTTTCATATTATATTGTTGTCTTAAATAAGCCTTATTTGAAATGATCAAGATGGCCCATTTATAGAAATATAAGGGAAAGGTTTTCCTTGAATAGTCAACACAATCTCTATTTAAATATGTATTTATTTGAATTGGATTCTTCAACTTCAGCTTATAGAAATCGGAAGCTTTATTATAGAGTTTTCAAAAAGCCTCCTATGTTTAAATTTATTTTGCTAATGACTAGACAATTCAGAATTATTTAAACCTAATATTATTATTCCATTATTTTTTGACATAGGCCCAAACATTGAGAAAATTACATGTAAATTAAAAGCAGTAAACTTAAAATAAAAGTATAATCAAATGCAATTTTTAAATGTAAAATAAGTAAATACATAGATAAATAAAACTCCAACAAATCACAGCATTACAAGTTCATGGGTAACCAGAGCAGTAATGTCGTTAAACATGGTATTGAACTGAAAACTCATTGTCCAGTGAGCCAAGTCTTGGCCTACCAATTCCATGCCACTACCTCACCCCAGCCTTTCTTTAGGAACCACTGATGGGAGCAGAACATGAACATTCTAAGCTTTCTTTTTTTTTCCTTTTAAGGAGGGAGGAGAAAGTAATGAAGATGCGCATTATTATTCTACTTCAGGAAAAGCAGTATACAGTAGTCTCAATATTTGCAAGAAAAGGTCCAGGACTAAGGGGTTCCATGATTTTTAGATATATGCTGCCCTTCATCTGCCAAAACCTGTTTAACAACTGACCTCAATTAAACTAGTAATCTTGAAGGTTTATTAACAATTCTACTAGAACAGAGCACAGGGGTTTTGTCTTATTTTGTTACCACAGTATCCCCAACACTTAGACAAACAGGCAATCCATATTACTCAAGCACTATCTATTTGATGCACATAGGTAAGACTTTTATTTTTATTATTCCAACAAGTAGAAGAAAGTTCTCATAAAACTAATGGTGACTATTTCTGGTGAGAGGGTGAAAGAAAAATATAATTTTCTTTAGGTAACAGATGGGGATTTTCACATCACCTTCAGCCTCAGACTGGGACTTATCAACTTCTCGGTTTCCAAATCTTTGGGCTGGATCTGAAACTACACCACTGGCTTTCCTGGGCCTTCAGCTTGCAGATGGCAGATCATAGACTTTTCAGCCTCTGTAATCATGCGAGCCAATCCCTCACGTGCAATCTCTTTCTACGTATCTATGTAGCCTGTATTGTCTTTCTGGAGAACCTTGACTAATATACCTTCTTTATCTTAATCAATTAATCAATTTGACATAGAGCTAATTAGTCGCCAAGAAAGCCTTACCATTCCCCTCAGCTTGAGTAAACATTAGGCAGGTTTCTTCCTGCCTCCAGGATCTTAAAGCGTTTACTTTAGAAAACTTCTCATGGTAAATCCTCTCTCTGCACTTTTGAAATGCAAATCTTTTTAAGAGCCTCTTTCCACTTTCACAACCCAAGAATAGACCTAGGAGCCATGCTTTTGAAAGGTAATCATCAAGGAAGATGTAACCCCTCTCCCTCTCTCTGTGGGAGGGTAGGAGCCTAGCTGCAGTGGGGCACCTTGCTCTAAGTTGTAAAGCTACCTCCTATCATGAAAATAAAAAGTTTACTTTTCCTTTGGTTAAGGCCAACTGGCAGACAAAATTGGCTTAAGGTTCCCTCCAACCCCAGATCTTAAAAACGTTCCAGCTCTTGCTGGTATCGAGTTGGTCTGTCCCCACTACCCTATTGCTGGACGTAATATCAGAATAAAATCAATCTCTGTCTCCTCATCTTGTCCAGTGCGACTTTCCTCTTTAACAGTGTTAAGATTCCTTATCTGTTTATTCAATTTGATTTTTTGAAGATTTGGAATACACTTCAAAAGTCAAAAGTATTATGCTCAGAGGAGTTGTCTTCTTTTCCCTACACCATGTACCATGTTGCCAGATTTCTTCTGCACGTCACTATTTCTGGCTTATTCTTCCTGTGGTTTTTGCAGGGAGAGAGGAACACAAATAACTAGGTAGGACAGGTAGCACACTGTATCTACGATGTTAACCCTTGACAGTGTATCCAGGAACTCACTCTATACTACATAGATCTCTTTTGTTTTTAAGAGACATATAGCATTCCATTACATGTATATACCATAGTTAATTCAATCAGACTACAGTGCATTTATGTAGTTTCTAATATTTCACAGCTAGCAATAATGTCACAATGAATAATCATTTGAACATATTTCTCCCCACCTTCTACTTTGATGTTAAATCTTAGAAATGAAGTTGCTACTGCAAAGGGCAAATTGGCAATGGACATTGATGAGATATCACACAATTCCTCTTCATAAGGCATACCATCTGGCACTAACACCAGCAATGAATGAGAAGGCAGGTATCTCCACGGCAATGCCAGCAGAGTTATGTTATCCAGCTTTTACAATTTTTTTCAATGTACAAAAGGAGCAATGCTATTTTTATGTATAGTTTCAACCTGCATTTTAATTATTATGACTGAAGTGACCATATTTCTTTACTTTGGTCAGATTCATTATTTGTTCTTGCGATCTTTCCATGTTTTTATGTGTTTTAAAAAATATATTGGGGGTATTAGCATTTTATCTACATGTTAGTATTTTACTGAAGGTCTTTTCAGCATTTAAAAGGAGAATGGCTTCTCTCCTTTGATTTAATCATTTAGAGAACTTTATCAATGATTTTCATAATGAACATGCTTACCTTTCTGAAATAAGCCTATTTATCTACAATGTACCCTGACTTTTTGCTTCATTTGCTATTTTATTTAGAAGTTTTGTGTTGATATTCATGTTTGGAATTAGTCTACAATTTTCTTGAAAATTTGTTTCCACTTCTAGTCATCTCACTTTCAGTTTATTACACATTAAAAAGAAACTATCTATTTATTCTATTTACCTCCATAGAGATGTTTAAAATAATATCTCAATTAAAAAAAATTTTTTTATTTAAATGGTTATTTCCTTATCATTTTCACATTTTGTTTTTGCTTTCTTTTTTCTTATTGGGTAGGTTAGTTAGTAGTTTAAATTTTCCTAATTATATAAAACACAAATTTTATTTAGTGATTAATTATATTGTTCTCTGATTCCTATCTAAATAATATTATAATTTTTATTTATTTTTTGGTATTATGTTTGCTTTCACATTTTTCTTTTCCTAGCTTTTCAAGTTAGAAATTTATTTAAACTAATTTAACTCTCTCATTTTTATTGAAATACATGCTTCTGACTATGAGTTTTTCTTTTTTCATAGTTTAAAATAAATCCTATAATTTGGATACATAGTGTTTTTAATTTTTTAAAATAATTTTAATTTTCATGTCCATATTCTCCAAAAATTTGTTAGAGAATTTTAAAATTTCCAGATGGAAGAACTTTTTTTGTCCTTAACTTATAATTTAACTGTGCTCTAAGAGCTTTATTTTATTCCACTATTTTTTTCCATGTAAACTATTACTTGATTTGTAAGTAATTGTTTTACATTTGAGAATATATTCTTTATTGAATAATATAAAATATAAATATATCCAAAAGATATACATTTCATATATAAGCTAAATTTTTGTGTTAGTCTGTTTTCACACTGCTATAAAGAAATATCAGAGACTGGGTAATTTATAAAGAAAAGAGGTTAAATGGACCCACAGTTCCACATGGCTGGTGAGACTTCAGGAAACTTACAATCATGTCAGAAGGAGAAGAGGGAGTGAAGACTTTCTTCACATGGTGACAGGAGAGAGACGAGTGTGTTAAGGAGGAACTGTCAAACTCATAAAGTCATCAGATCTTGTGAGACCTCACTCACTTTCACAAGAACAGCATGGGGGAAACCACCCCCATGATCCAATCACCTCCCACCAGGACCCCCTCCACACATGGGGATTATGAGGATTAGAATTTGAGATGAGATTTCCCTGGGGACACAGAGCCAAACCATATCAATTTTACAGCAAATTGATATATTACATATATCACAGAAAGCAATTATTAGTTATGTTGATTGTATCATACCCTTATTTCTTTATTTTGAATGTAGAGGCCATGTTAATATTTCTTATAATGTCAGGAACCACAACTTTAAATAAGTTGGCTTCTGTGCTACTTTTGCACAGATATCAATCATTTTATAGCTTCATTTTGATTATAATATTTAGCATAACACTCTTCTTCTTTGTCATATTTAATACTTTGTGTTCTGAATACTGATCTTTTTCCTGACATGAGGATTATAATTTCTGCCTTCCTATTATCTCCCTCAACTCCACTTTATTTTTTTTTAACCTATTCTCTAATTTTTAGCTTTCTGATTTCCTTCATTTTAGGGGTGTTTCTGGTGTATAGCATTTTTGGGGTTGTGTTTTGTAAGCCGATTTGAACATCTCTGTTTCTTAATAAATGAATGAAATCGGTTGGCATTTATTTACATAAATGATTTTATTGTTCTCACTCCATCAAATTATTTTGTTTGTGTGATTTTTTTCTCCATGCAGGCTTCAATTAATTCATTTAGTTATTTAGCTTTATTTTGAGTCATTACAGATGCTTGCATTTTTATGTTGTTTTCTCTATATGGACTAATGTGTTTTATAGTGCTTTCAATCCCTTTTTCTTATTATGCATCTAAAATTTGGTTTCAGTTTTATGTGACTTACTTGACTCCTACCTCTTAACTATGTGACAATGAGTAAGAATTACATTACTTTCTCTTTTTGTTTACCCTACACATTTTCAGTTTTTACATTGCAGTGTTTCTGTGTTGTTATATCACTTTTATATATTATTTTCCCACATTTGTTTTAGTATTATATCTGCAATTACATATATTCACTTCCCTCCATCAGTTCCTTTGAAAATTTCTCCCATCAACTCCTGATTGAATGAGCGAGGTCTCTTAGTGGAATTCTTGGCATCTTTCATGAGTTCATATTCCCTTAATTTGTGCACACTGAAAACTATTTTATAGACTTAAACTTTGAAGGACATCTTAGCAGGATATAAAAGTTTTCTTCAAAATTTTCCCTTGATCTTATTGAAAGAGCTGATTTCATTAGAGTGTAATGCCAACTTGATTTTCTTTCCATTGAGGAAAATGTGGTCTTTTTGTGTAGGGCCCTGATAATTTATTTCTATCTATTATTAACATCCAATAATTTTATAAATATATGTCTTGACTGTAAAACTCTGGACACATTTTTGAAGGTACTGGATAGTCTTCTAAAAATGTAGATTCTGGCTGAGTGCAGTGATTCATGCCTGTAATAGGACTTTGGAAGACTGAGATGGGAGGGTCACTTGAGAACACGAGTTGAAGACCAGCTTGGGAATATAGCAAGACCCCGTCTCTACAAAAAATTTTAAAAATTAGCTGGGGGTGGTGGCATAAGCTTGTAGTCCTAGCTACTTGGCAAGCTGAGGTAGGAGAATCCCTTGATCCCAGGAGTTCAAGGCTGCAGTAAGCTATGATCAAGTCACTGCACTCCATCCTGGGCGACAGAACAAGACAAAGAGCTTGTCTCAAAAATTTAAATTAAAAATAAAATAAAATGTAGATTCACATCTTTTGCTTCCCTAAGTAATTATTTGATTAAAGTATTAAATGTTGATGAAGCATTTTTTTCCTTCAAAGTTTCTTTTAAAATATAATGGATTTTTGAACTCATCTTCTACATAGAAAATTATCTTTCTGATACATTTTATATCATTTAAGATAATTTATTCCACTTATTTTTTTTTCAGTGACTTTATCACATTTTTGGTCAAATTTATTTCTCCTTTGGTTATTTTGTAATTTAGCACAATATAATGATTTGGCCTTCTTTTCCAATTTATGTCTTGGGTTGTTTAATTTTTCATTTCATTTCTTTTAATTTGCTTATTTATTTTGATTTTGTTCATATATGCTTCCAGTGGTTTTGTTTTTGTTTTTGTAGTAATGAATAAGTAATTTTATCATATCTGCAACTGCTTATTTAAAATTATGTAATTTGGTTTCAGAGATGGTAAAGTTTTTTTTCTTCTTTGTGATTTACATTTATGGAGAATTTTTATCATCTACTGTATTTTAATTTTCATATCCTATTTTCTTCTTATTGTAGACACTTATTTCCTATTTTTTTGTAATATCTTATTTTCTTGGATTAGATACAATTATTATATATGGATGAAGTGAATGTTTTGGAAAATTTACTTACAAGTTACATGACCACTGACCTGCTATCCTTCAGTCCTTGGTTTGAAATTATCAAAATTTTTTATATGACACAAAAAAATTTATATGACATAATATATTCCAGACATTAGTTTATTTAACTGTAAAAGATACGAAGCAGACAAAAGAACACACAACCAAAAGCAGATGCCTCAGAAGCTCTTGAAAAATATCAGGTATAAGCTCTAAACTCTGTCCTCCACCAACAACCACATGGGATGCCACTGATGGCAAGAGATGATTTCAAGCTACACCTTCCATTCTTTAGCCTCATATTATAGCCACCAAGGTATCAATTTTGTCATAGTTAATAATTCTGATATCTAGATACCAGTTAACGTAACTTAATTATTTTAACTAAATACATTCAGGTGGCAGTATTGCAACTAGATAAACTGAAAGACATGTACATGCTCTGCCACAAATTTGACACAAGATTTAGGGAGTCAACATTTTCCTAAAGAAGCTTACAACTCCATAATCCAATCATAATAATGGAAGTTTTATAAGCTAAAATTAATTACTGAGAATGCAAAACCATGGAATATTATTTCAAAATATTATCCAGCAACTATATTTCTCTATTTTATTACAGTTTTTAAAAATGGCATACATCCATTTATAATTAAAATTAATTTTTAACCAAATATAAATTATTTTAAAATATAAATGGGCATACATCTGTCACATTATGATGATATTGGATAAATAATATCACTCTTTGATACCTTTTATAATATTCAGGTTTATTTTTATGTTTTCCTCCAAAATTTTAGTAATATTATTACTTAATATTTGCCTATGGTTAGAGAAGGTATATAGGAAACATCTAACACAGTTCTTTGACTTCTAGGACAGTGAACTCCTATGTCACTAATCTCTGTCAAGGGACTGATTTTAATCTCTAGTGTCTATGATTGAATCCTGATTCCCCAGGCAGGTGACTGGGGCATAGAAGCTGCTCACCAATTATTTTTGGAAAGTTGAATAAATATTTGAATGTAATCACAAGAGGTGTATGCACCATCATTTTTTTTTCCATTTTATTGAAAAGACTGTTGACCTTGCCTGTATCTATATACAATACCTGAGTTGGATTAATAACTATTTTACCTTTATAATATTCTTAGGTGATGACATAAAGGAGGTTTAACACAGACACCCTTATCATTGGAGACAAACTGAAAGGAAGTTTAACGTCCTTAACTAGGTAATACTCATGTAACACCTAATATGAATCTAGGCAATCTCACCACCACAAATTAAGTGCACCATAGTAGAGAAAAAGCAATAAGAGAGTGAGTATAGACATTAATTAATGCAGGAAGCAGTGCCTATAAAAAAGTGTTCTTATTATCTAAAAGCTACACAGTAAATAAAAGAGCACCCAACACTGGTTACAAAGAGTCCAAGTGGAAAAAAAAAAACCCAACTAAAATGCAATTTAAGGTAACATTTTTGAGGGTCTGCAGATTAGGAATAGACATTTTTCCAGCTGAAAATTATATAAAAAGTAAAATGAAATCCTGTGACCTCACTTAGTGTATGCTGGGTTGGCACTGGGGGTTGCTGAAAACATTGCATCACAAGAGTGAGGCACAAATGAGATTGCCTCCAGAGTGGAGAGAGAAAATATTCTAATTAAGCTTGCAATGTCCTGTGATCTTTGTTATGGCTTTGGATGGCTTACACTTGGAAACACAAATCAGCTATAGACTTTCAAAAGCCAAGAAAAGTAAGAGTATCTGAGAATGACGATCTCAGCCAAGACATTAATTCTTCTTTCATAACAAGTCAAAGACACTCTCACACCCAGGATCTCAACCTTGCAATGCCCTTTTGTGATTGTCAAGTTTAAAGAAGTAGCTTTTGTTATACTGAATAAGCTTCACATGCAGAAGGAAGCTATGAAAATCTCTTGCGAGGCTGCTGGTGGAAAAGACCATGAGTTACAAGATACGAAATTTAACAATAAAGTAAATTATTCTGTTATATTTAGCCTGATAATTATGAAGTAGTGAAAAAAATGATTTTTAAGTATTAAAAATACATTATACATCAGTTTAGTGGATCAGCTATCGAATCATCTAAAATGAGAAAGAAAAATTCACAGAACATGTTTGATTTTATTTTTGGAAGTTTGCCACTTCGTCTTTCTTGAAATGTTTTTTCACTAAAGCTTTCAAGCCATGGAAAGGTTCTTCTTTACATACATACATTCCAATGTCAGTTTACCTTTCCCCTAAGGGTTACTTGTCTTGTACAAGTATAGAGGGGAGTAGCTTGTATCACAAGCAGTCCTTCTAACCTCTAATTCTTTCTATATGCTGTATCTCTCCCACCATTTTCTTTAGTCTGGGGTCTAAATCTCTGTGTTGACTTTTGACCACAGGGAAAGCAGTCACGTGGGCAAAAGCTCCGCCCGTCGCAACAATCTCAGCAGATGCGCTGGGGTGGTGACACAGGCAAAACTTCAACCCGGTATCCCACATTCGGTCTGGTGATAACTGAATTCAAATATTTCTGCGTGAATTAGGGTATATGGGAAGGGAAGGAAACGTTAAGAACAGAAAAATAACTTAAAATTGTAAAGGAAAATTATAAGGGATGGAGGGCAATAGCATTGCAAGGCAGGAAGGACATCTGTCTGACATGGGATTAAAGGGCCTATCTCCTGAGTTAGACCGTCCAGGCTTGACGACAGTCTGGGCCTTCCTAGCTGTGTAGTCTTAAGAAATTTGCTTACTACTCTGAGACTCAGTTTACTCATCTATAAAAGGGGAATCTTAATAGCACCAGAATCATAATGATCATGGAGTTATCGTGAGGGCTAAATTAAATGAATCATCTATAGCAAAATCTGACACATGAATAGTGATAAATAAATCTTAGCCAGCTTCAAATGTTTTCTCCAAGTAACAGCAACAAAAAGTTCACAAATTTATCTTACTTCTTTAAATAAACTGTTAGGGAGGACACAATTCTAATTATCTATTGAGTTATGTATGTCTTCGATTTATTTCCTTTTATCATCTACTATCAACAGTAGGAAAGTAGAGTTTTATTTTCATCATTTTACTAAAAATGGAAAACAAGCTCTGCAGAGTTAAGTGAATTTTCCAATGTTATAGATATTCAACTCTGACAGTAATTACTTAGCTATATAAATATATTTCTTTACTTTAGAGGTATTAACCTAATTGCTAATTACACACACACACACACACACACACACACACACACACACACACACACATAACAAGAGAAAAAATTATATCCACATGAATAACAAATAGTCTCTTAATTTCTAGTTCTCTATCATAATAATTAAAACATTGGTATTTATCATTTTTCTTTATTACATTTTTGCAGAATTTAACTTTTCTTCCTTTGTGTTATGTTGAACCATTTGAAATGACCATTTCTGATCATCTGTGACCTACAAAACAGCAATTTATTATGACTCAGACTAATACATAATATCAAGATTATGCAGAATTCCTCAAAATAAGACATCATAGTATGAAAAATTTCACCTACATTAGACTTCCCAGGGGGAAAGGATAAACAGAAATGTAATTTATCTTCATCTTTTCTCCCTCTTCCCTACCTACCTCAACACTGTATACGATGTGTAGATCAATTTTAAAGTTTGGGGATAAAATAAAAGGCATCCATCAGCATATATTAAAGGTCAAAATACACTGTATTACAAAATATTCACCAAACAGCAATAATGAAGCCCAATATATGAAAAATATTTTTGGCTTAAGAAATTCTCTGAAACATAATT
The DNA here is from genome assembly GCF_000001405.40 of Homo sapiens. Classification (NCBI taxonomy): domain Eukaryota; kingdom Metazoa; phylum Chordata; class Mammalia; order Primates; family Hominidae; genus Homo; species Homo sapiens. Next base: position 12,229,482 of record NC_000005.10, on the reverse strand, counting down.
TCTGGATTGATCTGTCAATTTCTTCAATCAACAAGAATCACCCACTAAAAATGCAAATGCTTTCTAATGTATAGAGTTTTGTGTAGAGTTCAGCAAGTGAAGACTCCTTGCACGACTTAAGTTCAAGCTAAAAACGTGGTGGGGTCACATGATGACCACACTGCCCTGAACACAGGTAAGCAAAAGGAAAAACCTTTCTTGGAGAATTGTTACCAGCTATTCAGACCACATGGGAAGTGCAAATTCTGTAATTCAACATGAGGAGAAAAATCATGAGATCTGTTGTAAAAGAGTAGAGAAATTAGCAACACTGAACTCAAAATGCCTCTGAAAAATATAAGCCTCCAAATGTGAAATTTTATCCCTTGCAGTTATAAATACTACAGAAAACAACTGACATATAGTTGAAGAAGTCAGAGAGAGAAGGTTGCCATAGTAGCCAAAAGAATCACACAAAAAAAATGGGCAGGTGAATTCAGAAAAGTAGCAAATTGGAATGATTGTTACTAGGTTTTCCATTTGCCCGAATTTCTCACTCCATAAATGCTGTTTGTAGACAGTCCTCAACTTGCTAAATGACCTGTATCTAGAAAATAGATATATTTTCTCATTCCCAGATGGAGAGCTCACATTTCTTTGCTAAGACACCAACCCAAATTGAACCTGGAGGAAGGAAGATGGGGAAATATACAAGGCACTGAAAAGCATAAATAACTTGAAAGAGTAGATGGCAATATGATAATTCACCTAATATAACATGTCATACATTTTACAAGGTCACATTCTTTGATGTAGCATTAAGAAGAAAAAAATAACAAACTATGACATGCTGTTTTCCTATGATTGATTTTTCAATGGAATACTTAGTAGCCATTGAAATTATAAGGTAGAAATATTTGTGTTGGCACTTAAAATTGCCCCTTATTTAAAGAAAAATGTAAAACACTAAAGAATATTTAGCATGGTCTTGTGTATGTTATACACATAATTGCCAAAGTCTGAGCATTGTAAATAATAAAATAACACTTGTTATTTCTAGAGGATAAACAACAGAATACATTTTAGGGCATTTAAAATTTTTACAGTAAGCAAGAATTGTATATACTCAGCAAAAGCACAGATTACAATTCTGTTTTCAAAGCAGAAAGAGCATGAATTAAAACTTTAAAAAACCACATTCTGGTCAAATCATAAAAAGCATATGTTGTCGATTCCCCTGACTTAACAATGAAAAGACTTTGCTGTGCCATTTAACCAATTTTCTCATGTAAGGATCTAATTTAACTATAAAATAGTGGAAGAGTATATAAAATATCTTTGCAAAAAATGTATTAATTTTATGAACAATCACACAGTTTAGATATCTGTGTTTCTCAAAGAATTCTATATCCAATTAATAGCCACAGGCACAGATCAATGAAGACAAAAAGTGATTTTCAAGTAAAATTGGCCATATTGAGAAACTAATAGCTCTATAATAGATGTGTCCATTTTCTCCTCTTGAGTATATATTCCAAATTACCACGTAAATCACTTATTTAAGAATTATGTATTCTCTTTTCAGACATCCATCTAGAGTACTCACTGTGTCCCCAAATATTCATTCTGTATTTATCTGTTTATATTGTAGTGCTGTATATTTGATTAAAACAAGTGACTTTCTGCTTGAAATTAAATAAGGAACTTTATTTATATTTGTTTAATGTTGGAAAAAAAATCACCTGCAAGCTGAAGAGAAAAAGAAGCTTTACCTGAAATTATCAACCACTCATTTTTTTTAAGCACCTCTGAGACCCTAATTGCTAGAGTTAGCCATTCAGATGCATCTATCACAGGCTTGGACATCAAGACAATGCAAGCTTGAAGAAAGCCAAGCAATTATCACTTGGAGCAAAACGTCCTCTAATGTGAAGAGCACAGTACAGTGAAACCCTTTGGAAAAGTTCCCAGAAATGGCTAGGGTTGGATGGATGAAAGTCAGAGAGATAATTTTCTAAGGGCATTCAAACTGCTTAAAATATACTCTCATTCATAATCATAGCCATCCAAACAAAAATGAGATATTTCTCTTTTATATAAAAAGTATTTAATAGAGAATAAAATTGCCTCAAATGAATGTTATTGCCTATTCATACAGAGTGGGTTGACAGTCTTCAGAGTAAAAACTATTCTAGAACTACATATTTTCATTTGACCATCACAAAGGGGAAAAGGAGATTAAGAGGGAACTTGGAATGATTGAATGCAAAGTAGACACAAGAAGCAATATAGAAACAAACCTATAGCAATTTCATTAATCTATATCCAGACACAATGAATTGATCTTAGGTCCCTGTTCTCTTTGTTTTTGTTGTATTTTGAGAGGGAGTCAGGGTCAGCAAGCCCATTGACACAGGTTCTACATCATTTGAGGCTGCCTCAGGAACTAAGATTGTTTTAAGCATGTTGCCACATAGGAGGAGGTAGATATCAGTCCCATCAGCATTAAGGAGCCAGGGAAAGCAATTGAGACTAACAGCAATCGAATAAATATAAATTAAATACCTATTCTATATTTCTATCCTTTTTGTTTTTTTTAATGGAAATATTTGTATATATATGAAAAAGAGGCACTGAAGAAGACACGAAAGAAAGTCTTCAATTGCCAACCCCACCAGTTCCCTGGGAGTAGCTGTGTGGCATGCAGAGAGAATCTGTATGCTTGAGGGAGGGAGAGCACAGTGATTGTGAGACTTTGCATTGGTACTTAGTGCTGCCTGTCACAGTGGAAAAAACACCAGGAAGAACTCAGCTGAGAACCAAAGTGTTCTGGAGTCCCAGATAATCTTGAGAGGCAGTCTAGAGAGCAAGAACTTTGATGCCTTGGCAAGTCCTAGTGCTGTATCAGACTGAGAGCCAGTCAACCTGGGGGGCACACAAACTAGTGATACAATAGCCGGGGAAGCCAAGGGAGTGCTTGCACCACCACTCCTACAACCCAAGGCAGCACAGCTCGCCGCTCCAGGCTAGACCCCTTTCCTCTGCTTAAGGAGAGGAGATGGAAGAGTAAAGAGGACTTGGTCTTGCAACTTAGATAGCCCTTTAGCCACAGTAGGATAGGACAACAGGCTGAGTCCTGGGGACTCCATTCCAGGCCATAGCTTGTGGATGATATTTCTAGACACACCCTGGGCCAAAATGTGATCTGTTGCCTTGGAGGGAAGAGCCTAGTCCTTGCAGGATTTATTACCTGCTGACTAAGGAGCAATTGGGCCATGAATAAGAAGCAGCAGTAGCCAGATGGTACTAATAAGGGCTTTGTGTGGGACTCAGATATGTGTTAGCTTTGGGTTGACCCAACACATTCCCAGCTATAGTAACTATGGGGAAAAACTCCTTCTGCTTGAGAAATGGAGAGGAAAGAGTAAAGAGAACTTGGTTTTGCAGTATAGGTACCAGCTTGGCCACAGTAGGATGGAGCACCAAACAGGCAATTGGAATCCCTGATTCCAGGTCTTGCCTCCTGGATAGTATTTCTGAACCTACCCTGGGCCAGAGGGGAGCCCACTTCCCTGAAGGGAGAGTCCTAGGTCTGGCGGCATTCGCCACAAGATGACCGAAGAGCCCTTGGGCCATGGGTGAACATCGGTCATCTCCAGGCAGTATTTGCCACAGGCCTGGGATGGTGGTGGACTCTTCTTGTGGAAAGGATATAGAAAACTGGGAAGGAGCTCCTTCTGTGGTTTCGTTGCCACATCAGCCACAATAGAATAGAAAATCAGGTAGACTCCAAAGGTTTCCAACTCCAGGCCCTGACTCCTGCATAGCATATCTGGATCTACCCAGGACCAGGGGGAGTTTACCACCCTGAAGAGGAGGACCCAAGCCTGGCTAGCTTCATTCACCATATGCTGACTGTAGAGCCCTAGGTTCTAGAACAAACATAGGTGGTAGACAGCAGTGGTTAATGCAGGCGTTGGTGAGAACCAGTGCTGTGCTGGCTTCAGGCCTAACCCAACATAGTCCCAGTGGCAGTGGCCACTGCAGTGTTTGTGTCATCCCTCCCCCAGCTCCAGGCAGCCCACTGCAGAGAGAAACTCCATTTGTTTGGGAGAAAGTAAGAGAAGAGAACAAGAGTCTCTGCCTGGTAATCCAGATAATTCTTCCATATCTTATCCAAGACCACCAAGGTGGTATCCCTATGAGTATGAAAGAGCCATAGCATTACTGGTCTTGGGGTTCCCCCTAATGTAGATATGGCTGTAATTACCAAAAGTTTATATCACAACTCCCAAATCCCTTCAAGCAGTTAAAAGCCTTCTCAAGAAGAACAAGTATAAAAAGCCCAGACATGAAGACTATGATAAATACCCAACTCTTCAATGCTCAGACATCAGTGAACATCCACAAGCACCAAAAACATCCAGGAAAACATGACCTCACCAAACAGGCCAAATAAGACACCAGGGACCAATCCTGGAGAAACAAAGATATGTAACCTTTCAGAGAATTCAAAATAACTGTTTTGACGAAACTCAATAAAATTCAAGATAGCACAGAGAAGAAATTTAGAATTCTATAAGATAAATTTAACAAAGAGATTAAAATAACTAAAAAGAATCAAGTATAAATTCTAGAGATGACAAATGCAAATGACATTCTAAAGAATGCATCAGAGTTATTTTAATGGCAGAATTGACAAAGGAAATAAATATTAGTAAATTTGAAGATAGGCTAATTGAAAATACACAGTCAGAGGAGAAAAAAGAAAAAAAAATTGTAAAATAATGAAACATATCTACAAAATCTAGAAAATAGCCCCAAAAGAGCAAATCTAAAAGTTATTGGCCTTAAAGAGGAGGTAGAGAAAGAGATATTGATAAAAAGTGCATTCAAAGGAATAATAACAGAGAAGTTCTCAAACCTAAAGAAAGAGATCAATATTTAGGCACAAGAAGTTTATAGAACACCAAGAAAAGTTAACTCAAATAAGACTATCTCAAGACATTTAATAAGTAAATTCCCAAAAGTCAAGAAAAAAGAAAGGATTCTAAAAGCAGCAAGAGAAAAGAAACAAATAACATACAATAGAGCTCTAGTATGTCCAGCAGCAGACTTCTCAGTGGAAACCTTAGAGTCCAGGAAAGAGGGGTACGGCATATTTAAAGTGATGAAGGAAATAAAAAGCCTTTCATCCTAGAATAATATATCCAGTGAAAATATCCTTGAAACATGAAAGAGAAATAAAGACTTCCCAGAGAAACAGAAGCTGAGGGATTTCATCAACACCAAATTTTTCTTACAAGAAATGCTATAAGGAGTTCTTTAATCTCAAGGAAAAGAATGTTAATGAGCAAAAAAATCATCTAAAGTTATAAAACTCACTGGTAGCAGTAAGCACATGAAAAACAGAATATTATTATACTGTAATTGTTATATATAAACTATTCATATCTTGAGTAGAAAGACTAAAAGATGAACATATCAAAAAATTACAACAACTTTTCAAGACATAGGCAATGTAATAAGATATAAATAAAAACCACAAAAAGTTAAAAAGCCAGGGATAAAGTGAGAGTTTTATTAGTTTTTTCTTTGTTTGTGTGGTAATTTGTTTGCTTATGCAATAAGTGTTAAAATAAGTTTAAAATAATGGGTTATAAAATATTATTTGCAAAAAAAATAAAATATTATTTGCAAGATTCATGGTAATATCAAATAAAAAACATACAGCAAATACACAAAAAATAAAAAGCAAGAAATTAAAACATACTACTAGAGAAAATGACCTTCACTACACAGAACAGAGGAAGGAAGGAATGAAGACAGACAACAAAATAACCAGTAAACAAATAGCAAACTGGTGTGAATAACTCATTACTTATTAATTATAACATTGAGAGTAAGTGAATTAAACTCCAGAATCAAAAGATAGGTGGCTAAATGAATAAAAAACAAGACTCAACAATCTGTTGCATGCAAGAAACACACTTCAGCTATAAAGATACACATAGACTAAAAATAAAGGGATGGAAAAAGATAGTCCATGTCAATGGAAACCAGAAAAAAGTAGGAGTAGTATACTTGTATCAGACAAAATAGATTTCAAGACAAAACATAAAAAGAGACAAAAAGGTCATTATATTATAATAAAGGGTTCAATTCAACAAGAGGATAAAACAACCAGGTATATAACACAAATATTATTTGAGCTAAGGAGATAGACTCCAATCCAATAATGGCTAGAGACTTCAACATCCCATTTTCAGCATGAGACAGATGACCCAGAAAATCAACCAAGAAACATTGGACTTAATCTGCACTACAGATCAAATGGAACTGATAGATATTTATAAAACATTTCATCCAATGGCTACAGAATACACATTGTTCTCCTCAGCACATGGGTCATTCTCAAGGGTAAACTATACATTAAGCCACATAAAAATCTTTACAAATTCAAAAGAAATTAAAATTATATCAAGTATCTTCTCTGACCACAAAGGAATACAACTAGAAATCAATAACAAGAGGAATTTTGGAAACTATGCAAACACATGGGAATTAAACAATATGCCCCTGAATGACTACTGAATCAATGAAGAAATTAAGCAGAAATTTAAAAAAATTTTGAACCAAGTGATAATGGAAACCTATGGGATACAGCAAAAGCAGTACGAAGTGGGAAGTTTATAGCTATACGTGCATATACCGAAAAAGTAGAAAAACTTCAAATAAACCACCTAATGATGGATCTTAAAGAATCAGGAAAGCAAGAGCAAACCAAAACCTAAACTGGTAGAAGAAGAAAATAAATAATAAAAATCAGAGCAGAAATAAATGAAACTGGAATGAAGAAAGCAATACAAAAGATCAAGGAACAGATAAGTTGCTTTTTTGAAAAGATAAACAAACTTGACAAACCTGTAGCCAGACTATTAGGCTGGTGCAAAAGTAATTGTGGTTTTTGCCATTAAATAATAAAAAAAATAGAGAAGACCCAAGTAAATAAGATCAGAGATGAAAAATGAAATATTACAACCATTCAGAGGATCATTAGTGGCTACTATGAGCAACTGTGTACCAATAAATTAGAAATCCTGGAAGAAATTGATAATTTCCTGGACACATAAAACTAATCAAGATTGAAGCATGAAAAAAATCAATAACCCAAACAGACCAATAACAAATAATGAGATTGAAAGTGTGATAAAAAGTCTCCCAGCAAAGAAAAGCCCAGGACCCAATGGTTTCACTGTTAAATTCTGCCAAACATTTAGAGAAGGACTAATACCAACCTTATGCAAACTATTCTGAAAAATAGAGGAGGAAATACTTCCAAACTCAGTCTACGAGGCCAGTATTACCTGATAACAAAACCAAAGACATATCCAAAAAAGAAAACTATATACCAATATCCCTGATGAAGATTGATGCAAATATTCTCATGCTAGCAAACTAAATTCCACAAAACAATTAAAAACACATCTTGACCAAATGGGAGTTATCCCAGGGATGCAGATGATCCAACATACACAAATAAATCAATGTGATACACCATATCAATAGAATGAAGGACAAAAATCATACAGTCATTTCAACTGAAGGCTGAGAAACCATTTGATAAAATTTAACATCCCTTCGTGATAATAACCCACAAAAACCTGGTTATAGAAGGAATATACCTGAACACAGTAAAAGCCATATACGACAGAACCACAGCTAGTATCATGCTGAATGAGGAAAAACTAAAAGCCTTCTTTCTAAGATCTGGAGCACAACAAGGATGCCCACTTTCACCACTGTTATGCAACATAGACTGAATGCCTTTGCTACAGTAATCAGACAAGAGAAAGAAATGAAAGGCATCCAAATTGGAAGACAATAAGTCATATTATCTTTGTTTACAGATGATATGATCTTATATTTGAAAAAACCTAAAGACCCTACCAAAAAACTATTAGAACAAATGTAGTAAAGTTGCAGGATACAAAATCAACATACAAAAATTAGTAGCATTTCTATATGCTAACAGTGAACAATCTGAAGAAGATATCAAGAAAGTAATCACATTTAAATAGCTGTAAATAAAATTAAATATCTAAGAGTTAACTGACAAAAGACATCTACAATGAAAACTGTAAAACACTGATGAAAGAAATTGAAGAGGACACACAACATGGAAAGATATTCCATATTTATGGATCAGAAGAATCAACATTGTTAGAATTTTCATACTACTCAAAGCAATCTACAGTTTGAATGCAATCCATATTAAAATACCAATGACATTCTTCACAAAAATAGGAAAACTAATCCTAAAATTTATACAAAACCACAACAGACCCAGAATAGTCAAAGCTATTGTGAGCAAAAAGAACAAAACTGGATGAATCACATACCTGACCTCAAATTATACTACAGAACTATAGTAAACAAACCAGCATGGTACTGGTACAAAACCGAGACATAGACTGATGGAACAGAATAGAGAACCCAGAAACAAATCCACAGGTCTACAGTGAGACCATTTTTAACAAAGTTGCCAAGAATATACATTGGGAAAAGGACAGTCTCTTCAATAAATCATGCTGGGAAAACTGGATATCCATATGCAAAAGACTGAAACTAAACCCGTATCTCTTGTCATATAGAAACATTAAATCAAAATGGGTTAAAGAATAAGTCTAACACCTCAAACTCTGAAACTAGTAAAAGAGACCATTGGGGAAACTCTCCAAGATGTCAGACTGGACAAAGATTTCTTGAGTAATGTTTCACAAGCACACACAACCAAAGCAAAAATGAACAAATGAAATAACATCATTTGAAAGCTTCTGCACAGCAAAGGAAACAGTCAACAAAGTGAAGAGACAATTAACAGAATCGGAGAAAATATTTGCAAACAATCTATCTGACAAGGGATTAATAACGTTGTATTAATATATACAAGGATATATATATATATTAATATATACAAGGATATATATATACACACACATATAGCTCTCAAACAACTCTATAGAAAAAAATCTAATAATCCAATTAAAACATAGGCAAAATACCTAAATAGATATTACTCCAAAGAGGATATATAAATGGCAAACAGGTATATGAAAATGTGCTCAATGTCACTGATTATTAGAGAAATGCAAATTGAAACTATAATGAAATATCATCTCACGCCAGTTAACATGGCTTTTATCCAAAAGACAGGCAATAACGAATGCTGGTGAGGATATAGAGGAAAGGGAACCTGCCTACACTGTTGGTGAATGTGTAAATTAGTACAACCACTTTGCAGAACAGTTTGAAGGTTCCTCAAACTCTAAAAATAGAACTACCATATGATTCAGCAATCCCACTCATATACCCCCAAAAGTCTGCATTCCCATTTTATTGTGGCACTATTCACAATAGCCTCCATTTGGAAGTAACCCTAAGCGTCCATGAACAGAGGAATGGATAAAGAAAATGTGGTAACATACACAATGGAGTACTAGTCAGCCATAACAAAGAATGTCATTTGCAACAACATGGATGGAACTGGAGATCATTATGTTAAATAAAATAAGCCAGGCACAGAAAGAGAAACATCACATGGTCTCACTTATCTGTGAGAGCTAAACACTAAAATAATAGAACACATGGTGATAGGAAGGCTGTTTATCAGAGGCAGGGAAGGGTAATGGTGGGGGGAAGTGGAGATGGTTAATGGGTGCAAAAATATAGTTAGAAAAAAATATAGTTAGAACGAATGAATAAGACCTAGTATTTGATAGCATAACAGAGTGACTACAGTTAACAATAATTTATTGTATATTTTAAATAACTCTAAGAGTACAATTGTATTGTTTGTAACACAAAGAAAGAATAAATGGTAGAGGTAATGAATTCCCTGTTTATCCTGATGTGATTATTATGCATTGTATTCCTGTATCAAAATATCTAACATACCCCATAAATATATACACTTAGTATGTACCCACAAAAATTAAAAATTAAAAATATTTTTTAAAAGGAAGGTAAAGGAGCATGAGAGTTGTTTTAGATTTAGAAAAACTTGACGAAGAAAGAATAATGGAATTTACTTACCAGAGGAACTAAGAAATAATATTCCTAGCATGAAAAACCTATGACTGTAAACAAATTACTTCACTAGCTTCTATTTGTCTCCTCAGTAAAATAAATATAGTTTTCTTTCCTCAAAAAAGATAATGTAGCATGATGAGCCTAAGGAAGATTTCTTTTTTACTAAAAATGAGGAAGGAGGCTGAAGCCAAAAAACATAATGAAAATAATGCAAAACTAGAGGATAGGCAGACACCCGTGAATGTTGATCTCAGGAAGTTTGTCAGATTTTAATAGATTCATGAAAACAGAATTTAGGAGATTATTTACAAAGGTGCCTTATATCCTACTGTTTGGGTGTAAAACATAATTCAATAGAAATAAAATATAATTTGTGTTGAATAAGCCAAGATTGAATCAGTCTGTCTGTAGAGATTTCTAGGATACCTTATTGACAGAGAAATCTGAAAACATATCAAATTACAGAAATTCAACGCATGATTTGAAGTTTCACAAACTAACAAAATAAATTTTATATTTGTATTTTATGGTTTGAAACAGCAGTTCTTACAGGGTATCTCAATCAAAGCACAGTGGGATGCTGAGTTAAATATAGCAATCGTCAAACATCAAAAAGTTGTGTTGAATAAATTTAACTTCTCAATATCCCAAGATATATACCATTTGTTTCATCTCATCTTCAGTCTGTAAACTACAGACCTTTTTACTCAAGTACATCCACTCTCTAAATTCACTGGACTCCTTTAAACATTCTCTCATTTGGGAAGTTAAAAGACTCATCCAATTTTCTAATTTGTACCTAAAATTGAGCAGTAGTAACAATGGCTAGAAACCATCTTTCTAATATAACATCTAAATTCCTGCTGAGTATGAAGGTATGATAATGAAAACTCATTTGTGAATAATCAGTGCAATGAAAAAATTATTTTGAAATAATTAAACTTTTTTTAATTTTGTTTGTTTGTTTGTTTGTTTGTTGTTTGTTTTTTGAGATTGAGTTTTGCTCTTGTTGCCCAGGCTGGAGTGAAATGGCACGATCTCGGCTCACTGCAAACTCCACCTCCTGGGTTCAAGTGATTTTCCTGCCTCAGCCTCCTGAGTAGCTAGGATTACAAGCGCCCACCACCATGTCCAGCTAATTTTTGTATTTTTAGTAGAGACGGGGTTTCACCACATTGGCCAGGCTGTTCTTGAACTCCTGACCTCAGGTGATCCACCTGCTTCGGATTCCCAAAGTGCTGGGATTACAGGTGTGAACCACCGCGCCCAGCCTAAACTGTATTTTTAGAGATGTGTATTTTCATTCTCCCAGTAATTCATGTTCTCCTAAAGATATTTCAGCATTCAGTAACCCAGAGAGAAGGGATGAGGGTTATGAGCTTTGAAGAAAAGAACATAAGGTACAGTGAAGTCCCAGGCATTAAGGAATGAGAAACAAATTCTCTCTGATTCCAGAGTAAAGAGGAAGGGAAGTCAGGCAGTTCACTATGTGTTCTGACTTCCCCCTTCAGAGTGAAAATAGGTTGAGCGCACAGCTGACAACAAATGGTCTCATTCCCTGGCTCTCTGCACATGGGTTGCCTGCATCACAGTTTAATAATGGCCTTGTGTCTAATGGGAGGACCTGATTAAGCAACTCTGAACCTGTGAAGGTTAATTTTATGTGTTAACTTGACTGGCCAAAGGGTGCCCAGAGTACACATTGTTTCTGGGTATGTCTGTGAGGATGTTTCCAGGTGAGATTAGCATTTGTTATTGTGGTTGTTGTTTTAATTGACAAATAATAATTGTGTATATTATGGGACACAAAGTAATGTTTTGATCTACATATACATTATAGAGTCAATGAAGCTAATTAACATGTCCATAACCTCACCAATTTAACTTTTTTGTGTTGAGAACATTAAAAATCTATTCTTTCAGCAATTTAAAAATATACAATATATTATTAAATTAATTGTGGTCACCATGCAGTGCAATCAATCACTAAAACTCATTCCTCCACACTAATTCTAACTTTATACCCTTTTATCAATATTTTCTCTTTCCCCATCATTTCCCCTCCCATCCTGAGAACCAGCCACCTTTGAGATTAGCATTAGAATGAGTAAATTCAGTAAAGTAGAATGCCTTCCTCAATGCAGTTGGGCGTCATCCAATCCTTTGAGGGCCTGAATAGAACAAAAGACAGAGAAAAGAGACCTTTATCCCTTTTTTCCTCCCTCACAGCTTTAACTAAGACAGGTCATGTCATCTTCTGCCATCAGACTGGGATTTACGCCATAGTCTTCCCTGGTTTTCAAGATCAGACAATTGCACCAGCTTTTCTGAGTTTCCTGCTTTCAGATGGCAGATTTTAGAACATCTCAGCCTCCATAATTACATGAGTCAATTCTTTAAAATGAATCTATCTATCTGTCCAACATTTTTTTTTTTTTTTTTTTTGAGATGGAGTGTCACCCAGGCTGGAGTGCAGTGGCTTATCTCGGCTCACTGCAGCAACCTCCTCCCGAGTTCAAGCAATTCTCCTGCCTCCCTGAGGTAACTGGGACTACAGGGGCACACCACCATGCCCAGCTAAATGTTTGTATTATTGGTAGGGACAGGGTTTCACCATGTTGGCCAGGCTGGTCTCGAACTCCTGACCTCAGGTAATCTGCTTGCCTCAGCCTCCCAAAGTGCTGAGATTACAAGCGTGAGCCACCACGCTCAGCCCCAACGATCTATTCTCTACCGATCTAGTGATCTATCAATCCATATCTATCTCCTATCGGTTCTGCTTTTTTTGGTTGGTTTTTGTTTTTGTTTTTGTTTTTTGAGACGGAGTCCTGCTCTGTCGCCCAGGCTGGAATGCAGTGGTGCAATCTCGGCTCACTGCAAGCTCCGCCTCCCAGGTTCACGCCATTGTCCTGCCTCAGCCTCCCGAGTAGCTGGCACTACAGGTGCCCACCACCACGGCCAGCTAATTTTTGGTATTTTTAGTAGAGACGGGGTGGGGGTTTCACCGTGTTAGCCGGGATGGTGTCGATCTCCTGACCTCATGATCCACCCGCCTCAGCCTCCCAAAGTGCTGGGATTACAGGTGTGAGCCACCGCACCTGGCCTGGTTCTGTTTGTCTGGAAAATTCTTATGTATATGGAACCTCTCTCTACTCCTACATCCAAGAAAGGGATGCTCTTTCCTAAATAGGGCACAGGAGGACCTCATGCATAAATCAACATACTTGCAATGTATTCATGAGGAACTGCATCCCAAACAATAAGGGAGATGTGACCTAGTCAGAGAGAAAAAGCAACCCAGCCTCAAGGCAAAGAATTCACTATATCCACTATAGACAGAGCTCTCAGAGAATACACCTGAGGAGCTACCAGAGACAGTGACTTGTGGTGACCTGGAGAGCAGTCTGAGCACCTGTCCATGGGACTGTGGCTGCCTTCCCATCCTCTGGGCAGTCAGACAACACTTCTCACCTACTTCTACTTCCTGTTGGGAAAGTAGGGTGAAAATGATCCAATACTTGGGCTTGAGACACATCTATCTTGATGTTTCTTTAGCATCTCAAACTTAATGGAAAAGAAATCTGTAATTGTTAGAATAGGTAGGTTGTCAAATATAAGTTTTATTGGGCAAGAGAGAGCCCCCCCAACTCCCCACCCTGCTTCAAGGAATGTCAGGTGACCATCAGGCGATGGTCAGGTGGTTGGTTAAACTTTCTCTCCAAAATAATAATTGGTTGCAACCTGTGCAACAGAAAGGCAGTCTCCCACTAGAAAACACCTGAAACTGATGATCAGTAGCTTCTTGATAAGATGATAAGATCTCAGAATTTGGGCAAGCAGACTCAAGCATGTACACTAAGAGGCAAGATGGTGGAGTTTGACTGGTATGTGAACTTCCTCTAGGAATGCTCAACTGGTAAGGGGAGAACACCTCAAGTGAGCATACAGGTAACTTCAGTAAACACAATGCACATGCAGCCTCTCCTAAGTGCTGGCATGCCACCACACATGCAGAATGCCAGTGTATAAAACCCCAAGTCAAAGGTCAAACCAGGCACTTGATTCTCTCAAGTTGCCTGCTTGGCCCTCATCCAAGTGTGCTTTACTTCCTTTCATTCCTACTCTAAAACTTGTTAATAAACTTTCATTCCTACTCTAAAACTTGTTCCAGTCTCCCCCTCTGCTTTATGCCCCCTTGGTCAAATTCTTTCCTCTGAGAGTCAAGAATTGAGGTTGCTGCAGACCCATATGGATTTGCCACTGCCAACATAATGTCCCTCAGCAAACATCTTCTTTTGCCATTTCCTACTTTAGTAAATACCCAATCAAGCCAGAAGTTGGGTGGTCATTCTTGATATGGTCTTCTCTCTCATTACCTGCCTCTAATATATCATCAGTTGCATTTGATTTTACCTGGAAGTTTCCTCGAGCCCATCTGCTTCTCTCCATCTCACCCCAATCACCATCATCTCTCCTCTGAATTGATAGGTCAGTCTTTTAAGGAAGAATGAGTCAGCATGGCTTCCATTATATTCAGGGCAAGGGTGTAGTGGATAAATGCAAACTGTGGAGCCAGATGGCCACAGCTCTGCCTTTTAGTAATGGAATGACTTCAGACAAGTGACTAACTCTCTGAACCAGTTTTTCTACCAGAGAAATGGAAGATAATAAGAGTACACACCATATATAGTTGTGGCAAGAATGAAAAGTGCTAGTGTGTGAAAAATGCTTAAAATAGTTTTGGCACATAGGAAGTGCTATAGCAATGTCTTTCTTTCTTTCTTTCTTTTTAATTCTAATTTTTTATGTGGCCTGTTTGAAGCCTGCTGCTCAGTTTAATTTTATGCCAGGCTCCGTCTCACCTACTTGTCTTCTGTCACTCTGAGTTTTTTTCATCCTCTCCAATACTGCAAGCATATTTCACTCACAGTACCTGTTCACTGGCCATGTGTTCTGCCCAGGAGACTTCATCCCCCACTACTGGTAGGATTGGCTGGATTTGTATTTCTATTTGCAGCTCAAACTTCTCACAAAAAAGCTGTCTGAAACTGTCCAATCTAAATTAAATTTCTCAAGTCTATCCTATAGCTTGCATTTAAAAAAATAAGTCATTTCTTTTGGAATCATTTTAGATGTGTTTAAAAGAAAGAATAAGATTGTTCCCATATAACCCTCACCATACCCATAATATATTTATCAAAAACTTTTGGTTATATAGATGAGAGGTTTCTATATTGCCCAGGCTGGCCTCAAACGCCTAGCCTCTCCTCCTTATGTCCCAAGACAACAGGCCTGAGCCACTGCGGCTCCCTATCAAACACTTTAAAAACTTACTATCAGCTAAACTCCAGGGTTTATTGAGAGTCTGTCAATTTCCCCACTAATATCCTTTTTCTCTGTACCAGGATTCGAACCAGGTTACCATACTATATTTAGTCATTATGTTTTCTTTCCTTCCTCTGAACTGTGACAGCTTTTTTATTTTTTATTTTTATTTATTTATTTATTTATTTTGTCTTGTTTTTCACAATTTTAGCAGTTTGGAGGAGTACTGGTGACATATTTTGTGGAATGTCCCTCAGTTTTAGTTTGCCTGATGTTTTTCTCATTATTAAACTGGGATCATAGGTTTATTGAAAGGAGATTCTAACAGGCTGAATAGAATCCTAGCAAAATTCACATTCAACTGGAACCTGTGAGTTGGATCTTTACTCACAAATAGGGTCCTGGCAGGGTCTTTGTTGTCAGTTAAGATGAGGTCACACTGAATTAGAGTAGACTCTAAATTCAAAAAATGGTGTTCTTATAAGTAGAGGAAAATTTAGCCATATACACATCCCCAAAAGGGGGAACATCATATGATGGCAGACACCAGGATTGGATGATGCTGCTGTAAGCCAGGGGGCATCAAGAGTGACCAGCAACCACCGAAGCTGGGAGAGGCAAGGAAGGTTTCTCCCCTAGGGCCTTCAGGGGGTGCGGGGCCCTGCGACACTGGGATTTTAGGCTTCTCGCCTCCAGAACCGTGAGAACATACATTCCTGTTATTTCAAATGACCTAGTTTGTGATCATTTGTTATGGCAGCCCTAGGCAACTAATACAAAGACTACAATGGTATAAGCCCTTCTCCTCACAACTTGAAAGTTGTATTGCTTCCCCATTGCCGTATTCTATTGATTAGAAGGAAGTTATTCAAGAGTAGGAGTTTACGCAAGAGCATTTACGTGAAAATGTGAGAACACTTAGGGGTCATCTAAGATCTACCAATCACAACATTTCACCAGTCATTTTCATTTTAATCATTCTAATCACTGTGCAGTATTATTTCATTATGTTAATTTTCATTTTCCTGGAGAATAATAAGTGCTTATTGGCAACTTCTATATCTCGTTTTGTGAAATTTCTGTTCAGATATTTTACCCAATTTTTAAAATTTCACTTCCTGACTGGTAAGAATTCTTTATTTTAAAAAATAATTATTTATGTATTATGGATACAAACCCTTGGTCAGATACATGTGTAACAAATATTGTCTCCAAGTCTAGGGCTTCCCTGTTTGCCTTTTTTTTTTTTTTTTTTTTTTGAGATGGAGTCTCGCTCTGTCGCCCAGGCTGGAGTGCACTGGCACGATCTCGGCTCACTGCAAGCTCCACCTCCCAGGTTCACGCCATTCTCCTGCCTCAGCCTCCCAAGTAGCTGGGACTACAGGCGCCCACCACCACGCCGGCTAATTTTTTGTATTTTTAGTAGAGACAGGGTTTCAGCGTGTTAGCCAAGATGGTCTCGATCTCCTGACCTCGTGATCTGCCCGCCTCGGCCTCCCAAAGTGCTGGGATTACAGGCTTGAGCCACCGCACCCGGCCCCCTGTTTGCTTTCTTAACAGTAGCTCTTGAAAAACAGAAGTTTCTAATTGTGATCAAGTTTAACTTATCATTTTTTTTTTTCTGCTTGAGCTTTTTATGTTTTGTCAAGAAATCTTTGGCCACCCTAAATTTGCAAATATAATCTTTGGAAAGTTTTATGCTTCTAAGTGTATGTCCAAGGATCATCATAAGACACATTAAAAGTTAATTTTTGTGCATGCTGTGAAGTAAGGGTAAAATTTTATTTTTTTCCTAAAGGATATTCAGTGGATGATCCAGCATCCCTGTATTTTATTTTAATAAACATTTATTAATAAATAAAATCATTTATTGAAAATATTACATTTTCACCATAGAATTATCTTTGCACTTTTGTCAAAAATCAGTTTACCATATAGGCATGAACCAATCTAGACAATATATTCTGTCTATCGCTCTACTTGTCTATTTTACACTAATGCCACAATGATTTTGTTTTATAACAAGTCTTAGCATTATTAAGACAAGTTAATGAAGCATAAGCCTTCCTGTTTTGTTTTTTTTACAAAATCGTTTCTGCTCTTCCAGGTACTTTGCATTTTCACATAAGTTTTGAATTTGTTTGTGGATTTCTATCCAGAAAATCTGTTGTAGTTTCATTGAGATTTCATTGAATTTGTTAATAATATTTTTGTTGTTGTTGTTTTGAGACAGTCTCACTTTGTCAACCAGGCTGGAGTGCAGTGGCACAATCGTGGCTCACTGCAACCTCTGCCTCCCAGGTTCAAGCAATTCTCATGCCTCAGCCTCTCAAGTAGCTGGGATTACAGGTGCCCACCACCACGCCCACCTAATTTTTTTGTATTTTTGGTAGAGATGGGGTTTTGCCATGTTGGCCAGGCTCATCTGAAACTCCTGATCTCATGTGATCTGCCTGCCTCCCAAAGTGCTAGGATTACATCACCCCTGGCCCAATAATACTTTTCTACATTAAAATGCTTTCATGAGTTTTAGATTTGCTTGATTACTTTACAAATACGTTTTTTTAATTTTATTTTTTTAAATTGACACATAATAATTGTACATATTTGTAGGGTACATGGTGATGCTTCCATACATATAGTGTATAGTGATTAGATCAGGATAATTAGCATATCCACCATCTCAACCATTTGTCATTTGTTTGTGTTAGGAACATTAAATATCCTCCTTCTAGCTATTTAAAACAATAAATTATTGTTAACTGTACTCATCCAACAGTGGTATAGAACACTGGAACTTATTCCTTCCATCTCGTTGTAATTTTGTATCCTTTAACAAATCTCCCCCTATCCTCTCCCTTCCCCCTACCCTTCCCAGCCCCTCGTATCCTCTGCTGTACTTTTCACTTCTATGAGATCAACTTGTTTGAGCTTTCACATCTGAGTGAGAACATGTAGTGTTTAACTTTCTGTTCCTGGCTTATTTCACTTAACATAACATCCTCCAGTTCCATCCATGTTGCCACAAATGACAGGATTTCATTACTTTTTATGGCTGAACAGTACTCCATTGTGTACATATACCACATTTTCTTTACCCACTCATCTGCTGTTGGATACCTAGGTTCATTTCCATATCTTGGCTACTGTGAATAGTGCTCCAATAAACATGGGGGTGCAGATGCCTCTTAGATGCACTAATTTCCTTTCCTTTGGATGAATGCCCAGGAGTGGGATTGCTGGACCCATATGGTAATTCTATCTGTAGTTTTCTGAGGAATGTCCATACTGTTCTCCAAAGTGCCCATACTACTTTACATTCCCACTGAAAGCATATGAGTTCCCTTTTCTCCGTATTCTCACTACCATTTGCTTCTGATAATATTTTTTGCTTCTCATAATAACCATCCTAACTGGAGTGAGATGATACTCAATTGTGGCTTTGACTTGCAGCTCCCTGATGATTAGTGATGTTGAGCATTTTTTCATATATGTATTGGCCATTTGCCTGTCTTCTTTTCAGAAATGTCTGTTCAGATCCTTTGTCCATTTTTCAATCATAAATGATTTTAACATTCATCTTTGAAAGCAAAATATATAAAATAGCCTCAAATTTCTAAAACAATGACTAATATAGGGAGATATTTATCCATTTATCAAAATACATTTTAATAAATTTCATTAAATAATATGGCTAATAAAGACTAATATAAGAAGACAAAAGTAGAGATAAAATATAGACTAATAAAAATAAGTCTGAAACACTAATAAAGGTTTTTACCCAGTTCTCAAAATGCATTACAATAAATTTAATTAAATAATAGTGTACTAGTGCAAGACCTATAGATGTAATTAATCTGGAAATATAGCAACAAATAATTGCTATTTAATTTTAAAATGCTGAGCCAGAAAAATTAGTTGTCCAAGTAATGAAAATACTAATTGGACCTATTAGTAATGCTACTCTAGATGAAAATATGTAAATATTCCAAATTCTATATGGTGCAAATATGTTTTAAAAATGATAAACTGAGAAATATCTATCCAGTCTTATCACTGGTAAAATTTTAAGCACTCTCATAAATATGTATTAAAAAGATCAATTCTAAAGAGAAATGTAGCCAAAGAACATGAATAAATAACTCATAAAGAAATAAATATAACTCAATTGTCCAATAAATATTCAACATATATTAACTACATTAACAAATCAGTTCAAGCAAAAGCAATAATGAAATACTTTAGCTTTGTAACTGATCATTGAATGAGAAAAAGTAACTCTGTAGTTTGGAAATTTTTTATTTCGACGTGAAAACCAGTTCTGTAGTAATTTGAAAATTTTTGCAAGCTTTATAAAAGGCAGTTCTATAATATATGCCGATTTAAAAATGTGCATATCATTTGCTTCAGCTGCTTCTGGTCAGTGAACATATCCTAAGATGATAATGTAGAAAGGGTGTGTGTGTGTGCTTGTATACACACAAATACACACACACTTAAGGATTGTCAATGAAATGCTGCCCATATTATCAAATAAATGTCGACATTTGAAATGTTCATCCATAGGACATTCGTTAAAGAAATTAAGTACATCCATACAAAGGGTGAATAGTTTACCATTTTAAAATAGTTGAATTTATATGGTAATTCATATAATAAAGGACCACATCTTACATTTGAATAAAATAAAAGGCTCTTGAAAAATTACATGCATAATAAGATCCTTTTTAATTTATGCAATTGCATAAAAATGACATTTAAAATCAAGATGAAAATCATTTTATCTTTCCTTGTGGGATTTGGGTTGATTTTTACCTCTTTTTTGGTATTTTAATTGCCTAAAATTTTAAGTAATTAATTAATGATAAGTAAAAACAACAAGCAAGGAATATGAAAACAAATTTACAGATTAAATACACAAGATGTGTTTATGGCCAATACGTGTATAAAAAGATATTCAACCTCAGTATTTATAAAGAAAGTGTGCATTTCAAGAAAATATGGTATATAATTTTCTTTCATCATTTTTCTTTCAAAATTTTTTAATGTGATAAAATTCATTATGGAACATGGTGATGGAAAGTGCATAATTTCATACATTGTTGGCAAAAGGCTTAAGTTGATACTGAATTTCTTCTGGTTGGCAATGTCACATCTCTAGCAAAAGTTGAGTATATGTGTCATTTGATTTAGCAAATCTTCTAGGCATATATCCAAAGCAACTACTTGCAATGTGCACAGAGACCTGTACAGCCACATTCCCTATGTTGTTGTTTGCAATAGTAAAACCTTGGAGAGATACTAAATGGCTACTCTGAAATGACTTTAAAAGTCTACGGTACAAGCACATTGTGGACTACAAGGACTACAAGAGACAAGTGAAAGACTCTCTGCCACAACCATTGCTAAGGTCCCTTCCCCTGCTGCCTCCAAACTGGGGAGGGAACATAAAGCCTGAGCTCACCCCAGAGCCTCAGTGTACAGCCTGGGAGTGCCAAGATGAAATCTACAGCCAGCCCTTGAGTGGGAGAGGAGCCCACACTCTCAGAACATGGAGCACTAAGTGGGAGCTTGGCTGCAACGATCAGAAATACAGAGGAGCAAAGTGGCTGAGTAAGATACTACTTGCCTACTGGCCATTATGCTTAAGTACCATGTACTGCATCACAGACCAAAACGTCAACATCAAAAACACTTTGCAAATATACCACCTGACCACCGGGAAATCCAGAATAAGAATTCAGCTGCAAATAATGACCCAGCACAAAGCCTTGTTCCTCTGAAAACATCCAGAAAAGAGGTCTACTGACTGTACTCAAATTATGCTACAGTTAAAGGAATGCCAGTCCACACAGATGAGAAAGAACAAGTACAAGAACTTTGGCAACTCAAAAAGCCAGAGCAGCTTTTTTTCTCCAATCAACTGCACTAGTCCCTCAGAAAGGGTTGTTAATTGGGCTGAAATGACAGAAAAAAGAATTCAGAAAATGAATAATAAAGAAAAACATCAGGATCCAGGAGAGTGTCAATACCTAATCCAAGGAATCTAAGGAGTACAATAAAATCATACAGGAGCTGATGGACAAAATAGCTATTATAAAAAAAACTGATCTGACAGAGCTGAAAAACACACTGCAAGAGTTTTATAAGCAAAATTGGAAGTATGAACAGCAAATAGACCAAGCTGAGTAAAATGTTTCAGAGCTCAAAGACTGGCTCTCTGAAATAAATCAGTCAGAAAAAAATAAAGAAAAAGAATTAAATGGAATGAACAAAACCCCCTGGAAATATGGGATTACATAAAGAGACCACATGTACAACTCATTGACATCCCTGAAGGAGTCAAGGAGAAAGAAAGCAACTTGGAAAACATATTTCTGGATATCATCCATGAAAACTTTCTCAACCTCACTAGAGAGGCCAACATTTAAATTCAGAAAATGCAGAGAATCCTTGTGAGATACTACAGAAGAAGACCATCCCCAAGACACATAATTATCAGATTCTCCAAGGTTGAAATGAAATTAAAAATGTTAAAGCAGCTAGAGAGAAGGGTCAGATTATCTACAACAGGAATCCCATCTGGCTAATAGCAAATCTCTCAGCAGAAACCCTGCAAACCAGAAGAGACTAGGGACCCATATTCAACATTCTTAAAGAAAATAATTTCTAACCAAGCATTTTATATCCAGCCAAACTAAGCTTCATAAGTGAAGGAGAAATAACATTCTTTTCACACAAGCAAATGCTAAGGAAATTCATTACCACCAGACCTGCCTTACAAGAGGTCTTCAAAGGAGTACTAAATATGAAAGGAAAGACCACTTCAAAAACATACTTAAGAACACAGACCAGTAATAATATAAAGCAACCATACAAACAAGTCTGCATGATAACCCAGTAATATCATTACAGGATCAAATCTGCATCTGTCAACACTAATCTTGAATGGAAACAGGCTAAGCACCCTAATAAAAACACAGTGACAAACTGGATAAACAAGTGCTACCCAATGCTATGCTCTCTGCAAGAGACCCATCTCACACGCAATGACATACATAGTCTTAAAATAAAAGGATCGAGAAAAATCTACCAAGAAAATGGAAAACAGTAAAATTCAGGGATTGATATTCTAAATTCAGACAAAATAGATTTTATGCCAGCAAAGATCAAAGAAGACAAAGAAGGGTATTACATAATGATAAAGGGTTCAATGCAACAAGACCTAACTTCCTAAATATATACACATTTAACACAGGAATACCCTGATTCATGAAGCAAGTTCTTAGAGACCTATGAAGAAGAGACTTAGATTCCCAAACAATAATAAAGGGAGACTTTAACACCCCACTGGCAGTATCAGACCATTGATGCAGCAAATTAACATAGATCTTTAGGACCTGAACTCAACCCTGAACCAACTGGACCTAATAGACATCTACAAAATTCTCCACCCAAATAGAACAGAATACACAGTCTTCTCATCACCACGTGACACATACTCTAAAATCAAACACACAACCAGGCATAAAACAATCCTCAGCAAATTTTTTTAAAAAGATGAAATCATACCAACCATACTCTTAAACCACAGTGCAAGAAACATAGAAATCAATACTAAGAAAGTCACTCAAAACCATACAATAACATGGAAATTAAACAACCTGCCTCTGAATTACTATTGGGTAGATAATAAATTAAGGCAGAAATCAAAAAGTTTTTTGAAACTAATGAGAACAAAGATACAACATACCAGCATCTCTGGGATACAGCTAAGGCAGTGTTGAGAGAGAAATTTATAGCACTAAATACTCACATCAAAAAGAGAGAAAAATTTCAAGTTAACATCACAACTAGAGGAACCATGGAAACAAGAAGAAACCAACCTCAAAGTTATCAGAAGATAAGAAATAACCAAAATCAGAGATGAACTGCAGGAAATTGAGACACAAAAAAATACAAAAGATTATCTAATCTGTGAGTTGATTATTTGAAAAAAATTAACAAGATAGACCACTAGGTGTACTAATAAAGAAAAAAAGAGACATCATATAAAGAAACACAACTATAAATGACATGGAGACATTACCACTGACCTCAACAGAAATAGAAAAAATAACCCTCAGAAACTACTATGAGCACTTCTGTGCATACAAACCAGAAAATCTAGAATAAGTGGATACACTCCTGGACACATACAACCTCCCAAGGCTAAAACAGAAATAAATTGAATCTCTGATCAGACCAGTAACAAGTTTCATAATTGAATTAGTAATAAAAAGCCTACCAACAAAACAAAAGCCTAGGACCAGACAAATTCGCAGTCAAATTCTACCAGATTTATAAAGAAGAACTGATACCATTCCTGCTGAAACTATTCCCAAAAAATGAAACTAGGCCGGGCGCGGTGGCTCATGCCTGTAATCCCAGCACTTTGGGAGGCTGAGGCAGGCAGATCATGAGGTCAGGAGTTTGAGACCAGCCTGGCCAATATGATGAAACCCCCATCTCTACTAAAAATACAAAAATTAGCCAGGCATGGTGGCACATGCCTGTAGTCCCAGCTACTCAGGAGGCTGAGGCAGGAGAATTGCTTGAACCCGGGAGGCAGAGGTTGCAGTGAGCCGAGATCATCCCACTGCACTCCAGCTTGGGCGACAAAGCAAGACTCTGTCAAAAAAAAAAGAAGGAAGGAAGGGAGTCGGGGAGGGAGGAAAGAAGGAAGGAAGGAAGGAAGGAAGGGAGAAACTATTCCCCAACTCATTCTATGAGGTCAAAATCATCCTGATACCAAAAGCCTGGAGAGACACAACAACAAAAGAAAACTTCAGGCCAATATCCTTGATGAACATTGATGCAAAAATACTCAACAAAATACAAGCAAACCAAATCCAGCAGCACATCAAAAAGCTAATCCTCCACAATCAAGTAGGCTTTATTCCTAGGAAGTAAGGTTGGTTTAACATATGCAAATCAATAAGTATGACTCATCATATAAACAGAACTAAAAATGAAAACCACATAATCATCTCAACAGATGCAGAAAAGGCTTTTGATAAAATTCAACATTACTTCATGTTTAGGCATTGAAGGAACTTACTTCAAAATAATAAGAGCCATCTATCAAAAACCCACAGCCAACATTATATTCAATGGGCAAAAGCTGGACGCATTCCCCTTTAAAACAGGAGCAAAACAAGGAAGAGTTCTATCACCGCTTATTCAACATATAACTGGAAGTCCTGGCCACAGCAATCAGATAAGAGAAATGAATAAAAGACATTTAAATAGAAAGAGAGGAAGTCAAAGGATACCTGTTTGCAGATGACATAATTCTATATCTAGAAAATCCCATGGTCTCTGCCCAAAAGCTCTTTTAGCTGATAAACAGCTTTAGCAAAGTTTCAGGATGCAAAATCAACAACAAAAATTAGTAGCATTCCTATACAGCAACAATATCCAAGCTGAGAGCCAAATCAGCAATGCAATCCCATTCACAATTGCCACAAAAAGAATAAAATAACCAGGAATACAGCTAACCAGGGAGGTGAAAGGTTTCTACAATGATGATTACCAAACATTGCTCAAATAAATCAGAGATTACACAAACAAATGAAAAAGTATTCCCTCCTCATGGATAGGAAGCATCAATGTCATTAAAATGGCCATACTACTTAAAGCAATTTACAGATTCAATGCTATCCCTATCAAAAAATCAAAGACATTCTTCAAAGAATTAGAAAAAACTATTTAAAAATTCATATGGAACCAAAAAAGTTCATATAGCCAAGGCAATCCTAAGCAAAAAGAACAAAGCTGGAGGCATCTTGTTACCTGACTTCAAAGAATATTACAAGGCTATAGTAACCCAAACAGCATGGTAGTGGTATAAAAATAGAAACATAGACCAAAGGAACAGAATAGGGAATCCAGAAATAAGGGTGCACACCTACAACCATCTGATCTTCAAAAAAGCCTGTGAAAACAAGCAATGGAGAAAGGAATCCCTATTGAATAAGTGGTGCTGGGAGAACTGTTAAGTCACAGGCAGAAGATTGAAACTGGACCCCCCACCTTACACCACATACAAAAATCAACTCAAGATGAATTAAAGACTTAAATTTGAAACCTAAAACCATGAAGACCCTGGAAGATAACCTAGGAAATACCATTCTGGACATAAGATCTGACAAAGATTTCTTGATGAAGATGCCAAAAACAATTGCAACAAAAGCAAAAATTGACATGGGACCTAACTAAGCTAAAGAGCTCCTACATAGCAAAAGAAACTATCAACAGAGAAAACAGACATCATACACAATTGGAGAAAATATTTTCAAACTGTGCATCAAACAAAGGTCTAATATCCTGAACCTATAGGGAACTTAAACAAATTAACAAGAAAAAAAAAGCATTAAAATGTGGGTTAAAGCACGTGAACAGACACTTCTCAGAAGAGGACATACATGTGGCCAACAAGCATATGATAAAAGCTCAACATTACTAATCAATAGAGAAATCCAAGTCAAAAACCACAATGAGATATCATCTCACACCAGTCAGAATGGCTGTTATTAAAATGGCAAGAAATAACAGATGCTGGTGAGGTTGTGGAGAAAAAGAAATGCTTATACACTGCTGGTGGGACTGTAAATCCGTTCATTCATTTTGGAAAGAAGTGTAATCATTCCTCAAAGAACTCGAAACAGAACTACCATTCAACCCAGTGATTCTATTATTGGGTGTATATCCAAAATAATATAAATTATTCTACCATAAAGACACATGCATGCTATGTTCATAGAAGCATTATTCACAATAGCAAAGATATGGAGTCAATCTAAATACCCATCAGAGTATATTGGATAAAGAAAATGTGCTACATATACACAGAGTGGACTGGGTAAAGAAATGTGGTACATATTCCACATTTGGAATACTACACAGCTATAAAATAAGAATGAGATCAAGTTCTTTGGGGCAACATGGATGGAACTGGAGGCCACAATCCTAAGCAAACTAATGCAGGAACAGAAAACTCAATACTGCATGTTCTAAATTATACTTAAGAGTTGGGAGCTAAACAACAAGAACACATGGACACAAAGAGGGGAGGGACAGACACCAGGGCATCCTCAAGAGTAGAGGGATGAAGGGAGAGGATCAGAAAAAATATATCTATGGGGTACTACGCTTATTACTTGGGGGATGAAATAATCTGTACACCAAACCCCCATGACATGCAGTTTACCTATATAAGAAACCTGCACATGTACCCCTGAACCTTAAGTAAAAGTTACGATACAATAAAACATATGCATGTGGCAGACGCTATGTTAGCCTCTGAGATGCAAAGTTGAATGTTCGTTTCTGCCCTCAGGTTTGCCACAGCCTACTAGATGAAGTAGAAATGTACAGATAACAAAGAGAAATAGTAGTTCTTTATTCTCTGAGGAGCAAGGCAAAGAATCTAGGAAGATTTAGCAAGTGACCTGAAGCTTATCTATTATCTATTTGGATTGTGTAAATAAAATTTACTAATAAGAACATTGACAATTCCAGAGAAGGGAATTTTCATGTAAGCTGAAACTTAACATAAGAAGAAGCCAGAGCTGACACAAATTACGCTTAAGGAATTAGTAGTAGTAGTTTATATGTTTCAAGCACTATTTTATATGAGAGTCAGTAATGAGATAAGAGGCTGCAAAGAATATATGTATACACACATGTTATATATACACATAAAATACACACATGCACATATTTGTGTGTACATGCATTTTATGTTTATATACATTATATATGTGTGTATATATTATTTACAGCCTCTTGTTATATATATATATATACACATATATACACATATATATACACATATATATATACACATATACACATATATATATACACATATATATATATATATATATGCCTCAGAGGTGGGAGGCATTTGAAAATACCATGCCTCTTCAGCATTTAGAATGAAATGGTCTAGACCAGGAAAGCAGTAATGGGAATAGAGAGGAGAAGACTGACTCAATAGTTTGGGGCAAAATCAACTAGATTTAGTAAATGGTTAGGTATAGGTGTGTGAGAATATATGTTGTCTGGGTTGACTCTAAACTTTCTCTGTCAAGTAACTGAGAGGATAGTGATCCTACCCACTAACAAAAAGTCATACTAGATTAAAGAGGAAGACTAAGAGCTTATTTCAAAATGTTGAATTTCAGAAAGTATGTTAGATTCAGGTAAAAATGCTTAGCAGACAGAAGAAAGTCCAAGATTTGCAACTCGTGTCTATGAGTTATCAGCATTTATTTTAGATCAACAGCAAGAGCTGCAAATAGGTGTACCACCAAAAAGTATGAAGGTGTAAATTAAAATATAATTGATTATGGAAGACATTGTGGATGACTCCAAAATACCTATTACTCATCAGATGATCAGTCTAAGCCATGCAGAGTTTTGTCATTCTTCTTGACAGTGTTGAGCAGAAATCAGCATGTGACCTGATTCTGGCCATTGAGATGTGGGAGGAAGTCTGATAGTGGAAAGTATTTCTTAATCCTAAGAAAGAGATATAGGAAAAACAAAGAACAAAAAAACAGTCTTTTTCTTCTGCTTCTGGATTGTGAAGCCTCAAAATGCTTTAGCTATCTTGTCATAAGTCTGAAGATGAAGTCAAAAAAAATCCAAGCCTTGGAGGAAAGAAAGAATCTGGTTATACCAATACCGGGGTCATGTTGGATTCACTTTTATGAGAGATAGTAAGTATCCCTTCTATTCAAGTCACTTTGAGTTTGTGCTTCAGTTACTTGAAATTGAAATCCTTATTATTAATGTGATGATTAATTTAATGTATGAACTTGACTAGATTTTGGTGAGTATTTACTTGTTTGACACGTATCTAGATGGATGTTGCTGTGAAAATATTTTATTTTTTTTAGATGTAATTAACATTTACAATCAGTTTACTCTAAGTAAAGTAGATGACCCTCCATAATGTCAGTGGGCTGCATTCAATCAGAAAAGGCCTCAAAAATAACGACTGAGGCTTCTCCAGGAAGAATAAATTCTGCCTCTAGACTGAAACGTGGAAATTCTGCCTGAGTTCCCAGTCTTCAGACTCAAGACTACAACACCAATTCTTAATTGAATCTCCAACCTGCCAGTTTGCCCTACAGATTTTTGGACTTGCCAGTCCACACAATCCTGTGAGCCAATTCCTTAAAATAAATCTTTTAAAGTATATGTATCCTACTGGTTCTGTTTTTCTGAGGAAATTTGACTAATTCACAGATACAGTAGTTCTATTTTGCAATTTTTTTTTTTTTTTTTTTTCTGAGACGGAGTCTCGCTCTGTCGCCCAGGCTGGAGTGCAGCGTGGCGCGATCTTGGCTCACTACAACCAGTGGCGTGATCTCGGCTCACTGCAACCTCTGCCTCCCGGGTTCATGCCATTTTCCTGCCTCAGCCTCCCGAGTAGCTGGGACTACAGGCGCCCACCACCACTCCCGGCTAATTTTTTTTTTTGTATTTTTTAGTAGAGACGGGGTTTCACCGTGTTAGCCAGAATGGTCTCAATCTCCTGACCTCGTGATCCGCCCGCTTCGGCCTCCCAAAGTGTTAGGATTACAGGCGTGAGCCACCGCACGCTGCCAGTAATATTATTTTCCAATGAAAGTTAATAATGATAACTGATAATCAAAATAATTAAAGTTCATTGTCTTATTTTTTCTTTGGTGAAAGAACCTCCATCTAGCATGTGTCTGGAGACCAACAAATTTAAATAATCTTAATCTCAGGTTCATTTGATTACATACTTATTCATATAAAACTGTTGAGTGCTTTCAAAAATAGTCAGTTAATATTTTTATGACTGTTTTTATTTAAATTGAACCAAGCCTATTGTGCTTAACAACATTTCTTTTGTGGTCTCTGGATCTGGGTAAATTTAACATTTTTTCTTTTATAAAGACAGAGTTATTTTATCTATTTTGTTTATTACAAAAGAATTTCCCTATAATAAAACTAAAACAATGAGAATGTGCATCAAATTATGAGGTAATATAATTTTAAATTCACAAATAAATTTTTACTATCTCTTGTTGCCAAGGAAACCACTTTGTCCTTGTGTTCAATTACAACAATTTTTTTTAATGTAAATGCTAATTCCTATTTCACTCTGGATGCTGCATTAAATTAATCACTGTAATTTATATTTGATGAAGCTATTTTAAAGTGTTTGTCAATAAAACACCTGCAAAACAGAATACAGATCAAACAGCTATTGCCATGAGATAGGCATAATTATAGGAACAAATCTATTACCCATTAATTGAAAAATGTATGAAAATAATTATACATGATTGGTAAGAAAAATCCTATAAATTTGAGAGTATATTTAAATATGGTACTTTAATATGCTATATGAGGTATTTCCTAGAGAATGCAAAAACATTTTTCCGGAAGCAATGAGATATAAATATCTGCCAATAAATACAGAGCTTAAACAATTTGGTTTACATATCCCTTGGAATTATAAGAATATTGTAAATTCCACATAGAATAACACATATCTTCCATTTGCCTGATTGGTTTTATTCTGAAAATGGTATCAAGTATATATCGAATGAGATTAATAGCCGAAAGTCCCAAAAAGTTGATCCTACATTCCAGGTATCTTAAACATCTTTCAATAACTTCATGGATTTGTAAAATTAAATTAAAAAATATTTTTAAAATTTTAGTTTTCAAATGAAAACATTTAGGTGAAATGAAAGCACGTATGTAAAGTATGCTATGAAAAGTTACAAAATTCTTCTGGCTTTATCTTAACTTTTCAACATTTTAGAATTTTTGGAAGTGTATTTATTCAATTATTATATGTTTATAGTGGGCCTAATCTGCTGAGCATTACGCTAAATGGTAAAGCAGTGTATAAACATAAAAGGTCTCCACTGACAATAGTGACTAGGTATCCGGAACTGAATAGGAAACGTGCAGATACACAGATATTTCAACTTCACGATAAATAAACAAGTAAAACTGGGCTATTGATTTGGCATTGTGGAAAGAAAAACTGGGTGGCAAGAAACTTTGTGGATAATGTTCTGTGTCACTGGAGATAAATAATCACTGTCACCATGTCCACCCATATGTACACACACAGGCATATACCCATACCCAGAGAGGGGTGTGTGTGCTCACATGCAAACACACTTCGTATGAAGTACTCTGGATGTGACACAGGTTATAATGATCTATTTTTTTAAGTTTTTACATAGTCCTTCACATCCTGATTCTTACGCTGGCTCAACAGAAAAGCCACATCAAATGTTTTCCATATACAAAATGTAATGTCAGTGTCATAAACAAGTGGAAATGGAATTAAGGAAAAAGGAGGGCAAAATAATTTGGAAATGGCAATGAAGAGAAACTAAGGTAGCTATTCCACCTCCAGGCCACATAGTGGGAGGTATGGGAGAAAAAACAGATATTACTTGAAGGCACTACAGAGAAACCAATGGCTTCAGCGAAAAGCCCAATTTTAGTTAAAGCAAAAAGTAAAAGTGGAGCCCTTGAGAACCGAGGGTACTTTTCTGATGTTCAAAGTTCGGTTCCGGGGGATGCATTTGAAAGGTTTCAGAAATTAGGGAAAGATAGAATAAGGAAAGTGAAACAGGAAAGCGTAGAGGTGCAGGGGAACTGGAATGCAAGAAATAACAGGTGACCTGGAGTCCTGAGCCATCCTTATCATTGTGACACTCATGTGACTAATCTTCGTGGTCTCTCTGTGGCAGACGAGATAGTAAGCATATGACTGACTGGTGAAGAGTGTGCAGTGGACACTTGCCAGGAGCACAGAGTTCCAAAGTCTCCCTTTGCCCCCTTCAAATAATTACTGCAAAGGTGAAAAGGGGGCTTATTTAGAGCACCTGGATTTAGAGTTTTTACCCATGGTGTGGTCCCTGGACTGGTGGCGTCAGCAGCAACACCTGGAAACATACTATAAATATAAAGCTTTGAGTTCCAACCAAAACCTACCAAGTCAGAAGCTCTGGAGTTGAGGCTGTCATCTGTGAAAAGTACTTTTGAACCATTGTGGAAGTCAGTGTGGCGATTCCTCAGGGATCTAGAACTAGAAATACCATTTGACCCAGCCATCCCATTACTGGGTATATACCCAAATGAGTATAAATCATGCTGCTATAAAGACACATGCACACGTATGTTTATTGCGGCACTATTCACAATAGCAAAGACTTGGAACCAACCCAAATGTCCAACAATGATAGACTGGATTAAGAAAATGTGGCACATATACACCATGGAATACTATGCAGCCATAAAAAATGATGAGTTCATATCCTTTGTAGGGACATGGATGAAATTGGAAACCATCATTCTCAGTAAACTATCGCAAGAACAAAAAACCAAACACCGCATATTCTCACTCATAGGTGGGAATTGAACAATGAGATCACATGGACACAGGAAGGGGAATATCACACTCTGGGGACTGTGGTGGGGTCGGGGGAGGGGGGAGGGATAGCATTGGGAGATATACCTAATGCTAGATGACACATTAGTGGGTGCAGCGCACCAGCATGGCACATGTATACATATGTAACTAACCTGCACAATGTGCACATGTACCCTAAAACTTAGAGTATAATAAAAAAAAATAAAATAAAATAAAATAAAATAAAATACATTTGGATGATGAGAAAAAAAAAAAAAAGAAAAGCACTCCAGGTGATTCGAATGTACACAGACATCAGATGTTCAAGAACAATAGACTTACAGCATAAGCTTTGGATCTCTGTCACTTGATTTATCCCAATGTTCACCTGGCGATGATTGTTGATGGCAGAATGATCTAATTCTAGGAACTGTCTCTTATGCAATATGCTGAATTCCTCATAATAGCTTAGATTGCTATTTAATATTTTAAAGAATTTTAATGTTATTGCCACAGAAGCAGAAGGACCAAGACTTAGGAATAAATAATGGATGAAATTGAAATCAATCCAGAAGACTAAAAATTAAATAAGATTATTCCATTGAATTTAATTTTCTTAAATAAATGAAAATATATTTGTTGAAACAGCTATATGTATACCCAACAAATAAAATTAATTTTCTTTCAGATATATGGAGATTTGAGATGGAAAACTAAACCATATTTCTAGAATCTTGAAAATATCAATACATATTTAAAAAGTCAAAGAGAACTGAAGGTTTTTGAATTGAACAGAATACTTTGCATAATATTCGAGGAAATTTGCTTAAAACATTTGTAAATAATACATTTCCCCCCTGAATAGTTGCATTTAGATTTGGTTAGTATATTCACTTCACACTGTGCATTTGATATAATAAAATGGTTAATTGCAGATGTTTAAGCCATATGGTATTAGAGAAAAAATCCTTTCAAAAATGTGATTGAAAGGATCATTAATAAATGAATAAAATGAAAATGGAGTCATTACTATTAATTTATGTTTAACTCCACTTGAAATATTGGCAGATTTTAGATCTCATTAATATTATTGAAACTGATTAAAACAGAAGAAAAATCAGTTTCCCGTGAAATATTGGAAGACAGGGCTCACTCAATAAAGAATCTGGATGTATTAATGAAGTTATTTATCCAATAAATTATTCAACAACCCAGTCCGGCTTGTATTAGTCCCAGGTTTATGCAAAAATGTAACTCAGTGTCTCTGCTCTGCAGACATTCACACTTTTGATAGTACAATGGTACTATAAAAACACTCCTTTTGCATTCATCATTTCATAAGAAAAGTTTTACTAGCGTGGAGTCTTCATAATGATGATTTAGGTCTTTGAGCTTTCAAAATTTTCAGTCATTAGGATTTGCCTATTTTGCACATACTTCGGAGAGAGCATAACTTAAGTCTTTATTGGTGGTTAGCACCTGACAGTTTAGCAGGGATTCATCAAGGATCTGTGAAATGAAGCAATCCCAGAAAACTGTGGTAGGAATTATAATACCTGAGAGAAGACTCAATGGAAAGGGAAAATGAATATAACAAGATAATTATTGCTTTGTCCTACATTTTTATAAAACCCACCCTATTGAAATCTATAGCAGAAAACTTAACCCCCCCCCAAAATGTGGCCTTTAAATTTTAGAAACCAGCAGAGGATCTGCCAACTTCAATAGAGCTAAGATTATATTTAAAGCTGAGTTCAATTTTTGTCTACAATAAGAAAAATGTTGGCTGCATTAAAATAATGGATTTATTGGGAGGACTAAAATCTTTTGGTTACTGGAAAAATCATAAGAACATATGATACAAAAATATAATAACATATCGAGTTTGATTATTAATGCTAACAATTTCAAAGACTGGTTACATAATGGATTCTATTTAAGCGAAATAATCTTATAAATACTTCATGAAACTAATATATATTCAAGATAGGGTCTTTCTCTATTGCCCAGGTGGGAGTGCAGTCTCATGATCACAGCTCACTGCAGCCTTGACCTCCCAGGCTCAAGTGATCCTCCTGCCTCAGCCGCCTGAGAGACCACAGGTGTGCGTGACCACACCCAGCTAATTTTTTTTTTTTTTTTTTTTTTTAGAGATGGGGTCTCACTATGTTGCCCAGACTAGTCCTGAACTTCTGGCCTCAAGTGATTCTCCCACCTCTACCTTACAAAGTGCTGAGATTAAAAGGCATGAGCTACCACACTTGGCCCTAAGGTATTCTTACAAGGGTAAATCCAAGGACCATGTAGGAAGAAATGATGTAACCAGAGCTCCAATGATGTTTCAAAATTAAGCTAAATATATAGCAGTATTTTTAGTAAAACTTTGGAAGTATGTAAGGCTAGAAAAATCCTTGAGAAATTTAGAAATATAAAAAACTATAATTAATAAAAAATTCAATAAATGCTTGAATTGATGAATTTATTGATGTCCGTTTCAAACTAACTGGAGGTTTTCACATGTTTGCTTAAACTAGAGCCATTAATAAGAATGCTAAACTTCTAGATTCATGACATATGAGTTTGCCTACATAGGTTTTAACTCAGTGGTAGATTACTATAACCCCTTAGGTAATAAATCCTGAATTATTGAGTTTCACTCATACTTCCTAGAGCAAATAATTTAAGCTTATTGATCCACAAGTTCCTTATTTCAAAAATGTAGGATTAATAAAAATATAAAAATTTGCTCATGTGTATTGAAGAAAATAATGAATTTTAAATGTTTGCATATTACATAAAGCAGTAAATTTATGTAAGAAATAATAACTATTATATGAAGACACTAAGAAAACAATTCCCCAAATCTTCTAAAATACTGATAATAGCCTAAATCCACGTCTTTCCTTTCAAACTCCAAACACTTATACGGATTATCTTTTATAAATTCACTCACCTAACAAAACAAAGCAAAACAAAAAGGCATATTTAATCAAGGTAAATACCACAGCTAAGAGACAGAGAAGATTCAAACTTCTAATAATGTGTAAATAAGGATCAAACACACTAATCCAGCAGAGCCGTTGTAGGAGTTCATTCAAACCTGGCATGGTTTGAATGTCCCTTCCAAAATTCATGTTGAAATTCAATCCCCAATATAGCAGAATTGAGAGGTGGGGCCTTTAAGAGGTGATTGGGTCATGAGGGCTCTGCCCTCATGAATAGATTAATTCATTCATGGATTAATGGGTTAGTGAATTAATGGGTTATTACTGGAGTGAAACTAGTGGCTTTATAAGAAGACAAAAGGAGACCTGAGCTGACACATGAGATGCTCAGACCCCTGGCCACGGGATGTCCTGTGCTGCTCCAGGACTCTGAAGACAGTTTTCCCCAGCAAGAATGCTCTCACCAGATGCTTCCTCTCACTCTTGTATTTCTCTGCTTCCATAACTGTAAGAAATAAACTTCTTTTCTTCATAAATTGCCCTGTTTTTGATATTCTGTTACAAGCAACAGAAAATGGACTAAGGCACTTTGTAGAAAACACAAAAAGGGAGAGACACCTTCGAGAGAAAAAACACAGTCACCCCAAAACATTGAAAATCCCAGAATGAGTACAGAAAATCTGAGAACAGTTCTCAGACTTGGCTGAGCTTAGTGAATAATGTCATTGGATAATGGCAGCACTCCTCCCAGATCCTCTTAGCTTCCTTCTGATGGCATTTTTATGTGCTCCTACCCCTATCTCACTCCATCCAACAGCCAACATCTTTATAGATGCTTTGCCAGAGACTCTCTCAGACTTCTGGATCCCTCTTTGCTTGCGGGCACACAGAACTACAGGTGGCCCTTCACCAAGAATTGAAGACTGTGGAGTGTGCCAGCCCAGCCCTGCCGCTGATGATGAGGACGTTTCTGAGTATCATGGGACTTTGCCAGTTATCACAAGTTTGCTTGGCTTCCTTTTTATTCCCGTCCTGCTTTCTAAACTTCCTTGCCAATTTCCTTGGGAATACGTGTATGCGGGCGTGCTCGCGTGTGTGTGCATATATATATTTTCTGGAGAATCCAAGCCAAAATAACTAGCTTCTGGGGGAATTCAAAGAAAGAAACTTGAAATTCATGAGTTCATAGGAGGAAGACGTGCTTCAGGGGATGAATGTAAGTTGTAACGTGAGTTGCTCTTTGGAGACGTGGTGGTAAATGGAAAAAAAGGCAGATGGACAAAGTCGAATCTCTTATGAAAAACAATAAAGAATGCTGAGCCATAGACATACTAAAACACTTCACCCTTCTCCAGTGAGCATAATCAGTTCAACAAAATTATACTTGGCTATATCAATGTTATTGGCAGATGGATTCAAGTGTCAGCTTCTCGGGAGTGTCCAGAGGCAGAGAGATTCCTCATGAAAGGTCACACTTCTTTCCCAGTGGCTCCCATCCAAGACATTTTGAAGCAAGAGTATAAAGACCTGGCCATTTCCTTCAACTTCGGGCAACTCTGAAAGGCCATTCTAGCTCCAAATCTCCCCATGGGGACAGCCAAAGCTGTCCTTGAGCCTGAATTACATATCTCTTTCTCTCTCTGCCACCCACTACGGCTTTCTTTCACTACTTCCCAGATGTTAATCTTGAGTGCCCCTTAATAAATATTCTGCAGGTGAAACTACTTCAGAGTTTGTTGTTCAGGCATAACCTGGGAAATAAACTAACCCAAATCCTCACCATAACCGCACATCACTTTTATTGATGAAAATCATTCGTACAAATGCATTGCGAGAAAAAACAGAAAATGATAAATAACATTTCAGCTGGTAAAAGTCTTCCGCATGAAGCAGAAGAAAATTGTAACAAAAAAACTCCTCAAATAATTTGCATACTATAGAACGCCTTGCGTTACGGTGTCAAAAACTGATAATAGAAGAAATAAGATGATATAAATTAACAACTGTCTATAATAAATTAAGAAATTTTAAATAACTCCAAATAATCTTAGAAATAATGACTAAATTATGGGGGTCAGTGAAGAAAGTCAACAGTTGAGACAATGAGAAGGAAATAACGAGGTTAAAAAAATGTGAAACAAAGAAGTGAAAAGATTTATTGATCGATATGCAAGTTAAGAATATATGCTATGTAATATGCATAGAGTCCATTAAAAACAAAATAATGGAATAGGACATATATTTAAAACTGTCTAAGAAAGCTTTATGCAAATAAATTAAGACTTGAACCTCCATATAGAATGCGTTCTTAGTATATCTAGGGAAATTAATCTTAAATGGTCATCTCAGTGATATATCCTACCCTAATAAAATGATCAGACTTTAAAGCTAACAACAAACAAGCAAACAAAAACTGTCAGGTCCACCAGGAAAAAGATGCTAAGTCATTTATCACCCCACCAAGAAAAATGAAATTAGAGGAGGAGAAAATAAAAATCAACTTGGTATCAGACTTTTTGCAAGAATGAAATGAGGCAGATTTGCAAGAAATTAAAACATGAAAAGGGTAAGCCAAGAACTATGTATTAGACAAAGCTGTACTTCAAGCACCAAGGTCTTAGCAAATGAGTTTTATATATGCAGTAACTCCATAAATGCCATATTCTGAAACCGTTTTTTTTAAAAAATTTCCTAGAGAACAAACTTTGACACCCCAATGTTAGTGGGGAAAATTTTAGCAAAAAGACTAACAGTAAGCAATTCATGTATTTATTAGCAGATATAAGATTAAAACAAAGTGGAGATAAAGTGGAATAATAACAAATATTGTATGCTCAAGCTGAAAAGAAATACAAGATATGAGCAGAAAATTTAGAAAAATTGTATAGTAAGATAACCTCACTGACTACACCATAGCTAATAGGTTTGTGTCAAAGAATATCTGATAAAACAGAAATCCATAGAGTAGAAAACTAGTTAATAATAACTGGGACTTACAGTATTATATAAGGTCTTAATATAAAGGTAAGCATTAGAATAAAAAACATGAAACCTTTCTGAATACCAAAACAATATAGAAACATTTTTAAAAGTATAATATGGAGAAATCAAAGGAGAATATTTGTACATTTATACATATATATTTAAATATATATAGAGACAAAGACTAGTTTCAGATTAAAGATATCAGTTATGTCAATAAATTTACATTGGTTTTACTCATCTGTTAAAATAAACTAAGCATGTTTGTACTAGTAGTATACAGATATGGACCAATTCAGAAAAGTGTCACATGAACATGTATATGAATAGTTTGCAATCAATCAAAAAAAGTTGGATTTTTCAATAAATGGTACTTGAACAAAAGGATAGCTAATTGATAATAGGTGAATTTTAATCCTTACTTTACATCATAATGAAGTGACCCGAAATAGATTCACAATCTAATTCTAAAAAGTGAAGTAAAACCTTTATAAGGATATGTTTTACTATGGTTTTGATTTTGATTTTGTTGTTTTACATATTCATAAAACAAAATTAAATTAAGAATAGGAGGAATACAATTAAATATAACCATAAAAATAAAAATCTAATTGTACATAAAATTGAAAAGAGAACAACAAAGAAAAAATTAATTTTTACACAGTGATCTTACAAAATGATATCAGTTAGAAACATTCTAATTGTAAAAAAAAAAAAAACTCCTTGAACTAAATTTAAAATTGTTTTAGTGACATTAGTTTACTAAATTCAAACGATTTTGTATGTATTGTTTATATTATAATGTTGACTAATGAACATACTGTCATTTGGGGAAGTAGAGAGATTATTGTGGGAGAAATATCATATAAATGTTGAAAAGAGGAGATAAATAATCCTGTGTTGTTAAATTGACCAAGACGGTATCAGTGTGAACTTAACAATTTTTAGTATTTTTTTCTAGCTCAGTTGACTGAAATGACATAGAGGCACTGATATCCCAGTACAAGTGAGCACACCTAGTGCCTAGATGTTGGGCTGTAATATCATTCCCCAATAAAAGCAAGAAGGGTTCCTTGGAGAAATAACAGGTTCCAGATGTAAGGCAGTAACAATCACTGATGCATCTGAAAGATTCTGTTTTGCTGGGAAAAAAGAAAGCACTCAAAAACTAACGCAGGCATTTCAGAAAACGCAAGAACCACTGTACAGGGGTACCCGCTCACAAAATATGAGAAAATTCCAGGATCTAAAGAAGTCATGACAGTGTGGGTTACAATGCATTTTTTAAAAAATTCATGAATCCATAATTATAATAAAAACTATAAAAAAGAGAAACAGTAAAGCTCTCTCTTTTTTCAGAAAGATGCAGCATGATAAATGCCAAATATCCAAGTAATGATTAATGAGGGAAGAATCAGCAATGGATACTAAACCATTGAGTAAAAATGTTGTTGGCAAACAAGATAATCACAATCTCAAAATATCATCCTATAGATGACTTAGTCATTACAAAGAGAAAATGACACTTTTAACAATGAAGAAAACCAAGGGATCCGACTTAACATCGCTAATGATGGCACAAACTCACACTGTATGAATTGAATAATGAGGAGAGAAAAATCCAGTTGTGCAGCGAGTGACCTCGGTACTTCCAAATTATCAATGCAATGAACAAAATAAGCCTAGATAATTATTCTAAATTAAAGAAAGTTAAATAAATGTAAAAATTAACGATAGCGTTTACTCTTTAAGTGAATTCAGTATCAAAAATACTATAAAATATTTTATTATAAAGTTGAACAGGCCGGGCGCGGTGGCTTACGCCTGTAATCCCAGCACTTTAGGAGGCCAA
Organism: Homo sapiens; assembly: GCF_000001405.40. NCBI lineage: Eukaryota > Metazoa > Chordata > Mammalia > Primates > Hominidae > Homo > Homo sapiens. The sequence continues at coordinate 12,189,842 of NC_000005.10, read as the reverse complement.
GGACAGCGGATCACGAGGTCAGGAGATCGAGACTATCCTGGCTAACACGGTGAAACCCCGTCTCTACTAAAAAAATACAAAAAAAATTAGCCGGGCGTGGTGGAGGGCACCTGTAGTCCCAGCTACTTGGGAGGCTGAGGCAGGAGAATGGCGTGAACCCAGGAGGTGGAGCTTGCAGTAAGCGGAGATCCAGCCACTGCACTCCAGCCTGGGTGACTGAGCGAGACTCTGTCTCAAAAAAAAAAAAAGAAAGAAAGTTGAACAAACATGAATATGTTATTAACATTAAATTCCTTGAATGTGATAATTGTATTATGGCTACATCAGAGAGAATATCCTAGTTCTTAGAAAATTATTGCTAAAGTATTAAGAGGTGAAATGTCATTATGTCTACAACTTACTTTTTCTCCAATCGTTTGCCAAAGAAAAATACGATTATCTCAAAATACCTCAGAAGATTATCTTAAATAATATCTCAAAAGGTTAAATAAATACGACAAAATATAAATAACTGTGGTAGGTAAAGCATTCATGGACACAAGCTATTCACTTAAATGTTTCTATATGTCTGAAATTTTCAATATAATAAGTTGTAGATAAAAAAAACTCAAATTCTTTCTAGGGCTACTAAATATCTTAGGACAATTTATCCAGGCTTCATAACACACAAAAACCAACTGGAAAGCAGAATAAAATGTATGTATCATCAAATTTTCCAAGATACTTGTAAAATTCTTAATTTGTTAAAAAGAAAAAAAAAGTGTCAGAATAATTTGAAAGCTCATTAAAACGATGACCCTTCAATGCAATAAAATTTTTTTGGAGTTTACTCTTAAGAAATCACAAGATATCTTAAAAAGTACAGGTGCAATTATCTCTATATATTTGAATAAATTGGCTGAAAACACAGATTTCTGTCAAAAAAAATCTCTGGTAAAGAAAATCACTTTGTTCAATGTTAACAGCAAAGCTGTTCAAATCATGACTTAACTGAAATGTTGAATACGGCAGTGGCACTCCTGGAGACTCTTGTTTTCCTCTTGTTAGCACCGTCACCATGACACCCCTGATTACATGTATTTGTCAGCTAATTGATGTTTCATTGGGCCTTAACATTTTCTTCCATGTTCTTCACCCAGAACATCACAAACTACTTTGCTCTTAAAAGAGCAGTACCCCAGAAAGCTTATACTGTGGCCCAACTCATGCTGAGTGCTGGTTCCCAACCATTTTGAGTAGGCTCTCTCAGGCTCATGGGCTTATCCTCCAAATTGTAGATCTATCTTTTACATACCAATGTTTGGGTAAATAATAGATTCTGCCAATAAAACGTATTCAAAAAAATCTGCTACATATATTTCCTTAATTTTATTGTACATAAACACATTCCTGCTTTAATCTTAACCAGAAAAAATTATAAAAATTACTACTGGAATGGCATTCTCTGCTATTGTTCTCATCTCTCCATATAAGTTTTACAGAAACATTTTTAATTACTTTCCATTTTTAAATTAATATTACTTTTTAATGTGGACTATGCAAAGCATTGCATTTCTCATTTTCTTTCTTTAAATATTACTAACTAGGTAAGGGTTTTGTGTCTACCACTTGCCATACATTATTTATTGTCCTACATCACCTTGCTAGGATTTATTAAAATTCCTGCCCTACTGTGAAGTTCGTGAGGTCAAGGCCCTTGTCTTTGGTAGTCACCACAGAAAGCTCAACTGATAGCACAATTCAGGGTGGTTGGTAGGCTGAGACTGCACCTCCAAAATGTTCCTGTCCTAATTCCCAGACACGGGAATATGCTACCTTACATGGCAAAACAAAATTTGCAAATCTGATTAAATTGAGGATTTGGTAATGAAGAGATTATTCTGGATTATCCCACTGGGCCCAGTGTAATCACAATGTTTCTGATAAGAGAGAAGCAGGAAATTCAGAATGAGAGAGAAAGAAATTTGACTATGCTGTACTGCTGGCTTTGAAGGTAGAAACAAGGGCACCAAGAAGTGCAGGTGGCCTCATGAAGCTGGATAAACAGGTACTAGATTCTTTCCTGAAGCCTCCAGGAGAAACCAGCCCTATGGACACCTACCTGCTGTAAATTGCAACTGATTTTAAATTTCTGGCCTCTAGACTCTCAGATAATAAATCTGTGCTGTTTTACATCAATATTTGTGGTATTTGTTACAGAAGCAATTGAAAAATAATATGCCAGTAAGTCTGGAGGACTGGAGATCAGAAATTTTAAACTATCTCACTGTACCAGAGTCAAGATGTCCAAAGGGTTGGTTTCTTTTGCAGGCTCCAAGGGACATTCTGGTACCTGTCTCTTCCAGCTTCACAATGCCGTCTGCATTCCTTGCAGCCCCCTTTTTAAATGTTGTAAACTAGGATTTAATACATTAAGATAAATCTTCTTACATCACATGGGAATAAATTCGGGATTCAAACTTAGACTTTTTCTGACAATAAACCCTGCCTATTTTTATTAGGTTTGCTCAATTATGATAGTTATTTTCTCAAGACAATTGTGTGAAAACTGGACTATGTGCTGCTAAAATGTTTCCTGCATTACTTTATTCATTTTAAGTAAAATACAAGACAGCAATTAAATGAATTTCAGTATGTTTCAATGATTAAAATGAATGAGGCTTCAGATAACACTTTTGTTTCAATAATTTCTGGCTGAATTTAGTAGAATTAAAATGCTACCTATACAACATATGAGTACAACTTTGTAGTTTTCTTGCTAATTTATGCAGAATGTTTAGTTTCAGACAAACATTGCTGAAATGATGGGATGAACATTAAAACTGCTTTTATGTACTAAATAACAATTTTGTAATGTTATAGATCATCTCATTTATAATCAGTACAAATTCATCTTCTCTATAATTTCCATAAATGCAGTACATCAATTTATGTGTATTTAAAGTTAAAATTAAATTGTATGTTGTTTCAACATCAACAACCTAAAAATGCAAGTATTTTTAAAAATCTAGTTGTATTGAAGTATTATCAATCCAATCAAGTTGACACTCAGTATTCACCACGACAAGCCGCTTCCACATTTGTAGGCATTTTGTTACAGCAGCATTCCACTTCTCACTACTAATTTCTGTTTAGTTCATTCTTACTGCAAGAACAAAATACTTCACGCCTGTAATCCCAGCACTTTGGGAGGCCGAGGCGGGCGGATCACGAGGTCAGGAGATCGAGACCATCCCGGCTAAAACGGTGAAACCCCGTCTCTACTAAAAATACAAAAAATTAGCCGGGCGTAGTGGCGGGCGCCTGTAGTCCCAGCTACTTGGGAGGCTGAGGCAGGAGAATGGCGTGAACCCGGGAGGCGGAGCTTGCAGTGAGCCGAGATCCCGCCACTGCACTCCAGCCTGGGCGACAGAGCGAGACTCCGTCTCAAAAAAAAAAAAAAAAAAAAAAAAAGAGAACAAAATACTACAGACCGGGTAATTTATAAATAATGGAAATACATTTCTCACAGTTCTGCAGACTAGGGAAGACCTGGATCAAGGTGCTATCAGATTCAGTGTTGAGTGAGGACTCGCTCTCTGCTTCCAAGATGGTGGCTTGTTGCTGAGTTCTACAAAGGATAAGGGTCCAAACATTGTGTCCTCACATTGCCGATGAGATGCATGGGCCAAACTGCTCTCTGAAGCATCTTTTAAAGTCATTAATTCCATTCATGAGGCCAGAATCCTCATGACTTCATCACTTCCCCAAAGGCCCTACCTCAATACCACCACAGTAGGGATTAAGTTTTAACATGAATATTGGAGGGGCACATTAAACCATAGCAGTGCTCTTTGTTGAATTTTGTCAAGTATATATGGTTGTGAATTCACTACCACAATAAAATATAGAGCATTTACATCTCCCAAGAAGACTCTCTCATGCTTCTTTGCAATGAATACTCTCCCATTCCCAATTCTTGGCAACACCAATCTGTTTATAGTAACTCAAATTTTGATTCTTATAGAATTTGAGATAAATAGTATTATACAGTATCTAGTCTTCTGTGTCTAGATTGTTTCATTTAGCGAAATAATTTTGAGATTCATCTGTGCTGTTTGATGTTTCCATTGCTCATTCTTTCTATTACTGAGTTTCATTTCACTGTATGAATGCAGAAGGGTTTATTTATTCACTGGTTGATGGACACTTGGGTACTCTCCAGTTTGGGGCTACTATAAATAAAACTTACATGGCCATTCATATGCCTGTTTTTGTGTAAACATGTGTTTTCATTTCTCTTGGATAAATACCTCAGAATGACATGCATAGGTCATAAAGTAAGTATATATTTAAATTTATAAAAGAAAATTGTGGCCAGGCGTGGTGGCTCACCTCTGTAATCCCAGCACTTTGGGAGGCCAAGGCAGGTGGATCATGAGGTCATGAGTTTGAGGCCAGCCTGGCCAACATTGTGAAACCCTGTGTCTACTAAAAATACAAAAATTAGCCTGATGTGGTTGCGGGTGCCTGTAGTCCTAGCTACTGGGACTGAGGTAGGAGAATCACTTGAACCCGGGAGGCAGACGTTGCAGTGAGCCGAGACTATGCCACTGAACTCCAGCCTAGGTGGCTCTGTCTCCAGAAAACAACCTTGCAAACTTCTTTCCAAACTGGCTAAACCACTGCTACAGTTTGGATGTGTGTCATCACCCAAATCTCATGCTGAATTGTAATCCCCAATGTTGGAGGTGGGACCTGGTGGGAAGTGATTGGATCATGGGAGCAAATTCCTCATAAATAGTTCAGCACCATCCCCCTCGGTACTGTCTTCACAATAGTGACTGAGTTCTCATAAGATCTGGTCATTTGAAAGTGTGTCGCACCTCCCTGCTGTCTCTCTCTTGCTCCTGCTCTGGTCATGTGATGTGCCTGCCCCCACTTCACCTTCTGCAGTAATTGTAAGTTTCCCCAAGGCCTCCCCAGAAGCTGAGCAGATGCCAGCACCATGTTTCCCATACAGCCTGCAGAATCATGAGCTAATTAAACCTCTTTTCTTCATAAACTACCCAGTCAGGTATATCTTTATAGCAATGTGAGAGTAGCCTAATACAACCAGTTTGCATAGTTTTCTGATTTTAACCTTTCATCATCTTTGAGCTATTTCATAGCTCTGCAAAGCATAAGTGATCTATAAACCTGTGAATTCTCCCCTGTCTGGTAAAATTTCAATTGACTTCACTCTCTGCTGTGGGGGAAAAAATCTGTTTTGCCTCCATTTGAACATTTATTTCAAGATTCCTGATATATTTTTGAACTAGATATAATATCTAACTAATAGAATAAATGAATAAGTAAAATCATTTGTGTTCACTTTCATCTCTATGAAGCCCATGATTTTACCATTTTTTGAAACTTATCTATTGGCAGCATCTTAGACATCATGAATATTAACAACTGGAACTTCTGAAATCTGTTATTTTCTGTAAGAAATGTTTCTTTTGTTTTAGCAGGCAATTAATTTGAATAACTACAAAATGCAAAATGTTTCTTGGAGAGTAGCTCCTGGTTCCATTCAGATCTTTTATCTCTGAGTTTCTCTCATTCTGTTCCACTCATGCATGATTCAAGGATCAGCCCTAGACTTGGCCAGGCAGAAATCTAAGATCTTTTCTCTGGCCTTTACAGGAAAAAAAATACAAGATGTAATACAAGATGTTGTCATAGGTATCTCACCCTATTTTCAATTAGGCTGAATTTCCCTGACTTCTAACTGTGGCTCCTGAGGCCAGGCAAACTGTGCTCTTTCCCCTGCTACCTCCATCCCAACTCTATGTGTGTTCATTGCTCCTGTCCCTCAAACTGAAACTACAGGGGAATACACCATACAGCTTCCACCAGAATTTGTGTTCCACACCTGCCTGCTTCTCTTCATTCCCCAGTGCCTTCAGGCATCTGCTTATTGTATTATGTTTAGATTTTATTATTGCTATCTGTGGCAACATCAGTCCACTTTGACATTATACCACCACTATTAGAAATGTAATTCTGAATATCCTAAGGTTTTATTTTTTCAGTGTGGGTTTCCTATACAAATCAACACTGTACTTAGTAACGTATCAACACATTTGAGTCTAACATGCTTCATAATAATGGAATACATGTACATATGCTTGGAACATGGACCTTTCATATGTGACATCTATAACCCCACAGTATAAGTACAGTTGAATATTTGATGAGTGCAATATTTACAATACATGAAAGTTAAAAATCTTTTATATTTCTCTTTGAATTGATAACAGTAGAAAATAGAGTCTCCTAGGATTTAAAACAAGTAAAAAAATTGAAATTTCTTTTCAAAGCTGTTTGCTCTTGTGTCTTATTTCACAAAAGGAAGAAGAAAATAAGCCAGTGATAACAATGATTAAGAATGGTTACAAATAAAAGCCTCACTTACAAAAGTAGACTCGAATTTTCATGAGCTGCTCATCTATCTTCGTGTGATTTTGTAATTACCCTTTTCAAAATGCTCATCTTTACCTATGACTACATCTTATATTACCCTTTCTTATAATAGCTTTGAATTTGTCCCCTCGGTGGGATGTTGCACTCATAACTCACATTTTCCTGATTTCCATGATGTAACAAAACACAGTCTGTTACTATGGCAATGATCAGCATCTTGCAGCGCAAGCCATCATGATTATAGGTCTCCGGTGCTAGACTCTTCGTCCTTCAATCAATTTTTAGAGATCTTTTTGTCCTTCCACACATTCCAAATTAAGTGTTTAGTGTGCTTTGATTAATGTTTCAAACTTTAACCAGTATAGTGATGTGTTAAGTGGCAGTGTTTTATCTGCATTTTTCTTTAACTGCATTGTTCAGCCTATAAGAATAGTTCACTGAATCACAGTAAACTAGATGTATCTGACATTTTGAAACTACACAGATAAGTCTGGAAAAGCAAATACATGTATTCTACAATTTGTTTGCATGTAATCTAGATTGTAGGACTCAAATCTTAAACATATAAACTGCATTATAAAGAGTAAACTCTTGTATTAATAATGTCTTATTAAATATGGATCAGGACCCTGAATTACTGCATGTTTAGGACAGGGAGATCATTCCTATCACACAGGGTAAGCCACCCCAAGTATGATGCTACAAAAGTATTACTTTGTATTTATCAGACAAATTTTAGTCAGATATTTAAGTTGCAAAGTTAGATATGTGTTAAATTAAAAGCATACATTCTGCTTAAATTGCACTTAGTTATGTGCGGAAGTGAAAGCCCCCTTCTCTGGGGTATATATTCTTAGTATTAAAAAATGTGAATATCTTTTTACAGTTTTTCAGTTCCTGTATAGACCAAAGTTTAAAGTTAAAATAACAATGAATGTTGGTTTTATAAAATTATAAAACACAGGCCAGTTTTTGTAGGAAGTAAATCATCACATAGCAAAAACATTGTGAATTTCCTAGTTCATCAAAACTTGTTTTTAAAATTTTCACACCATGTTTAGGTCAGTGATTTTGTGAGAAGGCAAATAATCTATAAAATCCAAAATTAAGAAGTCTTATTTTCCAAGTTTGAAGAATAAATTAATAGTCACTGATGTGAAATATTATTCAAATACCCATGATTCTCCTACTTCTGACTTAATTTTGGATTCAGTTAAAGGTCATCTGGTAATTTGGATTGCCATTTAAAGCCAGAACTTTACTATCCTGAATGAAATTATTTTCCTTCTCCAAAATAACAAAGATACCCTAGCAAAAGTTGCTGTTTAAAACTCACTAGATAAGAAAACCAGTTTTGTGGACTATCATCTAGCACTAGGCATCTCAATGTCCTTTTGACAACTACTAATACATAGACTAAGTAACTTACATAGCTTCAAAAATCATGGGCATTTGGATTAATCTATACCCATTATCAACCCTCAGATTTGCTCAGGATCAAGTAAATTGAAAGGATTGAACTCTATTTAGAAAGGAAGTATACAAATTACACAGAGAGTGGTTATGTAATCATCTATCACTCTATGCTACTAAGTGATATAATATTTTTAAGTGGAAGAATATTAAGCATTTAAAAGTTGATGAGTTTGCATTTAAAATACATATTTTGCATGCTCGTCTCCCCCTTTTCAGACCTGTTCTTAAACTTTGGTGATATCTAGTGATAACTAGTACTGTAGCCCATATACGTATTGCAATGTTCTCTCTCTCTCAAGCTCTCTGTTTTCAAAATTCACTCTCCAAAAAGAATTTGCCAAGCTAATGTAATCCCCAAAATGAATATTCAATAATCTTGAAGTATTATCTTTACATTTCATCATAAAAATATACTCTTACTTAACAGTAAAGAGTTTCTGATTGAAAATGGTCATATGTAGGCCAACAAGTGACATAGGTCAAGTCCATGGAAGCCTTTGAATGGTACTTGCCTACTCAAAGTCTCTACTTCTGGTAAGGCAAATGCCAGAGTTACAATTTCACTTAGCAGAAGTGTAATAATAATCATGTATATAATGACGTTCATATGACAAAGTCTTACAGGGCCAGAATCAATGAACCAAAGATGACATTGTATTTCCTATAGCCCTAGAAGTTTCCTGCATGAACCTATGAAAACACATTTCAGAGCAAGGCAGCACATATTTCAATGGCAAAATGTCTGACAGTAACATTGAGCAGAGTAAGCATTTTAAACAAGAAGGATAAGACCTAAAGGAAAACAAATAACTTCTGTTGGAGCTTTAAGATGAAGAAGTTTTAGATTAATGCAAATGTATTCATATGGAGAAATAAAGCACAGGCTTCAAAGTTGGACATAAGGCACAACTTGAAATTAATGACCTTAGCAAAAGATGTGCCAACTAACTCAACATGTTGACCAACTGTATTAAATTGCACAAATATGATTGAAAATATCTATACTGTTTTGTGTCCTCTCTTCTGAATAGCAAATGAACCAATCTATACTTTTTATATTTTTATAGAAGTTGGCTAAATTTTCTTAATAATCACTTTATCTTTTACATAAGAACACTTTTTTTAACTTAAAATTTATTACCAAAAGAAATAACTCTTTTATTGTGATTTGTTAATCAGAATTTTGTATTTTAAACTTTAAATTTTATACAGCAAAACTTCTGAAGTAAATGTTTAGCTTTCTTGTACTTGGATTGGACCTGTTTCTTAAGTAATTGTATTTCAGTAAATACCAAATACTATAATGCACTTATTGGAAACATACAAACCAATGAAGTCTAGTCACTTATTTCAAATGGGTTTAAAGTTTTCTTCAGTTGCATATAAAATACTGAATTTTCCCCTGGTTGTTTTCTAATTATTACTTTCAAAGCAACTGAGTAACAATAGGTTTGGGATAATATAAATTGACTTCACTTTGTTTTTTCATTATGTTGAATTAAAATTATTAATTACCAATTTTTGTTTTTTTAATATATCTCTTTATGCCAACATTTTCACCATTGCTTTGCACCAGTCATTATTATTATACTCTTACCATATAGATTCCTAAAGCTGGGTATGAAAATCACTGCAGTACAATAAGAAAAGAAAATTAGATATGTGTTTATAATCATCTCATCCTCCAGAAATTTCTCATTCTGTATTTTATATAGAAGTGTGAATGTGTGTTGTTTAAATCACATATTACCACTCTAAGAGCTATAAATAGCTTCCTTACATAAATTGTATAAATGCTGATACAATTCAATATAGTATCAATTCACTATATAGCTGACATACAATTCAATATATAGTACAATTCAATATGTAGCTGATATATTCAATATAGTTTATATTGAATTATAATAATTCTTAATATTAATATATTAATTAATAATTTTTACTAAGGATAAAAAACTATATTAATAATTCTTACTAAGGGTAAAAAACTTATTGGTAGAAAGGTACTCAAAAAAGTCCAAAGTCGATGCAGTGGAATGTCCTAAGGTACATTCAAAAATTGAATTACTGATACTATATTGAATTGTATCAGCATTTCAATTTCCTAGCAATTTCTCTATATAATAGATATGACGACAATTGAACACAATGGATTAAATGACAATAAGCAACACTGGATACAATGACAATAAACCTGGATAAAAGGCTGGGAAAATTTGCTTTTAAGTCACCCATTTACCTTTAACATGGGCTTAAAATTGTATAGATAAGCCTCAAAAATATAAACCTATGAATAGGGTAAGTTATATAAGTTCAGGTGACTACAAATAAAGGAATCAAGAAACAAGTGGACTGAAATGTTTAAATTCCAGTTCACATAAGGAGGTATTTCTGTTGGAAGTGCCTCCAAAAGTGGATACCAGTTGGTTAGCAGAGCTCATTATTTAAAAAGGAAATTTCATAAATAGGGAGATTTTTGGTTTATGCTGTATCTAATGTAAAAATATATAAAACAAGATTACATGTTTTCTAGAAAGATTGATTTATCTAGGCAGGACTTATTGTTTTTGATTACAGCTGATATCACTGTGTTAATACCAAACAGCATGACAACTAAGGAAAGTTGTTCATTGGGTAGAAAATTCTCTAATTTGCTTCCTTTAACTGTAGCTGATTTGTCCCTCAAATGATGATACTTAATTTAATCTTCACAATACAGCTATTCCCCTTGGGAATCAGAAGTGCCTCTTTTAATGCACATATATTTCTAAATATATCACTCCAGACATATTTAGAATATGCCATATGGCATTCAAGTTTATCTTACATTGTGACGACATTCCCAAGTTATCTGAAGATGCCCATTGAATCTGGAGGTTGGGCAGCCTTCATTGATCAAAATGAAGCCTTCTTCTTTGATCAAAATTATCCATTCCAATATGTATAAGTCTGTGCCTAAACTGGAAAATCTCTTGTAAATTTTTTCTCACAGATACTATGGGCATAGTCACAAAGAAGTTTACATGTAAGTTTTGCTTCTTATAGCCTTTGAGATACAATTACCAGTCTCACACTTCTCCATATATCATGTAGTTCAAATGAGGTATTACTAAAATAAATCATAAGGTCAAATACAATAGCAAATTTTATCTAGTGCACTATTCTATTTATTTGGTTTAAATTTTAATAACATATGAAAACATACTTTTTGCAATACCTCTGCTTTAATCTTTTATCTGGAATGGTGCAGTAGAAACTAAAAAGGACTAAAGCATTTAGTATGTACAACAGCATGGCAAATAAACTCAAAAACAGGCCCCAATGGTCCCCACCTTTTTTATTCATATTTTATATATTATCTTTCCTTGACTTTGGGTGGGATCTACAACTTACTCTTAATCAATAGAATATGGCAAAGGTGTGAGATGTCACTTCCATGAAGATGTTACATAAAATTGTACCTCCATAGTGAGTTTTTATTTTGGGAATGGCAATGAGGCAAAGAACTGAGGTGGCCTGAGAACAACAGACAGCTAGAAACTGTAGCCCTCATTCCAACAGCCCAAGAAGAAATCAATTTTACCTACAACCATGAGAACTTGGAATTGGATCCTGCCCCAACTGAGTGTTCAGATGATACCTCAACCCAGGTTGATACCTTGACTACAGCCTCATGAGAGACTTTAAAAAGTGGGCTAATCTAAGACAGGCCTGGCCTTTTTTTAGTTTTTTTTTTTTTTTTTTTTTTTTTTTTTAAGGAGATGAGGGTCTTGTTTTATTGCCCAGGCTGGAGTGCAGTGGCTATTCACAGGCATGATCATACTGAACTGCAGCCCTAAACTCCTGAGCTCATGTGACCCTCTTGCCTCAGGTCCTGAGTAGCTTGAATGACAAGCATGTGCCACTGTGCCCAGCTTTCTGTCTGGACTTTAATCCAAAAATGTAAATAATTTAAAGTTGCTAAATTTGTAGTGATGTGTTATATAGCAATCATTAACTAATACAAACAGAAAACTCACTTTTATGCTGATTACTAAACTGTATTTATATCATTTCAGTAGGTGAAGGATTAATTGAGACTCATTGCAAGATTTCATAGAAAAGTAATTGTTAGCAAACAGAAATCAAGTTCAACACTGTGTCAGGTCCTGGTGTGATGGACGTATTTTCTTGCTAACTAAGCTATTTAAGACTACCCTAAGAAATAACTGTTTGATATGATATAAAGTAAATTATTAATATTAGTTAGAAAGGGGCAAAGTAACTTGGTGGATGCAGTTAATTCTGTATCAATACAGCATATCAAAGAAAACAAAGATTCTAATCATACTGTCCATTATTTCATTCCCACAAATTAACCATATGACTATAATTGTTTTATTATTTCATCCATATTTCTAACTGTATGGCTTAAACTACACTTCATAAGTTCAGCATATTGTTGCAATTTGAAAACTGTGTCCAGGTATATGAATAACTACTATGACTGACTACTATGACTAAGCATTCACTATGAGAAATCTCTCTTATGTTGAGTGTACTCTGATTTTCAGAAACACATACTAAGTTTAGATGTTAGCTTTATTTCCCTTTTTTATTCCTAATTGTAATGTTTCTTCACAATGAAAATCAATGCAGCCATTCTATCTTTTAAAAACCTTTTTAAAATCTAGTTATTATAGATAGAGCTAGAAATATTATCACCCCCATTGTTTTTAACTGAGGGGTAAATTTTCAAGAGTTTCTACTTCACTTGGAAATAGAAATTCTATTTTACTTGGAAATAAAAATCCCCAAAACAAATTGTTTTCTTTCTCAAAAGACTTGTCTTTATCAACTATTTTGAACTTGATTTAAAAAATAGAAAACAAGAACAAAAAAAGTATACTTTGCTGATTGGAACATATAGCAAGTTAAAATGTAGCTAAAAGGGGAAAAACAGTATTTTTGCCAAAAAACAAAAGCCAAAAGTGAAATACAGAAGTGAAGACATTTTTATGAGGAATAAATATGCATGAGATATCACAGAAAGGTGAAGTTGAAAATTCAATCAGTTCTCTATTGAATTAATAGGTACCTCTGGAACTGTCCTGTTGCTTTATGTGAAATAGCTAATGAGCAGGAGAGAAGTTTCCAAAAACAGGAGAGTCAGCACGTTCCAGGAACTCACTTGCTTTTTAAAAGGAATTATAAATAGTACATGGCTATTTCTTGAAAATTGACATATTTTTCTTTCACTTCTACGTTGAGAAGAAATTGTTAGATTTTTTTTTCTGTCTTGGAAAATAATAGTAACAAGGAAAAAATTAAAGCTACACATTTTATGCATCATATCTGCACATATTTTTTACTTTTTAAATTGGTATTGCTCTGAATATGAAGTTTAAAATGAATTTCTCTTCGTGTACTTCTTGGTCCATCCCAGGAGAATAACACTTCTAAGAACCACCTCACTAACATATGTGGGACTCACAGACTCAATTGGCAAGGGCCAGCTTGGTGACTTAAAAGACTGACATTCATTATCTGACATTCAGGGAGTGTATACCCCATCTAAAGGGCAACACCTCTTGGCTTTTAGTCATTTGTAGAGATGAGGAAATAAAGTCTCAATACGGCTTGAGTATTACATTTCAAAGGGATGTTCAACTGTTTTCACAGCACATTCTGATTTTTAAACCTAAGTCAAACAATTCAAAATATTGTCAAGGCTTAATAGAATATGCCTAGTTGCATAAGGCAATTTACACAGCAGTACTTACCCAGTGGCCCATCCTGGGCTCACTCCTTGGCTCCATCTGAGAGACTCCTATGTAAGCATCATGATCCAAACTGCACCAACAACATTCCTTACTGGAGATTTGAAATCTGATAAAAGATACTCGGATATCCACTGTGTTGGGTACAAATCATCCTATAAGGCAGCGGCAAAAATAGTAAGAAAGGTCCCAAAACTCTAGGAAGTCATTGATTTCTAACCATCCTTCAATTTTCAGGTGACTTCCCTAGTTCTTCTGATAAATACCTTTTGACTATGTTTTTCCTCAATTAACCAGAATTGAGTTTTGTTTCGTGAATATAAAAACAAAACAAAACAAAAATAACCTAACAACCAAAAGAAAACCTTAATTGAGATGGAAATCTGTCTTTTTCTTTCCATCTAATCCCTTTCTATATGTAAATAGTTTCAATCAGGAGAAAAGCCAGGCTCCTAAGCATATGTGAATGAGGGGTGGGAGGTGAGGGGGCAATATTTTTGCTTGTTAATGAAATTGTGGTGATGGGGGGCAGTTGCCATTGTTACTTAGTATTTCAGGTCATGGAGTTTGGAGTTTGTAGAAGTTCCAGGCCTAGTAAATATCCTGCAATGAGAGGCACAGATGTACACATAAAGAATGGTGCCATTCAAACAGCAAAAGAAATATTGCTGTGTTTCTCAAAAATCTCAAGAGGGGCAGCATGGTATTCCCAAAGTCAATAATCTGTTATTTTGAAATTCAAGATGTCAACTTGAGTCTTGAGCCCTCTCAAGACTCAGTTGAGGACTGGCTTCATCATGATGCCTCTCCAAACTATTCTCAAATTGTATTCCTTCTTACTCTCTCTCTTTTTTTCTTCCTTCTTTCTTTTTTATTTATTCGTTTTTGTTTTCACAAACTGTATCTTTCCCCTTGAGGGTTTGCAATATACAAGAAGGTATATTAAATGACTTGAATTTTAAAAAAAGAAAGAAAGAAAACATAGTCTTGAGAATCTTAAATCCAAAGGTTTTACTTTATTTCTCACCTATTTTTATGCCAGCTTCTAGAGATGAAATCCTATATATCACCTATCTTTCTTATGCTGTCACTCGAGAGAACTTGAAAATGTCTTTACGTTTAACTATCATTTATTTTTGGATTCCCCACTAAAATAAAATGAAAGTTTTTCACATTGCTTCCACTCATTAAGTGAGTACTTAATCTTTATTACCATGACAATAGCACAAGTTCACTAGGGAAACTATTTTATATTTGCAATTGTAGGCATTACTGTCATTGCATCTTTTGGTTTAGAACTTCTTGGAATCACTAACAAATGCAAAGGCTTTGCAAAGTATTTTGTAGATATTTAGTAGGTTGCATTGTATAAGAAATTCATTGATAAAGCTCAGTAAAGCTAGAATTGTCTCTGTTTTCCCTAGTTACATCTCACTCTCCATTTGTTCTTATTCAAATTAAGCTGCTTTCTTCAAATCTACCAACCTCCTCCAAGCCCATTTGTCATCTTTAGCAAGCCTGGTGAACACATTTATTGATCACCTGGCACATGCCAAAAAACATCTCTGATTGCAAAAGTTAATAGAAACATAGTAATATGACACTTGAAAGGCATTGATGAGGAAATATTTTCCATGTGGTTTGGAGAGGTGAATGTTTTAAGCAAGCAAAGCCTCACATCATTGGATAGTCTATAATTCTTCTGCTCTTCTTTGGGTTTCTTTGAGTTTTTATCATTGTGTTATAAAAACCTGTTTAAATAACTGCAGCTTTACTAGAATGTGAACTGCCTGAAGCAGTCAGCATCACTGAGCTTTGTATCTCAATGTCTAAGCAAGTTGCCTGGCTCACAGGAAGTACTTAAAAATGACTGTGAAGGAATACACAGGAAGCCATTCTAAATTATTGCTTTAATCAAGGTTCCTTCTAATTCACTGATTTCTCAAGATTTTCTGGTGCATTTGGACCACTTAGGTATGCTGACTCTGTCGGGAAATTGTATCTTTCACTGTAAAGAAAAATTTGGCCAGGCATTGTTGGTTATGACGTGGCATCCCAGCACTTTGGGAGGCGGAGGCAGGTGGACCACTTGGGTCCAGGAGATCAAGATCAGCCTGGGCAACAAAACAAGATAAGTGGTTAATGCAAATCATTTTTGAAGACTGTGCCCAAGGCACTCAAGACATCTCATTCATTTACCTAACAAAATTAAGAGCCAGAACTGGACTTTGGTAAATGTATGGAGGGAAATTCATTTCTTAAAAGCAGAATGATTTGCTGTTGGACTGCAGAATGATTTGCTGTTGTGAAACTCCAAAAAAATTTCAAAAAGTACAAGTGGAAATGTGTATTGTATTAGTACTTTCTCACACTGCTATAAGGACTACCTAAGACTGGGTAATTTATACAGAAAAGAGGTTTGATCCACTCACAGTTCCATAGATCGTACAGGAAGCATGGCTGGAAAGCCTCAGGAAACTTAGAATCATGGCAGAAGGTGAAGGGGAAGCAGGCACGTCTTGACATGGTAGCAGGAGAGCACAAAGAGGGAAGTGCTACACACTTTTGAACAAACAGATCACGTCAAAATTGACTCACTGTCATGAGAACAGCAAGGAGGAAATCCGGGCCCATGAGCCAATAACCTCCCACCAGGTCCCTCCCCCAACACTTGGGATTACAATTCAACATGAGATTTGGGTGAGGACACAGAGCCAAACCACCTGAAGTGTCAAGCCCAGAATTGTGTGAAAACAGTTTAAGTAAGATTCTTACACTTCTAACCAGAATCACAAATGTGATGTGCCCACTTGGGCTGTGAGTTATTGTCTGTTATTAAAGGATACCTCAGATGGAGGACATTACTTGGGAGCAGAAAGCAGCAGGTGTTTTGATGACAAATAAAACTGGACCACTTCCTGACTTTGTCACCTATAACCTACAGCAAATCTTCTTAATTGTGCAGACCATTAGTTTACTCAATTTTAAATATGCTAATGATTAGACTATCTGTCTTAAGTGATTATGACTACAGAAGATTGAAAAGTGCTTTGCCCACTGCTTGACACACAATAGGTGCCCAAACACATAAATCTTTCCTCCTCCATTGAAATCAGTACCACTCCTGCCTATCCAACTTCCATATATTTTTTAATTCAACAAACATTTGTTGAGAGTCACTCTGATAAGTATTAAGAAAAATGTAAAAGTGAAAGAGATAATAGTTCTGGCCTTCTGGAACCTTAGTAATTTCAAGTGAGAGCAAATGACATCATATGTATCAGACAGAGGGCAAGTTACAATGAATAAAATGTTACCATTTAAATAAATTGATGCAGCAGTACAGTGGAGGGTGACAGTAATCTGAGCTAAATGAATCTCCAAAAGTTTCTTTGAGGAAATGTAAGACTTAGCCTACAGGTTTGCATTGTATATTAAGCTTTCTCTAAGCAGTGCAATCACTAGGAAAATCTCCTTTTTACTTTATTGTTTCTTGTTTGGTAGACCTAACTCATTAGTTAAAAAGCATCTTGAAGTTACTGACTTTCATCACAGTGTGAAAGTTAGTGCATTTATACCATGCAGTAAAAAGTGGGGGGAGAAAAAGCCCAAATTGGTTTAGAATGCAAAGACCAAAGGTACGTAATCTTGATCATTTGCAGAATATTTTCTACCTATAAAATGTAGTTATCTCACTAATTCCAGTCGTTGAGATGATAATTTAACAAGGTGGGATTTATAGAAGAGAATCTTATCTATCAAATTCTGTAGAAGTGGAGGTTATTTTTATTGGAGTTCAACTAGTAACTGTTGATTGATTAAAACTTCTAGCAGTTTTATGGGTTAGAAAATAATTTTCCATTTCTGAGTGAATCACTCAGATGTTTCATTGAAGGCACCTAAATGAATTTTTAGCTTCCTGTATAAAATCAGTCAACCATACAGGTGATAGATATATCCAGACAAGTCCTAGAGTGTATTGGAAATATTAATATTTTCTTTATTAGTTCTGATAATGTTTCAACTTTTGCTGTAGTAAAATTATGCTAAGTTTTGGTAGAATAAAAATTACAGTAAATTTTTAGCTCCATAGGGGAAACTAAGTTGAGAAATCCAGGAACACAGTTTTTTATACTCCAGAGTAAACTACGGGAAAAATAAAACAAACTGATTAAGATTTTAGGGCAATTGTTTTGTAAATAAACATAATTACAGTTTTTCCCGTTATTGCTATTATGAAGTACCCTACCGTCTAATCTCTTCATTTGAAAATGTTAGAATATATACATTAAAAATAATCTAGTTGGGCTGGGCGCGGTGGCTCACGCCTGTAATTGCAGCACTTTGGGAGGCCGAGGTGGGCGGATCACGAGGTCAGGAGATCAAGACCATCCTGGCTAACACGGTGAAACCCTGTCTCTACTAAAAATACAAAAAAATTAGCCAGGCATAGTGGCAGGTGCCTGTAGTCCCAGCTACTCTGGAGGCTGAGGCAGGAGAATGGCATGAAACTGGGAGGCAGAGCTTGCAGTGAGCCGAGATTGTGCCTCTGCACTCCAGCCTGGGTGACAGAGCGAGACTCCATCTAAAAAAAATAAATAAATAGTAATAATAATAATATTAATCTAGTTGATTGAGTTTTCATTAATTTGTAGAAATATTAATGCACATAATATTTACTTGAAAGCCAGAACATATGAATTTAGAATCCAGATGTACCACTACTGGATTATATTAGCTTGGATAATTACATGGTTACTCTGGCCTCAATTGCTTTATCTTAAAATTGAAGGTTACTATTATTGGTTTTGTAGGAAATTTTCAAGTGTTGACAAGATTCTATATTAAAAGTGCATTTTATTTATTTTTAAAAAAAATTTAGGAGCCAGGGTTTTGCTCTGCTGTCTAGGCTGGAGTGCAGTGGTACAATCATACCTCACTGCAACCTCAAACTTATGGCTCAAGTTCTCCTCCCACCTCAGTCTCCTGAGTAGCTAAGACCTCAGGCATGTGCCACCATGCCTGGCTAATTTTATGTATGTATGTATTTATTTATGTATGCATTTACTTCTTTGTTTGTTTGTTATTGTAGAGATAGGCTCTAGCTAAGTTGCCCAGGCTGGTCTTGAACTCCTGGCCTCAAGTCATCCTCCTGCCTTGGCCTCCCAAAACGTTGGGATTACAGGCATGAGCCACCACACAGAGCCCCTAAAAGTGTATTTTAAATGTTTACTGATACCCATTATTTACAATTTAGACACCAAATTTTCAAACTTCTTAATAATTTGCATGCACATACAAATTCCTATTAATATTGGCCAAGAAAAACTGCTTAAGCCTGTATTTCAATTTGCCAATTACAAAATATTTCTTCACTGAAACAAGATCTACCACAAAAGTCACACTTAGAAAAACAATAAAATTAAGTTTCAAAGTGTATTTTTGAATCCCCACAGTGTGCCAGATATGAACCTCTGCTAACTCATAGCTATTTATTAAAAAAAAAATTGTTTTTGCACTATTTCAGATAGCCTTCTTTGACAGTTGTGTTCAAATTTTAAAATCTCTGAGAAAGTACCAAAGGTCTGTGTAAATGGATGGCTGAAAGAAAGGGGAGTAAGAGAACTTCTAGGTAGGAATCCAGAGACCCTGGTATTGTCTCAGTTCTATCCTCAGTTTTGATTCAATAAACTGTGAGCTTCTGCCTTAGCCACCAGCTCTCTCCTAAACTTGTTTCCTCTCAAAACATGAGCTGGAGGTACTAGGTGATCTCTAAGTTATTTCTTTCATTAATCGAAAAAGAACGATGATCAAAAGGTGAGCCTTGATACATAAAATATAATTCAGTAGTAACAAGCCCCAAGCATTCATAAACAGTTAATTTTGTGCTGCTGAGACTATGTGAATAATAAAACCTTCAATATCAGAAATATTAATTAGAAAATGGGATCCTTACTTGCACTTGATTTAAAATAAATCTTACTTATCTTTGGAATAACTTAAGCTGGACTTGAACGAAAGGATCGGAATTCAGTTAATCTCTGTTTAGACAAATACTTCATGTCTTTCAAGACGCAATATAACTGCCTCACTTCCATACATCCAATGGTTCCCTGCTTAAAATTCCAGTATATTTACTATATTTATCATTTAAAGAGACATAGCATTCTTGTATTTGTCTCTAATTGCATTCTTTAAAGACTTTGATGATAGTAGAAACCACTAAGAGAGTGAGAAAATTGAAGTTTAAATTATGTACATTGCTCATAATCAAAGAAAAATGAGATCATTTATTTAGTGGAGAGTGACAACATGCTAACTCTGGTAAGAACAGTTTAAAAATGTAAATATATGCGACTGCATATGTGATTTCTTTCTTTCATGTCATTAAATACAGGATGTAGAAAATAACACTGTACAAATGCTAGAGAAAAATCATGTTGCACAATCTGTGCCCCTGAGAAGATTTTTCCCACACATTATAAATTTTGTTTTTTGCATATCTAAGTGCAATAATCTCTGTTAAAAGAGCTTCTTTCATATGTTGTTTCTGCCCCTATTTAAACCACACAAATAAAAAATTACATTAAAATATATATATATTTTTAAATTTACTTTAATTATATTTTAAGTTTTGGGATACATGTGCAGAATGTGCAGGTTTGTTACATAGGTAAACATGTGCCATGGTGGTTTGCTGCACCTATCAACTCATCATCTAGGTATTAAGCCCAGTATCCCTTAGCCATTTGTCTAGGTGCTCTCCTTCCCCCTACCACCACTACCAGGCCCCAGTCTATGTTGTTCCCCATGATGTGTCCGTGTGTTCTCATCATTCAGCTCCCACTTATACGTGAGAACATGTGGTGTTTGGTTTTCTGTTCCTGTGTTAGTTTGCTGAAGATAATGGCTTCCAGCTCCATCCATGTCCCTGCAAAGGACATGATCTCATTTCTTTTTATAGCTGCATTGTATTCCATAGTGTATGTGTGCCACATTTTCTTGATCCAGTCTATCATCGATGGGCATTTGGGTTGATTCCATGTCTTTGCTATTGTGACTAGTGCTGCAACGAACATATGTGTGGATGTGTCTTTATGATAGAATGATTTATATTCCTTTGGGTATATATCCAGTAATGGGATTGCTGGGTCAAATGGTATTTCTGGTTCTAGGTCTGTGAGGAATCACTGCACTGTCTTCCACAATGGTTGAACTAATTTACATTCCCAACAACAGTTTTAAAACGTTCCTATTTCTCCACAGCCTGGCTAGCCTCTTTTGTTTCTTGACATTCTAATAATCATCATTCTGACTGGTGTGAGATAGTATCTAGCTTGTCTCTTTGTTTAATGTACCAGAATCTGTGAGATGCAGCTAAAGCAATGTTAAGAGGGGAATTTATGGCACTAAATGCCTACATTAAAAAGCTAGAAAGATCTCAAATAGACAACCTAATATCACAGCTAAATGAACTAGAGAGCCAAGAGCAAACCAACCCCAAAGCTAGCAGAAGACCAGAAATAACCAAGATCAGAGCAGAACTGAAGGAGATAGAGACAGAAAAACCCTTCAAAAAATCAATGAATCCAGGAGCTGGCTTTTTTAAAAGGTTAATAAAATAGACTTCTAGCTAGACTAATAAAGCAGAATAAAGAGAAGAATCGAACAGACACTATAAAAAATGATAAAGTGTATATCACCACTGACCCACAGAAATACAAACAACCATCAGAGAATAGTATAAACACCTCTATGCAAATAAAACATCTTTAAAAAATAAGAAACTATCAACAAAAACAAAAAACATATCTTACACCTTAGTGGAATATAAAAGAGACAGAAGTTGTAAGATGAATTCCCTATTGCTCAATGTTATATTAATTTCTGTAATTACAAAATATTTTTGTAATCAAAAACATTGACCTCAAGTTATTGTAAGATCTTTAAGGATTTTAAAATTATCAGACCATTAAATTATTCTCCAGTTATTTTTTTTAAATGCCTGTGAATTCCAGACTGTATTTGTCAAAGTCCTACTGTGTGCTCAGGAGTTCTACCCACACTCCATTGCCTAAAGATACTTATTATTCAGGTCAACACAATTGCACCAGCCTCCCAATCTACCTCACTTTTACTCCTGTCTAGTCTACATACAGAAACAGTGAGCTCTACAAAATCCCAAATTGTTCATTCAAATCTCCTGCTAACCATAATTTATGGCTTCCTAATACCACCAAGATAAAACCAAATGTTCTCACATATCATGCAAAGCCCGGTATGATCTTTCTCTGACTACCTAACTAATTTCATTTCATCACATTCACACTGTAAGCTCTAGCTGTAGAAGCTATATATTTCCTTAATACTAGTTCATTTTTACCCGTTGGCCTCTATACACAAACTTTGTATTAAGAAAGTGTCTATGATTTTCTTTTTTAATTTATTCTTTAATCCCCAAAGACTGTTGCACTTTGTTATATGCCTTTCCTGCATCAATGATGTGATCGTATAATTTTTCTCCTTAGTTCTATCAATACAGTGAATTATGCTTTTAGATTTCCTAATATTGAAATCATCCTTGCATCCCTGGAATTAATCCCACTTTGTCATGATGGCTTCACTTTTAAATGAGCTAAGTGATTCTGTTTGCTACCATTTTCTTAAGATTTATGCATTACTAATCATAAATTAGGTTGGCCTTTAGCTTTCCTGTTCAGTGCAATCTTTGTTGGGGGTAAGGATTCCAGTTATTCTCGTTTCATAAATCATATTTGAATATTTTCCTTCCTTGTCTATACTGTGGGACAACTTATATTGCTTTAGGATTGTCTGAGCTTTGGTATTCTTCCTGCATGAATTTTTCTGGGCCAGGGGTTTTTATGGTAGAGCACAGTAATCACTTTCTCTCTGTGCATTAACTTATTTTGCTATTACTAATATGAAACTAATTTGTTACCTTCTGGGGTTTAGATTTTTTGCTTTCCTTTACTTTAACTTTCCTTTACTTTAACTGTTATCTTGCCTGTTCTTCAAAAAACTTACTATTGGCTTATTTACACTTTTTGTTTTCCAACTTGTTAAATTGTTTTATTTGTATTAGTTGCCTTTATCTGCTTTCTTTTCTTACTCTGGTATTCATTTTTTAGAATTTTAAGTTTGAATGTTTTACTTAGTAAATTTATGCTTACTATTTTTATTAATATAGCAGTCTTTTCCTGGAAAAGAGCTTTTACTGAATTTGGAGATGTTGTCATTTCACTACTTATTTTAACATAACAAAATTTTTAATTATGTTTCCTCTTTAAACAAAATTCTTGAATATTACTTATATTTTAAATAATTTATTTTGCAATTTGTGCAATTAAACTTTAATATAAATATTGACTATATAAATGTTCCATGTGAAATGTTTAAAAATATATTTATATGATTTGAACTCAAAGTATGTATATGTATTTTTTTCTTTTCCTGCTTGCAATAACCCCACCATGGTTCATGACTCATCTCACATCACCCCCTGTCTGCATTATTGTCATTTTCTCTTAAAAGTTTTCCCTGCTTTCCTTATTCCTAATTGTATTTTCTTTTCTTTTCTTTTTTTTCTTCTTCTTCTTTTTTTTTTTTTTTTTTTTTTGTGAGACGGAGTCTCGCTCTGTCTCCAGACTGGAGTGCAGTGGCACGATCTCAGCTCACTGCAAACTCCGACTCCCTGGTTCAAGCAATTCTCCTGCCTCAGCCTCCTGAGTAGCTGGGATTACAGGCATGCACCACTACACCCAGCTAATTTTTGTACTTTCCTTTTTTAGTAGAGACGGGGCTTCACCATGTTGCTCAGGAGGGTCTTGATCTCCTAAACTCGTGATCCGCCCGCCTCGGCCTCCCAAAGTGCCGGGATTACAGGCGTGAGCCACCCGGCCCAGCCTCCTAATTGTATTATCTTAACGTATCAGCTGGAATCAGCCCTTTAAGATATCAACCAATTATGACCGTCCATTTCACCATAAATGCCTGATTGATTTCCAGGGCAGTCTTTGACCCTCTCTCCTAGTGGCCTCGCTCTTACTGAAGCTATCCCCACCACAGTAGTAATCTTGCTGTTTACTGAAAACTAGTATCATGTTCCTAACTTAGGACATTTCTCTAGCTATTTCTTTTGCCTGAATTATTTTGCACCTTAGAAGCCATATGGTTAAATCTCTCACGTCTTTTAAATATTTTTTCAAAATGTTAGTTTGAAGAGCATTGGCTTCAACTTAAAGTCTTCTTCTCCATTAGCCCCTAACCAGGAAGTCAGCCAGTCCTTTGAAGCTTTGAAGCCAGACTTTTCATCTACATTGAAAATCTATTGTTTTAGTGCAGCCACCTTCATCAATGATCTTAGCTAGACCTTCTGATGCTACAGCTTCACCGTCAGCACTTGTTGCTTCAACCTTGCACTTTAATATTATGGAGACAACTTCTTTTCTTAAACATCATGTACCAACCTCTGCTAGCTTTTCTTCTGTAGCTTCCTCACATCTCTCAGCCTTCATAGAATTGAATAGAGTTAGGATCTTGCTCTGGATTAGACTTTGGCTGAAGGGAAAGTTGTGGTGGGTTTGATCTTCTATCCAGACCACTAAAACTTTCCCCACATCAACAATAATGATGTTTCACTTTCTTATAATTTTTTTGTGTGAAATAGCACTTTTAATTTCCCTTGGAAGCTTTCCTTTGCATTCAAAATTTTTCTAACTGGTGCAAGAGGCCTAGATTTCAGCCTGTCTCAGCTTTGGACATGACTTTCTCATTAAGCTTAACCATTTCTACCTTTTAAAGTGAGAAACATGCAACTCTTCCTTTCACTTGAACATGTAGACACCATCATAGGGTTACTAATTGGCCTAATTTCAATATTCTTGTGTCTGAGAGAATATGGAGGCCCAAGGAGAGGTAGATCGGAGTAGTCAAAACACACACCCTATTGATTAGGTTTGCCATCTTACATGAGCACAGTTTATGGTGTCCAAAAACAGTTTACACTAGTAACTTCAAACATCACTCATCACTGATCATTATAACAGATGTAATTACAATGAAAAAGTTCAAATATTATGAGAATTACCAAAATGTTCCTCAAAGACAGGAAGTAAGTGCATGCTTGTGGAAAATTGATGCAAATGGTCTTGCTGAACAGCGGGTTTCCACAAACCTGTAAATCATAAAAAAATGTCATATCTGTGAAGTTCAATAAAATGAAGCACAATGAAACAAGTTGTGTCTGTATGCTGTTTAATGAAGCCACTAGCCATTAAAAAGTAAGTCAATGATATTTGCTGTCAGATACAAATATGTAGATATTCATTGACGTTCCTGAATGAAGAGGAAAAGTGGTGTTTCCTTTGAATTTCCTACTTAGTAAAACAGGAGTCTCTTCCTCTGACCCTTCTCTGAATAACAAATTATTGGAATAAAATCAGTGTCCATTTAACCTCTACTGAGTGAAATTAATCCTCTAACCAGCATAAAGTAAGATTGTAAATGACAAACCTTCCATATACATAGGATCTTGGCATGTTTGAGATTTTTCCTGGATTGGAAAATTCTGTGATCTGTCTCAGGTATTTACCAATATCCTACTCTCTGACATGTGATAGCATATTACATATGTTCAAAAAAGCAGTTTGTAGATAAATTTTGAGCAATGAGTGAGTTTTCTAGTTACAGGAAGGCATATGCAAGGGAATCAGCTTTCAGAACTGGTTCCCAGAATAAAGAGTGAAAGTGGTATTTATAGTTCAAATTATTATATCATCAACAATAATTCCATTAGGATAAGCTTGAGCCAATGTTAATGAAAAAGGTGCTTTCTTCTTAGAAGGCCCATCTCATAATTTAGGGTTTTGGGAATGCTCTAATTTTCATGGCCTTCAGGAAGTTTCACTGGTTACCTCAGACGCTGAGAATTATGAGCTTTTTCTGACCTATTTTTTGTGTTCCTGTAGCCAAAGTCTGTGATGAGACTATGAGACTAAGGTCAAGATATCAGATTGGCCCTTCTAATACCTTGTAGTAGTCATCTACTGCAGTATGTATTAAATTAAATAGCAACTTTCCTGAACCAGAACCATTAATTTGATAACATGTTCTATTTTGTCTATTTTATTTGTAGAAGGGCAACAGATGATGATGTGGGCAAATGTATAATAATATCCTCATATTATGTTTAACAAAACTGGAACTATAATATACTAAGCCTGGAGGATTTTTAAAGCATCTAGAGTTACTTACTCTCTCTCTCATGGGAAGCATAAGTTCATTGTCCTTTTCTTGTCATCTATTCCAAGTCTGAAAATCAGAATCTGCAAATTCACCAACGTACTTGCCAAGAAATGGCATTGTATTCCACTTCTAAGGCTGATTTCAGAAGCCTCACAGCAGCAGCAGACTATGCTTTCTATAAGGAGGAATTCCATAAATGTTTCGTATATGGAAATTATGGAATTCCACTATGTTTTGTATATGGAGATTGTGACTCAAAATTCCTCCCTCCATAAATGGAAGGAGTTTTGAGTCATGATATCCATATGCAAAACATAGCCTTTATGTCTTTAATTATGGATTGTCCTACCTAATCAAGTGGTATTTTCCCTTAAATTTGACATATCTGTCATGGATATGGTTGAAAAAATATTTTTTAACCTATCCAATTAGGATGCAAAATTAGACCAAAAAATCACTTGGGTTAATATTTGACCATTTATCAGACAATATTTATCAATATGTGTCATTTTTTAAAGAACCATCTTCCTTAGGTATTGTTAATTTATTAACTGACAAAACATACTTGATTTTTCACAAGATATTTTTCATGAACTTTGATATATCAGTTAGAGCAAGATGCCATTAAAAAGTTCTGTCATTCTAATTTTCCTCCTTAAGTCTTTTAAAATTGATCATTAGACAAAAAAGATAAAAGCAATTTTTACCCAGGTCTATCAGAAAATAGAACATTTAAAAGAACAATATTTCAAGACAAATCATTGAAGTTAATCTCCCCTCTTTAGTTTCATTTGGGCCCACATAACTAACTCTTGTTTTGGTCCTGAGTCAGCAGTTTGCTTCATGAAATCATCTGCTTCATCAATAAACATGGAAATCCTGACTCAGTTATATATGAGAGACATCTGTTTTCATAGACCATGTCATCTTGGTGCCGAGAACCTGAGCTCATGACTCTCCATAACTCTGCATCAACAATCAAGAGTGCTCATTACAACCTTTTCTACCAAGATTATGAGAAACGAGCTTTATTTATTATTTCTCCTAGGAGATCCAACCTCTGCTTTGTAACTTGTGGCAGGAACTTTAGATAAATAAGAGAATAATGCTAACCACCTATGCAGGGTCAGGATGGAGTAAAATCTCTACTTGTGGCGTAATACACAACTATATTATATGTAATCAATCAATGGTTACCTTGAGATTCAGAAAATATTATGACCAGTGAGGGCATTTGCAAATTTCCCAGACCTTCTAATCTATTTTACAACACATGTTAAGATTTTCAACACTGACAAGTGTATTTTATTCCTAGAAACAAAACTTTCTTAAAACTTATGCTGACAAATACTTTGCTAGAGTCTGCAGTGAGTTATGATGAATTGTAAACTATAACTTAAACATAATTATGTCTAATTATGTCCACATTATAATTATGGTCTGGATAAAAAGACTTTTCATTGCCTTGTTGAGCTACTTTATGGATAAATATGGAAAATTATATCAGCCTGCTCAGCCTGCTATAATAAAATACTTATAGACCAGATGGTTTAAACAACACATTTATTTCTCATAGTATTGGGAGCTTGGAATTCCAAGGTCAAGGTCCAGTTAACTTGGCTCCTGGTGAAGGCTCTCTTCCTGGTTTGCAGATGGCCTTCTGACTGTGTTCTCAGATGGTAGAAAAGAGAGTTATCTGTCTGTATGTCTCTTATAATGCCACAAATCCCATTATGAGGGCCTCATTCTCGTGATCTCCTCTAACCCTAATTACTTCCAGAGGCTCTATTGGTTATTAGTGACTCAGTGTATGAATTTGGGGGGCACACAATTCAGTCTCTAGCATTCTGTCCCAGCCCCTCAAAATTGATATTTTTCTTATATGCAAAGTACATTCATTCCATCCCAATAGCCTCAAAGTCTTAACCCATTCCAGCATCAACTCTTTTAAAGTCCTTTTTTTTTCCCTAAATATTATCCAAATCATATATGAGTAAGACTCTAGGTATGATTCATCCTAAGGCAAAACTTCTCTCCAGTGTGGAGCATGTGAAACCAGACAAGTTATCTGCTTTCCAAATATAATTGTGGGGCAGGGGCAGTTAGATGTTCCCATTCCGAAAGTGATAAAAAGGGAAAAAGAAAAGGTTGATAATTCCCAAGCAAGTCTAAATCTTAGCAAGATAAATCCCACTATATCTTAAGGTTCAAAAACAATCTTCTTTGCTTGGATACTCTACCTCTGGACCCACTGAGGCAGCCAGCAGTCTCACCTCCACAGCTCTGCAGGGCAAGGGTTGTTTTCCCAAAGCTCTGGGAAGCCTCATCTCCAAGGCTTCTGCTAGAGGCTGTTTGGCTTGTTGAAACTATGGCATTAGCCCTAATGTATTACACCTTTAGGACACTTCTTTTCTTTAAGAATAGCACATGTTCTCAGCCGAAGAGCTCTATGGTGTAGGCTATGGAATAGAAGAAGTCTGTCATTCTTATTTCATTTAGTCTCTGTTTTTCCCCTTAATTCAAACTAGTAGTGTCTTTGCTGGTATGACCCCATCTCTATTCTTGGCTTTTGTTGAAATGGCTGATTTAATCCATGGGTCACACTAATGATCTCTTTATCAAATCCTTCTTCAGCCATACCCTTACCGCTCTCTTCAGAACAAACGTTCTTATTTTTTGCATCATGCTGAGAGTTTTCCAAGTCTTCAACTTCTGAGTCCTTTTTGCTTTACAGTTTCTTCTTCAATTTATCTCTCTCTTTTGCCATTTTACTATCAGCACTCAAAAGGAACAAGGTCACTCCGTCAACAATTGGTTTAGAAATAGTCTTAGCTAAATATCTGACTTCATCACTCACAAGTCTTAGCTTTTATAAAACTGTAGAACACCGTTCAGCCAAGTTATTTGCCACTTTATAACAATGTCACCTTTTATCTAGTTTTCAATAACCTGTTCCTCGTTTTCTTCTGAGAACTCACCAGAATCAGTTTTAACATGCATATTTCTGCCATGCACGTCAAAACTCTTCCAATCTCTACCAACGGCCCAGTTCTAAAGCCACTTCCCCGTGATTGGGTATTTGCTGAAGCAGCACTGCACATCTCAGTACCAAAATCTGGATTAGTCAGCTTGAGCTGCTATAACGAAATACCACAGACTGGATGATGGAAGCAACGCCTATATCTCCTGGTTCTAGAAAATGGAAAGTCAAAGATCAAGGTGCTGGCCAATTCAGTTCCAGTAAGGGCCCTCTTTCTGTGTTGCAGACCTTCTCCCTGTGTCTTCACATGGTCATTAACCAATCATGAGGGCCCCAGACTCCTGATCTCATCTAACCCAATTACCTCCCAACAACCCCATCTCCAAATACGACATCTGTGGTTAGGACTTTAAAATAAAAATATGAGGAGGACACAATTCAGCCCTCAACAATAATATAAATATTTTCCATATCTACTTTTTTTTTTTTGCCATTCCTACTTGTTCATGAGTGCCATGTCTCACAGGTACATGTTACTAACTGAGCCTTTGGCGCTACCCAGCTTTCTTTTCAGTTCAAGGCCTGATTTTTAAAAGGCAATATCAAAAAGTTATCAGAGGAGATTTGTTATTACAGCAACATATAAGTTGTAGATGCCTCAGGACCAGAAATGATTGCAGTCTTGTTTACATAATTAATCTGTCAGACAATAGTTTTCAAATGAAGAAAATAAACAATTATTACAAATTTTATCTTTTGCAGAAGCCAGGAAGTTTTATTAAAGATGATTCAATAACATGAAAAAATTCATATCAAAAACACAGTAAGTTAAAAAGTTCTCAGGAAATGAGAATGTTGTAATGAGATATGAACATCTGTTCTCTAGGCAGAATGCACTGGTATACACTGTTTCTGTTAAAGAACAATTTTATGCTGAGCTAATTTTTTTCTCTTCATTGTTTATAAGATTACTTTGATTAAAAATGAGAATATGCTTTTACCTTCAGCTTCTTAAAATATGTGAACATAAAATATCAGCTTTAAAATATACAAATTTTAATCATATTATAAGCAACTCATGTATCACACTGAATCCACACTCTCATTTATAATTTACTATGTTTTGGTATAGACAAGAAAATGTAAGCAAATCTTTGCTTTGTGACTGATTGAATACTTCAGTTTTCTCTCTTTATGAATTTTCATCTCCTGTAGAAAGTATCCAAATAAAAATTACTTTTAAACCAACTTAAAACCAACTTAAATTATTATTATACTTTAACTTCTGGGATACATGTGCAGAACTTGCAGGTTTGTTACACAGGTATACATGTGCCATGGTGGTTTCCTGCACCCATCAACTCATCATCTACATTAGGTATTTATCCTAATGCTATCCCTCCCCTGGCCCCCCAACCCCTGCCTGGCCCCAGTGTGTGATGTTCCCCTCCCTGTGCCTATATGTTTTCAATGTTCAACTCCCACTTATGAGTGAGAACATGTGGTGTTTGGTTTTCTATTCTTGCATTAGTTTGCTGAGAAAGCTGGTTTCCAGCTTCATCCATGTCCCTGCAAAGGATATGAACTCATTCTTTTTTATGACTGCACAATATTCCATGGCATATACGGGCCACATTTTCTTTATCCAGCCTTACATTGCTAGGCATTTGGGTTGGTTCCAAGTCTTTGTTATTGTGAACAGTGCTGCAATAAACATACGTGTGCATGTGTCTTTATAGTAGAATGATTTATAATCCTTTGGGTATATACCCCATAATGGGATGGCTGGGTATTTCAAATGGTATTTCTAGTTCTAGATCCCTGAGGAATTGCCACACTGTCTCGCACAATGGTTAAACTAATTTACACTCCCATCAACAGTGTAAAAGCATCCCTATTTGTCCACATCCTCTCCAGCATCTGTTGTTTCCTGACTTTCTAATGATCACCATTCTAACTGGCGTGAGATGGTATCTCATTGTGGTTTTGATTTGCATTTCTCTAATGACCAATGATGATGAGCTTTTTTTCACATGTTTGTTGGTGCATAAATGTCTTCTTTTGAAAAATGTCTGTTCACGTTCTTTACCCACTTTTTGATGGCATTGTTTTTTTCCTGTAAATTTGTTTAAGTTCCTTGTAGATTTCTGGATATTAGCTCTTTGTCAGATGAATAGATTGCAAAACTTTTATCCCATTCTGTAGGTTGCCTGTACACTCTGATGATAGTTTGTTTTGCTGTGCAGAAGTGCTTTGGTTTAATTAGATTCCATTTGTCAATTTTGGCTTTCGTTACAATTGCTTTTGGTATTTTGGACATGAAGTATTTGCCCATGCCTTTGTCCTGAATGGTATTACCTAGGTTTTCTTCTAGGGTTTTTATGGTTTTAGGTCTTACATTTAAATCTTTAATCCATCTTGAGTTAATTTTTGTAAGGTGTAAGGAAAGGGTCCAGTTTCAGTTTTCCACATATGACTAGCCAGTTTTCCCAACACCATTTATTAAATAGGGAATTCTTTCCCCATTGCTTGTTTTTCTCAGGTTTGTCAAAGATCAGTTGCGTGTAGATGTGTGGTGTTATTTCTGAGGCCTCTGTTCTGTTCCATTGGTCTATATATCTGTTTTAGTACCAGTACCATGCTGTTTTGGTTATGGTAGCCTTGTAGTGTAGTTTGAAGTTGGGTAGCATGATGCCTCCAGCTTTGTTCTATTTGCTTAGGATTGGCTTGGCTATAGGGGCTCTTTTTTGGTTTCACATGAAATTTAAAGTAGTTTTTTCTAATTCTGTGAAGAAAGTCAATGGTAGCTTGGTGGGGATGGCATTGAATCTATAAATCACTTTGGCCAGTATGGCCATTTTCATGATATTGATTCTTCCTATCCATGAGCAAGAACGTTTTTCCATTTGTTTGTGTCCTCTCTTATTTCCTTGAGCAGTGGTTTGTAGTTTTCCTTGAAGAGGTCCTTCACGTCTCTTGTAAATTTTATTCATAGGTATTTTATTCTCTTTGTAGCAATTGTGAATGGGAGTTCACTCATGTTTTGGCTCTCTGTTTGTCTGTTATTGGTGTCTAGGAATGCTAGTGATTTTTGCACATTGATTTTGTATCCTGAGACTTTGCTGAAGTTGCTTATCAGCTTAAGGAGATTTTGGGGTGAGATGACGGAGTTTTCTAAATATACAATCATGTCATCTGCAAACAGAAATAATTTTACTTCCTCTTTTCCTATTTGAATACACTTTATTTCTTTCTCTTGCCTGATAGACCTGGTCAGAACTTCCAATACTATGTTGAATAGGAGTGGTGAGAGACGGCATCCTTGTCTTGTGCCAGTTTTCAAAGGGAATGCTTCCAGCTTTTGCCCATTCAGTATGATATTGGCTGTGGGTTTGTAATAAATAGCTCTTATTATTTTGAAATATGTTCCACCAATACCTAGTTTATTGAGTGTTTTTAGCATGAATGGGTGTTGAATTTTATTGAAGGCCTTTTCTGTATCTATTGAGATAATCATGTGGTTTTTGTCATTGGTTCTGTTTATGTGATGGATTACATTTACTGATTTGGGTATGTTAAACCAGCCTTGCATCCCAGGGATGAAGCCAACTTGGTTGTGGTGGATAAGCTTTTTAATGTGCTGCTGGATTCAGTTTGTCAGTATTTTATTGAAGATTTTCACCTCAATGTTCATCACGGATATTGTCCAGAAATTTTCTTTTTTTGTTGTGTCTCTGCCATGTTTTGGTATCAGGATGATGCTGGCCTCATAAAATGAGTTAGGGGGAGTCCCTCTTTTTCTACTATTCGGAATAGTTTCAGAAGGAATGGCCCCAGCTCCTCTTTTTACCTCTGGTAGAATTTGGCTGTGAATTCTTCTGGTCCTGGGCTTTTTTTGGTTGGTAGGCTATTCATTACTGCCCCAACTTCAGAACTTGTTATTGGTCTACTCAGGGGTTTGAGTTCTTCCTGGTTTAGTCTTGGGAGGATGTATGTGTCCAGGAATTTATCCATTTCTTCTAGATTTTCTAGTTTATTTGCATAGACGTGTATTTTCTGATGGTAGTTTGTATTTCTGTGAGATCAGTGGTGATCTCCCCTTTATCATTTTTTGTAGTGTCTATATGATTCTTCTCTATTTTCTTCTTTATTAGTCTGGCTAGCAGTTTATCTATTTTGTTAATCTTTTTTAAAAAAAAAACCAGATCCTGGATTCACTGATTTTTTTGAAGGTTTTTTTGTGTTTCTATCTCTTTCAGTTCTGCTCTGATCTTAGTTATTTCTTGTCTTCTGCTAGCTTTTGAATTTGTTTGCTCTTGCTTCGCTAGTTCTTTTAATTGTGATGTTACAGTGTTGATTTTCGATCTTTGCTGCTTTCTCCTGTGGGCATTTAGTGCTATAAATTTCCCTTTAAACTCTCCTTTAGCTATGTCCCAGAGATTCTGGTACATTGCGTCTTTGTTCTCCCTGGTTTCAACTAACTTATTTATTTATGTCTTAATTTTGTTATTTACCCAGTAGTCATTCAGGAGCAAGTTGTTCAGTTTCCATGTAGTTGTGTGATTGTGAGTGAATTTCTTAATCCTGAGTTCTAATTTGATTGCACTGTGGTCTGAGAGATAGTTTGTTATGATTTCTGTTCTCTTGCATTTGCTGAGGAGTGTATTACTTGCAATTATGTGGTCAGTTTTAGAATAAGTGCTATGTGGTGCTGAGAAGAATGTGTATTCTGTTGATTTGCAGTGGACAGTTCTTTAGATGTCTATTAGGTCCACTTGGTCTAGAGCTGAGTTCAAGTCCTGAATATCCTTGCTAATTTTCTGTCTCAATCTGTCTAATATTGACAGTGAGGTTTTAAAGTCTCCCACTGTTATTGTGTGGGAGTCTAAGTCTCTATGTAGGTCTCTAAGAACTTGCTTTATGAATCTGGGTGCTCCTGTATTGGGTGCATATATGTTTACAGTAGTTACCTCTTCTTGTGACATTCATCCCTTTACCATTATGTAACGTCCTTCTTTGTCTTTTTTGATCTTTGTTGGTTTAAAGTCTATTTTATCAGAGACTAGAATTGCAACCCCTGCTTTTTTTTGCTTTCCGTTTGCTTGATAGATCTTCCTCCATCCCTTTATTTTGAGCCTATGTGCATCTTTGCATGTGAGCTGGGTCTCCTGAATACAGCACACTGATGGGTCTTGACTCTTTATCCAATTTGTCAGTGTGTCTTTTAATTGGGGTATTTAGCCCATTTACATTTAAGGTTAATATTGTTATGTGTGAAGTTTATCTTGTCATTATGATGCTAGCTGGTTATTTTGCCCATTAGTTGATCCAGTTTCTTCATACTGTTGATGGTCTTTACATTTTGGTTTGTTTTTGCAGTGGCTGGTACCAGTTTTTCCCTTCCATATTTACTGCTTCCTTCAGGAACTCTTGTAAGGCAGGCCTGGTGGTGACAAAATCTCTCAGCATTTGCTTTTCTGTAAAGGATTTTATTTCTCCTTCACTTATGAAGCTTAGTTTGGCTGGATATGAAATTCTGGGTTGAAAATTTTTTTCTTTAAGAATGTTGAATATTGGCCCTCACTCTCTTCTGGCTTGCAGGGCTTCTACAGAGAGATCCACTATTAGTCTGATGGGCTTCCCTTTGTGGATATCCTGACCTTTTTCTCTGGCTGTCCTTTACATTTTTTCCTTCATTTCAACCTTGGTGAATTTGATGATTATGTGTCTTGGGGTTGCTCTTCTCGAGGAGTATGTTTCTGGTGTTCTCTGTATTTCCTGAATTTGAATGTTGGCCTATCTTGCTAGGTCTGGGAAGTTCTCCTGGATAATATCGTGAAGCATGTTTTCCAACTTGGGTCCATTCTCCCGGTCACTTTCAGGTACAGTAATCAAACATAGGTTTCCTCTTTTCACATAGTCCCATATTTCTTGAAGGCTTTGTTCATTCCTTTCTATTCTTTTTTCTCTAATCTTGTCTTCATGCTTTATTTCATTAAGTTGATCTTCAATCTCTGATATCCTTTCTTCCCCTTGATTGATTCAGCTATTGATACTTGTATATGTTTCATGAAGTTCTTGTGCTGTATTTTTCAGCTCCATCAGGTCATTCATGTTCTTCTCTAAACTTAGAGGAAGTTAGCACTTCCTCTAAACTTTTATCAAGGTTCTTAGCTTTCTTCCATTGAGTTAGAATATGTTCCTTTAGCTCAGAGGAATTTGTTATTACCCACCTTCTGAAGCCTACTTCTGTCAATTCGTCAAATTCATTCTCCATCCAGTTTTGTTCCCTTGTTGGCAAGGAGTTGTGATCATTTGGAGAAAAAGCATTCTGGATTTTGGAATTTTCAGCCTCTTTGCCCTGGTTTTTCTTCATCTCTGTGGATTTATCTACCTTTGCTCTTTGCTGTTGGTGACCTTTGGATGGAGTTTTTGCATGGTCGTCCTTTTTGTTGATGTTGATGCTATTGCTTTCTATTTGTTAGTTTTCCTTCCAACAGTCAGGCCCCTCTTCTGCAGGACTGCTGGAGTTTGCTGGAGGTCCACTCCAGACCCTGCTTGCCTGGGTATCACCAGCAGAGGCTGCAGAACAGCAAAGACTGCTTCCTGCTTCTTCTTCTGGAAGCTTTATCCCAGAGGGGCACCCATGAGATGACAGCTGAAGCTCTCCTGTATGATGTGTCTGTTGACCCCTCCTGGGAGGTGCCTCCCCATCAGGAAGCAGGGGTCAGTGACCCACTTGAGGAGGCAGTCTCTCCCTTAGCAGAACTTGAGAGCTGTGCTGGGAGTTTGCTGCTCTCTTCAGAGCAGGCAGGCAGGAACATTTACATCTGCTGAAGCTGCACCAACAGCCACCCCTTCACCCAGGTGCTCTGTCCCAGGGAGATAGGAGTTTTATCTATAAGCCCCTGACTAGGGCTGCTGCCCTTCTTTCAGAGGTGCCCTGCCCAGAGTGGAGGAATCTAGAGAGTCAGTCTGGCTACAGCAGCTTTGTGGCACTGAGGTGGGGCTCCACCCAGCCTGAACTTCCAGGTGGCTTTGTTTACACTGTGAGGGGAAAATCGCCTACACAAGTCTTAGTAATGTTGGATGCCCCTCCCCCACCAAGCTGGAGCATCCCAGGTTGACTTCAGACTGCTGTGCTGTCAGCAAGAATTTCAATCCAGTGCATCTTAGCTTGCAGGGCTCCTTGGGGGTGGGATCTGCTGAGCAAGACCACTTGGCTCCCTGTCTTCAGCCCCCTTTCCAGGGGAGTGAATGGTTCTATCTCACTGGCATTCCAGGTGCCACTGAGGTATGAAAAAAAACTCCTGCAGCTAGCTCAGTGTCTGCCAAAATGGCTGCCCAGTTTTGTGCTTGAAACCCAGAGCCTTTGTTGTGTAGGCATCTGAGGGAATCTCCTGGTCTATGGGTTGTGAAGACTATGGGAAAAGTGTAGTACCTGGGCCGGACATCAAGTCAGGGTCCCTCAAGGCTTCCCTTGGCTAGGGGATGGAGTTCCCTGACCCCTTGTGCTTCCCAGGTGAGGTGACATCCAACCCTGCTTCTGCTTGCCCTCCATGGGCTGCACTCACTGTCTAACCAGTCCCAGTGAGTTGATCCAGGTACCTCAGTTGAAAATGCAGAAATCACCCACCTTCTGCATTAGTCTTGCTGGGAGCTGCAGACCGGAGCTGTTCCTGTTGGGCCCAGGAATGTTTTTTCGTCAATTCCTGTCAGACATTGAATGAAGGCTTTTCCCAGAGAGCATCAATTCCCTGACTCTTCCAGCCAGCTACATGTGTGGCAAAACAGGCTCCAGTGACAAGAGAAAACCTTCAGGCAAAGAAACAGAGGGCCTGACAATTAGCAGTTGAGGTGACTTATGGACTGAAATGGCAAGAGTCTACAACACTCAAATAGCGTAGGTGGAGGAAAAGATTCCACATGATATTCAACTTTAACTGATGGTCACAGAAGGCAACACTTCCAAACAATATTAGTATTGAATCCTAAATCTGACTGTATTGTCATAATTTTAAATAATTTGTGGAAACAATGATGACTATATGACCCCTCAAAAACAATATAGGAAATTTAGAAAGCTCAAAATAATGAGATTTTCTATAAGAAAAATAAAATTAAGCATTACAAAAATTAACATACCATTCTTGCATTTTATTCCAGAGTTGACAAAATTAGGGAAAGGACGTATAGATATTTTTAAACCAGTACTATTAATGTAGCATTGCCCAAAGATTTAACTGGACTAGAAGTATTTATGAACTCAGATTCTTACATATGTTTCAAATGTATATCCCATACAGTAAATATTTCAGTGATCTTATTAGCATAATTTTATGACTACTGATTTCTAGTCCAATGACAAGAATTTTATATATATATATATATAAAATACCAAAAAATGAAAGCATAAAACCATTTTAAACTGGTAAGCAAATAGACTGGGGGAGTCCCTCTTTTTCTACTATTCAGAATAGTTTCAGAAGGAATGGCCCCAGCTCCTCTTTTTACCTCTGGTAGAATTTGGCTGTGAATTCTTCTGGTCCTGGGCTTTTTTTGGTTGGTAGGCTATTCATTACCGCCCCAACTTCAGAACTTGTTATTGGTGTACTCAGGGGTTTGAATTCTTCCTGGTTTAGTCTTGGGAGGATGTATGTGTCCAGGAATTTATCCATTTCTTCTAGATATTTGTATCTTCTAGATTTTCTAGTTTATTTGCATAGACTGGGTAATAGAACTTAATCAAATAAAAATTATGTTGAGGAAGAAAAATTCTGTGTACTATCTTTAATTAAATCGTAATATAGATGCTCCTTGACAACATCATACCTTAGCCTAGCCTACCTTAAACATGCTTAAAACACATTAGCCTACAGTTGAGCAAAATTATCTAACCCTAAGCCTATTTTATAATAAAATGTTGAATCTCTTATGTAATTTATTAAATTCTGTACTGAAAGTGATAAACAGAATGGCTGTATAGGTACTCAAAGTACAGTTTCTACTGGATGTGCATCACTTTCACACCACTGTAAAGTTGAAAAATCATAAGTTGAACCAGCACAGATCATTTTATTTTGAGTGTTCTGGCTAAAATGTAATTTGTTATTTTAATTGTAACAAAGCATTTTTCTCTCCTTTTTTTTCACTGACACCTATAGTCAAATAAGAAACAGAGGCTGGGCACGGTGGCTCACGCCTGTAATCTCAGCACTTTGGGAGGCCGAGGCGGGCGGATCACAAGGTCAGGAGATCGAGACCATCTTGGCTAACACGGTGAAACCCCGTCTCTACTAAAAATACAAAAAATTAGCCGGGCACGGTGGCGGGTGCCTGTAGTCCCAGCTACTCGGGAGGCTGAGGCAGGAGAATGGCGTGAACCTGGGAGGCGGAGCTTGCAGTGAGCCGAGATTGCGCCACTGCAATCCGGCCTGGGCTAAACAGCGGGACTCCGTCTCAAAAAAAAAAAAAAAAAAAAAAAAAAAGAAACAGAATTTCAGACTTGTTTGCCAGAAATAAGCAAATGAGTCACTTACTCATTGAATTAGACCAAGGCTATTTAGAATCAACAATAAATTGAGAAATGACTTGTTAAAAGGAAATTTTTATTGTCTATTTATTCATCGAAGTCATGTCTATATGATGGTTATAATTCTGAGAATTAGAAGCTTGAAAAGAATGAAAATTAATCTGAGGAAAACAGTATGTGATTACATGTTTCTTAAACACTCTAAAATTAATCAGATATATTTCTTCACATGAGCCTTCATATGTAGAGAAAAATGTTTCACACTGAATATCATCAAAAAGCGATTACTGTTGATAAAGCATAATATAAAAACTGGAAGAATTACCAAAGAAATCCAGTTTATAAAGAAGAAATTAATTTAATTTCAGAAATATCAACAAACACAATCCTCATTTTTTATTTCAGATAATTAAGCACACTTGAAAGTGAAAAGTAACCTACAGGGAGTAAATACATTCCTAGAAATGTGCAACCTACCAAGACTGAATCATGAAGAAATAGAAAATCTGAACAGATAAATAATGAGTAAGGAGATTGCGTCAGTAATCACAAACATGCAAAGAAAATCCAAGACTAGGTGGCTTTACTGGTGAATTCTACCAAATATTTTTGATAATAATTAATGCCAATCATTCTTAATTTCTTCCAAAATATTGAAGATTAGGAAACACTTCCAAATTCATGTTATAAGCCCAACATTACCATGTGTCAAACCCAGACAAGTAAACTGCAAGAAAAGAGAATTACCAGCCAATATCCATGATGGACATAAATGCAAAAAACACAAAATACTAGCAAGCTCAGTTTAACAGCACATTTAAAGAATCATACACTACGACCAAGTTAAGATTTATCCCTGGGATGCAAGGATGGGTCAATATATGCAAATCAATAAATGTGAAGTACACATTAACAAAATAAAGCATTAAAATTATAGGATCATCTCAATAGATGTAGAGAAAGAATTTGACAAAATTTAACATCCATTTATGATAAAAATTCACAAGAAATTATGTATAGAAGTGGAATGAACCTCAGCATAATGAGAGCCATATATGACAACTCACAGCTAATATCACACTCTACAGTAAAAAAACTGAAAGCTTTTCTGATACGATCAGGAACAAGACAAGAATGTCCACTTTCACCAATTCTGTTCAACATGGTACTGGAAGTCCTAGTGGGAGCAATTACACAGGAAAAAGAAATAAAAGTCATCTAAATAAAAATGGAAGTAAAATTGTCTGTTTGCAGATGACATGGTCCTATATACAGAAAACCCTAAAGACTCCACCAAAAAAGTGCTACAATTAATAAACAGCTTCAGTAAAGTTGCAGGATACAAAATCAGCATAAAAAATCAATAGTTTCCGTATGCTAATAATAAACTATCCCAAAATGAAGCTAAGAAATCCCATTTATGGATCTAATAAATGTTTACCCACATTTCATAAAATGACTGCAGAACACACTTTATTTTCCTCTGCACATGGATCATTTTCAACCAAAGTGTAAATGGACAAATGGGATCACAACAAGTCAAAAAATCTTCTGCACAGCAAAGGAAACAATCAACAAAGTGAAAAAAAGAACAACTTATAGAATAAGAGAAAATATTTGCAAATTACTCATCTTACAGGGGATTAATGGCTGGAATATATAAGGAACTTAAACAACTTTAACTCCATAGGGAAAAAATGCAATAATCCAATTTAAAAAGGAGCAAAATTTTGAATAGACATTTCTCAAAAGAAGACATACAAATGGCAAACAGGTATTTGAAAAGGTGCTCAACATCATAGGTCATCAGAGAAATGAAAATCAAAACTACAATGCGATATAATCTCACCTCAGTTAAAATGGCTTTTATCCAAATATGGTACATATACACAATGGAGTATTTTCAGCCATTAAAAAAAAATGAGATTCTACCATTTTCAACAACATGGATGAAACTGGAAGACATTAATTATTCAGTGAAGTAAGCCAGGAACAAAAAGACAAATTTTGCATGTTCTTATTCTTTGAGAGCTAAAAATTAAAAGATTGAACTCAAGGATATAGAGACTAAAAAAATGATTATTAGAGGCTGGGATGGGTTGTGGGGGGTTGAGGAGGATGTGGGGATGGTTAATGCCTACGAAAAAGAGAAAGAATGAATAAAACCCGGTATTTACTAGCACAGCAGGGTGAATACAGTAAAAAAAATTTAGTTGCACATTTAAAAATAACTAAAAGAGTATAATTGGATTGTTTTTAACACAAGGAATAAATGCTTGAAGTGTTAGATACCTCATTTACTCTAATGTGATTATTACACATTACACATCGGTATCGAAATATCCTCTGTAATCCATAAATATATACACCCACTATGCCCACACGAAAAAAATTTAAAAAGTAATTCCATTCACAAAAGCATAAAAAATTATAAAATATTTAGGAATAAATTTAACCAAGATGAAATTTAACCAATTTACACATTGAAAACTGTAAAACATTGAAGAAATAAATTGAAGAAGACACAAATAAATAGATATCTCATGTTCATGGATTAGAAGAATTTGTGTTGGTAAAATGTCCATACTATCCAAAGTAGTCTACAGGTTCTATGAAATTCCTTTCAAAATTCCAAAGTTATTTGTCACACAAATAAAAAAAAAAAGTTTAAATGTACATAGAACTACAAAATGCTCCAACTAGCCAAAGAAGTCTTCAGCAAAAGTAACAAAGCCAGAGGTGTCCCATTACCTGACCCCAAAATATATTACAAAGCTATAGTAATGAAAACAGCATAGTACAGACATAAAAACAGACATAGAGACCAATGGAACAGAAAAAATTGTAGGATACTAGAACAAAATATACATATAGATCAATGGAATAGAATAAAGAAAGGAAAAGTTGGATTTCCATATGCAGAAGAGTAAAACTGGGCCACAGTGAAACGTCATCTTATTCCAGCCAGAATGACCATTATTTAAAAAGTTGAAAAATGATAGATGGTGTGG
This sequence comes from Homo sapiens, assembly GCF_000001405.40. Lineage (NCBI taxonomy): Eukaryota > Metazoa > Chordata > Mammalia > Primates > Hominidae > Homo > Homo sapiens. Next base: position 12,148,370 of record NC_000005.10, on the reverse strand, counting down.
ATGTGTTAAAAAAGAAAATGCTTATATACTCTTGGTGGGAATGTAAATTAGTACAACCTTTAGGAAAACAGTATAGAGATTACTCAAAGAACTAAAAATAAAATTACCGTTTAAACCAGCAATCCCATTAGTGGGTACTCACCGAAAGAAAAAAAGATCATTATATGAAAAAGGTACCTGTACGTGTATGTCTATGTCAGCACTCTTCATGTTAGCAAAGATTTAGAATCAACCTATGTGTCCATCAACAGATAATGGATAAAGAAAACGTGGTTTAGGGTCAGGCAGATGGCTTTTGCCTGTAATCACAACACTTTGGGAGGCCAAGGCAAAAGGATTGCTTGAACCCAGGAGTGTGAAGCTGTAGTGAGCTATGATTGCACTACTGCACACCCTCCTAGGGTGACAGAGAAAGAAACCTTGTCTCAAAAAGAAAGGAAATAGAGAGAGAGAAAAAAGAAGAAGAAGGAGAAGGAGGAGGAGGAGGAGGATGGATGGAGGAGGAGGGAGGGGGAGGGGGTATGGGGAAGGAAGGAAGGAAAGAAAGAGGGAAGAAGGGAAGGAGGAAAGGAAGGAGGGAGGGAGGGAAAGAAGGAAGGAAGAAGGGAGGGAGGGAGGAATGGAAGGAAGGAAGGAAAAAGAGAAAGAAAGAGGAAGAGAGGAAGGGAGGGAGGGAGAGAAGGAGGAAGGGAGGGAGGGAGAGAAGGAGGAAGGGAGGAAGGAAGAGAAAAAGAGAGAGAAAGAGAGAAGAGAATGGAAAGATAGAAGAAAGAAAGAGAAAGAAAGAAAAAAGAAAAAAAGAAGAAAGGGAGGGAGGGAAAGGAAGGGAGAGAGAAAAAGAAAGAGAAAGAGAAAGGAAAGAAGATAGTATGGTTTATATACACTGGGATACTACTCAGCCATAAAAACAGAAAGAAATCATGTATTTTTCAGCAATATGGATGGAACTGGAAGCCATTATCTTAAAACCACTCAGAAACAGAAAGTCAAATACCACATGCACTCATTTATAACTTGAAGCTAAATAATGTGTACATGTATACATACCATGTGGAATAATAGACATTGAAGACTCAGAAGGGTGGGGGTTGGTGAAAGATGATAAATTACTTAATGGGTACAGTGCGCAATATTGGATGATGGCTACACTAAAAGCCCAGACTTCATCACTACACAACATACCCATGTAACAAAATGTTTTAAAAACTACAATTAAAAAGTCAAACTTATAAAAGGGGGGAGTAGAATGGCAGTTGCCATGGCTGGTGATATGGTTTGGCTCTGTGTCCCCACCCAAATCTCACATCGAACCATAATTTCCAACATTCAGGAAGGGACCTGGTGGGAGGTGATTGGCTTATGCAGGCAGATTCCCTCTTGCTGTTCTCGTGATAGTGAGTGGGTTATTATGAGATCTTACCCCTTCTCTCTCTGTCTCACGCCACCATGTGAAGACATGCTTGCTTCCCCTTCGCCCTTCCACCATGATTTTAAGTTTCCTGAGGCCTCCTAGCCATGCTTCCTGTACAGCTGGTGTAATTGTAAGTCAATTAAACCTCTTTTCTTTATAAATTACCCAGTCTCAGGCAGTTCTTTATAGCAGTGTGAGAACAGACTAATACAGCCAGGATGTGGGGCCCAGGGGAGGTTGGGTGGGGAAATATTGGTCAAAGCGTAGAGCATTTCAGTTAGATAGAATGAGTAATTTCTGTAGATTAATTGCATAGCATGTCGACTACAGATAATAATAATGTATTGTGTACTTGAAAATTGCTAACAGTAGATCTAAAATGCTGTCATTAGAAAAAATGATAAGTATGTGAGGTAATGGATATGTTAATTAGCTTGAGTGTGGTAATCATTTCACAATGTATACATCTATGAAAACATCATGTGATATACTATAAATATATATAATTTCATTTGTCGATTATGCCTCAAAATTGGAAAAATATAAAATCAGTATTCTTGTTAAAAAAAGAAAATTTGAAAAACAAATATAATGTAATATCCAGATATCAAATGTTTTAATTTCGCCTCCCTAAAAACTATGTTTTACTTTTACTATATCCTTTACCTTACCTGTTACAGTTTTACCTTTTAAGCTTTTGATTTCCATAAATAAAAATGTTATAATGCATCAAATTAATCAAATGAAATAACTGAATCACTCAGAGATCTGATTACTTTGATTAGATCATTCAATTATAAAGTAGCTTTTTCATTATCTAACCAATTAATGTCACCTGCCTACAAAAGCAAATAAATATGACAGAACAGTTTTCTAAGCTTATTTCACTAAAGATATTATCATGTGTTCATCAAATGAGGATGTTAGAAAGTTTGCTAAGAGCAGAATTATATATTAATTCTAAATTTTTTGAAGGAAATCTTTACTGTGTTCTTGATTCTGATAATTTTTTGTTGATATTAGAGAATCCACGTTTAGAAATAGTAACACCAAAGAAAAAATTCTGAGGACAGTATTTCTACAGTATTTCTTCATTTTAAGAAAAATAATGTTGAAGCATACTGAAAGGTCATGTGGTTTGCATTAGAAGATAATATTTGTCTTGTATAACAAAATAAAATTCAGTAATTTTTATTTTATAAAATACTACAGAGAAGAGAATACTCTCATTATTATGCATCATTGTAATATAAAAGTCTTTAATTTTAAAACATTTAGTCTGTGTTTAATAAGAAGAAAAATTTCAACCTCCATGTTTCATAATTATGAAATTTACAGCTAATCAAATAGTGTTCACAAAACTACTTTTATTTTCAAGATGAACTCTACCCCTTCCCAATTAAATGTGAAGAATGGTAGTGTAAATTATTTTAGTTTTCTTGCATTGACAGCAAGAAGTAACCTCTGAGTTCTAAGGTGTTAATCAGACCATATTCTAATTTCAAAGGACCAGCTGATGTGGTACCTCACAGCGCTCTAGGGGCTTGCAGATATCTGTCATTTCAGCAGGACCAGGATAAAACCTCCCCTCCAACCTCTGTACCTTTCCCAACTTCTATTTCCATTAAGAATTGGTTTGTTGTGTTTTCAAACATCACTCCTTTCCCCTCTACTTTTTGGGGTGTTACATGCTCTAGTTTTTAAGTGCATATACTATCTATTTTAGGATATGTTTTTAAATTTTAACTTACATGGAAATTATGGCTTTAGTCATCATTTTTTCTTGTTTTTATGCAATCAATGTTTACTAAGCTGTACTCTCATTTTCACAAACATTTTTCTTACCCTTTCTCCATTTGTTTGAGACAATTTTCACCTGTGAGAAATGTGGTTGGTGGTAAATTCTGGTTTTATCATCTGAAAATGTCCTTATTTTCCTCCTTTTCTAAAAGACAATTTGCCAGAAATGGAATTTTAGGCTATTTTTCTCTAACTCAATACAGATAGAATTCCATTAGGTTCTATCTTCATTGTTGCTAATTGCAGTTACTCTATTTTTACCCTGAAGGTGGCCACCTCTCCAACGTCATCCACTTCCTGTAAGATCTTCTCTTGCTTTTGTGTTCTGCAGTTTTTCTGAAAGGGGTCAAGACTGATATATTTTTTATGTATATTTTCTGAAATCTTAGCTTCTTAATACTCTTGAATATCTAGATCATTATGGAACTTCTTTGTATGTATCCAAATATTATGCAAATTTCCAAGATTTAGTTCAGTGTTTTACATCTCTATGCCTCTGGACTACATTTGAGATAATATCATCAGATTTATATAAGAACTATCAAACTACTTCTTCAATTGAGTAAATGTGGTGCTTAAATAATGATGTACATTGCATTTTTAATTTAACAATTAAATTTAAATTAGCATTAAATTAATTTTGAATCTATTTCTCGAATTTTTTTTCATTCACATATGCTTAGTCATTGTATTAGTTCATTTCCATGCTGCTGATAAAGGCATACCCGAGACTGGGCAATTTACAAAAAAGAGAAGTTTAATGGACTTACAGTTCCACATGGTTGGGGAGGCCTCACAATCATGGTGGAAGACAAGGAGGAGCAAGTCACGTCTTACGTGGTTGGTGGCAGGCAAGAGAGAGCTTGTGCAGGGAAACTCCCATTTTTAAAACTATCAGATCTCGTGAGACTCGTTCACTATCAAAAGAACAGTGCAGGAAAGACCCACCCCCACAATTCAGTCACCTGCCACCAGGTTCCTTCCATGACATGTGGGAATTGTAGGAGTTACAATTCAAGATGAGATTTGGGTGGGGACACAGCCAAACCATATCAGCAACTTTTCTTTTTTTATAATCTTGTATTTTCTTCAAATATTTTGCATTTTTTCTAGCATCTTCAAACATATGAATATAGTTATATTCTATGCTTTATCTGACAATTTCATTATTTAAAATCATTGCAGATCTCTTTCTAATCTCTGTTTCAGCTAATTCTTACTAATGTTACCACTCTCCTGTAATTTTAAATTCTGAATTTGAGCCAATTGTTCTCTTTGAACTTTATTTGTAAGAATGCATTGAGGTCAATGTTGAAGTTGTGTTCTTTCAGTATTTGTGTTTACGTCTACCAGTTTCTGGGGGCATTATCCATCTAGACTACTTTAAATTCTCTATTTCAGGGACTAGGGACCTTACTGGTGGCATGGATTTGGGTCAAACATCTATATGACAGCCTGTTTGAAGTGATAAATTCTCAAGTGAGATATTTGCTCCTTCACCCACCCATAAGTTTGATATAGTCAAGTTTAGTTTGTCTGCTGGGAGGCTGATTCTAATTCTTATTCATCCTATTACCATCACTACTGTAAGGAAATCATAAGTATTATTGCCTGCCGCATGTCATGTACTTGGTTATTCAAGTAAAAACTCAAGGTTTCCAGAGTATGGCAGAAACCCTCTGAATGTAAGTCCATTCTGGCTCTTGCCTTCTTCTCAGGACTTCTGTTTTAACTCTATCTGGGGATTCTAAAGATTTCTTATTTTCATAATCATCCATCAATAAATTCATTTTTAATGTTTCTTATCTAGCATATTGTTTAATTTAGAGAGTCACTCAAGGTATTTAACACACATTAGAGTTTAGAAACAAAATCCCTATCTCCTTTAAAATAACGTTCTGAAGGCAGGTGGCAGATATGGACCCTCTTCTTTGAGAATGTAGGGTTGACAATGTATTAGGGTTCCCTTCCCCTTTTCCCCTATTCTGCTCCATGGGTGGGTGGGGAATGGGTAGGTTTCTGTTAAACTTTCTCTCTTTCACAGGATAACAATGATTCAGAACAAAGCCAACAGATGAATATTCAATTCACATCCATGTGTAGAGTCCCTCCTTTTGCTTTCCTTCTTCCTGAAATGCATCTCTAGGAGAATTTGAGGGAGAGGAAGGCATTTGTCCATATCTTCATCTCTACTACAATCTCTACTCAACCAGTGAGGTCACATGCCTCTCAAAACTGTCAGCAATGTGGAATGGGGAGTTGAATAAAAATAAATCAAAATTAAATCAGAAATGGAGTGGGTTTTCTAATGACTGAAAATGACTAAAATAGTATGGGATTTAACTGAGCTGCCACCTCTGACATTTTGTTTCTCCAAGTCCATTTCAAATTCCTGCTTGTGAACTATTGTCCCAACTTGGATTAGGTGTCTACGCCTTGGTCAATGGGCAGCAAACAGCAATTATTGGTGATTCTTCTACTAGGAATACACAAAGTGGGGAAGAAGTGTTTCTGTAAGGGTGTAGATCTTATTATACTAAAAATTAGCTATAAATGGCAAAGAGAAAGAGATAGTGGCCTGACAAGAGAGCTACAGACCATGACAGATTGCATTAAAGTCAGGAAATTATCAGATGAGGGAAAGGAACAGTAATGCTTATAAAAAAATATACATATATATATATATATATGCCTAGAAAGATATTATGGGGGACCAGCATGACTGTGTACACAAGATATCCCAGAATATTAGGTTTTAATATTTGAACACAAAAGAAACTTAAACAAAATTGCAAATAGACAAGTTTTTGTAAGAAGTCAATCAAAGATGCAGATTTTACATGAGTCATGACTGCATTAAGCAAAATAAATAATCACATTATTATGGATTAAAAAATGAGATAATTACTTATACCTTAACCATGGTTGCATGTTTTCCATTTTCTTTAAAGTCATACTAAACAATGCAAATACTTTGAATAACTATTTTGTAGTATACACAGGCATATTAAGAGCACGTATTTTACTATTTTCAAGTTAGGCTTATATATTTAATGTAACAAAATATAAATTTATTAAAAGCAAGTAAGTAATTTACCCTGAAGAAATAAAGAAATAGTGCAATGTTATATACCCCTTAATAAATGAATAAATGGATTGATTTATTAACAGAATAAATTGTATAGAAGCTATGATGTGATCTTTAAAAGCAGGTATAATCAATGTTCTAGAAAATTAGTCACTGGCAAATAATAGAAGGTTGAAATGAGGATTGTGAAGCTGTTTTGTATCTTGTTAATTTTATTTTTTCTTCCCCTTTCTTCCAAGGCAGAATTAAAAAGCTCATTTCCAGTGTCAGCCAATATCAGGCATTTTGCCAGACAGGCAAAGAAGTGGAGGTAATATCATAAGGGGTAATGACTAAATTTATTTTAGAGCCTCTCCTTCTACAGCTTTGGAAAGAAAGTGATTCATAGCTGAGAAATCAGGATAATGCAATCAAAAGTCCCTATGGTACCATTCTTGACCTTTAAAGCCAAAGCACATTCGCAGAATGGAAAATTGAGCAGGAAGCCCACTTTCAAACGCTGACCTAACAATGCTTGGTGGTTCACCAGCTAAACAGAGCTCTTTATCAATATTTCAGAGTCTAATGGAACAGGTGCCCTTTATAACCAAAGGTCATGTTAAAACTGGAAAAGAGAACTGCTTGAAGAAAGTCATCTTCGGTAGTACTAATCTTAGATACAAAAGAACATAGAGAAACATACACAAAAATATTTTTGGCAAACATTTCTGAAAGGGCGTTTATAATGGTTTATTTAACTCAGAAACTTCAAAAGGCTGTAACATATTAGTTATTGTTTAATTGTAAGAACAGGAAGGCATTCCAGCTGATATACATATAGGTGTTTATTTTTGTTAAAGCTCATAGATGATTTTAAAAATATTTGTGGAACTAGAAAAAAATGCACTTCCATGGCACATAGATCTGTTATTGGAAAGTTAGATGCTGAAACCATTTATTGTTTTCACTTTTGCCTCTCACTGTATGTCTAACACTCTCCTATTTTTCTCCAAAGACAAGTTTGCTGATGAATTCTGTTCTGTCCTCCAATGTTTTGCATCCACTCTGGCTTCAAATTTGAATAACCACTCAATCTTCACACCTAACAGAATCTAGTTAGCCTAGACTCTAAGGTTTCTATATCAAATTTTTATAGAGCCGGAAAGACTCACTCATCATAGCATATGGGTAAAGTTCCTGGGGTCAAAATTCCACTTTTGTTATGGTATTTGAGGGAAAACACCCCCACAAACCATAAGAGGTAGAAATAAAAGATAGTTGAAACTTTGGTTGGCTGCAAATTATCTATAAAGGGAGAATAAATAAGGAAGCAATTATTAGCTTCTCTACAAAAATTAGTAAGGTAAATTTAGGTTAGAAAACAGATTCTCAGTCTACCAATCTAAGCCAGTTTTAAGGGGCTGTGTTGTAATCTCCACGATAAACACTCCAATTCTGAAAATACATGTGGATTAACTATATTACATTGCCTTATTTTTTTTAGGATTATAAAAAGCTTTTGAAAATAGTGAGATATAAATGATATCACTGACCAGGCTTAGAACAACAGATATTATTCATGATAGTGGAGGAAAGAGGCATAAAGTTACAAAAGAATCTGAGGGAAAATATTTAGGAAATATTACAGCAATCACAACTCAACACGTGACACTATTGTAAAATTGTGACCAATTTTTCCTTTTTGATAAGAAGGTTGAACTAGATTCATGAGATAGTCACTTATTGAAAACTATCCCGCCAGAAAATAAATTTAGAGCTAAAATAATCATAGTAAAGTAAACAAGACTCTACCTTTGGTGTCAGAGATCTCACAATATAGGGATAATGTCCCTTCCAGCTCTAAAATTCTGCTACCTCATATGTTTGGGGCAATGGTGATGTTGAGGGAGATATTAGGCATAGCATCCTGCTGCATGGGGGCCTCAGATCTGCACTGGTGCAGGCAGCTTTCCACTACAAGCTTCCCAGAGCTAGTCACACTAAAGAAATGAAAAACTTGAAACAAGTTAACACTTTCTATTAATGGAACTAATGCTGAAACCCCAGTGATACTCTGGCGGAAGCTGGATTGTAGAATGTAAAATACGTTTATAGGCTTACAGTGGCTTTTGCTTGACTTCTAAACCCCCAATCCAATTTGGGTCTGACTGCCTCTGCCCAGGGGCAGGCATAGAAGACTGACTTGAGGAAGTCACAGGCCATAAGTGGGTCCATCTGACTCATCCTGCTGCTTGGCTGGTTGTGGCAGACAGAGGAGAGAGAAGCCACAGATATCCGCAAAACTTCTACCTTTTTTTTTTTATTAAAAAACTTTTTTTAAAGAGGCAAATGGCTCAATCATTTGCTTAGAGTCCAAATCATGATTAGCAAATTTTTTGTGAGAAAAAAAAGTGCCCAGTGGGGTTGGAAAAGATCTACTTTCTGGATATTGCTAGGAATCTGCATTCACAGGCGGTGCCAATTCTCGTAAGTCCATATTCCTTGCTAGGGCTTCTAAGGCTCTTCACAGTCTAGTCCGACCTCATTTTCCAACTGTACTCTCAGCCCCTCTCCTCCCAACTGCTCTTTACACTGACTTACATGTGCTCATACATTTGTAACACCTTCCTCATGCTTTCCTGCCCTGGCACATCCTGCCCACCACCGCACACAGTGATGAACACCTATTCATCTCTTCAGCTAAGGATCAGCTCTCCCATATATAGGAAACGTTCCCTAACTCCCACAGAAAGGCCTAACTGTTCCTTTATTCATGACTTCCTAAATAAATTTTATTTCACATTTTAAAAACCATGATGTGTTTTTTCCTTGTGTCTCTACCGTCTTCGTGATTAATTAAACTCACTGAAAGTAAAGTAGGTGATGCTTCATCTTTGTGCCTGAAAACTGTCTTACCTTAAGACATTGTATAATTTGCAACTGCCAACAATAATCAATAATTAAAAAATATTAAAATAATGGTTTGTTTTCTTTAAAACCAGTAGTTATTGTCATATTTTAAAATCCCTTCTCAATACCTGAAAGATTTGTAATCATTTAAATAAAAGTATACAATATATGTGTTCAACTGATGTCAAAAAATGGCCCCTTTTCTCCAGTCATTCCTGTGTCATCTCATCCTTAGCAACATCACTTTGCAATTCTTCCTTTGACTCTGAACTGACACTGTGACTTCCCTTAGCCCTTAGAATGTTCACTTGTGCCATCTTGCTTGGAGCTCTACCACCATGAGACAAAAACTCAGGTTAATGAAGTAGAAGCCTCTCAGCCAAGGTCTTCCCAGACCAGCCCATTCCCAGTTAACCCAACATATGACCATAGATAACTAAATGATCATGATCCCAGCCCAGCCAAGTCCAGGTCAATCTGTAAAACCATCAAATCAACATTGATATGAGTGAAATAATAACTTCTTCTTATTAGAAGCCACTAAGTTTTAGGGTGGCTTATTATTCAACAATAATTAACTGACATAAAACACAACAGTACAGAAAATATAAAAGAAGAGCAAAAAATGCCTTAGAATTTGACAAGACAAATAAATTGAATCAAAATTATAAATATTTAAATATTTTATACAGAATAGCAGAAGCAAAAATCAGTATGAGTCAGTACCTAAAATAAAATAATGTATTTTATTATTTTATATTCAAATTATTAATTTTTATTATTTTAATGTAAGGTTAAAAATAAAATAATGTATTTTTTTCAATGAATAGGATAGTAAATATTATATCCTCTTTTAACTTTTAGGTTAAGAGAATCATGAACAGGTTTGTTATACAGGTGAATTGTGCATTGTGGGGATTTGGCATAAGGATAATTTCATCACCTGGGTAATAAGCCTAGTACCCAATAGGTATTTTTTCTGATCCTCTCCTGAATCCTATTGTCCACTCTCAAGTAGGCCCCTGTGTCTGTTGTTCCCCTCCTAGTGTCCGTGTGTTTTCATTGTTTAGCTCCCACTTATAAGTGAAAACATGTGGTATTTGGTTTTCTGTCCCTGCATTAGTTTGCTTAGGATAATGGCCTCTGTCTCCACCCATGTTGCTGAGAGGACATGATCTCATCCCTTTTTATGGCAGCGTAGTATTTCATGGTGTATATGTACCAATTTTCTTTATCAAGTCTACCACTGATGGGCATTTAGGTTGATTCCATGTCTTTGCTATTGTGAATAGTGCTGCTATGAACATAGGTGTACCTGTGTCTTACAGTAGAACAATTTATATTCCTTTGGTTATATACCCAATAATAGGATTGCTGGCTCAAATGGTAATTCTGTTTTAAGTTATTTAAGGAACCACTGCACTGTTTTTCAAAATCACTGAAGTAATTTATATTCCCACTAGCAGTATATAAGCATTTCTTTTTCTCATCAGTATCTGTCATATTTTGACTTTTTTATTAATAACCATTTTGACTGGTGTCAGATGGTATCCCATTGTGGTTTTGATTTGCATTTCTCTAATGATTAGTAACTCCAAACAGTTTTTTATATGCTTGTTGATTGTTTGTGTGTCTTCCTTTGAAAAGTGTTGTTCATGCCCTTTACCCACTTCTAAAAGGGATTGTTGGCTTTCTGCTTGTAAATTTGTTTTTAAGTTTCTTAAAGATTCTGGAGATTAGACCTTTGGGGAATGCATAGTTTGCAAATATTTTCTTCCATTCTGTAGGTTGTTTATTTACTCTGTTGATAGTTTCTTTTGCTGTGCAGCAGCTCTTTAGTTTAATTAGATCTCGTTTGTCAATTTTTGGTTTTGTTGCAATTGTTTTGGATGTCTTCATCATGAAATCTTTGCCAAGTCCTATGTCTAGAATGGTATTTCATAGGTTATCTTCCAGATTTATGGTTCAAGTTTTACATATAAGTCTTTTAATCCACTTTGAGGTGATTTTTGTACATGGGATAAGGTAGAGCTCTGGTTTTGGTCTTCTGCCTATGGCTAGTCATTTACCCCAGGACCATTTATTGAATGGGGAGTCCTTTCTCCATTGCTTATTTTTGTCAATTTTGTGGCAGATTGTACAGTTGTAGGTGTGCAACATTATTTCTGGACTCTCTATTCTGTTGCATTAATCCATGTGTTCATTTTGTACCAGTACCATACACTTTTGGTTACTGTAGCCCTGTAATATAGTTTGAAGTCAGGTAACGTGCTGCCTCTAGCTTTGTTCTTTTTGCTTAGAATTGCCTTTACTATTTGGGCTCATTTTGGTTCCATATGAATTTTTAAATAGTTTTTTCTAATTCTGTGAAGAATGCCATTGGTTGTTTGATAGGAATAGCATTTGATCTGTAAATTCCTTTGGCCAGCACGGCCATTTAGACAATATTGATTGTTACTATCCATGAGCATGGAATATTTTTCCATTTGTTTGTGTCATTCCTGATTTCTTCGTGCAGTGTTTTGTAATTCTTGTTTTACAGCTCCTTCACCTCCATGGTTAGCTGTATTTCTAAGTGTTTTTTTGTGTGTGCAGAAATTGTGAATGGGATTGCATTCCTAATTTGGCTCTCAGTTTGGATGTTGTTGGTGTGTAGGAATGCTACTGATTTTTGTACCTTGATTTTGTATCCTGAAACTTTCCTGAGGTTGTTTATCAGATCAAGGGGCTATTGGGCTGAGACTATGGGGTTTCCTAGATATAGAATCATGACCCCTGCAGACAGGGATAATTTGACCTCCACTCTTCCTATTTGGATCCCTTTGAATTCTTTCTCTTTCTCTTGCTTGATTGCTCTGTCCGAGACTTCCAATATTATGCTGAATAGGTGTGGAGAGAGAGGGCATACCTATTTTGTGCTGGTTTCCAAGGGAATGTTTCTAGCTTTCATACATTCAGCATGATGTTGACTGTGGATTTGTCATAGATGGCTCTTATTATTTTGAAGATTTTTCCTTCAATATCTAGTTTTTTGAAGGTTTTTAACATGAAAGGATGTTGAATTTTATCAACAGCTTTTTCTGCATCAATTGAGATAATTATGTGGCTTTTGTTTTTAGTTCTGTTTGTGTGATGAATCACATTTATTGATTTGCATATGTTGAACCAAACTTGCATTACAGGAATAAACCCTACTTACTTCATCATGGTGGATTAGCTTTTTGAGGTGTTGCTGGATTTAGTTTGTCAGTATTTTTCTTTTTGATAATTTTTGCCTCTGTGTTCATCAATAATATTTGCCTGAAGTTTTCTTTTTTTCTTGTGTCTCTGCCAGGTTTTGGTGTCAGGATGAGGCTGGCCTCATAGAATGAGTTGAAGAGAAGTCTATGCTCAATTTTTATAATATTTTCAGTAGTTATGGCACTAGCTTTTCTTTATACATCTGGTAAAATTCAGCTGTGAATCCATCTGGTCCTGGGTGATGTTTGCTTGGTAGGATTTTCATTACTGATTCAATTATAGAATTCGTTATTTGTCTGTTCACAAATCCAATTTCTTCCTCTTTCAGACTTAGGAGGTTGTATGTTTCAGGAATGTATTCATATATTTTAGGTTTTCTAGATTGTCTGCACAGAAGTGTTCATAGCAGTCTCTGATGTTTTTTCTTTTTGTATTTCTGTGGGTTCAGGGGCAACATCCCATTTGTCATTTACAATTATGTTTATTTGAATATTCTCTTTTTTATCTGTCTAGCTAGCAATCTATCTTATTAATTTTTTCACATAGCCAGCTCCTGGATTTGTTTATCTTTTGTATAGTTTTTCTTGTCTCAGTTTCCTTCAGTTCACCTCTGATTTCAGTTGTTTCTCATCTTCTGATAGCTTTGAGGTTGGTTTCTACTTCCTTCTCTAGTTCTTCTACTTGTGGTGTTAGGTTGTTAATTTGAGACCTTTCTACATTTTTGATGCTTAGTGCTATAAATTTCTCTCTTAACATTGCCTTAGCTGTGTCCTAGAGATGCTGGCATATTGTACCTATGTTTTCATTAGTTTCAAATAATTTCTTGATTTCTGTCTTAATTTCATTGTTCACCCAAAAGTCATCCAAGATCAGGTTGTTTAATTTCCATGTGATTGTATTGTTTTAAGTGATTTTCTGAGTATTCATTTCTATTTTCATTTCACTGTGGTCCAAGAGTATGGTTGGTATGATTTCAGCCATTTTGAATTTGCTAACGATTGTTTGTCTAATTATGTGCTCATTTTTGCTGTATATGCCATGTGGCAATGAGAAGAATGTCAATTCCATTGTTTTTAGCTGGAGAGTTCTATAGATGCCTATTAGATGCATGTCATCAGGTGTTGGTTCAGGTCCTGAATATCTGTTAATTTTCTGCCTCAATAATCTGTCTAACAGTGTCAGTGGTGTGTTGAAGTCTCCCACTTTTATTGTTTGGGAATCTAAGTCTCTTTGTAAGTGTCTAAGAACTTGCTCCATGAATCTGGGTGCTCCTCTATTTGATGCATATAGATTTAGCATAGATATGTATTCTTGTTGAATTGAATCTTTTACCGTGATATGATGTCCTTATTTATCTCTTTTTATCTTTGTTGGTTTAAAGTCTACTTTGTCTAAAATTAGGATTTCAACACCTGCTTTTGTCTTTCATTTGCTTGGTAGATTTTTCTCCATTACTTTATTTTGAGCTTCTGGATGTCATTGCATGTGAGATGGGTCTTTTGTAGACAGCATACCATTGGGTCTTGTTCTTTATCCCGCTTGCCACTCTGTGCCTTTTAATTGGGGCATTTAGCTGATTTACAGTCAAGATTAGTATTGATAGGTGCAGATTTGATCCTGTCATCATGTTGTTAACTGGTTATTATAAAGACTGGTTTGTGTGGTTGCTTTGTATTATTATCTATACTCTGTGTACTTAAGTATGTTTTGTAATGGTTGGTAATGCTCTTTTCTTTCCATGTTTAGTGCTCCTTTCAGGACCTCATTTAGGCAGGTCTGGTGGTAATAAATTCCCTTAGCATTAGCTTGTCTGAAAAGGATGTTTATTTCTCCTTCACTTATAAGCTTAGTTTGGCTGGACATTAAATTTTTGGTTGGAAATTCTTTTCTTTAAGAATGTTGAATATAGGCCCCAGTCTCTTGTGGCTTGCAGGGTTTCTACTGAAAGGGACACTGTTAGTCTGATGGGGATCCCTTTGTAGGTGACCTGTCCCTTACCTCTAGCTGCCTTTAACATTTTTAAATTTCATTTTGAACTTGGAGAATCTGATTATTATGTGTATTGGGAATGGTCTATTTTGTGTATTATTTCACAGGGGTGTTCTGCATTTACTGAATTTAAATGTTGGCCTCTCCAGTGAGGTCAAGGAAGTTTTCATGGATGATATCCTGAAACTTGTCTTCCAGGTTGTTTGCTTTCTCCCTGTCTGTTTTACGGATGCCAGTGAGTCATAGATTTGGTCTCTTTACACAATCCCATATTTCCAGGGGATTTTTGTTTGTTCTTTTTAATTCATTTTTATTTATTTTTGTCTGACTAGATTAATTCAGGAGCCAGTTTTCAAGCTCTGAGATTCTTTTCTCAGCTTGTTCTATTTTGCTGTTAATATTTGTGATTTGCATTATGCAATTCTTGTAGTATGAATTTCAACTTTATCAGCTCATTTTGTCTTTTTTATAATGATTATTTCATCTATCAGCTCCTGTGTTGTTTTACTGTGTTTTAGCTTCCTTGAATTGTGTTTCAATGTTCTCATGAATCTCGATGATCTTCATCGCTATCCATATTCTGAATTCTATTTCTGTTATTTCATCCTGGTTAAGAAACTTTGCTGGGGAACTAATGTGGTTGTCTGGATAAAATAAGGCACTCTGGATATTTGAGTTGAATCAGAAGAGTTCTTCTGCTGATTCTTTCTTATTTGTGTGGGCTGATTATCCTTTAATATTTGAAGTTTCTGTCCTGCAGATGGATTTTTCTTTTTTCTTTTTCTTTTTTTTTTTTTTTTTTTTTTTTTTTGCTTTTTTCTTCTTTGATACCCTTGGTGGTTTGATTATGTTATAACATGTATTCAGTTGACTGGCTTTGGTTCTAGTCATCTCCTGAGTCTTGGAGGAGCCCCCTTCAATTATTCTCTCCATGCTTGTGTTTCTTTTGTTGAGCGTTCTGGTCCACAGGTCTCCCTCAGGCAGGGGCCACAGTTGGCAGATAAGCCATATCCTTAAGAAGTCAACCCTAATCTGATGTTTGTGTGCCTCCTGGGAAAACATGGGATTGCACCTGTCCACAGAGTTCAAGTGGAAGTGGGACACTGGATTGGAAGCTCTAGTGGGTGTGGCCCTTCTGGCTACAGGAGGCAGGAATGGGTAGGGTTGCCCATCGTACCATCCATGTGTTTCCATGGCAACAGGAGGCTGCATTCCTCAGCAAATTTAGGCAGAAGAAGGACCTCTGAGCCAGAAAGTCTAGCAGGCATGGCTCCTTTGGCTACCAGTGTCAGGGGTGGGTGGGGATGTTCACCCTGTAGTCCAGATGCTTCCTGGGACAACAGAAGGCTGTGTCCATCAGCTGAGATCCCACAGAATCAAGACTGGCCCAAATGGAAGCTGTGTTCCTTGGCTAAGTGGGCCACTGGGTGGGAAGTTGTAGCAAATATTGCCCTCCTGGCTATCCATGGCTTGGAGGGTGGGGAGCAGTTGGGGTGCAGTCACTTGCCCTGCTGTCAGGGTGTTTCTCAGAAGATCAGGAGGCTACACCCTCCAGCTGAGTACACACAAAATAAGACTGCTGGGCTGGAGGCTCTAGCAGATGTTGCTCACCTAGCTACCCATGGTGAGGGTGGGCAACATGGCAGGCCAAATTTGGGCCCAGGTGGGACTGCTGGAGCCAAGTCCTCTCTGACAAGGTGGGTTGGAGCAATCCTACCGTTCCCAGGCACCACAACAGCAACCTCTACTGGGGATGTGGCAACCATGCCGGTTGGCTCCAGGACCCAGGGATTATAGAGGTCCCCTTGGACTCGAGAGTTGCTGCCAAAAAATATCTGGCATCTTCCTGCCTCAGTCTAGAACTGCAGTGATTTTCTCATCCCCAGTCCAGCACAGGTCCCTGTGGAAAGTGTGAATCTCCCAGGCACTCTTACTCAGCCACTCACCCTTTCCGGTGTTGGAGAGGTTCTCCTGGCTCTACCCTGAGCCTGGACAGGTTGGGGTCCAGCCTCATTTCTATCTGCACTCTGTCTTCCCCTGCTGCCTTGATGAATCCCAATGTGTTTTCTCAGATGATTGGCCTGTAGATTCAGTATCATTAGCTCTTTTCAGCACACAGGAGATACTTCCTGTAGGCCATCTTGGCACCCATGATTCTTGTTCATAAGAATAATTTTGTCAGATTATTTTGTGAAAAATAGTTACTGCTACCTGAGTTTTATGTTTACAGAAAATAAGTGTCAATTTTTTAAAAAAACTTTACTAGTAAGAACATACACACTTATATTAATACTCTCTTTTTATTTATTTATTTGTATTATTTTTCTTATTATATTTAAGTACCAGGGTACATGTGCACAATGTACAGGTTTATTACATAGGTATACGTGTGCCATGTTGGTTTGCTGCACCCATCGACTTGTCATTTACATTAGGTATTTCTCCTAATGCTATCCCTCCCCCATCCCCCCTACCCCCGACAGGCCCCAATGTGTGATGTTCCCACCCTGTGTCCAAGTGTTCTCATTGTTCAATTCCCACCTATGAGTGAGAACATGCGGTGTTTGGTTTTCTGTCCTTGTGATAGTTTGCTGAGAATGATGGTTTCCAGCTTAATCCATGTCCCTGCAAAGGACATGAACTCATCCTTTTTTATGGCTGCATAAAAAAGTATTCCATGGTGTATCTTAATCCATGTCCCTGCAAAGGACATGAACTCATCCTTTTTCATGGCTACATAGTATTCCATCATGTATATGTGTCATATTTTCTTAATCCAGTCTATCATTGATGGACATTTGGGTTGGTTCCAAGTCTTTGCTATTGTGAATAGTGCTGCAGTAAACATACGTGTGCATGTATCTTTATAGCAGCATGATTTATAATCCTTTGGCTATATACCCAGTAATGGGATTGCAGGGTCAAATGGTATTTCTAGTTCTAGATCCCTGAGGAATGACCACACAGTCTTCCACAATGGTTGAACTAATTTACACTCCCACCAACAGTGTAAAAGCATCCCTATTTGTCCACATCTTTTCCAGCATCTGTTGTTTCCTGACTTTTTAATGATCACCATTCTAACTGGCATGAGATGGTATTTCATTGTGGTTTTGATTTGCATTTCTCTGATGACCAGTGATGATGAGCATTTTTTCATGTGTCTGTTGGCTGCATAAATGTCTTCTTTTGAGAAGTGTCTGTTTGTATCCTTTGCCCACTTTTTGATGGGGTTATTTGTTTTTTTCTTGTAAATTTGTTTAAGTTCTTTGTAGATTCTGGATATTAGCCCTTTGTCAGATGGATACATTGCAAAAATTTTCTCCCATTCTGTAGGTTGCCTGTTCACCCTGTTGGTAGTTTATTTTGCTGTGCAGAAGCTCTTTAGTTTAATTAGATCCCATTTGTCAATTTTGGCTTTTGTTGTCATTGTTTTTGGTGTTTTAGTCATGAAGTCTTTGCCCATGCCTATGTCCTGAATGGTATTGCCTAGGTTTTCTTCTAAGGTTTTTGTGACTTTAGATCTTACATTTAAGTCTTTAATCCATCTTGAATTAATTTTTGTATAAGGTGTAAGGAAGGGATCAAGTTTCAGCTTTCTGCATATGGCTAGCCTGTTTTCCCAGCACTATTTATTAAATAGGGAATCCTTTCCCCATTTTTTGTTTTTGTCAGGTTTGTCAAAGATCAGATGGTTGTAGATGTGTAGTGTTATTTCTGAGGCCTCTGTTCTTTTCCTTTGGTCTATATATCTATTTTGGTACCAGTACCATGCTGTAGTATAGTTTGAAGTCAGGTAGCATGATGCCTCCAGCTTTGTTCTTTTTGCTTAAGATTGTCTTGGCTATGCGGGTGCTTTTTTGGTTCCATCTGAACTTTAAAGTAGTTTTTTCCAATTCTGTGAAGAAAGTCATAGGTAGCTTGATGGGGATGGCATGGAATCTATAAATTACCTTGGGCAGTATGGCCATTTTCACAATATCGATTCTTCCTATCCATTAGCATGGAATTTTCATCGATTTATTTGTGTCCTCTTTTATTTCATTGAGCAGTGGTTCGTATTTCTCCTTGAAGAAGTCCTTCACATCCCTTGTAAGTTGTATTCCTAGGTATTTTATTTTCTTAGTAGTGATTGTGAATGGGAGTTCACTCATGATTTGGCTCTCTGTTTGTCTGTTATTGGTGTATAGGAATGCTTGTGATTTTGCACTTGATTTTGTATCCTGAGACTTTGCTGAAGTTGCTTATCAGCTTAAGGAGATTTGGGTCTGAGACAATGGGGTTTTCTAAATATACAATCATGACATCTGCAAACAAAGACGATTTGACTTCCTCTCTTCCTAATTGAATACCCTTTATTTATTTCTGTTGCCTGACTGCCCTAGCCAGAACTTCCAGTACTATGTTGAATAGGAATGGTGAGAGACGGCATCCTTGTCTTGTGCCGGTTTTCAAAGGGAATGCTTCCAGCTTTTGCCCATTCAGTATGATATTGGCTGTGGGTTTGTCATAAATAGCTCTTATTATTCTGAGATATGTTCCATCAATACCTAGTTTATTGAGAGTTTTAGTATGAAGGGCTATTGAATTATGTCAAAAGCTTTTTCTGCATCTATTGAAATAATCGTGGTTTTTGGCATTGGTTCTGTTTATATGATGGATTATGTTTGTTGATTTGCATATATTGAACCAGCCTTGCAACCTGGGGATGAAGCTGACTTGATCGTGGTGGATAAGCTGTTTGATGTGCTGCTGGATTCAGTTTGCCAGTATTTTATCGAGGAATTGGCATTACCATGCTGAATTATTTATTCAATTTTAGAAATGTAGCTAATTTTTATATGAAAAGTGAAGAAGGAATTTAGGCAAGCCATTTATAACTTCAGATAAAAGAGAAAAATAAGTATAAAACTGATAAAAAAAAAGCATATCTAAATGTTTGTTTGAGGTTCTATGATTGATCAGCATATGAGTCTTAAATCAGAGCCACAGAAAGAGAGAGTGAAGTGTCCAAGTGTTGGCTTAGGGGTGAGGGTTTTGATTTGTGCATGTCCTCTATACCATAATTATGACTAGATTGACAAGACCTGGGTATATTCCACCTCATTTTTAAATATGAAGCCGAATTTATTCACAGAGGCTTGGGAAACAGATTAAGTTATTACCAGAAATAGTCCTTCTTAAATTACAATAAGTAAATGTAGTGAGTTTTTTATTCCCAAGAAACTCTACAGTGTGGTTACTCTAAGTGTTGATTCTTTGAATATCTTTTGAATTCCAAATACAAGATACACCAGTAGACTTTAAAGTGAAACCCTATCTACAGTTTTTCCTCCTAAGAAAACAATCTATTGGCTTTCAAAATTATAGCAAGGTTAAAAGACAGTATATTGGATAAAACATATGCCAAGTTCCATTATGGACTTTCTAAGCTATTTAATGAAGGCAGATTTTTTCACATATGCATATATTTTATTACTTAACTTATTAATTTTAGAGTATTTTTAGGTTCACAGCAAAGCTAAAAGGAAGGTACTAAGATTTCCCCTATACTTCCTACTCCCACACATGTATAGCCTCCCTCATTATCAACATCCCCCACCAAAGTGGTACAATTGTTATAACTGATTAATCTACATTGACACAACATAATCACCCAGAGTCCATAGTTTACCTTAGGGTTCAGTCTTGATATTGTACATTCTATGGGTTTGAAGAAACATACAACAACATGTATAGACAAATTCATGTACATGAGTTTCTGTAGTGTTAGAGGTGTATCATTAGAAGTGGGATTGCTGAGTCAAAAGGTAAATGCATATGTAGTTTTTTGTTTGTTTGTTTGCTTTGTTTGTTTTAAGACAGAGTCTTACACAGTCACCCAGGCTGGAGTGCACTGGCATGATCTCAGCTCACTGCAACCTCTGCCCCAGGGTTCAAGCAGTTCTCCTGCCTCAGCCTCCCGAGTAGCTGGGATTACAGGCATGTGCCACCATGCCCGGATAATTTTTGCATGTTTTTAGTAGAGAAAGGGTTTCACCATGCTGGCCAGGCTGGTCTCGAATTCCTGACCTGATGGGTCTTGACTGTTTATCCAATTTGCAAGTCTGTGTCTTTTAATTGGGACATTTAGCCCATTTACATTTAAGGTTAATATTGTTATGTGTGAATTTGATCCTGTCATTATGATGTTTGCTGGTTATTTTGTTCGTTAATTGATGCAGTTTCTTCCTAGCATCGATGGTCTTTACAATTCAGCATGTTTTTGCAGTGACTGGTACTGGTTGTTCCTTTTCATGTTTAGTGCTTCCTTCAGGAGCTCTTGTAAGGCAGGCCTGGTGGTGACAAATCTCTCAGCATTTGCTTGTCTGTAAAGGATTTTATTTCTGTTCACTTGAAGCTTAGTTTGGCTGGATATGAAATTCTGGATTGAAAATTCTTTTCTTTAAGAATGTTGAATATTGGCCCCCACTCTCTTCTGGCTTTTAGGGTTTCTGCGGAGAGATCTGCTGTTAGTCTGATGGGCTTCCCTTTGCGAGTAACTGTACCTTTCTCTCTGGCTGCCCTTAACATTTTTTCCTTCATTTCAGCGTTGGTGAGTCTGAACATTATGTGTCTTGGGGTTGCTCTTCTCGAGGAGTATCTTTGTGGGGTTCTCTGTATTTCGTGAATTTGAATGTTGGCCTGCCTTGCTAGGTTGGGGAAGTTCTCCTGGATAATATCCTAAAGAGTGTTTTCTAACTTGGTTCCATTCTCCCCATCACTTTTAGGTACACCAATCAAATGTAGATTTGGTCTTTTCACGTAGTCTCATATTTCTTGGAGGTTTTGTTCATTTCTTTTTACTCTTTTTTCTCTAATCTTGTCTTCATGCTTTATTTCATTAATTTTATCTTCAATCACTGATATCCTTTCTTCCACTGATTGCATAGGCTATTGAAGCTTGTGCATGCGTCACGACGTTCTCTTGCTGTGGTTTTCAGCTCCATCAGGTCATTTCAGGTCTTCTCTACACTGTTTATTCTAGTTAGCAATTTGTCTAACCTTTTTTCAAGGTTTTTAACTTCCTTGCTCTCGGTTAGAACATGCTCTTTTAGCTCGAAGAAGTTTGTTATTACTGGCCTTCTGAAGCCTACTTCTATAAACTCGTCAAAGTCATTGTCTGTCCACATTTGTTCCATTGCTGGTGAGGAGCTGTGATCCTTTGGAGGAAAAGAAGTGCTCTGGTTTTTGGAATTTTCAGCTTTTCTGCTCTGGTTTCTCCCCATCTTTATGGTTTTGTATACTTTTGGTCTTTGATGTTGGTGACCTACAGATGGGGTTTTGGTGTGGATGTCCTTTTTGTTGATGTTCATGCTATTCCTTACTGTTTGTTAGTTTTCCTTCTAACTGACCCCTCTGCTGCAGGTCTATTGGATTTTGCTGGAGGTCCACTCCAGACCCTGTTTGCCTGGGTATCACCAGTGGAGGCTGCAGAAGAGCAAATATTATAAAACAGCAAATATTACTGCCAGATCCTTCCCCTGAAAACTTCGTCCCAGAGGGACACCTGCCTGTATGAGCTGTCTGTTGGCCCCTACTGGGAGGTGTCTCCCAGTCAGGCTACAAGGATGTCAGGGACCCACTTGATGAGGCAGTCTGACCATTCTCAGAGGTCGAACACTGTGCTGAGAGAAGCCCTGCTCTCTTCAGATCTGTCTGACAGGGATGTTTAAGTCTGCAGTTGTCTGCTGCCTTTTGTTCAGCTATGCCCTGCCCACAGAGGTGGAGTCTGTAGAGGCAGTAGGCCTTGCTGAGCTGTGGTGGGCTCCACCCAGTTTGGGCTTCCTGGCTGCTTTGTTTACCTACTCGAGCCTCAGCAATGGCGGATGCCCCTCCCCACTCCAGGCCGCAGCCTCGCAGGTCAATCTCAGACTCTTGTGCTAGCAGTGAGCAAGGCTCTGCGGGCATGGGACCCACCCAGCCAGACACGGGAGGGAATCTTCTGGTCTGCCGGTTGCTAAGACCATTGGAAAAGTGCAGTATTTAGGTGGGATTGTACCATTTTTCCATCTGCAGTCTGTCACAGCTGCCCTTGGCTAGGAAAGGGAAATCCCCTGACCTCTTGCACTTACTTCCTGGGTGAGGTGATGCCCTGCCCTGCTTCAGCTCACCCTCCATGGGCTGCATCCACTGTCCAACTAGTCCCAGTGAGATGAACCAGGTACCTCAGTTGGAAATGCAGAAATCACCCGTCTTCTGCATTGATCTTGCTGGGAGCTGCAGACCAGAGCTGTTCCTATTTGGCCATCTTGGAAGTGACCACCAATACTCTCTTTTTAATATTGTACTCTGGCCTCCAATTTTCTTGTAAAGTTATATTTAGATTCATAAAAGTGATTGAAAATGTATTTCTTCATTTGATTGTCTGGCTTTGTCATCACTGAAAGTGAAAAACTAAAACATTAGTTTTGTTCTAGTACTTCATTCTATTTTATCTTTTTAACCTCTTTGTGAAGTAACTTATTCAGATCAATATCAGTGATTTATAAAGCTATTTCATTATCTGTAGCATTAAACAATTTGAAGATTAATCATCCTTCTATAAAAATACTGCTGTCTATAAATTAAGGTGTAAAAATTCTGTTTATTTTATACATAAATGTCACCATGCATATTACTAACTCGAGGAGCCAACATTCCACTTGGGTCATGTTTTTTATCTCACAAACTGAAAAGATCACATTTAGCTTGTACCATGTGGGGCCATCAATATTAATTGGATGAATTCCCAGTATGAGTCTTTTTATTTTAAAATGAATCATGATATATCTTTTATTAAGAATCAAGATAAAAATTCTGGGATTTTGCAAAGTTTTTGTTTATATATAATAAATATATTTCATTCTATATAAGTATGTTTCAAGACAGTGTGACTATATCTGCCAAATGACAAGCTTTTGAAATAAGAAATAAAAGCATATTGCATTTTCCACTATGGAGAACTATTTTGTTACTATGATTTTCTGTGGCTTTTTTATTAAAGAGAATTATAGATGAAAATGTAGCATAAAAGAAAAAAATTAAAATATCTGTTAACTAATTCTACAGTAAATATTAAAATTTCTACATCCAAAATAATTATATTTCAAATTTGTCTTTTTCTTCAGTATAAAAAGGTTTTCTGAGGATAATAGCTTTCAGCTTCATCCAAGTCCCTGCAAAAGACATAATCTCATTCCTTTTTATGGGTGCCTAGTATTCCATGTTGTATATTTACCACATTTTCTTTATCCAGTCTATCACTGATGGGCATTTGAGTTGATTCCATGTATTTGCTATTGTGAATAGTGCTGCAATGAACATACATGTGCACGTAACTTTATAATAGAATGATTTATATTCCTTTGGGTATATACTCAGTAATGGGATTGCTGGGTCAAACTAACGCAGGAACAGCAAACCAAGCACCGCATGTTCTCACTTATAGGTGGGAGCTGAACAATGAGAACGCATGGACACAGGGAGGGAAACAACACTTACTGGGGCCTGTCAGGGGAGGGTGGGATGGAGATAGCATTAGGGAAAACAGCTGAAGCACGCGAGGCTTAATACATAGGTGATGGGTTGATAGCAAACTACCATGGCACACAATTACCTATGTACAAAACCTGCACATCCTGCACATGTATCCTGAAATTTTAAAAATAAATAAATAAATAAATAAATAAATAAATAAATACAGTTTTTGAAAAAGAAAAAAAATAAAAAGAGGTTTTATATCTCACATTCACATGATGTTTGATAGATAATAAAGCATTTTTTATTAATAATCTATAAAACTCAGGAAGGATGGTTATTTCTTCAGTGCCTCTTATGGGTCTTGTGCAGTACCTACTATTACAGTTATTGTGTTTAAGGAAAATAGTTTTCAGAGCCAAATATGATTAAGGCACCCCTGGAAGAGAAGAGTAGGAGAAGTGCAGTCACATGTCCCTTAATGACGGGGATGTGTTCTGAGAAATGTGTGGTTAGGTGATTTTATCATTGCGTGAACAGCATAGAGTATACAAACCTAAATGCAACAGCCTACTACATGGTATGGCCTATTGCTCCTAGGCTACAAAACTGTACAGCATGTTACTGTTCTGAATACCGTAGGCAATTATAACACACTGGTAAGTACATGTGTATCTGAACATATCTAAACATAGAAAAGATACAGTAAAAATACAGTATAAAGGTTAAAAAAGGTACATCTATACAGGGCTCTGACCATGAATGGAGCTTGCTAAGACTGGATGTTGCTCTGGGTGAATCAGTGAGTCAGTAACAAGCGAATGTGGAGGCTTTGAACATTGTTATACATTACTGTGGACTTTATAAACACTGGACACTCAAGCTATGATAAATTTGTAAAGACCACTTTCTTTCTTCAAAAATAAATTAACTTAGTTTACTGTAACTTTTTTATAAACTTTTATTTTTTTAACTTTTTGGCTCTTTTATAATTACATGTAGCTTAAAACAAACACATTGTACAATTGTACAATATATTCTATTTTCTTATTGCATAAAGGTGTAAAGTCTTCTCTATTTTTATTTTTTTTCTGTTTAAACTTTTTGTTAAAAATGAATACAAAAACACACATGTTAGCCTAGGCCTATACAATGTCAACATCATCAATATTACTATTTTCCACCTCCACATCTTGTCCAAGTAGAAGGACTTCAAAGGCAATAACACACATGTAGCTATCAGCTCTGTTATCTCCTATGATAACAATGTCTTCTGGAATACCTCCTGAAAGGCTTGCTTGAGGCTCTTTCATAGCTAACTTTTTTTAAAATGTAAAATGAGTACGCTCTAAAATAACAATAAAAAGTATACTATAGTAAATATATAAACAAGTAACATAATTGTTTATTATCATCATCCAGTATTATGTACTGTACATAAGTGCATGTGCTACACTTTTATACAACTGGCAGTGTGGTAGGTTTGTTTACACCAGCATCACTGCAAACGTGTGAGTAATTTGTTGTACTACTACATTGTAATAGCTATAATGTCACTGGTGATAGGAAAAGGAAATTTTTAGCTCCATTATAATCTTATGGGACCACTGTTGTGCATGTGGTCCATCAACCAAAACGTTGTTATGGGGTGCATGACTGTAATCAAATTGGGAACATACAATAGTTCTGTTTTTATCATAGCTTTAATTCTCTTTCACCATTTTGATAGCATCACTTTCACATATGGGCTTTTCTCATTCCCTACTCTTCCCTTATAAACCCAAAATTGAATTTTAAGGTTGAATTTGACCAAGATTTGGGTAGAAAGTAACCTGTTAAGACAACAGTAGAAAATACGTCTCAGGTAGATCTCTAAACCCAAAGACAAACTTTTGAAAGACCATTGTCTCCATACTATAAGACATTTATGGAATCGCCTTAGCTGGTAGTAGAAAGCCACATTCAAGAGGGCTAATCCTGGCCCCAAATAGATCCACAGAGGCAGACAGACCTTTTCAGATAAGAGACCCCAAAGCAGTTAGTTAGATCATCAACATCTAAGAGTCGGGTGCAGGTGGGGTGTTTCATCCATTGGGATGAGCGTGAGTCTGTTTAGAGGCCATGCAAAGTTCGTGAGAAGACAAGGAGGCAAGTCAGAAGCACAGTTGTCCTAAAGGGCATGAGGCAGGGAAAGAAGTGAACACTTGAGAGACAAGAGTAAAAGTCACCCAGTCATGGACAATTGTGAGGCACAAAGCAGGGCCTTGACCACAGGTTAAAATCCTAACACTCAGACATGGGTGGATGGATATTCAAACTTCAAGCATTAGAAATTCTGATTTTAATGTGAACTATTCAACCCTTAGCCTGGAATCCTGCCTACTTCCCTGACATGGGATATGATTGGCCTTTAATCTGCACTACCGCTGAAACAGGCTCAGAGGACTTGAGCCTGGACTTGAGGTCAGCCAACCTAAGAGGGATACAAGCCTAACATACCCTCATTCAACTGCCCCTTCCTCATCTCCCTCTTTATAAAATTGGAAGGTTGTGTAAGATCATCTCTAAGGTATCTTGTTGGTCTGCAAGTCTCAACTTTTTTTTCATCTTTCTATTATTTTTTCACATCATCTTTGTAGAGATCAGCACTTCTTGAGGTCATCTAAATGACATGATCTGAAACTTCCGACTCGTTTAAATAGCAGAATTAATCCAGCCATAAAAATAGACAAAGGTCAACACGGTGTCTGAGCCTAAAAGAAAAAGACGAGGGAGGCTGTGATGAGAAAATTATACCTGACCTCACCCTTCCAGTTTCTTCGGCTTTAGTTTTTATAGGATGCTATATTTCTAGGGGAACCATTCGCATTTGTTGCAGGTAAATGCTTGTGTTCTGAATTTATTGAGACAGGTAGCAGAGTGTCAAGGTATAGGCCAAGGGTAACTAAAACAGGGAAAGAGAGCATTGGAGAGTGATGTACACAGATGCAAACTTTGTGGATTAGACATGTGGTGGGGGTGGGGAATGGACCATTTACAGAAAAATGTAACGGGCCATCTTTTAAACAAATGATAATAAAAGAAAGCAGCATATCATTTTTTGTCATTTCTTTTCTTCCTTAAATTTCTCCTGGGTTGCTAATAATTCCAAAGAAAATGAGTCTTTAAAATTATAATGCGTTGCATGTAACATTTTTGTTTTAGTATATGCTTAACTAATTTTTAAAGGGAGAAAACCCATAATTTTTACATAATATAAATTCAGTCTCTAACTGGGGCTTTAGGAAGCAGGCAGGTAGCTGTTCCATCCAGATGATATATTTTTTTATTCTAATATAAATGGTCAATGATATCTTTCATTTGAAAAACCAAGGGTTTAACTGAGCACAGATATTCTTATAAAAATTTTTAAAGTGCAAATAAAAACCTCTAAGTTAACATGCTTTTATAAGCCTCCTTTATAACAAGTATTCTCTCTTAGTACTGGTATAATAGCTTAGGAATGATTTTATTCTTAAATATTGAAAGCAGCAAATGAGAATGTTCTTCTGACTTAATCCTTTATAGAATATGTCACTATTTCCACTAAATTCCAGCTCATTCAAAGCACAGAGAAATAATAGGTGGCTTATATTTAAAAGCAAATGGGCTTTTGAATATTAGTCCATAATTTAAATAAGGTGCTCTTACAAATGTGTACATAAGTGTTTAACCTGGCTAATAACCTGCTAAATGAATGCAATTTCTATGTGTGTGTAAATTTAAGAGATATTCTCAAAAGAATGTAAAATAGCTGTTTCTTTAAAGTTGTTTTTGAGATAGTTGTAGATTTATATGAGTTTTAAGTAACAATACAGAGAGCTTTCATGTACCCTAGGCCAGTTTTCTCTAATAATAAGTTGCAGAACTATAATATTACAAACATTATACTGACATTGATCCAATCCATAAATGTTACTTGTATTTGTGTGTGTGTGTGTGCGTGTGTGTGTGTACGTGTGTTGATTTCTATTCATTTTTATCACATTGGTAGGCTTCCATATCCACCACCACAGTCAAGGTAAAGAACAGTTCCATCATCACAAGCATCCCTCATCTTGACCTTTAATAACTGCAAAGCCCATTTCTATCTCCAAAAGGCACAATGTCAAAATGAAGATTAAAAAAAAATAAGGAAATTGAGAATGGTAAGACTGTATAAAAAGAATTAGTAAGACACAAAAGAAGACAATGGGAAATAAACACAGATAATGGATGTCTTCACCTAGTTTGCCCCCAGAAAACAGTCTAGGATAAGGAATTTTATATCAGTAATTTCTTTTGAGAATTGAATAGAAGTAATAGAAGCAGAAAACTGGGAAGACAAAGAAATAGGATGTGGAAAAACCAATACAATGGTGGGTCTTTCAAGCTGGAAATCACTGAGGGCAACTGGGGTTTGACCCTACTGGGATGCTTTGAGGAATCAGGTAGAATGCATCACAGAATTCACTAGCCATGAGATAAAAAGGGGAGCTTGTACTTACCAGTGCCTACCACAGTCCCTCGTTGGGTTGATTAAGGGCTGACTCACGAGGAATTAACTTCCTCACACCTCTTGATATGCACAAAGTCAGTGCCAGACTGGTTCCTACGGACAGCCAGGCTGCAGCATCAGAGAAGGCACAGGTTGAGAGTCACTGGCATGTGGTGCATCTGAAACAAGATCTGTTAGGTTACCTTTGTGAAGTTGGTTGATACAACAAAAGGTGAGTAGGCAGTGGAAACTAGGTGGCACACAAGAGGTATCTAATATTTTGAGTTGCATAGGTGAGACAAAAGAACTAATGCTAAGTTATAAGCGAACTCCTTTCAGATAAGGCACCTGACTGAACTTCTGTGACTTACATCAAGTAACTCAGGAAACCAGCAATAAATTCTTTAAAACATCTTACTTAAGGCTTTGCTCAAATAGACTTTATGTATTACTCAGGGTTCTCCAGAGAAACCGATGAAGAAGATGAAGAGATAGATGATAGAGATGACAGATAGATAGATAGATAGATAGATAGATAGATAGATAGATAGATAGATAGATAGATAGATGATAGACGATAAATAGATGATAGATAGATAGATAGATAGATAGATAGATAGATAGATAGATAATAGATAGATAGAAATTTATTATAAAGAATTGGCTCATGCTATTATGGAGGCTAACAAGTCTAAAATCAGAAGAGCCAGCATCCAGTTCCAAGGCCATCATGCAGGAGAATTCTCTTACTTGGGAGAGAGTCAGCATTTTGTTCTATTCAGGCCTTCAACTTATTGGATGAGTCCCATCCACATCATGGAGGGCATCTGCTTTACTCAGTCTACCAATTTAAATATTAATCTCACCCAAAAATACCTCACAGAAATACCTAGCATAAGTTTTGACCAAATATCTGCATACCTTGTGGTCCAGTGAAGTTGACACATAAAATAAACCACCACACTGTACATTCTTTTTCTAGAAATGAATTTTTAAATGATTACAAGTGAATAGACATGGAGATCTCTTTTGTCAAATGTGATCATATGTAAAGTACTGTTTTAAAGTAGCAATGTATGAATGAGAAATAAGATAATGGAATTAATTTTAAAATCTTCATTTAAGTTAAACTGAACAATCGCGTTTCCTCTGTCACTAACGTTTTTAAATTATTTGGTTTGATGATTTTGTCTAATAAACAACTATACAAAATATAAGACTACACAATTATCAAACCAAATAAAAGTCAGTTTAAAACTATCAATAGGTTGGCTGGACTGAGATTTTAAAGCTTCCTAGAAAATTACCAAGTAGTATAAGCTAAAATTATGCTACATTAATCATTTTGGTGGTAGTTGGGAGACAGTAAGTTTGCATGTATAAAAGTTAAGTATAGGCAACTGATTGAGGTTTTAGCTTGATATTCATTGATAAAAAAAATTAGATTCAGTTGGTCATGGCCTTTAAAGGAAGACGGGGAAGAATCAGACTATTCATGAGCATAATGCAAAGAATTTCAAGGGCTGTAAATTAGAAATACAACCATAATAGAGTTCTCTTGTAGTAGTTTTCCAGCTCTGGTCATAAGTTCTCCCTTCTTTCAAACCAATATGAGTAGACTGATAAGTAGGTGACCACGTAGGAAAAACATGTCAGGCATTGAGCCCGTGTTCAAAAAGCTCTTTACTCCTACTCTGGACTAAGATAGTTGGTTTCCCAAAGAGACCATTAATTTGGTGCTTTTTCACACCAATATTTCAAAATGTTTAAACATTGTTCAACAGTTGTTTAGAATGAGAAGTGAGTAATTCATTCAGTAAGGCATGGGGTGGAAGTAAGCTGAATTTCTTGATATCGGCCTCCTCTCTATGGTAGATTGAACAATGGCACCCAAAGCTGTTCTAATCCAGAGAACTGTGACTACATTATCTTATATGGCAAAAGGGATTTTGAAGATATATCTAAGTTAAGGATTTTAAGATGAGGATGGATTTTCCTGAATTCCAGTGTGCTCAATATAATCACAAGGATCCTCATAAGAGGGAGGCAGGAGTGTCAGAGTGAGAGGAGGTGATGCAATGATGGAAACAAATGTCACAGTGATGCCACTGCTGGTGTCCAGAAACTGGAAAAGTCAAAGGCAAGAAATTGTCCCCACGCATTATAGCATCACTTGAGAACTCTTACCTCACTAGGTGAGACCAAATGAGACTCCTGACCTCCTCAGGGTGTCAAAATCGATCACATGAAAACATACAGCGTCCCCAAGAAAGGAGTGATGTCAAAAACATTTTCAACTTTTCCCAACATTTCCAGTGATATTTTAGAGCCATAGTGAAGCATTCTTGCCCCAAGAAACTAAACGCATGCCAGATTTGCCTCACCCTGAATCTACCAGAGTGGGAAGGTTGGAGGATAGCACACACATCCTTCCAAGATGTTCTGCCTTTTATTTTTTTAGTTTGTAATATATGTTCTGAAGCCGAGGCTGATTTGCTCAAGAAATCAGGAATAGATGGTTCTTGTTTATCATCACCTTGTCCTCTCCTAAATAGAGTAG
Source organism: Homo sapiens (assembly GCF_000001405.40). Taxonomy (NCBI): domain Eukaryota; kingdom Metazoa; phylum Chordata; class Mammalia; order Primates; family Hominidae; genus Homo; species Homo sapiens. Next base: position 12,117,379 of record NC_000005.10, on the reverse strand, counting down.
TCACTGCAAAAGTCACTGGATAGAATCAAAATAGAACTGGAGGAGAACTCAAATGCCATCTTCTCAATGAGGCTCACACCAATCATCCTATTTATACATTTCAACTCCCATGTCCTTTGCCTTTTCTTACTTTCTTTTTATCCTGTAGCATATATTGCCTTCTGACGCACTGTATGTTATCTTATTTAGTGTGCTTATTGGGTATGTACCTCTTCTCATACTAAAATGAAATTCATGGGTCAGGATGTTTGTCTCAGATCATTGATGTACCCAAAGCCCTGTAAGAGTTAAATAAACAGATGCATGAATGAATTAACATTGAAATTGCAGAGGCTGGCTGAGGGAAAGCACCTCATATAGTGACTTCTCTGCTTCACCTCTGGGTACAGTACCTTGTCTGGATTGTTAACCCTTTTAGGTGAGGGTGAACAAGGGTAAGGATGTGTCCCTGTTACTGGATTATTTTAGGTAGCCTTCTTTGAGGCTGTTTAATCTACAATGAAGATCCTTGCTGTCTGGCAGATAAGAACTAGAATATGTATGTAGACCATGATGGATATTTGAGAGTTAACCCCTCCTTGTCTGTGAAGCCTCTGTCTTACTCACAGTACAGCCCGAAGATCACCTATGCAGAAGGTACTTGCCTTGGTGTAATGTGAGTTAAGGGCCTAGGCCACTGCGTGATTAGTCAAAGAGGGTAATTTAGCTTAGATATGGCCTGAAAGGAATGAAATCGATACTGGATGGAACCTAGCTAACCCAATTTCTAAGTAAGATTAAATATCAGATGAGTGGAGAAAAATACAAACATTAAAGTAGAGAAGTAGCAAAATGGGATCTATAAGCAAGATAATAAGTAGGATCATGAGGCAGAAAAAAGATAACAGTCAGTGGTAATTTCTGAGACCTTTCAGAGCAGAAATTGGAGAGCTGAGTCACTAGCTGAAGTAGTTGAAGCACTAGATCAGGGAGTAGGAGAGCTTGCTGCTGAAGGAGCCAGAGTCAATCACAATACCAGAGTCTGTGTTGGACTATTGTTCACAACCTTGATCTAAATGATGGAGTCATGTTCTTTAAGGCCCTCTGGCAGGCTCGGAGACAGTTTCCTGCACCCATTACTTTTATTATTACTAACAAATTTGTAGCTTAGAACACAAAGTCAAGTAGCATTCTTAATTATCTTCTACAATAACTAAACATTATTTCCATTTCTCTCCCCCATTTAGAGGGATAGTAGAAACTTAAAATAGGTCACTTTCTAATTCCCACCTTTATCCCTTTCTCTAGAGTTGTGTCAAGTTCCAGGAGGCTTACAAGGGGCAAGCGTTTTGGCGGCACTGTGTATAAGAATAATAAGAGTGAAGAGATGGGAAGGAGGCCATCTTCATGAATTTCCACTGATTTATACTTACTGTAGAACTTACTGTAGATCCTCTTGAATCATGAGATCTCTTCATGTCTCTCTGCTACTTCTAAGCTGTCTTCACTTCTCAAGCCTTGAATGTTTGAAGTCATAACTGCTTGGATATACCACGAGCCATTCCTTCATTGGGGTCTTTCTGCACTGCTGAGCCTCTGCCTTGGAGAGGTGTTTCATTTTACTTCTGCCCTGGGATTCTCTAAACATGCCAAGGCATTTGACTACCCCTTTCCCACACACCTGGACTTCACACTCTTGTTGGAGTCAGAGGGTTCTTGCACAAAGCTCAGTGCTCTGCACTGAATATTACACATTTCCTTCCCAAATATTCACAGTTGTAAATATATTTTCAATATTCAAAACTGTCCACCAGAACTCTTAATCCTGCCAACTAGGATAATTTTCCTGAATCATGATCAGAAAGCCTTCACTAAATATTCTCTAAAATATATTATTCAAGCCCAGAAAGTTGTTCTTAATGCCCCCCATCTTCAACATCAAGATTTTGGAAACAAAGGCCAACAGTAGTTGTCTCTATATTCTGCTATGTCACCCCTTCTCTGAGATGATAAAGGTAGAGGACCCCAAATTTTGAATGGGGCAAAGGGCCTGGGGTACAGGGTAACATTGAAGGAGAAACTTTGATTAACATTTTGATATAAATATGCTTAAATATTTGCATTAATTACGGAAAATGATGTAACCTAAATACTATGAATTTCTTAAAATAAGGAAGATCCCAATCGACCTCATATGAAAGGATTTTCCTCTGTGAATCTTAGTAGAGATTTTAGTGAGCCAACTACACTGTTCTGGGTATAGTTTCTCACATGAGATTCCTAAAACTGAATCATTAGTTACACATGCATACTTAAATCTGAAAAAGTGAAATAATGTTTAACTGCCACCAAAATGTATTATTTGAATAATAAATAATACTAATAAAGTATAATCATTTGATATCTTTTACATTTGCATATGGTCGCAATAATTTTCTCTGGCAATAGAAATCTTTCATATTCCAGAGTTTGAGAATTAATTATAATAACTGCAATCAAATGTTAGTATTGCACATTGGTATTTACAAAGTACTCCTTAATATATTGTTGCATTCTATTTTTATGGAAGAAATTGATAACTTTAAGGGAACCAAATTTAAAGTGGTAAATTACTTTATTTTTTTCCTAAAATGAAGTGTGTAACTGGGAGTAGAGTAAGTTACCCTGGTGCTCAGTCCAGTAGTAACTTTAAGGAAACTAAATTGTTATAATAATTTCCAAAGCTAAAGAGATTTACCTCCTTCACCTTGCAAGACTTATTTGATATACTAGCATCAAATCCTGGCTCAATTCCACTCCAGAGTTAGATATATTTCAATCTGTTAACATTTTTAGCAGTCTTTGGTTGACTACACACATAATCTGGAGGATGGTTTATTGCATATAAAGTATCTATTTTTAAGCAGTTTTCTCTGTGATTGGTTTTTCAAGTAATTACTTCTATTAAAGTCTAATATTTCATGTCTTCTCTTTCCACATCTATTTGTAACATGGTTGCATTACTTATTTTGTATTCTAAGAAGACATTCCTTTTCCCAAGGTTTTCTATGTTTCCTCCTGCTTACATTGCAACCATATTCAGAACTTAAACAATTCATCAAGACTCTGACACCTTGCCAGTCTAATTCAGAAAAGGCAGCCATGTTTTAATCAACAAAGCTTAAAGAGACAGAAAGAAAGGAAGATTTCACTTCTCTAGGGGTTTGTTGTATATATTCTTTTTTTAGACACAATTTCTTTCAGTCAATCTTGAAGCACAGGTTACATAAGAAATATGTTAGTCAAATAACTAAAAAATATTGGAGAAAATGGAGTTGCAATTTACGCACTTAGTATTTTCCTTGCTAACGTCAATGAAAGGAATTAATTTTGCATTCACGAGCATGAAATACAGCTATACAAAAACATATAATTTGGTATATTTATGGCATAATTTGTTCTCTAAAATTAAAAAGTTATCTACTTCATTAAATCTAATGAATCAGTATAATAGGCATCTTCACATATAATTATACTGGAAAGCACAAAGAAGGAGGGAGAGAGAGAGAGACATACACACACACAGAGAGAGAGAGAGAGAGACAAAGAGAGGGGAAATTGTATTATTTGACTATCATTTTCTTTTTTATGGTATTATACATATATGTTAGATTTGCTTCATTAAAGTTCCTTGCAGTCTCTCTCTCAGTCTCTGTCTCTGCATGTGTGTGTACATGTGTGTATTCTTATCTCAGAAGGGGTCGGAGAAAAGAGTTGACATAGATAATAAATGTTCAAAGAATTAGGCCAATACAATGAAGGTATCATCTCATATTTCATATTTAGAGGGTAGATCTGAAAATAACAGGACTGCAGATAATTTTATGGTACACAAAAGTAACCATTTTATTATCTGCAAATCTCATATAACATATTTTATTCAATCTGCTTCACTAACCTACAATGTACATCACATGAATTTGTCCTATCAGATTCTCAAACACTTTTAATTTGGTGACTGTAGCCGATACACAAAGTAACTGTGTTCCCAAGAAGAATTTAACATTTCTCATGAGATTAGAAGATACATTTCTACAGTGTGAGTGAGAGAATGTAGCAATGCTGATATCCCTACAAATCAATCTGGGCATAGAACTTGTTTGGTGAAAGGAGGAGAATATTGATTTAATGTTGGGCTTGTTCAACTGATTTTCATTTGTCCAGTGGCCAAGTAGGAATATTAGGCAGACAATTACATGCATGGGAATGGGGATTAGATAAAAACCTCGACTGGCCTGTCGAGCAGACTTAGAAATAGTATCAGTTGATGAGGTCATAAAGGTATTACTTTCCATAGAATTTCTTTACACTGGACCTAGATTTGAGGGGAGTAATTCACTGTGGTACAATAATACATTTCTGTGATTCCAAGTCTCACCTTTTATTCACTTTGACATCTTTGAAATTTTCTTATAAGACTGTACACACATACATAGATGTATTTATGTGCATAGACATACAGTACCCCTTATTATTGATGTCACTATAGAATCAAGGAAATGTAGTCGTATTTTGTATTTCCACTTGATATAATTTTAAATTCTCATTAGGAGAAGCATAGCTGCCCAAACCAAGTATTTGGGGACAAGTTTTTAACTTGACAAAGGTCTTCCAACTCTCCAAACTTTATGGCATGTGGATTTCAAATACTGCAAGTAACAGGTGGAAATGTTATCTAGGGAGTCAGCAGGTTGAGGCCTGTTATGGTCTCAATGTGTCTCTCAAATTATAGTATTAATAGATGAGGCTTTAGGAGGTAATTAAACCATGAGGATGAAGCACTCATGATTGGGATTAGAGCCTTTACACAGGACTGTGAGGGGATGGGTTTGTTCTCTTCTGCTCTTCCACCATATGAGGACACAGAATTTGTCCTTTTTTGCCCTATCTCTCTCACCACATGAGGACACTGAGACAGCACCGTCTCTGAGGAACAGGCCTTCTCCAGACACTGAACCTACTGACACCTTGATCTTGAACTTCCTAGCTTCCAGAACTGTGGAAACAAATCTAGAAATAAATTTCCATTCTTTATAGACTACCCAGCCTCTGGTGCATTGTCGGAGCAGCACAAACAGACTATCACAAAGCCCATGCCCTTTCCTTTAGAGACTCAAAGCTATTGTGACAGTCTTTAACTGAAGTAGTTCCAAGCAAGATGAATAGTCTGCCTATTCACTATCAGTGGTTTTGAGGAAGTCAAGAGACTGGAGGGAAAATAAAATATTGTGTATAGCACTCAGGTGCTAGCCCTGGTGACTGGGTGAATGATGCCATTACATGATATGGAGAATACCAAATAAGCCAGGGGAGAAATTGGGAGAGGAGAGTAATTCAGCCCGAAAATTGTGAATTCAAATGGAAAATGAAAGTTAATGTTTCTGCAAAAAATGTTGTTGATATAGAATGTAACAGCTAACTGTTGATACGCTATACATTTAAAGAAAGTGTATAGTAAGAGCTTACAAATAATTTCTGAACAAATTTTAGGAAGTTTTGTGTACATATTCTTTAGTTACAGGGCTATGAATATATTTTTATAAAGGCAATCATGTCTTAAATTCTAGATCCATACTGTCCAATATTTTCAGATTTCTTATTCTTTACATTTTAGATGTGTTCCTCCAATATAATAAGGTTGCTCTTTAATTTGAGAATTTGGTCCATTTGTAATTAAATAACTTACTTAGATGAGTATGGAATCACGTCTATTTATCTTATTCTTGACGTTTACTCTTCCTTTTCTTTTTTCTTTTAACTTCTCTTGGGTTGTTTTTTCAGTATTCTATTTACTCTGGTTGGCTTGGTAGATTTACAAGATTTGCAAGATTACAAGTTTGTTTTACTATGCTTTTTAATGATTACCCAGCAATTATAGCACATGTCCTTGAGTTATCAAAGTTTAGTACCTTTACTGCTTCTCATATCAGACAATTTCCTTTAACTACCTTCATTTCTTTTGTCTTCTTCCTGACTTACAGCCTACCTCTCTCATGTGATTTGATTCTTTTAACTTAGTTCTCTTTTCTCATTATTGGGGGTTTCTCCACAAGTCATAATCACCATAGTTCTAACAGACAATATCTGTTTATATTTATTAATATATTTGCCATTTCAAATGCTCTTCTTTCAAGTTTGCATCTTCAAGCTTTTATCCAGCATCATTGCCCTTCTCCCTAAAAAATATAGTTATTTAATGTACTTCTACTAGTGACAAATCCTGTGCCACTTAATTTCTCTAAAAATGCCTATCTTTATTTTCTGAAAGATATTCTCATGGGTTTAAATTCTAAATCAGCTGACATCTGCTTTTCCCTCTTTGAAGCTCCTGTTCTGTTGTCTTCTGGCCTCCCTGCCTCTCTGGGGAAGTCCAGGGTGGCCTTCCTGTCATCCTTTTGAAGGTATTGTGCCTTTTTTTCTCACTTCTTTTAAGATTTTTAAAAACAAATATGTTTTCCAAATCTTGATCTTGAGTATATGCTTTCTAGTTAATCATTAACTTTGGGGACAGTAAAAAAAAAAAAAAGCTGTTTAGCGATCTCTGGCAATTCTCTGTCCCATTTTCAATACATTTGAGAAAGGAGTTATAGTTACAATACACTGACAAACGGAAGACATTTTTGTCCCACCAAGCTTATTTCGAGTAGCTCTTTAGTTCACTGTTCTCTTGCCACCAGACCATGAAGGGTCTCATTTTCTCTTCTCTCTTATTTATGAGGGGAATTTAAGTAGAATCTTGTATTATTCATGTCAAAAATGATCATCCACATTCAAAACTTCTCTCAAATAAAATATATTGAATGTCTTCTCAAAATCAGTCAATAAATTAAACAGTATGCTTTCTTCATAATGTTTACTTAAAGTGTTGGTCTGTTTGATAATTAAATTATTTTTAATTAAATATTAGCCATCCATATGTGCCTTCCAGGTAATTGTAAGTAAAGTCTCTAATTACAAAACAATGTGTGAAACTTCCCAGTGACTTGTCACCAAGTTCTTTACAAGGCAGGAATGGGATTCTGGAATGCGCTGATGGCCTGGCTGTTCTCTTTGTCCCTAGTATGTTTGTGTTGTGCATGTGTGCACATGCACATGTGTGGATGTGTGTCAGTTACTTCTAAATTTTTTAAAGTTTGACTGAGAACTCCACTATAAGCTTTAGCTTCTCTGCTATGAAGGACCTCTGAAAGCCATATTTTTCTGTGAGTGCACAGTATAGTCAGTTCAACATTTGATTTAATGTAAAGAGAAAACATTCGTTAAAGATAATGTACTAACAAATATATATATATACATATATATTTCAAATATATATAGGTCAAATATAAAATAAATAATTAGATGCACAGAAGTACAGGATTACAGAGATGACTAACATAAATTTTAAAGATTCACCATTTACTACATATACGTTCAATGTTACAATTTCCACTACCATGAATAATATGTCCAATGAGCAAATATTAAACTAATGTATAATAATATCATCATATACTTACTATCTAAACCTAGACATGTTTTCTTCTAAATTCATAGCTCATAGTATTTGATAGTCTCTGGCTCTTACTGTTACTTGTTGCCTGTTTATGAAGCATCCAGAATTTCCAGAGTGATTATTTTCTAGCCATTAATTTCACAACAGTGACAACAATGATCATGTTTGGTGCATCAATCTCCTGCTGAGAGCTGTCCACACTCTGATTTTCATATAGCCTTCCTCTTTGAAATAACCATCTCGCTTTCTATCTCTGTCGCTGTAGGTCTATATTCTGATAACTTAGGTCACACTGTCAGGTCATACCGGACAGTTTACTTTAAAAGTAAATAGGCCTCCAAAATAACTGGCCGTGTGACAGTCTTGTGATTCATGGTGACCTTCTGTCCCTGAGTAAAGAATCTTATCATTAGTTTCTCAAATTGTTGATGTACAGATTAATGCATAACCTAAGGACACTGAGAAGGACCCTGATTTATTTCTGAAACATGAAGTTTTACTGACTCTCTTGCAGGTAGACATTTTAGCTTGTATGTTGCAATCTGTATACAATGATTGTAACCTCTGTATCACACTCTCAAACCAGAAGGGACAACTCTGGTATGAAGCCTCTCCTCCCTCTCCTAAAGTTTCCTATTCACACCTTCCAACTTGTAACAGATTCTGGAAATTCCTAACCTTTTCGGTGTGTCTTCCCAGGTCAGTCCTCACATTTGGCTTCCAATAAACCTTTATCAAATTATTTCTGCCTCAACAGCTATAATTTGGGTCACAATTCCAAACTGATAAAACCTGAATGATTTTTTTCAACGTATTCTTCCTAATTTACCACATACGTTACAACATTTTCATGACTAGTCATTTATCACTTAGATTAAAACAAAAATTTTCCAAAATTTACTGATACAGTGCTTAGCAAAGTAAAGATTTAGGCCTCTGAACATGACAGGACTGTTTCAAGATGTAAAGACAGTGTGCTTTATGCCATAAATATTTATTTTAAGAGAGCATAAAAATCTCACCTTCATTTCCAAAATTTAGTCCAAAGTAGTAAATGTAAAATTTTATCGTACAATTTATTTATTATTTAGAAATAACCTGTTTTTCTATATATGCTCACATTTTAGATCTTGTGTGCCTGAGTCAATTAAATGATTAAACTATATTAATCTCAATCAGTGTTTGGGGTTTAGGACATCAGTTTAGAAGTATAAATGATTTAACGTACTTGAGTTTAGTCACTAGGAACTTCCAGCAATATTACAGAAAGTCAAAGGAGATTACAGACATGCACATTTTTCAAAGACCAGAACCATATTATTAATTAACATTAAACTCAAAGGAATGTTGATACTTCAATTATGTTAAAAACTGCTGATCGGGAAATGATGAATCAGAGTCAAAAACATAAGTACGAGCGCGGTCACCATTAAGCAGTTACTGAATATTTTATCTAAATGTTAAGAGCTTTTTGGTATAGTGATTACATATTCAGAAAGGTTACTGGTGAACACTAGGATCTCAAAAACAGTTTCATTAAAAATAATACAACATTAGAGAATTTGTGTTTAACTGGGGATTTTTTAACTTAAGGAAACAGTATCATCCTTGGCCTCCACCAATGATGGAAGACACTAGTAGTTCCCAGTTACATACAAATTGAATGTCTCCAGTCATTGTCAAATGTGTCCTAGAAGGCAATATTGCCCTGGGTTGAGAAACATTGTTTTTAGATAAAAGTCAAAAAAGTTTCCTAAATTCTTACCATGTGCTGAAATTTTATTAACTTGCCTAATATTAAGATATTTGATATACTGTATCTTTAACTAGGGGCTAAACTGCATTTTAAAAAAACCACATTTCTTTGCTACAACAAATGTCTAACTGTAAAGATTATTCAATCCTTCTTGCCTGGGAATCACCTGTTCCAAAAATTAGTGTCCCAGGGAACACCAATCAATCTTTCTCTAATGGGCATCAGCAATCTGCTGAAAATTCCACATTAGTGAAGTAAACTCCCCTGTTGTAAGTACAGTTGTCCCTCAGTATCCATAGGGGATTTTCTGGGACCTTCCACAGATACCAAAACCCACTGATGCTCAAGTTTATATAAAATGGCATAGTATTTGCATATAACCTCTGCACATTCTCTTTTTACTAATTGTATTAAGTATTATAAGTAATCAGTTGGTACTGATACTTTGTACTAATTGTATTAAGTATTATAAGTAATCTAGTTGGTATACTCAATACCATTTTATTAGGCATTATATTATAAATATACTATATATTATAAATATATTATAAATCTTATAATACCTAACACAATGTAAATTCCTCATAAATAGTTGTTTAGGGAATTGTTTAGGGAATAATGTATTGTATAGGGAATTGTATGTATTGTTCAGGGAATAATGACAAGAAAAATGTCTATACATGTTCAGTACAGATTCAACCATCTTTCTTTTGTTGAATATTCTCTTTAATTATATATATACTGTAGACTGTTCTGTCAGAATTTTATAATATACTGCCATTGATCTGCTGTGGTGGTTGTGAGAGGGTATGAAAGCAAGTTAAAAGAGTATGGTCCCATCTCAACAAAGGAATTACTATATTCAGTAAACCAAGCTATATATTTTCAAAAGATATACAATAGATAGAAGAACATGAACATCTGGAAGATCCCCAAACTAACAGCAATTCCAACTAGTGCAAGCATGGGTGAAAGATTACATACACTGCATCTAAATTCTTCTAGGTTGCTTTTGAAGTGTCATTAATTGATGTGTTATGTGACTAAAATATAGTAATTATTTTGTATACCAAATGAATAATGGACATTTTAACAATAACTAGAATAGAAAATATTTATTAAGAAATTTCTATTTGTCAGACTCTTTGGTGCATACTTTAGAAGATTTGCCTTATTTCAAAACAACCACATCACATAGCTAATATGATTATCCTTATTGTACAGGTAAAGAAACGATGGCAGAGTGAAGCTAAGTAAATTGCCCAAGGCTGAATTACTGATAAGTGACAGAGCCTGAATTCCAAATAATGCACCCTATCCCCAGAATTCTGCTTTTAACCTGTAGGGTATTCTATATGACACATTACAATAATACTGTGATGTGGATACCCATTTTTCATCTTAACAACCTAAGAAATATTATAAGCAACAAATTATTGAGGAATGATGGTTAGCTGAACAAGGAGCGAGAGCAATTTTACAGGTGTGTTTCCTTGACCGACTTGATGAATACCATGACTGACTTCACTTGCAGATTGTATACAACATACAATTATTTGGTTAAATTGAGCAAACATTTTCACACATTATGAATTTCCAGTTTACAAAAATAAACAATTTTATTTCTACTCTTCATGACACTTGCTTTATAATAGACCTTCCATATGCCTATACCCTGCAATTCACAATCAATATTTAATAGTTTTAGATAACCATCTGTTATGGTTGAATTGCGTCCCCCAAAAGGATATGTTGAAATCCTAACCCCCAGTCCTCAGAACGTGATATTGTTTGGGAAAAGGGTCATAGCAGATATAATTGGCTAAATTGAGTGATAACTACAGTGTGATGGACCTTTAATCCACTATGACTGGTGTCCTTTTATAAGACGGAAATTTGGACACACACACACACACAAGAGAGCAGTATGTGAAGACACACACACAGAGGAGAAAGCCATATGAAGACAGAAATCAAGCTTTGGAGTCATGCTGCCACAAACCGAGGAATGCCTGAGACTATCAGAACCTGAAAAATACAAGGAAGGATCCTTCCCCAGAGGCTAGAGAAGAAATAAGGTCTAGCCAACACCTTGATTTTGGACTTGTGGCTCCAGAACTCTGAGTGAATATATTTTTGTTTATTTTAGCCACCCAGTCTGTGGTATTTTGTTATGAAAGTCCTAGGAAACTAATTCAACATCGAAATAATTCATCACTGAACTAATATTTAGAATAATCATTCTTTAAAAATGAAGTTTCTAGAATAATATTGGAAAATGATACTTCTTGACTGAATCAACAGATTGTAATGTGTTAAGGGAATTTTCTTAGCATGATGAAATCAACGTAAACATCACAACCCTTAGCTCTTAACTGTGGATTAATCATATCGGACAGTTTATAGTCTGAAGTACAAACCACCTGCAAGTAAGCTCATGAAGCCTTTTTACTAAGTGATAAAAGATAACACGCAATGCATTTCTTCCCATCAGGAAGAGGAATAGCTGTCCATAAACTAGCTGTCCATTTCCTTAGGGGATCAAAACAGATTTCTGGCATCCCTGGGAACCTGGAAGGACAACAGCAATTGGCATGGGAGAGCAGAAAATGGGTGACCTATCATCTTCTCTTCAGAGTGCTAGGACTTACTGGGTTAGAGATGCTGTGTAACCAAAGAACATGAAGCAATTTGGTATATATTTGGGCAACTACATTGCTGATGTTTATGAGAAAAAAATATTATTTGACAAATTAATGCGATTAGAAACATCAGAGATGTCAGCATCTTCTCCCTTGCAAATATATAGCAGAGACATCAAGTATAGTATCTTGAGAATTTTCCTAAGGGCAGTAACCAAATGAAAAATTTAAAAGTTCCTAAATAGAGGTCATCCCCAAGCCTAAACCAAAATATTTCAAACATAGATCTCAAATTAGTAGCTCTGGCATTTTCAATCCACAGGATCTTTTAGATAACGCACTGCTCTAGATACCGCTTTGTAAGAGCCGGGCAATATGTTTAACTTAATGGCCAATAATTTAATCTATGGTACACACTGTATACCAAAGTTATATATTCTTACTTTATTGTCTGCATGGAAATATTTTCGACTTGCAATACATTAAGTTAGACATACAAAATAGTATTATAACCTTTTTTAAAAAAGATTTTTTAAACACTCTAAGTATGCACCAAAATATTATGTAAAGTACAACCTTTTGTAAAAGGAACTGTCAAAACAGTTTGGCTAAACTTAACTGAAAATTACTATCTCACTTTGCAGTTCTATGAAAAGACATTTAATGGGCTCATGATCAGAGATTTATAATAGGTACTAAATGACTATCTGACCAAAGATTTAACGTAGTACAATTATGTGAAAGGATAAACTGCACGCTATAATTTTAGATCATGTTGATTTGAGGATAATGCTAAGGCAAATGAAAATTTTTAATGGATGATCACTACAAAATTATTTTATAACTTTCAGTTATAGAAATGTATTTGGTGTTTAGAACCCTGGTTAGGTAATGTTAGACTTTAATTTGTTGCAAGGCAAGTGGCTGGTTATATGTAATATTAAGATAATATGTAAGGACTAGAAAGAAAATATTCAGTCTTCTAAGTGATTATATTTAATTCTATAGAAAAGAATCTCATTTTATTTAAATAAATTTTATATCAAAAGCATCAAGCCTTATATTAATAACTTATTGATACAGAGAAATACTGTTAAATTTTGAACAAGAGGATTAATAAAGTCGAGGCCTAGAAAGCCAAACTATTATTTTACATCTATTGGCAAATATGTGTGTGTGTCTGTGTGTGTGTCTGTGTGTGTGTGTGCATGCATGTGTGTGTGTATGAGAGACAGAGAGAGATTTTTATGTTGCCTGCTCATTTCACCTACTTAACTAAAAAACAACATAAGATCATAATTTCCTCTAAAAGCAATCATCCTAGTTGATGGTTTAGATGGATAATGAAATGTAAGGAGGCAAAACTAGGGAGTGGGGTATCAGCTGGGAGCCTGCTGTAGTTGTATGTAGACCAAGGATTGTGGCTTGGGCCAGGATGCTGGCAGAGATATGAATAAAAGAAATGAAACATACATGTGATGAAGAATCAAAAGAGCCTGATGGTCAATGAGAGAGACAGAAGGGCCAAGAATGACCTCTAGATTTCTGGCAGGTGCAACCAAATTGATGGTGATATCATCCACTAAAATGAATATCACCGGAAATTTGAATCACTGACTATTGTGTGTAAAGTTCTTGACCATCACTTATAATAAGGAAAATGCAAATTAACAGGAAAGTAAGTTATTGCATCACTCTCAACTTTCTACAACCATTTGTTGATGGTGGTGAGAAAAAGGGGACACTAATATGCAGCCAGTGAAAATATTAATTGATAAAACCTCCTCAAGGAGCAATTAGAAAACATTTAGTGAAATTAAAGATGCAAATACCCTATGACCTGGCAATTCAGTGTTGTGTCCTGAAGAAACACTCCCGCGTTGGCCCAAGGAAACACATCCGGGCATCTGCACCATAGCATTGTTTGTTGTAGCAAAGTAGGGGACCTGCTTATTTCCTTCTCAGCAAGAATTACACAAGTAAGTATAATTGCTTCAAACAATGGAATATTCCATAACAGTAGCAAGAAATAAATTGGGCCTATATGTGCTAACATGGATAAATAACTAAAATGTAATATAAAGTTCAGAGGTTGCAGAAGGATATGTACATTATCATACAGCTTATGTAAGTTCTAAAAGCATAAAACAATACTATGTATTGTTAATAGTAATACAAATTACAAAATGGCACTTGGGAATGATTAGCACCTGTATTATGGTAATAATTACCACTAGGGAAGAAAGAAAGGGGTGGGGGAGCTACATATACAATACAAAAAAAATCTAAGAATTCAAAATAATAGTTTCGGGTAGGTAAAATTATTAATGAATTTTATTGCCATTATTATATACTTCTGTATTGTTGGCATTTTAATAATTTTAATAAATAATAAAATATTCACTAAAAATTATCTCAACAATTTTTATGTTGAGAATTACCGCCATCTTACTCCACACATATCCTTCAATATGGTGTTTTGCAAAATAAAGCACACACATTATTTCAAGAAATATGCATACCGTCACCATCCTAGACATGTGTGCAATGTCATGATACTTGCGTTTGCCACTAAGTGTCCAGTAGCTACGCACTGATGAGGAGTTTTTGTTGTCATGGTCTCACATGTTTCTGTCACTTCTACAAGCTCTGCAGCAACTGCAGTGGAGATCAGTTATTTCAGCATTAGTCAAATCCAATTTGTCAGTTTCAAGTCCTCAATCTATCATTACATTTGAGGTTAGGAAATCAGACAAAAAGTTGTGAAGTGCCCAAAATCAGAATAAAAAGCCAAGTTTTATAATGTCTAGTGCTTTTAGAAAACTATGGCCAGAGATAAGACAAACTTGATTACTCAGCTTGGCTATGACCCTCATCCCCTGTGAGACTTTCTTTCTAAATTAAAAGTCATTTAATCTTGGCAAGGTGCAATTTCCTCGTTGCGGGTACTGACAGCATCTCTGCTCTGTCTACATGTTTTACATACTTGTCTCATTTAATTCCTAAACAACTATGAGAGGAAATATTGTCACTGTCTGATATACAGAGAAACATATATTTACCAACCTAATGTCCCCAAGTTGGTAAGCGTTCCAGAGACATCTCAGCCATGTTTTGGACCATCTGCCTCCCATTCTTATGATCAAGACACAGCATTTGGTCTGTTGAATGCAAAGCATATGTAAGATTTATGCAAATAAAGTCAAAGAAGTGTTCAAAAAAGAGAACTTTAAAGCATACTACAATGATTATCTTATCAATATTAGCATACTGTTAAATCAAACATAATCTTCTGAGAGCCAAATCTCAGATAAAGCAGTGAATAGTTGGATAGGTGTTTGCACTCACCTTACATAGAGCTTTTAAAATAATAACAATTTCATGTCATGATTATTTAGTATCATCTTATTTGTCTTGCTCAATTCCTCATCATTTCCTCCCTTTTCAGTCCTTTTCCCACACCTACCATGCCAAAAATGTTTCTTTGCAGGTGTAGCTAGTGGCGGATTGCACTTAGGTAATAAAAGGCTTTATTAACTATAACTCGTTTTGCCCTATAGTAAACCTGGAATCGTGAAACTTGCTCTGGGTCACACTCACAAATAAAACAATCAATGGATATGTATGCATGAATACTAAGGTGTGAGTATTGGGGTTAGATCAAGGACACTTAATATGTAACTGTGCTGAATAGTGGACTCTAGGGGAAAACAAGTGACTAAGCCTGTTATATTTTTTCATGATTGAATGCTCTCTTAAGGTTATCTTTGTAGAAGTACTGAGTCCTTAACACTTGCAAAATTATATACCTTTCAAAAATCATCAAGCTCATTTCATAACTGTATTTTGAGAACTTTTTGCCTTGGGTTTTTACCTCCAAAAATCTTTTACGTTTTGAACATGATATAAATATAAATCTCTGTGGTGAGGATCTTCATTATTTATGTTTCTGATGATTTCTAAGCAAAATAATTTCACTCTAGGGTAGGCATGATGATAAATTTTATTGTCCCAGAGAATATTGATAATTTAAGTTCTGTGCACTCTGAAGTTCCTTATTGATTCTGCTTAACCCTCAGGATCCAATTTAAAATGAAATCTTCTTGCTTGCAATAGAGATATGGAAAATGTTTTAAGAGTGGAGAAATCACGATAATATATACATAAATATTATTTCATTTTATATTCATCATTCCTTCTTAATTCCTTATCTAGTCTTTCTTTTGTTGTTGTCAGGAGTAGAGCCCCAGGTACTATTTTAAGGATTTTGGAAAAATTGGAATTAACCTAGGGTACCAATTCTGTCCCTGAGTTTCAACTTTGATTTCTCTGGGCTTCAGTAATTCTCAAGAAATTGGAAGGTCTAAAAAAAGTTAGTAAGTTTGGAGAGCTTTCAGAACTAAAGTTATTTCTAGGTGAGAAGGAGGGTCCTTGTTGTATCGTCTTTACACTGAAATTTATAGTTTGAATTTAGAATCACCTTTTTCCCACAAGTACCTTTATTTATGTTTATTTAACAAAGACTATTCTAAGCACTTTACATATGAAAACAAATTTGAGTATCTCATTACTGAGGTAGGCACTACTCTATGCCCATTTTAAAGATTAAAAATCTGAGAAGCAGAGAGCTGGGGTATCTGTCAAACATCATATCACCTGCTAGAAGAAAGTCCAGGCAGCCTGCCTCAAGAACTTATGCCCAGAACTCCTCATGCTGACCCACAGGGGGAGTTTTCTTGAGGTTTTGGTGCACATTATTGTCTACAGTATTGCAATAATCTAAAATAAAACTAAAGTGCCCTCTAGTTTTGAGAATGTTTTCATTTGGTGGGATTTTGTCTCATTTATGAAAGGGATTCCTTCTCTTTCTACTAAGAACATGGTAGTCTGCATCCTCATCTTTCTGGATTATAGCACTGCCAGCCTTGCCTGCCTTCCTCTCGTCCTTCATCACAATCAGAGCAGAGGAAATAATGATGCCTGTTCCTCTACAATGTGTTCAGAATTAATCACTTAGTATTTTCCTGCTACCTAACATTAGTTCTATTCATTTTCTTTTTCTGCTACTCAAGTCTCTCTTCATCTATCATTGCTTACTCTTGTTTAAAGGCAATTTTAAATATCAATGCCTGGTTCCTTCTTGCTTTGGAAAAATAATGGATTTTTCCTGACAAGAGCCTGGAGCACTTTCAGCCTCACCTTTTACTGCTATTCTTCGTGCCAATCTTGGTGAAGACAATAAACTGTATAAAGAAGGCCTTCCTTTGAGATCCCGTCACCTCCACCCAAACCCCACCTCCATGGGAAACGCGTTGCTGTCACATGCTCTTCTTTTTCCTCCTTGTCTAGTCTTACTTGCCTGTTGTCTGACCCTGCCAGACCCACTCTCTTTTTATCATGATCTCAAACTAAGCCAAGAAACTGATCTTGTGAGTTCATAAACAGGGATAAAAAATTCACCCTTTCCAAATTAAATAGAACCTGCCTTCTGACTTTCTCTTTCCTCATAATGCCATTGTAAATGTCCAAAGTTAAAGTAACCTGGCCCACTCTAATTATAGTCCAAAGTTACAGTATTCTGAACCATTGTTACTTTTTCTTGATGTGTATTTACCTGTTAATTCATGAAAAGTGTGCATTTAAAATCTCACTCATCTATCTTGTTTCCAGATTTTACTATGTCTCCCCTGCACTACCATAACATGGTTTTTAACTGGCTTGTTGAAAGGCCTCATATCTCTATCTACACTGTCAGTTATTTAATATTTTTAAAAATATTTTTGATACCAACTCTGTGCACATAGGCAAACAAAGTTCTTGTTAAACAAAGTTTAATAATACATTATCTTTTCTCTTTAGAAAGCTTGGTAGCCGAGAGAGAGTGTGTGAGTGTGTGTGTGAGTGTGTGTGAGTGTGTGTGTGTGACTGTGTGTGACTGTGTGCGTGTAAGTGTATGTGAGAGTGTGTGTGAGTGTGTGAGAGTGTGTGAGTGTGCGTGTAATGTGTGTGGGAGTGTGTGTGTGAGAGTGTGAAAGTGTGAGGGTGTCAGTGTGTGTGAGTGTGTGTGAGAGAGTGTGTGTGTGAGTGTGTGTACCTGTACTCAGGCTTCACACAGCAGGTGTGGGAATCTATATTCAATTAAACACGGATTTAATTATTATATGCCTTTACTAAAAACATTAGTAAGTCTTTGTTTTCCATTGAATTAAGTGAATACCATGTATTCTGACCTTAGAGCCTCAAATTTTACAAATCTCCTAGATACACCAAACCTCATGACATATGGCATTCAAACTAGACTCTTCTTTTTCTGGAATGGCCCTCAGCTTTCCCCCTCTCCCTACATGTGCTGAAAACTCTTCCTCTTCTTCCTGCCACAACTGACTTCTTTGTTAAGTCTTGGGCTGCCTGTTTTACATCCTTCAAACACCATCTTCCTACAAGAAGGGCTGTCTTCCATCATGCCGCCCTACTTCAAACTATATTACCAGCCTACAGTAAGCAAAACAGCATGCTACTAGTACAAAAACAGGCACATAGACCAATGAAACAGAATAAATAACTCAGAAATAAGACTGCACACCTACAACCATCTGACCTTCAGCAAACCTGACAAAAACAAGCAATGGGAAAAGGATTCCCTCTTTAATAAATGGTGCTGGGAGAACTGGCTAGCCATATGCAGAAAATTGAAACTGGGCTCCTTACTTACACCTTACACAAAAATTACCTCAAGATGGATTAAAGGCTTAAATGTAAAACCCAAAACTATAAAAACCCAAAAAGAAAATCGAGGCAATACCATTCAGGACATAGGCACAGGCAAATATTTTATAATGAAATTGCCAAAAGCAATTGCAAAAAAAGCCAAAATTGACAAATGGGATCTAATTAAGCTAAAGAGCTTGTGCACAGCAAAAGAAACTATCATCAGAGTGAACAGACAACCTACAGAATGGGAGAAAGTTTTTGCAATCTATCCATCTGATAAAGGTCTAATATACAGAATCTACAGGGAACTTAAGCAAATTTACAAGAAAAAAATCCTATTAAAACGTGGGCAAAGTAACATAAATTATTCTATTATAAAGATACATGCATGCATATGTTCATTGCAGCACTATTCACAATAGCAAAGACATGGAATCAACCCAAATGCCATCAATGGTAGACTGAATAAAGAAAATATGGTACATATACACCATGGAATACTATGCAGTCATAAAAAGGAATGAGATCATGTCCATTGCAGGGACATAGATGGAACTGGAAGCCATTATCATCAGCAAACTAATGCAGGAACAGAAAACCAAACACTGCATGTTCTCACTTGTAAGTGGGAGCTGAACAATGAGAAGGCATGGACGCAGGGAGGGGAACAACACACATTGACACTGGGGCCTGTCAGAGGAAGACAGGGGGTTGGGGAGAGCATCAGAAAAAATGGCTAATGCATGTGGGGCTTAATACCTAGGTGATGGGTTAATAGGTGCAGCAAACCACAATGTCACACGCTTACCTATGTAACAAATCTGCACATCTTGAGCATGTACCCTGGAACTTAAATAAAATAAAATAAAAAAGGACTGCTTTTAGTCCTTCAAACTGAAATGAGCTCCATCCTTTTCTGTAGGCTTATAATACTTTATCTCTTTCTTAAGATTCGTTCTTGATTACAGCTTGCATTTGTCACATTTAAGGACAACAGAATACGTCATGGAAAGGAAAGGGGACTTGGAGCAGGCACATCCAAATTCAAATTCTTCCCCTTTCTGTCTCTGAGATCTAGCCCATTACTTCACTTTCTGTCTACATTTTTCCTCATCTCTAAAATGTAGATAATAAATACCCAACCTGGAATTGTACAGAACGTATTTGGCACCAATTCAGTGCTCAGTGAAATGTTTCTTTCTCTTTGTGCAGCTGGCTTACTTTCTCTCGTTCATTGTCCACTTCTTAGGGACTTAGGTTTGAATGCCTTCAGGTTTTTCACATGGTTTTTTAAACATATTGATAATTCAATACCTTGTTATTGATTGAAATAAAATTTAATATTGGCCTTAAGAAAGTATGCATGAAACCACAGTGATTCTGGAGAACCAGAGAGTTTGCACATCTTAACGTGGCAAGGAGAGAGAGGAAGTGTTAGGATAGAAGAATCCTGTTTTTTAATCTTTCAAATCACACCAAAAAGATTCCCAAATCGTAAAGTCATTACCACCTTGAGGTCCTGATCACCAGTTCAGAGCTTTTGTTTTATGCCTTTACCTTTACAGTCCTTCTTCTGAGTCCAGAGAGCTCCTCCTCCAAGGTCCTGCTCAAATGTTTGGTTGTCTTCAACATTGACCTGTTCTTCACCCCCTAGCCACTCACTTCTAGACAGGGCCAGTGTCTTCCACCTTTTCCTAGCCTAATAAGTTGCTGATGTATCTATTGGTTCACTTTTCACATTGTATTGCGAGTATTTGTTATCACGATTTTTTTTTCTTTTTTTCTTTTTTTTTTTTTTTTTTGAGATGAAGTCTTGCTCTGCCTCCCAGGCTGGAGGGTAGTGGCACGATCTCGCCTCACTGCAAGCTCGGCCTCCTGGATTCAAGCGATTCTCCTGCTGATTCAGCCTCCCGAGTAGCTAGGACTACAGGCACGTGCCACCACGCCCGGCTAAATTTTTTGTATTTTTAGTAGAGACGGGGTTTCACCGTGTTAGCCAGGATGGTCTCAATCTGCTGACCTCATGATCCACCCACCTCGGCCTCCCAAAGTGCTGGGATTACAGACTTGAGCCACTGCACCTGGCCTGCTATCAAGATTTTAAGAGCTGAGTTGTCTCTGTTTAGACTGAGGTATGAATGCAATGGATATGAGATAGGTAGTTGAGTGCGGGAAAAGATCCTCAAATGCGGAATCTATACAGGAATAATTATGAATTGATTCTATCTCCAGGACCTCATGGTACTATCAGAATTATAAAAAAGAAAGCAGAAAGTGGAGATAGATAGTGAAGAGATGTGTTTTTGGAGAAAGGTGTCTTTGAACTTTGTGTCCTCACCCAAAAGGAGAGGCATTTGCAGGCTGCCTCATACATGAGACAAGCGGATGTGGGACAGAGGTCAGTTTCTGCTATAGTCTAGATGTTTGTCTCCTCCAGACCTCATGAGGAAATTTGATCCCCAGTTTAGAAGTGGGGCCTAGTGGAAGGTGTTTGGATCATGGGAGCAGATGCCTCATGAATGGCTCCATGCCACCCTCGTGGTAATGCCTGAGTTCTCACTCTATTAGTTCCCACAAGAGCTGGTAGTTAAAAAAAAAAAAGTGTGGCACCACCCCACTGCCTCTCATTCTTCCTCTGTCACCATGTGATCTCTTCACACATCTGCTCTTTTTTGCCTCCCACAATGAGTAAAGGCAGCCTGAGGCTTTCACCAGATGCCCAGACTTCCAGCCAGCAGAATCATGAGCCACATAAACCTTTTTTCAAAATGAATTCATCAGTCTCAGGTATTCCTTTATAGCAACAACATGGGCTAAGACAGTCTCTGAGATTACTCACAGTAATGCTTTGACACACATTCTTTGCAGTGGGGAAATGCAGAGAACTGCTAGGTTTCTATCAGAGCCAGCAGGAGAAAGTGAAAATGAGCCAAGGAGCAGATGTGAGGTATGAAAGAGAGAGCTGTCTTGGGTTCTGCTCAACAGGATACAAAAGGCTGGAGGTGAATGTCAGAGACTGGAGCCTGGGAATGGCTGGCAAGCCAGCACCCAGAGTACAGAAGCACCTATCCAGGCAAAGTGAATGGCAGCAAAAAGACCCAGGGTGCTGGAAGTAGCAAAGAGTTCACTAAAGTGACAGAAGAAAGTTCCAATATCTGCCTGTTCAAGAAAATCCTTCCACACTTCTCATCCTTTCTCTTTCCCTGAAAAAGTCCAAAACAGCCCAAGAGGGTTATGAGTGGAAGTTGAAAAAAAAACTGGCCAGAGGAATAAGAGAAGAGACCAACCCTGCCTCTTCCCAGTGCTAGAGCCCACACTCCAGCAGGCCAGAGCTGGCAAAGATAAAGGCAAACCTGACATCAGGTTCCTGGTGTCGTTTAACAGTTTGGAATGAATATTCTAATCATAACATGTGACAGTAGAGTCATCTTTCATTATATGTGGGGAATTGGTTCAAGGACCCTGTGTATACCCAAATTCGTGCAAGCTCCAGTCTGGCAGTCAGCCCTGCAGAACTCACAGATAAGAAAAGTCAGCCCTCCATATATTTGGATTTGGCATGCCACAAATTCTGCATTTTTAGTAAGCATTTGGTTTAAAATTTTTGCATATTAGTAGTGGACCATGCAGTTCAAACCCATGTTGTTCAACGGTCAACTGTATTTATAATGTAAAGCGACCATTAAACATTTTATTTCCTATAAAGGAACAGGCAAGTGAGGAGACCTACTTAAGGTTTCGTCCTTTTGGGGGTGAAGCATATCGCCACTGAATTAAAAAATAAGTTTCATTTAGGTTGCATCTCTCATCTCAATTGTTCAATATGCTGCTTACATTCACAGTATGAGGCTCTAGGTGACTGAAAACAGCCATGTTTACTCATCTCCACTTATGCTATGCCCCAATTGCCCCAAGTCATAGGCCACACTCTCAGATAATAGGCACTAAATAAGTGAACTGTATGGACTGTTCTGGAACATAAGGGCACAATATTTTTCTCATGCAGGTTTGTATTTCTCGTCTGCCTCCAAGGCTATACCTTTGATTTTGCATGTAGCAAATACTGAGCTGTAATGATTTACCACGTTCCTCTCCCTAATCTCAGTAAGAGGCTTTTATGTTAGAACAACTTAAAAGGGGAAAATATGGGACCCAAAATGTAATGACACAGTTTTAGGCGTCCTAATGGAAATGTTGCCAAGTTTGGCTGCCACAGCGGTCTGTGGCATGAAGGAGGAAGTGTTCAGTTTAGAGAGGAAGAGAATAAAGAGAGTGGAGCGCACAGCATACCCTTTTAACATTTTGGAGGACTAGATTCCCAGGGACAACGAGTATGCAGGGGCAGCATTGGCAGCCGCCAAGGTGGGGGCCCACCTTAATTGCCCACTTTCATGTGATGCTTCAGGGGAAAATTGTCTGCAGCTTATTTTGGGGGGGTCCTTAGGCATTGAAGTCAAATTCCATGTAAGTGTTCTTTTTTTTTCCTTCCTTATTTTGTGGCACTCTGAACAACCTACCTCTTAAAATCTGAGGCAGGCAGATCACGAGATCAAGAGATCAAGACCATCCTGGCCAACATGGTGAAACCCCCGTCTCTACTAAAAACACAAAAATTAGCTGGGAGTGGTGGTGCGCGCCTGTAGTCCCAGCTACTCAGGAGGCTGAGGCAGGAGAATCACTTGAACTCGGGGGGCGGAGGTTGCAGTGAGTCGAAATCAGACCACTTCACTCTAGGCTGGTGACAGAGTGAGACTCCGTCTCAAAAAAAAAAAAAAATTCTGTGCAAATATTGACTTGTACTATATGATTAAATTCCCAAGAAAAAAATTATGCTTTGGCTTGAAATGTTCATTTAATTAGAAATAAAATCCAGTGAATAATTCTAAAAGAAAATATAGGTCTCAGTTCCTGGCATAAACTTTTTGTTATCAGGCAAGTTTCCCAAACATCATTTTATTTATTTATTTATTTATTTATTTATTTATTTATTTATTTATTATCATTTCCCAACAGAGTTTCACTCTGTTGCCCAGGTTAGAGATCAACGGTGGGATCTTGGCTCACTGCAACCTCCGCCTCCCAGGTTCAAGCGATTCTCCTGCCTCAGCCTTCCAAGTAGCTGAGATTACCGGCACGCGCCACCACACCTGGCTAATTTTTTATATTTAGTAGAGACGGGGTTTTACCATGTTGGTCAGGCTGGTCTTGAGCTCCTGACCTCAGGTGATCCACCCACCTCGACCTCCCAAAGTGCTGGGATTATAGGAGTGAGCCACCGCCCCTGGTCCAAACATCATTTTATAAACAACCCATCCTCACCTTTACTTCTCACCTCCTGCATGTGCTCACACACACGTGTGGACACACATGTACACACACAAAACTTGCTTGACTTTTACCTAGAGGGTGAAAATGCTAAGAATTGCATAATTCCAGGTAATTTACTATTGATCTTCCATTTCTGAATTATACATGTGGAAGTTACAGGAGTCTGCATAACCTCATGAGGACATTCATGGGTCATTAAGAAGTGTGTGCAATTTTCTTAACAGTCATAACTGCAGATCGTTTATACAAGCATATTCACTTGGAAGAATTTACTTCTATTTCTTGTATGTTTTTTTAAAAAGAATGTTAATCATCTCTCTGAGAATTACTAACTGGATGTAATTTTTTGCTTGTGGAATCAAATCAGTTCCTCATTGATTTGAACCAGGCTTACAGGGTGGGCACCACAGTTTGGAGGTAACAGTCACAAAGAGAATCTTTTTATTGATTTAACCATAAAAAAGTAGTATCCTGGGAATATTTACAGACAAGAGAGATAATGCAGCCCAATATTCCACCTTTATGGCAAAAAACTGACATGCAAAGACTGAGATGATCCCCTTTTTCATGACTAGTTATTAGTGTTTATAAAAAAGATTAAGTACACGTAGAGACGGGTTCATACACACTTTCTGCTGAGTATAATTATTAAATTGTTTTATGAATATGTTTTTAATGTGTATGCACTTCAAGATTATGAATCTGAGAGCAAAGTGATGAAACAATAGTTTTCTATAACAAGCGTGATGAGAGACTTCCTGTGCAATCTGCTACTAAGATGGCACCTCAGGGTTTACAAGGCATGTATTTTCTTTCAACTAGCTAAAATAAATTCTACCCAACCAAATATGGATTGTGAAATGTCAGGCAGATTTTAAGACAGGGACATCTCCTCTCTGAATTTTTAGATATTCTATCTGCAAAGCAGAAGATGTTTTATTGTTATGTAGCCAAATGTCTTCGTGATGAATACCTTATTAAAATCATTTTAACTGTACAAGGTCACTTACAAAATGAATTATGCTTAAAAACCAGATGAGTTGTTTACATTGCAGGTAGATGGACGGAGAAATGTTGGTGATTTCTTTGTGAGAATTAAAAGGGAAATAAATGCAAGTTAGAATATATACATATACATATATATGTATAAGCTCACTAAACAAAATACTAAAACAAAAATTGACTATTAAAATATAAAGCACAGACATATGATTACCAGCAAATATTCTATACATGTGTGATCAGTTATTTACTGGCTTACAGTGACTGTGTAGCTTTTTAGTGGGGAAGGGATTTTAAAGAATATTGGACTAGTTTCCTATTGCTGCTATAACAAGTTACCGCAAACTTGGTGGCTTAAAATGGCACAAATTTATTCTCTTAACACTTACAAAGGCCAGAAGTCTGACAGTTTCACTGGGATAAAGTCAAAGTATTAACAAGCCTGGTTATGTCTATTAGCTTTGCGGAGGATTATGGTCATTGATTTTGCCATTTCTAGAGGCTGCCCACAGTCCTTGGCTCCTGGCTGCATCTCTCCACTCTCTGTTTCCATAGTCCCATCGCCTTCTCCCTCACTGTAGTCAAATCTATCTCTGCTTCTCTCTTTTAAGGGTAACTGTGATTGCATTTAGGGTCTACCTAGATAAGACAAGTAATCCCCCATCTCAAGATACTTAGTCACATCTACAAAGTCTCTTTTGTCAAGTAAGGTAGCATGTACCTGTTCCTGGGATTAGGGTGTGAATATCTTCAGGGTCATTATTTAGCCTACCATAGAAATGCTAGGATTTTTGCTGATAAACAGATTAGAAAATGCAGTTAGAATTTCCCAAAATATCTGAACAAATAGGTAGTTGAACCCTGTCATCAGCCAATAACATTGGTAATGTTGAAAAAAATTTTTTTTAGGTTTATGTCAATAATTTACCAAATGTGTATCATCATTAGAAACAACACTTTTCAGAAAATAGTAGATTACTTACCTGTAAATCCTTTTCTAGACAAGCCCTTGGGACGGATTCTTAAACTCCACTAAAAGAATACTAACATTGATATTTGGAACTATTCATTAGTTAACTCCTTATTGGAATGTAACCATCTCCTTATTGAAACAATTCCAAAATTCTGACAAAATTAGACAAATAATAACAAGAAATGAGAGATAAACTAGGCTTTTGAATAAATAGACCAATAATAGAAAACCACTATAACTCAGTTTTTTTAAGGTATCAACTAGTTATAATATTTGAATGAGTGAGAAATAAAAGGTGTTTATTCTATATACTTTAAAGTGAGTATTTGAATAGTTGGTAAATTGTGTAGTAAATTGAGATTTTTAATAAATATAAATGATTCTTCCAAAAGAAAAATAACTTTCTGTTTAATAATAGTTATTTTGCCTAAATTTGCTACAACTCTTCACTTTCTTACATTAGGCACAGCGTCAGCTAGACGTATTGAACATTTCTCCAATTAAATGAAAGCTTTCACATTTACAGATGCAGACTAAATGTATAAAGTTTATCACAAAGCTATGCATGCAGGGTGCAGTGCTAGCACCTGGAAAATAACTGCGTGTGGGTGAAACCGGAGGCTAATCAACTAGGCACTGACAGCTGTTTATAAAGAAGAAGAAGAGGAAGAGAGAGAACAGGAAGTAGAAGGAATATGAGAGAGAAACAGGAGGGAGGGAGAGACGAAGTAGGAAAAAAGTGGTGCTCTTGATCTAATTGGTAGCATGTAATTCACTAAATTGAAATTCTCCAAGAACACAGTCACCTGACTCTTTAAAGGAAATGATGACACCTTCGATGACTTTAGACAGCCAGTTCACCAAAGAAGAATGACCTTTGCTATGAGAATGGTAGACAACTCTCTCTACCGAGTTTTTTTATTACCCAATGTTGAATTAATTTTGGAGGTAAATCCATTCAAAATATTGATGTGAATCATTTTTGTGCATTTATGACATGAAATTTTGCTCTATTAACAAGAATAAAATTGAATTATATTTCAATTTTATAAATAGAGGTAAAAGGGCAACTCATTGAGATCACTTAAAGGTAACAAAAAAGATAATAAATACAGGTTTTAACAATTAGCATTTTCCACCAGCACATCAATTTACCAAATTTTATAGGCACAACATTAATATGACGGCAAACCATGGTGAGTCTTTTTTTGGCCTACATCTACATTATGAAATGTTTGGTTTGATTTAATAGCATATAGCCAGAATGTTCTAAATTGCAACAGAATTATGGAAAATTTATATTGTAACAAAGATAAGACTATGGTTCCAGTGCTCAAAACAGCCATCCCCAAAAATATATGACAGACTGTGCTTCAAAATATCTCATTTGTCTCCTGCTTAACAAACGAAATCTGGAATAAATTATGTTGAAATAAAATGTACATATCAGAAGTAATTATGAACTCCTCTAGTGTTATCATAGATTTTGACTGCATTTATGGCTTTCTTTTAGTGAATTGTCCAGAAGAACATTTAAATTCTACACTTTGTTAAAGTTCAATTTATTACACCTTAGGAAAAGGGCATATGTTTCTAGAAATCCGCAACTTCACAGTAAAGATAAGCTGAATTATATGTGCTTTATTTCCCTTTTATTTTTCCTACCTCATGTTGATACATATTGCAAATGTATGTGAAGACATAACTGATATAATTTTCTTCCCAGTGAGTCTAGTATAACCTTCCTTTTATCTAACAGAAGTAACATGGTTCTTGAGAGTATTAAATTAATTATTGGAAAAGTACTTGGGAGATAAAAAGCCCATAAGTGCTAACTATTAATTAGTATTTCTATTATGAGTGTGACCTTGAAAACTGTAGCTCACACAATTAAATGCTGGCTATACTTAGCATATATAAATAAATTTCAGTGAAAAATCAGATTTTAGATTGAGTGAAGATAAAATTTTTTATCTAAATACATTCCATCTTAAGAACTGAACGATTATACGTGTATATCATATGTATATCATACATGTATCACATGTATATCATGTGATACGTATATATGTGTGTAGTCTACATGTATGATATCATATGGTATGATACACATAAAATTTAAGGCATCATAATTAACATTTTATACATTATTTAAGGACTATAATAAATTAGCCAAACTAAGGCTAAATCAACTTGTATTTCAAATTGTGGGGAAGTTATAAATTGCAGTGGATATGAATATCAGTTCATAAATTCATTTCTCTAAAAATACTATTTCACAATTTCTTGTAATAGAACTTAAATTCTGTTTTAATCTCTATCTCATATGGTAGAGGTGACATACCTTGAATCAATTTAGATTCTCCTCTTTGTATCAAATTTCTGGAAGACCTAACAAGTAACCAAAAAGTGTCTCGCTGTATGTGTGGGTGGGTGCATGCCATGTTTAAATATGCCCCCCAAATTTCATGTGTTGGAAACTTAATCATCAAATTCATATGAGGAGCGAAGGTGGGAATTTTAGGAGGTAATTAGGATTACATAAGGTCATGAAGGTGGGGCCCCCTATGATGGAACTGGTGGCTTGATAAGAAAACTAAGAGGAACCTCAGCCGAGACTCATGCTCTTGCCCTTTCACCATATGATGCCTCACACTCTTGCCCTCTCGCCATGATACCTCAGCCATGTTATGACATCACAAGAAAGCCTCCACAGATGTGGGCACCATGCTCTTGGACTTCCCAGCCTACAGAACTGTAAGAAATAAAAGTATTTTCTTTATAATTTATCCAATTTATGGTCTTCTGTTATAGCAACAGAAAATAGACTGAGACAGTATTCTTGTTATTTTTTGGCCTCTCATCTATCAACACTAGCACTGTTTGTTGTCAGCTGATCTGAGAGTTTCACCTGAGCATGCTTGTTGCTGTTGTGTATTTCTTATTCTTGAGAGCAGGACACAGAGCTAGCCTGCTCTAGGAATCACCAACACCTCTTTATTCATCTATCATTTCTAACAACTATATGATATTTTGCTTTGAGAAAATTAAGAAACATTCTACAAAGCACAAACATAGCAAAAAAAACTCTACAACAATCACAAATTTATATTTGTTCACTTAATGTTATATTATTTTTTAATTTTAATTTTTTATTTCAATAGTTTTGGGGGTACAAGTGGTTTTTGGTTACCTGGATGAGTTGTATAGTGGTGAAGTCTGAGATTTTAGTTCACTCATCACCTGAGCAGTGTGCATTGTACTGAACATGTAGTTTTTCATCCCTCACCACTCCACTTCTGAGCTGCCACAGTCCATTATATCACCTGTATGTCTTAGCCTATCCACAGCCTAGCTCCCGCTTATAAGTGAGAACATACTTGGTTTTCCATTCCTGAGTTACTTCACTTAAAATAGTGGCCTCCAGCTTCATCCAAGTTGCTGCAAAAGACATTATTTCATTCTTTTTTATGGCTTTGTAGGATTCCATTATATATATAAAAATATGTGTGTGTGTGTGTGTGTGTCTGTGTGTGTATTTATCCACCCAGTTTAATGAATGAATAATGGGTACTTAGGTTGGTTCCATATATTTGCAATTGAAAATTGTGTTGCAATAAACATACACATACAGGTGTCCTTTTGATATAATGACTTACTTTCCTTTGGATAGATACCCAGTAGTGGGATCGCTGGATCAAATGGTAGATCTACTTTTAATTCTTTAAGAAATCTCTATAATGCTTTCCATACAGATTGTACTAGTTTACATTCCTACCATCAGTGTATAAGCATTCGCTTTTATTAGAAATGAAATAATTTTTAAAGTTTTTTTTAATAGAAAACAGTACAGATAAAGTTAAGGTCATTTATCCCCAATTATTAGTTTTATTTTACTGCACACTTTGTAGAAACAAACTTCCCAATCTAAATATATATGCTTACACACACAGAAGCATGAAAAATAAAAAGATACTTATTATCATTTTTATTTCTACATTACATAAATGCTGCCTTAGTATTTGTATTATTCTGCAACTTACTCATTTTTACTAAATTTAGTATTTCTGTAATCTGCCTTGAACTGTGCAGGAATTTCTTTCTATGATTTCCATTGGATGATGCACTTTCTATACCTTGCTCAACTTCAACCATTAGAGCTTTAAATTATGCCCTGAAACCTGAAATGACAACCTGCCACATACCCCGCATATTGTGATGATTTTCAATAACTTTTAGAAACAATTTTTTACATTCCACAAAATGTCCTATTGAGCTTTGGCTCAAAGTTGCATTAATTTATCATCTGTAGAGAATTTACATTTTTTAAATAGTACATCTTCCCTTTCTTCTTTAAAGCTTTCAATGGCATCATATATTTTAGGCACCATGCACATGTGCATATATTTTACACATATTCCTAGTGACCATCCAGTTTTTGTTGCTCTTCAGAACAGGCTTAAAAGATAAACATTATTGCACTTATTTCTTGTATAAAGATACTAATTATTTTTGCTTGTTATCACGTATCCATACATTTATTGAACTCTGTCATTATTAGCAGTATTTTATACATTTTCCTGATTTTTGTGATTTCCTTTATTTCATTTCACTTATAATTCCATTTAAATCTTTTAGCTCTTATGTCTTTGTCTGACATTATTATATTATCTAAAATTTCCAATAATAATGCTAAATAATTAGCCATCATATGAGGCACAATTTCCTGTTGCCGACCTTAATGAAAATATTGTATTTTTTCTGTACAATTAACAACTGTTTTATGAAAATGAATTGATTGTTACACAGATACAATTATATCCTATACAACCCTGTATCATTTTGAGAATATCTTGTCAAAATTTGTTTGAAAATCATCAGAATTATTTACCTTTTTTGTATTTTTTGTTTTGCATATACAGGTGCATATGGCTTTAATAAGCAGCTTGGCTTAAACATCTTACATAATATTGCTCAATCAAAGATTCTAAGTATTTTACACTTTTGACCATTCATTTTATAGGTGTTATCTAAAATTGAATGTTAATGCTACTCAAAATGCTTGTCAATATCCATTTAATACATTTCACTGGTTTAGTTAAACTGTACATTTTCCCAAAGGTGTTGTGCCTCAGGCTTTGTTTCAGATGCATGTAAGATTTAATGTGCAAACAAACATACTGCCAGTCTAATATTTTGTGCTAAAATGACATGGTTTTTCCCATGGCCTAGTTATAGAACTACAGTGACAATAAATAGATAAAAAGAATCTTTTGAGTCTTAAACATTTAAGCTCTCAAGTCTTTCAATTCAGTGCTGCAAGAATAAAAATATTACACCTTTTTAATTCTGATACTCCTTCTATAAATACATAAGAATTTATTAAAATATAGCATTGCATGATTAAAGCACAATGTGTAAGGATTCATAAAAGTGATACACATTTTAATGTAAAAGAATAAAAAGCTAGCCAAAATGTATTTTTTTGTGCTATGAAACATCATACTAAATATGCTAAATTACTTTTGAGATGCAGCAGTGATGTTGAGAATATTACCTGTCATGCTAAATCAATCAATCTCTGGGGAATAAAACTATTCATAATTCTCCTTTGAATATAAACATGATACTATTGGCCAAAATCAGATTTCTGTATCTTTAAATTTAGATTTTAATTCACTTCCAAGATTCTTAAGCAGTGGTATTAACATGGAAGTGAACAGTGTGCTAAAAAGGATTTTCCAGTCCATCACATGAAGCAGTGGTTAAATTAATTATCAAGACAGATCATGCAGTTATCTAAATTTATAATATGTAGCAAAAATTTTTCTTGTTTAACTAATATCTAAACTACGAAGTTCAAATTCCATTGGTTTTTCCAAATCTGTTTTTCCATTAGTATCTTTTTTCCCTTTTATATATTCTAACAAACCTACATTCAAAATATTAATCATTCTAGGATAATTTTGCATAACTTCCTCCCTGTATTTATTTGCTCCTACTCCTTTCCTCACCAAAAATACTTTTCTGTTTCCCACTTTTTGCCAGACAGGCTCTAACCAAATGTCAAATCATTCTCTGAAAATCTATTACATTTATGAATGCATAAAAAATAACTTTGCCATCATTATTTATTTTATACTACTTGATATCAGATTTTAGTAAATAGTAGATATATTTTTGAAATTTTATTTTAACAAACAGTCATATCAGTTAAGAGCTTTTTTTCCCCCTTCAAGATATTTAGGTTCCTATCAGTTTCTTCATTAGACCCTTTTCTTCTCACTCTCCGCAGTCTCCTTGGATTCTGGCTGGCTCACAGCTAGGCCATCTCCCCATCATCCCTGCCAGTTCCTGGGAGCCCCAGTCTCGTATATTTGCCTGGTTATTGTGGAGCTCCACCATAAGTTTGTGTGGGCAACACTAACTTAACATATCTAATCTGAGTTTACTCCCCTTCTCCCATATAATTACAACTGCTCGTGGTACCACTATGTTTTTAGTAATCAAGGTCAAAAACTTGGAAATAATTCAAAATATCTTCATTTTCCTAATCTCCTTTATGCGCTTACCTTCTGGTAGTAGACTAAATGTTTGTGTCCCCCTAAAATTCTTCTGCTGAAACACTGACCTCAAACATGATGCTATTAGTAGGTAGGGCCTTGGGAGGTAATTATGGCTAGATGGACCCGTGAGGGGCCTCATGATGGGCCTCACGAGGGGACTGGACGATGGTAACACTATTGAATCTTAGAACTTATTCCTTCTATCTAGCAATGTGTTTACCCATTAAACAACCTCTCTTTATCCCCTTCTCCCAGCACACATACCAACACACCCTTCACATCCTCTGGTATCTATAATTCTACGGTTTACCTCCATAAGATATTTTTAGCTCCCACATATGAGTGAGAACATGCAATATTTGTCTTCCTATGCCTAGTTGATGTCCAGTTTCATCCTTGTTGCTGCAGATTACATAACTTCATTCTATTTTGTGGCCGAATAATATTCCACTGTGTATGTATAGAACTTTTTTTTATCTATTAGTCTGTGGATGGACACTTAAATTGATTTCACGTCTTTGCTATTGTGAATAATGCTGCAATAAACTTGCAAGAGCAAGTATCCCTTTGATGTACTGATTTTCTTTTCCATTGGATAAATTTCTGAATTACATGGTAGTTATATGTTTAGTTTTTTCAGAAATCTACATACTGTTTTTCATAGTAGCTATATTAATTTACGTTCTCACCAACAGTGTATACAAGTTCCCTTTTCTCCACATCCTTGCCAGCATTCATCGTTTTTTCTTTTTAATAATAGACATTCTAACTGGGGTAAAATGATATCTTATTGTGGTATTATATTCATTTGTTTCAATAAATTTTTGTATTTCCTCCTTAATTTCTTTCTTGATCCGATGGTTATTCAGGAGCATATTGTTTAACTTTCATCTTTTTGTACAGTTTCCAAAATTACTCGTTATGGATTACTGGTTTTATTTCACTGTGGTCTGAGATAATACTTGATATGATTTCCAGTCACTAAATTTGCCAAGAATTTGTTTTGTATTCAAAAATATGTTCTATACTGGATAATGTTCCATATACTGATGAGAAGAATGTGTATTCTGTAGCTATTGAATGACATGTTCTGTAGATGTTGGTTAGGTCCATTTGGTCTAACGTGCAGTTTAAATTCAATGTTTCTTTGTTAATTTTCTGTCTGGATTATTTGTCTAATGCTGAGAGTGGGGTATTGATGTCCCCAACTATTACTGTATTGGAGTCGATCTCTTCCTATAGATCTAATAACATTTGCTCTATATATGTGGATACTCCAGTGTTGGGTGCACACAGGTTTAAAATTATGTCCTCTTGCTGAATTAATCCCTTTATCATTATATAAAAACCTTGTCCCTTTTTGTTCTTTTTGACAAAAAGTCTGTTTTATATAAGTATAGATACTCTTGCTCACTTTTGTTACTGTTTATAGGGAAAATCTTTTTCTATTCCTTTACTTTCAGTCTATATGTCTTTAAAAAGGTGAGATGGCCTTCTTGTAGGCAGCATATAGTTGAACCAATTAAAATAAAATTCATCCTGTCAGTCTACATATTTTAAGTGGAAAGCTTAATCCATTTACTTTCAAGGTTATTATTGGTATGTAAGAGCTTATTCCTGTCATTTTATTAATTGATTTCAGGTTGTATGTACCTCCTTTGTCCCTTTTTTCTGTCTTACTATTTACCATTTTGGTTTGGTGGTTTTCTGTTTTGAGTCCTTTCTTTATCATTTGTGTGTTTGCTCTGCCAATGGGTTTTATACTTTCATGCATTTTCATGGTGGCAGATATCATTCTTTCACTTCCACGTGTAGAACTTCCTTAAGCATTTCTTAAAGAGCCTGTCTAGTGGTGATGAATTCCCAGAGCTTTTGCTTGTCTGGGAAAGACTTTATTTCTCCTTCATTTAAGAAATGTAACTTTATGGAGTATGATAGCCTTGGCTGGAAGTTTTTTCTTTTAATACTTCAAATTTATCATCCAATTCTCTCCTGGCCTATAAGGTTTCTCCTGAGAATATCACAGTTATCCTACTGGGGGATACCTTATAAATGCCCAGATACTTTTCTCTTTCTGTTTTTAGAATTATCTCTCTTTGACTTTTGACAGTTTGACTATAATTTACAAAAGATAAGACCTTTTTCAAAAAATTGTATCTGCCAATCTCTGAGCTTCCTGTATCTCAAAGTCTAATGTTCTTCCTAGACTTGAGGACAATTTTGTTAAATACGTTTTCTATTTCTTTTATTTTTCCCTTCACCTTCTGGGACCCTAAATATTTGGTCACTTTATGGTGTCCTATATGTCACATGGGTTTTGTTCATTCTCTTTTATTCTTTTTGCTTACTTTTTGTCTGCGTTATTTCAGAAGACTTGTCTTCCAGTTCTGAAATTCTTTATTCTGCTTGATCTTATCTATTGTTGAAGATTTTGAATGTCTTATTATTTTATTTAATTAACTCTTCAGTTCCAGAATTTCTGTTTGGTCTTCTTATATCATCTCTTTGGTAAATTTCCCATTCCTGTCTTGAATTGTTTTCCTGATTTATTTGTGTTGTCTTTTTGTATTGTTTTATATCTTATATCTTCCTGAACTTCTTTAATATCATTATTTTGAATTCTCTTTCTGGAATTTTATAATTGTTTTATTGGACTCTGTTGCTGGAGAATTATTGTGACCCTTTCAAGGTGTAATGTTTTCTTACTTTTTCATGTTTATTGTGTCCTTATGTTGATAACTGCTCATATGGTATAACAGTCACCCTTCTTAGTTTTAGAATTTACTTTTTAAGGGGAGGACATATTTCTGAAGATGTATTTATGGTGTTCATTGGGTAACACACTTTAATTTTGATTCTCAGTGTGTACAGTTGTAGTCTGAATATAATTTATCTGGCTATAAACAGCATCAGTGATATCTGTTATTTCCCCATTGGCCTAGGGTACAATTGCTAGTGGAGGCTGTGATAAAGTTTTGGTGGGTACGGGGTCATGAAATAGGCCCATTCTTGAGCCTCAGGGTGGTATAAGTTGTTACCACTGTTAGTAGGTCCAAGGGGGTCAATTTTGGGGCCTCCAGGTGACTTGCTTGGGTGCTAGTAATGGCAGAAGATAGCTAGGCAGATGGACAAGTCCCCAGGGCCCTAGGCAGTGGGTGTGACAAGGACAATGTCAATAGCAGGGATGGGACAATTTTCTGGCTCACAAGAAGTTCACTTTGGTCTTGGCAGTGGTTGCAACAGGCTGAGTGAGCCAGTCTCCAGGTCCACAGGTGGCACATGTATAGTAACCAGCTGTTGTGGGTGCCAGCGTTGTGGTAATGGCAAGCTGGGTGGGCTTGACCTCAGGCCCCTGGGAAGATAGTTCATTGACCAATGGTGGTGAACTTGGCTGGTTGGTCTGCAGCCTGCCAGGGGGCATGCTCAGGCACTTACAGGGTGGTTAGGTCCTGGCTGGGCAAACCTGCCCTCAGGACCCCTGGTGGAGCACACAGGTGCTGATTGTGGTAGACATGGGTGAGGTGACCCCTAGGAACCCAGCAGAATGCTTAGGTAGGGGCCACAGCAATGGCACTGCAGCCCAGATACTGTGGAGGGTGGGGTTGCTTTCAATGGCAACAGCCTTATGCAGGTGTTGGAGGTGCATGCATTTCACTGTGCTTTGATCTCAATGGCAGCAGCCTGCAGCTGCTGGAGGGGTTTGTCCTGAAGGTGTATGAAAATGCATGGTAGCTTTGCTGCTTAAAGAAGTGGGGTTATTGCCAATGGATTGTGCTTCAGCCTTGACAGAAGCAGCCAGCCATGGCAGTGGCTGTGAGCAGGGGATGTCAATGAGGCTCCAGGGATGTGAAAATGCAGGGGTTGTTAGGCTTCTGGGCAGGACATGGTCTAGAGGGGACTGGGCTGTCTGTATGGTGCCTTGCTGTAGCTGCTTAGGGCTTGTGGGGGTGTGGTACCCAGCACGAGCTCCCTCACTGGAGCAGTGCCTTCATGCAGTGTCTAGGTGACTCCCTATGTTAGCCTCAGGGTTCACAAAGGTCTAGAGTCTCTCATGTAGCTAGGAGCATGGGAGTCCATGGTGGGAATATGGATTCTGGGAAGGTCACTCAGCCTTTCCACACAATGTAGAACCTCTCCAGGCTCCCCACTGGTCCCAGTAAAGCAGGCTGTTTTGCTTCACTCTCTTTCCTTGCTTTAAATGTTTCCTGTCATTTTTCTGTTGAACTCCAGTGTTCTCTCTTAGATAATCTATTCAAAGTGTGATTATCTACTCAGAATTTTGGTTCTTCTTTGTAGAAGAGGGAAATACCAGTTGCTTCTAATCAGACATCTTAAAGGTCTTTCTCAAAGAAACTTTCTTAAAAAAAAAGATTCAAGTCTACAAATGAAAAATACTCCAATATCTCTCACAAAATTGATGCACAGTTATCTATAATGAGTGCCTTCTTATGCTACTCACCAGATTTGAAAAGTAAAATAAAAATCATTATGAATCTCAACGCAATAAAAGAAAAGGAAATAAAGTTAGATAATGTACAAAAGGGCAAAAACCAGGCTCCTCCCAGGCTCTGTGCACTATCATCTAATAGTATGTAACAGTGGAGTAATATCTACAATGACTGCAGTAAAAAAATGTGTGAATTATGAATTTTTTATGTTTTTAAAATTGGAGCTAAAAATCTTAAAGTACTTGAGAAAAGGCAGCTTTTTAAAAGCGGGCGTTAACTCAGGAACTATGGTTAATGATATGGTTTGGTTGTGTCCCCACCCAAATATCATCTTGAATGTTGTGGGAGGGACCCAGTAGCAGGTAATTGAATCATGGGGGCAGGTCTTTCCCGTGCTTTTCTCATAATAGCAAATAAATCTCATAAGATCTGGTGGTTTTAAAAAGGGGAGTTTCCCTGCACAAACTCTCTTTGCCTGCCACCATCCATGTAAGATGTGACTTGCTCCTCCTTGCCTTCTGCGATGATTGTGAGGCCTCCCCAGCTATGTGAAACTAAGTCCAATAAACTTCTTTCTTTTGTAAATTGCCCAGCCTCGAGTATGTCATTATCAGCAGCATATAAATGGACTAATATAGTAAATTGGTACCAGTAGAGTAGGGCACTGCTGAAAAGAAAAGATATCCAAAAATGTGGAAGCAACCTTGGAACTGGGTAACAGGCAGAGGTTGGAACAGTTTGGAGGGCTCAGAAGAAGACAGGAAAATGTGGGACAGTTTGGAACTCCCTAGAGCCTTGTTGAATGGCTTTGACTAAACTGTTCATAATGATACGGACAAAGAAATCCAGGCTGAGGTGGTCTTAGATGGAGATGAGGAACTTGTTGGGAACTGGAGCGAAGTGTCTCTTGTTATGTTTTAGCAAAGAGACTGGTGGCATTTTGCCCCAGCCCTAGAGATATGTGGAGTTTTGAACTTGAGAGAGATGATTTAGGGTATCTGGCAGAAAGAATTTCTAAGCAGCAGAGTATTTAAGAGGTGACTTGGGTGCTGTTAAAGGCATTCAGGTTTGTTGTTTGTTTGTTTGTTTTGAGATAGAGTCTCGCTCTGTCATCTAGGCTGGAGTGCGGTGCCACGATCTTAGCTCACTGCAACCACTGCCTCCGGGTTCAAGTGATTCTCCTGCCTCAGCCTCCTGAGTAGCTGGGATTACAGGCATGCACCACCACACCCAGCTTATTTTTGTATTTTTAGTAGAGACGGGGTTTCACCATGTTGGCCAGGATGGTCTCGATCTCCTGACCTTGTGATCCACCCACCTCAGCCTCTCAAAGTGCTGGGATTACAGGCCTGAGTCACTGCACCCAGCAAGGCATTCAGTTTTATAAGGGAAGCAGAGCATAAAAGTTCAGAAAAATTTGCAGCCTGACAATGCAATAGAAAATAAAATCCCATTTTCTGAGGAGAAATTCAACCCAGCTGCAGAAATTTGCATAAGTAATGAGGAGTCAAATGTTAATCCCCAAGATAATAGGGAAAATATCTCCAGGGAATATCAGAGGTCTTCATGGCAGCGTCTCTCATTACAGACCCAGAGGCCTAGGAAGAAAAAGTGGTTTCCAGGGCTGGGCCCAGTGTCAACATGCTGTATGCAGCCTAGGGACTTGGTGCCCTGTGTCCCAGCCATTCCAGCCCTGGCTGAAAGGGGTCAATGTAGGGCTAGGGCTTCAAAGAGTGCAAGCCTTAAGTCTTGGCAGCTTCCACATGGTGTTGAGACTGCTGCAGTGCAGCGAAGTCAAAAGTTGGGATTTGGGAACCTCTGCCTAGATTTCAAAGGATTTATAGAACGCCTGGATGTTCAGGCAGAAGTTTTCAGCAGGGGCAGGGCTCTCATGGAGAACCTCTTCTAGGGCAGTGTGGAAGGGAAATGTGGGGTCAGAGTCCCCACACAGTTTCTACTGGGGCACCACCTAGTGGAGCTGTGAGAAGAGGGCCATCATCCTCCAGACCCCAGAATGGTAGATCCACTGACAGCTTGCACCATGCGCCTGGAAAACCATAGACACTCAATGCCAACCCATGAAGGCAGCCAGGAAAGAGGCTGTACCCTGCAGAGCCACATGGGCAGAGCTGCCCAAGACCATGGGAACCCACCTCTTGCATCAGCATGACCTGGATGTGAGACTGTTGCTGTTGAATGGCATGGTAAGTATATATGTCTTTTAGATCCATTCAGTCTAAAGTATTGTTAAATTCCAATGTTTTCTTATTAATTTTTTTGGTCTGGATAATCTGTCTATTGTTGAAAGTATCATGTTGAAAATTCCTACTATTTTTATATTACAATCTATCTCTCCTATCAGATTTTTAAATTTTTGTTTTATATATTTTTATATAAATATAAATATAGACACCATGCAGTTGTCTCAAGCTTGTACTTAAGTACTGGAACCTTCTAAGAGACATTCTATCCTGTGGATTGTTGCTACATTTCATAGAATGGAGTCAAGACTGAAAATTCCTATGTTACCAGCTTGCTAGTATCCCCTGTAACTGCTTTATTTTTGATGCCGTTTAGACTATTCCTATTTCTAGTTTGCTGATAGTTTCATCATGAATAGGTATAGAATTATTTTCAAATGCTTTTGTACACTTATTGAAATGATGTTACAGTTTCTCTCCTTTACTCTCCTAATGAGGTAAATTTCATTGATTGATTTTTAAATATTACATCAAACTTGCATTCTTGTGATAAACCCTACTTAACTGGTCATGATGTATGAACTTTTTTTTTCACATTTCTGGATTCAATTTGCTTATATTACACTAAGTCATTTCCAATCTATTATCTGTTTCCTCCTTTAATCCTGCCAATTTTGTCACTGATTTTTTTGAAACTCTATTATTAGGTGCTTACAAATTCATGATTGCTATTGACAAGTTGATCTTTTGGTCATTAAATAGCTCATTTTTACTTTGATAATGATCGGTGTCTTGAAGTTTTGCATTATATTTTAGTGCTTCAGATTACAATATATATTTAGAATATGTGTTCTAAATAAACAACTATATATTGTAGAGTACTTTCTTAGTGCTCTAGAGATTACAATATATATCCTTAACTTTTCAAAACATACTTAGAATTAGTACTCTATCACACACATAAAAATGTAGAAATCTTGTAAACTTAATCTTTATCTTTTATGTTATAATTGCCATATGTATTATATCTATGTACATTACAAACAACTAAGATAATAAGTTTAGCTTGATCAGACTATGCATTTTCAGGAAATTTTAAAAAATCATATTTTATATTACCCTCATTATTTACTATTTCTGACGTTTTTCCCTCCTTTCTGAAGAACAAATTTTTTCTAAGGCTTTATTTTTCTTCAGTTTAAAATTTTCTTTTAAAATTTCATGTAGTGCCTGGAACTTAAATTTATGGCAATAAGTTATCTTAATTTTAATTTAGCTGATTGTATCTTTATTTTGCTTTCAGTGTTGAGGGATACTTTGTGTATGGAATTCTGGATTGATATATCTCTCTTTTTTCTTCACTTGATGATACTGTTGCAATGTCTTCTGGTAGCTATGGTTTCTAAGTCAGGATTTCTTCAAATCACAAGTCCCCAGTATATTATTTTTTGTGGTTGATTCCAATATTTTCTCTTTATTTTTTTTCAATAAGTTGATTATGGTATGCCTACGCATGTATTTCTTTGTACAGTAGGCCCACCATGTGTTCCTCATTGATGGATTCAACCAATTACAGATCAAAAATATTCAGAAAAAAATTGCATCTCCACTGAACATGTACAGCCTTTTAAAAAAATTATTCCCTAAAAAATACAACAACTATTTACATAGGATTTATATTTTATTAGGTATCATAAGTCATCTAGAGATGATTTAAACTGTATAGGAGGATATGCATAGGTTATATGCAAATACTTTGCCCATTTTGTATCAGGGACTGAAGCATCTATGATTTTTAATATTCTATTCTAATAATAATATTTAATATTTAAATATCTATGATATTTAATATTTTTAATATTCACAGATATTTAATATTCTTCCTTTTTCTCAAGCTTATCTCTCTCATTTTGACTTGGATAATTTCTATTTTTTTATCTTCAGGTTTACTAGTCTTCTCTCCTCTATCATCTACTTGTGATCAAGTTCATCTTGTGAATTTTAAATTTCAGGTACTTAATCATTTGATTTTAGAATTTTTAAATATTTTTATTTATCATCTGAATTTTGCTCTGTGTTCATTTATTGCAAATATATTTTTCTTTATTTTTTGAGCATTTTAAAATAGATGCTTTAAAATCCGTCTCTATGAAGTCTAATATCTGTGTCATTTGGGAGTTGCTTTCTATTGATCATCTTATTACATGATACTGGATCATATGTTTTTTATTCTTATATCAAGGAAGTTTGGATAGTAAGCTGGATGTTGTGAATATTATGTTATTGAAATTGTGAATTCTGTTATTGTCCCCAAAGAGTGTTTAAGTTTTTGTTATAAGGTTAATTAACCTGCTTGAATTTCAACTATAAACTGTTTCTTCAGCAATATCTCCAATCTCAGTATAGTTCTTTTATACTTAGCTGGACTGCTTTAAGTCTGAACAGCATATACCCGATTCTGGGGTCAACCTGAAAAATGGTCAATATTTATTTACAGATTTTGAGAAACTCCATATGTTGTCTCTCCTTTTAGGATTTTAAAAAATCACTTTCTAGTGGCCGTGAGTTGCCCCAAACTCCGTCCTTTGATTCTTCAAGCCAAAAGTGCTGCCAGTTACTTGGAGAATTTGCCACACTACATGGAAGCCGCAGCAGTCTGCTCTCTGGCTAAAAGCCATATAGACAGGAAACTCATATACCTCTCCTTCTTCCAATGTTGACCTTCCTCTTCTCTCTGCTCTTTATTACCCTTTTGTGCTTCAGGTCATTTTTGTTTATTTGGTGTGTCAGTTGTGTGACAGAAGCACGTAAGTCAGGAGCTACCTGAGCCAATCAAAAAAAAATGTAAAGTAGCCCTTTAACTGTATGAAAGAAAGTAAAGCTGTAGGATTTTTCTGAAGAATATATGAAAATTTTTATCCATTTTCTTATCCATTTTACTCATTTACATTAAATTGTCATCTTCTATGTACAAGGTACTCTGCTGGTTACTGAAATCACATTTTTAAAAAAAGAATAAAACTTGGTCTTTCTCTAAAGTAATTTTTCAATGTAGTTGTGGAGGAAAACAGCCTAACCAAAAGCCAAAACTTGGTGTGCGGCCGGGCGTGGTGACTCACGCCTGTAATCCCCGCACTCTAGGATACCAAGGCGGGAGGATCACAAGAGGGGTCAGGAGTTCAAGACCAGCCTGGCCAACATGGTGAAACCCCGTCTCTACTAAAAATATAAAAAAGTAGCCAAGCGTAGTGGTGTGAGCCTGTAGTCCGAGCTACTCGGAAGGCTAAGTAGTGGGAGAATCACTTGAACTCAGGAGGCAGAGGTTGCAGTGAGACGAGGTAGTGCCATTGCCACTCCAGCCTGGGCGACAGCGCGAGACTTTGTCTCAAAAAAAAATCGGTGTGATAATTGCCATACTTTATGCTATCTAACATGTAATATGAGAGCACAGTGAAAAATGCACGTTTACAGTGTAGTTGACCTTGTACAATCCCCAAGTTTCAACTAGGTACGCGTGTGCACAAGAACAGTTTTTTTGTTTTGTTTTGTTTTGTTTTTTGAGACGGAGTCTGTCTCTGTCACCCAGACTGGAGTGCAGTGGCGCGACCTCGGCTCACTGCAAGCTCCGCCTCCTGGGTTCACACCATTCTCCTGCCTCAGCCTCCCGAGTAGCTGGGACTACAGGTGCCCGCCACCACGCACGGCTAATTTTTTGTATTTTTAGTAGAGACAGGATTTCACCGTGTTAGCCAGGATGGTCTCAATATCCTGACCTCGTGATCTGCCCACCTCGGCCTCCCAAAGTGCTGGGATTACAGGCGTGAGCCACCACACCTGGCCTGCACAAGAACAGTTTTGTGGACTTATCAGTGGGTCACTCTTCCT
Source organism: Homo sapiens (assembly GCF_000001405.40). NCBI lineage: Eukaryota > Metazoa > Chordata > Mammalia > Primates > Hominidae > Homo > Homo sapiens. Next base: position 12,074,354 of record NC_000005.10, on the reverse strand, counting down.
GGTTAAGGTAGCTACATAGATTTTGATTTAAAATGTTCTTTCACCACTATAATACAATTTGTTGATGTTGACAGGATTGATGTAATGTTCATGTAATGTTCATGTTCATGATGTAAATGTAACACTTATTCAAGTACATCATTCTTAAGCAAAAATCTTTTGTATCCATAATCATATAGTGAAGCCAATTAATATGATATAAGGTAATTACAAACATTGCTCCTGTACTTTGGTGGGATCTTGTACAAGGTACCTATGACAGGTGAATTGACATCTGTCATAGGTACCATTCAGGCAGAATAGAATTTTGATTTAGTTATTCGGGAGTTATCATCTTGTAAATTTGCCAGTGCAGTGACTACCTCCAAAATTTACATTTCCGAGGGGTAGTAAAGACAATGTAGTGCCATCTGATTTTCATATTAAGTATCCAAGAGAGATTGTGTCTACCTTCACATATGGGCTTCAATATATTTCTAATAACTGCAAGTCTAGTGCAAGTTTCATTGCTTGAACAAAGCAAGCTAATGAGTATCATGTTAAGAATTTGTGCCTGTCTGTAGGCAGTTATAAAATAGGCAGTAGTATCATGATTCTGTCACCCCAAATCATCCATCATCTGTCTCATAAGATAGCTTAATTTTCATAATGGCTAGATTGCATACTCACTTGTCAATGCACAATTATTAAATGGAGCTAAGCATTGCGTGGGCAAAGCATCTGCATCATCAGTTCCAGGCATTTCAGTGCCTTAAAGATGAGGCCAGCAGCTGTGTCACACGGGCAGCAGCATGTCACTGGAAAGAATTAGTAAATTGGATGGAAAGCATGGTATCTGGTATTACAGATTGCATGGTTTTCTGTAAGCTCCAAATTGGTACATTTTGGTTATTTTACGCATCATTTCCTCCTTTTGTGACCATTAAAATCCACTGAACTAATCATTCTACAAATCCCTAGAACTCCACAGCTCTTGCCTGGATGAAAATTTATGTAACTTATCCTTTGGAATATAAGAGGTAGTTATAAAACATGAAACCTATATATCTTTAAAATTCTAGGGATTTTACAAATACGATTATTCAAATAGATTGGTGATGTTACTATGCTCAAAATATATACTGCATCATAAAATAAGTGATTTACTTAAAAGTAATGTGATCCATTTCCTTTTATCATGTGTTCACAGAAGTTCCTAAGACTTAAAAATATGACATCATGACATGACAGCTTATAGCTACCACTTTGTAGGACACTTCCAGGTTCTTAAATTTCTAATCAGTCCTGTCACTTCTCACTGACTTTTGATGCTTTCTGGGAAAAAAAAATTATTTTTGCTCTAGATTTATTCTGTCTAATATACAACCTTAACTCTGAATTTTTATGAGGCTTCTTTCTACCATCTTTTGGTACAGTGAATGATGAGCTGATTTTTAGACTAATAATTTTTTTCTGTGTGTTATATAAAATTATTGGGTTCTAGAAGTTTCCATTTGGTTTTCAGCATTTTATACTGAAACACAGCATTCTGTATACAATTTAGGGGGGCAAGATATTACAGAAGGTAGTTTAAATTAAATACATGAGCTAAAAAAATGTGTAAAATGTGTTTTCCCTCAGTGTTATGTGAAATTCTTGCATACCGGTAGATAACATCTGGAAGTACCAACTCTAATTAAGCAAACACAGCACGAAAAGATCCTCTTACTGTTAACCCATCTGACACCCGAAAATTCCTCATTCAACTATACATACCAATGAGAAGAGGATTTGAGCATTAGCAAGGCCTCAGCTGCTACCCTAAACTTAATGAAAGTCAGGGAAATGAGAAATCTCAGTTTTAACACAGACATCCGACCGTCTTGCTTTCCTTTTAAAAGTTAGTATTAACTTCATTTTCTAATTTGTAATGTACAAAAATATACCGCATTTTGCATACTAGTTTTATCATGTAACTATTAAATTCAGTATGTAATTCAAATTTACATTATTATAGACTTTAATTTAAAAAAACCTAGAAATAAAGACAACTACTTTTCTCTTTGGTAATATGTTATCTCTTCCTCAAGAAATAGATTCCAAAAAGAGCCCCACAGGGCTCTATAGCTGAGAAAAACAAGAGTTGGTAAACACCAAATTTTTTCTCTATCTTGAATAATCACATTTCGTGCTAATATATTAATGCTTCTGAGAATTATTACATTAAAGATTTCTGTTTTTTGATGATAGAATCTTTTTCACTGAAATACCTATTAGAAGAATAAACTATGATGTAGATATCTTGGAATGTTCACTGATCTTAATTTCATTTAGAATTTGCAAAGAAGAATCTCATATAATAAGTCTAAATAGCTCTTAATGTGATAACAAGGTCCTGTCCACTTGAAGAGCTGCCATGCCTGGGATAGTTTTTTGAGAAATCATGAAATGCCTCCATCAACTGGCAGCTGGAAAACTGGTATAAAAGGCATGAATCAAATCTGGCCATGTCTTTCCATGTCTTTCAAGCCCTGATCCCTCACCTCTCTTACCTTAAAAAAGTTGAAAATATACATTATTTAAATGCAATGCCAAGTTTTTCTCTAATTAACCATATGGCCAAGTGGAATAAGAAGTCTGTCAGGACTACGTGAATGTTACCATTTCCATGGGTTTAGTGGGTTGAGAAATTGCAGAGGCCCTTCCAGAGGTTATGCACTTCATTCAACAGATGATGAAATCATCTGTCTTTGGAACACTGTCCTTTGTGTCATGGAATTTCAGGTCTTCTTTTGAAAGGTCATGCAACTAAAGAATAACACTTCACATAATCTTATTTTTTAACAAATGTATTAATCGTTTTTTCCTCAAAATAATTTTATTAGGTATAATACACAGATCTTAAGTACACAGTTCAATCAATTTTGACAATTGAATGCAGCCACATAAATCACACTTCTATTGAGATAAAAAGTTTCTTTTTGCTGTACCAGGGGTCCCAAGACCATCCCCAGGTTTGGTGATTTGTAAGGAGTGCTCCCACGACTCAGCATATAGGCATAGTCATGGCAGTGATTTATTATGGAAAACGGATAAAAAGCGAAATCAGCAAAGAGAAAAGGTGCATCCAGCAATATCCGGAAGAAACCAGGTGCAAGCATCCAAGAATCTTATCCCACTGGAGTCACACCAGCTGATCTTAATTCACCCAGTAGCAACTTGTAATGGCAAGTATGAAATGCTGTCTACCAGGGAAGCTCTTGAGACACTCAGAGTCCATGGTTTTTATTAGGGTTGATTACATAGGACACACTCTGCCTACTCTGTATAAAAATTTTAGACTTCAAGAAAAACAGATATTCAGGATAAACCAATTGTTTGAACAAATGGTTTAGGACAATGAATCATTCTTATCAGAGAATGGTGGGTACTCTCTTGAAACATAAGTTTCTAGATGCCAGCGAAGACCAAGCTCGCAAGCAGGCCCTTCTAAGGATCGGAGTCTCCTGCCTGCTGATGTTAACACTTTCCTGCACGTTTACTGCAAATCAAGCCTCCAAGAAACCACAGATGTACTTTTAATCAAAATAAGTTTTCCTAGTCTAGAAATTCACATAAGTGGAATCAAATAGAAGAACATAATGTCATTTCACCACTTAATTTTCATTCATTTGTCATAGTTTCTAAATGTTTTTGGTCTTGATTTAGTGTGCATCTTATATTGTGACATTTTCTAACTCAGGAATCATGGCCATCAGCAGCTCCAGGCTCAGCTTCACACAGCTTGGCTGCTGGAAAGAAAACTCAAGTGTGCATTGGAAAATCCCAGAATTTCTTCTCAGCTTTTTGGCTAAGATCATGTGTGAAAATTCCAGGGAAGAATCATGATTGTCCTGGATAAAGCGATGACCCACTTGTGACCAAGGCCAGACTCAAGGAAGGCAGTTTTGGCTTGCATTCTGAGCTACAGTTCTACTGTTATCAGAAATGAGTGGTTTTCAGGAAGAACAGGATCCAGCCACTAGAAGAGATGACGCTGGGTGAGACAACCATTCCAGTGAAGACAATATGATGTTTAATTTTTCAAGATATCTTTAATTTTTTAAATTCCAAACCAAATGTATGTTAATTTATTGAGTAATAATAAAAATAATTATTTTCTCTTCCAAGGGACCTGAGAAAGTGCTGGGACCCTCAAAGTGCTGGGATTATAGGTGCGAACTACCATGTCTGACCCATTTTATGTATAATTTATAAAGTCCACAAAAGCTAGTAAAGCTGTACATATACATTGAATATAAATAATTTTAAACATATATATATATATATATATATATATATATATATATATATATATATATATAGCAGAACCTGCTCAGATGATTTTTAAGTATTAGTGTTGATCAAAAAGGAAGGACATTTTAAGGAACATAATACTAGTTATTTCTCTTTCTGTCTCAACTCTTCTGGATATCCCAGCCTCTAGGTCATCCATCCTTGGAAGGGACCTGAGAAAATATAAAATGAACAGAAGAAAGATTTTTTTCACATAGTATGTAGTCTAGAATGGCACTTAGAGCCAGCCATGTGAACATTCAGTAGATCCTATACAGTGGACAGAAGGCATTCCACTGAAAACAATTACATCTTCCACCTCTGAGTCAATTTTTCATCATTGCATTTCAATCTTCTTTAGCTTCTTGTTAAAAAAAAAACTCATCTGACAACTATTCAGAAAGCTAAATGCCAGGGTTCAAACCTAGATCCTTCATCACATTGCTTCTCCAGGCAAGAACGAGATTGAGTTGAGGGTACCTGGAGATCAAAACAGAAAGCACACTTTACAAGTCATTTATTAACTACTTTTTAAAAAAATTCTGGTCCTAATAGCAACATTTATTCTACTTGAGAAGCCAAGTTGAAGATGGCATAATAGACAATTCAAAGTCATTTCCTCTAAATATATTTTGTCTAAACGATGTAATGTCAAATTTTCCTGCAGTTACATTTGCATCCCTGGAGAAGGGCTTCCCGATGTTGGCCTGCTGCTGATGTTTAGTGCAGCTGCAGAGCTTTAGCCTGACTTTCTCACTCCTTGAGCATTCCCTATGCCCGAAGAATAATTCATTGTTCCGGATAAATTTTAAAACCTTTCTTTAATGTAGTACTATTCCTCAGTTTATTGTGCAAAAGAAAAAAAGAATTGTTTTAAATTCATACATTAAAAATTAATCTTTTTCTCAACACTTTTCATTCAATTATATGTATGATTGATTGATTGATTATTTTGAAACAGAATCTCACTGTCACCCAGGCTGGGAAACAGTGGAATTATCACGATCATAGCTCACTGTAACCTTGAACTCCTGGGCTCAAGTGATCCTCCCACCACAGGCACCTGAATAGCTGGGACCAGAGGCACATGCCACCACACTTGACTAATTTTTTTTGTGTGTGTGGAGATGGGGTCTCACTATATTGCCTAAGCTAGCTTCAAACTTCTGGCTTCAAGCAATCCTGCCACCTTGGCCTCCCAAAGTGCTGGGATTATAGGTGTGAACTACCATGTCTGACCCATTTTATGTATAATTTATAAAGTCCTCAAAGGCTAGTAAAGCTGTACCTATACATCAAATATAAATAATTTTAAACATATATATAAAGCAGAACCTGCTCAGATGATTTTTAAGTATGTGTTGATCAAAAAGGAAGGGCATTTTAAGGAATGTAATGCTAGTTATTTCTCTTTCTGTCTCAACTCTTCTGGATATCCCAGCCTCCAGGTCATCCGTTATCTTGAGACTTCTGACACCCACTGTACTTTACACAACCTCCAAACTACCATAAACAGTTCCCATTTTTTCCCCTGAAGAAATCTATCTGGAACTCTTCTTCTGGGATTACAAAATTTTCTCCTATTATCAACTTCTCTTTTCTCTCCCTTCCCCTTCCCTTTACCCAAACATCACTCTCCCGGACAGACACTGACTCTGCTTACAGGTGGAGGTTATTAATCTTTTCGTGTTCCTTCACGACCCCCGTCATTATTGCCAAACCATTTCCACTTCTACCTCCCTCAAAATGTTACTGCTCTTCTGAACTTCAGACCACTTAGCTGTAATCTCCAAATTGTTGTGACACACCAGTGTCAAAATGTCTACAAACTCTCCACTGTGGAGTTCACTGAAAAACTTAGTTCTTGGTTCACTGTCTTTCCCTTCCCCCTTTTCTAGTAGTCATTCCCGGTGATTTTAAAACCAGCATGTAAAGCCCGTACCACATTTTGAATCGGCAGCTCTTTGGCCACCTCACTTCCTACAACCTTTTCCTTTATCCTATTTCGGTCATCTTGTCTTTGATCGCATACTGGACCTTAGTAATCACCAGTAAAGCCACATGACCACCAAAATTCTCAGTTCCAAATACTCCACTATTTAACTCGTCATTTTAACCTTCAGTGTTACTGAAACCAGAGCCTTTACTCTACTAATTCCTTGGCCTCAGCATGTTTTCTATCACACTTTCCAAGCATTTGCTTCTTTGTTTACTAAATTAGAACTCATTGGCCATCTTCATAATCACTGCTCTGAATAGCAACATCTTTGATTTACTCTCCCTTGTCCAATCAACTGATAAAGCACAAACCCTGGCTGCAAAGCTATATCTGCCTTTTAATCTGAGCCTAGCAAGTAAAGTTTGCTGGAAATTCTTACTCTACCATGTGATACACGACCACAGACTTTGAATGGACCCTCATCATTAGCCAAAAGAACTTACTACCTGTCCTTTCTAAGTTTACCTTGTCCCTTTCTAAAACAAAACAAAACCAACAATTGTATACCCCTTCCTCTCTCCTCAGAGGTCCCAACTCTCCCCACCACACCCTCTCAGCTGAGACTTCACTTCATACGGTATTGGTAAAATGGATGTCATCAGATGGAAACTCAATCAACTAGATTAACCTTCCTGTATCTGTTTTTATCTCTTATGGCTTCTCTCCATAAACTGGGATAATTTTCTTAGATTCTTCCAAGGGCATCCCCTCCAACTGTGATCTACATTCCCTCTTCTCTCTTCCTTCCAAGAATTTTAGTTGTTTCAATGCTTTTGTTCATCCTAATTCTTCTGAGTAATACATATTTCTCCTTATTCTTTGTTAGCAGATAGTAGTACATGGGTTCATCTTGGAAGTCCACTTAAGTAGGCATCTCCTCCGTGAAGTGCTTTCCCTGGCTTCCTTTATGGAAATTAAAAATATGCCCCTCCTTTGTGCCTCTATATTTTGTACAATGTTTTATTGAAAGATCATTTTGCCTTTCAATGTGGCATCTTGTTTCTACCTCTGCCATACAATAAATTCTAAACTACATGAAAATACTGAAAGTTTTTTTAAAATCTTTATATTTCCCATAGCTTTAAGCACTAAAGCCTTCCAAATAATAGGTTGAACAAATATTTGTATCAATATTCTATTCATATTGTCTACCATTGCATATTCATTAAAGTGACTTTCTCCCCTATTAACATAGTTTCAGTCAATTAGCTGATCATTCCCATCACATGAAGAATGTCATTAATGAAATTGGATTTTTCTATTCTTATATTTTAATACAGAAATGTGTTCTTTCTTGGTTTTTCATTCAGTCATTATGTTTGCTGATATCCATAATTTAATCATGAAATAACCATTAAACATTTTAATGTATTATATATTTAATGTTTGGAATATTTGTATTACTTTTATTCCTCTGCTTATGCAGATTTAGCTCTTAACATTTCTCTATTTTAAAATAAAATAGGGCTCAGTTCCCTTCCTAGACTTAAAGATAAGTCCACACAATAACATAATTTTAAATTTTCTAATTCATCCTTGAAATCTCCAGCTATGTTGGCAATTTTTTTATATTGATTTGAAGACCACAATTAAAATTTTTTGCCAGGACCTTCATAGCTTCTCTTTGTGCCAGTAATCTTGCTTAAAATTTAGTAATTAGTTTCAAGAAGAATTTAAGTGCATTCAGTAAAATAAATTAAAAAGCTTAGCCCAAGTTTATAAAGAAGAAGGAATCAAGCCAACAATCCCTTTTCTTCCATCATATTTACCATATAAAACCTTCTATTCAGCTTAGGATTACTTCTGAGTTATTTTAAATGCTAATTATGTATTTGTTAAAATAAAGTCTAAGTGGTTAAAATGGGGATATTAATAATTACTCTAAAATATGTACTTACAGTACACATGATAATCAGATTTATTATCAAATATGTATTTTTATAATCAATTTCAGTATCACAAAGGGATTGAATGGTATATTACTTTTAATGAAACATCTCCCAGTACAATTATATGTACATAATTTAATAAATTCTTTTATTATATTTTAAAGCATGAGACATATAAATGTATTTTTAAATGTGCACATTAATGAAAGCATCCACCATTTTGTGGTTTGCAATATTTAAGCTTGAAAACCATTTTAACAATCTCTTTACTGAAAATAGACATTTGCCCTTTGCTTTTGTAAAATACATGGGTGAGGCAAAGTTGAGGTGGACAGCACGAATGGTGAATGACACAGTCAAGATCCAAAAATAGTTTGATAGTTGTAAATAAGCAGTCAAATCTATTAAAAAGAGGTTACTAAGGTTAAATCAAAGACTTTTCTTCAGTTAACGTTTTATTATCTAACCTACCAACTTGAGGGACATAAATAAGCTGGTGGCAGTATGAAAATACTGAGTCATTTTAAACCATAATTAACATAAGCCATCCTGAGTCATTTTAAAACATGGTTAACATAAAGGTATTTTCCCAAAATATTTAATGAGTATATAGGTTTCATTAATAAAAGTAAATTATTCAGAGGAATATTCTTCAGAATGAAATTTACAAGATAATCCACCGAGGAACAGAAAAAAATGTATATTATTACATATTTAACTTTATAAAAGTTAAAGAAAGTGAAGTTGGACTGATATTAAAGATCTCATTGATAAAGTATATAATTACTTAGAAGATATGCAATTATTGTAATAGACAAACAATTTTTTCATAGTTAACTCTTTTGACATTTCATAATACCACATTTTTATAACACAAAAAGATTTCCCATTTCTTAGTTTATAATTGGAAGATAAGAATTTTAGCATTATTTCTTTTAAATGTTGACAATGTATATATGATTATTAAATCAGACTTCCACATTGAATTCAGAGTCTACCATCAGAGATTTGAATTGAAATTTAATAAATTGTGTACAGATGGAAATTCTGTGGAAACGAATTTTACTTTAACTTAAAATAATTCCCTAATATATTAATTACTTCCATTGGACAAAATTCTGTAAAGTATACAACTATTTTTGACTCGAATGGCACCAAAACTTTGAATGATACGTGTTCTGCCAAATTCAGCATTAATCATATTGTTTTAAAGGAAAGTAATAGTTCCATTCATATATCAATAAAGAAATACAAATATCATGGCTCACAGATTTCGGTTCTTCCACGTCCATCACAGAAATTTGGAAAAAGCATTGCACCACGCAACCTTATATCTACAACCAAAAATAGCTAAATAATTTGTAAAATATTAACTTTTCTTGAATTCCTAAGTCAGCTAAGGTTGTAGAGCACTAACCTGAAATCTGAGGAAAAACAGGTACCAGGTAGGAGGAATAAGACATAAATATTTTCATCTTTGAAGCAGAGGCTGGATGCACCAGGGCTAGTAAGAAGTCAGCTGAAGTTTTTAGCAAACTCTTAATGACTGACTGGGCTACCAAGAGAATGTGAAACCCTCGGAGCCACAGATACATGGGAATTTGTACCTACATCTGGGCTCTCCACGGCCCTCACAAGGCACCCAGGAGAGACCCAAGATTGTCTCTCATGACACAGGCCTGGAGTAAGGGCACAGAACAGCTTTGGGAAAGACACAAAATCTCACCCTTCTTCATCTTCCCTAGAGGAAAACAGCCACAAGTCACTGGGGAAACAAGCAGTAAAACCTGTCTCCCTCAGGATGCAGGAAAGACCCATTCCAGCTGGTCTCGGAAGAGAACTGAAAAGGATTCTTTAGATTATCAAAGAAACCCCCCATCTCTGGGGCAGGAACAAGAAAACCTCTGGGGTCCAAAATATTAGTTGTCTCCTAGTGACACAAGAGGTGCAGGATCCCCGAGAACAACCCACACCCAAGACCCAGCAACACAACCCTTGCCAAAGACTGGGGCTGCGACAGAATAAAAGAGAACAGCCTTCGCCTTCCCATGCCTATTTGCAGAGGAGGAAATGTTAAGAAGTAATAGGAATCCACCACTGAAGGAGAATCAAAGCTCACAGAGACCTCCTTTGAGACGCAGGCACAAAAGAAAGGCTGAAATCAGATGGTGAGAAGACATTGAGGGAAAAGTCTGGCAAACCTATCCTCACCCTAAACACACTGGAGGCATTTAAAGTTTGTGCTGCACTAAGGGTAACAGGCGAATCAATAACAATAAAATGAACAATCCCAAATCAGGTTCTAAATGGATTGGCTCAACCCCCAGACTAAAGGTTTCAAAAGAGAGAGACAGAGACAGAGAGAGAGAGAAGACAGAGAGAGGCAAGGTGGGAGGGAGGAAGGAATTGGGAAAGGAACAAAAGTGGACTTTTTAAGCATAAAAATTATTTACCTCAACAAACAAACAAGAACCATGACACACTGACACATGATATTAAAAGTGCTGAAAGTCAAAGATAAAGGTTGCCAGAGAAAAAGGACATACTATATCCAGGAGGATAAAGATAAGAATTATAGATGTCTACTAATCAGAAAATGTTCAATACAAAATATGATGGAGTGGCATCATTGAAGTGCTAAGAAAAAGTCAACCCAGAATTTCATAGCCAGCAAGAACATCCTTCAAAACTGAAAGAGAATTAGAGGTGAGAAAAAAAGGCAGGGTATTAGCAATAGACCCGCACTACAAGATATGTTACAGCAAGTTTTTCAGACAGAAGGATTGTATGCATTAAGTAAACAATAGCTATAAAATGTACTTTTTCCCCTTTTTGTTGCTCTAAAATATGTCTGAGCAGATAAAGCAAAGATAGTACCAACAAATTGTATCTTTACAACATAAGTAAAAATAAAGTCTATGGCAACAATAGCACCAAGAATGAGATCAATTTAACTAAAAGCCAATTCTTTGAAACAATTGACAAATTTGATAAACACATAGCCAGACTAAATGAGGTAGGATGGAGGGGAGAACACAAATTACAAATAGAAATAAAAGAATGTTCTTCTTCTCCCTCTTATTTAACACTGTTTTGGAGATTTTCTCCAATGTAATAAGAATAGTAAATAAAATGCACTTAGACTGGAAGGAAACACTAAAAGCTGTCTTTTAGTGGAGAAGAATACTGTTTTCAACAAAAGGTGCTGACACAATTAAATATCCATATGACAAAAAATTAACATCAATACCCAACTCATATATTATACAAACACTCGCACAAACTCGTTTATAAACCTAAATGTAATAGCTAGATCTGTAAAACTTTTAAAGTAAAACACATGCACAAAAATATTGTGACCATGAGTGGGCAAAGCTTTCTGAGATACAATACAACAAAACAATTCAAACTAGGAAAAATTATAAATTCAGTTTTAAAATGATAATGACACTGTAAATAAAATGTACAGAGAAGCCACAGATTAGAGAAAATATTAGCAATAACATAACTGATGAAGGACTTGTATTAAGAATACCTAAAGAACTACTGAAATTCCATAACCAGAAAATAAGCTACACAATTAAAAAAATGGGTAAAAGTACATTAAAATATGTTCAACATCATTAGTCACGAGGAAAATGCAAATTAAAACTACAATGTAATACCAAAATACATATAGTGGAATCGCTTAAAAAGGTACAAGTGAAATTTTTGGTTTGATGGAAATGTTCTATATTTTGATTATGGTATGGTTACATGATTGTCAAAACTCTGTCGAACTCTATCAAAACACAAAAATTAAACTAAAACAGTTGAATTTTACTGTATTTCAATTACATCTTGAATTTAAAAAAGAAAAAAATCGTGACTGGCAAATAATTTGCATGCAGAAATGAACTGGTAAAGAAAACATTCGTGTTTTACAAAAGTAAAATATTTGGATTTTAAAAGTATATTCTCCAATTATATGCCAGGAATTATAAGTGTTATGTAGGTTGAGTAAATAGCAAGATTATTACATGTGAGTAAAAATTATTTTATGTCTATGGAAAGATAGATAGATGATTGATAGATGATAGATAGATGGATAGATAGAGACATGGAAATACATATATTCATCTTCAACCTGTTTTTTCTCAAAAGCTTTTTAAAATACTGATTGTTACACCAAAGTAATTACTGACAAGTTATAGTTATCTGATCTAGGTTAAGTAACAGAAGCTCTAATAAAATTAGTAATAACTTCAATTTAAAACAAAATAAAAAGAACATAATTCAATGCCTTTTCCCTGAGACACCTAAGAAATAGATGACTTCTCAGTACTTCAGTAACAAACAAATATTAGACTCAAATAAAATGTTCAGTCATGTCATTAAAAATACATGTATAAAAAACGCAGCATTTCCTACGAGCTCCTAATGATCTGATATATACTCAGCATTCTTCCAAAGTTTCCATATTTATTTTAGATTTTCTATACTTTTGTTTCTACTTTTAAAAATAATCACGTTTTTTCTTTATATATGATATTTATATTTTACAGAAGAGCACAATTAGTCACAAAAAGCTTCAGCAACATTGATTATTAATGGATCCAGGATTTAGAACTGGACAGTCCGAATCTAGAGTCCTCCCTCTTAAAGACTACAGGATACCATTAAGGAAAATTCACTGTGAATGTTATCAGATATATTTACATATTAATTTGTGAATGCTGTTTGATATTTAACCCTCCGAGGCTAGAGCTCGAGGCAAACAAATCCTACCCAGTAAGAATGCGTTGGGGCTGCTTAACAAGAAGGATCCCAAGAAAGGTTAGTTTATCAGGTGCTCAAGGAAGATGGAGGAAACCGTTTAAGAATCAGCAGATATCTCCAAAAGCCCTATCCCTGGGGAAGCAGCCAGTCTTGGAGTCTGATTGGAAACCCAAAGAAGGCTGGTTACACAGGTAAAGCAAATGTCATGCCGTGTGAGAGGTCAGACTTGCCCAGGTCTCCTCGGGCTCTCCTACTTCTATTTAGGGGATGAATCATAAACTGGCATATTTACATGGGTAGATAAATTATTTTTATCATACTTACTATTATAACATATTTTACATCAAACAAGACAATACAGATATTCTTACCTCTAAATAACAAGGAAGAAACTGAGGCTCACTCACTTGCCAAGGTTATAAATCCCAGAAACAGAGTTCAAACTCGGCTCTTTGAACTTCAAATGAAGTAGTCTCTCCCATTTGCCAAACTGCATTCTGTTTAATAAATTCTAGAAACACAGGCAGCTAATTCCTAATGTAGAATTATTCATCATTGAAGTCTCTGTGCTGTCAAATCTAATTGACTTCGTGTATGAGAAGGTGGGTGTGGTAAAATCTTAGTGTGCTGTTTTTTTGATATTTATCTTAGCTGGCGCTTATAATGGATGTAGGTTCATTGCCTACAGGATACAGTATCTTGGAGTTAAGGGTTAGCACTAAGATTTTTATTATATAAACAAAAACCATTGACATAATCCAAAGTCTAAACTCTGAAATATTATATAAAATACCTGCTTTATTTTTTATTTCCTAGGAAACAAGAGAACTTCCATAATTTCTTTCTCAATTACATGTATGTATTATTTATAATTATCAGATTTATTAAACTTAAGTGTACATACTTTTACATATGAGTTTATGTACACTGTCACACATACTGTGTTCCACTCCCCATGCCTGCTCACCAAATCTGCTCAACTCATTTTCAGTATCTTGTTAAATGGAATGCAATTGAACTAGTTGATTATTCCAATAACTTGTTTTTTAAACTCTTCATCTTCTGCACCTAAAACATCAGAATTTCCTACCTTCAAAATATATCCTCATCACTTCTCACACTTTGCCAAACTGTTCCACACTGGTCCAAGGCCAAGGATCTTTCGCATGGCCAAGTCCAACAGTCTCTTCATCTTTCCTTTTCTCCCTCTTTGACTCACTGTAGTCCAATCTCCACATAACCAACAAAGGAAACGTTCTAAACTGTAAATTGTATTTCATATTATGCAGTCTTCCTGTGTGTAACTCTTGAAAGGCTTTTCATTATTATCTGCAACAACAGATTTCCAATAAAACTTAAACACATATCCATGGCCACGAAATTTCTATGTCATTTATCCCTGGTAACCCCTCAGGTCCATCTTCCGTCACTCTTAACTTTTCTCAGTATAAATCAAGAGGACATGCCCATCTCCACCACAGAACTGCTACAGGTTGCAGATTCTACAATCTACCCTTCCTCCCAAGTCTCCCCAGAGCTGTATGTTTCTCATCCTTCAACTCTGCTCAAATGTTCCCTGTACAGGTAAGTTATTCATAAACACCATGAAAAATATTTCCCCAACTTCCTCCCAATCACTATTCTGTTACTCTGGTTTCTATGGTAATTATTAGTGTCTGGAATTCCATTATTTATTTTTGCATTTGTTTGTTTTCTTACCCCCCAGATAGTAGGCTCCAAGATGGCAGCAACTCATTCACCCTCTTGGTTTCTCCAAGAGGCTTATGGTGGATTCCAAGACAGCCCACCACATCCCGTCTTCTGGCAGGTGTCCCCACCCCTTAGCTGGAGTTGGCTAAATAGCAGCTGCCTTCTCTGAGGAGTTCCCTTGCTCTCACCTAGGAGGCAACATGCCTGTTACTACAACTGAAACTCTGCCACTGATGACTGACAGAGGGTACAAAAGCCTGCCCACCTTCACCAAGGTAGGATGGCTAGCTCTTAAGCACTTTTTCTTAAATTACATTGCTAAATGTATATTTATTACATTAAATATACATTTTTAATTATACATAATTAAATATACATTGCTAAATGTACATTTAATATATGTAAATGTTTTAATCATTATCATATCTAACTTAAACCTGATTTTCTGAAATGCAGAAAAGTCACTTTATATATATATATAAAATACTTTAAGTTCTAGGGTACATGTGCACAACGTGCAGGTTTGTTACATATGTATACATGTGCCATGTTGGTGTGCTGCACCCATTAACTCATCATTTACATTAGGTATATCTCCTAATGCTATCCCTCCCCCCTCCCCCCACCCCACAACAGGCCCTGGTATGTGATGTTCCCCTTCCTGTGTCCATGTGTTCTCATTGTTCAATTTCCACGTATGAGTGAGAACATGCGGTGTTTGGTTTTTTGTCCTTGCGATAGTTTGCTGAGAGTGATGGTTTCCAGCTTCATCCATGTCCCTACAAAGGACATGAACTCATCATTTTTTATGGCTGCATAGTATTCCATGGTGTATATGTGCCACATTTTCTTAATCCAGTCTATCATTGTTGGACATTTGGGTTGATTCCAAGTCTTTGCTATTGTGAGTAGTGCCGCAGTAAACATACATGTGCATGTGTCTTTATAGCAGCATGATTTATATTCCTTTGGCTATATACCCAGTAATGGGATGGCTGGGTCAAATGGTGGAGAAATAGAAACACTTTTACACTGTTGGTGGGAAGGTAAACTAGCTCAACCATTGTGGAAGACAGTGTGGTGATTCCTCAGGGATCTAGAACTAGAGAAGTCACTTTTTAAAAGATAATGCTCCCATTTCTGCAAACTATTCACAAATTATATCCTAGAGGGGAAAATCATGATTAAATAGTTTATAGTACATAGAACAAAGCTTGGTTTGGGGTAAATAATATAAACAAATAATAAAATCCACATTTGTAACATGTGGATCCAGAGTCATTCCTTTAGAATGAGTATTTTTTCAGACATGTTGGACATTAATCCTACTCTCTGCATAAAATACAGAGAGGACCTTTAAACAAGTGTTACCAGTGCTTTTAGCTTTTGAGGCCTTTGGCATGAAGGGAACACTTAACTACTTATTTCCCCAAACAAATAATCCTTTGTCATAAAAAATCAATTAGTTATGAATAAAGTCTGTTATACCCTTCATGTCTTACAGTATTTACCATTCCAGAGATCTTTTATTAACATCCTCTACCCTGATCTTTTCAAAATATTAATTTTTATTGATCTTCAAACTATCCCCCTTTCTCTACCACCATGGTACTTTGTCTCAAAAAAAAAAAAGTGTTTCATGCTCATCAGCTAACTCCCATTCACCCTCCATACATTGTAATCTGATTTTTATTCACACTCCACACATTGTAATCTGATTTTTATTCACACTCCACACATTGTAATCTAATTTTTATTCACACTCCACACATTGTAATCTGATTTTAATTCACCCTCCACACATTGTAATCTGATTTTTATTCACACTCCACACATTGTAATCTGATTTTTATTCACCCTCCACACATTGTAATCTGATTTTTATTCACACTCCACACATTGTAATCTGATTTTTATTCACCCTCCACACATTGTAATCTGATTTTTATTCACCCTCCACACATTGTAATCTGATTTTTATTCACACTCCACACATTGTAATCTGATTTTTATTCACACTCCACACATTGTAATCTGATTTTTATTCACACTCCACACATTGTAATCTGATTTTCATTCACCCTCCACACATTGTAATCTGATTTTTATTCACCCTCCACACATTGTAATCTGATTTTTATTCACACTCCACACATTGTAATCTGATTTTTGTTCACACTCCACACATTGTAATGTGATTTTTATTCACCCTCCACACATTGTAATCTGATTTTTATTCACCCTCCACACATTGTAATCTGATTTTTATTCACACTGCACACATTGTAATCTGATTTTTATTCACACTCCACACATTGTAATCTGATTTTTATTCACACTCCACACATTGTAATCTGATTTTTATTCACACTCCACACATTGTAATCTGATTTTTATTCACCCTCCAGACATTGTAATCTGATTTTTATTCACACTCCACACATTGTAATCTGATTTTTGTTCACACTCCACACATTGTAATCTGATTTTTATTCACACTCCACACATTGTAAACTGATTTTTATTCACACTCCACACATTGTAATCTGATTTTTATTCACACTCCACACATTGTAAACTGATTTTTATTCATACTCCACACATTGTAATCTGATTTTTATTCACCCTCCACACATTGTAATCTGATTTTTATTCACCCTCCACACATTGTAATCTGATTTTTATTCACCCTCCACACATTGTAATCTGATTTTCATTCACACTCCACACATTGTAATCTGATTTTTATTCACACTCCACACATTGTAATCTGATTTTTATTCACTCTCCACACATTGTAATCTGATTTTTATTCACACTCCACACATTGTAATCTGATTTTTATTCACACTCCACACATTGTAATCTGATTTTTATTCACACTCCATACATTGTAATCTGATTTTTATTCACACTCCACACATTGTAATCTGATCCTCTTGCAACTATTACCTGTGATGTAGGTTTTCTATCAGTAGCTATTTATGGAGCATTTATCATGCACCCACACACCTTCAGAAGGACTTATGGGTCCTATTTTGTGTATACGGAGGTCTCGAGTGGTGTGAGCCTGGTCGTGTGTTCAGGAGTGCAGGCAGAAGATGAGGTGCTGTTGTGTTGGAACTGGAAACTGCTCTCAGAGACTCTGTATCTAGAGGCTCAAAGAATGTTTGTGTACAGGTTGCTAATCTTGGCATGTTTTCCTGCAAACAATATACATTAAAAATGAGATATCTTATATAATTAAACGTTTAAGAAATTATTCTTATGCTTTATAATTTATAGGATTCTCATAGTGAGCAATTATTTTGAATCTGCACTTAATTAATACATTCCAGACTCAGTTGGTGTTGGAAATTTGTATACTAAGATGCATAATAAATTTCCAAGTTCTTCCCAAAAAGTCAATAGCATACAGGATTGGGTAAGTTACTCCTTAAGACTAAATGAGGAACTTTGATACTCACTGAGATTATCAAATTTATTAAATAGAACACTAAGTTAAAAAGGGCAATAATTCAAAATCAAAATTACTGTGGTTTGATAAAATCCACTGATCTCTCAGTTTTATAATTATATGTCCTCTAAATAAATGAGAATTTGCAGAACATACTAATTAGAGCACATGTATACTTGCCCAATTTTTTTGAAAATTAAAATTTTGTCTTCCATATATTAATCCTTCAACCAACCTTTTCTTATGAAATAACCATATACTAACTTTCCTGAAATGTATGTATTAGAAATCTTTAAACATGCTTCCAATTTCACAAGAAAAGCTGATGTTCAAGGTGTCAGAATTATTGATGTTATGTAATAGATGATCTTCCAAAATACACGGCATAGCTGTTCATGCAATTTGTCACATCCTTGCTCACAATTAAAAGCCGTATCTGTAGCATATTGTACCTTTTCCATACTGATATTTTCAAAGTCAGCTGTGAAGTTAAAATACCCAAGCACTCACTATATAATACTAAGCGTTTCATTATTATCTTTCATCTGAGTTCTTATTTTTTCAGATAAGAAAGTGTGTTTAATATAAAATGGTTAACATTATTAATAAAAACGTTACGGAGTACCTGCATTTTGTTACCAGGCAAAATAAGTCCAATTCCATTTTAGCATATGAAGGTTTTAACTTACATAGTTTAATTTTATTAATAAACACACTGATTGGCTGTGTCTAATATGCATTGAAATATGTTTCCCACTTTATTATGTGAAAATATCATAAGCTAGAAAAATAATTCCATTTTCTATAATTGTGATGATTAAAAAATGTATGGAAGTAGTTGAATGAAAATGTGAAACATCTAAATAAATAAAAGTGATTAAATAATAATGAAGTAAATATTTGGGATTTTTTTAGTTTACATTTTTATTTTCTGATTACTTTTATAAGCAGCAGTTACCTGATTAGACAGCATTTAAACTGATAATGTTATTTATAAAAACTTAACTAACTTTTGTTTCCAATAATATATTTCAGGAATGAGATGGTAAAACAAGAGAAATATTTAAACCATACGAAAAGAAAATGAGATTTCAACCATAATTGAAAAGTATGAAAGTTTATAATCTAAAGACTTCTAAAGAAAAGTTAAGAGTGTTTTTGTTCTGCAAGTTACCGAACTTTGCAGTTGTATTCCTGCTGAGCAGAAGGGAAATTGACCTAAATTTTATAGGCTCTCCAATTCTGTGTAGTAGAGAATGGCTTGGAAAAAATAGAGTTGGGAAATTATTGTTCAATTGCTTGGGGAACATGACTTCAATAGGTGTATTTGATTTATTAATACTGATTTATGTAACAGCTTCAGAAAGCCACATGTTTATTTGCCACTTTAAAATACATTATTTCATTTTTTTGGGGGGGGTTGGAATTTTACTTTAAGTTTTGCAGTTGAACTGGTATCAAGAAAATATTGAGCCAATATTTTGTGAAATCTACAATGGTAGGCCCTTGAGAGAAGGAAATAACAGAGTAATCGCCTATCAAAAAGCGAGTACTCTAGTGAGGCAGGCAGACATCATGACTTGCAAAAGGGCTTCTAAGTAGGATTGAGTATCAGGAAGCTTGCTGTTACAGGATAGAAGACAGATTGCAATTCTGACTTTGGGATCAGAAATGACTTAATGGTGAGGGTATATTTTGAGATGAAGCATGATCAGAGCTTCTCTTGCTGTCAAGATGAAGATGAAGCAGCAGTGCATTCTGACATAAAATTTTAAAATAGCAAAAATAATTTGCAAGGCAGCATGGTATAATGTGTGCTAATAAGTGGTCTGGAATGGCTGGAGTTGGTGGAAATGATACGGCACGAGCAGAGTGGGAAGACCGTGCAGGTGACAAGAGAAAGTCATGTAAATTAAGACACTGTGAGGGCAAGAAATAGTATAGATACTACCGTCTAGAGATAGAAACTGCTGAACTTTTTCATCTAGATGCTGTTACAGAATGAGTGCTGGGAAAATACACTCAAGCACTCATCTTTAGATCTATTTCAGGCCAGCCATGGTAACATATCTGCCAACCCTGTAATTTTGAGAGGCTGAGGCAAGAGGATCACTTGAGGCCAGGGAGTTTGAGACGAGATTGGGCAACAAAGTGAGACCCTGTATCTACAAAACAAAAATAAAAAAAAAATTAGCCAGGCATGGTGGCACATGCCTGTAGTCCTAGCTATAATACTTGGGAGGCTGAGGCAGGAGGATTGCTTGAGCCCAGGAGTTCAAGGCTATAGTGAGCAATGATAGTACCACTGCACTCCAGCCTGGGAGACAGAGCAAGGCCCTGTCTATAAAATTTAAATGAAAAATTAAAATAAAAAAATAAAGATCTATTTTGGTTTCTCATAAGTTCCTTCGTTCCTTTATATCAGACCCCACATACTCAACCTACTTTCCTCTAAAAGTCCCATGTTTGGGATCTAAAACCCAAATCGATCTACAATATCTGTCCCTCAAAACAACGTATAAAATTAAATAATGTGAAGGTAAAAATCAGAAAAATAAAGAACCTATGCCTTTCCTATTATTCCATTCTGCTTCAACAACAGCAAAGGAATCTTCTTTGCATGAGAACATCTTTCTGGCTTAAACTTGCAATTACGCTGAAAATGCATTAAGCTGATTGACTGTTTCCTGTGAATAAACAACACTGCACAGGACTTTCAGCCATATGTCCAGTTCCCTGGCCTCTGCATGTTGAAGAAACATCCTCTTGTGGACATTTATATAATAAACCAAAAATATGTCCAAAGTTTCAATGTGACTAGGAAGATAACTGTGTAATTTGCCAGAAACAAAGTAAGAAGCAGAGAGAAAGAATGGAAAAGGAAGGAACTTAAAATGTCAAGAGGAAGGAAGAGAGAAAACACACTGGGATAAATAGATTGGGAGAAATAAGAGAAGGAAAAGAAAAAACAAAAAACAAAGAATGCATTTTTAAAAATCCTTTTTGTGTACCCAACATGGAGAATTTAGTTTTCAATGCTGTGTTAGTTATTGTCTAATAATGTTGCCACACTTAGTGGCCTAAGCAACATAGATAACGCTATACAGGAAGCCCTCACTTAATGTCATCAGTAGGTTCTAAGCAAGATAACATATAATGAAACCAATTTTTTTCTCATCAAAGTTATAATAAAACAATATTGATCAAAATTATGTTATTCTGGGACCAGCTTTACATGGTTTCCAAAAATCTATGGACAGAACAACATTAAGCGAGGACTTATTGTATTATCTCACAGTTTCTATAGATCATAAATCTGCCACAACCTAGCTGGGTCTTCTGTTTCATGATCTGTCACAAGCCTGCAATCCAGGTATCAACCAGGGTGGGGGTTCATCTGAAAGCTCAGTAGGGGAAGGATCCACTTCCAGACTCATAGGGCTGTTGTCAAGTTTTAGCTCTTTATGAGTTGCTAGACTGAGGGTCTCAGTTCTTTTCTAGATGTCAGCTGGAGGCTGCTCAGAGTTGCTTGCTGGCTGTTACCTAGAGGGAACTCTCAGTTCATTGCCAGAGGGTCTGGTATCAAGAGGGAACTTACAATCTTATGTCATATAACCACCAAAGTGACTTCTTATCACCCTTGTCATAGTCTAGTAATTAAAAGCAAGTCATAGGTCCCATCGCACACTCAAGAGGAGGCCATTTGAGTGTCTGCCTGACACAAATGCATTGAGTTTTAATTGTAAATAACAGTTTATCTTAAAATGTCTAGCGTCTGAGAATTCACATTAACATAACCCGCTTTCCCTGTGTTGAATAACACTTGTACCAGATGTACTTTCCTATCTGTGTGTTAAACAAGGCTGGGCCCAAGTAAAAATGACTTCATGTCTTGCTCCAGAAAATGGCTGGTCCTAGATGATAAGACTCTAAAAAACTGCTTACTTATCAAAACTGATATCTTTTTTAAGACTCATTTCAATACCCTTTCTTTGTTGTAACTACCAATCCAAAGTTATAAACTCTATCCCATCACAATTAATTCCCACCTTGCAAGAATTGATCTAAAATCACACAGTTCAAGGTCTAGATTCCTACAAATATCTTTCCCTGAATCCATTCTCCTAAGACGTTACTAAGAGTCTATCAAAATAGTATGCTACCTTCAAGCAGTAGGCTTTGCTTAGCCCATGAGTTTTTTTGGAAATTGAGAGTCAACATACTCAATGAATAGATAGATGCAGATTAGGAAGTCACCTTCTTTGATTGTTAAATCAATAGAAATAAATGAGTTATTTCAGGATATATATACAGGTCAAGAAGGCCAAATTTTGAGAATGTCTTCATGTAACCAAATTTCTCAGCCATAGTCATCAGAAAAATAAGTGGTGAATCAAGAAAGAGTTGTCACAGAGGCCTAGCTAGAGAAACCACAGAAGAGATCTCCCTTAATTTAAGAATGTATAATAAATTGTGAGAAATTACAATGTCATGGAAAGGTACACAGAGATTAAAATGAAGATCGATAGAGTTGCACATTATGATGCCAATGATTCCTATAAACATAATATTGAGCAAAAATATATAACAAGAATAGAATGATTAGATTTAAACTTTAGGTGAATGCATAGGTGCACAACTATGAAGAAAATTAAGAGTATATTTTCATAAATGTTAGTATTGTGATTACCTTAGCAGGGAAAGGTGATGTGGTCTGGGAAGGGAGGTGATAACTTCTGTGGTGTTGGCATTTTGTATTTCTTCTGGGTATAAATTTCTAGAGTGACAGTATTTCATCTTTATTCCTACAGAACTTTAAAGATATCACTCCATTGTTTTCTGGTTTACATAGCTGTGTTTCTGACAAGAAACCTGCTTTCATTGTAGTTCTTATTGTCCTGCATGTAATGTTTTTTTCTTCCCCGGCTACCTTCAAGACTTTTTTCTCCATATTTGTTTTTTGTTGTTGTTGTTGATTTTAGTTTGACTCTCGTGTGCTCAGGTCTGTTTTTCTTTGTACTTAGCCTTTGCTCAAAATATTCTTTTTACATTTTTGCACCTTTCTCCTGGTGGAACAACAAGTAAATATGAGTTAATCAATTTAACAGTGTTCCACAGCTCATAGGTGCTCTGTTGTATTTTTTTTTTCATTCAGTTTTCACTTTGTGTTTCATGTAAGATTATTTCATGAAATGACTAACCATTTCTATTAGCCATGAAATGATTGACCCATTTCTATTGACCCACCTTTAAGCTTAGCCCTTCTGGAATCAGTTATGTAAAGTGTAATGATAATCTCATGAAAAGAATTCTTTATCTCTGATAGTGTAGGATTTTAAAAAAAGCTTTTGTTTATAATTTCCATCTTCTTGCTTAAGTTTTCCATGTATTGCTGCATGATGCCCAACTTGCCAAATAGAGCCATTGACATATTAGGTATAGGTATTTTAATGTGCCTATCTAGACTATCTCTAAGTCTAGTTCAGTTGATTGTTTTAGCTCTTGAAAATAGGTACTATTTTTTTTTGCTTTTTAGAGAGCCATAATTTTTAAATTAAGTGGTGATTATTTAGATATTGAGGTAAATTGTATATACACTCAAATGTGGTCATTCCTCTGCTTTTCTTAACTCTCATCATAGGGGAATAAGTCCATCTATTCAGGAGTTAGGATGTGTTTTGGATTTTTTGTTGTTATACTTACCTTTAGTGCATTGAAAACTGAAAATTTCTCCAGTTGTGAGCTGCTGCTACCTTGTGCTTAGTGTGATGCCTGGATTATCTGAACATTTTTTCTAAATATTTGTTTCTCTGCTTTCAGCAGGTCCTGCACAGACATTCCACACAGAAGTCTCTCTCCATACTTTTGCCTTTCCCCTAGCAAATTACTATCATTTGTTATTAGTGCAGATTCTTGGTGTTAAAAGGTGGAGTTTTTAGGTTCTTATGCTCCAGATTCAGACACAAGCAGGCCCTGAGTAATTAGTCTCATGGATGGAGCTTTCTCACTCATTCCATGGCACCTAAAATCTGTCTTACATAGTGAGAAAAGGTCTTGGGTAGACATGTTTCCCATTTCTCCTCTGGCAGCAGCTCTTTGTTTAGCATCACTGCAGAATTAGGTACAACAGGTGCTCTGCCACTTCTCATAAGCAGATGATTTTTGCTTCTACTCCTCCCCTGGCCACAGGTGACATCTGCCTGCAACAGAGATTTCCAGGGTGTTCTTGTAGTGCAGGTGACTTTTGCTTAGATGAGAAAAGTGCTTGTTCAGGAAAGGGATAGGTTTTAGTGGCTCTGCTCACTAAGGGAGAGGGAGATCTCTCTTGAATCTTTTGCTCTCCCCCCAACCCCCCACCAGTCCTTCTCATAAACACTAGGTGGAGGCCTGTGGCAAAAGCTGGTGGGTGGAACCAGTGCCCTTGTGCCTGGGGTCTCAGGCTTCTAAATTGTCACACTAGCTTATCATCATTTGGAATTCAGTTCATCTGTATATCTTGCAAACTCTGTTCTCTGTTGGGTCCCAAAAATATATGATTTTGTCAATTTTCTGGGTTGTTCTCAATATAGGTTGAGAGTCTTCAGCATCCTAAGTGCAACTGGAAATTCTTTAAGTGTGTTTGCTTTCTTTTGGGGGGGCGGGGAGTGTTGATATTGTTTTTTATTGAACAAATAAATTTCTCTTTCTTGACACCTTCTGGTAAGGACCATAATAACTAGAAAATGAAGTTCTCTGTGGGTTCACAGAGAAATATTGTTAAAACATATAACTGCATATAAGCTTTATGGATTTTTCTTTACATATATCACATAGCACAATAGAATGTTTAAAAATGAAGAAATCTTTATATTTTCATTTAAATTAACACTGACTTTTACTTACAAATGACCAGAAATATATAGGTTCTTTATTCAACACATAGAGTATAAACTATCCCCTCTGAAATATGACAGAGTTAAGAAAGTGAGAAAAAGCTGTGTATTCATCCGTTTTCATGCTACTGATAAAGACATGCCCAAGACTAGGTAATTTATGAAGAAAAAGTGATGCCAGCAGGGTAGCTCACACCTGTAATCCCAGCAATTTTGGAGGCTGAGGCGAGTGGATCACCTGAGGTCAGGAGTTCAAGACTAGCCTGGCCAATATGGTGAAACCCCGTCTCTACTAAAAATACAAAAATTAGCCAGGCACAGTGGCATGCCTGTAATCCCAGCTGCTCCAGAGGCTGAGGCAGGAGAATCGCTTGAACCCAGGAGGCGGAGGCTGCAGTGAGCCGAGATCGTGCCACTGCACTCCAGCTTGGGTGACAAGAGCTAAACTCCGCCTCTCAAAAAAAAAAAGAAAGAAAGAAAGAAAGAAAAAGAAGTTTAATAGACCCACAGTTCCCCAAGGCTGGGGAGGCCTCACAATCATGGCGGAAGGCAAAATGCATATCTTACATGGTGGTAGAGAAGAGAGAATGAGAGCCAAGCCAAAGGGAAATCCCCTTATAAAGCCATCAGATCTTGTGAGACTTATTCACTACCAAGAACAGTGTGGGGGAAACTGTGCCCACGATTCAATTATCTCCCACCAGGTCCCTCCAACAACATGTAGGAATTATGGGAGCTACAATTCAAGGTGAGATTTAGGTGGGGACACAGCCAATAATATCAAGCAGTATCCTTATTCTTAAAAGTTTTATTGTCTAGAGGCAGGAAGGGATATAAAAATAATTTTGATAAAACACATGGCACTGTTACAGGAGCATTTAGTGGAAATATTACTTCCCTCAAGGATTCAGAATGCTATCTTCCTTGGAAACAATTTAGGAAATTTTAGGGTAAAAATCTGATAATTCTGCAATTTCTGTATTAAACTCGAATACTGATCTCTACTGACATTTATTTGGCTTTATGAGAAAAATCTAAAAATATATCTGCTAATGTGACAGAGAGACATTCTTCAGATTCCTCTAAGTGTGCACAATGAGATGTTATTTTCTTAGTTTGGAGAAATCTTTTATTTTTTGGAATCAATGAAGTATGCATGAAAGGTGAAGCCAGCTGGACTTCCTGGGTCCAGTGGGGACTTGTAGAACTTCTCTGTCTAGCTAAGGGATTGTAAACACACCAATCAGTGCTCTGTGTCTAGCTAAAGGTTTGTAAACGCACCAGTCAGCACTCTGTAAAAACAGACCAATCAGCATTCTGTAAAATGGACCCATCAGCACTCTGTAAAATGGAACAATCAGCAGGACATGGGCGGGGCCAAATAAGGGAATAAAAGCTGGCCACCTGAGCCAGCAGTCGCAACCTGCTGGGGTCCCTTTTCATGCTGTGGAAGCTTTGTTCTTTTGCTCTTCCAAGTAAATCTTACTGCTCCTCACTCTTTGGGTCAGCACTACCTTTATGAGCTGTAACACTCACCACAAGGGTCTGTGGCTTCATTCCTGAAGTCAGCGAAACTGTGAACCCACCGGGAGGAAGAAACAGCTCTGGACGCGCCACCTTTAAGAGCTGTAACACTCACTGCGAAGGTCTGCAGCTTCACTTCTGAAGTCAGCGAGACCACAAACCCATCGGAAGGAAGAAACTCCAGACACACCATCTTTAAGAACTGTAACACGCCCTGGGAAGGTCCGCGGCTACGTTCTTCAAGTCAGTGAGACGAAGAACCCACTGGAAGGAACCAATTCTGGACACATGCATTTGAAAGAAAGAGGGCTAATAATTCCAAAAAAAAAAAACCCTGCATATTGCCAATCATATTACTACTTGAATAAATATAATTTAACATATGGTTCTACATGAATTATTTATACAGTGTCAACCTTAACATTCACATTCTCCAATTTCTGTCCAAATCTACATTTATCATTATTTTGAACTAATTCAATAGTACTTTACAAGTTTGCAGGAAAATTTCCTCTTTTAAAAAGAATATTGAAGGACAAGTAGTTGGTACTTCTAAATTCATTTGTCATTGTACAATTCCATCATAATGGGAGTCAGTGAAACACCATTACTGAGAGTTCAGAAATTTTGCAACGCACTAAAGAGAAACTTAATAAAGGGGAAAATATCCAAAAAAGCTCAGATACTTTAAAGGACTGTGCAAAATTACAAGAAAACAAAACAAACTTTCATTCATTAGAAACTTGGATGATATTGTAAAGAAAGGTTTTAGAAGTATTCTTCATAATTTATATATAGGATAATAATGCTGCGTACACTATTATTTATACCAGGTGGATACATCTGCCACAAACAAGTGCCTATTAAGCCACTCAATATATTTAATGCTGGGCCAGGTGTGGTGGCTCACGCCTGTAGTCCCAGCACTTTGGGAGGCTGACGCAGGCGGATCACAAGGTCAGGAGTTTGAGACCAGCCTGGCCAACATGGTAAAACCTTGTCTCTACTAAAAATACAAAATTTAGCCGGGAATGATGGCGGGTGCCTGTAATCTCAGCTATTCCAGAGGCTGAGATAGGAGAATCGCTTGAACCTGAGAGGCAAAGGCTGCAGTGAGACGAGATTGTGCCATTGCACTCCAGCCTGGGTAACAAGAGCAAAATGCCATCTCAAATATATATATATATATTTTTTATACATATGTATACATTATATACGTATAGACCTATATGTATACATTATATACGTGTAGACCTATATGTATACATTATATACGTGTAGACCTATATGTATACATTATATACATTGTAGACCTATATGTATACATTATATATTATATACATTATATATATACATTTATATACATATGTGTGTGTGTATATATGATGCTAAATTCCCATTATTGATAAGGCAGCTTGTTGAACCTGTAACGATTATGACATTATTATTGCTGTTGTTGCTGCTGCTGCTGTTGTTATAGATAACAGTACACCATTTGCTAGCTTCTAGTCTAAGCCCTTGACATACAACTTTACTATGACCCTATGAAGTAGTTAATATTACCATTCCATGGTTTCAGATGAAAATCTGAAGTTTAGAGAGTTCAATTTGTTTCCACAAAGTCACACAGTTATTATGTTTGCCAGACTGCTTGGCTTCTGAATCCAAGCTACATCGTAATACTCTATTTGGTAGTGTCCTAACACATCATGTCTTATGGTGCTTACACTATTTATTTTTTGATTCCAAAGAATGGAATGAATTCTGCTCTTCTTGATTCATATAACAAGCTAAAATACAAATTAAAATTTTGCCAGAGACTATTCTAAGTATATTTTTTAATGATAAGGATATTTGTCTTCTGAAAGAATTGATATAACTAAAGAGTTTCAGAAGATAATTATTCACATAAATATAATTTAAATTTAGAGAGCTAAATCATAGACTATGAGTTTATTCATGAGATTTCTTGTTAATACTGAGTCAGTATTCATTTTCTCATCTAAGTCAGTACATTATAGTGGTAGTTGTATATATCCATTTATTCAAGAATATTACTGAATATTTCTTATGTACTAAGATAATTTGTAAGAATATCCAGCTGGATATGAACACTGAACGTTTAAATACATAGAGAGTAAAAAGCTTACTGAGAATTTAGGAGAAAAGATCAATACATCAATACATGCTTGCCATTAAAAAATTACACAAATATATTTAAGCTTGGATTCACCTTCATTTCTCAATGACAACAGAAAGCCATGTGATGAGAATTCAAAATGCAGGAATATAAAGCAGCTTCTCATGGTTCTCCACCTAGTAATCACACTCTTCACACCTTCTTATAAGAGAATATCTCTGTATTTGTTTTAAAAAATGCTCTTCAGTCTAGTTATTTATAATGAGTGACTTGTAAAATGCTTTCAGAAGCTACAAGATGAATATTTTCTTCAAATATCGACTGCAAAGTACATAAATCTCTGACATAAAATAACTACACTTCCTATGACTTCCCTCACAGCATTGTGTTTTCTCATTTGCTTGTTTCTTGCTTGGTTGGTTGTTTTTCTTACTATTACTATTGTTCATTCCACCAAGAGTTTGAACCAAAGAGTGGACAAAGAATAAGTTGAAAGTAACTGTGCAAGCAAAACATTTTCTACAGTTAACTGTACTCTTTAAAAATAATAATTATTAGAGTAAGAAAACAAGCTTCTGTACCTGTGATTTTTCATCTTGTACCTCATAAAATGCAAGGCAGCATAAAGTACAGAAATTGAAACTCAGTTGCTAGTTTTATTCTGATTTTACTTTCAAGTTGCTTTCACTGGAATAATTTACTTTTCTTCTAAATTAAGCCAGGCAAAGTTAATATTTCTTCGTCTGTTCTCTGCAGTATACCAGTTCCTAGAGCTATTATAAATGCTTTGGGGGGAAAAGGCAGAAGTTAAAAAAAAAAACACACCGAGGACACACTGATTTAAAGTCCAAAACATGTCAGTGATTTAATTGTGTTAACATACAAGGAAAATATCACAGCAAAACTTTTGATACTTATGAACTTATTATATAAATACTCAGAAAAATTAGTAAAAATTACCCAAGCAAATGAAAAATTGCATGTTGCAGTAACTCCCAGTAAGAAAAGGTAACTGGGTCACAAAGGTTTATTAAAGGGGGCATATCTGTTCTGGGGTATCCAGGAAGGATTCTCCTCTGAAAGGGGGATCAGATGGGAGAGTGGAAGAATGAGGTTTTTTACTTGTTTTGTCCCATCATAGAAAATTACACTATGAGTATTTTATACACCTTTTATTGTATATGTCATGGCATTGTTGTAAGTACCTAGGAGTATAATTAAAGGGTTTGAAACTATGCATATTTTCATATTGATTAGATTTGGCCAATTATTTTCCCAAGGGTGTATTCCAATTTATACATCTAAAATCATTGCATAGGCAAATCCCCTATTCCATATTCTCACTGATACCTAGTGTTATCCCATTTTCTATCTTTTGCCAATCTGATAAATATGAAATTGTAGTTTCCTATGGTTTTACATCTCTCTGACTAAATATGCATTTAAAAATCTTTCAGATATTCATTGGTCATTCTGATATTCTCTCCTATACATTGTTGTCCATTTACATCTCCTGATTTCTATTGAGTTATTTCTATATTTTACTTATACTTAGAGCTTTTTATATTCTAAATATGAGTTGTTCATTGCTTTGATGTTTTTCAAATATCTTTTCCCAATTGTGCTCTGACATTTTAATTTACATATAAGTATATATTATTTAGTAAATCACAAGAATTTTGTCCTCATCAATTTTCCTACTATAACAAAATACCATAAACCAGGTGACTCATAAACAATAGAAATTTATTTCTCACAGTTCTGGGGACTGGGAAGTCCAACATCAAGGTGTTGGTAGAGGTCCTCTTTATAGACTCCTGTCTTTTCACTGTCTCCTCACACAGCTGAAGGGGTGAGAGATCTCTCTGGGGCCTTTTTTACAAGGAAACTAATCCCATTCATGAGGGTTTTCACCATCATGACCTAATTACTTCCCTGAGGCCCCACTTCCAAATACCCTCACACTGAGAATTAGGTTTCAACATATGAATTTGCAGGGGGGTGGGGGAGCACAAATATTCAAGCCACAGCATTTGCTTTATTTTTTGTTTCTTCACTTTAACCTAATCAACATGAATCAACATTTACTTCATTGTTTTGCTTTTTGTGACTGACTCAAAAACTGAAGTCATAAATATATTCTATTTTATCTAAAATTGTTTCAGCTTTGCTTTCTGATTTCAGTTTTGAATGACCTAAAATGTATTTTTTGCATACAAAAAGAAGGGTCCAATTTTGTTGATTTACGTATAGATTATTCATTTTTCCAGCAGGCCTTATCGAATAATCCATTTTTTCCCTTCTGATCTGCATGGTCAAATCTGTCATATATCACATTTCTGTATATCTGTGCCACTTTCACCCTCTCTATTGTATTTTTCTGATGAATCTGCCTATTGCTGGGCCAGTGCCAAATGTCTTAATTAGGAAAGTTTATAATGTATCTTCCTATCTAGATTACTCACTTCTACTTGTTTTTCCTCCCTTGGAGGAACTTAAAGAAAAATTACAGTTTTAAAATATGATGATGACTGCCTAGTGAGGACCAGGAGTGAATGTGAGGAAACCATTAGAAAAATCAACCAAGTGCAGGGTAAGGTAGCTGGTACTAGGCAGGTGGTGGTACAGATGTAGATAAATTGGCACAATAGATATTTAGGAGTAGAATAGACACAGTGGGTGGCTGGCTATGTTTGATGATAGGAAGCAGTGTATGGTGGATGTCCTCAACGTTATTTGAAGAACTACATGAGAAACAGTGTCATGATTAGAGACAGAGAATACCAAAAATGATTCAAAGAAGATCTTTTACTTACTCAAGAACTAGCACCTTATGACTCAGGCCAGCAATAGACTAGGTTTTAACCCACCAAATATATATGTGTTGAGATATATAGATATAGATATAGATATAGATATAGATATAGATATCTGCTATTAATTTCACTTTGTTATTAATGTCACCTTCTATCTATCTATATAATTGATGGGTTATATTAGTGTGTGTGTGCACGCATACCAACTGTTATCATATGATTCATTTATATTTCTTAACTGTTCCTGTACTCGATATACTTGCTGTTTTAAACAAAAGAATTTTAGAAAATGGATGTTACTTGAATACATGAGATTGAAGAACAAATTATTGGCACTGTAGATTCTAGTACTATTTGTTAATTAAATGGCTTTTATTTTGTTGTTGATGATGTTTAATTTTTTTATTTCCATAGGTTATTGGAGAACAGGTGGTGTTTGGTTACATGAGTAAGTTCTTTAGTGGCGATTTGTGAGATTTTGGTGCACTCACCACCTAAGTATTATACACTGCACCCTATTTGTAGCCTTTTATCCCTCACTCCCTTCCCACCCTTTCCCCCTGAGTGCCCAAACTCCATTGTGTCATTCTTATGCCTTTGCATCCTCACAGTTTAGCTGCCACTTACGAGTGAAAACATGTGATGTTTGGTTTTCCATTCCTGATTACTTCACTTAAAATAATAGTCTCCAATCTCATCCAGGTCGCTGTGAATGCCATTAATTCATTTCTTATTATGGCAGAGTAGTATTCCATCATATATATATATACCACAGTTTCTTTATCCACTCATTGATTGATGGGCATTTGGGTAGGTTCCATGCTTTTGCAATTGAGAATTGTGCTGTTATAGACATGCATGTGCAAGTATCTTTTTTGTATAAAGACTTCTTTTCCTCTAGTTAGATACCCAGCCAGTAGTAGGATTGCTGGATCAAATGGTAGTTCTACTTTTAGTTCTTTAAAGAATCTCCACACTGTTTTCCATAGTGGTTGTAATAGTTTACACTCCCACCACCAGTGTAGAAGTGTTCCCTGTTCACTGCATTCATGCCAACATCTACTATCTTTTTATTATGACCATTCTTAGAGGAGTAAAATGGTATCATATTGTGGTTTTGATTTCCATTTCCCTGATAGAGATGTTGAGCATTTTTTCATGTGTTTATGGGCCATTTGTATATCTTCTTTTGAGAATTGTCTATTCATTTCCTTAGACCACTTTTTGATGGAATTGTTTGTTTTTTTCTGGCTGATTTGTTTGAGTTTGTTGTGGATTCTGGATATTAGTCCTTTGTCAGATGTGTAGATTGTGAAGATTTTCTCCCACTGTGTGGGTTGTCTGTTTACTCTGCTGACTGTTTCTTTTGCCATGCAAGGGCTCTTTAATTAAGTCCCAGCTATTTGTCTTTGTTTTTATTGCATTTGCTTTTGGGTTTTTGGTCATGAAGTCCTTGGCTAAGCCAATGTCTACAAGACTTTTTCCAAAGTTATCTTCTAGAATTTTTATAGTTTTAGGTCTTAGATTTAAGTCCTTCATCCATCTTGAGTTGATTTTTGTGTAAGTTGAGAGATGAGGATCCAGTTTCATTCTCCTGCATGTGGCTAGCCAGTTTTCCCAGCACCGTTTATTGAAAAGGGTGTCCTTTCCCCACTTCATGTTTTTGTTTGCTTTGTCAAAGATCAGTTGGCTGTAAGTATTTGGGTTTATTTCTGGGTTCTCTATTCTGTTCCATTGGTCTATTTGCCTATTTTTTATACCAATACCCTGCTGTTTTGGTGACTATGGCCTCATAGTATAGTTGGAAATCAGGTAATGTGATGCCTCCAGATTTGTTCTTTAGGCTTAGTTTTGCTTTGACTATGCTGCCTTACTTTTTGTTCCATATGGATTTTATAATTGTTTTTTCTAATACTGTGAAGAATGATGGTAGTATTTTTATGGGAATTGCGTTGAATTTGTAGATTGCTTTTGACAGTATGGTCATTTTCACAATATTGATTCTACTCATCCATGAGCATGGGATGTGTTTCCACTTGTTTGTGTTGTCTCTGATTGCTTTCAGCAGTGTTTTGTAGACTTTCTTGTAGAGGTCTTTCACCTCCTTGGTTAGGTATATTTCTAAGTATTTTTCATAGCTATTGTAAAAGGGTGCAGTTCTTGATTTGATTCTCAGCTTAGTCACTGTTGGTGTATAGGAGAACTACTGATTTGTGTACAAATACAAGATTAATTTTTTATCTGGAAACTTGCTGAATTATTTTATCAGTCCTAGGAGCTTTCTAGAGGAGTCTTTAGGGTTTTCTAAGTAAACAATCATATTATCAGCAAACAGCAACAGTTTGACCTCCACTTTACCATCTTGAATGCCCTTTATTTCTTTCTCTTGTCTGATTGTACTGGCTAGAACTTCCAGTATTATGGTGAAGAGGAGTGGGGAGAGTGGGCATCCTTGTCCCGTTACAGTTCTCAGAGGGAATGCTTTCTACTTATCTGCACTCAGTATTATGTTGGCTGTGGGTTTGTCATATATGGCTTTTATTACATTGAGGTAAGTCCTTTGTATGCCGATTTCGCTGAGAGTTTTAATGATAAAGGGGTGCCAGGTTTTGTGGAATAATTTTTCTGCATCTATTGAGATGATCATATGATTTTTGTTTTTAATTCTGTTTATGTGGTGTATCACATTTATTGACTTGCATATGTTAAACTATCCCTGCATCCCTGGTATGAAGCCCATTTGATCATGGTGGATTATCTTTTTGATATATTGTGGGATTTGGTTAGCTAGTATTTTGTTAAGGTTTTTAGCATCTATGTTCATTAGGGATATTGGTCTGTAGTTTTCTTTTTTGGTTATGCTCTTTCCTGGTTTTGGCACTAGGGTGGTACTGGCTTCACAGAATGATTTAGGAAGAGTTCCCTCTTTCTCTATCTTGTGGAATAGTGTCAATAGGATTCCTACCAATTCTTCTTTGAATGTCTGGTGGAATTCTGCTGTAAATCCATGTGGTCCTGGACATTTTTTTGTTGGTAATTTTTTAACTACCATTTCAATCTTACTGCTTGTTATTGGTCTGTTCAGGGTATCTAATTCCTCCTGATTTAAGCTAGGAGGGTTGTATCTTTCTAAGAATTTATCCATCTCCTCTAGGTTTTCTAGTTTATATGCAAAAAGGTGTTCATAGTAGCCTTGAATGACCTTTTGTATTTCTGTGCTGTCAGTTGTACTGTCTCCCGCTTTATTTCATATTGAGCTTATTTGGATTTTCTGTCTTCTTTTCTTGGTTTATCTTGCTAATGGACTATCAGTTTTATTTATCTTTTCAAAGAACCAGTTTTTTGCTTCACTTATCTTTTGGACTTTTTTGTTTCAATTTTATTTAGTTCTGCTCTGATATTGGCTATTTCCTTTCTTCTGCTGGGTTTGGGTTTGGTTTGTTCTTATTTCTCTAGTTTCTTGAGGTGTGAACTTAGATTGCCTGTCTGTGCTCTTCCAGACATTTTGATGTAGGCATCTAGGGCTATGAACTTTTCTCTCGGTACCGCCTTTGCTGTATCCCAGAAGTTTTGATAGGTTGTGTCAATATTGTTGTTTCATTCAAAGAATTTTTAAATTTCCATCTTGATTTCATTTTGACCGATTGATCATTCAGGAGCAGGTTATTTAATTTCCATGCATTTGCATGGTTTTGAGGGTTTCTTTTGGAGTTGATTTCAAGTTTTATTCTGCTGTGGTCTGAGAGAGTGCTTGATAACATTTCAATTTTCTCAAGTTTATCGAGGCTCATTTTGTTGCCTATCATATGGTCTATCTTGGAGAATGTTCCATGCACTGTTGAATGTATATTCTGTGGTTGTTGGGTAGAAGGTTCTGTATATATCTGTTAAGTCCATTTGTTCCAAGGTATAGTTTAAATCCATTGTTTCTTTGTTGACTTTCTGTCTTGATGACTTGTCTAGTGCTGTCAGTGGAGTATTGAAGTTCCCACTATTATTGTGTTGCTGTCTATCTCGTTTCTTAGATCTATTAGTAATTGTTTTACAAATTTGGAAGCTCCCGTGTTATGTGCATATATGTTTAGGATTGTGATATTTTCCTGTTGGACAAGGCCTTTTATCATTATATAATGTCCCTCTTTGTCTTTTTTAACTGCTGTTGCTTTAAAGTTTGTTTTGTCTGATATAAGAATAGCTACTCCTGCTCGCTTTCAGTGTCCATTTGTATGATATGTCTTTTCCCACCCCTGTACTTTAAGTTGATGTAAGTCTTTATGCATTAGCCGAGTCTGTTGAAGGCAGCAGATAGTTGGTTGGTGAATTCTTATCCATTCTGCAATTCTGTATCTTTTAAGTGGAGCATTTTGGCCATTTATTATTATTGAGATGTGAGGTACCATTCCATTCATCATGCTATTTGTTGCCTGTATGTCCTTTTTTTTTTTTTAGTTTTGCTTTTGTTTTTTAAATTGTATTTCATTTTATAGGTCCTGTGAGATTTATGCTTTAAAGAAGTTCTGTTTTGATGTGTTTCCAGGATTTGTTTCAAGATTTAGAGCTCCTTTTAGCAGTTCTTGTAGTGGTGGCTTGGTAATGGTGAATTATCTCAGCATTTGCTTCTCTGAAAAATACTGTATCTTTCCTTCATATATGAAGCTTGATTTTGCTGGATACAAAATTCTTGGCTGATAATCATTTTGTTTGAGGAGGCTGAAGATAGGGCCCCGATCCCTTCTAGCTTGTAGGATTTCTGCTGAGAAATCTGCTGTTAATCTGATAGGTTTTCCTTTATAGGTTACCTGGTGCTTTTGCCTCACAGCTCTTAAGATTCTTTCTTTCCTCTTAACTTTAGATAGCCTGATGACAATGTGCTTAGGCGATAATCTTTTTGCAATGAATTTCCCAGGTGTTCTTTGTGCTTCTAATATTTAGACGTCTATGCCTCTAGCAAGGCTGGGGAAGTTTTCCTCGATTATTCCCTCAAGTGTGTTTTCCAAACTTTTAGATTTCAATTCTTCCTCAGGAACAACAATTATTCTTAGCTTTGGTCATTTAACATAATCTCAGACTTCTTGGCTGCTTTGTTCATATTTTCTTGTTTTTTTCTTTGTCTTTGTTGGATTGGGTTAATTTGAAGACCTTGTCTTCGAGCTCTGAATTTTTTTTATTCTATTTGTTCAATTCTATGACTGAGACTTTCCAGAGCATTTTGCATTTCTGTAAGTGTGTCCATCATTTCCTGAAGTTTTGACTTTTTTAATTTATGCTATCTATTTCATTGAATATTTCCCCCTTCACTTCTTGTATCATTTTTTAAATTTCCTTAAATCGGGCTTCACCTTTCTCTGGTGCCTCCCTGATTAGCTTAATAACTAACCTTCTGAATTCTTTTTCAGGTAAGTCAGGGATTTCTTACTGGTTTGGGTCCATTGCTGGTAAGCTAATGTGATTTTGGGGGGCTGTTAAATAACCTTGTTTTGTCATATTACCAGAGTTGGTTTTCTGGTTCCTTCTCATTTGGGTAGGCTCTATCAGAGGGAAGGTCTAGGACTGAAGGCTGTTGTTCAGAGCCTTTTGTCCCATGGGGTGTTCCTTTGATGTAGTACTCTCCCCCTTTTTTTAGGGATGTGGCTTCCTGACAGCCAAGTTATAGTGATTGTTATCTCTCTTCTGGATTTAGCTACACAGCAAATTTACCAGGCTCTGCACTGGTAGTGGGGGTAGTCTGCACAGAGTACTGTGATGTGAACCATCTGTGATCTCTCAGCCGTGGATACCAGCATCTGTTCCAGTGGAGGTGGCAGGGGGTTGAAATGGACTCTGTGAGGGTTCTTAGCTTTGGTAATTTAATGCACTATTTTTGTGCTGGTTGGCCTCCTGGCAGGAGGTGGCACTTTCCAGAGAGCATCAGCTGTGGTAGTATGGGGAAGAACAGGCAGTGGGCAAGGCCCTAGAAACCTCAAGAGTATATGCCCTTTTTCTTGAGTTACCAGGATGGGTAGGAAAAGACCATGGGGGTAGGCGCAGGGCTAGGCATGTCTGACCTCAGACTCTTCTTGGGTGGGTCTTGCTGTGACTACTGTGGGGTATGGAGGTGAGATTCCCAAGTCAATGGAATTATGTTCCTAGGAGGATTATGGCTGTCTCTACTGTGTCATGCAGGGTGTCAGGGAAATAGGGGAAAGCCAGAAGTCACAGGCTTCACCCAGTTCCCACACAACCTGAAGGGCCAGTCTCACTCCCACCGTGCCTCCCCAACAGCAGCGAGTCTATTTCCAGGCATTGGGTGAGCAGGGCTGAGAACTTGCCCCAGGCTCCTCCCTCAAGTTGGCCAGGAGACTATGCAATCAGTTTCAAATTGTTACAAAGTTTAGCTGGAGATATCCTTCTCCTGTGGCCTTTTCCCAGTGCCTGTGGCCACCCTCCCCAAGGACCCCTGTGAAGCCAGGCAAAAATGGCTTGCTAGGGGACCCAGTGATCTCACAGGGCTTTTTCTCCTCCTTCCTCTACCCCCGTATTTTGCTCAGCTAAGTTGACTCAGCTCCAGTTATGATCTGAATCTTCTCATAATATAGACTTTCAGTCTCCCCAATGCGTGTGTGTGTTTGAGGGCAAATGTTCTCCCTTTCCCACTTCCACAGTTTGGGCACTCAGTATTTGGGGTGTCTCCCAGGTCCTGCAGGAGCAATCCACTTCCTTCAAAAGGTCTGTGGGTCTTCTCAGGTTTCTTGATTTATGCCTGCAGTCATTCTGGAGCAAAAATTCACGATGTGAGCCTCCATATGCTGCTCTGCCCATCCGAGTTGGAGCTTCAATCTAGTCCTGCCTCCCGTCCGCCATGATCCACCCAGGTATCCCCTCTAAATGGCTTTTATTTTGAAAAATGTCCTATCTCACCAAGATCTCTTTTTCAGGTTTGCCTTCACCAGATTTCCTGATGTTTTAAGCATTTTATCTTCTAGAAATTCCACTTTCTATCTAAGTATTTTACTTACCAACACTGGGGAGGAGATTAAGAATTGTGTCATGTTAGAACTGGAAGGAATTTAAGGATTGTGAAGATAGTTCACCCACTCCTACCACTTTAAGGGAAATAGTTGCAATATAGAGGTTAAGAGGTTAGACACTAGGATAGATTCCCTAGGTTCAATCCTTCTCTAAATGTTGTGTGACTTGGGAAGTTAACTCTCCCTACCTAGCGTTTCTCAAATTAAAGAGGCAATATTATTAATACCTCACATAGTTGTAATTTCAGTTAAATATGTTTATGCATGCAACAGTCTGAAATGTTCCTGGCACATAATAAGTGGTCAGTAATACTGGCTACTTTGTTATTTACTTCACTTCCATAGAAGAGAAACATAAAACCCCAAATGACTCAGTTGCCCCACCTCATAGCCAGCCAGTCAGGGTCAGAGTTATAACCAGAATCTATGTCTTTTCTTCCTTACCTAATGTTGTTTCCAGAATTATTATTACATTTCTTCCCCACTCAACATACATATAAAAGTAAAATGCACATCCTACACTACAATATGCTCACTAATTTAGAATTGTTTATTGATTTGTATCTGTCTGCCAGGGGAAAAAGACAAATGATAATATACAGGTAAGCTATAATAGTGATGAGGTGCAATCTAATAAATGAAATAATGCTAGAAGACAGAATCAGTATTGTAAAAAGGTCAGTATTGCAGAAAATCACTATTAGTTTTTCTTATGGGTTCTTCCTTCTGAAGAGTACAAGTTTCTGTCACATACCTTTCCAGAATAGAGCCAGGAATGAGTATCCCCAGCCCAAACACAGAGCAAATATGTTGGTAAATCAGCCTGTAAATGTAGAGACAGAATGTATCTAAAACCCCCAAAAGATAAAAATGTACAAAAGAAAAATGCATAGATGGAGACAAGCTTTAAAAGACTTTGATGTTCTTTCCTGACCCAATTTCATATGGCCGGCATGCCAGTCAAGAGAAAAAAAGTCTATAAATAAGTTTTAACGATTATGACCATCTATGAGAAAGTTAAGGGAAATATTGGTAAATACTATATCTGAATGTTTTTCAGCCCCTGTGGGATGTAAAAAGCATGGCTACAAACCTGTTACATCATTTTATCATAAGTAGGATCACATATTTTTTAAGTTTAACACACTTCAAATAAAATAATCATTTCCCTTATGTCAGAGTTTAAAATCCAATCCATGAGAATACTTTTAAGAGTTTGCATAAATTGTTAATCTGAAGGATATAGCAGAATTTCAGTCGTTACTCCAAAGTGTATGATTGGTGGGAAGGGAGGGCTGGTTGCAAAGACCACAATTTGGGTTTGTCTGAAGTGTTGAAGCAATTTTTTGATATCCATTATTTTCTAAACAGCATAGAAGGAAGAGTGAATAAACTGAAAAGGTAAGGAAACATTAATCTTCTTCTTCCAGCGTTAATGTAGTAAGGCAAGGTGCTTTTTGTTCCATAAAGAAAATTTCATCTGAGATTTATTTTTTCAAGGGTTGCTGTTATTAGAAAATCAAGATAAAAAAGCAAAACCCCACTACCACCCCTATTATGTTTCTTGCTGTTCTACAAACACAGTTGTATTTTGGGAGAAATCGCATTCCCCATATGCATATTCCCCTACAGTAAACTCTGGTTAATCACATGGAAAGTAAGTATGGCAGAGGTGTTGTGAATAGATAGA
This sequence comes from Homo sapiens, assembly GCF_000001405.40. NCBI lineage: Eukaryota > Metazoa > Chordata > Mammalia > Primates > Hominidae > Homo > Homo sapiens. The sequence continues at coordinate 12,034,178 of NC_000005.10, read as the reverse complement.
ATTCTTGGTCTCTTTAGAGGGTATCATGTGGTCATTAAGACCTTGGAATCTAGCAAGAAGCATATCTGGGGTATGATGCTGATTCTTCTACTTACTATCAGTTACCTTTGGCAATTAAATTTTGTCTATAAAATGACAAAAACAATAGCCACCTCCCAACATTATTTCAGAGATTACATGGTATAATGTTTGAAAAATCCCTAAAAATCATTCTGTACTTATAAATAGTGAATAAACATTAGCCATTGTCATTACCTTTATTAAAATAATATATTCTACCATGTTCAAATCATATACTTGCAGAGTGTGTGTGCCCAGGAAAAGAACTTTGGTTTTTTACCACTTTTCAAATCTCAGGCTTTAAAGACTAGTTTACACCCAGTTCTTCTAGGAAACCTATTTTGGCTACTCCAGCAGCCACTGACTTCTCTACCTCTTAAAAGTACGACATACATTATATTGAGTTTTCTTTGTACATTATCTGGCTTTTCTACTTAATGAATTTTTTAATGTCTCTCTTTGTATTTGATATTTTGCAGTTTCACCACAACGTGCCTAGGTTTGAATTTTTTATCTCACTCAATATTCAAAGCATTCCTTTGATAGAGAGAATCAAGAGTTTTTTTCATATCTGAAGAAAACCAGAGTTTTATATCTTCTAAAATTTTTGTATATTCTCCTTTTGATATTCCCAGTTGACAGAAGGCAACACTGCTTATCTCTTGTCTGTTTTTCTTTAACACTTTCCAGTTCTGCATTTTCCAACTCCTTATGCGCTTGCACTACACACACTTTACAAACTCTCTATTTTCCTGTGGGGAATCTTCTGTCTTACCTACTGTGGCAGTTTATATTTTCCAAAGACAGCCTTTTGGGAAGCTCAGTCTCGGGAAACCCCCTCTTGAAAGCCCTATGCCATGTCACAGGATGTAGCACCTGCCCTTGAAAGTTCTGGAAGATAAGACACCATGTGCCATGGAGAGAGACAGAGAAGTCAAACAGCCCCAGTGAACCAGACATGTCAGTCCAGGGCTGTGATGGGAGTGGATCCTCCTGCTCCCGTCTCCAAAGTGAATCAGAGATAAATATTGTCCACCATGAATTTTTTTGAAATTTCCAACTCTCAAAAGTGTGAACAAAATAAAATGACTATTTTGATATATTAATTTTGAAGGAGTAGACTTTTACTTAGCAGTTGTTATAAATGCAATAGCCCCTCCTTCTTTTATCACTTTATCCACTTTAGTGCTATTTTAGGGCTTCTTTCAATGTTATCTATGATTTCCAATTCTTGTTTGACTGATGATTCTCTTTCAGGTTAATCTTCTTTTTCTGTAATTTTTTGGTTGGAGCTCATTTTTAATGGAAGATGAATTTTGTGTAAGGCCATTGAATAAGTTCCTTCTCACATTGCTATAAGGAAATACCCAAGACTGGGTAATTTATAAAGAAAAGAGGTTTAATTGACTCACAGTTCTGTATGGCTGGGGAGGCCTCTGGAAACTTACAATCATGGCAGAAGGTACCTCCTCCTAGGGCAGCAGGAAAGAGAATGAGTACCAGTAGGAGAAATGCCAGATATTTACCAAACCACCAAATCTCTTGAGAACTCACTCAGTATCATGAGAACAGCATGAGGGAAACTGCCCCCATGATCCAATTACCTCCCACCTGGTCCCTCCCATAACACGTGGGGATTATGGGGATTACAATTCAGGATGAGATTTGGGAGGCGACACAGCCAAACCATATCAACCATTCTCATGTCCTTCTCACATTTCAAAATACAATGATCCCTTCTCGATAGTCCTCCCAAAGTCTTAACTCATTCCAGCATTAACTCAAAATGTCCAAGTCCCAAATCCAAAGTCTTATCTGGAAATGACTTTCTTCCACTTATGAGTATGTAAAATTTTTTTAAAAAGTTATTTACTGCCAATATACAATGGGGTATAGGTATTGTGTAAATATTCCCATTACAAAAGGGAGAAATTGGGCCAGGCATGGTGGCTCACACTTGTAATCCCAGCACTTTGGGAGGTGGGAGGATCACTTGAGGTCAGGAGTTTGAGACCAGCCTGGCCAACATGGTGAAACCTCATCTCTACTGAAAAATGAAAAAAAAAAAAAAAAAAATTAGCTGGGTGTGGTGGTGGGCGCCTGTAATCCCAGCTACTCAGGAAGCTGAGGCAGGAGAATTGCTTGAACCCAGGAGGCAGACGTTGCAGTGAGCCAAGATGGAGCCACTGTACTCCAGCCTGAATGAAAGAGTGAAACTCCATCTCAAAAAAAAAAAAATTAAATTAAATTAAATTAAAATTTTAAAAAGGAAGAAATTGGCCAAAAGGGGTCTATGGGCTTCATGCAAGTTCAAAACCCAGCAAGACAGTCAGTAAACTTAAAGTTCCAAAATAATCTCCTTTGACTTCATGTCCACATACTGGGCACACTAGTGGGCTCCCAAGGCCTTGGGTAGCTCTATCCCTCTGACTTTGCAAGTTTTAGTGCGTGAAGCTGCTCTCACAAGTTGTTGAGTGTCTGTGGCTTTTCCAGGCACAGGGAACAAGCTGTATAATCTACCATTATAGGGTCTGGAAAATGGTGGCCCCCTTCCCACAGCTCTATGAGGCTGTACCCCAGTGGGGACTATGCATGGAGGTTCCAACCCCACATTTCCCCTTGGCACTGCCTGAGTAGAGGTTCAACGTCATGACTCCACCCCTGTAGCAAGCTTCCGCATGGGCACTCAGGCTTTCTCACACATCCTCTGAAATCTAGGCAGGGGCTGCTAGCGTTTTTCACTCTTGCACTCTGTGCACCTAAGGCTTAACACCACATAGAAGCTGCCAAGGCTTATATAAGGCTTGCACCCTCTGAAGCAGCAGCCCAAGCTGTATCCGGGGCCCTTTGAGCTGAGGCTGGAGCCAAAGTGGCTGGGATGTGGGGAGCAGCTTCCAGAGGCTGCACAGGGTAGTAGGGACCTGGGCCTGGCCAATAAAACCATTCTTTCCTCCTAGGCCTCTGGGCCTATGGTGGAAGGGGCTGCCATGAAGGTCTCTAAAATGCCTTTGAGGCCTTCCTCCCATTTTCTTGGCTATCAGCATTGGGCTCCCTTTGAGTTATGCAAATTTCTCTAGCAAGTGGTTGCTCCACAGCCTGCTTGAATTTCTCTCCTATAAAAGTTTTTCCTTTCTCTGCCACATTGTAAGGCTGCAAATTCTCTAAACGTTTGCACTCTACTTCCCTTTTAAATATAAGTTTGAACCTTAGGTCATTTCTTTACTCCCACATGATTTCCTCTTATCTCCTTCTTTCTCTCATCTCTGAACTAAATTAACACTCTTTAGTTCTAGCTTCCACAGAGCCCCAGGGCATGAACAGAATGCAGCCAACCTCTTTGCTAAGGCACAACATGGGTGACCTTTGCTGTAGTTCCCAAAAAGTTCCTCATTTCTATCTGAAACCTTGTCAGCCTGGACTGCACTGTTTATATCACTATCAGCATTATAGTCACAACAATTTAACCAGTCTCTAAGAAGTTCCAAACTTTCCCTCATCTTCTAGTCTTCTGAGCCCTCCAAACTCTTTCAACTTCTACCCATTACCAAGTTCCAAAGCTGTTTCCACATTTTCAGGTATCTTTATATTAACGCCTTACTCCTCAGTACCAATTTTCTGTGTCAGGCCATTCTTGCATTTCTATAAAGAAATATCTGAAACTGGGTAATTTATATGAAAAGAAGTTTAATTGGCTCATGGTTCTGCAGGCTGCACAGGAAGCATAGCAGCATCTGCTTCTGAGAAAGCCTCAGGAAGCTTTCACTCATGCTGGAAAGTGAAACAGGAGCAGAAATTTCACATGGTGAAAGCAGGAGCAGGAGAGTGGGAGTGCCACACTTTTAAAGAGCCAGATCTCATGAGAAGTCACTCACTATTGTAAGGAGAGAACCAAGGTGGATGGTGCTAAACCATTCATGAGAAATCCACCACCATGTTCAAATCACCTCCCTCCGGGCCCCACTTCCAATATTGGGGATTATATATGAACATGAGGTTTGACCAACATATACAAACTATATAAGATATGTTTATTTGGTCATGTGCAGTGGCTCACGCTTGTAATCCCAGCACTTTAGGAAGCCGAGGTGGGTGGATCACGAGGTCAGGATTTCAAGACCAGCCTGGCCAACACAGTGAAACCCCATCTCTACTAAAAATAAAAAGAAAAAATTAGCTGGGCATGGTGGCGGGCACCTGTAATCTCAGCTACTTGGGAGGCTGAGGCAGGAGAATCGCTTGAACCCAGGAGGCAGAGGTTGCAGTGAGCCGAGATCGTGCCACTGCACTCCAGCCTGGGTGACAGAGCTAGACTCCATCTAAAAAAAAGAGATACATTTATTTGTTTGTTAATTTGTTTATGGGGAGGCAAATATGTCTCTTCTAGGGTCTGTTTTCCCCATTTCAGAGCCATGAAGTTTCACTGGTCTTTTCACTTATTTTATGTTAATTTTATGCACAGCAACTCACACCTAGAGTTTTGTAGTTCTGGAAGTTGGCTTTTCCATCCATTCATCCAAGAATTTTTTTGGTGGCAGCCATCCCAACCACTTTCCAGTGTCAGTATGTAGTTCCTCTTGTCTTCTTATCTATGGAGCAGGACAGCACTTTGACGCACCCACCATTAGGCAAGGATCTTATTTTAAGCTCCCTCCCTTGTGCACAACCAAGGATTTTCTGTCATGTACTTCTTGAATAATAACTTCGCAGCCAGCAGCTCTAGGAGCTTTACCTAGATACAAAATCCTTATGATGGCCATGGTGCAGCTCCCACTTGGTGTGCAGCTTCCCTTTTCATTTCTGCCCCATTAGGACTTTCTTTCATTCAAGGTTGACAACAAGGTTTTCAACATCATCTTTTTGAGAAACTTCTTCTGCCTAGAATGATATGGCTTGGCTCTGTGTCATACCCAAATATCATCACAAATTGTAATCCCACATGTCAAGGGAGGCACTTGGTGGGAGGTGATTGGATTTAGGGGTTGGTTTCCCCCATGCTGTTCTCATGATAGTCAGTGAGTTCTCATGAGATCTGATAGTTTAAATGTGTGGTACTCCCCCTCTCTCTTTCTCTCTCTCTCTCCTATGGACATGTAAGATGTACCTTGCTTCCCCTTCACCTTCTGCCATGATTATAAGTGTCCTGGGGTCTCCCCAGCCATAAAGAACTGTGAGTCAATTAAACCTCTTTTGTTTGTCAGTTACTCAGTCTCAGGTAGTTTTTTATAGCAGGGTGAAAATGGACTAATATAGAAAATTGGTACCAGCAGAGTAGGCCACGGCTATAAGATAACCTAAAAATGTGGAAGTGACTTTGGAACTGGGCAATGGGCAGAGGTTGAAATCATTTGCAGGGTTCAGAAAAATATAGGAAGATGTGGGAAAGTTTGGAACTTCCTAGAGACTTGTTGAATGATTTTGACCAAAATGCTAATAGTGATATGGACAATGAACTCCAGGCTGAGATAGTATCAGATGGAGATGAGGAACTTCTTGGGAACTGGAGCAAAGGTCACTCTTGCCATGCTTTAGCAAAGAAACTGAAGGCATTTTGCCCCTGCCTAGAGATCTGTGGAACTTTGTACTTGAGAGTTATGATTTAGGGTATCTGGCAGAAGAGCTTTCTAAGCAGCAAAGCATTCAATAGATGACCTGGCTCTTTCTAAAAGTGTACAGCCATATTCATTCACAAAGAGATAATCTGAAATTGGAACTTATGTTTAAAAGGGAAGCATAATAAAAAAGTTTGGAAAATTTGCAGCCTGACCATGCAGTAGTAAAGAAAATCCCATTTTCTGAAGAGAAATTCAAACTATCAGCTGCAGAAATTTGCATAAGTAATGAGGAGATGTATGTTGATAGCCAAGATAATGGGGAAAATGTCTCCAGGGCATTTCTGGCATCTTCATGGCAACCCCTCCAATCACAGGCCCAGAGACCTAGAAGGGAAAAATGGTTTCATGAGCTAGGCCCAGGGCCCTGCTGCTCTGTGCAGCCTTGGAATATGGTGCCCTGTTTCCTAGCTGCTCCAGCTCCAGCCACGGGTAAAAGCGGCCAAGGTACAGCTTGGGCCATTGCTTCAGAGGGTACAAGCCCCAAGCACTCATGGCTTCCATGTGATGTTGAGCCTGTACACAGAACACAAGAGTTGGGCTTTGGAAGTCTCAGCCTGTATTTCAGAGGATGTATGAAAATGCCTGGATGTCTAGGCAGAAGTCTGTTGCAGGAGTGGAGCCCTCATGGAGAACCTTAATGCAAAGGGGGAATGTGGGGTTGGAGCCCCCACAAAAAGTCTCCACTGGGGCACTGCCTAGTGGAGCTGTGAGAAGAGGGCCACCATCCTCCAGACCCCAGAATGGGTAAAACCACTGACACCTTGGACCTTGTGCCTGGAAAAGCCTCAGGCACTCAATGCCAGCCCCCAAAAGACGTTGCAGGAGCTGTACTCTGCAGAGCCACAGCAGTGATGTTGCCTAAGGCCATTCAAACCCATCTCTTGCCCTGGTTGTGAAACATGGAGTCAAAAGATGTTACTTTAGAGCTTTAAGATTAAATGACTACCCTGTCAGGTTTGGGGCTTGCATGAAGCCTTGTGGCCCCTTTGTTTCAGCCAATTTCTCCCATTTGGAATGGAAGTATTTACCTAACGCCTGTACCCACATTTAATCTTGGAAGTAACTAATTTGCTTTTTGTTTCACAGGTTTATAGGCAGAAGGGACTTGCCTTGTCTCAGATAAGACTTTGGACTTGACCTTTTGAGTTAATGCTAGAATGAGTTGAGACTTTGGGAGACTGCTGGGAAAGCATGATTAGTTTTGAAATGTGAAAAAAAAATGAGATTTGGGAGGGGCCAGGGACAGAATTATAGAGTTTGGCTCTGTGTCCCCACCCAAATCTCATCTCAAATTGTAATCTCCATGTGTCAAGGGAGGGACCTGGTGGGAGGTGATTGGATCATGGGGCCAGTTTCCCCCATGCTGTTCTCATGTAGTGAGTGAGTTCTCAGTAGAGCTGATGGTTTAGAAGTGTGACACTTCCCCCCACCGCTCACCAGCATGTAAGATATGCCTTGCTTACCCTTTGCTTTCTGCCATGATTATAAGTATCCTGAGGCCTCCCCGGCCATGTGGAATTGTGAGTCATTAAACCTCTTTAGTTTATAAATTACCCAGTCTTAGATAGTTCTTCATAGCAGTGTGAAAACAAACTAATACATAGGATGAACAAATCTAGGATGACTGTCACTTCACCCTAACAATTAGAAAATTATGGTTAAACAACAAAAACAAAACTTTGGTGCAATTCATCACCAGGATCTCCCTCTCTTTTCCTCAGTCCATATACATAAGCTCTTCTCTCACAGAAAAAAACTCTGGTTCCCAAATATTTACACAGTTATTCATTTGCTTAATTCTACTGTACACATCAAGTCATTTTAGAATTAGAACTTTCATGACACGAACAACAAAAATTCCCTAAATAAAGTCCACATTTTCTGTTTGTTTCTTTTTATCTTTAGTTTGTATTCCATTGAAGGTATATATGACTGAAGACACAGGCCGTTCAAAACTTACTTGGATTTGTTCTGTATTTATTTTTTGAGATGTTATTATCAATGTGATATTTAGTTCCTTAGAGTTTTTTCACATGTAAAGAAATAATTTGTCATAGACTGTGTAAGTCAATGACATAAATTGTAATCTCCAAGGTAACTATTAAAAGAATACTAAAATCATGTTTAATTGACATAATTGTAGGGAAAATGACAAAAATATGTTTGATTAATACAAAGAAGGCAAGAAATTAGAAAAATGATTTTTAAAAAATTAAATAGAAAGCAAATAGAAGAATAAAATGTATATATTGATAATTACATTAATTATAAATTGACTAAATAAGCCATAACGTTAAAAATATGATGACAAAAAAGTTATAAGCACAATTATCTAATCATTACAAAATGTGTAATGAAATTTATGCTTAATTACTGATTATTAGGATAGCTCTAATGTTAGCTCTTATACCTACTATAATTTTAAAGTAATCATCAGTTAATGACAATTTGAGTATCTGCAACAAGTACAAAATATTATAAAAATAGAGATAATTTCTATTGGTGAGAAAGTCGCAAGGACTTCTTTTTTTTTGGTTGTGTGATCTGTGCGAATCAAGTACTTCTTATGATGGTTGTCTGCTTACATTCATAAAGGAAAGAACCACTAAATTTAAGTTAGTGATTGTGAAGACAACATTTTAAGTATCTTCTATTCATTATATTGTAGATCAATGAGATTCTTTTCATGTCTTCTCTGTGTACTATGAAGAATTTCTGTTTTAGAGAAATAGAAGAGTTTGATATGGTTTGTTCACTGGATGTGAGTGACTGTGTAGGTACACCTGCCATGCATAGTGGATATCAAGCTTAGGAGAAAAGAGAGGTAAGATCTGCAGGGTCTCATGCCAATAAGGGGGATTTTAGATTTTAACCAATATATGACAGAAAACCATCAAGGATATTGGATGGGGTAATGTCATGATGGATGCTTTTATTCTTAGAATGTGCATTGAAAGTCAGGTAAGTGTTCACAATAGCCCCAAGAATGCTCAGTAATAGGATTTAAGGCATTTTGGGCGGTACAACTTCAAGGCATTTACTGCATCCCTACCAGCCATATCACTTTTAAAAGAAATAGACACCATTAATATTTCATTCTCTTTAGAATTCTTATAAATATAGTTCTACTGAAAAATATGGCTTTTGGATCATCATTATGCAAAAAATTGTTGGTAAATCTTTCTGAAAAAAATCCTCACTGAAAGGTGTCTATTACCTTCCACTTTCAGGTTAGAGTAATATTTTAGTCAAAAAGAGTCAACAAAAAGTATTTTCAGAGAAGAATGTTGGCCCTGCCATCTGATATCCCCTTTGCTCCCACCTGGTGAATATCTTTACTTTATTTATTTATTTTTTTGAGATGGAGTCTCGTTCTGTTGCCCAGGCTGGAGTGCAGTGGCACAATCTCGGCTCACTGCAACCTCTGCCTCCAGGGTTCAAGCGATTTTCCTGCCACAGTCTCCCAAGTAGCTGGAATTACAGGTGTGCGCCACCACACACAGCTAATTTTTGAGAATGAGATGAGGTTTCACCATGTTGGCCAGGCTGGTCTCAAACTCCTGACCTCAAGTGATCCTTCTGCCTCCCAAAGTGCTGGGATTACAGGCTTGAGCCACCACACCCGGCCTAACTGGCAAATGTCTTCAATGTATCCTCTGTTTTCACAGATGGGTGTAAATTCTACCTTAATTCAGCTGATTCTTAAAAGTTTGTTTCTTCCCCGACAAATACATGTAATATCATTACAGATACCTGTAAGGGAATAATATCGAGTCTTCTGTCATTCTGTATCTTGTAAAAGTTTGGCTGAGACAAATATTAATATGACATGCAAAATTTTAAAAGATGTGAGCTTCATTAGATTTCAAATCATGGAAACAATGCGGAAAAATATTGTGTGTGTGTTTTTGCCATCTCCGTGAGTTCTGACATCTAATGCTGATTGTATTACCCAGTTTGATCCAAACTGTTTACATTTGCTGATGTAACTAATCATGTTTTCCAATGTTATTCAACATTACTTAGATTTTATGTTTATGAGCACACTAAAAACTTGTATTGAACTTTTGTCTTTTACGGTAATTAACAGAGTCTGGTTATGGTGTGATTTCCTAAAACCCCTGCCCTACGTTGTAACAGAGTAAGGAGAAAATGAGAAAAGATAACACTTCACAGTCTCTTGTTGATATCCTACATAAGGTATACCTTAAAGCAAACATCCAAATATTATCATCCAAATATAAACTGATTATCAATATAAAGTTATAAACAAAATAAATTATAAACAATTTTAAAAATAAAGATACTTGTTTATGTCTACCAAGAGCAAATTCAAATAAAAAACCCTTGAATTAATGCCAAATTGACTTTAATTTCATTATTACATTACTAGTTTATAGTACAATATACCATATTTTTCATATGTTGAAGCTTCGAAAGAATCTAAGGTCAAATCAAAGATCATGTTTAATCAAAACAAGAGGAAAAGGAAGTAAAATGTCTTTACAAAATGTTAAGATTCTCATATTCTATAATAATAATCAGGCTCTTCACCTTAAAAAACTATCAGGGTAGTTCAATTCGAATATCTCTATCAGTATTTTCTACTAAGCTGCCTTTAAGTACTGAAATTAGAAAACCATTAATAACATCAGACTTTTCTTTGCCCAGTAGAGGGCAGTGCTACATATGGAAACCAACTTATTACTTGGTTCTTTGAGAGTTTGTGAATGAATGACCCCATTAACTCCTGTACCTAATGTAAGTTGATTTTTGTTCCTTAAAATAGACAATCAAATTCAACGGAACTAAGTGGCAATAGAAATATGGAGAAGTAAAATGTCCGCACAGCCAAGCAATAACTACAGAGCTGTGGCCGCATTGATAACACTAATATTGTTTAATATGAGTTATACAAGTGTTTTCAAGTAATGAGTCAAATAGCAATGTACATGAGAGTCAGAGACTAGATAATTCTTCAGGATTAATATTCAAAAGTAATATTAGAAAAACATATAAATTACCTTTAATTGTCTTCTTGCTTACTAGAATTAAGGTAGGTAACGTCCCTAAAGAGTAATGCTCTGAAAAATAACCTAATTTAAGATGATGTAAATTCCATTCCTTGAAGCTTTTACTCTGGTTGAATCTCCACGGTGATTGATTCATTCTTTTAATTAAAAATCCCAAATTCATGAGCCAGTTTTAGTTCACTGTGCTATATCTTATGATAATATCAATATCCTAGCACCAAAAATTGAAGTAATCTCTTTTCAGAGATACTGAAACAATAGCAAAAATGGGTTTTTTTTCCCCAACATCTGAGCACTTTACTTTAAAAAAGCAGGCACTGTAATATGTGTAATATGTAATTTTTTGAGGAAGACAACATCTACTCTTTTCTACCATAGATAGCTTCATTTGTTTCTACTCTATAAACTTATCAAACCAGCTCCTAAAAATTACTATGGTAATTTGTCAATTACATCAGTTTGACCCATATCCTCTTAGATAGAAAGTTTACCTTCAAATATTTCCCCAATATTTCTTAATTTTAATTATTCCTTTAAACCTATTTGATTTTTTATTTGTAAGCATAAATTTAATTAATTATTTGAAAAATACTTCGTTCTGGATGTGTAGTCTTTAGATCCCCTTTTTCGGATTTATAGGTTTAGGAAGAAGTTATATCTTCTTTATTTTGTGAGGTGCTTAGAAATAAATATTTGATGATGATGATAAAGTTTCCATAGGATTTCTTCTCTACTCCATTATCTAAATATTCACTAAGAGGAATGTCTAAAAGAATTAAATAAGTATGAACATGAGTTAAACATTTCCAGTTATTTCATGTTGCAACACCTAAGTCAACATTGCCATATGCCGACTCTCCTATTAAAGCTCTCTTCAGGGAGAAGAACTTGGTAATCCGATAGAAAATTACCATTCAAAAGAATTACTTTTTAAAAAGATACTGTCTCCACTATAAATTATTTTATATGTCATTCTTTGACTTGAAAAATATGTACCCAAATTTTTCTATGATAACAAATGTCTCGATATAAATTATTAGATGAAAAAAGCAAAGCTAATCTGAATGAGAGAAAACTATATTATAACACACAGTGAAATGCTCTTAGTTTAGTCTAGTTTAATTTGTAACACCACTGTAATTTTAGATTCCGCTACTTACTCACCTGGGTTAACTTGGTGATCATAGTTAATTGGAGGTAATATTATCTTCCTTCGAAGGCTGAGGCAAGCATTATAGGGGAATGTATATGACACACCTGTCATAAGGACCAGGATGTGTTTGTTGACTAGTAAATACTTACGACTCTTATTAGCTCTGCAAATCACTTTTTATTTGATGTTGGGCAAATAATTAACTTCTTTGAATCTCTTCTTCACCACTCAAATTGGAATTATAATACCCACTTGTTTTTACCAAAGAGTGATGTTAATTTGAGATGAGATAATAATAAACGTAAAAGTGTGAAAGCACTTTGCAAGTGACAGAGGGCCGCATAAATATTAGGATATATAATTAATTGGGAATATACACAGAAATTAAAACTGGCGTAAGAAAAACTCTATTGCATACTTTGTCATCTGGGGACATTGTTTAGAAAGATCATTTTGAAAGAAAAGTTTACAGTAGGTTGTAGAGAGCAGATCATTACTTATAACACCATTGTAATTTTTATTTACTTTGTGAAAATCATGGTTACATTTTTCAGAGTTTTGCCTGAATACTGATGGATTGATTTAGTGGGTCAGAACTAATAATGTTGACTATATTTGTAAAGTACAAGACTCCCAAGATACATTTTTCTTTTTGAGATAAATTTTATTTCTAAATAGGTGAGTTTCAAATTTTCATGCAGAAGGAAAATTTTACTAACAATTTACTGATGAGAAACCCTGGCCAATATGACAGAGATTTATATTCAGAATCACAGTATATGTTGTAGCTCCTACCTGGGAGTTCTGTAAGGAACAGAGGTCATGGATGGCATAACTGTTGTCTCTGAAGGAAGCAATGCATCTTGCATCCCTCTGAAGAGTCATCCCACAATGAGTATTATTGAGAGCCAAGTCCTCTCTGACTCAGGAAGAGAAAAAGAAAAAGTGCTCCTCAGAGAAAGTGCTCCTCAGAAGCCCTTTCTAGGAAGAAAAGTGTTCTTTTCATTGCCTCTTCCCCCAGACAACCACATCTCCTCCTGTGTCCTCAGAGTGCCCGTTCAAAACGGCCTTCCACAGCTGATGAGGAAGAACTACTTCTATGCTTAAACATTATTAGTAGCTCTAGGGATATTAGCCATACCTAATTCATATGTCCATCAGTTCATGTATCTACTTGTTTATGCTAGAATTTCCAATCTCCTAAACACACACACACATTGAGCACACTAACTATATCCAGATAGATAGATAGATAGAAGATAGATAGACAGATATGATATATGATAAATAGATAGATGGGTGATTGATTGAGATGATAGATAGATATGATATATGATAAATAGATGATTGATTGAGATGATAGATAGATAGATAGATAGATAGATAGATAGATAGATAGATAGATATAGATAGATGATAGATAGATAGATAAAAATATTTGAAATTTGTGGAATTGCAAGGCCAAAGGCTCTACCATTGGTAACTCATTACTCTAATGGTCTATATTCGTAAGAACTTGGATAGCTAAGAGTAAAATAACATTACAAATATATTTACTAATGGTCCATATTAGGATATGTCCTTTCAATATGTTTCTTTCCAACACAACTAATGGGATATGAGAGAGACAATGTCTATTTTGATGAGAAAATGCCTCAACAAGGGTATTTTTAGAGATCTGTATAAAGTGTCTTCTCAACAGACAGATGGGTGGATGTCAGATCCCACGGTAACCTCAGCTACATAGTAAATTACTCAGAGCATCATATTTTTAATACACACATAACTTATTGGTTTTTTCTTTTATATATAAATACATTTTTTTCAATTCTTAAAACACACCATGTTATTAAATATTTCCTGCCACAGTTCCTTTTCACATCCTGCTGCTCAACCTAAAATGGAACCCCCCCCCACAGCTAGGTCAGGCTCTTTCAGATGGCTGGCATAGAACTGAGACTCTTCCCTTAGAAGGACCTATCAGTAAACACCTATCATATGCCTACTTTATCAGTTGTTGTCTTTCCCACTAGACTGGAAGCCACATAAAAGGCAGGGATGGTGCCTATTTTCTCATCATTCTGTCTAGAATCTCTTGTACAGTGGCAAGCTCAGAATAAGTGCTCAGTAAATTTTGCCGGGTAAATAAAATTGGGAGGTGTACACATTTTAAGCATCATGGAAAATATTCACTTGTGTAAGAGTTTCAGGTTATTGTGTCTCATTTAAAAAACGAAAGGTATTATGGACTGTTTTATTGCTAAAACAGTAGAAAGAGGTAGATAAACCGCAACATAATGAAGTATTGGAAAGCATACAGTGGATTGTATGTGTAACAGCGTCAAATGCCATGGAAATCTAGAAGAGAATGGTGACTTAGGGAGAAAAAATGATGTGGCAAACAGAAGGTAACTTCCATGGAAAATTTTCAAAAGATAACAGAAGGTAGCTAGAAAGCAGATCCTTGGAGAGTGGAAAATAATTTGGTAGCATTAAATGACCCATTCATACTGTAGGAGGTGGAAGCAGAGGGTGATTCTAAAAGGGGGATGATGAAACAATGCTCATAGAAGAGCCTCACTGCTGTGGATCATGAGCATTTTCTCATCCAGCTAAGTGTACATGCTTACTTCATTTGTTAATGAATTTAACTGGTTGAAAATGATATCATGCTAATAAGCATGATAACTGGATAAGAACAAAAAAGTCATCGAATGCAATCCATAGAAAGTTAGAGAATCTGGCTCCTACTTCTCACAATAAGAAACTCAGAACCACAAGCTGAGTGTTTTGTTCCAGGTGCCCAGGTGCATTAGGATGGGGGTGGGACTGGAACAAAGGTCACTTTTATGTCACCAGATTTTACACCAACCATTACAAAGACTGATTAGCATTTGGAATACCTTTTTTTCAGCATTTTTTAAAGGACCAAGAAATAAAATCCTCTAGTTCTAAAAATCTGGTTTCTACTAATTAAATCATAATTACTTAAAACCACATAATTCTATTTAACCTTGATGATATGCCTTTATTCTTCAGAATAAGAAAGAATGTCTCTATGGTTATACTTAACATTTTTTATTTGGTAGGTATCCAAGTACAGCTCTTTGCAAGTTATATATAAGCTAAAAATAATGCCTGGGTATTTGTTTCAGAACAGAAGGAATTCTAGACTAATGTGATAAATGGCATTTCCCCAACTGCAACCATACTATTCCATTTTGGTTATACAGTCAGCTCCAAGACTAGATAGAGTCTTAAATGTCTATCTTCATGCACTTTAAGTTTGTGACATTCAAAATTTCATGGAAGGGAATACAGTTACCACCGTGTGCTTTAATTGATAGGTAAAATGGTAAATTCAAATCCAAGTCATTCATTTTATTTATTTGAGCAATATTTGAATGGCGAAACCCAGATACAAAGTATGGAAATAGAGCTATGAGGGAAATCAAAATATATAAAGACACCATCCTAATGTCTAAGTCTTCTTATAGTCCAGTGAGGAAGAATATTGTGGTATACAGTTTTTCCTTATTTTAAATTCATGTAATACACTCTTGAAACCCACATTGACATTGTTGCTATGACAAACAGGAGTAGAAAATCATTATTACTTGGATAGCTAAGAATAAAATAATATTACAAGTATGTTTACTAATGGTCTGAATTAAATTATTTCCTTTCAATATGTTTCTTTCCAATGCAATCATGTCTTCAACTAGAACCAGAGGAATAATTTCTAAATGGTGGAGCTTGAGTCTAAAGAAAATCAAATAAGACAAATAAAAATATTTCAAAATTCTTCTCTGTAAATATTGGTTTTAAAAATTATTTTTTCAAACATTTATTTTCCACAACTTCAAATAAGTCTTTCCAGCCAGCCCAGGACTATTTAATCCTGCAAAACAACCGTAGGCTTCATGGTACCCTGAAATACACCACACTATGTGTCAAAGCTACAGCCAAGAACTGTTTACTGATTTTCATCAATTCCATGGGACAATGGGAACTTTAGAAATAGTGGAAAGGGGTATTGAGTAGTCACTGGCAATGATGAAGCACTCTGTGATCATTCGGTGATTGTGACAGGGACTTTGTCCAAAATTTAGCATATTTTACTTTTGGTTAGAGATAGGTTGGCAAGAACTCAACTCTGAACCAGCAGCCTTATGCATTCTCATTAATTTTAATTGAATGAATTGAATGTCCAGTCTAGACATAATTTTCAAACCCAATTAATAAGATACTTAAGGTGTTGGCAAAAGTCTCTGCAAGGCTTTTAGCTATAATTTTAAGAATTTTAAAGATGGGCCAAATGCCGGGAAATTATAAATGAGTCAGTGCTGTAACTTTAGTTGAAAAAGAAATAACAGATGATACTGTATGCTCTAGGAAGCTCAACTTATTTCTATACTTATGCACAAAAAAAAAATCAGAAATAAAATGTCAGTTTTAAAACACCTGGATGAGATCAGGGTACTGTGAAACAAACAGCACTACCTAAGAAAGAAAAGTTATGTCAGATTCATTGTTTTTCTCACCGTGAATGGAGCCAAAATTAACATCTTGTGGTGGGAACACCTTTTACACTTTCAAACATGATCTAACTTTTTGAAAATAGTCATATTTTTTGGCAAAATTTTTCTTTCTTTGGCAAAATTTTAATATTTTCTGATCTAAATGGACCCATTACTTTCATTTAATCATCACTCTCTACTAAATTTCACCAAAGGATTGACTTTGTGCAGGGTAGCATGTGTTATTAAAACTTGTATCACAATACAGGCCAATATCACATGCTATGCTATCTAAAACAAATATATTCACATGGAGTTACTTGTTCAGTTTGATCTTGACAACATGCTTGTGGGTAGAGTAGTGTTGGTTTTGCCAACTTCATTTGAAAAAGAGAAGGTTGTCCTGGTTCTCGTGGTGGGGCTGAAATGAAGCTAGCTGGCTGCAGCTGAGTTTAGGGAGCTTCAGAGTTAAGTTCCAGTTATCAGTCGTTAAGGAGCGAGTTCTTTGCTCAGAGCAGGCGATGGAGCTGAAACCAGAGCGCAGCCTGTGTAGGACCAAGGGACAGATGCCCTGTGTCAAAGCCAACGAGCAAGAGGGAGCTGTGGGTGGGAGAGCCATTGTGGAGACTGGCAGCAGTTCCGGGTTTTAGGTGTAGAACAGGTCAGAGTGAACGTAATGAGGCGATGTGTGACAAAGGCTGCCACAAGTGTAAAAGGATGAAAAGAACCCTTTACGTTGCCCTGGCTACAAGCTTTAGGGATAGAGTTAATGATTGATGATACCCTCAGAAGGCCGAGAAACAGAAGCCAATGAAAATAAAAATGTTCATTCTTAACTTACTGAGTTACATATACAAATATATTACTATAATAATATATGTTATTCCATTATTATAATATATGAAAATAATACAATATTCATAATAATAATCTATTATCATAACATAACATATTAAAATAATATAATATCTATAATAATATTTAATATATTATGCATATTCGAGAGAAAGCGAGAGCCTGCCCTGTATATAGTAATGTGCTAGGTTCTGGTCATTTAAAAAACAAAAACCTACGTTTCTAATGCATATGTCTGAGATTGAATTTAATTATGATGCAATTGAAAATCCAACCAGGGCAGTCTATAAAGATCTCTGTTCTCCCACTGGAGCTAGTCTAATCAGGACAGGGAAACTGTGAGAGCAGACAGAGGTGTCTCCAGGACTCAGCGGGAGGCGGAGGTCTCAGCAGGAGGCAGACAGCCGCTCCATGGAAGGGATCAGCATGGACTGGGATCCTTTCTAATTTTCCACCTCTCATCTCAGCTCATCTCAGCTCCTTTTATTTAATCCCCTCTTTCATCAGGCTTGCTGCTGCTGCTTTTTTTTTTTTTTTCCTGCCATATGGAAGATAAAAACAAATGCTCACTCCCTTGCCAAACTTACAAATGTAGACGGACCAAATGCATGAGGAATATACTCCGCTCAGCTGAGCTTGGGTGAGTCACCTCCACACAGGGCTGGGTTCAGTGCATAAAACAGCTGCCTGAGGCCTCTGCTATATTGGAGAGGTAAAGAATTTAATACAAAACAAACTGTCAAGTTTTTTGTTTAATGATGTTTTTATATAGCTCTCACATGCGGTACAATTCTGCTCAGATGTCTGATAAGCCTGGATTGTCAAATCACATACAAGAATGAAAGTGTCAGATGTTGCTTGAAAACTCGTGGCACCTGGGTAGGCTTTGTCAGGTGCCACACTGGTAGGGAGATAGTTAAGAAATTGCAGATCAACCTGGAGTCATTTCTTTTTTATTTTTAAAAATGACGTTTTTTTTCCTAAAATGAAAGCAGCTAATCTCTGGAGCTTATAAAAGTACCAGTGTGGGTGACCAGAGGGCTTTGACTCCAATATTTTGACTCCAATTCTTTGACTCCAATAACCCCCTTAGGCACCAGTGTGATTCCTGCCTTCCCTTGTGCGTGGCTTTTCAGTCCTGAGCTTTTTGGGGGTTGCGGAAGGACTGACACTGGTATCAACTCTCATTTTTTTTTTTTTTTTTTTGAGACGGAGTCTGTCTCTGCCGCCCAGGCTGGAGTGCAGTGGCGCCATCTCAGCTCACTGCAAGCTCCATCTCCTGGGTTCACGCCATTCTCCTGCCTCAGCCTCCCGAGTAGCTGGGACTACAGGCGCCCGCCACTACGCCCGGCTAATTTTTTTGTATTTTTTAGTAGAGACAGGGTTTCACTGTGTTAGCCAGGATGGTCTCGATCTCCTGACCTCGTGATCTGCCCGCCTCGGCCTCCCAAAGTGCTGGGATTACAGGCGTGAGCCACCGCACCCGGCCTGAACTCTCATTTTTTTCCCCTCTCTGTTTTCTGCGCTACACTTTCTTAGGGACAAATTTGCACACTTTTCTTCTGCCAAACTGTGATGTGCTCTTTCACTATTGCTCACTCCAATCCCCTTTTTAGTCGTTGTGAAATTATACCTATTTTATACCTTCACTGTCTTTTTTTTATTATTATTTATTTTTGAGACAGAGTCTCACTCTATTGCCCAGGCTGGAGGGCAATGGCGCAATCTTGGCTCACTGCAACCTCCACCTCGGGGGTTCGAGCAGTTCTTCTGCCTCAGTCTCCTGAGTAGCTGGGATTACAGGCACCCGCCACTGTGCCTGGCTAATTTTTGTATTTTTAGTAGAGACAGGGTTTCACCATGTTGGCTAAGTTGGTCTCAAACTCCTGATCTCAGGTGATGTGACCTCCTGGGCCTCCCAAAGTGCTGGGATTACAGGCATGAGCTACTGCACCCAGCCCACTGTCATTTTTAACAGCATTTCAGGTGGTCTTCAGAAGTCACAAAGACCAGCCACATGTTTGGTGATTCACAGAAGGACTCACAGATCTGGTGTCCTTTGTACTTACGTCTAAGGTTTTTGGTGATGTTGTTAATTTTCCTTTTGAGTATTTGTCCCTCTGTATTGTGTTCCTTTTTTTGGCTTACTTACTATAACTATCTGTTTTATTATTTAGTTAGATTTTTACTGGTAGCTGGTCACATAGATACCCTCTGCCCAGGTTTTCACCATAAATCACATTGTTTGTACCAACAACCCTGTCGTAGCAAAACAAACTTATCAACTAGGAGTGGAGAAACTATTGTGACAGTCAAGCTCCCAGATGTCAATCAAAGGCCAGCCCTGAGAGCAAGACCTTTTGAAGATAGTGCCATGATGTTAACTCCTTTCTTCACCACTGATAAGAAGATGAACATGTGCAAAGACACAATTGTATGAACAAAACTAAAAACCTTTTATCTAGGCAGCCGCTCAAAAGGCAGATTTTCACTTCAATGAAGTCAACCTGGACTTCCTGATGCAGTTAATAAATACTATCGGAAGAAGTCAGAGAAGTAAGGAATTATTGTGATCTGGATCAGCAGGGTTAAATCTTAGGTTTTTACTTGGATTTCAAAGTGTAGGTGGAGGGTAAAATAATTTAAGGAAGTACAAAGCAGCATAAACTGACGTGATATTCTGTATGAACGTTCATTGTCAGGTAAAAAATGAAGTCACCCTGGAGAAATGGAACCACATGAGGAAGCACATGGAGGTAAGAATTTATACACACAACAGGAGACAATCTGAACAGTAAATTTTGTCGTTCTGCTGTAAGCAAAGGGATATATAAAGACTTTTTTTTCCAGTAGAGATATAATGGAACTAATATTCTAGAGAAATATATCTGGCTTGGATCCTATGATGATTCTCTTTGGGTCAGAGTGGAGCCTTATGTTATATACATGCAACCACCTGAGCTAAGGTTACAAACATTTAAAAGGCAAGATTTTTTTTAACTAAAAGATTAAAATGAAGGTATGCATTACAATAAGAAGTTATAACTATGATATTGAGGGGAGGGGAGGAAGAGGTTAAAAGTTAAATAAGTGAATTTTAAAAGATGACAGTCATAGAAAAGTCTAGATTTTGGCTCTGAATTTCCTAGCTGCAAAATGAAAGAGAGCTACATAGATGGTTACCTATGTAGCATTCATTGTCATTGAAGATAAAACATTATCCTGGAAGAGTAAGACTTCCCCATAGATTATCTCTAATATAACCTTGTGACAGTGGATTTCATATAGGATGTACTGAGGGGAAGGATGTGCTTCCTTGCATATAATTCAGTGTGTTCTTGCCTGATGCTGTTTCCTGCAGAAGCCTTTCATGCGAGTCAGTGGAAAAGCTGCCAAAATGCAGCTGCAATTCTGCAAGCTTTCAGGACCATATGGTCCCAGGATGTAATTCTTGGGTGACCTGACTTAATTAATGGATGGAATCTCAAGGGATTGAGATTCAGCTTGGTCTTTCATATTAATCCATAATTATAACTTCTCTCAAATCATCCTATGATAATGCTGGACAGAAAGAGCTCTAGGATGTGCTCTTTGGTGAAGACTGGACTGTAAGTTAAGCAAATCTGTTCATTGATAGTTAACTCTATTTTATTTGCTATATCATTTTAAGTGACTTTTACATGTTAATATTTTTTAAAATTATCCAAGATAGCACAATTACTTCCTTTGGAAAGTGAGAGCCATATTTTTTCTACCAGGGTTACCCGTCATTCCTTAACCTTGTCCTGTCCTTTCCTGAGTTCCTCCCTCGTCTTGTTAGGGGACACAACCTGTGAACCTCAGTCTACTAGTTTAGGAGTGAGCTCCTGACAAGAAAGTGCCATAACCTATGATATGTGACGTATTTCACAAAGTTACACTGAGACAATTTTATATGTACTCAGTCTTGTGAATCAGAGGCCAAAAAGAAGATGAGTAGTTGGGGGGTGGGAACTTGAGCAAGTAGTTCATGGAGCTTTGAGAATGAGACAGGCTTTCTGTAGCAGTGGGTACAGGAAAGTGGAGAATGTAAAGATCCAGACATAACTGCTAAGGAGAGAGGGACCAAGAGAAGCAGATGCACAGAGAAAGGGAGACATCATGAGTAAAAGAAATGAAGATAAAAATTGCTATTTTAGTTTGCTGGGGCTGCTTTAACAAAATATCATAAACTGGGTGGCTTAAAAAACAACAGAATTTAATTTGTCATGGTTCTGGAGACTGGCAAGTCCAAGATCAGGGTGCTGGCATGGTTGGCTTCTGATGAGGGCCCTCATCTGTGTTGTGGATTGCATACTTCTGGCTGTGCCCTCACATGGTGGAAGGGAAGAGGGATCTCCCTGGGGTTCCTTTCATAAGGGCATTAATCGTATTCATGATGGTTCCACCCTCATGATCTAGTCACCTCACAAAAGCCCCACCACCTCCTCATTACTTTAGGGGCTAGAATTTAAACATATGAGTTTTGAGGAGACACAAACATTCTGACGATAGCAAGTAATAGTCTGTGAGCAGCCTGAAGTCTCACCCTTCCAAGCATTTCTTCATTCAACTTTCCCAGAGTCAGGGAGATGTGTCTACATTGTTTTACATCAGAAAAATATGGGCAAAAAAAAAAAAAGACAAGAAAAGAAAGCAAGCATGCAAAGATGTACAGACAAAAGCAAAACTGATAGACACTATCAGTGCATTAATGGTGAAAGAAAGCAGCTGTAAGTCCCAAACTCCCAGTTCCCAGGTCCAACAACTATGTACTTTTTTATGTCTATGACTTAGACTGCTATGGGATCCTTGCAGTGAGCTAGCTCAAGAGGATCTCTCATCCAGTAGAAGAAAAAAAATCCTCATTAATTAACATGTTTGTTTTACTAGCAAAAACAACAAAGGTATAATTGTGAATTATATTTACTTGTGAAAATATATTATGTAAATAATCCTGTTACTTACCTGTTGCCTTCTATTTCAAATACTATATTTTAGTTAAACCTCACAAATCACCCTTTTTGGAAAGAGGAAATTGAGACACGGTTGTGTTTATTACTGCAATCAAAAGATTTATCTAACAGCCCCTCCTGAGTAGATCAGAGAGATGTTATATAGTTTATCATAAAATACCTAAAGGAATAAAGTAGAAAACTATTGTAGTTTAATCCCAAAGATATGTTAAATTAAACCTGAATAAAAAGTGATAAATAAAAGAATTGACTGAGCTTGGTTTTATATTATGAAATTTAATTATAGTGTGTGAAATCAAAACATATTTTATATATGACTTGCTTGTATATAATAAAACACATTTTTCAAAATTCAAAGGGTAAATACTTTATTTTTCCCAACTACAGAATATTTAGCTGGTTAAGTCTTTAAAACATGTATGTATATTAATGTACTTGGAAATACATAAAATGAATTCTAACAACAAATAAATCTACTTAGGCATGTTTACATATAGTGAATATATTAGCTTTAATCATACAAAAATACATGATTACCAATTATGCATTAGGCTTTTGTGCAATGTAATATTTTAGCTTCTAAGAGTTCATTTTACTTGTTTGAATGCATTGCGAAAATAACAAAAATCCCCTAAAAGCAGAAACAGGACATTTTGTGAATATGTGAGGATGAGGGCATTTATAAATCAGTTTATGAAGCCCCAACAGGGCATATAGTTTTGAAATCCAAAATTTTTCACTCAATCAGGTATTCTCATGTAGATAGCAAAAATGGAAAAACTGAAGATATCTGTGGGATGGAGATATATTGACATTTACTTATAGAAATAGAAATGTTAGAAGAGGAGACCAGAGGAAGAAATGACACTCTTTTAAAATGAGACGCTGAAAATCCGCAGGCTGGAGGAGGCCAAGGAAGAAATTAGTCAGTGGTCAGTGTCACACAAGTATTCCAGATAATAAGTATTGATAGAATTAGAATATCATCATTTAGTAGCCCATAATAAATACAAAAATTATATCACGTATCTGTTATTACATAATACATATTCTTAAAATGCGGTCATTTACAAACAACAGTCACGTATTAGCTTACAGTTCTTTGGACAGGCAATTCTGTGAATATAAGGGCTAAACTTGTCAATATGCTGGTCTCCCCTAGAAAACATACATTTAGAGTCAATCGAGTCAGATTGTCTGAAAAGACTTCACACATATCTGTCAGTTGGTACTGACTCTCAGCTCAACCTTTCTCTCTACATATTATATTAAAGAAGGCTAGTAGTTTCAGGGCAGCAACAGGGCAAGAATAGAAGGTCTCTTGAGTCCTGTGCTTAAGCCCTCCAAATTCATATGCCCTGGATTATGCTGATGAAAGCAGATCACAACACCAGCCCAGAGTCAAGAGGGCAAGAAGTGAATTCCATTTTTCATGGGAGGAGTGGAAAAGTCTATTGCAAAGACAGCAGAGAAAAGAGGGAAGAGAATAATTTGTGGCCACTTTTTGGAGTCTAGCAAATAGTTCTAGGCAATGATAATTGGGTTTGGCAACATCTCAAGAAATGAGATGAATAAACATTATGAGACTCATAGTAGAAATATAAAATATCATCTATTATAACGCACACACACACACACACACACACACACACACACACACACGAAATCTAAATGTAATCAAGCATCCAGATCTAACAAAGTAATCTGGGGATAGGAAATTAAGGGCACAGAAGATCAGGCTATACAATGTTACAGATAAATCCATATTTGGGTAAACTTTTTAGTGCAAGCAATTTTATTTCTTCCAACCAATAAACTTGAAAAAAAAAATTAAAAGGCACAGATTAGAAAAGGAAAAACAAAACTGTCATATTTGCAAATAAAATGACTCCCTACAAAGAAAATTCAAGAAACTCTAACAAAAAGTATTATAAATAATGGTTGCTGGATAGAATATCAACAGAAAAAAATGGTATTTCTCTACAAAGCAAGGAGCAGAAAATTTAACTAATAATGTCCTTTTACCATGGCAACAAAAATACAGTGTTCTTAGGAACAAATCAAATGGAAATTGGCCAAGAACCCAATATAATAATTTTAAAAAGACAAAAAAAGTAAAGGTCTTTATGATCAGAGGTTAGATTGAGATTTTTTAAATAAGACTAAAAATGTGTTAGCCATTCTAGTCTGTGGATAAAAAGTGATTTCAACTTAACTCTGAACCTAAACTTGAATACATATTTCTAAAATGAGCATAAAGGTACAAAAATCCATGAATGGCCTAGATACTCTTAAGAAAATTAAGACAGGTGAATTTGTCTGCCAAGCAATACCATATCCTATAAATCTGTAGTGCAGGAATAAACAAATAACATAAAGTGATATGGTATGGCTGTGTCCCCACCCAAATCTCATAATTCCCAAATGTCATGGGGAGACCCCTTGGGAAGTAATTTAGTCATTGGGGTGGGATTTTCCCTTGCAGTTCTAATGATAATGAATGAGTTTCACCAGATCTGATGGTTTTAAATGGGCAGTTCCCCTGCACACACTGTCGTGTCTGCTGCCATGTAAGACATGCCTTTGCTCCTCCTTCACCTTCCGCCATGATTGTGAGGCCTCCCCATCCATGTGGAACTGTGAATCCATTAAACCTGTTTTTTCTTCATAAATTAAGCAGTCAGAGATATTTCTTCACAGCAGTATGAAAATG
Source organism: Homo sapiens (assembly GCF_000001405.40). Lineage (NCBI taxonomy): Eukaryota > Metazoa > Chordata > Mammalia > Primates > Hominidae > Homo > Homo sapiens. The sequence goes on along the minus strand of NC_000005.10, from coordinate 12,009,238 downwards.
GGCTAATATAGTAAATTGGTATCAGTAGAGTGGGGCACTGCTAATAAGATTCAAAAATGTGGAAGTGACTTTGGAACTGAGTAACAGGCAGAGGTTGGAAGAGATTGAAGGGCCCAGAAGATGACAGGACAATGTGGGGAAGTTTAGAGCTTCCTAGAGACTTGTTGAATAGTTTTGACCAAAAAGTCCAGGCTGAGGTGGTCTCAGATGGAGATGAGGAACTTATTGGGAATTGGACCAAAGGTGATTCTTGCTATGCTTTAGCAAAGAGACTGGCAGCATTTTGTCCCTGCCCTAGAGATCTGTGGAACTTTGAACTTGAGAGATTATTTAGGGTAACTGGTGGAAGAAATTTCTAAGCAGCAAAGCTTTCAAGATGTGACTTGGGTGCCGTTAAAAGCATTCAGTTTTATTCGTTCATGAATATATGGTTTGGAATTGAAACTTATGTTTAAAAGGGACACAGAACAAAAAAGTTCAGAAAATTTGCAACCTGACAATGTGATAAAAAATAAAAAGACCATTTTCTGAGAAGAAATTCAAGCCAGTTGCAGAAATTTGTATAATAACTGGGAGCCAAATGTTAATCACCAAGACAATGAGGAAAATGTCTTCAGGGCATGATGGAAGTCTTCACAGCAGTCCCTCCCATTATATATCCAGAGACCTAGGAGGAAAAAAATGGTTTTGTGGACTGGGCCCAGGGCCTTGCTGCTTTGTGCAGTCTCAGGACTTCATGCCCTGCATCCAAGCAATGGCTAAAAGGAGCCAACATACAGCTCAGGCTGTGGCTTCAGAGGGTGCAGTCCAAAGCCTTGGCAGCTTACACATGGTGTTCAGCTTGCAGGTGCACAGAAGTCAAGAATTGAGGTTTGGGAACCTCCACCTAAATTTCATAGGATGTATGGAAATGCCTGGATGTCCAGGCAGAAGTGTACTACAGGGCAGAGTCCTCATGGAGAACCTCTACTAGGGCAGTGCAGAAGGGAAATGTGGGGTTGGAGCTCTCACACAGTCCCCACTGGGGCACTGCCTAGTAGAGCTATGAGAAGAGAGCCACCATCCTCCAGACCCCAGAATGGTAGATCCACCAACAGCTTCCATTGTGTGCCTGAAAAAGCCACAGACACTCAACACCAGCCTGTGAAAGCAGCCAGGAGGGAGGCTGTACCCTGCAAAACCACAGAAGCAGAGCTACCCAAGACCATGGGAACCCACCTCTTGCATCAGAGTGACCTAGATGTGAGACATGGAGCCAAAGGAGATCATTTTGGAGATTTAAGATTTGACTGCCTCCCTGGATTTTGGACTTGCATGGGGCCTGTAGCCTCTTCATTTTGGCCAATTTCTCCCATTTGGAATGGGTGTATTTACCCATTGCCTGTACCCTCATTGTATTTAGGACGTAACTAACTTGCTTTTAATTTTACAGGTTCATAGGGAGAAGGGACTTGCTTTGTCTCAGATGAGACTTTGGACGTGGACTTTTGAGTTAATGCTGAAATGAGTTAAGACTTTGGGGGCTGTTGGGAAGGCATGATTTTGAAATGTGAGGAAATGAGATTTGGGGTGGGGAGGGGCGAAATGATATGGTTTGGCTGTGTCCCCACCCGAATCTCATCTTGAATTGTTGCTCCCATAATCCCCACGTGTCATGGGAGGGAGCAGTGGGAGGTGATTGAATCATCAGGGCAGGTTTTCCCATGCTGTTCTCGTGATAGTGAATAAGTCTCATGAGATCTGCTGGTTTTATAATGGGCAGTTTCCCTGCACATGCTCTCTTGCCTGCCACCTCCTTTGCTCCTCCTTTGCCTTCTGCAAAATGATTTCATGGGCTTCGTGACTGTGAAGACTTCCCACTCATGTGGAACTGTGAGTCCATTAAACTTCTTTTTCTTTATAAATGACCCAGTCTCAGATATTTCTTCATAGCAGTATGAAAATGGACTAATACATAGAGTAAAAAAATCAAGTGGGAAATATGGGAACTGGAAACTTGATAAAAGAAAGATCCAGCATTGCAAATAAAATAGTATACAATATACTGTGCCAGGACATTTGATCCTCTATATAGCAAAAGTCAACAAAGATTTCTTCCTCATCTCACACATAACAATTAAGTTTGATTAGCCTTAAATATGCAAAGCCAAAAATGGAGATTTTATTGAAGAGAATGTAGAAGAGTATTTTATGTTCATGGGTTCTGCTGAGATTACTTAAATAATACTGAAAAGTATTAATCATAAATTAAAATGATAATGTGTTTTGACTACATTAGTAAAAAACAAAAAATCTGTTTTCAACTTGGAACACCAGGGGGAAAAACATAAAAAGAAGACATACTCTGGGAGATGATATTTTCAACAAGATAATTGCTTAAAATTAGTACCCAGAATAAATAAAAATATTGCAAATCATGGAGAAAAACAAATAATAGAAAAAATGGGCAAAAGACAGAAACATACTGTGCTAGAAACAAAAACAAACATTTATTCCTAACAAATAATATTAAAAATTTCTTCAAATTCATTAGCAATTTAGAAAATAAAGACTAAGCATCGGTGAGATAGCATGTTATAATGACCAAATTGGCAAACAAAAAAAAAAAAAAAGGAATTGTTATTACAGCATAGGTTAAAGTGTAAAGATAAAGGACTACATATATTATGACCCAGAGATTTATAACTATATACTTATTTTTTAAAAAGGGAGGGAGGGAGAGAGAGAGAAAGACAGGAGAGGGGGAAGGGAGTGAGGAAGGAAGACAGAAAGAGAAAGGAAGGAAGGAAGGAAGGGAGGGAGGGAGGGAGGGGGGAGGGAGAGAGAGAGGGAAGGAAGGAAAGAAGGAAGGAAGGAAGGAAAGAAAGAAGGATCACTTGTGTACTGCATGACATATAAAAGAATGTTCAGGCTGGGCGCAGTGGCTCACACCTGTAATCCCAACACTTTAGGAGGCTGAGGTGGGTGGATCACCTGAGGTAAGGAATTCAAAACCAACTTGACCAGCATGGTGAAACCCTGTCTCTATTAAAAATACAAAAATTAGCCAGGTGTGGTGGTGGGCGCCTGTGATCCCAGCAACTCTGGAGGCTGAGGCAGGATAATCACATGAACCCAGAAGGTGGAGTTTGCAGTGAGCCAAGATTGCGCCATTGCACTCCAGCCTGGGCGACAGAGCGAGACTACCTCTCAAAAAAAAAAAAAAAAAAAAAAAAAGAATGTTCAATGCAGCGTTTTTGTCATGTTAACAATCTGGATAAAACCCAAGTTCCATCAACAAGAAAGACTGTAAATAGATTTAAGGTTTTCATTGTATGAACATAAAATATAACTAAAAATAAATGTCATTACACATATTAATATGGATGAATTGCAAAAATCTATGTAGAACAGTAACAAAAGTTAACAAAACTTCCAAAAATCTCATGAAGGATGACAACATATATGTTAAGAATGAAACAAAATACACTTAAAATACAACAAATGCTCACACATACACACAAACTTTTGGAACCAATAATTGAGTTCCACAAGGTTGCAGGAAATAAGACCAATATGCAAAAATCCAGTGTATTTATATTCACTACCAATAAAAATATTTTTTTAATGAAGAAAGTAATTCCATTTATGGTTAATTCCATAATGGTACGTCCACATGAGTTAGTGTTGGTTTCTTACAGAACTAAACATATGATCCAGCAACCAAGCCCCTTAGTATTTACTCAAAAGTGTTAAAGACATGACCTCACAAAACCCTATACGTAGATATTATAGCAGCTTTAAAAATTAGAAGCAACCAAAATGTCCTTCCGTAAGTTAATGCGTAAGTAAGCTGTGGTACATCCAGACAATGGAATACTATTTAGCACTAGAAAAAAATTAATTGTTAATCCATGATAGACATAGAGGAAACTGAAGTGCATATTGTTAAGTGAAAGAAACCAGCAGAAATGTTACTTAATGTATGACTCAACCATATGATATTCTGGAAAAAGTAAAATGATGGAGATAGTAAATAGTTCAGTAGTTGCCAGGGGTTGAGGAGGAGGGAGAGATGAATAGGCAGAAGATTTTTAAGGCAGTGAATATACACTGCATGATACTATAATGGTAGACATATGTCATTATACATTTGTGTAAATCTGTATAATGGGCGATACCATTCTGAAATCAGAAAGTGGTAATTGTTGCATAAGTCTGTGAAGATCATAAAAAACCACTGGAATGTGCATTTTAAAAGGCTAAATTTTGTGGTATGCATAATGTATCCCAATAAAGCTATTATTTTAAGAAATAGTAAAATCTGCCTGATATGAATTATTTTTAATTTAGAATATTTTAAGGGTAAATTTTAAAATGCTTAATGCTGTGTAATAACATTTTTGAAAGCTATTTCAAGATGCTAATTTCTTAGAAACCAGAATAAAAAGCATGCTATCATTGCTCACATTTTTCAGACCCAGAGGAGCTTCCTTATCTTTTTATTTATTGAATTGTCCATTTTAGAATTAGCACTCATTGAACTGAGAAAAAGTGTGTACTTTTGCAAATGAGTGAACTGAAGTGAACTGAATGAAACTGGGACTTTTAAATGATGTCCAAACTTTAAATTATAAAATGATAATATTACCCATTTTTAAAAACACCATTTCATTTTTCTTTCATGTTATTTTACTTTCATAGTACTGATAAGCCTAAAAAGTAAATGCTAACACTATAACTTTCATCAGAAAGAAAAAGGATAGAATTTTCTGTGCTGATTTTAAAACTCTAATTGTAACACAGTTGCCCTTTATAATCACGCAGACTTTTAGTTTTGCTCATTGATGTTTGACAGATTTCTGCTAATTTTGATTTATTAGGTTGTTTTAGATTATTTGCCATTGCTCTTTTTTTGCTAGCATGAGGTAGAAATTTAATACATAATTTCCATTCAGTCTTTTTAAGTTGTAAATAAAACTGATCACAGGATAACAGTGTTGCTGGAACAGACAAAGGAATTAATACATTGGGATTGTCCTTGGGATGAATTCTCAATATGCTTAAAAATCACTGGGCTGTTTACACATGAGTACATTATGTGAGATGCACGAGATATGCCTCATGTACTGTGCCCCTTGTACACAGTATTTTTACATGTTGAATCCCCCATCCTCAGTAGTAATCTGTCTTGATATACTCTTTCATTAGGTTTTTAGGGACCAAAGAGAAATGTAAAGATCAGCCAAAACTTGCCCAGAGGCAGTGGGTTTGATGGAAAGTTAGGAAAGGACTGAGAATTCCCTCCTGACTGGGGAAGAATCTGCACCCCATTATCATTCACACACTGTGGTTTTAAGCAACTGCCAGGAGTTCTCCTCCCAAGTAGGAAAGGAATGGTGACACCTGACAGGGCTAGGTGCAGCCCCTGGAAGGGTCCTGTTCCCAATGAGCCTGGCAAACCTTCAGCAGGCTTGCTGTGAACCACGACTCATGAGGTGAACGGGCAACAGAAGGCTTCCACCATGCCACCCTTCCTCTTCTCTATGTTGATACAGGAAAGTACCCCAAAATACTATGCATACCCTGTTTCAGGATGCTGAGTTTTCATCTGTCACCCAGCTCCATTTGAAATTGCCATTTTTCTTGATCTCCGCTGCCCAACCCAAATGCCTTTCTACGAAGCAAAAATCTCTAAAGATATTTACCTTTTCCTCCTTCTACGTTCTTTGGCTGTAGTTGCACCTTTAAACTAAGGATGGGCTTATGCCTATTCATTTGTACACATTCTGGTGGGAAATTAAAAATTCAAAGACGTAACAAGAAAATAAGCATCTATATTGCCATATACTAGAATTTACCCCTGGAATTAACACTAGAATTACCAATAAACATTTTGGTGTAGTGCTTTCAGTGTTCTTTTTTTGATTTTTAAATCAGGTTTTGGTAACTAACACTACCTTTTCATAGATATTTAATACAATGAAAAACATGTGAGGACAAATGTAAAAAGAAATCACATCAAATCTCTGTATCGGAAAAACCAATATCATCAGTAAGACGCTTAGTCCAATATATTTTTAGGCATATATACAGATGGATAGTCAAATATATATATATATATATATATATATGTATATGTACATATGTATATATGTATATGTATATAAGTATATATGTATATATATAGAGAGAGAGAGAGTTTGTGAGAAATACATTTTATTTAAAAACACAAACAGATGCAATTGTAATAAGGTACATTAAACTTAACTGTGACATAAAATAAATTTAAAAGATTAAAGAACTTCTAATAAATGCTCTGTTATTAAAGAAAATACTGTTTTCTAAAGATTGTGTCTACATTTCCTGTATGGAATTAGGTTGGAGTTTTTTTTTTTCCTTTTTAAATTCCCATTTTATGTTTAGAGAAAAAAATTTTTTTTTAAATAACCGGCCTTCAAAGCACTGTCAAGCTTACTCCCATTACCCCTTCTCACCTCAAAATTTGTTCATGTTTTACTTTTCTTTTACATTATGAAAGTTAAAATGCTAAAACAATTAGAACCTATGCCAGCACACAGTAAGTACTACATAAATATTAGTGAAATAAATGCAACTATATAAAATGAAATGATTATCAAGGTTTGCTACATTTATACTCTTCTAAATCCATAACTTTCATAGCTGTTTAATTGTTGTCTATATTTAAATACATTTATTATGGCCTAAATGTTTATGTCCCCCAAAATTCACATGTTGAATTCCTCACCCCCAAGGTAATGCTATCAGGAGATGGGGCCTTTGGGAGGTGCTTAGATCATTGGGCAGAGCCCTCAAGAATGGGATTCTTCTATTATAAAAGAGGCAAAGAGGTCTGGGAGAGACCCCTCACCCCTTCCAACAAGTGAAGACACAGCAAGAGGCACCAACAATGAACCAGGAAGCGGGTCCTCACCAGATATTTAATCTGCGATACCTGGATCTTGGATGTCTCAGCCTCCAGAACTGAGAGAAATAAATGTATGCTGTTTATAAGCTACATAGTTGATGGTATTTTATGACAGCCCAAATGGACTGCTAAATTAATAAAACATTTAGCAATGCTCTCACTATGCTTTGTTGACTGTATTTTTTGAAACAATTTTTAGTTGGTGGATGCTGTGGTCAATAAAGCTTTGCTGTTGTTATTAATGTTGCTTTCTGTTTTTTTCAGTGCTCCTGTTTGTTGTGCCAAGGAAGGTTCATTGATAGTCTGAGTTTCTTTATGTTTTAAAGCATCTACTTTGTGCACAAAGCATATTTAACTAACATCTTGGCTTGCATAAAAATAAAATTTTTCATCTTTATTTTTGTCCTGGCTGGATAAAATATTTTGGGGTCATACTTTGTTCCCCTTAGAATTTCAAACATTTCTCCATTATCTTCTCACCCCAAAAATTGCTGGGTGGAAATCCTTTTATGATGAAAACCAAAACACAATTAGAACAAAAATACCTTCTAGAAACTAGAAATAGAAAGAAACTGTCCTACTGATTTAAAAAAAAAATTACAGCATATATTATATGTAATAACAGCAAAGAGAAAAGAGGTAAGGATAAGTTTAATAAAATATGGGCAACAACTATACTGAATAGAAGATTTTATTGAATGTCATAAAAAATGACATCAAAAAAGACTCAAATAAATAAAAAGCTAATTTTTAAAATCTTTCCATCCTTTGCATAAAACAAGGAGTGCTTTTGAATCCCAAGGATTCAAGCTGATTTTTATTCTAGGACGTTTTGCACAGCTGTTGCTAAAGAGTTGTTTATTCCAAGAGAGAAAAGATTAACAAAAGGAATTTAAAAGAAGGTACAGGCTCAGTCAAGGATGCACAGTATGACTTAAAAATAAACTCTAAAGTTAATTTCCAAAACACAAACTCTACTATATCCTGGATGATTTTAAGAGGCATGGCATTCAGTAACTCCACCTCCTCCTGCAGGCTGGGACAGGGCCCTGGCACCTTATAAACATATCAATATATGCAATATCGACCATGGTATGTCTCTTCCTCAGCAGAAAGTGGTCCGCTAAGAGCAAGAACCCTTTCATAATTCTCTTTTATTACTGTGGATAGCAAAGAATAGGTACTAAATACATAGATGTATAATATAGATCTATAAAAAGTCCTTAATTTGAGCCCTGACTTCACAACCAGTTATGTGAGTTAATTATAATATATCCAAACTTCAATTTTCTCATTTGTGAGATGGGATCAATGGTCCTGACGTCCTCCCTGTCCCAGCTGGTTTCAAGAACAGAATAAGATCCTGTGTGAAGGTGTGCTGCTGACCACAACCACTCCCCAGAAGCAGGGTATTATCCATTGTAATCCCTGTACTTTGTTTTATAGTTTTCTTAGTATTGATTTTATTTTTATTATTATGTATGCTCCAGAAGTTAAAAAAAACCTAACATATGGCTAATTTTTTTTGTTTGTTTTTGAGACGAAGTCTCACTCTGTCAACCAAGCTGGAGTGCAGTGGCAGGATCTCGGCTCACTGCAACCTCTGCCTCCTGGTTTCAAGCGATTCTCCTGCCTCAGCCTCTCGAGTAGCTGGGATTACAGGCACATGCCACCATACCTGGCTAATTTTCATATTTTTAATAGAGAGTGAGTTTCACCATGTTGGCCAGGCTGGCCTCGAACTCCTGATCTCGTGATATGCCAGGCTTGGCCTCCCAAAATGCTGGGATTACAGGCATAAGCCACCGCACCCGGCCAACATATGGCTAAGTTTTTTAAATAATATTGTTTTAAGCATGAATTACCACTACACATTTTAAAATGTCATGTGTGTTTTGATTTCTTATATTGTGATTTCCCAAGTGTGACATGTACATTTAAAAATATATAGTCATATATTTTATAAATATTTACAAAAAATAAAGTATGAAAAGATACAACAACAGGAGTGAAGGGTCACCGATGAAATGGTATAGATAGGTCAAGCTTTCGCTTCTATATTTAGTAATTCACAAATTATACAAAGAAAATCAGATGTTTGTGTTGGTTACAAACTGTGAAATGTACTGATGCAAAGGAAATTAGAGCACTTGCTTAAAAGATATTAGCATCTTTATTTTCATTACCTACTAACTAAAATGTGACATTTCCTCCCATTATGAATGTGAGCAATGAACTACAGTGGTTTTAGACACTTGTCATACATAGAAATAACAGATATTGTCATATCTTAATATGGTAGCTTCAGAAATCATCAAATATCACTTTTGTGTGTGTGTGTGTGGTGGGGGTGGGGGGGACGGAGATGCAACAGTCTCTCTGTCCCCCAGGCTGGAGTGCAGTGGTGTGATCTCGGCTCACTGTATCCTCCGCCTCCTGAGTTCAAGCGATTCTCAGATCACAGGCATGTGCCACCATGCCTGGCTCATTTTTGTATTTTTAGTAGAGACGGGTTTCATCATGTTGCCCAGGCTGGTCTTGAACTCCTGGCCGCAAGTGGCCCACCCGCCTTGTCATCCCAAAGTGCTGGGATTACAGGTATGAGCCACCACACCTAGGCAAAATATTACTCTTTGAAATTACAGAAATCAGTGGACCCTTTGTTAGGTCTTGTTATTTAATGTTAATAGTGAAGCACGTATACTACTATGTGACATACAGTTTTCTAAAAATAATTTGATACTGGTATTTCTATATGATTGCTCATTTTTTAATCTTATTTTTTATAAATTTTATTGCCTTATTTTGAAAAGGACTTATGGGCTTCATGAGGCTGTTAAAGAAATCCATGACTTATGTAAAAAAAATCAAGAACCCCTGTCTTAGAGGAGATCTAATTCTACTTCCCAACCTCTATGGCCTTCCTGCTCAACATGGTGATCAGCTGCATCTGCGTCATCTGGGAACGTAGTAGAAATACAGAACTTCCGGCCCTACTTGAAAACTGCTGAATCAGAATCTGCATTTCAGCAATACCCTTAGTTGACCTGGGCATTTTCCAGTTTATTATTCTGTAATTTTAAAATATTTATTATAAAAAGACCCCTGGTAGTACCTATCTACGTGACATCATCTAAACATTAGCCAATTCACCAGGACCAAACAAAAACCAAAACAAGTAAGAAAGGGAAAGAGCAGAAAGAAGAGCAATACCAGCTCTCTTACCAGTAAACAATGCATTTTCTGATTCTAATTTAGCACAGAGACTTCTTAAGTAAAGTGATTATTCACAATATTAACTTCAGGAGGAAATCATTATTCCAGGCTCCAAATTGTATAATCTGGAATTTACAAACAAATAAACACACCTTGCTTCTATTTGATCCCATTCTGGAATTTAAAAATCAATGAAAATATGTATTTATCTAGAAAAGACAAATCACTTTGAAATGCCGAGTGCATCTGATTAGCAATAACATCTATATTTAAAACATGTGAAATGAGGACAAGAGATGAAAGAGATGGCTAAAGGAAAACTGACATTGGCAAATTACTGCAGTTTATTTACCATCCAGTTCTGAAATTTAAACAGTTATTTTAACATATTCTTAATTTTATAAATCCTTAAAAGAAGTAGAAGTATTTACATGGTTTTCAAAGAAACCCCAAATGATGCTGAACCTTCAGAATGCAAAGTTCATAAAATGAATGATGCAATATCCTTTTTTGGAAATTTTGACTCAGTAATTTCCTGCCAAAAACCTTTTTAGCAATATTGCCTTCCAAGAATATAAATAAAAATGATTAAGCAAAGGATAACTTCAAAGAATGAGATAAGGCAACATGCTTACATAATAATTCCTAAAATAAAACTAAATGTGCATTTTTATTATTTGTTTCTTTTTCTTTTTTTTTTTTTTTTTTTTTTTGAGACGGAGTCTCGCTCTTGTCGCCCAGGCTGGAGTGCAGTGGCGCGATATTGGCTCATTGCAACCTCCGCCTCCCAGGTTCAAACAATTCTCGTGCCTCAGCCTCCTGAGTAGCTGGGATTACAGCGCCTGCCACCGCATATGGCTAATTTTTCTACTTTTAGCAGAGATGGCATTTCGCCATGTTGGCCATTCTGGTCAAACTCCAGGTGATCCGCCCGCCTAGGCCTCCCAAAGTGCTGGGGTTAAAGGTGTGAGCCACCGGGCCGGGCCTTTATTATTTCTTTGAAGCAATATTGATTGATCACAGTGTCAAAATCCTAAGCAGGACATGAAGAAATGAGTGGGTAAACAAATACTGATACAGCAACTTTCACTTTTTATTCCAATGATTAAAATGTAAAAACAATATTCAGCCAGATTTTTTTCAACTTTTATTTTAGATTCAGGGGGTACATGTGCAGATTTGCCATCTGGGTGTATTGTCTGATGCTGGGGTTTGGGATACTATTAATCCCATCACACAGGTACTGAGCATAGTACCCCATAGTTAGTTTATGAACGCTTGCCCTCCTACCCACCTCTAGTAGTCCTCAGTGTCTATTTTTGCCATTTTTATGTCCTTAAGTACCTACTGTTTAGCTCCCACTTATAAGTGAAAACATGCAGTACTTGGTTTTCTGTTCCTACATTAATTTGCTTAGGATAGTGGCCCCCAGCTGCATCGATGTTGCTGCAAAAGACACAATTCTGTTCTTTTGTATGGCTGCATAGTATTCCTCAGTGTATACGTACCACCTTTTCTTTATCCAATCCACTACTGATGAGCACCTAGGTTGATTCCATGTCTTTGCTACTGTGAATAGTACTGTGATGAATACATGTGTGCACGTGTCTTTTTGGTAGAACAAGTTATTTTCTTTTGGGTATAAACCCAGTAATGGGATTGTTGGGTTGAATACTAGTTCTGTTTTAAGATCTTTGAGAAATCTCCAAACTACTTTCCACAGTGGCTGAGTTGATTTACATTTCCACTAACGGTGTGTAAGAGTTCCCTTTTCTCTGCAGCCTTGCCACCATGTGTTGTTTTTTGTTCTGACTTTTTAATAGTAGCCATTCTGACTGACATGAGATGGAAATGATACCTCTCATTGTGACTTTGATTTGCTTTTCTCTAATGATTAGTAATGTTGAACATTTTTTCATGTTTGTTGGCCACTTGTATGTCTTCCTTCTAGAAGTGTCATTTCTGGGATACAGGGTCATTTCAACATATGCAAATCAATAAGCATGATTCACCACATAAACTGAATTAAAAAAACACATAATCATCTCAATAGACACAGAAGAAGGTTTTGATAAGATCCAACATCCTTTCATGATAAAATCCCTCAGGAAACTAGGCATAGAAGGAACAAACCTCAAAATAGAAAGGGCCATCTATGAAAATGCAATAGCCAACATTATACTAAATGGGCAAAAACTGGAAGTATTTCCTTTGAGAACCAGAAAGAGACAAGTATCGCCACTATCACTACTCCTGTTCAACATAGTACTGAAAGTCCTTGCCAGAACAATCAGACAACGGAAAGAAATAAAAGGCATCCAAATAGGAAAAGAAGTCAAATTATCTCTTTTCACTGGTGATATGATGCCGTACTTAGAAGACCCTAAAGACTCTGCCATAAAAAAGAATGAGATCCTGTCATTTGCAACATGAATGGAAATGAAGGTCATTATGTTAAGTGAAATAAGCCAGACCACAGAAAGACAAATATCATGTTCTAACTTGTTTGTGGGATCTAAAAATCAAATCAATTGAACTCATGACCATAGAGAGTAGAAGAACAGCTACCAGAGGCTGAGAAGGGTAGTGCAGGAGGTGACGGAAGGAGGGTGAAGGTTAATGGGTACAGAAAATATAGTTAGAAAGAATGGATAGGACCTAGTATTTGATTGCATGACAGGGTGACTATAGTCAATAATAATTTAATTGTACATTTTAAAATAACAAGTATAATTAGATGGTTTGCAACACAAAGACTAAATGCTTGAGGGGATGGATACCTCATTTTCCAGAATGTAATTGTTATGCAATGCATACCTGTATCAAAACATCTCATATACTGCATCACTATATACACCTACTATGTACCCACAAAAATTAAAAATTAAAAAAAAATTTTAAAGACTCTACCAAAAGGCCCATGGAACTGATAAATGACTTCAGTAAAGTTTCGGGATACAAAAATCAACGTACAAAACCCAGCAGCATTTCTTTTTTAAAAAACTATACTTCAAGTTCTGGGATGCATGTGCAGAACATGCAGGTTTGTTACAAGTGCCACGGTGGTTTGCTGCACCCATCAACCCGTCATCTACATTAGGTATTTCTCCTAATACTATCCCTCCCCCAGCCCCCATCTTCCCACAGGCCCCCAGTGTGTGATGTTCCCCTCCTTGTGTCCATGTGTTCTCATTGTTCAACTCCCACTTATGAGTGAGAACACACGGTGTTTGGTTTTCTGTTCCTGTGTTAGTTTGCTGAGAAAGCTGGTTTCCAGCTTTATCCATGTCCCTGCAAAGGACATGAACCCATCCCTTTTTATGGCTGCATAGTATTCCATGGTGTATATGTGCCACATTTTCTTTATCCGGTCTATCATTCATGGGCATTTGTGTTGGTTCCAAGTCTCTGCTATTGTGAATAGTGCTACAGTAAACATACATGTGCATGTGCCTTTATAGTAGAATGATCTTTAATCCTTTGACTATATACCCAGTAATGGGATTGCTGGGTCAAATGGTATTTCTAGTTCTAGATCCTTGAGGAATCACCACACTGTCTTCCACATGGTTAAACTAATTTACACTCCCACCAATAGTGTAAAAGCATTCCTATTTCTTCACATCTTCTCCAGCATCTGCTGTTTCCTGACTTTTTAATGATCACCGTTCTAACTGGTGTGAGATGGTATCTCATTGTGGTTTTGATTTGCATTTCTCTAATGACCAGTGATGATGAGCTTTCTTTCATATGTTTGTTGGCCACATAAATGTCTTCTTTTGAGAAGTGTCTGTTCATATCCTTTGCCGACTTTTTGATAAGGTTTTTTGTTTTTTTCTTGTAAATTTGTTTAAGTTCCTTGTAGATTTTGGATATTAGCCCTTTGTCAGATGGGTAGATTGCAAAATTTTTCTCCTATTCTCTAGGTTGCCTGTTCACTCTGATGATAGTTTGCTGTGCAGAACTTTTTAGTTTAATTAGATCCCGTTTGTCAATTTTGGTTTTTGTTGCCATTGCTTTTGGTGTTTTAGTCATGAAGTCTTTGCCAATGCCTATGCCCTGAATGGTGTTGCCTAGGTTTTCTCCTAGGGTTTTTATGGTTTAGATCATGTGTGTAAGTTTTCGATCCATCTTGAGTTAATTTTTGTATAAGGTGTAAGGAAGGAATTCAGTTCTATACATCAATGATGTTCAAACCAAGAGCCAAACCAAGAAGGCAATCCCATTTACAAAACCTGCCCGAAAAACCAACTTAGGAATACATCTAACAAAGGAGGTGAAAGATCTCTACAAGGAGAACTACAAATTACTGCTGAAAGAAATAAAAAATGACACAAAGAAATGGAAAAACCTTCCATACTCATGGATTGGAAAAAATCAATTTTTTTTAATGGCCATATGGTCCAAGGCAATCTTAAGATTCAGCGCTACTCCTTTCAAGGTACCAGAGTCATTTTTTTTTTCACAAAACTAGAAAAACACATTCTAAAACTTATATGGAACCAAAAAATAACCAAAATAGCCAAAGTAATCCTAAGGAAAAATAACAAATCCAGAGGCATCACATTACCTGGCTTCAAACTATACTGCAAGCCTACAGTAACCAAAACAGCATTGTGCTGGTACAAAAACAGACACATACACCAATGGAACAGAATAAAGAACCCAGAGATAAAGCTGCATACCTACAGCCATCTGATCTTCCACAAATTTGACACAAACAAACAATAGAGAAAAGAGTCCCTAGTTAACAAATATGCTGGGATAACTGGCTAGCCACATGCAGAAGAATAAAACTGGACCCCTATCTTTCACTATATAAAAAAAATTAACTTAAGATGGAATGTATATTTAAATGTAAGACTTCAAACTGTAAGAATCCTGGAAGAAAACCTAGGAAACACTATTCAGGACATTGGCCTTTAAAAAGAATGTATGACTAAGTTCTCAAAAGCAATTACAACAAAAACAAAAATTGACAAGGGAAACCTAAACAAGAGCTTCTGCACAGGAAAAGAAACTCAACAGAGTAAACAGACAACCTACAGAATGGGAGAAAGTATTCACAAGCTGTGCATCTGACATGGGTCTAATATCCAGAATCTATGAGAAAGTTAAACAACTGAACAAGGAAAAGAAGAAAAAATCCCATTAAAAATTGACAAAACCAGCCTGGGTGACAGAGTGAGACTCCGTCTCAAAAAAAAAAAAATTGACAAAAGATAGTTTTTTTGAAGTCTCATGTGCATATGCACACACTCATACACACACACACTTCTACTATTTAACCAGTTTTAAATTGCAAATGTAGCTTTAGGAAAGAGTGTATTTTACAAAGAACAATTTTCCTGAAAGAGTCATAATTTATCATATCAGAAACTAAGACTAACTTTTTCATCATAAAAAAACTGAAAAATACAGATGAAAGTGATGAAAGATATTCATTTGGAAATGGAATTGAATATGTATGACTAACTTTAATTACTATCAGAAGAATAGCTGCATAAATTTAATTATGGTTCTTTCCAGGGGACAGAATTCCAGGTTCAGAGTTATAGGAACTGGGCTTACATTGAAAACGAGTCACTTAGAAACTAGACTATGAGGCAAAAATCATCAATCTTTGAAGGGGAAGAGTTTGCTTAATTATAAAGAGAAACTACCACAGCAGCCTCCTTACCATCTCACAGTGGAATTTTATCCTTGTGGCATCAGGCCTAGATAGTTTCCAATGTAGTCTGCCATCTTGGATTTCTCTCTGGATTCCTCCCTCTATTTTCCAGACACATTTATTTATACTTACTTTTCTTTCATTATTATTTTTAATAATTTTTGAATGCTTACATGTGTTCAATACTTTTACTCATTGAGACACAAGCCCAGTAAAGTTCATGCTTGTGGTGGTACCTGTGGATAAGCTATCCAGACCCCTCTCGAAAAAGCACTTATTTACACAGATGCTGGAAGTATTTTTGGCATGGATAAATTATTCCAGTTAGCCACCAATTTAGTTGATGGCTAAACACCTCTCCAAAGTGCATTTTAATCAGGAGATTTTGAAGCTGCTATTGTCTTGATAATCCAAATGAATGAAGCAATAATTGTAGAAAAAGAAGTTGGGTTAATATTTTGGATGCAGGAAAAGTTTTAGCATCAACTCTATTACCTTGTGGGCTCAGCTGGTATAAATGCCAGGAAAACCGATGCTAAGGAACACATCCTAGGCTCTGACCTCAAAATAATCTCAAATGGAACAATCCAAAAAAAATACAATGATGCACACAGCAATATGCCAAATGAATCTCTATACTCAAGGATCCACTTGTTTTATTTCTTGTGTATTTTGGCAGGATCCACTTGTTTTATTTCTTGTGTATTTTGGCAGAATTTCACCTAAAACCAGTCATTCTCCAAACATTTCACCACCTTTACCTCTTCCTAAAGCACACCTGTGGAGATGTTCTATGGTCTATTTGGAAATTTTGATAGATCACAGTTTCTAGAATGCTTCCCGTCATCTATCACACTCCTCAACACCCTTCCTAAATTTATCATTGGTAATGATCAGAAATCCAGACCAGGGGAATGAGTGACCTGGTATTATAATTTGACCTGTACCAAATGACATTGACATACTTTACCTAAATCATATAAAAATTACTTGTAGAAATGATTATGCATTTGTTTAAAAGCAATGTATCTATTTCCAATATGTCTAAATTCTTTTTAAATTCATGGACATATTAACAGATCTTTTAAAATCCAATTTTGAGTAACACAGAATCAACCATAAAAAGCAAACTAACCCAAAACTACTGTTTTTTGGTTTAGTTTGTTATAATTTATGACTTCAGGGTAGGAATGGAGGGTGGTGTGGGTTCTAATTTACTTCTGGAAAGTGCTGTTCCTCTTTTGAACGAGATTACCCTTTTCCTGAACATATTTTCTTCCTTTCCTTTTTTCTTTAAATTTTTTTGCTGTTCTCTCCTTTTTGTCCTTTTCTCTTTCTTCTTAACAGGCCACAGGAGGAGTGCTGAGGAGTTTGTGATGTAGTGGAGCCATTCAAAAATTCTTTTTTCACAGCTCAAGATTTACTTACTTAGGTTTTAGACAAAAGACATGTCTTTCTTTCCATGACCCAATTAACTGCATATAATGTAAGTTCCTAACTCAATGAAGCAGGGCAGAGGTGGGTCATAAGTACAAGAGTCTCTGAGATTCGCCTCTCTGAAACTGGCTTCACAAGCAAGGTCTCTTGCATGTTGCTTTAAAATGACCACTGAAAATGTAAAGACCTATAACTGGTAAATATATTTGCAGTTATTAGTAAATAATGATATCACAAGAGTAGAAGGGAAAAAAAAGTTACTTCTTACTGAGGTTGACTTATAATACACTGAGTTGTATTTTCAGCCACTCTGTAATCTATTATAAAACTCAAATCTAACAAATTCAGATAAATTTTCAATAATCTATCACCAAGATTATAGATATTATTTTTTCAGAAATAGTAGTTTTATTTCTTGTTATTATGAAGAAAAAAAACAACATGGATTTTTCATTTCTCAAGAATTCATGGATAATATTTAGTAATGAATTTAAATAATTGTTGATATTTTAACAATAAATGCAAAAGCAAGAGTGGAATATTTTATCAAATATTTATGTATGAATGTATGGACAATTTACATATTTATTTTATGTAATATAGCTTAAGTATAATGTTTAGAACTGTTCTGTTGTTTCAAACTGATGTCTATCCAATTATTTTTAATAATAGTAAATTGTTCACTTTAGTGTAGCATTATCCCCAGTGTGTTATAAACTATCATTTGAATATGCATCCCTTTTAAAAAAATTTGTAGAATTTTTTGAGAATAATTTGTAAGTTAGACACTACTGCAAGGAATAATGAAAAGAGAGAACTAGAAGGCCAAGTATTATGTATACTCTTGATATGACCTTAAAAATCTCTTCCGCTTTATCTTTTATTTTTTAGAGGCTCAAATATCCTCATCAATACAATTTAAAATTTAAAAACGGACTAAATGAGCTCCATGTTCTCTTGGTATCTTCTAAAAATATCATTATTCCATTGCATCATTTTAATCTATTTAAGGATATTCTACATATCTCCCATTGTTTCTTGATTTATAAATAGAATATGTAAAATATAACAATTTGTATTCAATGTGTTAAATGATATCTATGCATGCATATAGTTCTTCAGTAACATGTACCCTGACTCTATGGAATAAAATTTTCTCATTGTAAAAAAGTTATTTAAAACATTTTTATATTGAAAAGAATGTGTTAATACGCAATAGAAATTCATAACCAATCATTATATTTAGCCACTTAACTTTTCATTCAATATTTGCTAAAGCACTGAATTTATGGCTAAAATATAAATCAATAGATTTTTAAATCTAAGTCATCTAATATACTTGAAAAGAATAAAATAAATTGAATATATGTGACTGACTGAAGCCACTTCACCTTCAGAAATATATACAACGGATGTTTTTAAAGAAAGCATACCATGATCAATTTTCAATATAAAAAAATGAAATATCAGCTTTTGTGTGACAAAAGAAATGAAGCAATTTATTGAGTTAGTCCAACATAATACAATTTTGATCTATTATCCTACAATAAGTATTATGGTCACTTTCAGTCATTAATAGAGCCTCTATTCAATAATTAAGAGGTTCATTCCATCATATAATAAACATACTGATATATAAAAGCTTTAAATCTTCTCTAAAATCATTCCTAAAATCAGTCCTGCTTCAGTCTGAAAACCTGGAGACTGAAAGAAGCTCTTTGTCATCTTCTCTCTTTGTCTCTCCTCCTCCTCACACCTATTCCCAGCTTATGGTCTAGTCAGGCCCTTGAAGACCCCTTGACCTGAGTGATCGCATCCCTACTCCATGCCGAGAAGTCTTTCCATGCCTTCCACAATCCAGCCTTCAACCTGAGTGTGTCACCCAGGTCCTCTAATCCCTATCCTTTTAGGAGATCCTATTGCACAAAACCCTAGACATCAGCATATGTTGTATTTTACTTCCATTAACCCCATGAAAAGCTACTGCACTGACTTGGGGAGGGCCATGCAAGGAGCAGAGGAGCGGGGTTCACGGCACAGCTTCCTCTGAAAATCTGCTTCCAAACCTCACTCTTCGCCATTTTACATATAAAAGTATACTCTATATTAATATATAGAGTATATATATATATATTATGCTATATATTTTTGGCTTCTAACCACTCATTACTTTTCGTTCAGGATACTATTTTTCTTTTCTACATATTTTTGTCTTTTTCTTGTATATTTTGTTCATAATTTAATTAGGTACCATTTTGATATATTTAATTACTTATTTGATTAATATATACAGTATACTTTATACATATATATATGTATATATATAATATGCTATATACCAAGTACAGCATATATGTTCAGATGTTCAAGTGTCCTAGGACATATTTTTATAATAATATCTCCCTACAGTGATTTTTACCTCATACAGTTTCGAGTCTAATCTCTTTCTTATTTGAATCCAAGTCAAAACTAAAGCAAGAAGACACCAATTCTAACTTACTACCAGTCACTTATTACCATAATAAACCTACATTACAAACACCATGAAACTCTCTCTATAGCTTTATATAATAATAGTGTTCTCATTTGTGTATGAGAGTTGGCTGGGGTTTGGTTGATGTGAGCTGGGCTCCTCAGGGCTTCCCTCTAAGCTCCAAGTAGAGACCACATCTGCACCATGTGTCTCTCATCCTTTTGGGACCAGTGCAACCAGCTGGGGCCACATTCTTGTCATGCATCCCCAAAGTCCAAGAGAGCAATCCTTAACGTACAAAACACATTTCAAGAGTTTGCTCCTGTCAAGTTTTCTAACACTAAATTGGCCAAACAAAGCTTTAAGCAGGAAATTATAATATCTCTACCTCTGATTGAAGAAGCAGGAAAGTCATGTGGAAAGGGAGGAGTAAAGTATCATGGCAATAATTCAACCTATCACATGTATTGTCTCTGAAAGTTATCACAAAGTCACATGCTTCAATTCAGTATTCAATGTTATTGCTGCTACATTCATGGCTGCTGTCTTCAGACCAGAAGATAATTTCAGAGATGAAGGTAATCTATGACTATCAGCACAGTTGCCCATGATGCTGTCATAAATGAATATAAAAACGTTCATTTTCGAAATTAATTTGCTAAATTTTCATCTTGAGTTCCATTTCCTCAGTTTCTCTTAAATGTTACTTTCCACATGATACTAGCAACTTCTTTAGAACTTGCATTTAAATTTAATAAATTCTTCTGTTAAAGCAATGTTTTACCTTGCAAGGCAAGAACATAATATCTACCAAATTGAGAATTTAATTAAATTTGATGTTGCCTATGTGTAATTATATTTTGGCCTCTAACCACTCATTACTATTCATTTGGTATAGTATTTTTCTTTTCTACACATCTTTTGTCTTTTTCTTGTATATTTTGTTCATAATTTAATTAGGTACTATTTTGAGTCCCAGACTCAAGTGCTTTGCTATCAGTGTATAATTTGGATCTTTTTTTCAATTCTAGTCCATCACTTCCCCACATGTAATTTATAGGTAGAAATTAGAGATTCTGATAGTGTGAAGAAACTGTGCACTTGACCCTAATGTTATAGGTATTTTTAAAAAATATGTTGATTTCTATAAACTTTTAATGTGAAATCATTATAGACTTACAAAAATGTTGCAAAGATAATAGATTCAAAATTTTATTGTATACCCTTTACTCATATCCTGCTAATGTAACAGCTTATATTCATGGTATAATTATTAAAAGTTAGAAATAAACATTGACAAAACATTTTTAACAAATGACTTGGTTCAAATTTCCCCAGATTTTCCACTAATGTAATTTTTATATTTCTGGATTCAAGCCAGGATATCACCTTGCATTTATCTGTCTTTTTTTTCTTGGTCTTCACCAACCTGTGACAGTTCCTGAGTCTTCTCATCTTTCATAGCTTTGACATTGAAGAATACTGGTCACATATTTTGTAAAATGCCCCTCAATTTGGATTTGTCTGCTCTTTTCTAGTGATGAGACTAAGGTTATAGAGTTCCTGAAAGGAATGACGGAGAAGTGATGGGCCCTACTTATCACATGATATTAGGATGCACATGAACTCGATATATCTTATTACTGGTGATGTTAATCTTCATCATTTGGTACAGGTGGTATCTGCAAGTTCCACTGTTAAATTACTATTTGTTTCTTCTTTGCAGGCTCTAGTCATTGGAAGCAGGTCACTAAGACCAGCCCATATACACAGGGTGAAGAATTAAGCTCCTTCTTCTGGAAAGAAGTGTATGAAAGTATCTATGAAATATCTTAAAACCATCACAATAATTAATAAATATTTTGGGGAAATTACTTTGAGGCTGTAAAAATATCCTGCTTATCCTAGCCTAATCGGTTCAGTGTTCATTATGGAAGTTGCCTGCAGCAATTATTACTGTAGTACTCTAATAGTGATTTTCTAATTCCCCTTTTACTTTCACATTTATTGAATGGAATTCTTGTGTAAGGAGATGTCTCTTCTCCCCTATTTATTTACTTATTTATTCATTCAACATTAATTTATACCAGTAGAGGGTTATGGATATTTATTGTGTTATTTGGGTTAAAATGCAAATACTATAAATATTTCATTATTCATGTGGTTCCAGATTAATCCACTGACAGCTCTTCCAGTTGTTTCTTAAGTCCTATGGACAGGTCCATTTTTATTTTCCCTTTTCTTACCTTTTTCTTTTCTTTTTTAAGGAGTTGCTTACTCATCACAAGACGCTCCAGATTCATCTTGTATTTTTGCTCCCCCAACCCCGATTCTCCAAGGAGTTCTGCTTGCAGAATGTTATTTAGAAATCTGAGTATTTAGAAATTTGGGTATTAGATGTACATATTCACATTCCTGCTTAATTTTAGAAAGACTAATCATTTTCACAAAATCATGATAATTGGTTAACTTTACTTGCTTCCTGATGGTTCTTTTCTGTTTCTTTCTTTGTCTCTGAGCTATTCTTCCTCAATATTCTACCCTGATTGTGTGATACCAGAGGACATTAGTACACCTCTTACTTTTGGATTTGCTTTCCTTATTTCTTCTTTTTGAAAATTCTGAACATTATGAAATACTCCTTCCTACTTATCTGTTCTTTTCTCTTTCCTGTCAATCTCTAAAAGTTTAGCCAGTCTCATAGATTCACAATTTACCTACAATATTGACTTCCTTCTATCTCCAGTTTGCCTGACAGTTGAGCCCTCTTTCATGCCTAACTTGGTTCAAATGTTATATTTGCCACAGCCATCCTTACGTGTTTCAAAAATACCCCAATTTTTATCACTAGATATTAATTTCCATGATAATACAAAAGAGGGTTACCAAAGAGTAATTTGCAGATTGAGTTGAATTTTTGAACAATATTTTTTATCATTCCCCTGGCCTTCTTTTATACTCTTGCATGGTAACAGCTTGCAATACAAAAAAAAAAAAATAAGGCTGCCTACAGATGTGAATGCCAGTCTTCTCTTTGTAATCTAGGCCCTCAGGAAAGCCATAATTATTAGAAAGAGACAAAATCCTAGAATTGCTTAATATATAAATGCTGCATTAGTTAATGTGTAGGTTCAGATACTAGTGTAACAAAAACCCAAATTAACCATGATTTAAACTAGATAGAAGTTTATCATTCCTCTGCATACGGTTTGAGGCATGTAGACCAGGGCAACATAGCAGTTCTGCCATATGAGGTCACCAAAGGAACCTGGTTCCTTTTTACCTAGGGATGTTCTGCAATATTTAGGGTCATCCACATGATTCAAGGTTGTGCAATACCATGTCTGCACTGCAGCACACAGGAGAGAGCAAAGATAAAAAGGAGAGGGCAATTTATTTCCCATTAAGGGTACAACCATTACTTTGCATTCATCTCTTCATCTGCCATCCTTTGAACAATTCTTGGACACATGGTCACACGGTCACACTTAACTGTCTACACAGCTGGGAAACATAGTGTTTGTACTAGACAATCACATATGTAGCTAGAAATCAGGTGGTTTCTAGCATTACAGAAGAAGGGGAGAAGTAATGTTTGAGGACTATGAAGTCTACCTCTTCAAGAAATACCGAAACCTCTATTTTCCCTTTAATATGTTTCCTCTCTCCCTTACTCTCACTGAGGTTTCCCTATCCTTAACTCTCCAAACCTCACTCATGGGTTATTTTCCCATGCAATAATCACACTCCTCTCCCTAAACACAGGATATCCTAAACCTGTTCACTAATGATCTCTCATCTTCCTCTTCTACAAAACAAATGACATGTAATGTTAACCTGCACTACACAAGCCCATGAATAGGAATTTTGTGAAATTAATTGCATGAAAACTATAACTTTACACTGATTTTGCCCCCTCAATAAATATCAAAATTAAAAATTCTCTAGATTCTACCAGTTTATTAAAATATTACTTGAAAATATTATTGCTTCATCTATTATTAATAACAAATTACTTTTGACTTGCCATCAGGACAGCATTATTATGTTAAAAACTGCTCTCTGCACTCAAAATTATTATGAAACCGATTATTGATGACATCGTTCTCCCTGCAAAAATATCAATTGCTTCTCATTGTCTTGTTTCTAGAATTAACCTTTTTTGACCAATTTTCGTGACTTTTGGATTTAGAGCTTACTTATTGAGCATAAAAATAATTACACAGAAGATATTAAATCATTAAACATTAAATGACTTCTTATCTTGTAACAGTTATTTTCCAGGCCTGAGCTTTTATTGTAGGCTGCAGTGTTTGTTTACCTGTACAAGGATATGCAAATCTGGTCTCATGGAAAAGCGTAATTTGCCAGCAGTGATCTTTCTTCTAATTTCCTAAGCCAGCCCAACTGAAAAGACCCTGCATCCCCATAAAACCAAGAATGAATCATCCTTTGATAAATCCCAGAAGTTTCTTGTTTCTTTGCTCCCAGACATTTTTGTTTGTCTGCTCTTTTTATTTTGTTTTTCACATACTTGGAGTTGCCTTATCCTTCTCTCCAAAGGAAGTCTTCCAGCTTAAGGCAACACATAAAATATGTAGAGAATGATAATTTTTCCTCCAAATATTGATTGTGCATTCTCCTTTTCATATTAATAGTGAGATAATAATTTTTCCTTAAAAATATTTTCTGTGTTTTTATACTTTAATGTACATTATGAATCAGAGTACCACAAAATTATGATTAGATTTATAGAAACATTAATAGGAATGATGGTTTACTTCTAACTTATGATCCATTATGGAATTTAATCATACAGCCCTATTCAACTTCTAATTTGATTAAACTAAGCATCAAATTCACTTTCAAGTTCTCTGAAAACAAAATGATCAATTTATAGGTCTAAGAGTTTTCTTTTTAAATTTTACCTTCCATATTATTTTTCCATCAGGATCACTTGTTCTTAAAAATTTGTACACACACCACTTAGATGTTAATTTCCTGTATAAATCAGGGAAGGCCTGAATCACTGTCATTGCCTGCCATCTCTCTGCAACTTTCCAAGGCTGATCATGAACTGCTTCACGACTGTTGTGCTGCCAAGCTTGCCATGTGTCATTTTCCAGTTGACTTCCAAAATATGGCACCATTTTCCACATTAACACTTATCTGTGAAGACATTATGCACTGTAATCAGGTTCCTCCAATGTAAAACACACACTTCCAAGTTCAATGTTAAATCATTAAATCAGCAATGTTAGGTGTGGGGCCTAGAGTTTGATCTGCATAAGAGGGAAAGAGGGAAATAACCAGGAAACTCAGACATTCTATAGTAAGTCATAGCTTGAGTCAATCATAAGAACTGATTCAAGTGTTATTTAGTACACATTTGTAAATAAGTCTACAGTCATCACCAATTTATCCCTCTTTAAAAATTATAAATATATGTATATATTATCAAGCTTGGGTGGGAGAGAGGGCAATATTTGTAAGAGAGATATAGAATATGAAATAATAAATCAGCTTGCCCCTGTAACATCTGTTCTTTTTCCTGGAAATTTCTCCCCATACTTCTTCCTGTGATTCCCTAGGATTTAATAACCTTCACTACAAGGTTTCCAGATATATGGCATCAAATATTTTGGACCATCCTCATATCTAAAACCA
Source organism: Homo sapiens (assembly GCF_000001405.40). NCBI lineage: Eukaryota > Metazoa > Chordata > Mammalia > Primates > Hominidae > Homo > Homo sapiens. The sequence goes on along the minus strand of NC_000005.10, from coordinate 11,983,846 downwards.
TCAGAACTAATGAATATTAAGGTTGCATAGATTATACCTGAATCTATTATGATTACAAGCAATATGAGAAAATAAGAATACAGGGAAAGCAGTTATAATGCTTATGGTTATAAGCATTATAAGCTGAATTTTTATAGGCATTATGAGAAAATAAGAATATAGGGAAAGGAGTTATCACAGAGACTTTAGATAAGGAAATATAGAATGATCTCCAGCTCTAATGGTATAAAATCCAAGAAAACTTAAAACTCTAAACTTCTGAGGCCAAGAAGAAAGACTTAGGGATTCTTTAGGTACACCTAAAAAAAAAAGTTACAATCTGATTAAACCATCCAATACCAACTGTTCTCAGTAAGGGCATTTGTTAGTGATCTCACGGTCCAGGAGATAATGGTACAGAATTAACAACCAATGGATGATTTTCAGGAATTAGTAAAGTCAATTGGCAATGCCTGAGAATATGTAATAAAGTTCAGCCTTACTCTTGATTAAGAAAAAAGCAGTACAAGTATTTGTTTTTTCAAAATAGAAATGTAGTGCAAGACATAAGAAGAGAAAAAATAGCCTCCAGAGAAGAGAAATATAAAAACATGAAAAGGGGAGGGCTTGCTGGGAGATTGTAAAAATGAATAGAGCAATGAAACTAAGCAATAACATGGAAAGATGGTAAATGTTGATGTATCATATTTTGGTCAGCAATGGAAGTTGGCTTACTGGGGAAGAGACAAAGATGGCCCTAGGGAGTAATAGAAGCAAAGAAGCCGAGGAAGAAAATATGCTGAATATAGTCTCAGAGTTGGGAATCTAAGTTTAATTTTTAAAAAGTCAGGTTTCATAAGACAGAGAAGTGCAGAGCAAATAAAATAGAATTTTCTAACACACAGTCAAGTGGGCCTGGCACTCTGCTCCTCTTGCTTTTTATTAAATCCGACCTTAAGTTAGGAGTTTAATTCTAGATTTCACCATACAATACACATTTTTAAAGCAACACACGCCCCTCAGCATTTTTGACTGAGGAAATGTGTATAAAGGCATTATGTAGCTGTTCTTATTCCTTTAATTTTGATGAAGTGTGAAGGTAAATTTATGACTGTATTATCCAATCAGTTTGGTTCAGCATTGTTAGGAAAGGAATATTGTAAATACTCTTAATAAAGAATAAACATTCATAATTTAAGATTGCCAATTGTCAAGAACTGAAACAGAGTAAGTATGCCTACCTCTGTTTTTACAGTTCCTACACTCCCATCATTTTCCTCAACCCCAAATCCCACCTCCACCCCTAAATATATTTTCCATCTCTTTTCTGCTGACAACTACATTTCCACTCCAGTTGTATTCCTCCTCTCAGTCAGGGCATTTGGTCCTTTCTTAATGCTCTGCATTGACAAAGATGGCAGCCACTGTGTAGGTGAATATGTGATAAATATTACTCTAATCTAGATAGTGGCACAAGGACCAGTATTCCTATATCATCTGCTACAATGTCACCAAGATTTTCTTCACAGAGTAATGTTTTTAAATGTGCATTGTCCATGTGACTTTGAGTCAATGTACACCTTTTTATTTAGTGTTCCTCCCATCCCTTTTTCCATATGCTCATTGTTAAAAGTGAGTCACTAGGTCCAGGTCACTTGAGGAAGGAGATGCACAAGGGCGTAAATACCAAGCATGGAGATCACAGCGGGCCACCTCAGAGGCTGTCTACCACATCATGTTTAACCAGATTCTCTGATTCATGTGGTTGGCACAAACTGGAATGACCCATGACCCTGGCCTATATATATAACCTCCTCCTTTTTGAGTATGGGTAGAACCTCTAAATATGATGAGATAGCAATCCAGTGATTATGTTACGTTATATGACTGAGTTGACTGTAAGAAAGACAATCTGTATGGACCTGTCTGAATCGTGAGCCCTTTACAAGCAGAGAATGGTCTTCATGTGGTGGCAGATTAGGAGGTCAGAGAAAGTAGAATGTGGAAGGATACTCAAACCAAGGAGATTATTCATTGTTGACTTTGAAGATAGACAGGGCTGCATGGAAAGGAACAGAGAACAGCCTGTAGGAGCTGAAGGGAACCCCAGTCTCACAACCAGCAAAAGAACAGAGACCCCAGTCTATAGCCACAGGAAACAAATTCTGCCAACTACAAGAATGAGCTCTGAAGGGGATCCTTCCCCAGAGCCTCCAGATGAGACCTTTGCTCAACTTGGATTTCAACCTTGTGATACCCAAACAGAGAACCACTCACGTTGGGCCAGACATCTGATTTAAAGAGCTGAGGGATGACAAACGGCTCCTGCTTTCAGCCACTCCATTTGGGTAATTTGTTACACAGCAACAAAAACTAAAGTCCCCAGGTCAATCACCTTAACGTCCAGAGGCAAATTCTCCTGGAGAGTCTTCAGTGTTTAGACAACCCTGGACAGAGATACGCTTCTGTGCAGTAGTTTCAACCTTTGGAATTTTTCTAATGGTATATTTAACAGTAGGTGTTACTGTTAAAGATATACACACACATATATAGACACATGGATGCATATATAAAAATATATATGCATATATAAAATATATATTAAAATATTATATATATAATATATATAATCCATCTCTTAGGATTGCTTTGTCATTTATTGCAGCCTGGCCCCATTCCCCCAAGTTGGTAGCTAATGATCTAAACCAGAAGTTCTGTTTTAGTCCATTCAGCCTGCTAAAACAAAATACAAGAAACTAGGTGGCTTCAAAACAACAAAAATTTCTTTCTTTTCTTTTCTTTTCTTTTCTTTTTTTTTTTTTTTTTCTGAGATGGAGTCTCGCTCTGTCGCCCAGGCTGAAGTGCAGTGGTGCGATCTCGGCTCACTGCAAGCTGCGCCTCCCGGGTTCACGCCATTCTCCTACCTCAGCCTCCCCAGTAGCTGGGACTGCAGGCGCCCACCACCAAGCCCAGAACCTCGTCTCTACTAAAAATACAAAAAATTAGCCGAGCGTGGCGGCGGGCACCTGTAGTCCCAGCTACTCAGGAGGTTGAGGCAGGAGAATGGCTTGAACCCAGGAGGCGGAGCTTGCAGTGAGCCGAGTTCACGCCACTGCACTCCAGCCTGGGCAACAGAGCAAGACTCCATCTCAAAAAAAAAAAAAAAAAAATTTCTTGTGGTTCTGGAGTCTGGGAAGTCCAAGATCAAGGTGCCAGCAAATTTGATGTCTGGTGAGGGACTGCTTTCTGGTTCATAGATGGCGCCTTCTCACCCCGTCTTCAGATGGTAGAAAGGGTGAAAGAGCTCCCTCAGGCCTCCTTTAAAAGGGCACTAATCCTATTTCCCAGGGCTGTGCCCTCACAATCTAATCATTCCCCTAAAGGCCCCACTTCCTGATATCATCACCTTGGGGAGTCAGGATTTCAGCATGAACTCTGGGGGGACACCAACATTCAGACCATAAGAAGTTCTGTAAGTTTTCTGGCTGGTTGACTGAAAGGTCAGAAGTGTTTCCATGATAATACTAAGACCTTAGTTTTTTGCTTCACTTATTCTCTCACAAATATACAGTAGACTTTTTCGGAGGCCATATTGTGTGCAATTATCACAACAGATTTAATGCAGAGGCAGCTGAGAGATCTAGGTATCTTCTAGCGAGGCAGACGTTTTTTAAATTAAAACAATGCCACTCTTCCCACAGTTATTTCTCATTTTGGCAAACATGATTGTTTTCTATAGAAATGTTATTTATCTTAGCATGCAATAGATGTTCTACCGCTCTTTTTAAAATACTTAATTGTACATAATGATATTTATAATTTCTCAATATTAATTGCTTACATGGGAAATATCAACAGATGCAACCCATTAAGCAAGTTTTTTTTTGAGTTCTCGATATTGTTTAAGAGTATAAAGTAATTTTGAGACCAAAACATTTGAGAGTTTCTCATCTAAATCCTTCCTCTTACTAGATGCATTCATAGTTCACTGAATGAATAAAATAGATTTTATACTGTACTACTGGTTGATTTTGTGACTGTGAATTCCTATACCTTTTATTTGAAAGTACTCTAGAAAAATGCAGAACTTAAAATAGGCATACCTTTGATCCAGCAGTCCCACATCTGAGTATTTAGTCTAAGGAAACTAAGTTGTTATAGGAGAGAGGGGGGAAATCTTAGTAACTGTATTAATCAGGGAAGGTTAAGCTTATATTCTTATAAGAAAGAAATTCAAAATATTGATGATTTAACAAATGAAAGGTTTAAATCTCGCTCACACTGTATGTCCACAATGAAACTGAGGGTACTCTGCTACAAGGACCCACCCAGAGACCAAGGAAAAAATAACAACTATTCAGAATATTAGTTTAGCTATAAATATATGAGCTCCATTATGCAAAAACTAAGTCACTGACACATTTGTTATGTTAGCACAATATTCAAATATACTATACTAATGTTGTGATAAAACTCAACTACTTATGTGGAAGAGGTTAGAGAGAAGTCATAGAAAAGTATTTGATTTTTTAAAAAAATACAATCTGAAGTGGAGGTCTACATTATTGTCAGTTGCTTATTCTCTTATTTCATCAACCTAAATATCTCATTTTCTTTCCCTTTGAATAATATTCTGCAAAATGTACCCATACTTGTCTTTTATATCAGTTGAGTTTTAAAGGAAATGTGTTTTAGACAGGAAATTTTGGATCATGTTCAAAAAAATAACATTTTTGCAAAGTTGCTTTGACAAATAATTAGATTTGAAATGTGTATTTAAGTTTTAGACTGGCAATTGCTGCCTAGCAGATATTTTAAGCCAATAAAGCACAAGTAAATTGTACAGATGACAGGTCTAAAAGTTCACAACTTTTTATCCAACAGTCTATTGTTGATGGAAGAAAAAGTAGGTGACATTTTTGAACAGTGGTAAGTTTTTTAAAACATGAGATTTTCAATTATTTTTTCAATCTAAAATTCCACTTTTTAGGTAGAAGACAGATACCAGCAATGTTTTTCATAAGAGTTGTTAACATGAGTTACATGCTTAAATCTGAAAGTAACCCATCAATCACATTTATATATATCACAAAAATATTATGACTCCACCAAAAAATAAGTCTAGATTCTCAAATCATCTTTCATATCAACTATGCTTATCAAGGAAGAGTTATTACAAAAATAGTCTTTTGAAGGTCACAGGTATTTGAGTTTTCCTAGATGTTTATTCATACAACCTAAAATATGGCTTCTGCTGACATGGCTTTGCCCAGCAAACCAAATTACACAATACACAATGTTACCAAAGCCTGTTTTTTGCTTCATTGTTGTTGTTGTGTGAAATCAAAATATGAAAACACAATCCTGATTTAAAAAAAAAAACTGCCATTTGACAAATGCCACAGTAATAATTATTGCAAAGAATCATAAATAGGATGCTAAAATTAGTGAGTTAAAAAATTGTAAGAATCAGGATATTTGCATAGCCTCAAAGTATTGCCCCACAAGATATTAATTAGAAACCACATTACAGTGGTTATGCTTGGAAGACACCAGCAAGTGATAAAAGGTAACCAGTAATAAGATGGAGAAGGTGACGTGTTCTTCCCAATATCCTACACTCAGAAGGGTAGACATCCCTTTGTGGTATTTGTGCTAAAAATAGATAATCTGAATTTAATCGTAAGGAGATAGCTGACAAATCTGAATTCAGAGACATCCAGTTAAATAACCAATACTTCACAAAGGTGTCAGTCAATGTCACAAAAGACAAAGAAACAGCTGACATTTGGGAGGACTAAGGAGACAGAACAAATCAATGCAACAGGGATCCTGGATGGCAATCTGGACCAGTAACTTGAATAGATGGTCAAAACATGAGTGAAGGCTGTAGATTAGTCAATGGCATTGTATCAATGTTAATTTCCTGGTATAATTTCCTAGTACATATGACACCAAAGGCTATGAATAGATATGTTATGGAAGAATTAACATGGCAAATAAAGTTATAAAATGATGTCCAAATTCACTCACAGGTAAAGGAATGAAATATAAAATGATATTGAGAGCAAGCTTTACAAATCAAATTTGCAAAATTTAAAAACAATATATGAATAGCATGTAGGTGAAGGGTTGGGAAACAGGCAATCCCTTATATGGTTGATGCGTTTGTCAACGGGGATAACATTTTGCATGGCAATTTAACAGTATCTAGCAGAATTTCAAAAACACATGCTCTTTTATTCAACAGTTCCTCTGCTAGGAATTTACAGTACTTGTCTATTCTCAACAGTATCCTAAGGATGTCTATTTCCTGATAGTAGAAACTCCATGAGCAAACAAATTGTTTATCCCCTGCCAAGTTCTTAGGAGAATGTGGCACATACTCAGTGCTCACTACATGCTTGTTGAATCAGTGAATGTATGAGTCAATAAATGAATCAATCAATCAATCAATTGTAGCATTGTTTGCACAGCACAAACTACATACACATGCCCATTAAATAATCTATGATACCTCATGTACTATATAATATATAGTAGTTTAGATGTCTTTTTAAATAAGAAAGATCTGTGTATCTGATTTTCTAGATATTCAAGTTTAATACAAAGCCAGCTCTTAACTATCTATTGACAAAGCTTTACTCAATAAATCAGTATCATTTTTTGGTTTCCTTTTTATTGTCCCTTGAACCCATAATGTGGGCCATTTATTCCATAAACTTTGGATGAAATTTGCCGAGGTTTCATAACTTTTCCAGTCAGAGACAGATGACAAAAAGACTTAGGGTCATTTTCAGACAAGCAACCTTCTTGTTTTTGAATTAAAAGTCCTATGGAGTCAATTCCATAGTTTTCCCATTTGAGACTCCCTCTCACTCCCAGCTGAGGCCTGCTTCTGGGAGTGTGGGTTGGAGGAGGAACTCTGGGAGCCGGGAAGAGTAGGCATCCTTGCCCTTCTTCTTTGCTACTCCCTTCCCTATAGTGGCTCTGAGTTTTCTCCATGAGAAGGGGGACAGGAGGAGGGAAGGGGCTGAGGGCCAGACACAGATGCAAGCCTGGTGGTGACCTCTGGATGTGGCTAATATCCCATGGTGATTTTGTTCTCTCTTGTCTTCTTGGGAGGCTCTCTTGTGCTCAGACTGGACATTGCCTGGTACCAGCTTCCCCTCACCTTCTGCAGGTCTGGGTCTCAAGCCTCATGTGGGAAAGTCCTTCCAGGCTGTTCTCATAGAGCTATGGAGGAGCCCCAGGCCAGCCCCAGAATGAGTTCACATGTGATTGAGTGTGTAGACACTTCCTTGGCCACTCCTGCCCTGGAGTAAATGGCTTCTCTCAGGTGACCTCAGAGGCCTACTCCCATCCTCCCACCCAGAAACAACTTCTCACACTTCCCACCGCCACCTGGGGTCCAAAAGGGCCAATTACTCACTTCATCAAAGAAAACAGACTAATGAGAGGACAAATATAATTAAATCTTCAGGTCTGTCACAGTGGCTCATACCTGTAATTCCAGCACTTTGGGAGGCAGAGGAGGAAGGACTGCTTGAGCCCAGGAGTTCGAGAACAGCCTGGGAGACGCTGTCTCTACAAAAGTAAACAACAAAAAAAAAATAGCTGGGCATCTTAGCACAGGCCTTTGAGCCTATTTATTCATGAGGCTGAGGCAAGAGGATGCCTTGAGTCCAGGAGTTGGAGGCTGCATTGAGGTATGATCATTCCTCTGCACTTCAGCCTAGGCAACAGAGCAAGACTCAAAAAAAAAAAATCAAATATTTATATTCAGAGTAAAGTGCAAGAATAAAAAGTTTACCCAGGCACTAAAACAATCTAACATTAAATGTGATATGATTTGATGTGTGCTACTGAACTACATAGAATCCTATTTGGTAAACTTCTTCTATTTTATCTTTCTTCTTTTGGACTCAGTATCATAAAACAATTGTCAAATATAACAATTTTAACGATTTTTGGCAGCTGTAATTCAGATACTTGGAGTAATAATCGATGTGGGTAAAAAAACTGAAGAAATACTGTGATTTTAACTATAAACATATTAATTCTAAAACACAGGTTTTGCTTTTTAAATTAATAAACACCATGCTCTATATAAATTTATTTTTTAATATATCACATTTGAAAAAATCTTGTTAAAAAAGCACACACACACATAAGTATTTTTTGTAATGTCAAGCACTGAAATCTGGCATCATCTGGTATCTAATGAATATAACTACAGAATGAAGCATGGGATGGTATATGTTTAAAAAAATCTATTCTCAGCCACACTGCAATAACAAACAAAAAAAATGTGTCTGAGACTCTTCCTTTCTTCTGAGCAATCCCAGCCTAGACATCGACCCTTTGATAGATTGTGCGTGTTCACCTGGCTACTCAACAAAAGACTGAGTAAGAATTCTGAATTACATTCTTAAAATGTGAATTTATAGAATATGCTCAGTAACCAAGGGCTGATTGAATTTAACAGCACAAAAATACACACCCTAACGTGTGTTACCCTTTATTCTAAGGATAATATTTTCAAAGATTTATTTCATAGCTAATATATAAGGAATAATGAGGTAGGAACAAAACCAATACACAAGCACATTTAAGAAAAAATATTACTAGATGAAAACGGTGAAGCCACTTCAAAGTATTCTCCTCATATGGTGTTGATATTAATTTAAAACTTTTAACTTTTTAATTGAACTTTGAACAGGCTGTAATGCTTTAATGTAACAATGCCTCCTATATAATGTAATGTAGAACTGCTATTTCTAGCAATGTGGCAGGCGAAATATCCAGAAAATCGTTTCCTGAAATGCTGAATAAAATATTCACCCATGATTTTAAGTGCAAAGCTAGGGAAATAGAAGAAAATATCAGGTACCAAAATGCATGGGGAGCTGGAAACAAGAGGTAGAAACTTGTGAGTGATGCTAGTGTGGCCATTCTGACTTCATAATTAAAAGACTGCAGTGTGAATTGCCTCGTAACATAGATGACATATGATTAGGCATTGATATGGCTGGGCTGTGTCCCCACAAAAATCTCACCTTGAATTGTAATAATCTCCAAGTGTCGGGGGTAGTGCCGGGTGGAGATAATTCTGTCATGGGGACGGTTTTCCCCATACTGTTCTCGTGGTAGTGAGTAAGCCTCATGAGATCTCATGGTTTTATAAATGGGAGCTCCCCTGCACAAGCTCCCTTGCCTGCCATCATGTAAGCGGTAACTTTGCTCCTCATTTGCCTTCTGCCATGATTGTGAGGCCTCCCAGCCATGTGGAACTGTAAGTCCATTAAACCTCTTTCCTTTATAAATTACCCAGTCTTGGTATGTCCTTATTAGCAGCATAAGAACAGACTAATACAGGCATGCAAAAGGAGGGCTTGGCAATGGAATCCCACAAAGGTGGTTCTCTTGAGGAACTGCACCTTTGGTAAAGGATGGGTTTTAGGAAGGGAGGAAGTGAACCCTTCAGAAAGGGAGACAAGATACTTTTCTATCTGTAGGTTCTTCTCTAAAACTTCCTCATCACACGCACTCTCACATGAGTTTGAGTGCCTGATTCAGGTTAGCAATATCCCTCAGTGTCTGGAGAGCCCAGCAGGGCTTTCTTGGAGGGACATTTTCATATCCAGACACACAGGATTCTCATAGATAAAACCCCACTGAATATAAGGTCACAATTTAGAAAAAGAAATTATAAAAGCAAAAGGAAATAAACCATTATTAAGAATCACTAAAAATAATAAAGAATAAAATATGACACCTCCTTACAAACTTCAGATAATGAAATATTCAGGTATGAAATGTAAAATAAGTATGGAATAGTTTTTCAAAATACAAATAAAAATATGAACTAAATAAATACCATAAAAAGAATAGGAATGCTTGAAAAATAACCAATATGACTAGAAGTGAATAATATCAGCAAATTGAAAATTTGGTAACAATGTTAGATATCTAATTGGAAGACTAATTAAAAGAATATGTAGATTCAAGGCTATAACTGCAGAAATTATCCAGGATGCACCTTAGAAAGCCATAGATGGTGTAAGGAACATGGCCAAGGTAAACATCCTACGTGACTCAGTGAGTTTAGAACACAGGCGTATAACTCAGCTTGTTATCACAGCCATGTAGCCATAATATAGGAAGGCTCATCATTTGGCTCTAAGCCACTATTGTCTTTAAAAGGTATAATTGCCCTGCTGACGTGGTACAGGTGCTCGTGCCCAGAGAGAGAAAGAGTTAAGTAGCTGACCCTGAAGCCAAGAGAGAGCCAACTGTGCAGGTGTTCATGGGAGCGGCCAAACCAAGCAGCCGAGACAGAGCAGACAGTGTAAGAGAGCTGCTGATGAGAGAGCTGCTGGATAAAGCCGTATTTCACCTACCTATGGCCCCCTGAGTGTTTTTTTTCAGCTATCTGCCATTTATCCACCCACACCCCTCGGACCTCAGCATGGGCTGGGACCTGACAGATGGAAAATATGAAAGAATGGTTTTGAAAAATGGAGAATAAAATAAAAACATTCATCATATCTAATTACAGTGTGGAAAATTGAGTAAATGTTGGCTGTGGCACTCTGTGCAAAACAATGTCTCCAATAAAAGCCTAGCCCCCTTGCAGTCATATGACTTTGTAATGTTACTTGGCTGCCCACCATCAAAAGGCAAGTCCATTTCCACATTCCTTGACTGCGGCTGGCCTCCTAATTTGCTTTAACTAGTAGAATGTGGCAGAGGTGACACTGAATTCCAGAGTAGCTTCCACTCTTGACCCATTGATTTGCTGTCCTGAGATTTCAATATAAAGAACTTCATCTGGGCCCTTGTGCTCAGGAAGCCACAAAGGAAAGTAGAAAAACTAAAGTGCCCGATTGACTGCCAGTGCCATTGGCCAAACACATCTGTGAGACCACCTAATCCATTCAGCCCCATGTAGCCTGTCAAATGACTGCAATTACATGAGTGGCCCCAGGAGAAGCTGATTCCAGACCAACTGCTAACTGCAGAATCATTAGCTAATAAATGGTTGTTGTTCAAAAACCAAAAAGGTTTGGGGTGATTTGTTACTCGGCAACAGATAACTAATACATTTATCATATTCCAGAATGATCTCCAGAAGTACCACCAAGGTTTTATTGGGCCTGAAACTTTGGGGGGTTTTCTTTTAAAAAAGAAAGAATACAAACTTATAACTACACAATTAAATGTAAAAGTCAAAATGCATTTAGACTGAGAAAAAAATCACAAATTTTAAAAGGTTTGTGATAAATATTGCAAAATCACACAGTGCGGAAATAACATATTTAACAATTAACAATCACATACACATATTAATATTTGGCTAGTTATTCATAGATTATCTTTTTATATGACAATGATTTGGTGACAGTTTTAATTATAATGCAAAAGAGATAATTTAGTCTTTCCTCTAAGATGGACTCCCTCAACCTCAACACTATTGACATTTAGGGCTGGATAATTCTTTTTTTTTTTTTTTTTTTTTTTTTTTTGAGACGGAGTCTTGCTCTGTCGCCCAGGCCGGACTGCGGACTGCAGTGGCGCAATCTCGGCTCACTGCAAGCTCCGCTTCCCGGGTTCACGCCATTCTCCTGCCTGATAATTCTTTATTGTGGGGGCTGTCCTATAGATTGTAGGTTGGTTAGCAGCACCCCTGGATTCTAACCCCTAGATGATAGTTGTAACAACAAAAATTATATCCACACTTTGCCAATCATCCCTAGGTGGACATGGGGATAAAGTTACACTCTGTTGAAAATTACTCTTCTAGGATAATTGACCCTGGTTTATAATCATTTATCATTGATTTTAGGATGAATAAACACGCCACTATAGACATACTTAATTTAATACTGTTACATGTTTGTACAATACAAACATAAGAGTTTCGATAAATTCTATTTCATGGATTCCCATTGTTAAAAATATACTGTTATAGAAGTGAATTATCAAGTATTATTGTATTAGGAGGTAAATTCTGCTTTCACTAGTATTGTTGAAAATCATATTATCTGTTTACAATTTTATCCATTCGATTTTTTGAAAATTTGCCACAGAATGGCTTCTGACCCCATTTATTTCAACCTGTTCTTCATTCCCCATATCTTTTTAACACCAGGTAACAACACTTTTGTATCACAATATGAGCTTCCAACCTATACCTCTGCAAAGTTAATTTTGAATGAGGCAGACTAGTAAGTGGTAGACACTCACCCGGAGCCAGCCTACATCAGGACAGCTAGCAATTACATAATTATACAAACTAGAGACTGCCAAAGACGTAACACAAGTGACTATGCACAAATTTAAATGACTGCCCAATTTATTGTTCCATTTGCCTGATGCTCAAAATGCTCATGACCCCTTCAAGGCACTCACAAAAAGAAGTCAGACTAAAAATGAACATAGAGCACCCTTAAACAATCGAACGTGAAAATATATTAGTTTTGCACATGTTACAAAAACAAAATGCTTGGTTACCTTAGAGTTGTGAAAGGAGCTTGTATTAATCTGCTCGGTCTTCCATACAAAATACCATAAACTGGTGGCTTAAATAAAAATGTATATTCTCACAGTTCTGGAGGCCAGTTTTCCTAGTTTGCAGTTTGAAGGGACTAATGCATTAAGTGTTCTCTGAGAAGATTGGGCATTCTCTACAGCACTCCTCTTTCTTTTTTGGGCTCTCACCAAAATCACCCTTTATAGTCTTTTCATGGCAATGTAGTTTCTTTCTAGCATACACCTCAAAACTCTTCCAGCCTCTTCTCATTACCCAGTTCCAAAGCTGCTTACACATTTTTAGGTATTTTTTACAGCAGCACTCTACCTGTTAGAACCAATTTTCTGTCTTAGCCTGTTTGGGCTGCTATAAAAAAAAATACCATATACTGGGTGACTCGTAAACAACAGAAATGTATTTTTCACAGTTATAGGGGCTAGGAATTCCAAAATGAAGGCACTTGCAGATTTGCTGTCTGGTAAGGACCCACTTCCTGCTTCATAGATGGCTGCCTTCTAGCCATGTCTTCACATGATGAAAAAAGGAAGAGAAGTCTCTGCAGTCACTTATAGAAGAAAAATAATCTTATTCATTAGGGTTCCATCCTCATGACAAATCACCTACTAAAACACTCATTCTAAATACCATCATATCATTGATTGGGTTTCAACTTACAGATTTTTGGGAGACACAAACATTCAGCCTATAGCACGACTTTAGCTTGAATAATTTTATTGTACGTCCATCTGATTGTAATAAAACTAAAAAAAAAATTGGGGGAGGCATTTTTAAAACATAGACAAAGAGAAAAACCAGAAAGAGAGAATGCCTACAAAAGGAAAATAGGGCATTCATACACTTTTCAAGAGGAGCAATTGAATCCAGAAGACAGTGGAATGAGGACTACAAAATGCTGAAAATAAGTCAACTTAGAGTTTTATATTTGGTCAATGTGTCATTCAATTACCGAGTTGAAATGATGGCACTATCAGGAAACCTAAGACAGAACTTATTAATCAACAGAAACTTAACACAGGAAATTCTCAATTTCTCAATTTTATGTTTTGACAAGGAGAACGATTCCAGAAGGAAGATTTAATAGGCAAGAAGAAAGGTAGCCAAAAAAAGATGAATGTGACTGTATATGTGTGTGTGTATATATATATACACACACATATGTGTATATATGTGTATATGTATATATGTGTACATATATGTACACATATGTACATATATGTGTGTACATATATATGTGTACATATATGTGTACACATATGTGTATATATACACACATGTATACATATATATATATGCATGGATAGCTAAACATATGGCAAAACTAACAGAAATAAGGAGAAGCAGGGAGCAGCAGTGCATGCCTGTAGTCCCAGCTATTTACATGGCTGAGGCAGGAGCATCACTTGAGCTCAGGAGTTCAAGGCCAGTCTGGGCAACATACTGAAACCCCGTCTGAAAAATAAGTAAATAAATAAGGAGGCATCAAGGTTTAGAAACAATTCATTTTAAAAATTGAAAGTTGACAGATACCCATTATTACTTCAATACAGCACTGCTCTTAAGATTCTAAGCAGTAAAGTTAGAGGGAAAAAGTAATCAAATAAAAGTGGAAAAAATGAAAGCAAAGCAACAAATTACTATTATTTTCAAATAATGACTATAAAATTGTCTAAACAACAAATGCCAAGATTTTAAAAAACAATTAAAATTTAAAAATAATTGATCAAGGTTCTTGGATGAAAGATACACTAAAAGTAATAACAGATTCATAACTTGCAAGAAAAACTCTGAAGTATAAAGATAATTTTTGGAATGCCATTTACAATAGCATTAAAGCATAAAATATCTACAAAAAAGCTAAAGAAAGTTTTTTTATAAATTTTATGGAGCTAAGTCATACTTTTTTTAAATTTTAAGTCTTAAGATATCCATATGCATAGATTGTAATACTAACATTTGTTAAGATATCAGTTACCCGCAAATGGATTCACAATTATAAACAGACTTCTGAAAAAAACTAGAACACAGAAATTATCTTTATAACCTTTAGTTAAGAAATGACTTTTTAAAGTATACAAGCAAAGTATGAACAATAACAATATAATTAAAAGCATCTTTTTTTTCATATATGTGGAGAAAAAGGAATGCTTATACACTGTTGTTGGGAGTGTAAATTAGTTCCACCATTGTGGAAAACAGTGTGGTGATCTCTCACATACCTAAAGACAGAAATACCATTTGACCCAGGAATATCATTACTGGTTATATACCCAAAGGAATATAAATCATTCTATTATAAAGACACATGCACACATATGTTCATTGCAGCACTATTCACAATAGCAAAGACATAGAATCAACCTAAATGCCTATCGATGATAGACTGGATAAAGAAAATGTGGTACACATGCACCATGGAATACTATGTAGACATTAAAAAAAAAATGAGATCATGTCATTTGCAGGGACATGGATGAAGCTGGAGGCCACTATCCTTAGCAAACTAACACAGGAAGAAAAAGCCAAATACCCCATGTTCTCACTTATAAGTGGGAGCTAAATGATGAGAACACATGGACACAGAGAGGGAAACAACATATACTGGGGCCTTTTGAAGAGCAGAGGATGGGAGGAGAGAGAGGATCAGGAAAAATAACCAATGGATACTAGGCTTAATCTCTGCGTGATGAAATAATCTGTAAAACCAACCTCCATGACAGAAGTGTACCTATGTAACAGACTTGCATTTGTTTTTACCGATGTAACAAACCTGCTCTTGTACTCCTGAACTTAAAGGTAAAAAAAAAAAAAAAAAAAAACTCTGTCAAAAAAGTTTTTAAACATGTAAAAAAGGAACTTTCAGACTAACTTATTTGTAATATTTACTTCAACAAATAATTTAATTTTCAAAACCTTGAAGAATTCTTAAAAGAGAAATAGTACTAGGCCAGGCACGGAGGCTCCTCCCTGTAATCCCAGCACTTTGGGAGGCCAAGGCGGGCAGATCACTTGAGCCCAGGAGTTCGAGACCAGCCTGGACAACATGGCAAAACTCCATCTCTACAAAAAGTAGCCAGGCGTAGTGGCGGACACCTGTAGTGCCAGCTACCAAGGATTGCTTGGGCCTGGGAGGTCAAGGCTGCGGCACTCCAGCCTGGGTGACAAAGCGAGACCTTGTCTCAGAAACAAAAAACAACAAAAACTGAAACAATACTCAATTTTGTCTTTTGGTTTTCCAATAGACAAAATTAGGAGATTCACAGAGGAGGAAATCCAAATGACAAATAAACATTTGAAAAGTTGTTCTTCCACTCCTTAGTAACAAAAGACAAACAAATTAAAACTAGAAAACTTACAATGTAACCCTAAACAGACTGGCAAAGATCAAGTCTGAAGACACCATGTGTTTGTGAGAATATAAGCAATCATGTTGGTTATATTCTACTGTGGGAATTGTTAACCGGGATAAGATGTTTAGAATATAAGCAATCATGTTGGTTATATCCTACTATGGGAATTGTTAACTGGGATAAGATGTTTGAACACTAATTTGATGCTATATCTAGAAATTTGAAAATACCCATACACAATAATGACTGGGAAATTCCAGACGTTGGTATATCCTAAGGAATATTATGTGAACAAGCAACATGTATAGAAGACAACACTGGTGGTCTTTGGAAAATATCAAAAACAATATTAATGCTTATCAGTAAGCAAATAGGTAATAAATTGTGATATGATCTTCTTAAATATAATAAACACTGAAAATTAATACATTACAGCCCATGTACTGACGTTAATGAATTTGAGAGGAAGAAAAGATAGAATACAGCAACATATTTTATAAGGCTTTAAAACACAAAAAAATTATATATTGTACACATGAAAAATTAACACCAAATATAGGAACTGGTTATCTTTAGGAAGAGAGAAGGGCTTTGACTGATTTAAGGTTTAATTCTCAAGTTGGGCCTGAAGTATTTTAAACTTTAACTCAATACATATAAATACAACACAGTCTACATAAAATTAAACCCCTCCTTCTGAATATTTAAAATACATGCAACCATTAAAATTATTTAAAATAGATAACCCTGAGTTGTTGCTTTATCCTCAGATATAAAAATCTTTCAGTCTTCATAATATTGCTTATTATTATCTTTTCTTCTAATGAGAAGCAATAATCTTTCATCCTTTTCCTGTGGATATTTAAGTATTAAAATAGCAAAATAATGTCATTGCAAAGAGTATTGAATACTATTAAAATCAGACTCTACTCCAGCTACCTGGAAACTAAATAAAATGCAGCATGATTTTCACAAGTGTGAAATAAGAAGCTACACATTAGTGGAAATAAATGATTATAAATTTTTAAGTGCCATTTTCATGTGCAAAATATTATCACTAGGTATAATTTTCATTAAATCGATATTATTATAACATCTTTGATTTATATAAATGTTGATTACACACTGGCTATTTTGAAGGTTAGAGTAACATGTGAGAGAAAAGTTTGAAGGATATTAATTAAATGATATCATTTTCAGCTGAGAGTGCATTTATGATTGTTTAGCCAGACATGGTAAATACAAATTTGTCTCTCTGAAATAAATAAAACACCATTAAACGATGAGATATATTTATATTTAATAATTCAACAACATGCTAAGATAGTATGCAAATTAGTAAATAATTTACTTCAGTTTTTAAACACGTTAGATTTTCTTAGTAGAGAAAAAATATGATAACTTACAGTATAAGTTATTATTAACTGGTATAGATTTACTGTTTTCCTGTTTTTATTGTATTTTATTTTCAATTTCAAGTAATTTTTACTGTACAGTACTTTAAATAATTTCGATTTTATGTTTAGTTTTCATCTTTTGCAATAAAATATTCATTACTCAAATTTACTCATGTAACAATTTGCAGTATCCTGTTTTAAAATAGTTTATTAACTCAAATATTTTTAATCATTGTTAAAACTTGGGGCAAATAATATCCTACAGAATGTTCCCTCATAATTAAATATTTACTAAAAGCATGTTATATCGTTTTGATATATGGAAAAAATCTTATTGTGTAAATTATTTTGTAGACCGTTAATTTTTCAGACCTGTTCATTTCCAGTATACAACTGTGACCACTTCAAAACTGTTGAGAATTTCAGATTAAATTGGTAGGTAAAGGCATTTCCACTCCTCTCTGAAACAAAGGAAAGCAGCAAAGATAATTGCAGAATAGAAAAGGGAAGCCTGTAGTCAATGTAACTAAGGAACACTATTAATTTTTAATTTTGAAGAAGTTTTCCCAGTGCCCAATGGGAGGGAGTAGGGTAAGCAGGCATACCAAAATATAATGCTGGGCTCTTCACTTCCTGTGCAGAACTAACAATGTTTCCAATTCTGTGTTCCTTAAACATATGGGGAAAGGCCAGGCGCGGTGGCTCCAGCCTGTAATCCCAGCACCTTGGGAGGCTGAGGTGGGTGGATCACGAGGTCAGGAGATCGAGACCATCCTGGCTAACACAGTGAAACCCCGTCTCTACTAAAAATACAAAAAAACGAGCCGGGCGTGGTGGCGGGCGCCTGTAGTCCCAGCTACTCGGGAGGCTGAGGCAGGAGAATGGCGTGAACCCGGGAGGTGGAGCTCGCAGTGAGCCGAGATCTCGCCACTGCACTCCAGCCTGGGGGACAGAGCGAGACTCCATCTCAAAATAAAATAAATAAAATAAATAAATAATATGGGGAAAAAGCTTAGGAACAACTGGATGGGACAAACAAAGGGGTCTCTGTAACAGCTCACTGACTCTAAGCAGGAGCTGGAGAATGTGGAGTTGAATGAGAAAACAGTGCACTCAAAAAGATTATTGATGGAGAAATGTTGGAGGTGGAGATTTGGAGAGGTAGGATTCTTTGATGATTTGGGTTCGCCAAACAGATATAAGGTTCCATTCGTGTTTGCACACAGGCACACACACACGCGCGCGCGCACACACACACACACACACACAGAAGCAGGCTTAGGTATTCCACAGTGGGCCGAGAAGACGTCCCATGTTTCTGGATTACATTCATATGCTCCCGAGTGATACGTTGGTGAAAGTGTCTGAAGATAAGGAAGGGTGGCTGGGTACAATATTGTCGGAATAATCCCTTCTTTTCCTAAAAACACAGCAGTGTGAATAGCAATATTTACTGAGGTTAAGTGCAAGACAAAGACGGAAAACAAAATACAGAAATAAACTTTACCATGATAAATACGATAATCTACATTGAAAAATCTAACCATAACGAGTACTATTTATTAAATTATATAACATTAATATTCATGAATTGGAAACTTCAGGAAGTACAAGGAGAAGGCAACATAAAGACCTAAGAAACTTTGTATGATTTCCGTTAGCCCAGTGGAAAAAGTAGGAAAAAGTGCGGTGCATAGACATGTAAAATAATTAATTAGGCAAATATAATTGATGTATTTTTATTAACTACTCTATTTATACTCATTGATAACTTTGTAGCAAGTACCTATTTTTAAGTGTTTTTAAAGGTTACCATGTATCAACACACAAAACGTCATTGGATACTTCAGTAAAGCAGGAAATTAGCAAAAATGTGAAAAATGAATTACTGTTCTACTTAGAAATTCTTTAATTAAGGATCTGTAAGGCCAAAGAAAATCAAACTACATTTTCACAATATATAGAAAATTACAATGATGAAAACCTTACCTTTTAGAAATTAGGGAATAACTACAAGGTAGGGCTTAGAGAAATCTTCCCGGCAAAATATGTATTCATGTCTTAGCAAAAATAAATTAAAATGAATTAATTAGGCATTTAATTTTAAAAGTTAGAAACAGAACCAAAAACTAAGCCTGAGAAAAGCAGAAGGAACAAATTAGTAAAGATTAAAACAGAAAATAATAGAAAAATATAAAATATTAGAAAGAATAACAAAAATCCAGTGGCTATTTCTTTAAAGAATACTAAGTTTCAGTTATGCAGGATGAATAATTTCTGGAGATCTAAGAGGCAACACGGTGTCTGTAGTTAATGATAGTGTATTGCTTATTTCAAATATACAAAAAGAGTAGACCTTAAATGTTCTCACCACACACAAAATATTGGTAACTGTGTGAGGTGATGGATATGTTAATTTAGCTTGTTAGTGGTAACATTTCTCCATGTTTACATCTATCAAGACATCACGTTGCACAGTTTAAATACATAAGATTTATTTGTCAGTCATACCTTATAAAACTGAAAACAAGAGAAAAATCTAATAGCTATTTCCTTGAAATCAAACAATAAAAAAGAAAACAATATAACTGAGAATTTTTCAAAGAAAAATAAGCATAAAGTCACAGAAAAATTATAGTCCAATATGTATATACAAATACACATCTAAAAAATGTAAGTTAAAATCAGGCAGTGTATTAAATAATTCATATGAACAAGTTGAAGTTTATTCCAAGAAGGCAGAGGTACCTAAACACTTAGGAATCTATGAATGCAATTTATTATATTAATATATTAAATAGAAAAAATTCATGAAAATAATAATAATAAAACCCTCATGAGAAGTGGAGAAATTACTTGGAAATATTTGATACACATTTACGATAAGTTGAAAACAAAGAAATCAATACTTCCTTACAATGATATCAGTCTATCCATTAAAAGCCTACAGCCAACACCATACTTAATGAAGAAACCTTTGAAGCATCTTCTTTAAAGTCAGGAACAAGAAAAGGCTGACCTGTTCGGCAAATAGTATCAACATAAAAAGATAAAAAAGACTATTCTATACAATAAAACAAAAGAAGTAAAATATTTGAAATGGGAAAAACCCATCATTGCTATGATAAATATGTCTATTTAGCAGAAATAGGGACAAATTGAACTGATCATGAATTTCATCAGTGTTGCTAGTTACAAGGTAGGTATGTAAAAATCAATAGCTTTGGTGAAAGAACTATAACAGTTAGAAAATATATTCAATAAAATATCCCATATTAGAGTACCATATGAAGGTACGTAAGTATAAACTTTCATAAATAATGTGTAAAGTTGGCCGGCTGCGGTGGCTCATGCCTGTAATCCTAGCACTTTGGGAGGCTGAGGCGGGTGGCTCATGAGGTCAGGAGATTGAGCGCATCCTGGCTAACACGGTGAAAC
The DNA here is from genome assembly GCF_000001405.40 of Homo sapiens. Lineage (NCBI taxonomy): Eukaryota > Metazoa > Chordata > Mammalia > Primates > Hominidae > Homo > Homo sapiens. Next base: position 11,963,129 of record NC_000005.10, on the reverse strand, counting down.
CCTGTCTCTACTAAAAATACAAAAAATTAGCTGGGCATGATGGCACGTGCCTGTAGTCTCAGCTACTCAGGAGGCTGAGGCAGGAGAATCTCTTGAACCTGGGAGGTGGAGGTTGCAGTGGGCAGAGATCACACCACTGCACTCCAACCTGGGCAACAAAGTGAGACTCCATCTCAAATGACAATAATAATAATAATAATAAAAACAACAATAATGTATAAAGCTTTCATGGAAAAAATTAAAAGGCAAGATAAATAAAGGAGACTAGAACATCAAAATTTATACTATTTTATTGCTATAATTGGAATTAGAAAATTTCTATTTAAAAATCCCACTGCACACATTGAGCTAATTTTTAAGTAGCTCTTGGTGATAAAATCCAAACATTTTAAGTGTGTTGATTGCTCTTTGAATATCAACTATATTCTAAGGCTGAAAATAGTGGTACTTCAGAAGTAACAAATTAGATAATATATTGTCTAACAATATACATTTCGTATATAGATTTAAATATCAAACACCTTATTTAATTCACAGGTGGCATGACTAAAGGACTTTAAAAGCAGCCAAAGGTTCTGGAAAACGTTTTCTGCTGAAGGCAAACCTACCAGCCCTCATTTTTAAAAGTTGCCCTCCAGGCTCTGATTCCTGAATATTCCCAGATCAAACTGACATCTCTCTTGCAGTTGTGTTTATCTCTCAAATACAACTAGAGTGTCCACAATTCTGTTCCTTTTTTTTTTTTTTTTTTATAAAGCTCCACAACCATGGATTACCCGCCGGCTGAAGTTATTTGACCTTTGAGCACGTCCTGTTGGCAGCCTGGCTACTGTTCCCTGGGGCTTTATAAACTTCTCTCTGAAGAACTGCACCACCTCTAAGTACCCGGGCTTTAGAGACAATTTTCACAAAGGACACATAAATAGAGGTTTTAATCATTGGATTAAAAACACATGTTTCAAAGGTGGCTTCTTCAAAGGGGACAATACTTTGTACTGGTAACATCACTCCAGATCAACAAATATATCTGGAGATATCTGGAGTGCTTCCTATTGTAAACAAATAAGAATTTCTCCATGTCTACTGAGCGTATTTTTTTTTTTTTTTTTTTTTGAGATGCAGTCTTGCGCTGTCACCAGGCTGGAGTGAGGTGGCGCGAACTCGATTCACTGCAACCTCCGCCTCCCGGATTCAAGCGATTCTCCTGCCTCACCTACGGAGTAGCTGGGACTATAGGCGCGCGCCACCACACCCAGCTATTTTTTTTTTCTGTTTTTAGTAGAGCCAGGGTTTCACCATGTTGGCCAGGATAGCCTGGATCTCCTGACCTCCTCATCCGCCCACCTCAGCCTCCCAAAGTGCTGGGATTACAGGCATGAGCCACCGCGCCCGGCCCTGAGTGTATTTTTTAAAAATCCATTATTTCAGAATGAGCACTGACTTTTTATTTATTCACATAAATATTTATTTGTTTACATATTATTGAAATTGAGGTAAGGTTATTTGTAAAATGATATTTTGCTGCAGAAAGAGCTCATGCACTTATATACAGAACTGTGATAGTCTTCAGTCAAAAGTCAACTTCAACTAAAATAATTTATTTCAGAGTGAAAATATCTAGTATAAAGTCCATCCCAGGTTTGCCATTTATATTAAACCGTTTTCTCTGGGTAATAGATATTGTAAGCAATGAGATCAGTTAACAGAAAGCTTTGAAGGCAACAAAGGACAGATAAAATCTCATGAGGCTCCCTAAGTAACAGGACTTGCTGAGATCTGCAATCCATTCAGCTAGGGGGTCGTTCCTAACAAAATTTTTCGTCAACTACTATTCCTGCTATCCTCTGAAAAATTTCTTATCCAAATTAACTAAACAGAAATAGTCTGGTTGATTGGCTAATCATAAATAATAAAGAACACACAAGAAAATCCCTGGAAACAAGTAAACTATAAAGACAAAATAGCCATAATAAGCATGTGCTTTTAGACCAGTAATGTCTTCAGTTTTTAATAGTCCAAACTAAACATTTTAATAAAAATCCAAGTAGTCGCTCATCAAAAATGAGCGTTTTACTGGTTTACATATTTGCAATTCTATCAAATACAAAATTAAGCATTTTAGACTAACGTGTACTATAAATTAGAAAACAAAATTTGTACGTTGATTAACACACATGAAAACTAATGCAGCTCTTTACAATAAGGGATCATGAAAACTTAATGTGTGGTAAGGCAGGCTCTTTTCAAATTATTTCAAACCGATTTTGAACCCCTTTGAATGGTCATTTATAGTTAGAGTCACTTTTCCTGCTGTTTCTAAAAGAGAAAAAATTCCCTCTTCACCATTGTTGTATCTAAATTTTTTGAATAAAGAGGTCTCTCAAATACCACCTCTTTCAAAAATGTTTGCAATGGTGAATATTCAAAATTGAGTTTGGACGATCGACTTTTATGTTTATATAAATTACCTTTCAAGAATCCTGTGTCATATTCCCCTGGTGTCTTAATTATTTCTACTCTAAATAGTATATTGATGCCAATTTGTGAAGGAAATCATTAGTTTCAAATGCTCTTTTTCAGAAATTTACAAATAATATAATGGCATTTTTTAATGTTCAGTTTTCCTAACCATGTGAATATTACTTTTGAAAAATTATTTTTCAATATAATTTTAAATTTTTAAATTATTTGTGAAAAATAAAACTCATGATTAGGAAAACAACAACAAAAAAGCACTTCCCTTTAAATAGCTAACTTTTTTTCCCACAGATAACCTGAAATAATAGGGCTAAGTGTACATAAAAGACTCATACTTTAAAAATAGCTCTGGCCAATTTATAATTACTCTACTGCATTTTTAATCTACTGGTTTGATTTTTAATTTATATATATTTTTTATTTTCTCAAGAAAACAAATAAATGAACAATATTGTCATGAGATGAGAAGATGCCTATGATACATTCTATTCTATATGCTATTTGTGGTCATTTTATTATATGAGAAAGAAACTATTTTCAGATTTATGAGCTATGAATCTTAAAAAATATATTACTTGCCCAGGAATCTAAAAATGGTGTCCCCTGGCCAAGTGTAGCAACAATTGAGTAGAGTTGGTCATGATGTGGAAACATCAAAATGACATGGAATTTATTCAGATGGAAACTTACAGGTTTCCAGAATATTAATTAAAAAATTACAATCAGATGGAAGATATATTAAAAGGTAATGGAATATTATAGGTGATTCTGAAGGAAAATTATGGAAGTCTTATTCACACTGTCTTAAAAATGATGGTTTATTTCAATAATATGTAATTGTATGGATCATTTATTAATCTTCTCAAGGCTGTGGACACTTACATTAAAATCAGCCTGGATTTTTTGAAAAATAAAATACTAAAGCAGTGGCACTGTCTACAAAGACATTAAAAACTCTAATTATAGCACATGATATTCTGTTAGTTGGTCAAATTAAAATGCTATAATAAACCTAAGAACAGGTATTATTATTTTAATAAGGGAAACATTATTTACAACAACAGTATAGAAACCAGTATAAAAATAAAGGTACATATGATTCTGATGGATGAGCTGTGATAAAAATTGAGAAATTTTAAAGTAAAAAGAAATACAAGCTCTGTGGAGAGGAGGTAATTCACATCTTTTAAAACTTGGACTAATGGCATATTGTGTTTAAAGGATATTACAGAGAATGGTGGTTTTAACACTTTGACCTCTCTAGAATATTATTACTAAAAAATTATTAAACGGAATACCTGTGAAACGTGCTCCAATAACTACAATTTTATTTGGATTAGCTATTGGAGACAATGCAACATGTCCTAACACATGATACGACATTCATACTCCTGCGACCAGACTTCAAATTCATTTCTGTACTGCCTGATTGTTCTGGGTGGGCAGTCTCTAAGTGACCGGCAGGTGTCTAGGAACAATCAAGAGTTCCTTTGTTACAACTCAAAAACAGGAATCAATTTTTTGAAACACAGAAAGTAGTGCCTACTTTAGTCTTCTAAAACATATGCGCTTCAGTGATTACAAGTTAATTGATCTTTTCTCCTCTGTGAAAAACCAGCCTAAATTCGTGGTTTTCTCTAAGGATGCTGTAATGAGAAGTGTTCTCTCCTTGGCAGTACATATTTTAAACCAATATCCTGAAAAAAAAAATTAAATGTAAAAGCCTCTATCATTTCAAGTATATGGTTAATTTTCTCAATAATTTTATTCAAATCCAAACCTTAGAAATATTATTCTCATAAGGTATTTTAAAGTGAAGCTTCAAAGAAAGAATTGGGGAAATTTAAAAAATATTACCCACAAGAGTACAAAACTCAGATTTTTGGTGTTTTCCCTTGTGATTCTTTTGTAGAAAGAAATGCAATTAAGTTGGTGAAGTGCTGTTTTTCTATTGTGAGCTTGGGTGTGAGATTTATATATTTGTTTCCTTGCTTTCAGCAGTAGTAATAGAAGGAAAGCTATAAAAAAAAATTCGTTGTGCAGAATTTGATGTGAGAGAATTTAATCTGAGTAGCAGATAGCATCAGGCTTGCAAGTGCCTGATATTTCTGCCTCCAGGCTGTTTTCCAGTCTTGTCCCTTTTTCCTGTCAATGGAATTTGACATCCAGGTCTACATGCTCCCTTTGACAAAGCGACAGAGGTAAATCAAAGCCATTTCTCACCTAATTAGATGCCAAAGGTGAAATCACCAAAATAAGGCTAATTCTGACTTCTTTGTAGGAAAAAATTATGTAACATTTCATATGTAAATTTAAACACATGAGCTCCAAGCGCATCTGCCTTAAGGGAGCAGCCATCACAATGTAAGAAAAAAGAGTTTAATAACGGCCCTTCATGAAATAAATAGAGCACTCAAGACAGGGTATGTAAATTTTGTGTTATTTGAACTCCCATATTTCATAAAATTAACGCCATTCACACAAATCATGGATTGGGATTGGTTAGTTTTCTGTAAATATTCTAAATTCTGATATTGTCATTTATAAAAACATATGAACACTAACAGTACTAAAATTCCCCCTTTAAAAATATTTGCAGAAAACAATTAAAATCCTACCGTCTCTGTTAAATGGACTTAATGTAAAGGAAATTGACTCAGTCATACATGAAATACCTAAATGTTGTTTCAGAAATGACTTAACTGAAACGATTCTGACATTTTAAATATCTTCTTCAAATTTTCTTTATCTCCAAAAATAAAAATGTGTCTCCTATTTTTTAAAAAATATATATTTTTTTGAGACGGAGTCTCACTCTGTCACCCAAGCTAGAGTGCAGTGGCGCGATCTTGGCTCACTGCAACCTCTGCCTCCTGGGTTCAAGCGATTCTCCTGCCTCAGCCTCCTGAGTAGCTGGGACTACAGGCATAGTTTTTATTTATTTCAAAAGCAGATTGAAGTTTTCTAAGAAATATACTCTCAGCTCATGGTGTAACTCAGCTATTTGTTATCAGATTTTTTTTCTAAAATATACTCATTATACTTATAGATTAGTGGGTATGAATGTTGCCCTCAAAATAATTTTTTAAAAAACTTTATTTTATTGACAGGAATCCTGAAGCATAGAAAGGTAAAATGACTTGAATTTCTACCCAGAGAGACTAAAATATAATACATTTCTATTACAATTTCACTTTATTGTTCAATGATACAATGTATGCTACCAGCAAAATACTTGCTATTTTGGTATGAGTTGATAAGTATTGAGAACAGTCATAATAATTCGTTTCAGGCTATTTAGGTTTGTGTTTGTTTTGCTTCAAAGTACTTCACAAATGATCTTGAAATGAAAATATAGATTTGTCTAATGGCAGAGATTGAAAAAAATATAGCCAAAATTGCAGGAAAGAACCAACAATAAAGATTCAAGTAAAAATTACAACTTAAATTTCTTGAAAAAAATTCAATTGTAAGCTACCTATAAGATAATGTCACTGTCTATAAAATAAATAACTTTTGTTCAACATTTCCAACTGTGCAAGTATCTCATTTTCCAGATTTGCTTTTAACGGATTCTCCCATCATTTTGTCAAGGTTTCATACAGTAATAGATACAAAGTCCATTAAAACAAATATGGCTTCTGCCTCATTCATTTGTTTGATAACTCATTTTTTTCCTATGCATACCACACTAGTAACCTTTCTTTAAAATAAAATTTTGAGTTCATGAAACATACTGACCCCTCTCATGAAAACTGGCCAAACATTAATGGAGTTAATGGGATTGTTTCAAGGTATTATCAGAGTATTCATATAGTAGCACATTAAGACAAGAGATTGCAAATACCTAAAAATAATAATCAGCAATCAGTACAAAACCATATTTAGACTCCCAGGTGTAACGTCGCAATATCTTCTGAATCCAATTCCTGAAGGCATAGGACACATTTACAGCAATTACACAACGCTTCTTTTTATCTCATGAAAGGGTGAAAATCTATTTTTGCAATCAGCAGCAATTATTGGTCCATTATCCCATTTTCCCTCTGAGGATTGTTCATAATCTTAGACCTCCTTAAACACATGAGCTCCTGACACATCTGCCTTAAGGGACCAGCCATCACAATATATAAAGAAAAAATAGTTTAATAATGGCCATTTGTGAAATAAAGATAGGACATTCAAGACAGTTTGCCTTGGAATAGTCAAGTAAATACGATGTGTAAAATTAATAAAACAATATCTGAAAATGCACACCATAAATATATGAGCAAACCTATACTGATTATATCGATATAAATGGCATTTTGGAGAGTTGTGAGAGAAATCTCAAGAATTAACACTTGGAAATTTATGCATAGGAAACATAGGTAGTGCCTATTGTGTGCAAAGCACAGTTGCATGTGGGTGCTGCCTCAAAGTTAAAAGCAGAAGTCTATATGCCAAGAGATTTAGTGAGGAGGTCAGATAGGGAATGACTTTAAGTTGAGATGTGATTAATGTTCTAGAAATGGGCAAACCATGCTAGATTGTTATGGTTATTTAAATTGTTCCTTGCATTGCTGGAATAGCCAGGGAGCATCTACTGAAAGAGGAAGCATTTCATCTGAATTTTATTCTTTCTGGGTGAAATCTCAAAGATACCTAGACAAGTTAAATTTAGGCCAATGCATTTTCTAATTCAGGTTAGAGTGGGAAAGCATTCCTAATACCTGTACAATTCCGTGTTCCAGACTATTATGCAAAAGTATTGAGATATTAATCTTAGGAAGGAAGCATAGCTACAATTCCCAATTCAATAGATGTATAGTGGCAAATAACCACACATGGTATCCTTTAATTGACAGAGGCCAAAAGATTGTTCTGTCCCCCTGATAAGCCCTCTAATACTTGACCTTTCTTGGGACAATAGAGAAAATTACTCTTAATGATTTGAAGTTCCATGGCTTACAAACAATTCTTACCTCTAGGAAAAGTGACCACATTCTCATAAAATACATGGAATAAGCTTAGTAAATGCTGGCTGGGTTCTTGTGAGTCATAGCCATTTCCACATTTCCTGGAACATGATTCTACTGGTTATGAATTCCCAAGATGATAAAACAATCCTGGTTATCACAGCTATGCATTTTGTTTTACCCAAGAGCTTCCTCTCCAGATATTGATCCAATTGGCTTCTCATCTCTCCCCTGAGCCAGCAATGTTCAAAATCATTAGAGGGCAGAGTAATGGTTTTCAGCATACAAGAGAAAGCCAGGGTTGTAGGAAGGCTAAAAATTCTCTTGTTTTTATGGTAATATCAAGATTTTCCATTTGTTTTACAAAAGAATGTTCTGGTTAATCAAGGTTTAGTTGAAGAATCCCTTTGGAATACTTTGCTGTTACTAAATGAAAAAAAGAAAGATGGGGCCAATCTTTCATAAATATTTCACTTATGCCAAAGTAAAATGTGGATCTAATCAGAAAAACTCTGAAGTTATAATGTGAAATCTCTTTTTCACAATACTTTCCACAGTAAACAAGCTTTTACTCTTTTGTTGAACTTAAGTGCAGGGAAAACATACTTCTATCCTGCTTTATTCTCTTTTCATAGCTGCAGAGCTACAGTTATTTTTTAGAACTTTAGTACTACATTTTATCAACTGTAGTACAAAATATTTAAATTTAAATCATATGTTCAAATTATTGGGACACTTAATTTATGGTCTATTCTCCACAGCATTGATTTTTCTTGTACCTGTTTCGACACTAGAAGAAAGGGAGAGAAGAGAGGAGAAATAGGGATGAATTCCAATGATACTCAAGATTCCCTGTTATCTAACTAGATAAAGATGCTCATTGTAACTGCACATCAAAAACTTTCCTGAAATTATCTCCTCTTCTTAGCATGGGGTTTTGTGTTATTCCTATGTAAAAAAAAAAAATCCTATAATTCATTAAATATTTACATCAAATCCAAACTCCATTCAACATTTTCACTGTAGAAATTGACCGCTATCGTACTAGAGCACATAATTTTTGCCATAATCATACCTTTTATCAAAGTTTGCATTTTGCCATTGTCATTGCATTTTTAAATGATTTTCATATATATTTCATATATATATTTGTTTTGACTCAAGAATTTAATTTTTATTGTTTAATAAATGTCATTAATTATTCTAAATGTTATTAAAAATAAGATGAATTAAATATAGATATGCTGCTCATAAAGCTTTCTGTTCAATACGAAAGATTGGACATGGACTTGGATGCCTCTGATGTGGAGCTGAGCATGCAAAGTCATATGAGAGGCTCAGATTAAGGATGGTATGGGCTTATAAATAGGGAAAGGAAGGGCGAGAAGATGGTGATGAAGAGTGCATTGCACCACAAGCTAGGATATACAGGCTTTACTTTATATAACCAAAGGAATAAGTGAAGTTTTTCAACAGAAAAGTGAAATGGTCAGGTATGGCTCTAAAGAATTTAGTCTGACATCAATGGTTTCATTGAATCAGACTGAGAATGGCTGGAGTGTAGGAGAGCATCAGCCTATCTGAATTTAATGAGAAACCAAATTAGGGAAGTGTCAGTGGAACTAAAGAGGAAAATACAGCTTCCAAATATAGTTTAAAGGTAAAGTTGGCACCACCCAGACCCAGGAATGATGAGGCTGATATCAAAGGTGGGCTAAGACTATGTGCTTCAAGGGCTAGGAACTTGTCTCAAGTTTTGGAAACTGAACGAATGGGCATTTTGTGGACAAAAGAATTGGAAATACAAGAAAAGAAACCTAGTGTGGAAAAGATAGCAATTTCAGATGGGACACACAAGAATAAAAGTTAGTAAGACGTGCATCCAAATTTAAGAGACATGGATATATTTCCATCCAGGATTTAAAATTCATATAGAGATGTAAAACCATGAAAAAATGAACTTCTAAGTGAAATGTGTAGAAGGAATGACAAAGTGGGGCAAAGATGTCCTTCCTTTTGAAGGGAATTCTTGCAAGGGAGATTACTGTAAGGTCTGCGTCCCCTGTGCTGAACTCCTGGAGGGCAACACAGAGTGTTGACTTTTGAGAGATTTTATAGGCAGACTTTCCAAACATATGTATGGTATTTAATCATCTCAAAACCTGGGCCAGAGGTTTTATATATGGTGTTATAATCAAATTAAGAGGAGTCAACTCTGTGCTCCAGAAGTTTCTGCTTTGATGTTTGCTTCTTTCTTTGTAACAAACTGGGGGCTATGATGTCCTGTGGATGATATCACTAATAATGACAATAGAAGTGGAGAAACTCCACATACAAATGGACAAAGGCCAGGTCACATGACCACGTATGACAATAAAGCTGGGACTCACAACCTCTGCAGCAACCATCTCGGTAAGTCAAACAACAACTTGAACCACAATAAGCCCAGAAAAATCATGGCTTGGTCAAAGACAGTCAGCTTTCTTATTTGTTGCCGCTGCTTCCAACTCGAGACTAACTAGAGAAAGCCAAATATGCTTCCAAAACCTATCATATGAGATGTCTCACTTCTAGGTAGCCTGTCTTCAGCTTCCTCATGCCAACAACATCCAATCAGAGCCTATCTGAAAGCTTCCCTTTTTATTTTTGTCAATATGAAGCCTCCCCACTCCTCTGCCTGCCTTTGAATCTCTATCTAGCACCAGTAATGGTGGCTGACACCCTTACTTTAGCAAGCTCTGAATAGATAAGTTTCTGGGTTTTTTCCTCACTTGAGTGGGCTTCACTTATTTCCAGAGTTTTCCTGGAAGCCCCATGAAGAAATGATCTACACTGCACATCACTGCAAACCCCAGCCTTCAAACAGGCATAGGACACAAGCAAGCCCCTTGTGCCTTGCTGCTGGGGCTTTGTATTCGTCCATTTTCATGCTGCCGATAAAGACATACCCAAGACTGAGTAATTTATAAAGAAAAAGAGGTTTAATGGACTCATGGTTCCACGTGGCTGGGGAGGCCTCACAATCATGACAAGATGAAAGACACATCTTACATAGTGGCAGGCAAGACAGAATGAGAGCAAAGTGAAAGGGGAAACTTCTTATAAAATCATCAGACCTCATGACACTTATTCACTACCATGAGAACAGTATGGGGGAAACTGCTCCCATGATTGATTTATTCCTGACCAGGTCCCTCCCACATGTAGGAGTTATGGGAGCTACAGTTCAAGATGTGATTTGGGTGGGGACACAGCCAAACCATATCAGACTTGTTGACTCTGTGCCAACGTGTTAACACAGAACAGGTCTGAAGTCTGACTCTGATATGGTTTGGCTCTGCATCCCCACCCAAATCTCATTTTGAATTGCAATCCCTAATGTTGGCGGAGGGACCTGGTGGGGGGTGATTGGATCTTGGGGTGGACTTCCCCCTTTCTGTTCTCATGACAGTGAGTGAGTTCTCATGAGATCGGGTGGTTTAAAAGTGTGTGGCACTTCCTGCTTCTCTCTCTGTCCTACTGCCATGTGAAGATGTGCTTGCTTCCCCTTCACCCTTCTACCATGATTGTAAGTTTCCTGAGGCCTCCTCAGCCATGCCTCCTGTACAGCCTGTGGAACTGTAAGTCAAATAAACCTCTTGTCTTTATAAATCACTCAGTCTCAGGTAGTTATTTATATTAATAATGAGAACGGACTATTACAGGTCCCTTTGTGATGGGTTCCTCAACTATTTTTAGTTTGGTACCCCCAGGTGTTGTCCTTGATTTCCATTTGTTCGGCACCCTGGTGGAATTGAGCCATTGCTATTCATTCATGTTTACTATTTCTTGTGCTCCTATGTTATGTTGTACTGTCTAAAAGTGTTGTTTTTCATAATAAGCAAAATCACACAATATAACCTAGGCATAGTCCCTATAAACTTGTTTAGCTTGCTTCATACCATAGTGAGTTTGCAGTTCTCACCAGATTGGCATACATCCAGACATTTCAGTGGGTCACCAATAAAGCCGAATGAAGTCCATTTCAACTCATGTTTTGTTTTGTTTTGTTTTGTTTTGTTCTAAGAGTGTGGCTTTGTTCTAGAGAAAGCATTCTCTCTCATTTCCACTTATCAAGAAGCACAGATAGTCACATCTGCATTTAGTGGCAGACAATTATCAAATTTGGGGTCAAACACACAATGTACACAAGTATCACTAGTGACCAACCATTGCCAGCTCCTATGGGGTCAGCTAAGTCTAAGTTATCTTCTTTTCCAGGAAAACTTTTTTTTCTCTCATTACATTCCTAAATTTTGCACCTAACTCAGAACACATTGAAAGAGATTTACAACAAAATTGAGACAAGACCCAAAATAAAATTATTACCCTGCAGATCAAACAGTAAAATAGCCCATTTTAAAACTGATCTTGTATTGACAAGGATGCTTGTTAACATTGTAACAAAAGTGGAATAATAATGGTTTTATTTTACAAAAGAAAATTCAAGCCAAAAAAAACTTCCTCCATCCAGATTAATAATTGTACTTCAAGGGAAAAACATGCCTATCTTACCCTTAAATAATCAAGTTGAATTGACTATATATATAAAACTAGTCAACCTCATCAATTCCTGGTGGACACAGGTACTATTTGTTCCATGTGAAATCCTTCCTCTTCCTCAGAATAAACTTACCACACAGGTAGGAGGTATTTCAATAACCCACAGGTTTTTACTATCTCCCAGTTTTTAACACTTGGGCATTTGACTTAAAAACATTCTTTCAGCCTCTCTAATAACACAGCTGCAAATTTGACAGGGAGAGATTTACTTTTCAAATGAGATCATAATATTAAATGCACACCAGAAGTTCCAGGTATGTTTTGAAATTTCAGAGGATTTCTCTGTTCATGATCAAGTTGTAGATTATACTTTGATATACCTTTGTCCTCTCCATTACATTTGATGCATACCTCCATTAGCGATCTTGACATCATACCTGACACACTATGGGACACACACTAACATGGGAAAATAATTGGAACAGATCTTATTAATCTTTTACCTCACCAAACTGTTACCCAATCTTCACCAATATCCCTTGAAGCCAGAAGCAAGAGAAAGTCTCAGACCCATTGGCAAAGGCCTTATATCCAAAGGCCTTCTCTTACTCTGAACTAGCCTTTGTAACATTGTAACACTTCCATTCTACAAGGAAAAGAAAGAAGAAAAACACCACCACCTGCAAAACAAATGGCCAAGGATATGTATTTGTTCAAAACCTCAAGGCCATCAATAAAATTGTTAGCCCCCACTTCTCACTTCTCACTTCCCAGTAGTACCTAATCCAAATATCACCTTGTTGTCAATTCCTAAAATTACTTAAGTCCTTGTGGCAGATCTGTGCTCTTTTTCAGCATGCCCCTAGAGCAGACAACAAATATCTTCTGGTCCTACTTGGGGAGAATGAAAATATGCCTGCACTGTTATGCTCTAGAAGTTAACTAAAGCACCCTCATATTTTTTCCAGACCTTCAATCAAGACAGAAGGTCTAAATTTTCTTTTGATTCAGCTTTGACACAATATGTAGATGACCTATTTTGTTGAGAGAAAAAGGAAACCCATAAAAAAGGAATCCATTTACTTGCTCTCAACTTTAGTGGGAAAGAACATAAAGTTTCAAAAGCTAAATTACAATTTTACCAAAACACAGTCCATTATAGGCCATGATCTATCTAAGGAGAAAAAAAAAAGGCCTCTCTTCAGATAGAATAAACACTACTGAACTGTTCCTAAACCTCTTACAATACAATAATTGAGAGGATTTCTGGGTTTAACTGGATATTGCAGACAACATGTGCCAATTTTTTTTTTCTGAAATTGCGTCAATTTTATTAACTGACTAAGTCCTAAATAAGAGACTCTCTCTTTTAGGATTCAAAACATGAACAAGCCTTCTATTACCTAAGGAAGGTTTTTCAAAGCTTTCTTCCCTAGGCTTCGTTAACTGCAAACAGCCTTTTTTGTCTATTTGTGCATAAGTGGTTTGAACAAGCCTTTTTGTCCTCTGTGGTTCATGGGAAACAAAAAACCCAAATGCTTACTATAGCCTCATTTGACTTGTTCACTTGGTCTTAGGCCAGTTGCTATTACATGTCAATATTTCTGCTGAACTAGTTCTAGGCTCCATGCTTGACCTAGGTCTCAGTTAAACTACTGAGTCCTACAACACCCTGAGTCCTTCTGCTTTCCTGCCTTCGTCATAATAAAGAGGACCTCAAGATCACCTTACCATGGTTAGGTAACCTTCACTATCTCACCCAGATGTATTAGAGGCTTACATTGAGCAACTTCATCTAATATCATACCTCAAAACTGAAACTGGAGGGGATTAAACAGGATACACTCTCACTAATTTAAGCTCTCCTTTAGAATACAATCTTATACCTGAGAGAAAATCAGCCCAGATGGGAGAACTTACTGCACTTGCTAGAGCTTTTCCATTCACCGAAGTTCAGAGAGGGATATATACTGATAACAAACACGCTTCTGGAGTAATACATGATTAGGAGATGCTTTGGAAACAAAGGGGTTTCTAGGTAGCTGACAACACCGACCAAAAAAAATAGACTATAGTTAAGGAACTTTTAGAGGCACTCCTACTTCTTAGACAGATGACTATGATAATGGTTTAGGTCCATGCAAGAAGGGGCAATATGGAAGTTAAAAGAAATTATCTAGTAGATCATTATGCCAAACGAGTCTTTACCAAGGTTATAATCCTATCTAAAGTACCAAAAGATAAATCTATAGGTGGATTCCAAATAAGCCACTATACAATAATAATTGTTTAGTTTGAGATTTTATAAAGAAAGAATTGAAGCTACCTGGTCTAACCCTTCGCTCAGGTAATCTCTGACACTCCCAAGATAGTCTGATGGTGGCACCAGATGAATTCAAATAGGTATTCCATAAATTTCTCTATGAAACTACTCATCATGATACAAACTGTTCACTATCTCCATCAACATTGGTGAAGAAACTTTACAAAGACTACTGAGTCTGGCATGTGTTCATGGCATGTACCACCTATCAACATAACACAGGGCCAGGAACCAAAGCTTCTAGGTACCTGTGAACACTTTAGATGAATTCTTACCACTTTTCAAGACTTCTGCTGAACCAATCAACCTTTCCAGAAGAATGTAGGTGCTAAAAGTCATGTAGTTTTTCAGTAAATGATGACACCTTACAGAATTCTTTTATAAAATTGTTCTTGTAAAGTACACGCCTTGGTCACTTGACATAAAAGTAGATATGCGCCAGGCTGAAAACAAAATCAAGCTGCTTTTTAGCAACTGTAATTACTGATAGTTCTTCAGCAAAAATGCTTCAACACATCTTAAAAATAGATTTATGGTAATTAAAGCATGTTCAAATTCCATGGAGAGTGGAACCATGAAGGAACGAAGGAAGGAAGGAGGGAAAAAAGAAAGGAAGGAAAGAGAGAAGGAAGGAACGAAGGAAGGAAGGAAGGAAGGAAGGGAGGGAGGAAGGAAGGAAACAGAGAAAGAAGGAGAAAGAGTGCAGTGCATTTTAAAGAAAATTCCTGCAAAGCCAGAGGGAGTTCTTAAGCTTATACAAAGGGGCCTTCCTGAGTGATCCTGTGATGCTCAGCCACTGGCCTGTGGGAAGTGTAGCCTCAGAATAAGTGCATTGTACATTTCAGATGCAGCTTGGCCTTTCCGCCAGTTATGTTCCACAAGGTAGAAGATCCAAGATGTATGTGATGGGCCGAATTATGTTCCCCCAAATTTATGTGTTGAGATCCCAACCCCTAGTATGTCAGAATGTGGCCATCTTTAGAGATAATGTTCCTGAGGGACATTAGGTTAGGATGAGGGCATTAGGGTGGGACTGTAATCCAATGTGATTGCGTCTTTATAAGAAGAAGAAGAGACACCCAGGATGCATGCAGAAAGAGGAAAGGCCATGTGAGGACACAGGGAGAATGTGGCTGTCTGCAAGCCAAGGAGAGTGGCCTCAAGAGAAACCGAACTTACCAACATCTTCATATTGAACTTTCAGCCTCCAGAGCTGTGGGAAATAAATGTCTTTTGCTTAAGCCACCCAGACTGTGGTATTTTGGTATGGCAGTGCTAGCAGACTAACACAAGGTATACTTTCAGCATTGCTATAAGCACTTTTCTGATCTATGTGTGTATGTATGTAGATTCATTATTATCCCCATTCTTTGAGGCAAGCGTAGCTTAAGTTTGTACAAGTTCACACTGCAAGCAAGTGGTAAGGTCAAGATTTGCATCTGACTGGTCTGGACCCAGGGTACTTTTAACAATGTGGCATTACATTTAGTGTTACGGCGTCTAAGCTCCAAATCACAGCATTCTTTATTCTTATAGTTTATGCTTCTATATAAATTCAGGTATCTCTCATTTTGCTTTACTTCTCTTTGAAAGAATTTAGGGTATAAGTAACGAATGATTCCCTTTTCAAAATACTTTTAACATTTTAGCAATGTGAAAATCCTACAATTTTAAAATTAAATTACTTGGTTTAGCAATCCAATTTTACTTATTTCCATGTTAATCAATGTAGATGTTTATTTCTTGGTTATATGCACCATGGCATGTGCTACTAAAAAAGGTTTCCTTTACTCTGATTCCTTACATTTTATGTTATACATATCACACTAATTCCCTAAGCTCCAATCTTTCTCCTATTAGGAAATAAAATGGCTAGTGGCTTTACAGCTGTGTACTTTTCCAAAATTTATTCTAATCATACATCTTGTGTGATCTTAAGATGGGGTAGCAGAAAGAACCCTACAGGTTCTTGAACCTATACAGGACGCCAAAGTCCTTTCATTAACTACCTGAGAGTCTCTGAGCAAATATCTTCCTTTCCTGCTTCTCTATTTTTTATTTTTCTTAATCTGTAAAATTAAGAAACTGGGATAGATGGGCCAAAAGACAACACAGGAAAGATGTCTAAACCAATTGCCATTCCTACCACCCCACTTTGCCAGCACATTTTCTTATCAACTTTATGTCACTGGCAAATGATATTATTCTCACTGGTGATCCATTATTTAGAGTTTTGCAACTCACACAATTTTCTTGGTTTAAACAGGAAATGATGAAGCTCTACATCACCAATTTCAAAAGGGCTAGGGCTTCTTCAGTCATCACAGGAGGCTCCTGTAAGGGAAAAATGACTCTCAGGTGCATATTTCCTGATGAGATATAAAAGGTAAGCTGGAGTCAGACACATTTCTGCCAAATAAATCTGGCATATAATGACTTTGGAATACTACTGAATTTTTACTAGCAAGTTAACTTTAAATATGCACTTATAATTGTCATGTTTATATTTATTTATTAAAATAAACTTATGGCTTGATAATTATCCAGTAGAGATAATATAAATTTTTATCATTTGTTGCTCACTGGTTTTAAAGATTGTAAAAATCTTTTATGAAAGATACTGTGTCACTTATTACTCATTTTCAGTCACGATGACTACTTTTACCAATGTATATTGGAACTGAAACTGAATAAAAGCTGAAATTAATTTCATTTAAAAACTGTAATTGTTACATAAACCTTGGTTTAGTGTCCATGTTAACAACAAGAGTATGTGTCAAAAATATCCTTTGCTTTTAGTAATCATATTTGCTCTGGAATTGAGAGAAAATGTACAATACTAACTCATTTACAATTTGTTCCAAGTGTTCCTTTTGATTATGTTGTTTTTTGTGGTAATTATACTAATAAAAACAATACTGAAATTCAACAGTTTTACTTTACTGATTGAATTTTTTCATCTTTCCCAAAAGCATATTTAAAACATTCCTCTCACACAGTGATTTTTTAAATTACTAAATGTGAGCTGACCTAATTTTCATTGTATATCAAGGTTACATCCAAATATTTGAATATAAATTATGATCTTTCAGATTTCACAAAGTTCTGACCATCTTGAAATTCTTATTTCTGAATCATTTATGTGGAAAAGACATATAGGCCAATAAACACATTAGCACCTGGTAAATAATTCCTTGATTATAATAATGATTATCATGATAATGATTGATGATGATGATATTGATAACTTTTCAAACAACTTAAAGGGCCCTTAGTATGAAATGCTTTCCAAAGCACTTTTCAAAACCCACTGTCATTTTAATCCTCATGGAACAATGCTGTCAGGTAGATACAGTTGCTATCCTTAGGTGAAAAAATGAAGAAACTGAGGGATGGCAAGGGATTTTTTTTTTTTAAGAAAGTTGCCTGTTATCATACAGCTGATTTTTTGCTAGATCCCAGATTTCAACGTGGGCAATAGTAGATTTAATGGTAATTCTTGGTATACCTATTGCGAAGCACATGTTGTCTGTGTAATTTAATCTGAGCATCACAAAATTCATAGAATTTAGGTGAGATATTGTAAAAATCAGGAAGGTTAGATTCAGTTTGAGTAAGTTCGTCACCCACAAGTATTAAGAGGCTAATACAGAACTAGAATATCGTGTCGTCTCTTTGTAGACATGTTTATTTTAGTTTATGTGAGTTTTGAAAGAAAGTATCCTGATGGGATGGGACTGGGAACACTGGCATTTATATTCTTTTTACCACTTAGTTCTAACGACCTTAGGGCTTTCACCTCTCTCGGTTTCCTCATTTTTAAATGAAAACACCGAAATGGATAATTTCTAAAGTTACTTCCCAGTTGCAAACACTTTGTATTTGTATTAAAATCTCTAAGACACCTTCTTAAATGTCAACAAAGGCATAGGATAATTTCTGATTATGCTCCAGCCAATGAAAAAAATGAAAAAAAATTTTCTTTGAACTAATGCATGTAACTTGCTTTAATTAGCACCTGTCATAAGTGAAACATGAAATATATTTTACCTGTAATATTGAATCACTGTAAGTGTGCTGCAATACTTTTGAATTTCAATATATACATCTCCTGGCATAAGAACAGAAACGTTTTAATTATAAATCATGCATTTGATCTTCCATTGTCCAGGAGAATCATTGGTCATAGTGAAATAATATATAAAGGAACAATTTTAAAATGCAGGTTTGCCACTCTGTAATTGGAATAGTAGACATAAAGCCATAATTATCTCCAATTTTGTCAAAAGCTTTTTATGTACCATTTTTCATTTTACTTCTCAGGGACCCCTATTAAAAGTTTCACCTGCCTCTCATGTAGGAGATGGAGTTGCCTGTGGGGAAGCAGCTCCAGCACAGATCAAGGTTTCACATGAAAGAGTCTGGACTTGTATTTTGTTAATGTTCACTGTGAAGAAGATGCTCATTGGGAAATACAGATATACGGAAGGGAAGGGGAAATTTAAGGAAGTCACTGGTATCTAGGCCATAGATACTGTATTTGTTTTGTGTTGCTATAAGAGAATACCTGAGACTGGGTAATATATAAAGAAAAGTGGTTTATTTAGCTCACAGTTCTGCATACTGGGAAGTTCAAGAGCATAGCGTGGCATCTGGTTGGCTTCTGGTAAGAGCTGTGTGCTGAGTCAAAACATGGCAAAGAAGCAGAAAAGCAAGTGGTCATGTGCAAAGAGATCACATGGCAAGAGAGGAAGCAAGACAGAGTCTAGGAAGCTGGACTCACTTTTATAACAACTCATTTCTTCAGCAACTAATTCAGTCCAGCCAGAAAGAGAACTCACTCACTCTTGTGGGAAAGCATTAATCTATTCATGAGAAATCCACCCCCATGAACCAAACACTTCCCACTATCCCACCTCCAGACATCACCAGATTGGAGATCACACTTCAACATGAGTTTCCGAGGGGACAAACAAATCATAGCAGTTACCAATCCTGCTTTAATACAGGCCTGATGAAATGTCCTTTTGCAATCCTGGTGTTTTCTATTTTGTTAAACAGCTTTATTGAGATATAATTCACTAACCATAAGTTTACCCATTTCAAGCACACAATTCGATGGTTTTCAGCATATTCATATATTGTTGCAACCGTCGACCACAACCTAAACCTAAAGTATTTTTATCAGTACCCCCTACAAGCCCCCATAACTTTTTGCAGTCCTACCCATTGCCCTCCATACCTCCAACTCCCTGCCATAGGCAACCAACAATCTACTCTCTATCTTTATAAATTTGCCTGTTCTCCCCATTTCATATAAATGGGACCATACAATACTTTTTTCTTTTGTATCTGGCTTCCTTCGCATAACACTTTCATTTTCATGTTGCAGCATGTATCTGTACTTCATTCCTTTTTATTGCTGAATAATATTCCATCGGGAGGATACGGTCATGCATCACTTGATGAGGAGGATGCATTCTGAGAAATGCATCATTAGATTTCATCGTTGTGCAAACATCATAGAGTGTACATACCCAAACCTAGATGGTGTGGCCTATTACACACCTAAGCTATATGGCTTAGCCTTATTGCTGCTCCTAGGCTACAGATCTGTACAGCGTGTTGTTACTGTAGGGAATATACTGTGTGCAACTGCAACACAATGGTAAGTATTTATGTATCTAAACACATGAAAGGTACCGTAAAAATACAATATGAAAGATAAGGGCCGGGCACGGTGGCTTATGCTTGTAATCCCAGGACTTTAAGGAAGCCGAGGCGGGCAGATCACCTGAGATCAGGAGTTCAAAACCAGCCAGGCCACCATGGCGAAACCCTGTCTCTACTAAAAATACAAAAATTAGCCGGGTATGGTGGTGCACGCCTGTAAATCCAGTTACTCGGGACGCTGAGGCATGAGAATCCCTTGAGCCTGGGAGGCGGAGGTTGCAGTGAGCCGAGATCATGCCACTGCACTCTAGCCTGGGCGACAGAGCAAGACTCTGTCAAAAAACATACAAACAGAAAGAAACAAAAAGAAATGAAAACAAACAAAAAGAAAAGAGAAACGAAAGATGAAAAATGGTATACTTACATAGGACACTTACTATGAACAGAGCTTGCAGGACTGGAAGCTCCTCTGAATGAGTCAGTGAGTGAGTGGTGAGTGAATATGAAGGTCTAGGACATCACTGTACACTAGTGAAGATTTAATGAACACTGCACACTTATGCTACATTCCATTTTTAAAATAACTGTGCTACGACTTTATGACAGCTACGATGTCACTAGGCAGTAGGAATTTTTCAGCTCCGTTATAATCTTATGGAACCACTTTTGTATATGCAGTCTCCTTAACCTAAAAGTCATTATTTAGTGCATGACTATACTGCATTTGTTTATCTGTTCATTAGTTGATGGATGTTTGGGTTGTTTCTACTTTTTGGCTATGAATAATGATAATGCTGCTATGAACATTTTGTTTTCATGTGGTTTTCATTTCTCTTGAGTATATACCTAGGGATCATTTGATGACTCTGTTAGCACATATTGGCTACAAGAAATGTTTGTGTGTGCCTATATCATGAAAAGTGTGTGTGTGTGTGTGTGTGTGTGTATGATAAAAAGGTGACGGTTTTTTTATGAAACAAAAAGAGTAGGAAAAAATCATTCAATAGAAATTATATGTAAGTAGATTCTTATATTTTAACAACAAATGTATTTATGTCTTTTACACATAAAAGAGGCATATAGACCTGGTATTAATAGCCTGTGATATTTTAAAAATATATGAAGTTGAAAGCACCATTCCTACTTTTATCACCTAAATAGTATCCCAACTCTAAATTCCATATATTGCTTATTCTAATGAAAATAACTTTGTGACATTGAAGTTTTCCTCATTCTCTTTTATGTGTTTCTGTTATTAAGCAACAATAATGCCACTGTTTTCTTTAGGCTGCTCACAACCCCTTTCCACTCACATGCTTCAGTGGGCTGAGAATGACCAGCCTGCTAAGTGACTGTGTAGAGTGAACTAGAGTAACATCAGATTCCTTTAGCTGTGGGCAGGCTTGGTGCAGCAAAGCTTGAGGGAGGAGAACACATCTGAGTCAGAGCTTATCCATCATTGGTTGCTGAGCCTCACTGAGAGTATGTTGTCTGCTGAGAACAAGATTTACCTGGAGACTGAAAATTTAATTGATCATGGGTGAGGCAAGTTAGTAAGGTGAGCTAACATGTTAATAGGAGTGAAGCAGACCTATAAATAACATATATGACAATGCCATTCAATGTGAATTTCCAGCAACAATAGGCAGGTTTTTAAATTATAAGCTTCTTTTAAAAATCTCTTCATTGTGTTACCTGCTAGTTAAAAATGCAAAACCAAGAGACTGATTTTTATTTTACAATGACTATAGGCTCTTTACCTGATTGTTTTCCTTTTTGTAAAGAAAATTTTAACAGTACTATACAGTATTCTTACCTACAGGTACAGTGCTGTACAGCAAATTTCTAGAACTTATTCATCTTATATAACTTTAGATTCATTGACTAACACTTCCCATTTCTCCCTCCGTGTAACCCCTACTACCATGAATCTACTCTGTTTCTGTGAGTTTAACTATTTTAGGTAGCTCATATCATTGGAATCACGTAGCATTTGTCCTTCTGTAACTGGCTTGTTTCCCTTAACATAATGTCCTCCAGGTTCATCCATGCTGTTGCAAATGTCAGGATTTCCTTCTCTGTTAAGGCTAAATAATATTCCATTGTATGTACACACCACATTTTCTTTATCCATTGATCTGTAAGTAAACACTCAGGTGGTTTCCATGTCTTACCTATTGTGAATAATGCTGCAGTGACCATGGGAGTGCAGATATCTCTTCTAGATCCTGATTTCATTTCTTTCATATATATACCCAGAAGTGACACTGCTGAATCATACGGTAGTTCTATTTTTAATATGCCGAGGAACTTCAATACTTTTCTCAATAGTAGCTGAACCATTTTATATTCCTACCAGCGGTATAGAAGGCTTCCCATTTCTCCACATCCTTGGCAACCCCTGTGATCTGTCATTTTTTGATAATGGCCATCCTAACAAGTCTGAAGTGATAGCTCATTGTATTTTTCACTTTTGAATTGCATTGATGGTTTGTGATGTTGAGCATCTTTTTATCTACTTGTTGACCATTTTTATGCCTTCTTTGGAGAAATGTCTATTCAAGTATTTTGCTCATTTATTAATCTAGATATTTGTTTTTTTGCTCTTGAGTTGTAGGATTTCCTTACATATTTTTGGTATCAACCCCTTATCAGATATATGGTTTTCTAATATTTCCTCTCACTCCATAGGCTGCCTTTTCACTCTGTTTATTGTTTCCATTGCTTTGCAGTAACTTTTTTACTTTGATAAAATGCCACTTACCTATTTTTGCTTTTGTACTGTGTTTTTGGTGTCATAGCCAAGAAATCATTGCAAAGACCAATCTCAAGGAGCTCTTCCTTTATGCTTTTATCTAAAAGTCTTACAATTTTAGGTATTACATTTAAATTTTTAATCTATTTTGGGTTGATTTTTGTGTATGATGTAAAACAAGGATCCAGTGTCATTATTTTGGCTGTGGATGTACAGTTTTCCCAGCACCATTAATTGAAGAGACTATCCTTTCCCCATTGTATATTTCTGGCATCGTTGTTGAAGATCGGTTGACATTATATGTGGGTTTATTTCTGGGATTGTGACTTTCTTCCACTGGTATATTTGTCTGTTTCTAATGCTCACACCACATTGTTTTGTTTTTAAATATATTTTGAAATCAGTAAGTGTGATGCCTCCAGTTTTGTCCTTCTTTCTCAAGATCGCTTTGCCTAATTGGGGTTTTTAGTTTGTTATTTTCATGTAAATTTCAGGATAGATTTTTTTTTCTATTTCTGTGCAAAATGCCATTGGGATATTGATAGTGATTGCACTGAATTTGTAGATTGCTTTAGACAGTATGAACATTTTAACAATATTAAGTCTTCCAGTCCATGATCACACGTCTTTGTATTTATTTCTGTCTTCTGTATCTTCTTTAATTTCTTTCATCTATGCATTACAGTTTTCAGTGTACAAGCCTGTTATGTATGGTTCGAATATTTGTGTTCCTCCAAACTTTATGTGTTAAAGTCTAATCCCTAATGTGATGAAATTAAGAGGTGGGACAGTTGAGAGGTAATTAGGTCATAGGGGCTCTGCCCTCATGAATGGGATTAGTGCCTTTACAAAAGAGGAGTGAGAGGGACTTTTTGCCATTTCTGCCATGTGAGGATGCAGCAAGAAGATACCATCTCTGAGAAAGAGGTCCTTACCAGACAACGAATCTGCTGCTGCTTTGATGTTGGGCTTCCCAAACTCCACAACTGTGAGCAATAAGTTTATGTTGTTTATAAATTACTCAGTCTAAGGCATTTTGTTATAAAAGCCTGAACGGACCAAGGCAAAGTCTTTCACCTCCCTGATTTATTTCTGAGTATCTTTCATGTCATTCTAAATATGATTGTTTTCTAAGTTTCCTTTTCAGATAGTCATTAATAGTAACATGGCTTTTATGTTGAGTTTGTAATCCTGAAATGTTACTGAATTCATTTGTTAGTTCTAACAGTTTGTGCGTGTGTGTGTGTGTGTGTCTGTGTGTGGGATGTGTGTGTGTGTGTGTGTGTGTTTCGTCCTCAGGGTTTTCCACATATAAGATCATGTCATATGCACACATAAATCATTTTACTTCTTCCTTTTCTATTTGGATGCCATTTCTTTTTCTTAGCAATTACACTGGCTAAGACTGCCAATACTATCTTGCATACAGGTGACTAAAATAGCCATCTTTGCCTTCTTTCTGATCTTAGAAGAAATGATTTCAGTTTTTTACATTGAATATTGTATTATACTGGTGGTAGGTGTTTCACATTGGGGCTTTATTATGTTAACGTTAATTGTATACTTAGTTTGTTGAGAGTTTTTATCAAGGAGGATATTGAATTTTATCAAATGCTTTTCTGCAGTCTATGGAGATAATCAGATGATCAGATGATTTTTATCCTTCATTTTGTTGCATTACATTATTCTGTTACAGTGTGCCACATTAATCAATTTGCATATATTGAACCACCCTTAAAGCCCGGGGATAAATACCTCTTGGTCATGGTGTATGACCCTTTTAACTATGCTGATGAACTCAGTTTGATAGTATTTTGTTGAGGGTGTTTGCAACTATGTTTATCAGGGTTATCATCCTTTAGTTTTCTTTTCCTGTAGTGACTTTATCTGGCTTTAGTATCAGGGTGCTGCTAGCCTCATAAAATGAGTTTGGAAATCTTTCCTCTTCTTAGATTTTTTGAAATAAGTTAAGGAAGATTGGTGTTCATTCTTTCTTGAGTGTTCAGCAGCATTAACCTATGGAGGCATACAGTCTTGAGCTTTTCTTTGTTGGAAGATTTTGATTACAGGCTCAATCTCATTATTCATTATTGCTCTGCCATGGTCTGAATGTTTGGCTCCCCTGGAATTCATTTGTTGCAACCTAATCCCTAATGCAATTTTATTAAAAGTGGTGCTTTAGGAAGTGATTAGATCACAAGGGCTTCACCCTTATGAATGGTGAATTAGTATTCATATTAAAGAGGCCTATGGGAGCCTGTTTGCCCCTTTCACTGTGTGAGGATGCAACAAGAAGGTGCCATCTATGAGGCTGAGAGCTAACCCTCACCGGACACCAATAATGCTTGCACCTTGAACTTCCCAGCTTCCAGATCTGTGAGCGGTACCTTTATTTTGCTTGTAAATTACCCAGTCTAAGGCCCTTTTTATAGCAGCCCAAATTGACCAAGACATGGTGTTTAAGATTTTGTAATTCTTCATGATTCAGTCTGGTAGGTTGTATGTTTCTAGGAAATCATTAATTTCTTCCAGGATTTCCAATGTGTTAGCATACACTTTCTTAAATAGAAATCTCTTATGATCTTAATTTCTGTTGCATTAGTTATAATGTCTCCTCTTCTGATTTTATTTGTTTGACTCTTCTCTCCTTTTTCTTAGTCTAGATGAAGGTTTGTCGAATTTTCATATCTTTTCAAAAAGTCAACTCCTAACTGCAGTTTTTTTATTGATTTT
Source organism: Homo sapiens (assembly GCF_000001405.40). NCBI lineage: Eukaryota > Metazoa > Chordata > Mammalia > Primates > Hominidae > Homo > Homo sapiens. The sequence goes on along the minus strand of NC_000005.10, from coordinate 11,937,667 downwards.
TAATCTGCTTTATTTCTGTTCTAATATTGGTTATTTTTACCCTCTGCTAACTTTGTGTTTAATTTGCTCTTTTTCTAATTCTGTGAGGCATAAATTTAGATCATTTATTTGAGATCTTTCTTCTTTGTTAATGTAGGCATTCATTACTACAAACTTCTCAGTACTATTTTTGCTGCATCACCTAAGTTTTGGCATATTGTGTTTTGTTTTTGTTTTTGTCTTGAGATTCCTTCTAATTTCCCTGCTTATTTCTTCTCTGACCCATAGGTTGTGTCCACTGAGGAATGATGAGGTTCAAAAACTTGGAGAGGAGAGCTTTATTTCTCAAAAATGATTGCAGCCTGCAAGGTGGCCATTCTGACAGGCTAGGAAAGGTAATCTCCACCCAGAAGCCAGAAACAGACCCTTTCAGGGTAGAAAGAATAAGACAGGGATTTATGCTGAATGTGGTGGCCAAATATCCATATTCAATAAGCTATAGGAGAAGTCATGAGTATTTATGATAGGAGAACAATGCAGATGTTCAGCCGAGCTTCATGCTTCACCATGGGACCCATGTTCAAAAAATGGTGGCATTAGCATGATTCTGGGATGGAGTTTTCAGCCCTTTGACATCAAAAGGTAAAGCAGAGGACATGAAACCCTCACTGCACATCCCCCATAGACTGGCAGAACCACTCTGTGGCCAGTGGTCTCTTATTGGGAAGGAATACTGGACAGTTTATTGAAATCACAAATGGGAGGGGCAGAATCAGGCAGCTGGTTGATATAGTAGTGTAGTGAGCCTTTCCAAAGGGCTGGTTTCAGGTTAACCCTTAGGGAAGAAAGGGTAAAGGTGGTTAGTGAGGAAGGGGGTATAATGACCTCCCATACTGTCATGGCCACAAAGTCTGTTTTCAAGGTTTTGCTAGGGTCCCCTAGGCCAAGAGGAGGTCCATTCAGTCAGCTGGAGGCCTTAAGATTTCATTTTTATTTCTCATTGTTCAAGAGTATATTGTTCGTTTTCCACATATTTGTGGGTTTTTTTTTTCATTTTCCTTCTCTTACTGATTTTTGGTTTTATTTTATGGTAGTCAGGAAACATACTTGGCATGATTTAAATCTTCCTAAATGTGTTAAGATTTCCTTTGTGAACCAGCCTGTGATATATCCTGGAGAATGCTCTAAGTGCTCTTGAGAAGTATATGTTCTGCGGATGTGAAGTAGAATGTTTCTTATATGTCTTGCTATGGTCTGACTGTTGGTAACCCCCAAATTTACACACTAAAATTCTAGCCCCCAAAATGATTAGGAGGTGGGGTCTTTGGAAAGAGATTATGTCATAAGGGTGAAGTCCTCATGAATGAGATTAGTACCCTTATGAAGGAGACCCCAGAGAGACTTTCGCCCCTTCTGTCATGGGAGGACACAGTGAAATGCTGCCTTCTATAAACCAGGAAATCCGCGCTTGCCAAACACTGAATCTACCAGTGCCTTGATGGGGGACTTCTTATCCTCCAGAAGGAGGCTGGGAAATAAATGTCTATAGTTTATAAACTATGCAATCTATGATATTTTATTAGAGCAGCCCAAACAAACCAATACAATATATATCAGATCCATTTTGTCTACGGATCTGTTCAACTCCACTGTTTCCTTATTTCTGAAAATAGGATATTAAATTATCCTACAAATATTATATTGCCATTCATTTTTTTCCTTTAGACTTATCAATGTTTGCTATATATACATATGCTCAATATTGGATATATGTATATGTATATATATATATTATATATATTTATAATTGTTATATCTTCCTGACAACAGGACACTTTTATCATTATATAACAACTTTCTTTGTCTCTTGAGACGGTTTTTTATTTAAAGTCCATTATATATAAGTATAGCCTCCTGGTATAGTTTGGATATTTGCCCCTGTCCAAATCTCATGCTGAAATGTAATCCTCGATGTTGGAGGAGGGACCTGGTGGGAGTTGTTTGGATCATGGGAGTAGATCCCTCATAAACAGCTTGGGCCATCCTCTTAGTGATCAGTGAGCTCTTGCTCCGAGTACACATAAGATCTGGTCACATAAAAGTGTGTGACATCGCCAAACCCCCACTCTCTCTCTCTCTCACTCCTGCTTTCTTATGTGATATGCCTGTTTCCACTTTGCCTTCCACCATGACTGAAAGCTTTCTGAGTTCTCCCCAGAAGCATATTCCAGGATGCTTCCTGTACAGCATGAAGAACTATGAGCCAATTAAATCTCTTTTCTTTTCATAAATTACCCAGTCTCAGTTATTTCTTTATGGCAATGCAAGAATGGCCAAATACATGACCCCTGCTTTCTTTTGTCATTAGCATGCAATATCCTTTTCCACCCCTTCACTTCCATTCTATATATTTTTTAAATTTAAAATAAGTCTCTTATAGACTGCATATAGTTGAAAATGGTTTGTTTTTTAAAAAATTATCCACTCTATGTATTTTGATTTTGATAAATTTAATCTATTTATGTTTAAGGTAATCATTGATAAGCAAGTACTTATTGTCATTTTGTTAATTCTTTTTTGTCTGTCTTGGAGTACTTTTGCTCCTCTTTTCCTCTCTTGCTATCTTCCTTAGTGATTTGAAGAATTTTCAGGCTATATTTTGATTCCTTTCTCTTTTCCTTTAGTGTATCTTCCATAGGTATTTTCTTTGTGATTACCATTAGGCTTACATTTATGCTGTTAACTTCAATTGCATACAAAAATGCTACACATTTAATTCTTCCTCCAATACACTTTGTTATTGATGTGACAATTTACAGCTTTTCATGTTGTAAATTATTGTAGTTGTAGTAATTCTACTACTTTTTTCTTTTAAATTTTATATTAAAACCAAAAGTATTTACACATCACTATTGAAGTATTACAGTAGTCTGTGTTTGTCTACATGTTTACCTTTACCAGGGAGTTTTATACATTCATATGCTTTCATATTTGTCCTTTTTGTTTCAACTTGAACTCCCTTTAGCATTTCCTGTAAGGCAGGTCTAGTAGTAATGAACTTCTTCAACTTCTGTTTTTTTCTGGAAGTCTTTATTTTCTCTTCACTTTTGAAAAAGAATTTTGCCAGGTATAGTATTTTTTGTTGACAAATTTTTTCATCACTTTGAATATATGGTTACACTTTCTTCTTGCCTACAAGGTTTCTGCTGAGAAATCTCCTAGTAGTCTTTGGGGCCCCTTTGTTCATGCCAAGTTATTGCTCTCTTGCATCTTTCAAAATTCTCCCACTGTTTTTGACTTTTAACAATATGATTATAATGTGTCTTGGTGTATATTTCTTTGTGTTCATACTTTTGGGGCCTTTTGAGCTTCAGCAATCTGGATGTCCGTTTTTCTTCCCAAACTTGGGAAGTTTTTTGCCATTAGTTCTTTAAATAAGATTTTTTCCCTCTTTCTCCTTTCTGAAACTTTTATAATGCATTAAAATAAAAATTTGAACAATAAAAACTTCATTAGGTCTAATAATTCCCTTAAGTGTTCACTCTTTTTCATTCTTTTTTCTTTTTGCTCCTTTGACTAAACAATATCAAATGATCACTCTCTGAGTTCACTGATTCTTTCTTCTGCTTGATAAAATCTGCTGCTGAAGCTCTGTATTAAAGTTTTTGGTTTTGTTATTATATTCTTGAGCTCCAGAATTTCTGCGTGGTTCTTTTTGATAGCTTCTACCCCCTTGTTAATATTTCTATCTTATTCATGTATTATTTTTCTGATTTTGTTTAGTTGTCTGTTTTCTTATAATTCATTGAGCTTCAAGATAATTGTATTAAATTATTTGTCAGCCAATTAATAGATCTCAATTTCTTTAGGGTCATTTAATGGAGGTTTGTTCTGCTGCTTTGGCTGTATCGTTGTTTCCTGATTCTTCATGGTCCTTGTAGCTTTGTGTTGGTGTTTGTGCATTTGCAGAAATAGCTGCTTTTTCCAGTCCTTATAGACTGACTCAGACAGAGGGAGACCTTCATCAGTCAGCCTTGGGAGAGATTCTGGGAGCTTCTCAAACCCTTCCATGGATGTGTATTTTCTGAACGAATGCATAGGTAAGTAGACAGATTTACTAGTTTCTTTCTTTCTTTCTTTCTTTCTTTCTTTCTTTCTTTCTTTCTTTCCTTCTTTCTTTTTTCTTTCCTTTCCTTTTTTCTTTTCTTTCCAGGAGGCTTCAATCTCTTACTCCTTCTGGTATCTGACCCCTGTACCACAGGCTGGAACATTGGAGGCATACTACATTTCTATCCATCATTCTCTGTGAAGAAGCTCCTTCTCCCTATCTCACAGAGCCATGCCAGCAGCAGTAAGCCCCCACCGCTTTTTCTCTGTCCTTGACCATCTCTGGACATCTGAAGTATGCCAGTTCTCTCAGAACTCCATGTGAGGCAAGACAGAATCTGTTTCTTTAGGCAGTGAACTAAAAAGCCAGGGTTGTTGTAAGCACAGTCCATTCTCTCTGCATCCATGAGGGAGAAGTTGTAGGCTGAGCCCATTTCTCTTGGTGCTGAGCTATGCTGGCTTGGAGAAAGAGCTGACACTAGTAAAGTAAAATTGCTCTTACCTGGTTCAATATAGCCATTCTCAGCTCTGTGCTTATCTAGAAGCCTGCAGTTTCTCAACTGGATTCTGACCCTCTCATAAAGGTACATAGACTGATGATATTTGGTCCATATATCATTGTTAAATTGGTGTTTCCATGTGGGAAAGAGAGTTGAGACTTCTTATTCTGCCATCTTGCTGACATCACCCTCATTGATGTTTTTAGCTTAGTCTCCTCTTTCCAATGTTGTGCTGAAGAATCCTATTTCTGTGCACCATTTACTTTAACTTATTTTTCCCTTTAAACACCAGTTCATATTCTTCTAGTTACTGTTATATAATATATGAATGCAATTCATGAATTCTAACTATGAGAAAATCACACTTGTAAAAAAAGATGTATTTTTCCTGAAAATGAGAATTTATTTTCCAATTTCCCAGTTATTCTGAATAACTGAAGAGAAAACCTGTATTAGTCTACTTACCCTGCTATGACAAAATACCACAAGCTTAGTGGCATAAACAACAGACTGTTATTTTCTCACACTTCTGGACACTAGAAATCCAAGGTCAAGGTTCAGCAAGGTCAGTTTCTGGTAAGGGTTCTCTTTCTGGCTTGCAGATGGTAACCTTCTCACTGTGTACTCACATGACTTTTCTTCTGTCCACATGAGATAGAGGCAGAGAGAGAGAGAGAGAAGCAGAGAAACAGAGCACTCCCCAGAGTCTGGTCCTCCTCTTATACAGACACCAATCCCATTAGATCAGAGCCCCACCCTTATTATCTCATTTAACTTTGATTACCTTCCTAAAGGTCCTTTCTCCAAATACCATTACATTGGGGATTGGGACTTAGATTTTCTTTCTTTTCTTTTCTTTTTCTTTTTTTTTTTTTTGAGATCACATGCGGTTTAATTGTGGGAGGCTGAGAGCAGCATTTTTACCATATTGGTGTAAAAATGAAACGGGGTCCAGATGTGTACACTGACAGTTACAGTAAATTTCAAAATCCAAGCAGCAATTTGAATCATTTCTTGAAAACAAACACAGACAGACACCAAACACGGAGTTGGTGCCTGGCGCGGTCCGCAGGGTTGGAGGCCAGCCCTGCATCATGGGTGTGGCCAGGCACTGTGCAGGGGCCCAACTCCTCGGGGACTGGCCCATGACCTCCCACTCAGGGGGCTGAGCCAATGCCTGGCCGAGAGGGGGCCGCAGCAAGCAGGCCTGGGTGGCTGCCCGCGCCCGCAGGGGACATCGGGGAAATGTGGACAGAGTGCGGGACCCAAACGCTGCCTGAGGAGTCTTAGCAGGGTGGACAGGCCTGGGGGTCTCTACCAGCAATGCAATAAATATGCAAATCCAAGCACAGAAAGACCAAGCGCAGACCCCACGGACGCACGAGGCCCAGCCCGGTTCCTGCTGGCACCACCGACTCTTCACAGACCAGGAATCTCCAAGTCGGCAGCTCTGGTGTCCCCGAGGTGCGGTGGGAGGCGGCGGGTGGGTGGGACATGCCTAACGCCTACGTCTAGCAGCCTCGGGGGGGGCTTTGATTTTCAATATGAATTTTAGGGGGGCATATTTCAGTCCATAACAAAACTCAAGAAGTTTGGGTAATTATACATGAGCTCAAGTTGTGAGTTTTCAACTTTTTTGATCATATAACATCAGGGATACACACAGTAGCAATCTACACATTTCAACCATGTGCCAGTTGTCTGATTAATGAGACTTTCATGCATGCCGACACATTAATATTCATAAATGAATATTAGCATTTCCTGGTAATCTATTCAAATTTTTAAAACCAGTATTTTCTTCATAGTTCAATTAAAATAAAATAAACTGAATTCTAACAGATCATGTGCAAGAAATACGAAAAAAAATCTATCTCCTGCCTGCTTTATGTTTTATATCAGAGAAATCTGTGTAGGTTTAAGAGAGAAAGTATTTCTATGGCTAATGTTAATTTTGAATTTTTTAAATAAATAATATGTCAGTCTTATAAGACTGCTATTTTATAAAGTTTTCAAAAATATCCCATGGTTATCCATAATTTTTCTCATGTGTGAAGTATATATGTACTTGATTGTTTTATATACTGCTTGTTTTTCAGAATTGTGGTGTTTACTTATTTTCCTTTTTTTTTCACTACAAGCAATAAAAATGGCCATAAGTGTTTTCTGTGTCTTTGGGAAAACAATATGTTTGCAAAGATAAAACATTTCTGATATGGAGAAATTTTCTACTCAATTGCTGCTTAATAGTCAAGATAAACTGGTTCTGATGAAGCTGCTCCCAAAATTCAGAAATATCTGCACATACATTAAAAAAAGTTTTTTTCCAAAGATTTAAACCGTGTACTAACAGAGGATCCAGTGTTACTCTGGTTTTTAAATACTCTGTTGAGTTACATACTGAAATCTATAATATTAACTGCATTTCATTATTATGAAAATCATTATATGAATTATATGAAATCATTTCAATATCATTATATGAAAATAATTATTTTCCCATAGCATTCTGCTTCTATCACAACATTTTAATTTCTAAATTTTTTTTACTGAAGGCAGATAATGTTATTCAACAAGTTTCCTCTGTTATTTAATAGTGAATCTAGCAAATAATAGGAGGTGGTCAATATCCACATAATATCCTTACAGAATACTTCATTTATCTAAAAAATATTTAATTGAAAATAAATTAGAAGTAAAGCATACCTTTGAGTCTGAGGTCTCATCCTACCTCTTATGACCTCGGACAAATAATTTCTCTTCTTTATGCTTCAGATACTAAACAAGGGAGTCTACCCAAATGATGTCTAGCTTTTTTTAGATAAAACATGCTATCATAATCTTGTGATACTAAAAACTAACATTTTAGTCAGAGTCATAAAAAAAGTCTTCCACTTAATGGCATCTCTGACAAAAATGTAATTTTTAATTCAACTCATCTCCCTTTTCAAAATTAATTATAAACCCTCACCACATACACTTATATTGAATCTAATAAAAATAAGTCTGAAATAAAAAGTAAGAATTAATCAGAGATGTACTTGCCATGTTTGTGTCTTGCCTTTCTTATGTTGTGAACAGAAATTTTAAAAAGGGCAAGACTCCTATAGCTCCCCTCACTATTAGCCTTGGGTAGGAGGCTTGGAATGCAAACTATTTGGCAACCTCAGATATTTTTATATAAGTCAAGTATTTACATGTGACATCATGCAGATGAGAAAAGGTCTCTTAGTACTTGTCTCATAGAGGTACTATAAAGATTCAATAAGAAATATGCTTACAACACTCAGCGCAGTGTCAGACACAGAGCAAATGTATATTGAATGTGGGTTCATTCATTCCTGTGGCCATTTTCAATGATGGCTACGCTAATACATTATCCCATCTCACATCTGTCCTTACAGTGAAATTGACACTCATCTCACAGAACAGGAAGTCTATGTCAGTCCATTTTCATACTGCTATGAAGAAATACCCAAGACTGGTTAATGTATAAAGGAAAGAGGTTTAGTTGACTCACAGTTCTGCAGGGCTGGGGAGGCCTCAGGAAACTTACAGTCATGGTAGAAGGAGAAACAAACACATCCTTCTTCAGATGGTGGAAGCAAGAAGTGCAGAGCAAAGAGCGGGGAGAGCCCCTTATAAAACCGTCAGATATCCTGAGAACTTTCTCACTATCATGAGAACAGCATGGAGGTAACCACCTCCACGATTCAATTACCTCCCACTGGGTCCCTCCCATGACATGTGGGGATTATAAGAACTACAATTCAAGGTGAGATTTGGATGAGGACACAGTCAAACCATAACAAAGTCTATGTGTTTTCCTGCTGAAACTGCTCGGTACTTCTGACTCCCAAGATGACTGGAGTACATCAAAATGAAGCCACCTACCTTCTGAAACCAGGTCACTTACAGAACACAGTTTCTTCCTGTTTGGCTTGTGTGCTCTTGCTCTCCTTCTGTCAGAGAAGCAGCCACTGTGGTATGAGGAAGCCCAGTGCACATGGGGAGACCACAGTGAGGTGGCCCAGCTGACAGTGCCAGCCAAGGCTTCAGCCAATAGCCAGTGTCAACCCCCACCCCACGGGTGAATAAGCCTCGAATCCCCTGCCACCCTGCCTCCACATCGTCCACTGAGGCTCCAAAACTGGAGCAGATGGGCTGTTCTCACTATATCCTGTTTAAACCCTCACCTGCAGAAACTAGGACAGACTAATACATGATTATTGTTGTCTTAAGTCATAAAATATTGTGACCACTGGTTATACAGAAAAAGATAAATAGTATAACTTGTTTCATTTTCTTAAGTGGAACAACTTTGAAATGGACACTCCCTTCCCAACACCGTTGTTATGTTGTTAGTTAATAAATGTTGACTGAATTGAATTCAGGCAAATTTTAGATCAGAGGCATAGACTAGCATGTACTGAACCCATTATCATCACATAAAACTCCTGAATGATGATTACTGTAATGAAGAAATAATAGTTCTAACAGGGGACCAGAAAGAGGAGAGTCTAGTAAAGACAGGCACAATATAATAAGACAGCTAAAGACAGCATATATTTTATATTTGTCATTCTCATATGTGTGGAAAAACATTTTGTAAAAGTCAGGTCATTATTTTATTAAATTATTATTGAGGCAAAATAATACTTTAATACAAATACTTCATTTCTTCCATGTACTTGCCTCAGCCAGAACCTCTCTGGCAACTGGGGATCTCACATAACCTAAGGTATGACCAGAGGATCCTTTTTACAGAAAAGAAGCACAAGAATAGGCCCACATCAGCTAGTTTTATCATGTTCTCCACCACCCAGAAGTGGATGGTCAGAGAGTTGATGGTAGTCTGGGCAAAGGCACAGTTCGCAGTGCCTGCTCAGAGCTGGTATGCCCCAAGGATGGATGATCTTCTCCCAGGACCCAGTATAGATTTTGAGTTAAAGGACTTTAGATACATTGCTTTGCCCTGGGGAAGAATACACGTGTTCAGGAGTCAAAGGTGAAAAACATCAGCTTTTTTGCTGTTTTGGGTTTTTGTTGTTATTGTCGTTGTTTTGTGTTTTGAATTTGTGCCTTCTGTCCTTGTAATGCTGGGTTCTGCAGGTTCAGGAGTCCTGGTCCCCAAAACGGAAACACTTCCAACAGGGGACACAGCAAGTTGCTACTGTCCCCCAGTTCCTTTGGGCAAGAAGGGAATTGTAATAGTTTCCTAAGGCAACCATAACACATAATTACTATAAACTGGTCATTTAAAAAAACAAAAATTTTGTCTCCCACAGTTGTGGGGCCTAGAAGTCTGAAATCAAGTTACTGGCAGGGCCTTGCTCTCTCTGAAGGCTTTAGCGAAGAATCTGTTCTTGCCCCTTCCCCAGCTTCAATGGCTCCATACAATCCCTGGTGCTCCTGGGCTTCCATCTGCATCACTTCAGCCTTGCTTCACTTTCACATGGCCTTTGTCTGCATCCTTGCCTGTGTTTGTGTGTTGTCTCCTTTTCTTAGAAGGACACCATCATCCAGTAGGACCTTATCCTAACTTCCTCACTTATATCTGCACAGACCTTATTTCCAAATAAGGTCACTTTCTGAGGCTCCAGGTGGACATGAATTGGGGAATCGTGATGATTCTGGGGATGCCCAGATTAAACATTTTTTTCTAGGTGTAGTTAATGATCAAACATTATTTTTAGGGAAATTCCTCGGACTGGAATTTATGCCATCACTCTGATTGAATTACACCACCAGCTTTCCTGGGCCTACAGGTTGCAAATAGCAGATCATGGGACATCTCAGCCTCCATAATCATGTACGCGAGTTCCTCATAATAAATATAAATTGCATATATATATAATATGTATAATATATATGTATGTATCTCCTCTTGATTCTATTTGTCTGGAGAACTCTGACAGATACAGGGAGTGGGGAAGAATCCTATTAAATTTAGTACAAAGAGTCACTATCCTGGTAGTGGTAATTGAATTTGGCCAATAGGAATGTAGAGAAACCAAGAGGAATCTTCCCTTTTGCCTTCTGAAGGGTCGCTGAAAAATCACTGACATGAGGTAGATTAGTAGGAGAAAGGCTCACACAATTATTTAATGATTATACATGGAAGCTTTCAGAATGAAGACCCAACACCCCAGTGGGGTTCGGGAACTTATATATCATCCTTGCTAAACAGGCTGTGGGAGAGGGGAGAAGAGGAGTTCTATTGAGGGGATACTAGGGAGAATGAATGGATGCAGGAACAGTAATTAACTTGTAAATAGTTCTCTTTGACAGTGAAAATGTCTGCTCAGGTGTGGTTACATTCTTGGTCTTACAGGAGTGGGAAGAAAAAAAAAATTGCTCTCCTTGCTGGGTCGGATCTTGGGCAGATAAAGGAACTTCAACTTCTTTGGAAGAGATGGTGGCAGCGAAGAGGTCAGAGAGACCTTGAGGCTTTGTCTTCAGTTGAGCATGTCAAGACACCATATTTTGGGGCATCAGTTTTTGAGTCCCAAGATGGGAGTTAGGAATTGTGTTCTACATTGAGGATAGAGAAAAATGTAATAAAATTTAAGAAGTACCTACATATATAAGCTATAATTTTATTAATGCATTGTCAATATTGACATTTTCTCAGATATATTTAAATCTGTATTTTTTTCTGTTGGGGTATACGTACATGCATTAAAGTTAATTTGGGGGGTACAGGTCTATGAGTTTTGACAAATTTGATAAAAAATTTGGTTTGCTCAAAGGAAAATTTAATTTCCATGGTTATGTAAGAGAAACATGACTTTGTACTTCTAAATCATCTTGGTAACCCATATAGTGTTTACTATATTGGCACATAATATTTCAAGGCAGGAGGCTCATATTTCATATTGGTGGAATCTGAAAAAGTCATTCCCCAAATTATACAGAATTGGTATTAAAAACTGCATCCACACATGGGGTTGAGCTTCCCAATAATATTTCTACTAAGATAAAGGATAGCATTACAACCTCTTCCCATACATTAACTCACTATGAGTTTGGATGCCATAAATACAATACCCTTTGCTCACAAACAATAGTTTCGTTATCAAGTTGTCTGACCCCATTCAGTGAAACCTATTTTCAAAATACTGTTGATATGCTCTGGCACTGGTCATATTTTAGTGATGTACTCATAGGCCTCACAAGTATTCCTGCCCAATGTGGCCTTTAAACAAATCTTTGCAGGGCAAAGCACTGGAAACCAACTCCCCTACAAGTCAGTCTCCTGAGCAATCACTCTTGCAAGAAGTCTATTCCTCTGTAGCAGATTACCTCATCTGTGATTCTTACTAGGGTCAGGAGGTGACTGTAATTTGAAGAGTGCAGTGTTTTTAAAACAGTTTTGTAGAAAACAGTGTAAGAAGGATTAGGGATTACTGGAGAATTCATTGGGCTTGTTTTTCCTCTGCCTACTCTGACAAATCCAGAATTCTATTTTTCAAGTCTAAATGCAAAAGAAACGTAAAAGAACATACAAGGTCAAGTTTCAAAGTCCTCCTCACCAAAAAGTTGAAACTGTGTTACCTATGTACCTAATTTTCCCAAGTATTACACTCTTTCCTCATGCTCAAGGCTGTGCATGAATTCCTTTTTACTTTCGCTCAGCAAGTAAAGGTAGGCAGTGTATTGTATTTTGGGACTTTTCAAGATGCCGGGACTACAAACATTAAGCACATGGGGCACATTGCTAAGTATCTTAAATGTAAAAAAGCAAATCAGTGTCATCAAATGTTACAATGCAGGACTTTCCAGAAGGCATCAAGAAACATTTTGCCAAAAGTAAAAAAATAAAACTTCTATAAGAAGTTCAAATGTTGGCTCAGGCAACCAAATCAGGTAGAAGAATGAATAAGTTGACCAAGGTTATTCTACAGAGGGAAATTATGAAAACAAAAAAGACACCAAAAATTGTGACCTCATAATGCAAAATCTGATAGGAAAATCATATACGGAAACAATTTTTGGTAAAATTTTAGAGATATTACAATCAAGGACAGGGTAAATTGTCCACTGTCACTATTTTTTTTTTCCAACGTTGCTCCAGAATTCTTAGCCAGAGCAATGAGATTAAAAATGATAATAATAATAAACAAAAAGTTTAAGATTTCAAAGAGAAAGGCACCAACCTGTGCTTCTATGTTAACAATTGTCTACCAAGAAAGTGCAAACAAAAAATTCCACCAACAACTTTTTTTTTCTTTTTTTAGACAAAGTCTCGCTCTGTCCCCCAGGCTAGAGTGCAATGGTGCGATCTTGGCTCACTGCAACCAACCCCTCCCGGGTTCAAACAATTCTCCTGCCTCAGCCTCCCGAGTAGCTGGGATTACAGGCACCTGCCACCACACCTGGCTAATTTTTGTATTTTAAGTAGAAACGGGGTTTCACCATGTTGGCCAGGCTGGTCTCAAACTCCTGACCTCAGGTCATCTGCCCACCTCGGCCTCCCAAAGTGCTGGGGTTACAGGTGTGAGCCACCGCGCCTGGTCTCAACTATTAGACCTAATTAGAGAATTTAGCAAGGTTGCTGATTCATGCTGTTAAAGTGTGATTCGTGGTTGTTGGCAATATTCCCTCTTCTAATTCTAATCTTTTCTCAATTTACTATTTTCCCTCCTTATCACATTATCCGCTAGCTAATGCTCTATTTTCCAACATAGATTTCGTTTTGGATTTCTCCATTACTATAACTTTCTATATGTCAGAAAAACATTTGTAGGATTTATGAACCCATTTTTCTCTTATATGAAAGTGAAATTATAATGCCCCAACTTATAAAGATATGTGTGTTACTTACTTGACCTTCTCAACAGTTTCCACCTTGTCTTTTGTGCTAGGTAGCAGCTCTTACTGATGTTCTCACTAGTGATCACTGTTCTGCAAATTCTGCATTTCACAAGTGGAAGAAAACACCTGAGTCAAGATTCAACTTGAAAGAACTGAATTAGACCTCTATGCCTCTATGCAGCACTCTTCCACTCCCACCAGCAGTTCTAATCACATGGGCTTATCAGAATGTTCAAATTAGACAAATAATGATCTGGGCTTAAGAATAGTCAATACAAGAATGATCTCCAAACAAAACAAAACAAAACAAAAAAACCATCCAGAGTTGCCCTGCCTTGTATCAGGAGTCCCAAGCTACTTGGGCATGAGGTTAAGAATCTTTGGCCCTCTCTTTAGGGTTAGTGACCAACAACAGAGATAACATAATTAAATGCATGTATAATATACTCTCAAATATATAATATATATATGTACACACACACACAGACACACACACACACACACACACACACTATATACATTGTATTAGTTTGCTGGGGCTGCTATAACAAAGTACCAGAGACTGTGTGGTTTAAAAAACAGTCATTTATTCTCTAACCATTCTGGAGGCTAGATGTCTGAGAACAAGAGCAGGTTTCTTCTGAGCCCTCCCTCCTTGGCTTGCAGATGGCTGTCTTTTCCTTGGTCTTTCTTCTGTGTGTGGCTGTGTCCTAATCTAATGTTCTTATAAGGACACCATTTGTATTAGTCCATTTTCATATTACTACCTGATACTGAGTAATTTATAAAAAAAAAAAAGGAAGGTTTAATTGACTCACCATTCTGCATGGCTGGGAAAACCTCAGGAAACTTACAATCATGGTAGAAGGGGAAGCAAGGCACATCTTACATGGCAGGAGGAGACAGAGTGTGAAGTAGGAAGTGCTACACTTTGAAACCATCAGATCTCATGAGAACTCTTTTACTGTCATGAGAACCGCATGGGGAAACCACCCCCATGACCCAATCACCTCCCATCAGGTCCCTCCCACAACACATGGGGATTACAATTTGAGATGAGATTTGGGTGGGGACACAGAGTCAAATCATATCATTTCGCCCCTGGCCCCTCCCAAATCTCATATCCTTTTCACATTTTAAAACCAATCATGCCTTCCCAACAGTCTCTAAAAGTCATAACTCATTCCAGCCTTAACTAAAAAGTCATAACTCATTCCAGCCTTAACTAAAAAGTCCAAGTCTGAAGTTTCATCTGAGACAAGGCAAGTCCCTTCCGCCTATGAGCCTGTAAAATCAAATACTAGTCAGAGAACTCACTATCACAAGAACAGCATGGGGGAAACCGCCCCCATGATCCAATCACCTCCCATCCAGGTCTTCCCTCAACATGTAGGGATTACAATTGGAGATGAGAATTGAGTGGGGACACAGAGTCAAACCATATGATCACTCCTATTAGTAGTTTCCCACCTTCATTACCTTGTTCTAACTTTAATTGCCACTTTCTTATCTTCAGATACAGTCACATTCTGAGGAACTGAGGGTTAGGACTCCAACATATGAAATTGGATGGGAAGGAATGAGACCAACTTCAGCCCATAACATACACCAAAGACCAGTATCTCCCGAATGTTTTGCATAGTACATGAACTTGTCTACATAGTCATTATGTTGATGGAATTCTACACAGCTTCACTTTCCAGTTTGCAGGATGTGTCCCAACATATTTTACTCATGATCTCACTCATACCAAACATATGGCCTGTGTAAGTACGAATAATGTATTCTGAAGATTTTGCACCCTCCATGACCATTCATGACTTTCTATCCAGATTCATTAAATTGGATGTATCAAGTTTCAAAGTTTGATAATTCAGGGACATTTTAATTCGGATGAATCACAGTGGAATTTGTCACATTTTAATGTCTATTTATTCATCCTGATAGGAAATACAAGCTCTCTGGGTCAGAAAACAGAGAGATCTTAGTGCTGGTCCCTATTCCTTAATTTCTCCAGGGGCAAGGCAATGATTGCCTGATCTTCCCTGCACACGCAGAAGAGGAGAGCCTCAGTGTTATGAAACTCAGATCATATTTAGTGTGGCTGTCATATCTGTCCCTCTTCTTTTTCAGAGAGACAGATAAATGGAGACAGAGACAGAGATAAAATATGTCTCTGGAATACGAAGAAATCATCTCTAAGGAGAGGAGGAGAAGGTCTCTAATCTGGAATATAAACCAGCGGTTCCAGGGGAGTCAAGAAAGGAGTTTGTTATGCTACAAAGTAAGCAACTGTCCCTGGAGCAACGTGGAGTTTCTAACTTGCCAGGCATGCCTACCATTAAACCATTCTTTAACCCAGGTTGAGAGTCACTTTTGCTCAGAATATAACATGCTCTGACTGTGCGGAAATGTGTAAAGATTCATGGAGAATTTTTTTCCCAGCAGAAATGTCATCTCATATTACCTCCAGCTGTGGACAATTGGCAACATTGTAAGGTGCTGAAATAGCATCATTTTACTCAACCTTGAGGGAGGGAGGTCTGGCTCCTGTGCCACCTCCTTCACTTTTGCCCACATTTATCCAGTTTAGTTTATACTGTTGCCTGGCAGGAGGAAGAGTTTTGAGCTCAATCTTCGGCTACACCACAAAGATGAGGACTAACAAAGTCACTCTGCTGGCTTGCATTCCTAGCACAGGTGAGAGGAGTCCATCAAACTCAGTTTGCTTTTACTAGAGATTCCTGGACTTCACACTTCTTGCTTCTCCTCCCTCCACCACCAGCGTATTAGTCCTTTGCACGCTGCTGATAAAGACAAATCCAAGACTGGGTATATCATAAAGAAAAAGAGGCTTCATGGACTCAAAGTTCCACGTGGCTGGGGAGGCCTCACCATCATGGCAGAAGGTGAAAGGCACATCTTACATGATGGTGGGGAAGAGAGAATGAGAGCCAAGCCAAAGGGGAGACCCCTTATGAAATCATCAGATCTTGTGAGACTTATTCACTACCACGAGAACAGTATGGGGGAAACTACTCCCATGATTCAATTATCTCCCACTAGCTCCCTCCCACAACACGTGGGAATCATGGGAGCTGCAATTCAAGATGAGATTTGGGTGGGGACACAGCAAAACCATATCAGGTAACAATTTCACCTGTGTTGCTATGATCTTTGTCCTGGTCTGACAGGGTAGCAGCACACTGCCATTCTTGCCTTTCTGTGACTTGTGACCTGTCCTCCACACGGCATCCAGAACTCTCCATTGAGGCTCTAAGTTGGGTAAGTTAGGTCACAACTTGCCCCTGGTCAAAACTCTCCGAAGTCTTCCCCGCGACTTATAATACAAAGAGACCTTTCTGTAACTCAAATGCTCTACATTATCCATCCCTTGACTGTCACATTGGCTTTCCTTTTTCCATTCTTTAAATTTGCTAAGAATAATCTTACTCCAGGCTTTTGCAGTTGCTGTGCCCTCTGCCTCAAAGACACATCTCCAAGATATTCATAAAGTGTTCTCTCTCACTTTATTCCAGTCGCTATTCAAATGACATCTACTTAGAGAAGTGTCTCCTGAACAATCCATCAAAAATAGCACTCTTACATCTCTAGCCCCATTTCCTTCTTTATTTTTCCTCAGAGACCTTACCACTTACAATCTGACACCACAATACGGAAAAGTCGGTTTCTGTGTTTACTGTTGTTGTCCTCCTCCAGAATGTCAGTGCTACAAGGGCAGTGACACTTCCTCACCCTCAGACCCTGGAGCATGGCCTGCCCCTGAGAAGGCATTTGATGAGCAAGTGAATGAAGGAATGAACAGTCAATCAGCCGGCGCCGGCAAGGGGAGTAAAACTGCAGGGTGGCTGACTAAAGGAGAATGAAATTCTCAAATACCACTACAAAAAATAGATGGTAGCTGTCTGGGGCTGAGATGTGTCCTGCCAAATTCATAGGTTAAAATCCTAAGCACTGGTACCTCAGAATGTGATTGTGTTTGGAGATAAAGCCTTTACGTAGATAATTATATTAAAATAAAGCTGTGAGTATGGGCCCTAATCCAATAAGACTGGTGTTCTAGAAAAAGACAGCTTGGATGCACAGAGACACCAGGGATGCACATGCCTAGAAGGAAGACCATGGAAGGACACGTGGAGAAGGCTCCTCTGCAAACCAAGGAGCGAGGCCTCAAGAGAATCAGACCTGCCAACATCTTGATCTTGGACTTCTAGCCTCCAGAACTGTGAGAAACACATTTCTGTTGTTTAAGCCACCCAGTCTGTGGTGTTTTGTTGTGGCAGCCCTAGAAACTAACCTGGTAGCTACATTGGATAAACCAAGAATTAGACAAGAACCTAGTCTAGAAATACAGAGGTGAACACAGTAAAAGCAGATGCAGGAATGAGTTTTCTGCATAGTAAGCTGAATGACCTGAAATCTAAAATCTAGGTGAAAAAACCATCTCGTAAATTAGAGAAACAAAGTTCTGATAAAATTTTATCAGGAAATACATGTAATATAAGTTTCAAGTAAGAGGCCTATGAATTACCTGTTGTTCAATTTTTGTTGGGAGGTAGAATAGAGTTTAACTTTTTTTTTTTTTTTTTTTTAAACACAGGGTCTCACCCTGTCAGCCAGGCTGGAGTGTAGTGGTGTGATCTTGGCTCACTGCAGTCTCAAATTCATAGGCTCAAGCAATTCTCCCACCTCAGCCTCCTGGGTAGCTGGGACTACAGGCACATGCCACCATGCCCAGCTAATTTTTTGTATATTTTTGTAGATATGGGGTCTCACTAGGTTGCCCAGGCTGATCTTGAACTCCCAGGCTCAAGGTTTTAGCTTTAAATAAAGGGAACTGAATTAAATAAACACAATTTGGTTGTGATTGACTATTCATGATTTAGAGCAACAATTATTGTAAATTCATTTATTAAAGTTGAAATTTAAGTTCATTTCCATGTCTTTAGTATACTGAGGAATAAACAATATAGGTAAATAAGAGTGATTTATGCTTAATGAAAAACAACACTAAGTCATATAAAAAGAGTAAGAACTATGAAACTTGGGTTTAATGAATAGATGTCAACCTGAACAGAGGTCTCTTAATAATTTGTACAAAGTCATGAATTTTTAAGAATAAAATTAAAACTAATTTGTTCAAAAAGTAATTTAGGGGTATTTAATTATGTTCAGCCAAAATTTCCAGAGAAGAACACAGAGCTGCAAGATGGTAACAAATAATGAAAAGCAAAGTGACCAGAGGGCTTGAATTTTCTGTGCAGCTGAGGATGGCAGTGCTGAGTCACAATAAGGAAGACTCCAAATGAAGTTCCAGGTGGTGTCAGAGGTATTATTGGCACAGCAGACCGTAATTGGTGCTTCAGCTTCTCGTTCCATGATACTAAGATGAAGGCAGCTTTCCAGGCAGGTGGGGAATCTGCTGGTGTCTCCGATACTCGCCTTTGAATAAAATTAGCAGCAGCTTGCAGTAGTTAGAAAGGCCAATCTTCTCTTGTAGGCACTGAAGGAAATTTCCCTGAACAGATTGAACCAAGTGGGAAGCAACTGATTCCAGGAACACCCACGTTCCCAAGGCCTGGGCGCGGCCAGTGCAGCTCTGGTACATGGATCCCAGTTCAGAATCCACAGCCTCCTAACCTGGATTTATTATACCATTGTTTTAACCTAAGGAAGGACTTTGCATTTCTCTCCATTGAATTTCATCTTGTTAATTTTAGACCACTGCGCTATCTCCTGAAATACGTTCTGAGACTTTATGCTGTCTTTCAATTCTTCAACTTTCTTTTCCCAAACTGATATCATGTGCCTCCTTTTAAATGTAGAGGCTTAAAATACAAAGCCAGGAAAGGCTACTTACAAATTACTGAGTCCTCTTTTCAGGTTGATACTTATCCATTAAACAACCTGCCTATCCATTGCACTGCAAAATCATCCTGCTTTCTTATTTTACATTCTTTTTTGTCTTCAAGTGTTTTGCAAAATATTGTATTTATACATCCTGCAAAAATAAAGCTAGAAATGTCCCAGAAAAGTATCTTGATCTCTACTACAGCAGGGACTCTGTTACAAAAGCAGATGGGAATCTTGATGTTGCATATTGTTAAGAGAGAAACTTGGGGCTATAACACCCACACCCCCCTCTACCTCTGCAACGAGGAAGGTGTTGAGAGACCAAATAATTACTTGGGAAAGTCCAACTTGACAATTACATAAAGTTTATTAGGACTTACATACAGGGTGCTCCTGGATAACAGCAGGGCAACGCTAGAGATCTATGCTGCCTCTTGTCTGTAAAGTACTTTTAAGCTGATTTTCTGGCTCTTTGCCTACTGTGTTAAGTGATGAGACTGGTTTTCTTGGTAGGTTCTCATATACTCCAGGGATGTTTAAGTTCTCAGGAACACTTGCTCCTCTGCTGGGCATCAGGGTCTTGTCTCAATGCCTGGCCTTTGGGTTCAAGCAGTGGGTATACATCCTAAGTAACCTGGTAGGGGACCCATCACACTACACATGTGTGTGCATGCAGGGAAGGGAATCCTGAAAGCAGAAGCACTCAAATGGCCTGTACAGATAGATGCTTGCTTGGTGATAGCTAAATGTTCAAAGACTAGGGTCATTTAATACAGGTCAAGAGACACTGCAATGACACCTGAGGCTATCATGGTGTCACAGTACATTAACATCTATATTATTGGTCTGAGTTATCAATGAAAGGTTTACTTCAGTTTCCCATGCTCTGCTTCATAATGAGACCTTCAAAAATCACTTTCCATAAAGTAGATTAAGTTCTTCAGGATCTCAACGTGTATTGCAAACTCTCCCCTAAAACTGTGGTGATGATGTGAATTTCATTGGCATCTCTCCCTTCTAACCAACACTGAATATTACAAGTGAAGAAGACTTTGCAAATTTGATAGAGGAATATTGATATTTCAAAGCTATTTTAATTACATCGATCATTACTATTATTTATTTCCATAATTATATTTTGCATATTTTATCTTTATATAGTTTATGTTTATATTTATGTATTATAAATCTTCCAGAACCACATGCGTGATAATTTTAAAATTAAATCGAAGTACAGCTATTCATAAGTTAAAAAGAGTAAAATAAGAACATCCATTTACTCACCAATCAACTTAGTGATTGAGATCTGACAAAGGTTCCTGAATCTCCATTACAAACCAGCAGTCCCCGTGTGAGATCACCGTGGTGGCACACACTGAATTTTCAAGGGTACCATTCAGTTTAAAGAAGTCACTTTTCAAATGATCAACATCAAATATGTTTTTTTCTGTAAAGTTTATTTTCTCAGCAACATATTGTGATATAAGAGCATAATTTCCTTCCCTACTCCCCTCTCAAAATTTCCCCCTTTTCCAACTTCACAAAGGAAAGGCATTTCACTCATACAGTCTTCATCTTGCTGTTGGGATTGTTCACTGCTGTTCACTGATGGTTCTGGCATGAGTCAAGTGACAATCCATGTATGTTAATTTCTGAACTCTATCTTACTCCTTTGTCTTTTTTCTATCCTTGTGCAAATATCACATTGTCTTAATTACTGTAGATTTATATAATAAGTTTTGCATCCAGTAGTGTGTATCCTAGAAATTTATTCTTCAAATCCAAGATTGACTTGGTTATCCTGGGCATGTTTCACTCCTGTACAAATATTAGAATCAACATATCAATGTTTAAAAACACCATGGATTTTTATGAGTGTTGCACTGAATGTATAGATACATTTATGAAGAATTTTATCTGAACAATTTTGAGTCTTCTAATTCACAACTATGAATATCTTTACATTTATGTAGAAATTCTTTGGTCATTCTCAGCAAATTTTATACTTTTCATTGTTAAGATCTTGCCTATCCTTGTTAGATGCAATATAGGTATTTAATATTTTTTGTGAATGGTGTTCGTTAAAAATTGTGTTTTGTTTTCCAATATTTTGCTGCGAGTTTATCGAAATACAATGGACACGTCTTGAATATGAATCCAGTGTTCTTGAGAATTCACATATTGAATTTGATAGCAGACTCTTAGATTTTGTACACATACAATCTCTTCTGTATCTATTTCTTATTATTGCTATGATAAATTACCCATAACTCCCTAACTTAGTGGCTTCAAACAACACATATTCATTATCTTACAATTTGGAAGATCAGAAATACGAGATGGTTTGCACTGGGCTAAAGCCAAGATGTTGGCAGGACGCTGCTTCTTTGTGGAGACTCTAGTGGAAAATTTATTTTCCTTGCCTTTCCAGCATCTGGGGGCCACTTTCATTCGTTGGCTGAGGTCCGTTCCTCCTCTCATCTTCAAAGCCAGCACCATAAGAACTTCCACCTCTTTCTCGCTCTCGCTCTTCTGCCTCCCTCTCCACTTACAGTGACCCTTGTGGTCACACTGGCCCACCTGGACAATCCATGATAAACCCCCCATCTCAAAATCCTTAATTTAATCACATCTGAAAAGTCCCTTTTGCCATATAAGGAACATATTTTTATGTTACAACAATTCGGATGTAGAGATCTTTGGGGGAGAATCATCCTGCTCTCCATGTTTTCTATTTTTATAATCTTTATTTCTCTTTATTGCCTCATTTCACTGGCCAGCATGTACAGTAAAATGTTGAAAAGAAGTGGTGATAGTAGACATCTTTGTCTTATTTTCAAGAACTCAGAGGAAAATCTACAGGTGTTTTTTTTCCAGTTAACCATCAGATTAGTGGTGTTTCCTTCTAATCCTAGTTTGCTAAATTGCTTTTTCTTTCTTTACCTTAGATGGGTATTGGATGTTATTAAAAGCTTTTCTCTGAATCTGTGATTTTTCTCCTTTATTCTGTTAATGTGGTGAATATGGCAGTTGACATTCAGATGTTTAAAAAAGCTTTACTTTCCTAAGATAAACTTCACTTGTTTATAATGTATTTTTAAAATGTATCTGTTAACTCAATTGGAAGTTAATTATTTCCTTTAGGAGTTTGTATTTACATTTATGAGATAAAACTCATATTTTTGCTTTTCTGTAAAGTCCACGTTAGACTTTGGTGTCAAGTTTATGGTGGCCTCATACTATGAGTGCAAAAGTGCTCTCCTTTTTTTTCTCTTTTCTGGTAAATTTGTATAAGATCAGAATAATTTTCTTCCTTAAGTATTTGAAAGATAATTTACTATTAAAACTACTTTGTCTTGAGTTTCTTTGTAAAAAGATTTTGAATTATGGATCCAATTTATGTTATATATATATATATTTATATTTTATATATATATATGCCTCATATTTTCTACTGCTTTTGGAATGAGTGCTTAAATTTAATTTCAAAATTAAATCAATCAACTAAACAACAAACACAATTTATATTTTAATTTAAATATTAATTTACAATTGAAGTACTGAAGTAGTCTTTGTCAAGATAGGGTTTGTATTTATCATCTATTGCTTTGTAACAAATTTCACCTGAACTTTGTTACTTAAAACACCTATTATTGGCTGGGTGTGGTGGCTCATGACTGTAATCCCAGCACTTTGGGAGGCCGAGGTGGGTGGATCACCAGAAGCCAGGAGTTCGAGACCAGCCTGGCCAACATAGGGAAACCCCGTCTCTACTAAAAATACAAAAATTAGCCTGGCATGGTGGTGCGTGCCTATAATCCCAGCTACTCAGGAAGCTGAGGTAGGAGAATCGCTTGAATCCGCCAGGTGGAGTTTGCAGTGAGCTCATATCGCGCCACTGCACTCCATCCTGGATAACAAGGCAAGATTCCAACTCAAAAAACAAAACAAAATAAAAACACCTGTTATTTTACAGTTTCTGTGGTTCAGGGATTCCAGTGTGGCTTAGCTTGACCACTGATTCAAGGTCTCTCACAAGTTTCAGTCAAGTTGCTGGCCAGGGCTGCAGTCAACTATGTCTTGGTTTTGGAAGGATTCACTTCCGGGTTTACGTGTGTGTGTGTGTGTGTGTGTGTGTGTGTGTGTGTGTGTGTGTGTGGTGTGGCAAGATGCAGTTCCACATGGGCTCTTTGATGAGAGCCTCAGTTGCTCACTGGCTGTTGGTCAGACGCCACCCTCAATTCCTTGCCATGTGGGTCTCTCCATGGAGCAGCTCACAACATGGCAGGATGTTTCATCAGAACGATCAAGCTAGACGAACCAGAAAGAAATAATTGAAGCAATAGATGCTACAGTCTTTCATAAATGAATTTCAGGTTTAAAATATCAATCCAGTTTTCTATGGATATTTATAATTTCTGCAGATATATGAATGCTATTCAGTAAAAGTAAGTTGCTAGGTCCAGCCTAAACTCAAGAAGAGGGACTCACACAATGGTGTGTATAATCAGGAGGTAAAGAACATGGTGTTTATAATCAGACTTTTTGTCTGGTTACTATATGAATTACTGCAAGAAGGCTGTTAAAATCTCTTACAATGCATGATTGTCTGGGTCTCCCTTTAATTCTATTAACTTTTGCTTCATGTATTTTGAGGCTCTGGGATGTGCATTTTAAATTGTTATTTCTTCTTGATAATTTAACCCTTTTATCGTTACGACATGTTCCTCTTTATCTAATTACATTATCTGCGTCTCGAAGTTTATTTTATCTGACGTTAATATAAACGCCCTCGCTTTCTTTGGCTTAGTTTTGTAGGGTAGATCTTTTTCTATCCTTTACTTTCAATAACTGTGCTTTTGTTTTTGGCCTCTGGTAGGATCTTGCTTTTCATTCACTCTGTCAATATCTGCCCTTTAATTGAAGTAGTTAAGCCATTAATGTTTAATATAATTATTAATATAAATGAATTTATGTCTACCATTTTATTTCATTTTTCTGTTTGTCCCTTCTGCATTTCTTCCTCTGTGTTCTCTTGTCTGCCTTGTTATGGATTACTCGAGTATATTTAATATTCTATTTCAATTTGTCTGTTGGTTTTCTGGCTACATGTCTTTGTATTATTTTTATTATTGGTTAGTAGAGTTAATAATGTACCACTTCAATTATTATACAGAACCCTTGCAACCATATAAGTCCCTTTACCCTACCCTACCACCAACTATCACCAACTGACATTTTGTTACAGTTTCTAAATGTGTTATTTCAATGAATATCAAAAGCCACATTGGAAAATGTTAAAATTTTAACATTTAACAGTTATATATATGTAACTGACTTGAAGAGGGAAACATAGTCTTTTATATTGACCCAGATATTTGCTATTTCTGTTGCTCTTTTTTAATTTCTAAAGTTCCAAGTTTTCCTCTGCTCTCTTCCTATCAGCCTGATGAACTTCCTTTTACATTTCTGTTAGAACAAGACGGCTAGCAATGAATTCCTTTTTCTTTCACTTATATTCTTTTTTCCTGTATTTAAAAGATTTTGTTTCACTGTTTCCTGGCCTCCATAAATTCTTTTGAGTTACCAATGTATGTAACAATTGTATTTCTGTGTGTAATGTGTCTTTTTTCTCTAGCTGCTTTCAAGAATTACTTTTTCAATCTTTGGTTGTCAACAACTTCATTGTGATAGATTTTTTTTTCTTTGTACAACCTGGTTATTTTTTCTTCCTTTTTAAAATTATATTTGTCAATTTTCTGATAATATCTTGAAAAGGCACTGGATTTCATTTATTATCCATCAAAAAGTATTGAGTTTTATGTTGGCAACAAAGTACTAATGGAATAAATTGAGCTGTTAAGCCCTGGTTTTACACTCTCTTCAAAGAGATCTATCACATTTCCCGCCCCCCGCCCCCGCATATTTCTAGGTTGTAGACCTCAATCCTAAAGTGCACTTATCTTTACTCTTTTCATTAGTTTGCTAGGGTTGCCATAACAAAACGACACAGAGTGAGTGCTTAAACAGCAGAGAATTATTGTCTCACTGTTCTTGAGGCTAGAAGTCCAAGATCAAGATGCTGGCAGGGTAGGTTTCTCTTAGGTCTCTCCCCTTGGCTTGCAGAGGACCACCTTCTTGCATCTTCATGTGGCCTTTCCTCTGTGCACAGGCATCCCTGGTGTCTTCCTTTCTTATAAGGACACAAGTTGTACTGGATTACGGCCCTTTTTCTTTCTTTTCTTTTTCTTTCCTTTTTTTTTTTTTTTTTTTTTTTTTGAGATGGAGTCTCACTCTGTCGCCCAGGCTGGAGTGCAATGGCGTGATCTTGGCTCACTGCAACATCCACCTCCTGGTTCAAGCGATTCTCCTGCCTCAGCCTCCCGAGTAGTTGGGATTACAGGCGCCCGCCACCATGCCAGGCTAATTTTTATATTTTTAGTAGAGATGGGGTTTCACCACATTGGCCAGGCTGGTCTCAAACTCCTGATCTCAGGTGATCCACCCACCTTGGCCTCCCAAACTGCTAGGATTACAGGTGTGAGCCACCACACCTGGCCTAGGGCCCATATTTATGACCTCATTTAACCTTAATTATGTCTTTAAAGGCCCCATCTCCAAATACAGGCGCACTGGGAGTTAGGGTTTCAACATATGAATTAGGAGGGGAACATGATTCAATTTATAACACCTGTATCTGATGGCATGTCTGACATCTCAACTCCATCTTTGACTTGTTCTAAACATTCTTCACTTTAGTTGGGCCTGACCACCAAAATCCATACCACTGAAGAAGCTGCGAAATCTTTCCTCAGTTCTTTGCTTCCCAGCAGTTCTCTATCTAGCTTCTTGGAGTCTTGTTCTACTCTCATGAATCCACAATTTCTTCAAGTTACTCAAGGCTCAAGGGGGATTTATTTTATTTATTTATTTATTTATTTATTTATTTATTTTTGAGATGAAGTCTTACTGTGTCACCCAAGCTGGAGTGCAGTGGAATGACCTTGCCTCACTGCAACCTCCGCCTCCTGGGTTCAAGCAGTTCTCCTGCCTCAGCCTCCCTAGTAGCTGGGATTACAGGTGCACACCACCACACTCAGCTAATTTTTGTATTTTTAGTAGAGACGGGGTTTTGCCATGTTGGCCAGGCTGGTCTCGAACTCTTAACCTCAGGTGATCCACCCAACTTTTCCTCCCAAAGTGTTGGGATTTCAGGTGTGAGCCACTGCACCCGGCCTCAAGGGGCATTTCTATGTAAACTTCTGGATTTCCCTCTCTATGACTCTTTCTTTTCCAGCACTGTCTCTTCCACATTGGAGACACTTTAATAAACCCAGATTTAATCCTTGCCTTCTCTGTTCAGTGGAAGCAAGATCTTGCTTGTACCACACCCCAGAAAATGTACCTAGGGAAAAAGGCAGTGCAAAAGTGGAGTGACTTTTAAATACTTTGTCTCTCCAGAATAGCTCAAGAATAGCAGCCTTACATTGGCTGCTGTCAAGTGTCTGCAACTTGTTTTTATATATTTTGTACATAATATAATATATTTTATAGATATCATAAAGACTGTTTTTGTTGCATCTTGCAATTTTTATTGTACACATGTTATTTATCATTTATGTTAAAATAATTCAAGTTTCTCAAGTAGATTTATTTTGAAGTAGTGCAGATTAAATTATGTATAGGAAGATTTTCTTTTTTTTTAGTTATTGATTTCTGGCTTAATGACACTGTTCTCTGAGAATATTCTCTGAATGAATACAATCATTTCATGCTTGTGACTTGCTTTACAATCCAGCACATGGCTGATTTTGTCAAATGTTACATGTGGATTGATACAATTTTATATTTGATGGATCAAATAAAATTTGTTACTAAATTAATTTGCCACATTTTTAAGTTCTAGGATTCCCAGTGGATTCATTCTTCTCACAGTTTTCAATTATTTGGTGAATTTCTCCGTCTTTTCCTTTTCATGTTTTTTCTTTTTCATCTTTTTCTACAGTCCTATATTCTGTTGGACATATTGGTCATTATCATTTTAGATATTTTGTCTGCTAATTCTAGTATATAGATCACCCATGGGTCTTTTCCAATTCTACATTTGTTAGTTGTTTTTTGGTCATTTGCTCCTAACTCTGAAGAACAGATTTTACTGAATGCTGGACAATGAATATTTAAAAATTGCAGAGGTTTGCCTAAAAGGTTTCACCCTTTCCTCTGCTAGGCAGATAAATCACCTGGTAACCTCTATTCCAATCAGCAACATCACTGAATTGGAGACAATTACAGTATTGTTACATTTTATTCCACCTCTGTTTTCTCTAGCTCTCAGGGTGCAACACTCCAGGAGTTTTAACTGATAACTTGAAATATCTCCCAAGGTGGGGCTGGTCCTGGATGTGAATGCTTTTCTTCTCTGCACAGCAGGACTGTTAAAATTATATCTGATTTTCAGAGGCTTTTTGTTTAGCTGTTTAGTCCTGTGAAGCTTTATAAGTTATCAAAAGCTTTGAAGGGAATGCCAGCTATGTTTCTGTCCCAGTTCTCTGCTCCTTTCTTCTTACTGGGATCTTGATCCCTTGGGCTTCAGTCTAAAGCCCTATGAGGCTAACAAAGATTCTGCTGATATCTCTGTCTCAGACAGTGGCCTCTACCCAGGAAAAGCCTCAAAACCCAGCCTCTCTCACTGTATCCAGAACTGGCCGAAGTTATCAGGGAAAAAGCAGACATACCACATTAGCTCGGCATCCACATTCTTGCCTGTCTGGAATCTTGGCTCCTCCAGTCCTTTTTGCTTCAGCAGGTTTCTGATGCATAAGATAAATATTTTTGTTTTTCATTCAAAAATTCTAATTATTCTTACCAGAGGCATGGAGGTCCCATAAGCTATTTCATCCTACTCAGAAATAGATATAATTGGGGTGTTTTTCTTTTCAAACAATTTGAGAAAACAACCTTCATTGAACCTTTATTTACCACGGGAGAGGTCATGTGATAACAGTCAAAATGTATAAAACAGAAAACTCATTATATAAAGAATAATCTAACCTTAGAAAAGTTTGAGAAATGGAATGGGAAAGTGTAGGAATGTAATTTTAAGTAAATAAGAGGATAGGCATTTGTACACTATACTTTTTCTGGGTGGTAGAATTATGTTTTTCATAACTTTCTGATTTTTAAAGTTTTTTAAATGAGAACTTGTTACTTCTCTAATAAGCAAAAATAAATGTTTAACAAAATATTTATACAAACATACTCTAACACGAAATGCTCAATGATTTGAAAAATTCATTAAGTTCCTATTCCTAACAAAATATATGTTTAATCTTTGCAGAATCATAACGAAAATGATTTTTTCAAATAATTGAACATTTCATGTTAGAGTACATTTGTGTAAAGATTTTGTGAAACATTGATTTTTGCTTATTATAGAAGTATAATATACTTCACAAATAGAAAATCAAACTGCTCACATACATATTCTATGTACATAGACACAATCTCAGAGAATATGGAAAATAATGTTAGATAACTTTATCAACATATAAACTAAAGCAACACATTGTATGGAGTAGACAAAGCATATAAATATATAGACATGATGAAATATGACAAAAAGGTAAGCTACCTGACTCTGTAATCTGAATGTGATGTATTTTCAAATTCCTAAAAATTCAGTGAAAGCATGAAACACAACCAGTTTACCAAATGGAGATCCCTGTAAATTCTCATGATTAGTCTGCATGATATAATTACCTGCATGTAGGAGAAATTTAGTTAATGATTATTTGAAAGAAATGAATATGAAAAAGCTCACTGGCAAAATGGTATCTTCTAGGTGTCTTGATGACTGAATAAGATATGCGCAATCAGATAATAAGTGTGTTTTGATATAGCAAGCCGACGAAAACAGCAGAGGTGAAAGAGATATTCTAATGTCATGACTCATGTTCACCATCATTTACTAATTGCTCCCTATTTGCCAGGCATAGAGCCATTTGCTTATCATAGACTGATTCATTCATTTAATTTTCACAACAAAGCAAGAGGCAAGATTTGGCTTATTTATGGGTAATAAAATGAGAGCTTCAAGGATTTCATTTTAATGAGTAAATCAATTTCAGAACGTGTATTCTGTACAAACTTGAGAGTGACACTGGAGTGGGTAGAGAACATTAAGGAGAACAAAGACTGAAAATGAGGTATTTCATTTTGGGAGACAGTATAAAAATCGTTGAGGTGGACTCATTGTGCAATGCTTTGAACATGAATTTATTGGTCAGTGACAATAAAAAACTGGTCTTATATTATTCCTTAATTTATCTTCTAATACATATGATTTAGACCATATTCATTTACTCACTTTGTTGAAAAAATGTTTTAATTTTTGGAAATACATTGTGGGGGAAATACAGTAATAACAGCTATAGTGAGCAGAGGGGAGACATTACAGATAACATATATTTCAATTTGAGCTTGAATTTGATGCAGGTAACAGAATCCAACCACCACGGCTTAATCCAATATAGATGAACTTTCCTCCCATAACAGGAAGCCAATACACTGAGGCACACAGACAATTAGGAAGAAATGAGGACATTTGTGTTCCTCATTTCAGCTTCTGGTGGTGATTACCTCTCTGCAGTGCTTCAATTTCTGCTTCCCCCATAACCCCAATTCATAATTAAACTCTGGGAGGATAAGGAATTTGTTGTCTTCTCTATTGTTTGCTACTAATTCTCCAAATTTTGGCCAATACTGAACCACAGCGGATGGATGCTCAATAAACATTTGCTGAATGAATGAATGATACCATCATAGGAGTTGCAGCAATAATAAAAGGCAATTTGAGTGAAAATGTGAAGTTTGCAATCAAATAGTGAAATGACCCACACGTTGATCTTAACTAAAATGGTTAGTTTAAATTAGTTAACTACTTTACAGTCTTCAAAAACTTAGAGATACTTTCAGGTAACAAATATCATAACTTTTATGATCAAGAGCAAACAGTGTGTGTTAGCCTCCCAAATATATACACACATGTACTTATGATGACACTATTGGGTTACTATTTCAGGTAATTTGCTTTAAAATTTAAATTGTGAATTGAAAGAAGTATCATTACTCTCCCTATTTAAATGCTGAACAGCAACAATAATCACTCACCTGATTTCATTTCCCAATTTGAAAATTTCTCAATTGTTTATCAATGGGTAATTCACTTAAAAAATTACAAAAATATTATCTTCTATTTGAATCTCAATAGCAACAAACAATGCCATATTGAAACAGCTGTGACTTAAATAAGAATGCCATTCTCCTAAAATCGACATACTTTGAATTACAAAATAAGACACATACATTTATAAAAAATATTTGGAATTGTTAGATTTTATTTCTAAAGTTAAGTTACACTTCCATATAAAAACGTTTGCTTCAAATTTTGAAAAGTGATTTGAAAAATCAAGAGATATAGCATTTAGTATTTATATGTGATTTCTGTATCAGATAACTCTATTAATGCATAAACAGAAGAAATACAATGAAGGTTTTTCACTGAGCATTGAGTACTGTAATTTGAAAATAATAAACTAATAATGTTCTAGTCTCATAGTGAATTTGAGGATTCAGAATATTCCTTTATATAGGAACTATCGGAAGCAGGAGGCAAAAGATGGCAGCAGTGAGTCGTTCCAAGATCTAACATTATACATGTTCATTTTGCTTTATTTTTCAATATTATCTAATTGTGAATTGAATAATATCTTAAGTTACAAATTATTCTAGAATAATAAAAGTCATAAATGTTTCAATGAAATGGGGCACTGAGCAAATGAAATCAAAGCAGTCCAGGACATTGGACTTTACCACTCTGCTTCCTAAATAACCATATCACACCAGCCCCAGCCCCAACAGTATCTGTAGGGACTGCCTCCAGCTCATTTCCCAGACACACAATTAGTTGATAGAATTTGTCATTGCTCATCTCGATAGTAACTAAAAAACGTTAGAAAATTATTTTCTTTACTTAGATCTATATCAGGCATAAAAGACACATATATTACCTGTGGATAGCATCTACACATCTACCTCCATTTTAATCTAAAGAGTAACTGATGTCCCCTCATCTCCCTTTCCACCTCCCCACTGACTTCTTGAGTTAGAAGATGCAAAGAGAAAACCAAACGATAGCAGACTGACAGAAGCTCAGGTGGGAACTAAGAACATCTCTTGAAATATAATGTGGCCTAATGGATATGGTGCTGCTAATTTGTCTTGTACCACGTACTCAGTGTAATTGAACTGCCTTTCTGAGAACTAAGATAAAAATTACAATTAAACGTGTGATGAAAAAAATGGTCTTGCATGTCTTCCCTCACAGGACTCAGGATATTTTAATATCAAACTGGCTTTAAGACACTTGGAGTTAGCTTGGAGAACTGTTTTTTGCAGGTGAGACAAAGCCTGTGTGTGCATGTCCACACCTGGGGTAGGAGGAATAAAAGCGAACATTTGTACTGTTGTCAATAGTCTGCTTAATCTGCTCCTCCTAGCAATTATTTGTTACCTATTTAACCTCTGTACCGCTTTTCTCCTTCACTCTTACTTCCATTTATATTTCAACTTACTCCCAAGTATAATAAAGAATAGACTTGAATATTCAAATCATTTAAGTTTGTTGGATAATCTCTTTCAACACAAAATAGAAGCACAATGTTACTGAGAATCGTAAGCACCAAATCCCTTTTATTACAATTTCCTGCATTCTGTCATGCTTATTTGTGTTTCAGAAACAAGCTCTGCGGGGGTGGGGGGGGTGGGGGGGGTGGAGGAGATCACAACCTCAGACAGTCTGCGGTGTTCAGGGTCATGCCCGTGGCATAATTAGGAGGAACATTCGACCTGGCCCCTGGGCAGGCTGTGCCCTGCTTGGCTTGGCTTGTGAATGCAGCAGACGTGAGCCCCGTCCTGACTGCTGCTGAATCAGAGGGACAGGGGCGAAGGCCCAGAGGCCTTCCTTGGCACATGTTTTGGGTTTCGTTTTTCAACAAGACTTTGAATACGGTGATTCCACTTGCTGTATTTCACAGCAGGCTACGCATGGGGAAGTCCCGATGGGGTCAAGGAGCAGTCAAGCCAGGAGGTGATATGGAAAACTGATTTGAACGTGAAGAAGGCAATGCGAGATGCACTGGAAGACTGTGGGGAAGGATCAGGGGAGTGGTTCACTTTGAAATAAGGAAGAAAAGGAGGAAGAGAAGGTGGCAGAGATGCAGCAGAAGATACCAAGAGAGGAGGACAAGGTGGCACAAGAAGGGGAGGAGAGAGAACTTAATCTGCTCAAGTTCCAGACTGGGCAAGGGTCTTTCTTGCAGGAAGTTTACAGACATTCCAGTTTCAAATCTGAAGTGATTTTGCCTAAGGAGAAACCCTCACTACCCGCCAAAAACATGCCATCTGAACAGGGAAGGTGATGGCAAGATTGGGCAGGTGCTGTGGAGAAGACCTCTGCTGGACTTCGTGCCTCCTTAGCTCTGGAATCACAGGATCTGCAAGAGCATCTACCTGCGCTCACCAGCACGTTCCGCCAGCCTCCCTCCCCCAACCCACCTGGCCACTCTAGGACCCCTCGCACCCTGGTCCTTTGTTGCAGGCTGACATCTGCCCCACCAGAGTCAACTGTCAGCGCCTTGCACGTGAATTAGGGAAGCGGAGTAACCTGGGGTTCCATCCCTTCCCGGGTCCCTTCCAGCTTTCGCCTAGCTCCGGAGCATCCACCCATCTCAGGTCCAGGGCGTGCGTTCCCAAGGATGCTCGGCCCTCTCCCAACCCGCGGCCTCCTCCCCTCTCTCCCGCGGCTGCCGCTGCTGCCGCGAAAACCAGGAGAAGTGGAACGCGCGCGGCGAAGCGCCGCTCTCGCGGCGGCACTGGGCATGCTCCGCACCCGGGGCCGGTTTCGGCGGCGGGGCGGACGCTCCCTCACTAGCCGGGCGCCCGGGCCGGCCGCCGAGGTTTAGGTGGAGGCTGAGGCTGCCGCGCGCCGCGGGAGGAGCCTCGCCCTCGGCGGCTGAGGCGGCGGCGGCACAGGTGGCGCGGGCCGCGCGCGGGGCGCAGCTCGGGAGCGCTCGGCGCCGGGCGCCGCGGCGGCCCCAGGCTCGCGCCCGCGGCGACAGCCGGCTGAGCGGAGCTGCGGGCGCGGCGGCTGCTCTCTCAGCCCGGCCGGCTGGCGGCGGCGCCCGGAGCCCCGAGGAGCCCGCAGGAGCCCGTGGAGCCCGCGGAGCCGGGCAGGGGGCGCTGCGCTCGCCGAGCTCGGAGGGGCCGCCGGGCCGGGCGCTGCGCACTCGCGTCGGGAGCCGCCTCTCGCCCGCGGCGCTCGCCCCTGCCGCCCGCCAGCATCCCTTGTCCCGCGGCCGCGCTCAGACAACAAAAGCGGAAGATGCTGCAGTTGGGCAAGGTCAGGACCTTGCCCTGAAGCCGGGCGGCGCCGCGCACGCCTCTTCCCGGACTGAGGAGCTGTCGCCGGCGGAGGGTGCATGTTTGCGAGGAAGCCGCCGGGCGCCGCGCCTTTGGGTGAGTTGCGGGGCTGGGCGGCCGGGGCCGGGCGCAGCCTCCTCCCGGCGCCGTCCTCCTCCTCTTGCCGCTGGTGGGGGTGGTCCTGGGCTCCCGGCCGGCAGGCGGCGGCGGCGGCTGCTGCGGGGTTTCTGCCTGCCTCGGGGAGGACCGCGATCGCGCCAGGTCCCCCTCGGAAGCCGCTGTGCCTGGAAGGGGGTCCGGGGTTAGTGCCTTTCTTGGAGCGGTTACCAAGTGGCTGCCCTGCGTGCTCCCCCTCCCTGCCACCCATCTCCCCGGGAGGAAGCGTATTTAGGGCAACACCGACAATGCTGCTCCCCGCCACCCTGAGAACATACTCGGTGCATTCATGACGTCCCTAATATACGGGAGGAGACGGGGTGGGGGTGGGGAGGACTTCCCTCCAGTCTTTTGCCCTTATGTTCAATGTCATTACGATGTTTGGCTAGAACAAAATGGAAAGACTTAGTCATATGCGTCCATGGCCGTGTCTTCAGGCTCCCGCGGCTTGCCAGACCCTGAGCCCCCTTGGTCTATATTTAGCGGCTTCCCAGCAAGCCTTTGCAGCCGGCTTCACAGGTTTCGGGGGCTTCTGCGTGCTGACAATAGACAGCCAGGCTCCAGAAAGCGCCGCCTGAAAGCCAGGTTTGGAAGGCTGTGCGTGTGTATGGGAGATGAGCGATGCAAAATTGGGGTGATCCGTAATTAATGGCTGAAAGCGAAGCTGCTTTTTTCTTTTTTTCCCGACCCTCATCTTATTCTGGTGTGTAGTGTGTTTTCTTCGATTGCCACTCGGCAGGTTGAGCCTCTGCTTTCAGAATTAAGTCACTAGAAAGGTGATGCAGCCTCCCTGGTGTTTGTGGTAGGAAAACAGACTTGGGAATTTTTGGGGTGTGTGTGTGTGTGTCACAAATAACAGTTACTTCCAAAATGCCCAAAGTTGTATTTTGCTGTAACCGTGGGGGTATGAAGGGTGTGGGAGATGAGAGATAGAGGGGCAGGTTGTGTTTCCAAGGTGTTTTTTTTTCTTTTCTTTTCTTGTGTGCCTCATTTGAGCTGATCTGATTCGCCTTAGCTCTGGCAGGTGTTATTAAGATGTATTTTTACTGTGCTCAAGCAAATATGTTGATTTAGAAAACAGAGAATGTTGTCAGCATAGTATTAGGCCTGACAGGTGTAAATTTTCACTTTTAAGAACTATGTGACCAATATTTAAGAGTCTTGGGATTTTCTGCAGTGACTTCCATGAAAACAAGGAGGTGCTGAAACTCCCTAGGAGTTATCTCATTGTGCATACTTCATCAGGGGCTGAAGCTACCGAGGGCAGTCCAGCTGGTCTCTGCTGCTGGTCATTCACCTACATAATGACAAGGCTTCGGGGCTGCACCACTTCTAAAATCCCATGGAGAAGTGTTTGCTGTGACTCATATCAAGTTATGGCGGTGAACCTGTCATTATTTTGGGGATTTCTGCTACGAGACGTGTGATATATAGGGGCGAGTATCCTCAAATACGAACTAGATGCTTTAAACTGCCCTCAAATGTCTTTTATTAGCATATGGTTGCCATACGGAGAATGTTCCTACTGTTGTTGGGGAAAAATGTTAAGTGGCATCATTACTGATCTGTGGGTTCCAAGGGCTCAGGGCTTGAAGGAAGACGATTACATTCGGAGTTAAGTGTTGAAATTTGGGAGGCCTTTGATTACACTAATCACAAGTCAGTGTTGCAGGAGGACTGGCAAGGTCTATACGGCTCAAGTTGATTGAATACTGTGATTAGTCTTTAGCAATATTGCTTTAGTTTCACCTTATTCACATTCAGGGAACTTTCCGAGAGCACTTTGAACACACCGTTATGCCCACTGCATTGTTTTAATATAAAATTTCTTTCAAAAGCAATAGATGAAGTAGCATACATGTCTCGTTTCCTTTTCTTTTTTCCTTTTGAGCCTAGTGTTTCATTCTTAAACATGATTTTTAAAGGACTAGTTGATACTGCTCTGTGCCTGTGTGTGTACCCAGAGCGGCCGATGGGCATGTGAAAAACTACATATACTGTATATGTGGGTTTTATGTTATATTGTGGATTGAAAATGATATTATCTGATTGAATGGCAATTGTGGTAAGTACGTGAGGTTGTTGCCCTAATAAAATTGTCATAGTCTTGCGGAAAGGAGTTATTTAATTTGGTGTACGTTTGTGTAGTTGTATAACCCAGTCATTATAGATGTCACTAATGTTTTCATTGTTCGTAATAAAAGTCATACACTGTCAAATTACAGTATTTCTATCCACTTTACATCTTTCACAATAGAATATAAGCCAATTCTTTCTCCCAGTGAAATTGTTCATCAGAGACAAAAATGAAATTCAAATACTAGTTTGCAAATGCAATTTATAGTTTTGTTAAATAATTTCTAAGGATAATATTGCTTTCATAATAGTTTCTAAAATTAAAAATGAAGTTATAATCTCAAATATAATATTACTTTGGCATTTAGTTGAATATGCAGTGTATTTGCAGAAAATGTTACAGAACTTGCTCTTTTCTGTTTTGCCTTATCAGACTTCTTTCTTGTGTGGTATGAATTTGTGTGGACTTGTCGAAGGGGTTTTCAGAGTAATTTCATCAGGTTGTCTTTAAGAAAACATTAACATTACATTTGAAATAATTTATTGTAATTTGTCCATAGGGTCAGTACACTATGTATGGACCAGTGTATACAGCTGTAACAAGCCAATTGAATTAAAATAGAAACTGTTACATTTTGAACTTCCAATGTTTTCTTCTTTATGATTAGCCACAGAAAATGGGAACACCCATTTTTGTTTTTTCTCTGTGCGAACATTATTTTCACTTCTTAGAGGGAAATCCTTGATGCTAGTCTCACTTTTCCTAACAGAGTTTTTATTTTTAAAAGACTTAACATAGTTGGGAGTACTTAAACTTGGATGTCATAATTCAGACAATGAACAAAAACTAAGCATGGACTGCTAGTCATTTTCAAGTCCAGTACTTCAGCTGAAGGTGTGGTTCTTTGCTGGCTGATTTGCAAGTTGGAAATACACTGCCAAGCCAAATTCATTGTTGGCTTCCATGATGGTTTTCCTCATTCATCTTCTGAAGGTGTTCTCCTGTCCACAGTACTTTGATAGCCTTCTGGTGTGTGAAAAGTTAATTTGAGTAGGAACAGTTCATGATACTTGTTGCTAGCTTCAAGTTATCTGATTATATGCCAAAGCAACAGCTTTTTATATTAATATAAAATATTAAACATGTCATCAATAAATAGTTTCTATCACATTGTCTGCCAATCCAGCCTACTGATTAACAAACTGCCTGGTTGGGTTTAATAAACTCAGTTATAGTCACAAACAGTACCTCCAACACAGGGAACTCACAGAAATATTTTATCATACTGTGCTTTTTAGTCCATTAAATATTAAGACTCATAACAAAAATCTGCAGTTATGACACCTCCAGTTGTTTATCTTTTGATCACATAGCAGTTAAGTGCAATTCCAAGCTCTGAATCATGGTTAATTGATTTGTAGGAAGTGTCTTAGCTATGTCAGGATATTGAAGTACCTGTATCAATTAGTTTTTGACAAATTGGAAATAATGACTAAATAAGTGAAACAATGCTTCCTAGAACCTTTCTATCTTAGATAAATATTCACCTGTCTCTCTTGGCACATTACGTGCAAAATGAATTACATATATTGAAACATTTTATTGGGTTCTTATATATTATATATTACAATATTTTGTAATAAAGTTACACATACACACACACACAAACACGTTATATGTCAGAGCCCAACTATTTCTCTAGAAATATGTTTGTGATCTGAAATGACAATTATTGGAAAAATAAGTTTCCCTAGTGTAATGCTGTTTTGCATTCTGCTTCTGGTGGGTACAGAGATGTGGAGAGAGCACTGGCTTTTGGTGGATTCCAGCCCTGTCTCTTCTTAGCTGTGTATCCCTCACCATTTATGTGATCCTCAGTTGTTAACTCAGTTTCTTCAGCTGTAAAATGGGTAGAATAAGACACAATATCTTAAAAGATTTCTTTGAGGATAAAGTGAGTAAGAGCATGGATAAGTGGCTTGTAAATTACAAAATTTATGTGAACACAAGAAATCAATATATACATATTAAGACAGGTACTAATGTTTTATACATATCTAATTAAATAGGTTATCTAGGTTACCATCCTCTCTAACAAAGGATATTAAATGGCTGTAATTTCCCTACCCCAACCCCTATTGTAATATTGCTTCATTATGCAGATTTGCTTATAAAATATGCTAAACTTTCTATTCTGAAACATACCAGCCCTTTATATATTAAAGTATATAGCAGTTAAGCTAAAGGAGAAGTAAATTATATCTCCCAACACCATTATTATAAAAGATTCTAACCCAGTAGAAATTACAAAACTTTGATATTCTTTATTAGTGTTATATTAGTCACCTGATTAAGATCAAATTTTCTACAAAGATTAATGTTGTACAAAGACTATCATAGACAGTTTAATAAGCATCACTCTCTGTGAGGTCAGATATTACACATCCGCTCTGTTTAGAACCACCGAGCATGAATCTCATCATCATGTCATTATGATAGAGAAAAAAGAAACCTTAAACAGCTAAATGTATTACATAAAGGGAAGACCCCCTCCCCAATTAAAATCAAGTCCTTGAAGAGAACTAAAAAGTGTGTGAATTGGTACCTCTTTGAAAATAGATGGTCATTTTTGCTTTGTTTCACTCTTAAGAGCTTCAGTGAAGACAAAAAAGTGCCCAGCTCTTCCAGGTTGGAAGATGTCCAGCTCCTTGGGATGATCAAACCCAGAGGGGCTTCATTTAGAACTGTGATCTTCAGCAACATAATTTTTAGGATAATTACGATTCGATGTATCTTGGAATTTGTTTCAGAATGTGAGCTGTATAATGGGGGACAAATTTATCTTCAGTCAGAAAAACATTTTTACAATAAATGTGGTTATTTGTATTCAAATTTATGTGTTGTTGTGGGAACTGCCAATTATAAGTTACCAGAGCAAAATACATGTTATGATAAAAGGCCTTACTGGGTTTTTTTGTTTTTTTGGATCAAAGTAAGCAGGTGAGCCAATTATATTTGGTTAAATAAATATATGTAACATTTCTACAAGTTTTGAATGATACAGAAATGTTACTAAATAGGATGTTTACTTTATAACACTAGATGATGGGGGAACAATTAATTGGATCATTGATATTAGAAAATACACTTCTCTTGCCTAGGTAAAGGCCAGAGAAGTGTATTAGTAACATTTTTGGTTTAACAGATGTGATTATCACAACTGTCATTAGAAATTTTAAGAAAACTGCATTTTGTGCATGTTTTATGCAGTTCTTTCTTTTGGTTTAGAAACCTCCTTATAATGTACAAATGCTTTATTGTATTATCTCTTTGCATTTAAATATGCAATTACATAAACCACAGAAAGGTATATAGTTACTTTAAGAATTACAAAATGTGCAGGAATGTGGGTTGTTGGTGTCTTTAAGGAATCAAATAAATATCAAGCTCTCCTCCTCCCCACTCCCCATCTCAGCATGTTGGGATATTGGAAGGGAAAAAGATAAATAATTGGCTGCCATGGGCAAAAATATCAGTTTTGATTAGACATAGCTTGGTGTGGCAGTTGAATTACATCCCAGGTCCTCTGCCTTCTTTCCCTCCTCCCTCCCCACAGGGACAGAGCTTTTTCTGAGCTGGCAGAGCCAAGCCTTGCTCTCTGCAGGGAGGATGATCTCCAGAGGAAGAGAGAAGCAGCAAGGCAAGCTGCTTCTTTATTCTTCAGAGGCAGAGAAAGTGAAAAGCTGGAGAGAGGCCAGCAGTGTTACATTAATTAAGTTCCCTTTGCCTGAAAGGAAATATCAGAATAGAGAAGAAGTGTTCCCCATTGGCATGGTTTATGAAGAATTCTAGTTGATAGAATTCTGGATATAGTAGCTTTCACAGTACTTTGCTTGGTAGTTGAGCTCTTTAAATATTTCATGGTATTTTGACACTACATCAAGAGTTATCAAGGTAGCGTCTAATGCCCTGGTTGATTTGTAGCAACTATGGTCCATGAAATTCAGCAGATTTATGTATAGCCAACTTTAAAATAACTTACCCTTGGCGTTCTTCCCCTATTTTTCATGTTATTCTTTAACTGCCAATAATTGGATCGCTTTGTAAGTGGTGAGAATTAGACATAAAAAAGATGATGTTAAAATCTGACTTCCCAAACCATATATAAGTGAT
Organism: Homo sapiens; assembly: GCF_000001405.40. NCBI lineage: Eukaryota > Metazoa > Chordata > Mammalia > Primates > Hominidae > Homo > Homo sapiens. The sequence goes on along the minus strand of NC_000005.10, from coordinate 11,897,506 downwards.
CTAGGCTAGCTATTTTCCACAGCTTTTTCTGCCTCAGTATAAATAATTAGATTTTGGTGGCTGTTTGATGTTTTGCAATTAATAGGAGAAATCATGGACACAGTAAAGAAAGAAGATAAACATTGCTTTTCTAAATAGATACGATGTTGTATTTAAGTCTAAGCATGACTACTCAATCTAAAAATGCTCACTTTTTAAAACAAATTTTATCCTCTGTCACATATTTTATTTGGACTTTCAAATATTAGACTAATATAGCAGTCATTACCTTCAACAGTATACAATAATGTAATTTCCAGAAAGAGCAACCTCTTTGGTAGCTCCAAATGTAAAAGAGCCACAGTTCAATCTCTCATCTCTAACACAGTCTTCACTGGTGTGGAGCATTGTTCTTGGGGTCATGGGGAAACCAAATAAGGAAGAAGAATCCTCCAGAAAGACAGACAGGTGTTATATAAAAAGTCTCAGAGATAGTACAAATTGTCTCATTAACCCAGGACATGGAAGGTTGATGCAGGAAGGCTGGGGCTTGTAGCATCTGGATCAGATTATTTGTGTTGCTTAACTCAGGTTGAAAAAGAGTAATGTTAAATTCATAGCAGGTGCATAGATATATTATGGCACCTCTAGCCAAAGAAATATGCAATTATGAATTATAGTTTCAGAGTAGCTAATTATATGAGAACTATTCATAATACTAAAGCTAAGAAGATAATCAAGGCAAATAACTATATTGAATGTGATACCCAGCACACATACCCACTCCCAAATGTGAGAACACTGAGAACACAGTGTTTATGTCAGGGTTTCAAGAGTTTTGTTCTTTATATATTACTTTTCCACTAAATATATCATAGTTTAATATATATATTACATTATGCAGAAGAAAAGCATGCCTTTCCATTCTTGAAAAGAATAGTATATATTTATTTTGGGGTGAAGTTCATTAATTAGCTGAATGCATGACTTAAAGTTAACAAAGGTCATTCATCATGGAATGTAGATTACACAGATTTTGATCAGCCATACTTACATTTTCTCGCCTTTAAATTTGAGATTTGTTTGTTTTCAAAAGTAGTGCATGCTCATTGAAAATTCAAAAATACAGAAATGATTAAAAGAAGTTAAAATTCATGCATGGTTGCAAGCCCCAGAAATGACCATATTTTTAGCAGAGATATCAAGCGATACACATTTTTAAATTTAGAAAACATTGCTCATATTCTGTTTAGTTACCTATTAACATCTCATGTAATTAGTATTTATTTTTAGTGTCTGTTTTCCATACCTTTATATAACATTATTTACTTACATCACTCTGTTATTGGAGATTGATGACATTTTCATTTTTGGTAGTTATATTTAATGCTGTAATTAAGATCCTAATAACTAAATAGTTGTCATCAGGTTATTTACTCTAGATTACTTCCTAGAACTGGATGTTTTCAAGGTTGTTGATATATGTTGTTCATTTGTCTTCCAGGAAGATTATATAATTTATATTTCTCTCAGCAAGGCAGGAGTGTACAAATTTTCCCATGATTTCAACAACACTGGGTGTTGTAATGAGAAAAATAAAACTTCTAATTACATAGGAGAAATATTGTGTTTTTCTCTAATTCATTTGCTTCTCTATTAATATTCCTGAGGTTAAATATTTTCTAATTTGTTGGTGTCTACGTCTAATTTTTTTGTGAATTATCTTTTTATATCTTATACACATTTCTCAATTTATCTATTTTCCTTTTTTAAAATTGATTTATATTGTTTGTCTATAGTAATTATGTCACTCTGTCATGTCTTAACAGTTTATATATCATTTTATTGGTTCCTATTTTGGGAGCATAATTCTAAAGCTTGAAGTTAAACTTACTCACTTGTCCTACAGGAGTTCTTCTTTAAGGAAACATTTTACTGCTTGCTGATTTCGTGTGTCCCAGTAGTAAATACAGCAGTGGAGCAAATGGTTGAGAAAATAGCTTCAAAGTTGTACCCCAACTGACTGAGTTCATATCCCAACTTCATCATTTTCTAAGTGAACGGTTATTTTACTACTAAGTGTCATAACACAGGGGAAACAATAATTCCTGTGTCTTCAGGTTGTTGCGACGGTGAATTAAGAGACCATGGACTTAAAATACATAGCAGAGTATGTGGTATATTCACTATTACAACACACATTAGCTGTTTCTACTGCGAAATAATACAGATGCCAGATGCTTTTCTGTAATTCTGGCGTTTGCTTTTCCCACATGAAGCATAAACGCACCTGCACAGACTCCAGGATCACTGTGTGAAAAGGCAAGGTGTTTGTGGCAGTCCGGGGCTCACAGGTGCAGTGCTTTGTGTGTGGTTCTGGCACTTGACTGTGTGTTCTTCAGGGATGTCTCATTTCTCAAGTTCAAGTTCGTTGGGAAGAGCCAGGACACTGTTTTTAGGCAAACACATGATTTTCTACCTTCTCCCCCTGCTCTCAGGCACACACTCCTTCTCTCTGGTCACATAGGACCATGCTTCTCCCCAGCCCCACCCCATACTGGTAATCTATCTTTTAAAATAATTGATCCACAAATCATAGGATAGTAGTAGGCATGTAACAAACACTTAGTTCATCATTTGGGGCAAAAATGGTTTCTGAACCAAGGTTTCTTTGCTTGCTTTGGGTTGGTTTTGGGTACAGACACTGCAGCACCCTGGAGGGACCACTGCCTTAGGATGCCAAGTTCTGGGATCTAAATCGTGCTTGGCACTTGCCTTCTCTTGTGACTTTGCATCTTTGCCTATTTTGTCATTTGTTCCTTGGGATAAAAACTCACAGGGCTTTGTTGAATGTGCTGTGATAATTTAGGTGAAAATGCTTTGGGAAGCTTAATCATAATAAACATTTAAGTATAAAATATATTCTCTGGAACTTTTGATGCACTTCAAAAATACAGTAATGGTGGGGGGTAAGAGTTAGAGTCAAAAGATTTTCTTGCCTATAAAACTAAATCTCTGAATTTTGTTACTAATGTGTTTATAAAATGCCCACTTCCATAGTGGTTGTAAAGATATTGCTACATTTCATGCTATTGGCTATTGCCTAAAGGAAGAATTCTCCTTTATCCATCCGTAGAAGTAATTCTTGTTGTTTCTTCATACCACTTCAAATATTGTAAGTTATACAAAATTGGCCCAAAAAGTTTCTTGTATTTTTTCCTTGTGGTGCAGATATTTGCTGCTTAAAGATGGGAGTGGAATGAAGCCCTATTGTCCTTCAAGAGTGAAGTCTGTAGAAATGTCTCCAGAATATTATTTTCTCTCTTGGTGGGCTGCCGCGTCTGGCACCTGTGAGGCTTTATCAGAACAGTTTTAGAAGTGTGAACCATAGTTGGCTTCCATTTTTTGAGATATTTCCTTAAATACTTTGAACAAATTGCACAGAATTCTTATCGCTCTAACTGTAGTCTGCCAATAGGAAGAAATCATGTGTAAGTTACAGAAATCTAATTTATTCTCGATTCCCAAAACTTTTGAAGGAAGTAAAGAAGTCAAGTTAAACATTCCTCAATGAGTATGTTACTTAGTGAGTTACAAAGTTTTAGGTACTTGAGAGGGGATGCTAATCTTCGTTTTGCTGACTGCCTATAGCAATTTCAGATATGATCTTATAAATCAAAAGTCTTCTTTCAGCAGTTTAGCATGGGTTGTGTGATAAATTGTATAGTGACACCATATTTCCTGTTGCAGCAGTTGAGGGGATCCATGGGGTGTACTTAGCTTGTACTTAGCCTGTGGACCTAGGACAGAAGCGGAGTGTGAGAGGATAGAGCCAAGATGATGGCTGGAGGAAATTAACGTTCAGAAAGCATCCTTCTTCCTTTGCAAATATAGGCGATGGATGTGGAAGCTGAGGATGTTTTCATGAGCTAGGAGCTGGGAGTTTGGTAATACCTGGTAAATGCAGGAATTTCAAGAAGTGGAAAGGTGCAAGGTAGCTTAAACTAGTTTTAGAAACAGAACTATTATAATGGGCGAGTCCACTGTTTATTGATTTATGCATTCATTCAACAAACTGGACAAATTTAATTTTAAATGAGGCAAGAAGTTATAACTAGTAGTTAGCAGCAAGCTCTGGATGTATATACCTCCAGCGCTAGATAATCTGTCCCCCTCTGAATGGTTTAGTCATTTATTTTTCTAGTTGAAGGGTAGCTATTTCTATCCTTTTCAAACATGGATTTCCAACTGAGATGGCTGTGCAGCCTTAATTCCATCACATCTCTGAAATCCTTCCCTTTCTCCATGTGCCGATTCTCTTAAAATGCATTAATTGCTACTAGGATTTAAGATCTTTCAGTAGTAAACATAAATACTGTATGTTTACAGAGTAATAATATGAGTTTATATGGCTTCCTTGTGGCCTGATAAATCATGCATTTTACAGTAGTGCAGTTAGACCTACAGAATGGCAGGCGGTGCAGAGCCGCAAGTGGGAGAGCTGGTGACAGGGCTGGGTAAAGTGCTGTCTTAAGTTGAACAGAGTGTGGGAGGAAATATAAGCAAAGTTATTCCGTAGAATTTTATAGCATGTTAGTCTTTACAAGTGCTTTCTCATATTTTATCTCTTGAAAGGGAGGATAAGAATTTTGAAAGCAATGTAACAGATTTTTGGACCAGTAGTAGATTTCGTCGTGTTCACTGATTCTTGGAATATCCTTAGGTGATATTCATCTGATTTTAAATATACATGCTGTTCCTTACAGTTATTTATCATTTTAGCTAATTGAGATGTGGTGGGCTGGGATTTGGTGGCTATGTGAGGTTTTTTTTTTTAGCTCTGGCCCAAAGAAGGTGCTGTCTAACTCCGAAGAGATTTTGTCTTTTTTTTGGCAGTTTCTCTCAAGATCTTTGATGCTTACACAACTGTCCATTGCCTTTCCTTTTTCTTTTTATTCTTTAGAGCAAATTGCTTTGTGGATTATGAGGGAAAATATTTCTTCTTTGCTATAGCTTATTAATTTTCAATATGTGTACCCAGGACTTATGTTAAATAGTTAGTTCTACTACAGAAGTAATTTCAGTTTGTCTGCTGAATGGTTTTCATATTAGTAGAGCATTGTTACTTTCATGTTTACTGTCAGCATAGCTTTGAAGATAGATATTTATGGTCATTTGGAGAAATGTAGGACTGTTCGTACATTGATTAGAAGGCATCGAGAAGACAAATAAGGTAGGCTATTCATCCCAGTATCAGCACTGGTGCTATATGTACTCTTTGCATGAAATCATTGGCATGTGGAAAAGTTCACCATCATCAACAAGCTAAGCTGCATGTGGAAAAGTTCACCATCATCGACAAGCTAAGCTGCATGTGCATTCTGGGCTTAAAAATATAGACACAATGTAAGGTGTCAGGTTTTGTGATGTGCAGATGTGTGATGTTATAGAGAATATTATGATGTCAGAAGAATTTGTGAAGCTGTTCATGAATCACCAAGAGAAGATGGTAGGACGTTTTGACAACAGATTCACAGACTGTGCTGTAGCACTGAGTGGATAATTGAGTACCACACTGAAGGGCATAAATATTTCCTAAGGGCATAAATATTTCCAAATTTAATAACATACTATATTCCCTGTCATCTCAGAAGTTCAGAAAAACTTGTCCAATGTCAAGTGATAGTGCATCCTGGCTTTGGAAGGATTCCACCAAATTTTTTCCAAGACTGTCATAGTTGGCTCAGGCTGCCCTAAATTGTGTGGCTTAAACAACGTTTATTTCTCACAGTTTTAGAGGCTGGAATGTCTAAAATGAAGATGCTGGCAGATTTGATTCCAGGTGAGGGCTCTCCTCCTGACTTGCAGATGGCCGCCTTCCTGCTCTTTCCTCACATGGCCTTTTGTAGATCTCTCATCTGTCTTCTTAGAAAGCTGCTGATCCCTTCTTGAGGGCCCCATCCCCATCACCTAATCTAACACTAATTACCTTCCGGGGGTCCCATTTCCAAATGCCATCACATCGGGGGCTAGGACTTCATCATATTACTTTGTTGGTGGGTGAGGAGAAGACGCAAACATTCAATCTATAACAGAGACCACAGGATGAAACCAGCAAGTTACCCAGTGTCAAGGAAGGCCAATCTCTGGTGGCAGATTTTGGAACTTTGGTATTGAATTACTCCCTAAATGAATGATAATTCCTGATGGATAATATGAAGCTCTTTGAGCTATTTTATTAATAAGTGATTATTCAGCTCAGTTTAAATGTTTTGCTTTGATTTATAAAATTCAGAATGTGATACATAGAACAATATGGTATATAGAGTACCTAGACCCACATGTCTGTATTTATTAACATATGGCATTCCAGAGTTCCTTTTTAAGTGTATTTTTCAAAATTGCATGGATGCTTTTCATCTTGGTTGAACCTCCCACTTCTTGTCACCTTCAGTGTTAAGAGGCTGATCCAGCTGTCTCATTGCTCACCAGGGTTTCTGCAGCAGGCTCCTGGCTGGCCAACCCACTGTGAGCTCATCATTCCTACAGCCGTCCTAGGGCTCCTTCTAGTTCACCCACATCTTGCCTTAGCTTATAACCCTAGTGGTGACAACCAGCAAAAGGTCCAGTTTCTTTCTATTTTATCTTATCTCCCCTCTCTGTCCCTGGGTTTATTAGGCTCTAGCCACTTTGGCCGCCTGTCTCTGCTGATCATCCTGCGAAAGCAAGTGTTTCTGTCCTAACAGTTACCCTGTTTTATCTTTTTCATAACATATGAGTGATAGAAATCATCTCATTTATTTGTTGGTTTACAGGTTTGTTTCCATGTCTCCTTCCATTAGACTGCAACCTCCTCGAAGGTTGATCATTAAAATGACTTTAAAATTGATCATTTACTGATATAGTACACATAGGAACTGACAAGCATTAATGCATACCTGGCATCTAAGTAGCTGCCTTATGAAGGATAAAATTTTAATTCATCAAGTCATATCATAGATAGATGTTGAAATGAGAAGACAAGACAGAAGACGGATAGTCTATCTGAAGGGATGTGAGAGATCAATATGAAGATGAGTTTGTAAGAGCTGCCTGCCTTTCCATGTACAGGTGTAATATAGTGCTTTTTGCCTCTCTGGTCAGCTGCCATGGATGTCCTGGCATCCTCAGAGAGAGCAGGTTGTCTTTCAAAGGCAGGTTATCTCATGATAAATACAGCTGTGACAGGTTTTTGTGGCAGGAGGATATGTTAAATATATGAGACTATACTTTTGGTTCATGATTTAATATGAACCAATATAGAACCAAGAAATAGAACTGTACCAAGTTTAAGTTTTCAGGGACCAGTAATCAGCATCTCAGAAAAAGTAGTGGACTGTGAACTGCAGGAAAAAGTTGATTCTGATGGGAATTTTCAGGCTACTTTTTCAAGATATTATAATGAGAAAGTATAGATGAATAATGGCAAAATTGGAAGTACACAACATATATAATTATGAAAGTAGATTTATTTTCTCAAAGTGAATTTATATTTTTCATTATCTTTAAATTGAAGGTACTGTCTATGACTTGGAATATTGTCAACTAAAAGAAAAGTAGAATATTTTAAAAGACTATAAAATATTCAGATGCTAATTTTGGCATAAGACCTTGAGTGATAAAGGTTGAAAACATTGTGATGTCCTTTATAAAGAAGAAAGTTTAATGTGTTTGGGATATGGAGTTTTAAAAGTTGCAATGTAATAAAATGTTAGAAGTGAATTCTTGTGACTTCAAGAGTGATATTTTAGTAATTCTGTGTTTACTTTTATTTCATCTCATATAAGAAATGTCTGTATCTGAGAATTTATATTAATATAAAATGAAGTATTGCTTTTATAAACTTTAATATTTCCTGTTTGGACTCCACTATCATGAAATCCCCTGCTTATTTAAATTAGCTGTGCCTTTAGTGAATTATGTCTTTGAAATATAAACCTGCACACAGAAATGCTTGAAGTTATCAAATGTGTCATTAGACTGGGGAGGTTCCTTTGGCCTAACGAGTATTTTAAGGTAGTTGCCCTTTGGTGTTTAATTGTGGCTACCCACTCAAACACTAATTTAGAATGAGTTGTTTCTCTCTTGGAGCATTGAATTGGCTACATAGTTGTGCATCTTTAGTGTTTGAATCTGCTCTAAATTGTATCTTAAAATCATTAACTCAGTTTAGTCTTAGAGAGACATTTGAAGGTTTGTAACTGAAAATGTGTTACCTGTGGTGTGTCTGGGTGTAGATAATCTCAGAGCTCAGTGGAAGGTGGCATTCTGGCCCCTTCTCCCTATCTTCAGCTGCATGGTTGACATTCTGCATGCTGTCTAGTTACTCCAGCTTTTGGCTTTGAGTCTTACAGAAAGAAGGAAAAGGGGCCTTCATCTGATTATTTACCAAGGTTGGTACATGCCGTGAAAAGGTTTCTATTTAAGAGTCATTCTAGGGGCTGGGCGTGGTGACTCACATCTATAATCACAGCACTTTGAGAAGCTGAGGTGGACAGATCATGAGATCAGGAGTTCAGGACCAGCCTGGCCAACATGGTGAAACCCTGTCTCTACTAAAAATAGAAAAATTAGCTGGGCATGGTGGTACGTGCCTGTAATCCCAGTTACTCAGGAGATTGAGGCAGGAGAATTGCTTGAACTGGGACTGGGAGGCGGAGGTTGCAGTGAGCTGAGATTGTGCCACCTCACTCCAGCCTGGGTGACAGAGTGAGATTCCATCTAAAAAAAAAAAAAAAAAGAGTCATTCTGAGAACTTGAAAAATACACAACCAGGCCGACATTGCTGTGTTGCAAGTAGTAGGTAGGAGGATCATGTGAAATTTCTAACAGGTAACCATGTTTGATCTATAAAAATAACTATTCTAATTATTTTCACTCTCCTCAATGGAGGAGCTGATTAATAAGTGAAAAATAACATGTATTCCTTTCTTCCCCCTGAAATTCTTCATTTGGTGGCTTGACAAATAAGAGATTGGAATTCTCTTGTGTTTTCAAATACTAAGGGAGATGTGCCAACTCTTAGGTCATGGGGGAAACCATTGATTGGATTAAGGTTGGCAAGGCTGGAAAGAATTAGCTTAAGTCCCTGAGCCCACAGGCTAGTACGTTGGCCCTGGGGAATGGGGTGCACGCAGTCACTCTCTGCCACAGGGAAATACTCTTATCTTCGTCAACCATTCTACCTTTCCTGGGTCTTTTAGCCTAGTCGTAAGGTTGTAACTTTGGCCTTTAAGCTACACTAGGCTTAATTAAAGGACAGATGTAATGTTCTAATGTTTACAATATTCCATTTTCTAAGTTTCAACAACATTTTGTTTTTGCACTTTGAAATGTCATATGATTATTCTAAATGAGGTTAGAATTAATTTAAGAATGCCATTCATTTATAAAATTGAAGCCCTCAAGTCTTGTCCAAATGTTTACTTCAGATTGAATATGCTGGTAATACCAGGTTGAAAGCATTAAAATATAATTTAGCATCCAAGGATATGAGTAAGCAATTCATAAAAAGTGTCAATTAAAAAAATCTACTTTATATATAGCTTGATACAATGTGTTGAAAATAGTACTTTACTTTTGTGGCTTCTTCCCCAAAGCCCATAACCTCAGTCTAATCATGTGGAAGACATTTATTCTGCAGAATGCCTGACCAGTATGCCTCAGAACTGTCAAAGGCATCAAAAACAAGGAAAGTCTGAGAAACTAAGAACCAAGAGGAGTCCAAGGAGACATGAGGACTAAATGTGGTGTGGCATTTTGGATGGGGCCCTGGAATAGTAAAAGAACTTTAGGGAAAATTACATAAATCTGAATTAAGTATGAACTTTAGTTAATAATAATGTATCAATACTGGTCATTAATTATAACAAATGTGCCATACTAATCTAAGATGCTTATAATAGGAGAAATTAGGTCCTAAAAGATAAAATTTATTTATTTTTTACAACCTAATTTTTAACACTAGAAGTTTTTTTTTTTGCTTGCTCAAAGTTTTTAAAGATCTCTGTAAAGGGAACGATGTTTTTGTTTGATTTTAGTGGGGTTAGACTATGTCCTAATATTTTAGAATTATTATTCAAATTGATTTCTAATTAAATAGCAAATCAGCCTAAAATATTTTTATCAGTTATGTCATGGATTTTTGGCAAAGGTGAGGGGAAGGAGAATAAGTACTCAAAATTATTTTTAAAAAGCAGTAGAATAGGCCGGATGTGGTGGCTCCTGCCTGTAATCCCAGCACTTTGGGAGGCTGAGGCGGGCGGATCACAAGGTCAGAAGATCAAGACCATTCTGGCTAACATGGTTAAACCCCATCTCTTCTAAAAATACAAAAAATTAGCTGGGCGTGGCGGTATGCGCCTGTAGTCCCAGCTGCCGGGGAGGCTGAGGCAGAAGAATGGAGTGAACCCGGGAGGCAGAGCTTGCAGTGAGCCGAGATCGCGCCACCGCACTCCAGCCTGGGTGACAGAGCGAGACTCTGTCTCAAAAAAAAAAAAAAAAAAAAAAAAAAGCAGTAGGATAGAAAACATCTTATTTGATAGTGGCTTGGAATCAAAAGAAACATAACTTGAAATTTGTAAAATTGCTCAGGTATTTTGTTTAGAGAATGGCTTTTTATAGAAGCAAAGAGCATTTTCATCATGTTTGGAAATTATTTTAACAAATGAGTGGGAATGCTATCTTCTTTCCATTTACAAGGCCAAAAATGTGTAATTACTCTTTATTTTATGAATCATCTTACTGATAATCTGAAGATAAACTTTTAATGCCCCCTCACCAGCCCTTTTACACAACCCGTGTAATTCTTAGAAAGTACACATAGTTAGGGTTGCTAGATTTAGCAAATGTAAATACAAGATGCCTACTTTACTTTGAATTTTATATAAACCATACTTTTTTTTTCAGTCTAAGTATGTTCCAAATATTGCATGGGACACACTTATACTAAACAATTATTTGTTGTTTTTCAGAAAACCAAATTGAACTTGATTTCTTCATGGTTCAATCTTGGTAGATTAAATGCATCTAGGAATTTATTTCTTTTACGTTTTCCAATTTTTTTGGCATACAGTTATTCATAGTAGTCTTGAATGACCCTTTGTATTTCTGTGGTATCAGTTGTAATGTCTCCTTTTTCATTTCTGGTTTTATTTGGTTATTAAATAACCAGATAAACAAAGTACTATTTGGTTCTTCTCTCTTTTTATCTTGTTTAGTCTAGCAAAATATTTGTCATTTTATTTATCTTTTGAAAATAACTCAACTTTTTGTTTCATTGATATTTTATATTTTTGTCTCAGTTTCATTTATTTCTGCTCCGACATTTTTTTCTGCTACTAATTTTGGGTTGGTTTATTCCTGCTTTTCTGGTTCCTTGAGGTGCATTTTTAGGTTATTTGAAATCTTTCTACTTTTTTGATGTAGGCATTTATTGCTGTAAACTTCCTCTCTGTACTGCTTTTTTGTATTCCATAGGTTTTGGTATGTTGTGTTGTGTTTCCATTTTTATTTGTTTCAATAAATTTTAAAATTTTCTTCTTAAAATCTGTATCGACCCGTTGGTTGTTCAGAACCGTGTTGCTTAATTTCCATGATATTTGTAGTTTTCAAAGTTCCTCTTTTATTGATTTCTAGCTTTATTCCATTGTGGTCAGAAAATGTACTTGATATGATTTTATTTTTAAAAATTTGTTGATACCTGCTTTGTGGCCTAACATACGGTCTGTTCTGAAGAATGTTCCATGTGCTGATGAAAAAAAATGTGTATTCTGAAGCTGTTGGATGAAATGTTCAATAAATGTCAGTTAGGTCTGTTTGGTTCAGAGGGTAGTTTAACTCCAGTGTTTGTTTGTTGAATTTCTGTCTGTCCGTTGCTGAAAGTAGACTGTTGAATTATACTGCAGCCTATATCTCCTTTTAGATCTATTAATATTTGCTTTATATAAGTGGGCACTTTGGTGTTGAGTGCATATATATTTACAGTTATTATATCCTCTTGCTGAATGGACCCAAAGATCATTATATAAGGATCTTGTTAGTCTCTTTTTTATAGTTTTTGACTCAAAGTGTATTCTCTTTGATATAAATGTAGCTACTTCTGCTCTTTTGTGGTTTCTATTTGCATGGAAAACGTGAACAGACCAATAACAAATAATGAGATTAAATCAGTAATAGAAAGTCTCCCAAAACAGAAGAGTTCAGGATTGGATGACTTCATGGCTGAATTCAAACTTTTAAAAAACAAATATCAATTCTTTTTAAGCTAGTCCAAAAAATTGAAGGGGAAGGAATTTTTCCAATCTCATTCTATGAAGTCAGCATTACTTGGATACCAAAACCAGACAAGGAAACAGCAACAAAAAGTAAAACTACAGGCCATTATCTCTGATGAACATAGATGTAAAAATCCTCAACAGAATACTAGCATACTGAATTCAGAAGCACATCCAAAAGTGCTTTTATACGCCATGATCAAGTGAGATTTATCCCAAAATGCAAAGATGGGTTAACATATGCAAATCATTAATTATGGTACATCACATCAACGGAATGGACAAAACACTATATGATTATCTCAATAGATGAAGAAAAACATTTTGATAAAACTCAACATACTTCATGATAAAAAACTTTCAACAAATTAGTTATAGAAGGAACGTGCCTCAAAACAATAAAGGCAGTATGTGACAAACCCACAGCTAACATCATAGTGAATGGGTTAAAGTTAAAAGGCTTTATTTAATATCTGGAGTAAGAGAAGGATACCCACTTTTTCTACTTTTTTTCAAGATAGTACTGATACTTCTACCCAGAGTGAATAGACAAGAGAAAAAAATAAAGTGCATCCAAATTGGAAAGGAGGAAGTCGTATTATCCACTGTTGGCAGATGACATGATCTTACATTTAGAAAAATTTAAAGACACCACCAAAAAGGTACCAAAACAGATATATAGAGCAATGGAACAGAACAGTGGCCTCAGAAATAACGCCACAAATCTACAACCATCTGATCTTCGACAAACCTGACAAAAACAAGCAAAGGGGAAAGGATTCCCTATTTAATAAATGGTGTTGGGAAAACTGGCCAGCCATATGTAGGAAACTGAAACTGGACCCCTTCCTTGTACCTCATACAAAAATTAACTCAAGATGGATTAAAGACTGAAACGTAGGACCTAAAACCATAAAAACCCTAGAAGAAAACCTAGGCAATACCATTGAGGAGATAGGCATGGGCAAAGACTTCATGACTAAAACACCAAAAGCAATGCCAACAAAAGCCAAAATTGACAAATGGGATCTAATTAAACTAAAGAGCTTCTGTACAACAAAAGAAACGATCATCAGAGTGAACAGGCATCCTACAGAATGGGAGAAAATTTTTGCAATCTACCCATCTGACAAAGGGCTAATATCCAGAATCTACAGGGAACTTAAACAAATGTACAAGAAAAAAACAACCCCATCAAAAAGTGTGTGAAGGATATGAACAGACACTTCTCAAAAGAAGACATTTATGTGGCCAACAAACATATGAAAAAAGCTCAACATCACTGTTCATTAGATAAAAGCAAATCAAAACCACAATGAGATACCATCTCATGCCAGTTAGCATGGCGATCATTAAAAAGTCAGGAAACAACAGATGCTGGAGAGGATGTGGAGAAATAGGAATGCTTTTACACTGTTGTTGGGAGTGTAAATTAGTTCAACCATTGTGGAAGACAGTGTGGCGATTCCTCAAGGATCTAGAACCAGAAATACCATTTGATCCAGCAATCCCATTACTGGGTATATAACCGAAGGATTGTAAATCATTCTACTATAAAGACACTTGCACACGTATGTTTATTGCAGCACTGTTTGCAACAGCAAAGACTTGGAACCAACCCAAATGCCCATCAGTGATAGACTGGATAAATAAAATATGGCACATATACACCGTGGAATACTATGCAGCCATAAAAAAGATGAGTTCATGTCCTTTGCAGGGACATGGATGAAACTGGAAACCATCATTCTCAGCAAACTGACACAGAAACAGAAAACCAAACACCACATGTTCTCATTCATAGGTGAGAGCTGAATAAGGAGAACACGTGGACACAAGGAGAGGAACATTACATGCTGAGGCCTGTCAGGGTGTGGGGCGGTAGGGGAGGGATAGCATTAGGAGAAATACCTAATGTAGGTGACAGGTTGATGAGTGCAGCAAACCACCATGTCACGTGTATACCTATGTAACTAACCTGCACATTCTGCACATGTATCCCAGAACTTGAAGTATAATAAAATAAGTGATAAATGCAGTAAAGTTTCAAGATACAAAATGACCAATAAAAAAATCGTAGCATTTTTATATGCCCAACAGTGAGCAGTCAGAAAAAGAAATGAAGAAAGTAATCCCATTTGCAATAGCTACCAAACCCCCCAATCTTAGGAATACATTTGACAAAGCAGGTGAAATAGTTCAGCAATTAAAACTATAAAATATTGATGAAAGAAACTGAAGAGGACACAAAAATAGAAAAATATCCCATGTTCATGGATTGGAATAATTAATATGTTAAAATTAATATGTCCATACTACTAAAGAAATCTATAGATTCAATTCAATCATGCTGAAAATGCCAATAACATTCTTCACAGAAATAGAAACAACAATTATATCATTTTTATGGAACCACAAAAGACTCTAAGTAGCCAAAGCAATCCTGAGCAAGAAGAACAGAGCTGGAGGCATCACACTACCTGACTCTAAAATATACTATAAATCTATAGTAACCAGTACTGTAGTAAGCTATAGTACTGTTATAAAAACAGACACATAGGCCAATGAAACAGAACACCAAAATAAATCCATGTACTTCTGGTTAACCGATTTTTGACAAAGGTTCCAAGAATACACACAGTGGGGGAAAAGACAATCTTTTTAATACATGCTTTTTAATAAATGCTGCTGGGAAAACTATATATATATATTTGTATATGTTGAGAGAGATTCTTCGGTATAAACTAGACCCTTATTATTTATTATCCTTTATTCTGCAGAAGAATAAAACTAGAACCCTGTCTCTCAGCATATAGAAGAATCAACTCAAAAACTGATTAAAGACTTAACTGTAATACCTGAAGCTAAGAAACTACTAAAAGAAAACATTGGTGAAATGCTGTATGATTTTGGTCTGGGCAAAGATTTTTTGGATAGGATTTCAAAAGCATAGGAAATAAAAGCAAAAATACATAAATGGGATCATATCAATATTAAACTAAGAAACTTCTGTATAGTAAAGGAAACAATCAATAGAGTGAAGAGACAGTATACAGAATGGAAGAAAATATTTGCAAACTATCCATCTGGCAAGGAGTAAATATCCAGAATATATAAGAATCTCAACAGCAGTTATAATGATAATAATAATAATCCAAGTAAAAATGGGCAAATAATCAAAAAGACATAGAGATATCTAACAGGTACATGAAAAAATGATCTACAGCTCTAATCATCAGGGAAATTCAAGTTGAAACCACAATGAGTTATCGTTTCAACCCAGTTAAAATGGATATAATCAAAAAGAAAAAATATAACAAATGCTGGCAAGAATGTGGAGACAATGAAACTCTTTTACACTGTCGGTGGAAATGTAAATTAGTACAGCCATTATGAAAGTAGGGCAGTTCTTCAAAAAACTACAGATAAAAATACCATATGGTCCAGCAATCTTTTGAGTATCTATACAAAGGAAAGGAAATCAGTATGTTCAAGAGGTATCTATGTTCTCATGTTTATTGCAGCACTATTCACAATAAACAATATATGATATCAGCCTAAATGTCTATTGATGGATGAATGAATAAATAAAAAAAGAATGAAATCTTGTGTTTTGCAGCAAGGTGGAAAAGCCTAGAGGACATTATGTTAAATGAAATAAGCCAGGCATAGAAATACAAACACCGCATGTTCTTACTCATATGTGGGAGCTAAAAAATTTCATCTCATGGAAGTAGAGAGTAGAATAGTGGTTACCAGAGGATGAGAAGGATAGTGGGGAGGGAGGGATACTGAGAAGTTGGTTAATGAGTACAACATTACATTTAGCTATGAGGGATAAGTTCTAGTGTTCTGTAACACAGTAGGGTGACTATAGTTAGCAATAATAGCTAGATGAGAGGATTTTGAATGTTCACAACACAAAGAAGTAATAAATGTTTGAAGTGATGGACATGCCAGTTACTCTAATTTGATCACTACACATTGTATACATGTATTGAAATAGCACGTGTATGCCATAAATATGTATAATTCTTAGGTGGCAATTAAAAATTAAATGAAAAAATCAAGTTAATTTATCCATGCAGAGTTTCTTGGGCACAAGGGCATCTACAATTCATTCCCTTTAATAATAATGATAATAGTAGTAGTAGTAGTGGTAGTAGTAGTAGTACTAGTAGCAGTAGTAGTGGTAGTAGTAGTGGTGGTAGTAGTACTAGTAGCAGTAGTAGTGGTAGTGGTAGTAGTAGTAGTGGTAGTAGTAGTAGTATTAGTAGCAGTAGTAGTGGTAGTAGTAGTGGTGGTAGTAGTAGTAATGGTAGTAGTAGTAGTACTAGTAGCAGTAGTAGTGGTAGTAGTAGTGGTGGTAGTAGTAGTGGTAGTAGTGGTAGTACTAGTAGCAGTAGTAGTGGTAGAGTAGTAGTAGTGGTGATAGTAGTAGTGGTAGTAGTAGTAGTACTAGTAGCAGTAGTAGTGGTAGTAGTAGTGGTGGTAGTAGTAGTGGTAGTAGTGGTAGTACTAGTAGCAGTAGTAGTGGTAGAGTAGTAGTAGTGGTGATAGTAGTAGTGGTAGTAGTAGTAGTACTAGTAGCAGTAGTAGTGGTAGTAGTAGTGCTGATAGTAGGAGTAGTGGTAGTAGTAGTAGTACTAGTAGCAGTAGTAGTGGTAGTAGTAGTGGTGGTGGTAGTAGTAGTAGTGGTAGTAGTAGTAGTACTAGTAGCAGTAGTAGTGGTTGTAGTAGTAGTTGAGCCTTTATTCCATGTCATAGACCCCCACACCTGACTTGTGATAGAAGGCCTTCTTCTTGACTTATTAACTCTTTAAAATTACCATCTTAAATGCACTTTGTTGTGTTAATCATTCTAGTCTTAACCTCTGCCCAAAGTGAACTCTTACAGAACTTTTGTTTTCCGTTTATTATGGAATATTTCACATATTACCTTTTATAGTAATCATTTCCTAACTTGGCAGACCCTGAAAAGAGAATATGTTATAAATTTCTGGGCCCCTCTTACACATGAGCATAATGTCTTCATGAAAATATTTTATAATTGAATAAGGGGGGTTGTGTATCAGGATGAATTAAGTTAGGTTGCTTTAACAAATAATTCCCGGTTTCAGCAGCCCACAAGAGTAAAAGTTGGTACATTTTTGGCATGGATTGGCAAGAGTTGAATGGAGAGTTTGACAGTTGTGGTGACTCCAGAACCCAGGACAGTGGATCCTCCATCTCAGCACAATCTTCCATAGCCATGGAGATAGGGAAATAACCTGGAAAATTGAGTCGTATGTCCCTATTTCGTCAGGCCGAGTGGGCCATGTGACCATGCCCAGCTCTGAAGGGAGAGGGAAGTCCAGTCCTTCCATATGCCCAGAGGATGAAGAAATGAAATACTGGAGAACAGCCCTACCCACATCATAGAAAAAGCATTTTGTGTACTTTTGAGAATTTGTGTACTTTGAGAATTGGATAGCATATATATACTTTCATTTTGAGAGCTACTCTTTGCGAACCTATAGTTTTTATTAGTAAAAAAGTCTTGTTTCATAATTCTTGTACATAAAATAGAAACGAGATTTTTGTATAAGAGAAAAAGAATGTCAAAAGCTTATCAATGGTACAGAATAGGATGTGAATTGTGATTGGAAATATTATTACAATAATGTGCTCAAATAAAATGGTAGCATGCTCCAGAGCCATCTTGCTGGTTTTTGAGATTTCCATGGAAACTAACCTTTCTATAAATGCTGTTCCCAGATGTTAAGAAAAGGCAAATCAAACTTTTCTTGTATTTTGTATATGCCCATGCACAGGCATATGTGTATGTATGTATATGTTTGTGTGTGTGTGTATATGTATATATATATATATACACACATTTAATTTTTTAATACACTTGAAATTCTGATTTTTATATTTCATTTTGGTAGAAACAGTGAATCATATCCAGAAACACTTGACAATTTTAACTGTATCTCCCTCTGTCTCCCGTAGCCTGTCTGCCCCACAGCTCTGCTGCTCTGTCATCCCTCCACCTTCCTCTCCTTTCATAGACACATCTGTCCCGAGTACTTGGGGCTCCGTGGTGCTGCAATCATGTTCTGCGGTGCCACTTGGCATCTGCCTCACCCTTTCTCTTCCGTGGGGTACTGTCTCCATGGTAACCACAGGCTGCACTGCAGGCAGCTCTGCCATGTGGGGCGGCTGGAGCTGGCAGAGGCAATCAAAGAGCGAGGAGGCCTTGAAGAACCCTGTAAAAGCTTCCAGTGCAATTGCAGACACAGAAATGAAAAATGTTATTAATTTGAGACATCCAGGCTAGCAGCGAAACTCCCATGAGGCCCCATCTCCCTTCCCCACCTTGCAAATGATGGTGCCCCAATGTCCACATGCTTCCTTCTCTCTTTGGATGCTTTTTCTTTGTTGGTGTCTCAGGAAATATGGTGTGGGAAGGTTTGAGGCTGGACTAGAGTGAGTCTCCACAGTGAGTGACTGCTAACGTGCATGAAGCAGCAAGGACTCTTAGCAAATAATAACCTGAAAAGGTGTAGACACCGAATTTCACGGTCAGTGGATCTTACACTGCAAACTTCAGCTCAGGATTCCGGAAATAACATCTAGTCACTTTCCCAGCTGTTCAAGCCTTAGAACAGGTTTCTGGTGCAGTTGTATTCAGTTTGAGATCTGGGGTATAGAACACTGCCAAACATTTGCATCTGTTTTCTCTATGTATTGATCTATCCTGAAGATTTGAAGTAAACTGAAGGTACAAATGCTATTGTTTCTTGGGCTCCTGTGAACCCTACCTTACTTGGGCCTGACCTTGTCTCTTGGGAGCTCATCCCAGAGACAAGCCAGCAAACTTTTGTAAGAAATAACACATCTTGGTGAGGAGAGAGAGTAAAGAAGAGGTAGAAGAAATTCTTTAGGGATCAGAGCCAGAAAATGTGTAATATTTATAATGGAGTTATTTATATATAAAATTGTATACCACATTTGTTAATATATACCGCTATAGTTTTTCAAATATAAAATGAAAAACTAGAAAGGATATAATCACATTTTTGAGTGTTTCTGATTGCTTTTACAATTTCTGTTCCTTTGTGTGTCTGTGTGTGTGTACAAAATTGTTAAGCTATTCTGTACCACACTTTCAAAAGAAGAAAGCTTGAGTAGAAGATAATTGCCTTCTACATTTCTTTTCTTATACACAAGATATATTTATTTGTTTCTGCCATATACAAAGTCTCAGAATTTTGCATGCTGCTCTTTGGTACTTAAATATTTTTATATATTAGATGGATTTATATATAGTTTAATGAAACTTGATGTTAATAATTTGAAATTGTATTTTTCCTCTCTTTGTTCTATAGCACTTCTTCCCAAATGAAAGAAAAGTCTTTTTGTCCTTCAGATTTTGATAGTCTTATATTTTGTCTTAAAGAGAAATGATACCTCTTGGTAGAATATGATGATGATGATGATGATGATGGTGATGGTGCTGTCGACAACTATCATTATTGAAGGTGGGAAATTTTTTTTGCAAACCTTGATTTTCTTGCTGTGAATTAGGCAGTAATATGAAATGAAAGCTTCTCAATATTAGATACTTTAAATATCAGAGTTAATCTTCAAGCGTATTCAAATATTGGTAACACAGCTTAAAAATTATGTGCTTATATTTCAAAATATGGTTCTTTTAAAAATTACATATGCTTATTTCTTATAGGCTTGATTTATAATGATGATTCTAAGAAGTTTACTCTTAAAAGTTAACTTTGAGACATCATAATGAATTTCAGAAACTGTTTATAACTGGATGCCAATTAAAACAGCAAATAGCAAAACTCAAAGAATATAGCTAGTTTAGTACACAGAGGGAAATTTATTAGAAAAGAATAACTGCTAATTAGTGAACTAAGTACTCATCTCAAGAAATTAGGAAAATAATGGCAATGGAGTAAAATGAAAGAAAGATGAAAATCAGTTATTACAAATATGCATATTTCACATTTAAAAACGATACATTTCAATATCAGACTTAATTAGTATCTCTTAGTGAACCAGGAATTAAAACATTCTTAGGCTAAATAATACTGAAATCTAAGGCTTATAATCCCATTTCTGACACAAAAATAAAAGAATATCTGCTAACAGCACTTCTTTAACCTCAGTCATTGCTATAAAATAAGAATAGACATAAGAAGCATGGGCAGGAACAAGAAGAAAAGCTTAAAACTATGTGCAGATAATATTTACTTACAAATTTCAAGGGACTCTAAGGTCTTAACTGTCATAATTAACAAGGGAATTCAGCAAGTTTGCTGGACTAAATGTCATGATGTTAAATGTGGCTTATTTCTTTCATGTTTGATTTATAATAATAATTTAAAATTACTTTTAAAAGTTAACATTGAGATAACGAAATTTAGAAATTGTTTATAACTCAATGCCAATTAAAGCGCCTAATGTATAAACTTAAACAATGCTAGCTTTGAACACCTTTTCAATCTACATCATTATTAAATGCTTTTAAGAGCATTTAATAATGTGGTGTGTTTTAAAAGCAGTCTTTTACCCAGATCAGGCTACTGGACTATTTCTCCCAGCTTTATTTCCCTTGCAAAGTAATCCTTCTCTTTTGTTTAAATATTTATGTGCTTTTTAATTATATGTGCATGTGTATACATACACAGTCAATTTGTTGCGAATATGATTATATTGATTTTAACCCTATGATTAAATGTTAGACTTGCTGACTCTTAGATGGAATTCTTCTCTGTGAATTGTGTTTTGACCCAAGTCACCTTTGACCCAAGTTGAAAGATTATATATAAAATCTTTTTTCCTTTTTCGTTCTTTTCTCTTTTCTTTTCTCTTCTCCTCTCTTCTCTTCTCCTCCCCTCTCGCCTCTCCCCTTTCCACTCTCCCCTCTCCCCGCCTTTCCTGCCCTCTCCTGCCTCCCACCTCCTCCCTGCTGCCTCCCGCCTCCTCCCTCCTGCCTCCTCCCTCCTCTCCTCTTTTTCTACCTATCTATCTGAAATCATACCATTACAGATTCTGCCCATATTCTAAGGGACCATGGATAGGGAATGATCGTGTCTTCCACTTCTTTGTATGAATAGCACCAGGTTGAAGATCTTATAAATGGGAGTCATTTAGTAATGTTACTTAGTCATGCTATAGCTGTTACAAAATTAGAGAATTTATACACTTTCTTCACAATTTCATCTGTTTTATTCCTTATCAAGGATATTCCTTGTGAGATTGTGTGGAAGCAAAAGCAAACTTGCTGGTGAACCAACATTTGGTCTTGATAACCTTGATTACTTTCTGGTCTTGATTTATGGAGGGGAAACTCCATGAGTTATTGAATCTTCCTAGTATAGTCTTGAGTCTATTCAAGATTACTTTATTAGTTTGCTGGTGCTGCTATAACAAAATACCGTAGTCTGGGTGACTTATAAACAGCAGTATTTATTCCCCACAGTTCTGAAAGCCGGGAAGTCCAAAATCAGACTGCCAGCAGGGTTGGGTTCTTGATGGCTTGCAGACAGTTGCTTTCTTGCTGTGCCCTCACATGGCAGAGTTGTGACATCTCTTCCCCTGCTATACGGACGGTAAAATCCCATCATGAGGGCCCAACCCTCACGACCTCATCTGAATATAATTTTCTCTCAAAGGCCCCTGGCTTTAAATACTGTTACATTGGGAGTTAGGGCTTCAACATATGGATTTGGTTGTGGGAGAGAAGCACAAAGATTCAGTCCATTATATTCATTAATCCCAAATGTGTAAAATGCTTTGGGCAGCAGTTTTCTTTCCCAGGGTATGAATATTTCAAATTGAATTATGTATTTTCAGAGAAGCAACCATAAATAGCAGTGTTCTTACAAAAATTCAATAGTGAATTAGGGGTTAGGAAGCAAAGATTGAGGTTGTAGGAAGAGGGAGGTAGTTTTGAAGTTGAAGAACTACGTATAATCGTCTAACAGCTAGCTTGTACTTAGAGTTTGAAACCCTGAACAACAAAGGTTTCTACCAGAATGATTGAACAATTTAGAAACCTTTGCTTCTGAAGGGACAGAGGTTTTGTGATTCCATAGGAAAATTATTTTTAAGTTATCCACTTAAGTGAAAGGATGTAGTCATGATTACTATATGAGGTCAGAATTCTTCTTTGTTTTCTACATGGGCAAACCAATTTGTGATTAGATTATTTATGTATTTTTTTCACAATTGTTTGAAAGAATCACCTCATCACTGGTACATTTCCATTCTTTCATATGTAACTTAAAAGATGTCTGGGTTATATTTTCCTTTGAAAATTAATGATGGTGTTTACCTGGGAATAGTACAGGCTATCTGGGTAAGGGATTGTGGTATCAATTTCGTGAGTTAAACATTACAGTAGTCCCCTCTTATCCTCAATTTTCAGGTTTCAGTTATCCACAGTCAACTGTGGTCTAAAACTATTAAATAGAAAATTACACAAATAAGCAATTCATAAGTTTTAACTTAGGTGACATTCTGAGTAGTATGCTGAAATCTCGCTGTCCCATTCCTTCCCACCTAGGATGTAAATTACCCCTTTCTCCAGGGAATGCATGCTGTCTCTGCTCCCTGCAACCCTGTAGTCACTTATGAACTGTCTTGGTGATGGGGTCCCCTGTTGGGATATGGCAGTGCTTGTGTTCACATCACCCTTATTTTACTTAATAATGGCTCCAGTGCACAAGAGTAGCGATGCTGGTATATCATACTTGTCCTATTGTATTATTAGTTATTGTTAATCTCCCACTGTGCCTAACTATAAATTTCACTTTATCATAGGTATGTGTGTGTAGGAAAAAACCTAGTGTATATAGAGGATTTGGTACTTTCTGCGGTTTTGGGGATTCTGGCACATATTCCCCTCAGACTGCTATCTTATGTTTACTAGTTCAATGATATTTGATATTACTGCTGTGGTTTTTTGCAGTGCAGAGGTTATTTAAAATTTCTCACAATTTTTTCTCACAAAGAGGTCATAAGAGTGAGAGAATTTTATCATTAAAAGTTGCTATTTTAACTTAAAACTAGGATGGGACTTCAATGCATGTTTAATCAATTCCAGCGTTTCTGTTTGTTTTTCTTTGCTCTCAAACTAAGGCTGTAAATATGCCTACCATTTCATTCACTGCTGAATAGTAGGGCTTGGATGTCTGTGTTGTGAGGGCACTTGATTTCCCCATCACTGCCATTCCCCTGCAGGTAGTAATATTAGATTGCCTTTTCTAGGCTCCCTCTGTATTACTTTTACTTCCTTGTCACCAGTGGGGGCTTGTGTCACCAGCTGGTCCCGCTTTGGGATGGAATGGATGTGTTGAAGGTCAGTGCATGATGCAAGGCTACTGTGAAGCTGCACATTTCCTCCTTGTCGCCTCCACCTTGGGCAGGTGTCAAAGGGGTGGACTCCATTCCAGCCCCTTGTCCAGTTGGGAAATTCCCACGCAGAAAGTGAAGTAGCAGGGTAGCTGCTTTGGTATCTAGCCCAAGGTGATAATTCAGCTCCACTAGCAGTAAAGTGGATGCTATCTTTATAATTCCATCTGATATTTCTTAATTGGTTCAGAACGGAGAGGTGACTTATACACAACATGTTTTTATTGATTTTAACATTATGATAAAGTGGTAAACTCACAGACGGTCAATAAAATCTCTTTGTGATCCAGTTCACCTTGAAAGATAAATATAAAGGGGCTGGTGGCAAGTAACCTCAGCCCTGCCAGAATGTGTCTCTGTATATCCACTAACTAGGTTTGGGAGCAGATCTGCTGTACTTTAACCTCTGCATGCTGCCTTATTTGATGTGCAAAATGCAGCTATGTTTTGGGATAACTGTTTCATCTTTTAGTATCAATTTGAGTCATTTTGAGTCATATCATTATATTAAATTTTAAATTCTTGTGCATAAATGTGCTCTGCCATAAACACTGTAAACATCTTGGAACTACCTTTTGCTTTTTTTGTTACTATATACGGGTTTTGGACAGATAAGCATAACACTATTGAATCCCTGTGTCTCCAACAAATGTTAGTTTTCTACAGATTTTAGAAGGAATAGCCCTTTGTTGGATAGATTGCAAAAATTTTCTCCCATTCTGTAGGTTGCCTGTTCGCTCTGACAATAGTTTCTTTTGCTGCGCAGAAGCTCTTTAGTTTAATTAGATCCCATTTGTCGATTTTGGCTTTTGTTGGCATTGCTTTTGGTGTTTTAGTCATGAAGTCTTTGTCAATGCCTATGTCCTGAATGGTATTGCCTAGGTTTTCTTCTAGGGTTTTTATGGTTTTAGTATTTATGTTGAAGTCTTTAATCTGTCTTAATTTTTGTATAAGGTATAAGGAAGGGGTCCAGTTTCAGTTTTCTGCATATGGCTAGCCAGTTTTCCCAACAACTATCCAGAATCTGCAAGGAACTTAAACAAATTTACAAGAAAAAAAACAACCCCATCAAAAAGTGGACAAAGGATATGAACAGACACTTCTCAAAAGAAGACATTTATGCAGCCAACAAACATGAAAAAAAGCTCATCATCACTGGTCATTTGAGAAATGCAAATCAAAACCATAATGACATACCATCTCATGCCAGTTAAAATGGCAATCATTAAAAAGTCAGGAAACAACAGATGCTGGAGAGGATGTGGAGAAATAGGAATGCTTTTACACTGTTAATAGGAGTGTCAATTAGTTCAACCATTGTGGAAGACAGTATGGCGATTCCTCAAGGATCTAGAAGCAGAAATACCATTTGATGCAGCCATCCCATTACTGGGTATCTATTCAAAGGATTGTAAATCATACTACTATAAAGACACATGCACACATGTGTTTATTGCAGCGCTATTCACAATAACAAAGACTTGGAACCAACCCAAATGCCCATCAGTGATAGACTGGATAAATAAAATGTGGCACGTATACACCATGGAATACTATACAGCCATAAAAAAGGATGAATTCATGTCCTTTGCAGGGACACGGATGAAGCCGTAAACCATCATTCTCAGAAAACTAACACAGGAACAGAAAACCAAACACCCCATGTTCTCACTCATAAGTGGGAGTTGAACCATGAGAACACATGGACACAGGGAGGGGAACATCACACACCAGGGCATGTTGAGGGGTGGGGGGCTAGGGGAGGGATAGCATTAGGAGAAATACCTAATGTAGATGACAGGTTGATGGATGCAGCAAACCACCATGGCACGTGTATTCTGCACATGTGTCCCAGAACTTGTGATAATAATAAAAAAGAATGAATAGATTTTTCTGTAGGAAATATCCTACATCTTTACGCCTCCCCCTAAAACTATGTAATCATTTCTGCTTCCCAATATTAGAATAAGAAATTTGACAGTGAAAACTCTTACTAGTATAATTGTGTCTCGGGCTTGTCCAATCTCAAGTCTCACAATAAGTTGTGAAGAGTTGTTTCATTTGAAAATACTAAAATATGAACAACATTATGAAGATTATTTAGAGACAAAAATAAAATCTCTAGAGGGTGCCAGAAAGTCTTTCTTTGGTATACTGATGAAATCTTGGTAAACTCTCAGTTAAATTCCTAAAGATTTTATTATCTTTTCTTCTTTAAAATACAAATTCTTTTAAGTCTGATCGTTCTTAAAGAAATGATGCTAATCAGATAGGCTGCCTCTAATATGATAGCTCTTTACAGTCTTTATTTTATAAATACATATGTAGCACTTTTTTATTATTCCAAGTCCTTTACGAATATTAACTCCCTGAATCCCCCTAATAATCCTGTTAGACAGGGACTGTTTTTATCCTTGTTTTACAGATGAGGAAACTATGGCATAGGGAAATTAACAGACTTCTCTGTCTCTATGTGGTATCATCTACAGACTAAGCCATGTAAACATGAGAGATGGCTTAGAGGAACGCTGTCTTAAGTCAGTTTGTGCCTGCTAGAACAAGTTACCATAGACTTGGAAATTTACAAATGGCAGAAATTTACTTCACATAGTTCTGAGGGCTGGTAGTCTGAGAATGAGGGCCCCCCTTCTGAGCAGGGGTTAGCTGACTTCTGGTTATATTCTTATATGGTGGAAAGACCTAGATAACTCTCTGGCCTCTTCTTGCAAGAGGGCAAATCCCATTCATGGAAGCTCTACCCTCATGACCTTACCTAAACCTAATTACCTGCCAAAGACCCCTGTCTCCAAATACCATTACACTGGGAATTAGGATTTCAACATTTGAATTTTTGGGGGACACAAACCTTCATTCTGTTGCAGAAACCTTACCCCTGTGTCTCCACCAAAGGTTAGTTTTCCATAAATTGAGATTACAGAGTTATGTCTTATCAGTAGGTAATAAGTTTGTCCTCTGCACCTGACTGTTTGAATTTGTGGAAGTTTCCCTCCAGGCATTAACTTCCATTTTCCTGCCAGTTCTTGCACTAGCACATGCTGGGGCCACCTCTTCATGCCTGAACTGAGTGAGCAGAATGGTAGCAACAGCAAGGACCAAACCATTCTCTGCTCTTCAGGAGATGTGGAAAGGACAGGTTTTCTTGCTTTGCTCTGTAAAAGCCGACTAGGCACTTGATGCATTTTTTCACTTCCTTTTATAGGGAATTGAGCCAAGGGAGAGTCTGTTTATCCTCGAGCTTACTTAAGTCAGGGAATTCTGCAGAAGCATATTCTTTGTAAGCAAATTCATCTCCAAGTTTGCTGACTGTACAGCTCGCTCATGAGTGTACCTGTCATTCCATCTTAACTGATTGACCAACTACATAGAAGGCTCAGCTTTCATGTAGCTGACAGCTCTCCATTTCAGCACTATTGGCATTATGGACTGGATAACTGTTGTTGTGGGCTGTCCTTTGCATTACAGGCTATTGAGCAGCATCGCAAGCCTCTGCTAGACGCCTGCAGAACTCCACCACCCAGCTGTAACAACCAATAATGTCTCTAGGGATTGCCAAATGCCTCCTAGGGGACAGAATTGCCTATGAATGAGAACCACTGATGTAGATTTGCAGAGGCTTTCCGTGGACCCAACCCCTATCGCAGTGCTATATTCTCCCTTTTGATTTTCTCCATTGGGCTCTTTTGCTAGGCATTGTGGTAGTGGATGCAATATGACCATTTTTCCACTCTAAATCAGTCTATGTGTAAGTATTTGCCGGGTGGTTTCATGCTTCTTCAAGGCCTCTCTAATATTCTCAAGGTGCAGACATTTTGAGATTTTCATCCTGCTACCAATTACGGTTGTGTCAGGGGAATTAGAATATTTCTTGCTTCCTTATTTTTTTGCATTTTGTTCCTAACACCTTAGTGACCCCCTTCTGGCACAGGAAAAGGAAATACACATATTTGGACTAAATTGACTTGTCTCCTCACCTTCTAGTGTACCTCTTGGACAAAATACTTTTGAAAAATAGATCTGTTTTTATTGCATTAAAGCATACATAAAATTTACCACCTTAGCCGTTTTTAAGTATAGAAGTAAGTGGCATTATATACACTGATGATGCTGTGCAACCGTCATTATCATTTCCAGAACTTTTGCATTATTTCGAATAGCAGCTCTGTACCAATTAAACAGTAATTCTCCATCTTTCCATTCTTGCAGCCCATAGCCAACATCAGTCTACTTCCTGTCTTTATGAATTTGGCTATTCTTGGTACTTCATATAGGTGGAATCACATATTATTTGACCTTTTGTATCAGGCTTATTTCACTCAGCATGATACTTTCAAGGTTAATCCATGTTGTGGCATGTGTCAGAAGTTGGCACCTTCTTATGTCAGAATAATATTCCATTGTATGAATAAACCACATGTTGTTTGCCCATTCATCCATCAATTGACATTCGAGTTGCTTTCACCTTTTGGCAATTGT
Organism: Homo sapiens; assembly: GCF_000001405.40. NCBI lineage: Eukaryota > Metazoa > Chordata > Mammalia > Primates > Hominidae > Homo > Homo sapiens. Next base: position 11,869,295 of record NC_000005.10, on the reverse strand, counting down.
GAATAATGCTGCTGTGAACATTGGTGTGCAAGTATCTGAGTCTTTGTTTTCAGTTCTTTTGGGTATATACCTAAGAGTGGGGTTGGTGCATCATATGGCAATTCTGTGTTTACCTGTTTTGAGTGAATAGACTGTACCATTTCACATGCCTGTTAGCAATGCATGAGGGTTCCAGTTTGTCCACATTTTCACCAACACGTATTTTCCATGTTTTAAAGTATGGCCATTCTAATGGATATGAAGTGGTATACTCTAATTTTGATTTGTGCTTCCCTAATGACTGTTGATGTTGGGTGTTTTTTCTTGTGCATATTGGCCATTTGGGTGTCTTTGTCTTGTCTGTGTTCGGTTGCTTATAACCAAAAATGTAAAACTGGCTAATTTATAAATAAAGGGAATGTATTTCTTACATTTATTGAGGCTGAGAAGTCTAAGGTCCAGGGGCCGTATCTTGTGAATACCTTCTTGCTGCTGGAGACTCTGCATGGTCCCAAGGCTGTGGAGGGCCTCACATGGCAAGAGGGCTGAGCACGCTAGCTCAGGTCTTTTTTCCTCTTCTTACAAAGCCATCAGTCCCACTCCCATGGTAACTCATTAATCTATTAATGAATAAATTTATTCATGAACTTAGATCCCTCATGATCCAATTACCTCTTAAAGGCCCTATCTCTCAGTACTGCCACATTGAGGATTAAGTTTCAACGTGCATTTTGGAGGGGACAAATATTGAAACGATAGCAATCTTCTTAGGAGTAATGTCTATTCAAGTCATTTGCTCCTTTTGCATTTTCTTCTTCTTGTTGAGTTGGATACTTTTAAAGAGCAGGCAAACTCCATGATCCCCTTGATTCTGAATATTCAGTCATTTAACACCAAAGATCATTAGTTTGATTAATTTACTTTCAGTGGGTTTCATACCTCTTTTGAAGGTAAGATGATGTTCAAACTGGTAGCTTGGGTCTGTCATTAGTGTTTCCCACATCAGACTGCCCTATGGTGGAATTCACACCCCAATCACCACCCTGGAGCACCCAAAGACTGTCCTGACAGAGCAGAGGCAGGAGTCCAGCCGCAGGTCTTAGTTGGGGCTAGTGTGATCCTCAGCACCACAGCTGGGATGGTGGCTGCATTGGAGGCAAGGGACACCCCTGCGCATGCGTCACTGCTTGCTCTAGCTGTGCCTGCAGGTGAAGTGACCTGTCAGAGGTCACACATAATGGTAAGTGTTAGTTCTAGTACTCCACCTGGGGACTCTGTCTATCCTGCCCCTGCTTCGCCATCAGGGGTTTATCTTGGTTGACAAAAGAGCACTGAGGTGAAGTGTAGGGAACTAGCTCCATGATAATTGGGAAAAACAATCTGATGTGCCTTAGATCATAAAACAGTGAGGCATTCTAGATGTCCAGCGCTGCTTACACTGTTTCTGTTTTTCATAAATTCTTACAATTTATAAATAGTACATTATTTTAATGAAGTCACAGTGTAAGTTGGTGTTTTACTAGGTGTATTGATTACAGTGATCTGCCAAAGTTCTTGGCTTGGAATCACAGCTTTATCACTGATTTGCTGGGTGATTTAGGGTCAGTGTCTTTGACTAGTTGAGACCAGCACAGGCTTTATAGAGCATAGATATTATTGAATGAATGAATGAATGAATGAATGGTCTCAGTATCTATAACTAATGGCAAAACTGGTGGGTCTTTTGAGTTACTTTCTGGTCTAATACACAATAATTCTAAAAATAATGATCACTCATTCTCAAACAGTAGCCACAGGATTTTCTGCCAATGTGACTGAGTATCCTGTTAATGAAACAGAACTGACATCTCCATGTGGAAGAGAGAGAAAATCTTAAACAGCTCGTTAAAGTTCTGATTGGCTGATTATAATAATCTGAGATGTTATTCCTTGCCTGTAATGTTTTCTGTGATTTTGTATTTTCTTCCCCCAAGTAAAAACAAAAACAGCCATTATTTCTTGCCTCAAATAATTATTGGACTTTTCTCTGAAATCAGTGCAAAGTCTGAGCAAAGGGCAATTTTCCTGGCTAGAATTAACATGCAATAAAATTAGTACCACAGCCTCTAGCAAGTTCATCCTTCTCTGGAATAACTCGGCTTGTTGAAACTGTCCCTGGCTTCACAGTATTTTGTACCAGCCAACCAGCTGGATAGTCAAGAAAGGTCATTATGCATTGGCAGTCCAGAAAGCGTTAAAATGTGAGCTTGGATCAGAACCTTGTGGTATTAAATACAGACTTGTGATATTAAAACAAGGCTAAGAAGAGAAGATATAATGCCACATCATGCATTTGTCACAGTGATAGATGTGCTTGCAGATATCTAGAAAAATTGTTACAGCTTATCTACTGCTCGTGATAAGGTGTCAGGGAGGCAGTGTCTTGGAGTGAGTTCATGATAACTAGAATCATGTATTGATTGGGACCACACAGAAGAGAATGCCATTATTGATCACGCGAAGAATTCCAAGAGAAGCCTAATGGCATGTGATTTCTCTTTCTCCCTGTGCGTTATTTTGCATGAGCAGTAGTGTAGTTTGTTATTAGGACAACATGGGAAAGGTGATTACATTGTGGCAAAAGCTTTTCTGTTTGTAGGAAAAATGCAGTAGGAGATCCACGAAAAACATTTAGCACGTAGGATGTGCCAGGCACTGTGCTGCACACTTTAGGTACAAAATCTCCTTCAGTTCTCCCAGTCTCTGAAATGTATTTGTTTTTAAATTTCCTGTGTCAGAGCTGTCAGTGGGGACCTCCTAATTTTTGTAGATGGTTAACCTTGGCCCATACTTCCATTTATAGGGCAACTGAGATTTGAACATCCTGCTCAGGCTTCCTCTTAACCAAGTCCTGTGTCCTCACATGATGCATTGGTTATACCTGACTGCATTCATTTTCTGATGCTGCTATAACAAATCACCATAAATTTCATGGCCTAAAACATCACAAATGCATTTTCTTAAAGGTTTTTTTAGAGACAACGTCTGGCGTTATCATCCTGGCTGGAGTGCAGTGGCAAAATCATAGCTCACTACAGCTTTAAACTCCTGGGCTCAAGCAATCCTCCCACCTCAGCCTCCCGAGTAGCTAGGTTTATAGGCATATGCCACTGCACCTGGCTAACTTTTAAATTTTTTGTAGAGACGAGGTCTTTCTATGTTGCCCAGGCTGGTCTCAAACTAATGGCTTCAAGAGATCCTCCCACTTTGGCCTCCCATAGTGTTGGGATTACAGGTGTGAGCCACTACACCTGTTCCTCTTGAAGTTCTTTATGTTTGAAGCTCTATGTGGGTGTCAGTTGGCTAAAATCAAGGTGTCACTAGGGCTGTGTTCCTTTCTGGAGGCTCTAGAGGAGAACTCGTTTTTTTTTTTTTGTCTCTTCCAGCTTCTAAAGGTTGCCCCCACATTCCTTGGCTTGTGGCTCCTTCCTCCATGTTCAAAGACCGTGTCAACAGGCTGAGTACTTTCCACATTACGTCTATAGTTCTCCTCTTCTTCCTTTGTCCACTTCTCAAGACCCTTATGATTATTGTAAGCCCACCTCAATAATCCAGGGTAATCTCCCAATTTTAAATTCAGCTGATTAGAGACCTTAATTCTATCTGCAACCTTAGTTCTCTTTTGTGTTGAACATAACATATTCACTGGTTCTAGGAATTAGAACATGTATGCATTTGGCGGGTATTTTCTGCTTCCCACACTGATCCAACTTAGAAGTGAAAATCTGTCTCCTTTGCTGGTCTCTATTAATAAAAATGAATTATATCAAGAGTTTATTTAGTTAATTGACACCGAAAGAGGTTGACAGTTATTCTCCTTTAGTAATTCCTTTTTCTCTTTTCCCTTCTTTTTGAAGTTATTGATAAATTCTCTCCCTTTCTCAAAACACATAGTTCTTCCCATATCAGGCTCTTTGAAATTTCTTCCTTTCAGTGACAGATAGGCTGCCAAACAAAAAAAGAGAACTTCCAAGCAATATAGTCCTAGTTCTGAAAGGAACTTTTGTGAATATGCTTGTAAATATGCTCTTCTCCATCTCATATTCTTAAATCAGCCCATTTTACACATTCAAAAACAAGAACAGGCTGGCACGGTGGCTCATGCCTGTAATCCCAACACTTTGGGAGGCCGAGGCACGCGGATCACCTGAGGTCGGGAGTTTGAGACCAGCCTGACCAACATAGAGACACCTTGTCTCTACTAAAAATACAAAATTAGCCAGGCGTGGTGGCACATGCCTGTAATCCCAGCTACTTGAGAGGCTGAAGGCAGGAGGATTGCCTGAACCCGGGAGGCAGAGGTTGCAGTGAGCTGAGATCGTGCCATTGCACTGTAGCCTGGGCAACAAGAGTGAAACTCCATCGCAAAAAAAAAAAAAAAAAAAAAAAAAAAAGGAAGAAGAAGAACAGTTGAGATCAGACAGGCAGACAGGTTTGTGATTCACTGTAGACTAGTAGCTCTCAAGTGGAGACAGTTTTGCCACCTGAGGGACACTGAGCACTGACGGGAGGCATTTTGCACATCACAACTGGTGGAGGAGGCATGGCAGGGCTGCTCTTAAGTTAGGCTGTAAAGTCCAGGGATGCCACTCACATCTTACAATACAAAGGAGAGCCCCCCTACAACACAGTTATCTGTCCTGTGATGTTAGCAGTCCTGTGGCTGAGAAAGCCTGCCTTACACCAGACAGGTAGATGGTGGATCCAGGAAAGGCAGCGGGAGTGCTAATCCTAGGTCTGCTGGAGAGTCAGCCAGGTGCTGGGACCAGTAAGCTGAGTGGCCTTTCTAGAGGAGAAAGGTGAGGCTTTGAGATACAATTTTAACTCCCTTTGGTTGTAAGATGATCATATTTGTTTTGCAAGAATCATGGTCAGAGGATTTGTAAATAATCAAAATGTCACATTTCGCATCTGCTTATTGTGGCATCCACATTTCTAAGTAGTACAATAATGATTTCTACTAAATACTGGCAATAGAACTTTCTAGGAAGAACAGCATCATTTGTCTGCTGTTAAAATTGAAGAACGATTTGTCTCTGGGACCTGACCCTTTTTTTCAGGCAGCGGAGGTTGGTCAAGGCCTTTGCTGGTGGCGTCCCTCGAGTGACCTCTTGGAAGCCTGCCTTTCGTTGTGGGGAGTGGCTTCCTGTGACTGAGGAAGACAAAGCAAGTCAAGCAGTAATTAGGACGTGGACACACTGACCTGAGCAGAGCAGTGAAACATGACGTTCGTGATCCTGATCAATTCATGATGCAGCAGTGGTGAATCAGCAGAGCAGGCCCGAACTGCTAAAAGAACGTGGAGTTCTGCTTTAGATGTACCCTAAATAAAACCTGACATCAGGAGCTCTTAGTCCTAGGTGTACTTCTGCTGATTTCAGTTATCTATTATATCTATTTTGTAGAGAACGTTGAAGATAATTGTAGAATTTGGAGGTGTAAAACCATCTCTTTGTGTCAGACAACACTGCATCAGACTGTTAAATTGCCTATTATCTTGTGTTAAATATGTTGCTTCCAATATGCGATTTTATTATTCTCAAATTTGGTTTGGACAGAAGTGGTACTTTGATAGAAGAGGCAAAGTGTGGATGGTGATTATCATTTTATGCTGACTGTAGCACATGAGTTTGCCAAGCAATTGTTAAGTTGGCCTTCCAGTGCTCAGATTTGATTATTTTTATGAAAATCAGCATTAAAAAGGAGGTTCTTTCACTTCCTGGTTTGCCCATGTAACACATATCCAAGCATCTATAATCACAATAATTGAATTTACTGCCGGAAGTTATTAATAATTTTTATTGTCCTGGTAGCAGCTGTCCATGTAATGCTTACACCAATCAAAAATAATTGGTTCCTAAGCTAAGGAAGCTATTGTGCATGAGGTCCTGGTGTGATATATCTGGCCCCATAATTTGATTTATTCCCATTGAGCAAAATCCTTTGAGAACTACAGCCCTCAAGTCCTGAGAGAGAATATTTTCGGGATATACCATTTACACTAAGAAACAACAATTGTTTGGCAATCAACAGTTTTATTATTGAACATCTATTTGCATAACAGTGTGCTCTGTACTGTGGAGAATACAGATGAATATCAACACATAATTTCTTTTCATAAAGAAAAAGCTTTTAACTTTCTTAGGAAAACACAATTTAAACACGTGGACATTTTCGTGTAAGTTCAAAGGTTAAATGAAATACGAGAAAATAGATGTACTCAGGTTGCATTGCTAAACTAGGGACAGCCAAGCAGTACAGAGACTCCAAATCTAACTCTGAGCTGTATACGTTGAATTTTGAAGTCTAACTAGTCTTTATATTTCATGTTAGCCCGAATTTTTCTCTTGAATGGGATACAGAAAACTGTTTATCTTGTGTATTCAAATGATATTCACTCTATTTTATTCATATTCAGTTTAATATAGTGCTTGTTTTTCTCATCTTCTGTGCACTGACAGCAAATATAAAGCAGTTTGAGAACTCTCAGGAGGCTGAAAACAGAAGAGCTGGCCAATGTCTCAAAGGAGATAAATTGTCGTATAGCCAAGAAACAATGTTCTAATAATTATGGCAAAATGAAGACTCCTTTTTGAAATAAGGGCTAGGGAATGAGAAAGCAGGTGAAATGGTAGTAATATGATTGTTATTTTTTGAGTAACTCTTCAAAAATATCAACCTTTTAGGATTATAGGGCAAGGCATGGAAATGTCTGTTTTAGAACTAATGGTAAGAAATGCATCAAGTTTTCTAGTTTCCTAAAACCATACTCCATGAATGTACTTTTGGGAAGAAGTCTTTGAATAGATGGAATAAATTTTTTCAAAACCATGGTGCCTTCAAAGTAAGAAAATGTCATGTTGTTAGTGCATACTTGAACAAATTCCAAGATTTGAGAGGGAACCGTCCCAAAATTTGACCAGCTGTCCTGAAAATACTATAGTAAACATGAATTACTATAACAAGTGCCTTCATTTTAATGGAAAATTTCTATTTTCCATAAATTATTCATTTTAAATGGAATATTTTAAATGGAAAATTTCTAGTAGTAAGTTGGTTAAAACAGGACAATCTTTGAGAAAAGTTTCCTAACAATTGGTCCATATTTAGATAATATAAATGTGGAAATTTGTTTAAATCAGTAGTTGAAAGAAGTCTTAATTTCTATTTCCCATTTAATTCCATTTCACCCAATTTGAGTATAGATTATCTAATGAGGCAACAAGTGCTATAGAAAACCACAGAGCAAGTTTAGAGGGATTGGGCACAAAATGATAGGGGCATTGTTGGAAGTTCTATTAATAAATAGGGTAGTCAGGGTAGGTTACATTGAGAAGACATCATTTGAGCTAATATTTCAACAAGATAGGGATGGGAGCCTTGTAGATACAGTAAATTGGGTCCCTAAGGTGTGAGAATGCCGAGTATACTCAAGAAATGCCAAGGAGTCCAATCATGGCTGGCACACAGGCACAAAGACAAATCATAGGAAATGTAGTCATCACTTCAGAGAGATGATGGGAGAACACATCAAGTGGACTCTGTAGGCCACTGTGAGGGCCCTTTGGCTTTCACACTGCAGAGTTTTGAGCAGAGAAGGGACGTGATCGAGTTCATGTTTTGCAAGGATTCTTCTGACTGCTCTGCTCAATTGTGGGGTGGGGATGGTAGCTCAGATAGCAGGCCCTTGCAGAGGGCCTGAACAAAAGATGACATCGGTTTGGACAATGGCATTCAGAGGAGAGATGGCGAGAGAGGTGATCATCTTCTGGTTATGTTCTGAAGGTCAAAGAATTTGCTGACAGATTGGATGGAGTATAAGAAATAGCTGGATAAAAGATGACTCCCAGTTTTTGGCATAGCAACTGGAAGGATGGCATTCTATTCACTGATAGAGGAGAAAATGAAGTTTGGGTGGGAGAGGTTCAGTAGATCATGTTTGTTATGTTTTTATTTTGCGGTTCTGTTATGTGGTATTATGCTGTGTCATGTGGCAGAGGTTTATCAGATGTCTGAGTGGAGGGGTCCAATAGGCAGTAGATGATACGAGTCTAGAGTTGAGCAGAGAAGGCTGAATGGGACTCTAAGACTTTTTGAAACATAAAACTCAAAGACTCGAAACCATCACATACACTGGTGATCATGCAGTACAGACGTAAAAAATGGACTTATGTATGTCAGAACATGTATGTGGGAGAGGTTGTTTTCTGTTCAAGTCATTTTCTATAGTTTACATCTTAGAGGGCAGTAACAGGAAGAGCATTCCAGTACCTTTTAGAACAAGATCACTTCAAAATACTTACCATAGAAAGATTTCTGAAAACATTATTTACCTTTTAGCAACAAAAGAAAATTATGTTTTATTGAGAGAAAACCTCTACTGTTATAGTAATGTGTAGATGGCAATTTAGGCAGACTTGGTACAATGCCCTATATTTGCAATATTTAGGGGGTTGACATGTTTTATGCAAGACCCTGGAGTAACGGAGATGTGCCAACCTTCTTCAAAAACCTATTGTATTTAAATGCTACAACTGTGGTAGATTATGTCACTGCTTGAATAAAAGTAAAGTAAAAGTTCTAATTGGTACCTAAATTACCTGGTTTAGTTTCTTTACATATCTGTTGTAAGGTAAATTATAGCACTTTTATAAAAACAAATAGCCGCTGGCTTGTAATTTTTATAAGCAGTAAAGGCATGTGTATATTTTAAATTTTTCCTATTTTTGTAGCTGAAACAATTCTTATGTGCATTATAGAATCTTAGCTATAATTACCTGAAATCCAATTAAGATACTAAAACGGTGAAATTTACAGATGAGCTTAACAGTACTTAGCTCTCATAGAGAATTGGTTATAAACCTCTGTGTTAAACATTAGGGATTATGTATCTTTTAAAATGCTACAAAATATTATTAAAACAACAGCATTTACAACAGAGCTCTACAATTTACTAAGAACGGAGTTGTCCAGCAAATGTGATTACAGAATTGTCCAGTGGTTGAAACATTAGTAAATCTGTAAAAAGCATTGTGTATGGGAAATGTGGGTGCTATTTTGCTTAAAAGATGTAATAACTCTCAATAGATGAATTCATCATGAGATTAAAATATTTTATGGCCAATCTGATAAAATTGTCAAGTTTTCACATGTTTAATTGTAGCATAAACCAATTGAACCTTAAATATTTTAGATATTTAATCCGATTGATCACAGTTGTTATGATGAATGAATATGATTGACAGTTGTAAAAAGTACAGTAACAATTCAACTGTATTATTTTTTCTCCCTTATTTTGCCAGTTCCTTAAATAAATGGCAAATAAAGGGATGGGGAGGGATCTTTCAGTCTATATCTGGTAGTCCCTAGAGTGTGCTTATACTGTGGTAAGTATAGGTGTTAAGGAAAGAGTGCTGAATACAAAATAGGTATGGTACCTGCCCTTGTGGTGCTCAGAGTTTTATGGGGACTCTGATTTCACCCCATTAATGAATGAATTTTGCTACTGAGAAAAAGGTTAAGTGAGAAGAAAGCAGGATCTGGAAGAGAGAGTATTGAGACAAAGGCTAATGTTGTGTGAGGTTTGTGTGAGTTACAGGCATGTAGGTGGCTCTCATAGATGAACAGCAGTTATTAAGGGTAAGAATAGGAGATTGTTCTGTGGAAATCATGTGCAAGGTCTCTAGGGCCTTTCCTGTATTGAAAGCAAGTAGTGGGCAGCAGGAAAATGACTGATAAGAGGTCCCCCAGAGCCGTGTAGACATATAGGGGGTCCAGATGATACATGAACTTGTTTTCGTTCAAGAACTGGATATTTATTCTTCCTACAATAATTTTATAATCATTAGGGTTGGTGATTGATGGGAAGATACTTTAATTTCTATTTTCGTTGTCATTTACTGTATTTTGTTTTGTTCTTCTAGATCTGTGACCATATGAAAGTCTGCATGTGGAATTTAACACCTGTGGTGATAGTGCAAATTATGAAACAAGGCACCATGTGTTAAGCATAACACATAATGGCACAGAAATGAACTGCTTCAGTCATTCATAGGAAGGAGATGTCAGTGTTAAAGGAGAGTGAAGACTCCATACAGGAAAGGAGCATGAGCTGTGTCTTAGCAGACAGTCGTGAAGGAGATGCTCTTGCAGTGGTTCAGTGTGTGTCTGAGTTCAGGCTTGATTCCAGCCATTAGCCTTGTGACTTGACCATCATAGAATCTACTTCATTGGGTTTTTCCAATTAACAAGATAATACATGTAAAGCATTTAACTTGGGGACAGCGTATATAAGTTTGTGACATATTAGCTAGTTTTATTGTTGTTTTATTCTTACTTACTCTTTTTTTGAGACGTAGTCTCACTCTGTCGCCCAGGCTGGAGTGCAGTGGTGGGATCTCAGCTCACTGCAAGCTCCGCCTCCCAGGTTCACGCCATTCTCCTGCCTCAGCCTCCCGAATAGCTGGGGCTACAGGCACCCGCCACCATGCCCAGCTAATTTTTTGTATTTTTAGTAGAGACGGAGTTTCACCGTGTTAGCCAGGATGGTCTCCATCTCCTGACCTCGTGATCCACCCACCTCAGCTCCCAAAGTGCTGGGATTAACAGGCGTGAGCCACCGTGCCCAGCCTGTTCTTACTTATTCTTATTGTTGTTTTATTATTTGATTAAACGTGGATAGTAACAGAAAAATTAATGCTTCATAGCTAAGAATATGCATCCATGATACATATATCAATAAGTTATCTGCAGGGTTCGTGTAGAGCAATATAGTTGGTAAAAGTACAAGGAATAGGACAGATATTGGTATTGTATTGATTGTATTATAACCTTACATTTGCAGCAGCAATTTTGGGTTTAGTTACCTTATGAACACTTCCAAGTTCTTTCTGTCATCTGACCTTCCACCCCCTCACCCCATTCCTATCAACTGGATATTTGCCTGTAAAATTCTGGGAGTTTCTTTGTGTGCATGTATACTGACATCATTTATAAGGCAATATTATATAAAACCAACTTTGCCACCTATTTTTGTTATTAACTAAATGGAATCCAATGTTGTGGAAAGTCTTTAAGAAGGTGTCTAGGGATTGATAAGAAGAAACATCAAATTAAAACTGGAGGGAAACAAGAGTGAAAAATAAGCACAAGCAATCCCCATATAAAGTTACTTTAAAAAATGGTCCATGGCTGGGTTGAAGCCACATTACCTGTGATTTCATTTGATTGCAGTCATTTTGAGGGAGTAAGTCCAACCTCCAAACATATGCCATAAGGAGTACCAGATTAGCTACAGGCCCCTAAGGAACCCACAGTTTCTGTGCTTCCTATCTGAAAAGTTCTCTTTTCCATTTCACAGCCATCCTGATCATGGGCAGACCTTGTCAGCCTCTTGTGGATCCTGGCTGGAAGGTTCGTGTTGAAATCATAATATATCATGTTATGTATTCTTCCTTTTCTTATATGCTCATGCACGATCACAAAACACATTGTAGAGCAGAGAGGCATCATTTCCCTTATAGAGAAGATATTTTTTCGTTAATAGCATAGGTAGTCCCTGATCCAATATGCACATTTGTAGCTCAGCTCAAATTTATTAAATATGACACTAACTAGGTTAACCCGTACTTAATATATATCAGCTCTTCTGCTTATTGACCCCAAAGATCATAGATAACCCTTATGAGTCAAGAGCCTTGTGCATTATTCTGGCTCCAAATGACAAGATTTGCAGGCCTCATTAGGACACAGGTATAAACTCATCAGCAAAGGGTCATCAGATCGTATTGTCCTCTTGCTCGCACCCTGTCCGGCTCTCGTGCAGGAGGGAGCTCATCTTTACCACGGCCTGCTGACACACCCTCATTGACTGCTGTGCTCCAGCCTCATTGTCATTTTTGTTTCTTGTACAAACAAGGCTTGTTCCTGCCTCGGTGCCTTTGTATCGCCACACATGCCCCCTGCAAACATTCCCCCTGCCAGAGCTTTGTACCTTGATATGGCTGGCACATCCTCATCATCCCGGACTCTTTTCCAACGTTTGCTCCATAGGGAGGACCATTCCTCTATCTCATCTTGTATTGGGTTCAAATTAACCATGTAAGAGTAGGGGAAATTGAACTGTGAAAACCAATGTTTATATTATTTAGTATGGACTATATAATTTAGGAATCTAATCCTGATGTCAGTAGTATAAGAATGGTTTTTAAGTTCAAATATTTAATGTGAAGTACGTGAAATTTTTTAAATGCATGGTCTTATATCAGCTTATTGGACATTCATATGTCTGCATGCACTAATTTCAACTATTTAAGTGGGTTGTTTGGGAATTTGATAATTTTGAAAATAAATAATCTTATATAATTATTAAAGGGATTTCCAAAACCACCCATATTGCTTTCACACTCTAAAATGCTGTGATTTTGTTTTTATTTCTTGTGCCAGGAATTCATCACATAAGGTTCAAATTTATTCTGGTCCAAGTACATATTTTAAAAATATTATAGATAGCTCAGATTCAGCCATGTTACCAGTAAGTGAATCATATCACAAACCACATATATGTCGAAGGGAGATGTATTTTCTGGTGTTCTTTTTAGTTTTAAACCTGGGGTGCTATTTGACTTATCTGGTAATTCATTCTGCCGCTGTAGTTCCTGATGCCCTTTCATATTCTATCCTCTGTTTTGCACTTTTTACTTCCGCTTCTTCCCTCCCACCTCTCTTTTCTGGACAGTTACCTTTTCTTCCTGTTTCTAGCCTCTTTCTACCTTCGACACTCAGATTGATACTAAACTATCATCCTGAGCCGAGTTTGTCAAATACAGAGAAACACAGCTTTTTGCAAAAGGCTTCAGCAACTTTGTGCTGAAAAAGTGATAAAGACCACACTCCTTCAGATGACACTCACTCCCAACTTTCCATCAGCCTCCCCTTCCACAGCATCCCTTCTTACCTCGTTCCCTCTGGCCATGCCGAATGAACTCCTGTTCTGATCTTGCCTTGTGTAGTCAATATTCCAGAACTTTGCTCAGTTTCTTAGTTGTGAAAGCAGAAAATATATTTTGCTTTGTATTTTTGTTCATTCTTTCTGTATCTGAATACCTTATAATATTATAAACTCCCAGGGGGCAAGGTCCATGTTTTGTTCTTTTTGTCTCTCCCAGTTTATGGCATGGTGGCTTATAGATAATTAATGCTGAATAGATATTTGTGAGTTGAAGATTTTGTGTCCTGCCAAACTAACCACAATTTCTTAATGCACATAGTATTCATTCAGTGCTTTCTCAAAGCCTTTTCTTGCAACCACACTTTATAAATGAGTAGCTTAGATAAAGCAGTGAAGAGTCAAGTTCAATTATCCGGCAATATCCTTTATTCTCTCTTGGAGTTGATGGCTTAGGGCAGTGGTTTGCAGACTATGACCTCCATCCCCATCATCTAGAAAGCTTGTTAAAATTCTAGGTCTGGGGCCCAGAGTTTCTGATTTATTAGGTCTATGGTGAGGCCTAAGAATGCACATATCTGAGAGGTTGCCAGGTGATGTGAATGCCTCTGCATCAGAACCTCATTTAGGGAACCTCTATGCAGGGTGACCAGAAGTCTCTATTCTAAAGTGACTGAGTTCAAGAACACTTAATCTCTGAATAATCTCAAGATGAGTTAAAAGTGGCTTTTAGTTGTGTGTATTTCATATACCTTTTTATCTTTAGATTTTGTTTTTCACCTAATAAGGTGCTTACAGATCTCCTCTCCACTGGTCTTTATTTAATTGGAAGGAAAAATGCTTTTACCTGTTGGATGTACACACTAAACTCCCTTGTTTGCCCAAAGGAATTTCTGTTGAGCACGTATCATAGTGCATCCTAGCTGGTAGCTCAGTTAATCCTCATGCTAATCCTACAATTGGTCTCTGTTTTTCCAGTGAGGTGAGGTTAGTTCACTGGTCCAAGGTTATACACACAGGAAAGGTAGGGGAACTAGGATTCATACCTGGGGAGTCTGGCTCAGGAGCCCACACACCTCACCACCGACCTTTGGTATCTCTAGGTAACATAAGATGCTGCTGTCCCTGTTTCAACCTGTGGGTTGAAGCCTTTTCCACAAATCCTTTTGGCATCTCCAGCTAATCCCTGGTTTAAGGCTGCCCTCCGGCATTACAGGTTTTTTATGCTTGATTGCAAAAACCCAAGTAACCGTCGCTCTTTAAGGAACTGTGTCTTAATCAGATTTATTTTGGTCTGTGAGTGCAGCTGCACATTATAGTTACAGAATATTTTTATCACTTGCTTTATGAAAAATGACAGCGCACCACAAATGGCCCAGTTTAGAAGAGAATAGTGGGGCCTCTTATCAGATGATCTTGCTTTTCTGAATTTATAGTTTTACAGGCATCATCATATTTGGTTTTAAAAACCAAAACAACAACAAAAACTGTGAAACGTTATCCTGATTTTACAGGTAAAGAACTGAGTCTCAGGAAGGTTGAAGAACTACTTCGTGGCCAAATCGTTAGAACGAGATCCAGGTTCAGATCCAGGGTTTGAATTCCTAGTTCAGTGTTGATTTTACTGTACGTTCGATACTTGTGTTAAGATGGAATATATACCTTCTGTAAGCTTTAGGAAGGATTTTGCACATATTGGATACAGTTTTCAAATTAGAGTTTTGAGTATTCACTTACTCAACAAGTGTTTACTGTGCTCTTTCTTTGAGCCAGGCACTCTTCTAGATTCTTGGAATATATCACAGAACAAATATAAACTTCCCTGTAGTTCAAACATACTATTAATTTATAAAGTAAATAAATATCAGAAGCTTCCACATTTACTGTGTTAGGTAATTTTAAGTGTCTGCTTGGCTAGGATTCGGTGCCCAGCTGTTTGGGAGGGTGACAATAAACAGCAAACAGAAATGAGTAAATTGTATGTTAGATGTTGATAAGTGCCATGGAAAACAAAATAAAAGTGGAGAAATGGTGGGGAGAAAGGATTCCAGGCAAAAGTAATGCAGTTGAACTTTTATGTTGGATACTTATATAGAACTGACAAGTAAAGGAGGTGAGGGAGTTAGCCATGACCCTGGCTTTGAAAAGACGGGTCCAGGCCCAGAGAGCAGTGAGCACAACGGGCCACCCGTGGCAGTGTGCTGAACGTGCTTTGGGAACAACAAGGAGGACGGTGTGGCTGGAAGGAGAATAGAGGGAGGATACTTAGGAGAACGAATGCTCAGCCAGGTTTTCCAGGGCCTTGTTTATCATAGATGCTTTTGAGCCAAGAAGTGATGTGATCTGACATAGACTTGGATCAGTCTGATGAACCTGTAGAGAACAGACTGCAGGACAGCAGTGGTGGACACGGAGAGACCAGTTCAGAGATGATGTTGTCAATCCAAATGACTCATGATGGCGGCTCAGACGAGGAGGAGAGAACAATGGAGGTGGCAAGAGTGACTAAACGCTGTACCTATCCAGAAGGTAGAATCAACGGAGTTACCTGGTGGATTAGGTGTACAATGGGAGAGAAAAGGCTGAGTTAAGAGTGACTGCCAAGATTTTTGGCCTCAGAAACTGTAGGGATGCAATTGGCACCAAATGAGAAGGAGAAGAAAGTGAGTGGGGCAGGTCTGAGAGGTGGATCAACTTGAGATGAGTTTCAAGTTCACCAAGGCCTATGGGGCACCCAGCTGTCAGTGGATCTAAGTGGCAGTGGATCAGTAGGCAGGTGGATCTAGGAGTCAAGGTCCAGGTGTGGGCAGTGACTTGAGATTCATCAATGTAGGTGTGATATTTAAAGTCACCAGACTGGATGAGATCTCCAAGAAAGTGAATGTAAATAAAGAGGAGGTGGTAAGACCACTGAGCCCTGGTGTGAGCATGATTGGGATGCCAGGGAGAGGGGGAGACAACAGAAGAGGGAGAAGTGGCCAGTGAAGTAGGAAGAAAACATGCAGAGAATGCTGTTCATGAAGCCAAACACAAAGACCCAGGAAGAGCTTGGCTGTGCCTGCACCTGTCAAATGCTGCAGGAAGGTAAAGGAAAGAAGGCCTAAAAATTGTCCACAGCTTTAGAAAGAGGATGGTCCTTGGGGAGCCTGACCAAAGCAGTTTTGGTGGAGTGATGAGGGAAAAAGAGTGAGTTTTCCCTAGCACAAGAGACCTGGTGAGAAGTTGGGGAGCAATCTCCAACTAAGTAGATTCTTCCCAGAGATTTATGTGTTTTCCAATTTTGACAGGCTTTGATTAATCTCCCGAGGTTTGAATGTGATTCTTTTATTTGGAAGAGGTTTGAAAAGAAAGAGAGAAAAACATCAAAAGAGAGACACAGAGAAACAGGCAAGTAAAAGACAGTCAAAGGAGAGAGAAAGAGTGATTACTTGGACCTTTCAGCTGGTAAAGTGCACACATAAGGGCAAACCCATTATCAAATTGGTTTCCTATTGTTCATTTCCAGCTGCCTCTTTTCTTTTTGCTGAATAATTAATTGGGTCTTCTATGAACAAGTAATTCAAATACATATATTTTGTTGCTCTATTACATTTCTTCTCTGCTTACTTCTGTTTCTAAAGGGTCAGTCAGTGTAATTCCAGGATCTAGGAGACTGTTTCCCACTGCATGTAAACAGAAACTTAGAGGTTTTCAATGTAAGTATACAGTATCTTTTCATGAGATGTGTATTTCTGAACTGGATACTGTTTGGATCACCCTGACTGGTACCTGTTTCTTTGGTCAGTGATACTGTCACAGTTGGCATTTCCTTCACATCATGCTGTGCACATACAAGTGCCCCCAAATGTTATGTTTACTCCAGTTTTCTCACAGTATTTTTCTCAGTTCTCTCTTGATTCTTGCCATTTGTTCCTTACTGCCATTAGACCATCACTTAGGGTCAAGGTAGGAATATAGTGATTTGGCATTGTGCTGACTGAGTTTCATCTATAATTAATTAAGCAAGGATTGTGGATTTTTTTTTCTAAATTTAAGAACGCACTTAAAAAAATCTCTTTCAGACTTTGAATAATCACCTTTGGTTATAATGAATGGCTTTACTTTGAGCATTTTGAGGTCAGTCTCTGGGTGACATTCCTGTGGCATTCTTGGGGCTGAGTGTGATACCATGGCCTACAGTGGGTGCTGGGAAATATCAGATGGAAGCTGTAGAGTCTGAAAGGTAGGAACAAGGGGGAAGGAACAATGAATGCCGTTGGGTGCCACTAAAGAGGTGGCGTGGTTAAGAGACGTAAGTTAATTGTAAATGTGTAACAGGAAACAGGAGATAGAAGGTGAAGGGAAGCTTGTAGCTGACTTGAGGTAGGAGGAGAATGTATACCATGACTGAATGACTGGAAATTATATTCAAAATCTTTTATTTGCCTTTTCTAGAAAGCATCGACTGCATTTAGCTACCCTCTGCCCTAACTGCTGATTAAAATATAAATAGCTGGTTCTGGCCAGGATTTTGAAAATCAAAGCTTAGAATTTTGGATTTACTTTTACCATCAGTACCTTATGAAACATACTGTGTTTACCAAAATCACAAATGGAATTGGCCATTGCCAATGTGGAGACTTGGCAGCAGCACACAGGCCAAGCAAACTCCCCAAAATACAAACATGATTGCCTGTGACTCAGTACTACAGGCGGAATCCAGCACTTCTGTGAAGAAGTCCTGGGTAGGCGTGGTTTAATGACTAAAAGTAGGATTTCCAAACAGGCCCTGTGTTAATGAACAAAGCTGCATAAAGCCAGCTGCTCCTGTGGACTGGACATGGGTGAGACCAGTTCCCCTCAGGCCACAGAGTGAAGTCAGCAAATTCCTCTAGGAAATAACTAGGGCTGAGAAAACAGGCTCTGTACCATTTCTTTCAATCATGCAGAGTAAAGACCTTTCTTCTCCTGAAAGGTAGAGTTTCAGCCAAGATCTTTTTGGGGGCATTTAAATGTTATTCTAATAAGAGAAATTCATTCTAGGGAAACAGAACACATATACACTCACACCCACATACGCACACACACGCATGTATTAGAGAGATAATATGAATATTATTTTAAGGAATTGGCTCATATAGCTATGGGGACTGGAAAATCCAAAACCTGTGGGGTGAGCTGACAGGCAGGAAATTCAAGGAGGGGTGATGCTGCAGTATAAAGTCTGAAATCTGTGGGACAGGCCAGTAGGCCGGGAACGCAAACAGGGTATTTATGTTGTAGTCTTGAGGAGAATTCTGATTTTGGGGGACCTCCGTCTTTTCTCTTAAGTTCTTTAGCTGATTGGATGAGGCCCACAACATGATGGCTGGTGATCTGCTTTACTTAAAGTTAGCTGATTGTAACTATTAATCAAATTCACAAACACCTTCACAGCAATATCTAAACATGTGCTTGACCAAACAGCTGGGCATGATACCTTAGCCAAGTAGACACATAAAGTTTCCTATCACAGCAAATGTGGAAGCTTCAGATATTTATTTACTGTATAAATTAATAGTATGTTCGAGCTACAGGGAAGTTTATATTGGATAGTACAAAATGTACTTCAAATAGAAACTTTTGTTTTTCATTAATGAGATGGAAATATGTGTGAGCGAATGCTGTGATTTTGGATTGGCACTCTGGGTGTTATTATCTTTTGTGGCTCAGTAGCAGAATGGATTTGAAAGTAAATGAAGAAAAGAACTCCCATTATTTTTTAAGAAATATTTTTTATTAATCATAATTGCCTTTTTTCTCATTCCCCGATACAATGTCTCCTGCCAATTTAATAATTTATTACAAATGTATAGTAGAATTACTACTAGTATTCACAAAGGAAATAAAGCTATATATTTGGTATAAATGCAGATAAGTCCATACTTTCTATATCAATGAGAAGTTGATTGTTAGTAGCTACTTTATTACCTATTACCTTGGAATTTCATATCTAGGGAATATATTTGTCTTTACGAAACAAAATATGTTCATCATTTTTAATTTGTCACAAAATTGTAGGCTACTTTTTTCACTTATATTTCTCATTTCCATGGAGTTTTGGGTGGAGTGGAGTGAAACGTCTTTCCATGATGGTGTTCATGTGCCTTTGGACTTAGAGAATACATGAGAGCTCTGTATTAGCATCTCAGCTCATCTATCACCTATATCCCTACCCCTCAGCCTCTGGGTGTACTTTTTTATTGTAATTTTATTTATTATTATTCTGTTTTTTTATTATACTTTAAGTTTTGGGATACATGTGCAGAACGTGCAGGTTTGTTACATAGGTATACACATGCAATGGTCGTTTGCTGCACCCATCAGTGGAGTGCTGGGTGTATTTTAAACCTCCTATCTTATGGCCAGATTGCTGGAAAAGGAGGTCTGAGCCTTGGACTAGATTTGGCTTTCAACCCTACAAGGCTCGTGATTTTCCTACTCAGCCATTCTGGGTTCCTGGCCATGGGCAGAATGTGCCACTGTGGTCAGATATTTTCTTTTCTCTGTTTCTCACTGTGCCAGTCTAAGTGTAAGACTGCCTGTTCTTTGGAGAAATTTACAAAAGGCCATGAGAATCATCCGGGACACTTCATCAAGTTCTCCAACCCTCCAACTTGTGGTTTGAGATACATAGAGAGGTGTTTAACAGCCACTTTGTTAACAGATAGTGAATACCTACCTTTCCAGTTAAGGGCAGTGTGCTCACTACCTAAACCGTACCACCAGATGGACCAGTTCTTTATTCTGGGCATATCACTGACAGCCAGTGGAAGTTTCCTGATTAGTTGGGACTCCCTTTGCAAACCATGGAAAATGAACTTAACCTGGAGTACTAGGAAATGTGGAATTTACAGACTCTCATAAGTAAAAATGCTAGAGGTTTGCTCCGTCCCCACGTTCTACTGATCATGGCTCATTTTTTTCTCTTTCTGTCTGATATGGCTGTGTCCCTACCCAAATCTCATCTTGAATTGTAGCTCCCATAATTCCCACATGTTGTGGGAGGGACCTGGTGGGAGATAATTGAATCATGGGGGCAGTTTCCCCTATACTGTTCTCATGGTAGTAAGTCTCATGAGATCTGATGGTTTTATAAGGAGAAACCCCTTTCACTTGGTTCTTTCTCTCTCTTGCCTGCTGCGTTGTAAGATGTGCCTTTTGTCATCTGCCATGATTGTGAGCCCTCCCTAGCCATGTGGAACTGTGAGTCCATTAAACCTTTTTTTCTTTATAAATGACCTAGTCTCGGGTATGTCTTTATTAGTACCCTGAAAATGGACCAATACACTGTCTATTAGTTCTGCTTTCTTCTTTACTACCTTCATCTTTAGCAGGCTTTTTATAAGTAGTGTCAATATGTCAATGGGAGCTCCAAGTTTATATGCTAGTTGTTGAGCAACCATAGGAAGAATGTACTTTTTCCTGATGGTTCCAAGAGACTGTTAAGGATTCACTCTGCCTGATCTAGCCTGGATCTCATGGGAATCATCCTGGACAAGAGAAAGAAATATTCTGACCTAGGAGGTTTGGGTCAGGATTTGACTCACATGATACACAATCCACATATACCATATGCCTCCCTCAGAGCTATGTGTATAGAAGCTCTCTACGAGAAGCTCTGGGTGTGGAAGACATAGCCTGAACTAACAGTGTGAAGCATGGCATGATACAGGCTTAGGACATTCATGAAGGGTTTGTGCAAAGTGAAGGGCAACATGTCCTTAGGAAGTAAACATTGCCATTGTGTAAATAAGGTAGGGGGAAAATTTAGTCATTCTGTGACACACCAAATTTCAAAAGATCTACACCATTACCAGTCAGTCCCAAATTCACGTTATGGGTAGTAATTAATTTTCCCATGCTACAACATCAAACGCACTATATTAATGTTGTTATTTTGAATTTTATTTATTTTATACTTTTTACATTTATTTTATAATTTGACATTTTATAAGTGTGTAGTTTCTGCAAACTTAAGGACTTCTAGCCTAGTTGTATTTGTCCATGCCTAACTATAATAAAAATAATTTGAAACTGTATGTCTTTATCATTATTTTTCTTGAAAGACGTACTTTTTTAGACCAGGTTATAATTTTTTCCCCATAAAATGTAGCAATGTTTAAACACAAGGAAGTAATTTGGTAAATATTTTAATATTGTTGAATAAAAGAAATTAAAGTGTAAAGAATAGAGGGCAAACTTTTGCCTTGCAAGGGAGAAAAATCTATGAAAATTATGTGTAGAAGTATAGAAAATTGTTACTATAGGAATTTAGGATTCTCATTGATATTTTAAAATATATTAAAATAAGCATTAAATAACTTTTTAACATAATTCTAAACGCCGTCCAGTTTTTAACATAATTGCCATTGTTATTGAAAGATTTTTCTATTTGACACTTGACAATGTAATTCACAAGTAATTCATTAATGAAAATATCTGTAGATATGTTGTCATAATTATGCTTATTTAAAAATTTCAGTATCTATTTCCACATTGTTTCACATAGTTAATTTCTTTTTAAATTTAGTTTTTTAAAATTTATAATTGACATGTAATTATACATATTCATGGGGTATAATGTGATGTCTCAATGCATGTTTACATAGTATAATGAACAAAGCAGGGTAATTATCGCATTCAACACTTTTACATTTATCACTTCTTTATGGTGACAACATTCAAAATCTTCTAGCTATTTCGAAATATATACTACATTGTTACTTGCTGTGGTCACCCTACTGTGCAACAGAACACAACACTTATTCTTCCTAACTGTAATTTTATAACTACTGACCAAACTGTCCTATTACCTGCCTCCTCCTCCTCCTTCCCAGCCTCTGGTAACCACTATTCTACTCTCTACTTCTATGAAGCCTACTTATTTAGATTGTACAAATGAGTGAGATGACGCCATATTTGTTTTATTGTACCTAGATTAGTTCACTTAACATAATGTCCTCATCTGTGTTGCTGCAAATAACAGGATTTCATTCAGTTTTATGGCCGAATAGTATTCCATTATGTGTATATGTGTATATCACATTTTCTTTATCCACTCATTTGTAGATGACTTTTAGATCGATTTCTATATCTTGGCTATTGTGAATACTGCTGTAGTAAACATGGGTGTGCATATATATATATATATATATATATATATATATATATATATATATATAAAATCTTTGACATACTGATTTTATTTCCTTTGGATATACACCCAGTAATGAGATTGCTAGATCAAACCGTAGTTATATTTTTAATTTTTTGAGGAACCTTCATACTGTTTTCTGTAATAGCTGAACTAATTTACATTCCTACCAACAATGTACTGAGTTTGCTTTCTCTGCATTCTTCCCAGCATTTATTTTTTGTCTTTCTGATAATAGCCATTCTAACTGGGGTTAGGTGATACCTCATTGTGATTTTGATTTGCATTTATCTGTTGATTAGTGATGTTGATTTTTTTTGGATGTCTATTAACCATTTTCATATCTTCTTTTGAGAAATGTCTATTTGGGTCTTTTGCCCGTTTTAAAATCAGATTATTTGCTTATTTTTGCTATTGAATTGTTTGAGTTCCTTATAAGTTCTGGCTATCAGCCCCTTGTCAGATGCATATTTTGCAGATACTTTCTCCTGTTCTGTAGGGTGTCTCTTCACTTTATTGTTTACTTTGCTGTTCAGAAGCTTTTGAGTTTGATGTAATCCCATTAGTCTATTTTTGCTTTTATTGTCTCTGCTTTGGAGATCTTATTACAAAAAGTTATTGTCCAGTTGAAATTCATGAAGCATTGATCCACTATGATTTCTTCAACTAATTGCATAGTTTTGGGTCTTACATTTAAGTCTTTCATCTATTTAGAGTTGATTTTTGTATATGGTGAGAGATAGGGGTCTGGTTTCATTCTTCTATATGTGGATATACAGTTACTTCTAATTGATGCTTAAAAACACAGCACCTTTGCCATCTGTACAGTATGAAGTCAAAGATTGATAGTTTGTTGAAATTTGAAAATTTTATTGTACTTGCATTTTTCTCAAACTGACAGCCCATATGCCATATTTCTAATTTTTCCATTAATATTTCTGTTTTTATTGACTGACATTCACTTAATAAAACAATGACAAAATTGTCCAAATAGAAATAGGTAAGAAAATTTCTTTTTATACCTATTTCTGGTTTGGATTTTGAGTTTTTAATGTTTCATTAAGCAAGTTCACCAATTCGCTCCTATATTTGGAATAATTATTCTCTATTAGCCATTCATTCATTTAGAAATCATTATGGTTTGTGGCCATAATGTGCTAGGCTGTGATTTATGTTCCAGGGATGTGTCAAAGTACAAATCAAAGTTTCTCTTTCTCACGGGGGTTACATTTTAGATGTCTTGATTTATTTTAGGCATTTATGCTTTTCTAAATATAGACTAGTCACAATTTATCACAGACTCAAACATTAAGTATAGTGCTACACATCCCTTGAAAAAATCCTTTCTTAGCCTTGATATCTTACTGATTTTATTCAGATTTAAACTTTCCATGACTTGTGTGTAATTTCAAGCCATAGATCGTCTTGACGATTGTATTAGTGTGCTAGCCCTTCTGTAACAAAGCATC
Organism: Homo sapiens; assembly: GCF_000001405.40. NCBI lineage: Eukaryota > Metazoa > Chordata > Mammalia > Primates > Hominidae > Homo > Homo sapiens. Next base: position 11,845,687 of record NC_000005.10, on the reverse strand, counting down.
GCAAACTGAGTGGATTAATTAATAAAAACATAGTTTTGGAGATGGAAGTCAAAGACCAAGGTGTCTCTTTAAAAGGCTGTGAGGGAGAGTCTGTTCTTCCAGGTTTCTGGTAGTTCCCTAGCAACCTTTTCTGTTTCTTTGCTTTTGTGTCTTCACTCCAAGCTCTGTTTTCATCTTCATGTGGTGCTCCTTTTCTTAAGGACACTAGTCATATTGGACTAGAAGCCTATCCTACTCCAGTATGACCTCATCTTAATCACATCTGCGATGCCTCTGTTTCCAAATAAGTCATATTCTGAGGTACTGGGGGTTATGATGCTATGATTTTTGGGAGGACATAATATAGTCCATATCAGCCACCATGGAGTAGATGAGATTTACTTTTTCATTTAAAAATAGTTATTAAAGTACTGTGCTGGGGGTGAGTGATATAGCAGTTAATAAAAAAAGAAAACAAGATGTTTAGACCCTGATTTTATAAAGCTGACTGGCAGATCACATTCAAAATGGTGCTAAGACAAGCATTCAGGTCCTGGCTATTTCACTTCCTAAAAGTAGATGGTAGAAACCTGATTTCCACGTTGAAGCTGCTGTCCTAACATAGCTGTGGCTTCCTTATGCGTCCTCGGCTAGTAGCCACTGGAGAGTCAGGTTTCTTGCCACGATACAGTAAGGGACTCCAGTTAGAGTCACACGCTAGCTCCCGTTCATGAAAATGATGGCTCCCTGCCCCCCTGCCCCCCTCCGCCAGTCAGTTAAGAGGCTAACTCCCTGATCTTCACCTTCCTACCTTTATGTATAGCCAACCTCAGGACTTCCAAATTCAACTCAGACACTTCCTCTGAAGCTTGATTAACAATATTAATGTGACTTAGTATATATGGAATTTACTAGGAAGAAAGTAGGTTGCCAGGAAAATACAGTGATTGATTAGAAAAATGAGCTAGTTATTGAGATTTTTAAAAATCAGTTCATCAAAATGCTGGCACAGAATATACATGGTACCTATAAAAGAGTTCAAATTAAACAACAGGTGCTCCCTGAATTCATTAGTTTTATAATTAGAGTTCTGGGATATGCCAGAACTTCTGTGTTACTTTTTGTAATACTAATGCCAGAGCTATTTTATGCTATAAAATATTTTCCAATTTTCAGAATGGAATGAAGTAAGTATAACTGATGATTGCTTTCATTTTAATGGGAATCTACAAATCTGAATCCTAATTTGGCTTTAGAGGTTGCATTATTAGTCTTCAAAATCCGGCAAGCAGTGTGTATGTGTATGTGTGTGTATGTGTGTGTGTGTGCATATGTGTGTGTGTGTGTATTTCAGTCTATCCATCCCTTCAAGATATTTACAATGCACTCACGTTAGATCTCTCTATGAACTTTAAAAGGTCTTCAGGGAGCTATTACACAGACTTCTTAGAAACCTGTGTTAAAAGTTTCTGTAAAGATGTTCATCCCTAAGTAACACCTATTTTATTAAAATAAATATGCATGGGCTTTAGTTAGTTAAATGGGAAGTGATTTTTCCCTTCTATTTACATAGAAATGTGGAATGTGGGAAGTTAAAGCTGGAGGAATCAGTATAACAGCCAATGCCCTCAGTAAATGATGAGTAAACTAAAATCTCATAAACAGATTGAGCTTGATGACAACTGGGACTCAGACTGAATTCTCTTGAATCTAAATTGTTTTCTTAAAGACAGCAGTGTTTGAAACACTTTGGGCTACTGATATTTTATAATTTGAAGGTCTGTCAAACCATTGTTAAGATTTTCTGTGCTAGTACAAACAATATAATCTTTTATTTTTCCTTTAAAAACCTGGTTCTGTTAAAGAAAATCAAACAAACCACCCCTGGAAAAAAAATGAGTTTTTTTCTGATTTTATTGATCCAAATAGAGTCAAAGAGTCAATTTCCTAGGATCATAAATAATTATTTAACATTTCTAATACACATTTAGAAGGTGAACTATGTGGAACTAGTGAAATATAAGTCGCATTATTGTAGCTTTAACTTGTAATAAAGGTAAGATATTTTCTTGAGTATTATCTCAAATATCATAGTGGTGAGATAGACATTTTTTGCTAAACTCTGTTGACAGTCTTGCTACTTTGTTGAGATCAGGTTTATGGACACAGGGTGGTTTTACAAATTATTTATTTTTTCCTCCTGTGATACTGATGATACAGGCTGTCTGGGAATCCTGACAGTCTCAAGACAGCAAATATTTCTTCCAGTAGATGATCTGTAATGTATCCATGAGGAAGTTTAACAAAAGTAGGTGGCATCTTCAGAAAAATGTTCATTTGCAAACCTGAATGTCAGTCCCTCTGATGATGTTCTTGCCTGCTGGGTGTCCACCTCTCATTCTCTAAAGAGAAAATAAAATGATTTATGTAATTATTCTCTGGAGGCAAAAGGAGAGTGCATTGGGAACTACTAATGAGACAGTGCTTTTTGATAGGTAGTTTGGTTTTCTTGTTTTATTTTTATTGCCATATTTTCACGTTTTTTAGTAAGATAAGAAGTGCAACTTTTTCATAAGTGTCCTATTCAATGATGGATCTGTCAGAGTGATGACATTCCCTTCTGGGCATTGTTGGGAAAGAAAGATTTGTTACCTGCCTTTGCTGATGAAGCAATATTAAAGCAGGGTTCTAATTCTTGTTTCTAGACTGAGCCAAGTTAATGTTTCTTCTATACAACAGCGCTTCACATGTTTGAAAAAAACTGCTGTACCTGTTCCTGATTGTCTCTAAAGCGGCATTGCCAGGAGAAATAAAATGTTTGCCACATAAGCAAGTTTAAATTTCTAGTAGCCACATGAAAAAATGCAAATAGAAACAGGTGAAATTAAATTTAATAATGTGTTTGAGTTAAACCAACACACCAACATATTATTTTGACATTTTCAGTATAAAAATTATAAAAGAGACAGTTTACTTTTTTTTTTTGTTCTGAGACCGAGTCTGTCTCTGTCACCCAGGCTGGAGTGCAGTGGCACCATCTCCGTTCACTGCAAGCTCTGCCTCCCAGGTTCACGCGGTTCTCCTGCCTCAGCCTCCTGAGTAGCTGGGACTACAGGCGCCCGCCACCGTGCCCGGCTAATTTTTTGTATTTTTAGTAGAGATGGGGTTTCATCATGTTAGCCAGGATGGTCTCGATCTCCTGACCTCACGATCCGCCCGCCTCAGCCTCCCAGTGTGCTGGGATTACAGGTGTGAGCCACTGCGCCCGGCCCATATCTAAGGAGATTTTGTCCAGTATATGTTGCTACCAAGATTTGGCTTTCCATATTATTCTTGCACTTTGGTTTTCTAAACCATAGTATAGAATTTGCTTGTGTTACTGGTACGTCTTACTATATTCAGCCCATCAAGCAGAGCTTGAGATGTCAGTGTGCATCTTTGTTCTTTAATCTGTGTTTTCAGAATTGCTGCCTCCCCTTAAGTGATCCCTACATCCTGACACTATTTACACAATACCATCCTTCATTTCAGAGAAAAAAGGGGACTGGGTTCTCTGCATTGAAACTGGTTCACTGATTTTTTTTTTAAGGTTGTGAGAATTTGTGTGGTAAATAATTCAGCAAATTACATCTCTTGCCCTGTCTAGTCTACAAGATCAGCCAGTGTGGAATCCTGCCACATTCCTTGCTGATGCTTAGAAATATTGTTTCTCTTGCATTGCAATATTTACCAGAAAGCTTTATCAGATTAAAAAGAAGAGAGCAGACCTTCACCTCTAGGGATGAGAGGTACTATTCATAAGGGAGTGCGATTGATTGATACTGTTGGTTCCATTGGAATTGGATGGATACTAGATGAGCTATTAGAGAAAACTCTTCTTTGGGAGGCTTTCTTGTGAATGGAAGGGCTCAGGGTCATAGAACTTCAAGGCTTGGAGGTCCATTAAATGTCATTATAGTCCAGTTCCTCATTTTACAGATCAGGAAACATGGACATACAGAGGTTATGTGATTTGTCTAGAGAAGCTATAATGTCACCCCTGCTGAAATGTCACCACCCCAGAGAGCCCGCTCTTTCCATCTCCTGGCCTGCTTCATTTCTCTTTCTCACCACTAGCTGTTATTGTGGTATGTCTATTATATCTATTTTGTTATTTGTATTTTGTCTCTCTCAACTTCAATCTAAATAAAAGTTCCATAATTTTGTTTTAACAGTTTTCTCCCATTGCCTGGCAAAGAGTATGTGATTAGAAGGCATTTTTTACAGACTTAATCAACTTATGACCTAAACACAGTGATCCATATTCCAAGTTTAGATAATTATTTAACTGTAATGACTTATGGGGTAGGGGTGGGGGTGATGGCTCATTAATTTTTTTGTTTGTGTTTTTGGTTCTTGTTCTGAGATTAAATGCTGATCTTTAGACATCTTATAAGGCTAGTAGCAATGCTGAAATTCAACAAGGGGCTGGCATGAGAAATAAAAGTGTCTCTAAAATGGATTAGTGAGAAACAAGAGGGTAAAGATTGCACTTTGGAAAGTTACCTTACTTTTTTTTGTTCATCGTTGTTTATTTTAAGGAGTTCAAATGATTCCTTGAATCATTTATATAAAATTGGGTAATTAATACAGTAGTTGTCTCAGATCTAAAATAGAATATTATTGGCCTTATAGGTTTCTGGTGAGAATTCAATGAAAATGTATTCCTGGCATTCAGCATGGTGTTTGCCATAAAGTTTGTTATAGTAGTTTTATCAACATAAAAATATTTTAGATATTTTATGTTACCCATTTCAAGTTTGTCAGTGGCTGCCTGATAGGGTAGATATGCCCGTTAAAAAGTGGAGTTTCCAAATTACTTGAATGTATAGATACATGGGCAGTCAGATTTTTGGGTATTTCTTATTTTAAAATTTAATACATTAATTACCAGTATTTCCTTCTGTTAAACCTACAGTTTCCCACTGTGCCTACATTACATTGAAAATAAGTGCCAGAATGCTGATTCTGGAGACTTTATTTTACTCTAAACAGCATGAATTCCTACACGTAAACACTCATGATTCTTAAATAGCATGAAGTGATACGAGTTATTTTGGTGGGTCCAGTTTGTAGCATTCAGATCAAAATGTGCAAGTTTTAAAAGTTGAGTCAAAATCACAAACAATGGGCATCTTCCCATTTAATATTTATTTCTTTGAAAAATATAAAACCATAGAAGATATTTATCGTCTTGATTATTCAGACCTCTAGGTTTCCCATCTCTCTGGGTGCAGTTCATAGATAAGAAATGAAATCAGCCACTAACCTGAGAGAAGTAATTTTAAGGGACACAAGTTCTTTTATAATGTACTTTAAAAATTATCTTCAATACATAGTAGTAAACAATTAATGTTTGACAAAGAAACATTATTTATGCTACTTTAAGCATCTTTGATGAGCGATTTTGTGTTGATCCAGTTTGTGTTTTGGAAAGACAGGCATCATGGATTTTGGTGGGTGGGTTTTTCTATTTTTATAGGTTGTGTGTGGGTTTTTCTATGTTTATAGGTTGCTTAGAGTTCTCTTTGACTCAGCAGACCACTCAGATGTAGTTACAATTTTTTTTTCCTAATGAATATATTGCAGTAGCTTTTATAATTTTTTTAAGAATGAAAAAAGATTTTGTGTTGATTAACTTTCAGATTATTTAAAATGCAAGACTTGAATTTTGGATTCAGAGAATGATCACTAACATTTAAGATGTCTCTTTATGGTGGTTTTAAAACATATCCATAAGTTTAGTTATCTTTCTCTTGACTGTAGACAGGCTTAATGACTCAATTCTAGCAAATAGGATGCAGCAGACTCACGCCTGCCTAGGCTAGGTCACGAAGAGCTACACAATTTTCACAGGTAGATGCTCTCTCTCTCTCTCTCTCTCTACCTATGTCTATCTCTCTGTCTCTCTCTCTTTCTGGAGACACTCACTTTTGGAGCCAAGAACCTGCATATAAGAGATAGGACTACTGTGAAGCTAGTGTCTTGTAGAGACCTCATAAACAGGCCACATGGAGATTGGGAGAGGCGCCCAAGGTGTCCCTCTGTTTCAGCTCCCAGCTGTTTGTGTCTTCCCACCCAGGCATCAAACATGTGGGCTGTCTCCAGCCCCAGCCACTCATGATTTTGCATTAAAACATCCATATGGAAGTCCCCAAGTGAAATCCACTTAGTTAAGTCCAGGTAATCCCTGGAGCCATGATAGACAGCAATAGTTTAAAAAAAAAATTGTCATTGTTTCATGCCACTAAATCTGGGGTAGTTTGTTACACAGATATAGACACCTCTGTTTTTGAAGTGTTATCAGGATGAACCTAAGTTTGATGACCCACAAGTCAATAGACAGTTAAGAACTGAGATGTGGTCCATGCCCCATGCTTTATTGGTCCCTAGCAGACCAAATTGGCTATTCGATGGAATATGCTTCAGTTCTCTGGGTAATTAGATACTAGATCACCAATTGTATGACCCCAGATCCCAGCAATACTTTTCAAATGTCCATCTGTACCACTGTCCTTACTTGGACAGCTAATAAATCATAAAAAGGCTGAGATTCATTTAAGGAGAGAGCTAGACGCCTCTGAATTTTTACAAAATTGTGCAGATGACAAATTCCTCCTCAAAATTTTCATATTTAAGCATGCTAGCCTGAATTCGATAAATCATATAATATTACATCATTCTACCACTTTATTTCCACAATATTTATTGAGCTGTTGGGTTACTTCTTCTAACTTTGAGTTAGAGAATAATTTTCTTTTCTTGATGTCTTTGCTGTTGTTTTTCACCAAATCTAAGAAAACTTGATTGTAAGAAGCACCATTATGTTAGGTGCTAATGTGGAAGAAAAGATGCTGACAAATAATTTTAAGATGTCATAGATTTTAAGATATGACACAATATCAAAGACATTGAAATGTGAAAAAATTTATCTCTTAAATTGATGCAATGTAATATTTAATGATGATAGTATCATACTCTAGCAAAGAATATCTCAGAAATTCAGGATAGGCTTGAGGGAGGAGTCATAAGTTGGGTGAACCTGATGCAGGGCCTGACCTTCATTCTAAAATGTAGAACTTTAAGTAGTCAGCTACTTGAAACTGAATCTGTCACAGCTGAATCCTATTACCTCAAACCCCAGCAACGTCCATGTCTATCCCTGTCCTTACTTGGAGAGCTAATAAGTCATAAAAAGGCTGGGATTCATTTAAGGAGAGAGCCTGAACCTCTGTATTTTTGTCAGATTGCCCGAAGTTTGAGAACCACTACTCTGGAACATACTTACTTCACATCTGGCAGAGAAAGTTCAAAATAAATGTGCCTGCTGTGTTTGAAATTTTTAAAGGACAGCTAAGGTAATCTAAAAACGCAGAGCTGGGAGGAAAAGAACTCCACAAGGCGTAAAGATTCATCTCAGGAATTCTGAAGTTTGGTGGAAACAAAAGGCCTGAATGTGGAGAATTAGGAAATTCCCTGGGAAGGAGAGAGAAACATCTCAGAGTCCCTTGAGATGTTGGGAAGGGCATGTTTTATAGGAAGGGAATGTTAGAATACAAGGTGCAAAAAAATGTTTGGTGTTCCTAGAACAGAAGCTTGTGTAAAATTGATTGTCCTGGCAGAGCACAAGACTGGAGTCAGAGAATCCAATTCTATGGGCCTGGTGATGCCCCATGCTGAAGGTAATTAGAGCTTGTCATGGAGTCATGGCTACTGTGATGGAGACAAGTAAAGGGCCTGGAAATTAATAAGAGCAAAAATATATACATTTGATTGTTTTCAGAATTGATTTCTTCTCCAAAAATGACCTAGAGTTTCAATAACCAACTACTTTGTAGATATTAGTGACCCAAACTTGTGCACATTATCATCTCCCTCTATAGTACACTCAGGAGTCTTGGAGCCAGAAAAAAACCTTTGTTTTTTTCGAAGGAAAAAACAGATTCACAAGTCTTTGAGCTGGGAAAACAAAGAAAGAAAACAAACAAACAAACAAAACCTTCAAACCTTTTGTCCAGAGGATCTGACTTGTTCCTAAAGATACTCATACTGTAAATTTAGATTAGAAATGTTTGCAGATCCATCTTCTTAAAACCCAGTAGCTAGGGCAGTGGTGTGATTGTCCAGCTACGAATGGAGATTCGAGATTGCCTTCTCTTATGATGACTAGTCTTCCCTGCCCTTGGCTCACAAGCCCTTACCAGTTCTGTTCTTCAAACCTTGACCACTGGCAATAATGTCCCATTGTATATTTACAATTTACAGAGCATTTTAATTCACATCATCACATTTATTTTTCAAACAATCATCCATGTTGAACAAGATAGACTTCATATACTTCCAATGACTTTCTGAAGCCACACAGATCATAAAATGTAAAGTGAAGATCTGATCCCATTGTTTTGATTCAGTGCTTTATTCTTTCCCTCCATTCACCAGATTTTTTCATGTCCTTTGAGGTAGATGTCCAGTAAATATTGGAATCATAATATTTTTCATCTGGAAGGGGACTTTAACGGACATGTGTTCTCTCCTGTGTACTTCAGAGCTAGAGAAGTGGTCACCCTGAGAATTGTGGTGGTTGAACCAAAGTCAGAAAACAACAAGTACCAGATCCACAACTGATTCCCTGATTATTCTTTGAAACTACATCCCCTTCTGTTCTCATATCCTAATAGTTAGGCTCTATGGCAATTCCCTTTACTGCTGCTGACCACCTTTCCCAGAGCGGCCCCGCTTGGAGCTTTTGCCTTGGACCACTGGTGGCGATGGATATTTTCTCCTTGGATTTCTTTCATCCCATCCCCCTGAAATAACAGGAGCAGAGGCAGCATAGGTCATTTGTCAGCTCTCTTGTGATTGTAATTTCTGTCTCACATATTTTCATTGCCAATATACCTACCTTCGGTAAAGCTAAATACAGAGTAGCAAAGAAATAGGCTACTTTAAAATAATTTTGTGCTTTTATGGAATTTTTAGCAAAGTAGAGTTTTTTTTTTCTTGGTTCTAATCAGCACATGATAAGAGATGATGTATTTCCTTTTTCAAAGTAGAGAATTTCTTTATGGGTACTTCATTTCTTTGCTTGAACTTTAAATTGTCTGTTTGGCTAATGGAATCTTTTTTTTTTTTTGGTAGTTTGGCTCCTTTTAGTGGTATTATCTAATTTTAAAAATGAAAGCAGAATGAGACTTTGCAGAACCATAGTGTCATGAAAGTGGAGCTAATGTGTTACAGAAGGATCATGTGCTCACGTCTTCCCTACCATGCCTACTGATTAGCTAGTCACTGTCAAAGAGTAGTATGTGGTTCTCTAATTCTCAAGTTTTCTCAGATAAGCATATTCTCCACATTTCTATAGTTTTCTCTTAGAATCTAGGGAAATCATGATCATTTTAGCACTCTCTTCTAGTCTCCAATGCTTTTTTATGTTGTACTTTATAAATTATGTATAAAAACGTGTTCCATTGATGAAACATTTTGCTCTGTTCTTGACGTGGCCCAACCAACATGGAGTGGTGATTTGTTGATTTAAAGGGGGATGATATCTCCCAACATTTGGAAACTAAACAACACACTTCTAAATTATTCATGGCTCAAAGAGGAATTCTCAAAGGAAATTTAAAAAGTACATTCAAGTGAATGAAAATTAAAATGCATTGTATCAAAAATTTGGGGACATAAGCAGAGCAGTGCTGAAAGGGGAATGTATAGCACTAAATGCATGCATTAAAAAAGGGGACAGGTCCTAAACAGTAATCTAATCTCCCAGCTAAAGACTCTAGGAAAAAAAAGAAAAGAGGGATGGGAAATGAAACCAAAACAAACAGAAAGAAGGACAGAAGAAAGACAATAGTAGAAATCAATGGAATTAAAGAGAGACAAATATTGCAGAAAATCAGTGAACAAAGAGCTGGATCATTGGAATGATCAATAAAATTGACAGTCTTCTAACAAGACTGACAAAGAAGAGAGAGAAGACACATTACCGACACTAGCAACAAAACTGGGAATATCGTTACATACTAAGCAGCTATTAAAACGATAGTAAGGGAATACTATGTACAATTGTATATACATATTTGACACTTTAGATGAGATGGAAAAAATCCTCAAGAAACACAAACTACCAACACTAACATTAAATGGGTAACCTGAATAATTCTATAGCTATTAAGGAAATTGAACTCATAATTTAAAACCTTCCAGAAAAGAAAAAAAGAAAGAAAGGCCTAGATGGTTTCCCGGTGAAGTGAATTCTACAAAATATTTAAAGATGAAATAACAACAATCCTGAATAGTGTATGCTTTTGTGCAGAAAACAGAAGGAAGGAAATATTTCCCAACTCATTTTATGAGGCCACATTACCCTGATACCAACTCAGACAAAAACAGTAGAAGAAAATAAGGCTACAGGCCAATACTCCTCATTAGTATAGATGCAGAAATCCTCAAAAATGATAAAATCAAATCCAACAGTATAAAAAAATTGTTTTCTTCCTTTCGTCATTTATCCACTTTATTTTTATTCTTGGAGGTAGTTGCAGTCTGTTGCTCAGGCTGGAGTGCAGTGGTGTGATCATGGCTTACCGCAGCCTCCACCTCCCAGGCTTAGGTGATCCTCCCATCTCAGCCTCCTGAGTAGCTGGACTACAGACACGTGCCAGCATGCCTGGCTGATTTTTGTATTTTTTGTAGAGATGGGATTTTGCCATGTTGGCCAGGCTGCTCAAACTCCCAGACTCAAATGATCTTCCTGCTCTGGACTCCCAAAGGGCTATGATTACAGGCAGGAGCCACTGTACCTGGCTCCATCCACTTTTAAATATTCTTTAGTCCTATGTTTTCTATGAGGGATATCATGTTGAAAGGGGGCAAATTCAAAGACCTGTGAATCAGGAGATTCGAAAGTGGGTGCTACTTTTGTTTGTAGTTCTAGTTTCTTCAGTGTAGGAGTCAGAATTTATTATTCTATGATGTAATAAAAGGTATATTCACAATGATATTCAACCCAAGATCCTGCAGAATATAGGTGTTTGTGTATTCAGTTTTACTGAGTACTTTGAAAGCATCTTATTTATTTATATAGGTATTTAATTTTTTTAATTTGACAAATAAAACATGCATATTATGGGGTGCACCATGATGTTTTGTTACATGTATATATTATGGAATGACTAATTCAAGTTAATTAACATATTCATCACCCTCACATACTTACCATTTTTTGGTGAGGAAGACTTTTTTGTATTTATATTCAGAATCAACATTGTTCAATTACTTGTTTTGGCATGTTATGTTATCTAGGGAAGAAAAATTAGAATGCATAGAAAAGATCTGTAGATACCAGCTGGTTACAGCTGTCTTGGATAAATGGGTAGAGGAAGAGAGGGTAAGGTGCTATGATGTTACTTTGCATTTATTTTTACATGCATACGTTTACCATGGGGGATGTATTAATATTTTTATGAGCATTTGATGGTGCAGTTATTAAGAATGCAAGCCCTTTTTTATTGGCTGTGTGCTTTTATTTTATTTCCCCAAGGTTCTGTTTTCCTTAGCACTTTACTACAATCTACTCCTTCAGAAGGCAAACTACCCCATTCCCTCCCCTAGGTCTCACCTGCCTCTCCCACAAAGGATTATTTTTTGGTGGACTTAGGCCTTTTGATCTCAGTCATATGATTAACATTTTTTAATTCAATTTTGTTTCAGGATATATTCAGGATTTGATGTATAATATACATACTATAAGGCTCAATTGTTTTGGTTTAGCATTCAGTGAAGTTTGACAAAATGTGTACTATCATGTGACTGCAGCCAAAAGGGAGATAGAAAACAGTTCCAGTCGGGCACGGTGGCTCACGCCTGTAATCCCAGGACTTTGGGAGACTGAGGAGGGTGGATCACCTGAAGTTAGGAGTTCAAGACCAGCCTGGCCAACCTGATGAAACCCTGTCTCTACTAAAAATACAAAAATTAGCTGGGAGTAGTCGTGGGTGCCTGTAATCCCAGCTACTCGGGAGGCTGAGGCAGGAGAATCGCTTCAACCTGGGAGGCAGAGGTTGCAGTGAGCTGAGATCGTGCCATTGCACTGCAGCCTAGATGACAGAGCAAGACTCTGTCTCAAAACAAAAAAAAACAAAATAGTTTCATCATCCCTGCAAGCTCCCTCCTTCCCCACTGTAGTCACCACCTGTACCCTCCCTGCCCTGGCGACCCCATCTGACTTCTGTCCCTGTAATTTTGCCTTTTTCCGAATGTCATATAAATAGAATCATGCTATACATAGTCTTTTGTGTCTGGCTTTTTTCACTCAGCATAATGGAATTGAGGTTAAACTATGTTGTATCATACATCACAGTACATTAAAAAAATACTGAGTAGTATTCATTGTGGCTTTGTCACAATTTGTTTATCCACTCTCCAGTTAATGGACTTTGACATTGTTTTCAGTCATTAGTTATTATGAATAAATTTGCTACAAACATTTGCTTAAAATATCAAACATGTTTTTGTTTCTCACGTAAATGCCTAGGAATGGAATAGATATTCTTAATTGCATGCTTAGCTTTTTAAAAACACCAAACTCTTACAGAATTGCCATCCACTTTTCCATTTCCAAGATTCCAGGTATAAGGGTTCTACTTTCTCCACAACTTTGTCAGCTCTGTGTAGCACTGTGTGGAATATATATAATTTTTTTTCTTTCCTGTGTTTATTTATTTAGAGACAGGGTCTCACTCTGTTGCCCAGGCTGGAGTGCAGTGGCACAATCACCGCTCACAGCAGCCTTGACCTTCTGGGCTCAAGCAGTCCTCCTGCCTCAGCCTCCTGAGTAGCAGGAACTACAGGCATACACCACCATGACCCACTAATTTTCCTATTTTTTGTAGAGATAAGGTTTCACCATATTGCTCAAGCTGGTCTTGAACTCCTGGGCTCAAGTGATTCGCCTGCCTTGGCCTCTCAAAGTGCTGGGATTACAGGCATGAAATACCACGTCCAGCCTGGAATATAGTTTTATTTTATCCATTTTAGTAGGTGGGTAGTAGCATTTCATTCTGGTTTTGCTTTGGGAGAGAATCCCAAACAGCCATTGATGTTGAATATCTTTTTATGTTCTATTTTCTAACTGTCTCTCTTCTTTGGTGAAGTATTTTTTAACACCTTTTGCCAATTTTTTAGTTGTGTTGTTCTGTTTCTTAGAGTAGTAAGGGTTTTTATTTGTTTATTTTTGTTTTTTTCCTAGCTCCTGGATACAAGTCTTTTATTAGATAAGTGCTTTGGAGATATCTTCTCCCAGACTGTGCCTTGTCTTTTCATTTTCTTGACAATATATGTCAAAGAACAGAGCTTTCGTTTTTTTTTTCTTTCTTATTTTTGTGAGATGGAATCTCGCTCTGTTGCCTGGGCTGGAGTGCAGTGGCACGATCTCAGCTCACTGCAAGCTCCGCCTCCGGGTTCATGCCATTCTTCTGCCTCAGCCTCCCAAGTAGCTGGGACTACAGGCGCCCGCCACCATGCCCGGCTAATTTTTTGTATTTTTTAGTGGAGACGGGGTTTCACCATGTTAGCCAGGATGGTCTCGATCTCTTGACCTCATGATCCACCTGTCTAGGACTCCCAAAGTGCTGGGATTACAGGCATAAGCCACTGTGCCCGGCCAGAGCTTTTGTATTTTAATGAAGTTTTGTTTTTATATTTTTTCTTTGATGCCTCCCTTTTGCATCATATATATGAAATCTTTGCCTAACTCTTACATTGTCTTCTAGAACTCGTACATATTAACTTTTACATTAGATCTATGATTAACTTGAAGTTTTTGGAAGTGATATGAGGTTCTTTTCATGCTTATATACAAAAATATGTCCAGTTGTTTTACCATCAGTTGTTAGGAAGACTTTCCTATCTCCAGTGAATTACATTAATACATTTGTCAAAAATCAGTGGCTCTCATTTATGAGGGGGAAATATTTCTGAACTCTTTTTTTTTTTTTTTTGATACAGAGTCTCCCTCTGTTGCCCTGGCTGGAGTGCAGTGGCGCAATCTCGGCTCACTGCAAGCTCCGCCTCCAGGTTCACGCCATTCTCCTGCCTCAGCCTCCCGAGTAGCTGGGACTACAGGCGCCCGCCAGCACACCTGGCTAATTTTTTGTATTTTTAGTAGAGACGGGGTTTCACCGTGTTAGCCAGGATGGTCTCGATCTCCTGACCTCGTGATCTACCCGGCTCAGCCTCCTAAAGTGCTGGGATTACAGGCATGAGCCACCACGCCTGGCAACTCTTTTTTCCTCCTCATTCTATATGTCTGTTTTTATGTCAAAAAGATACTGTCTTGATTACTCTAGCTTCATATTGGGTCTTGATTGAGGCAGTATAAGTCCTCCAGCTTTGTTTTTCTTTTTCAAGCTTTTTTTTTTTTTTCTGTTAATACTATTCTAGGTCCCTCAATTTGGCACAAAAATATAATATCAACTTGTTAGTTTCTACATAAATATATGCCGGAATTTTTATTAGGATTGTGTTGAATTTCAAGATCAACAGTTTGGAAAGAATCTACAACTTAATCATGTTGAGTCTTCCAACCCAGCAGACACACATAAACACACACACACAAACATACTCTCCTTTAATTTCTTGCATTATTGTCTTATAATTTTCACAGAATAAACTTCAAATATATTTTATTACACTTAACCCTATATATTTCATGCTTTGGTGGTATAAATGGTATTGTTTTATTTTAATTTTCAATTGTCATTTGCAAGTATATATTTTAAAAATAGATTTTTCTACATTGAAGATTCCAGAGGTCTGTGGAAAGAGTGGGCCACATCAGGTCTGTTTAACTCACTCCTTACCTAGGAGTTGCTGGAGGTGCGTAAGGAGTCCGGGTGCTCTGCAGCTCCTTGCAGGGTTCCCAGCTTCCTCCATTTTCAGCCCAGGGTCTGCTTCCTCTCGCCTCTCAATGCCTTCCTCTGGGAGATCTGCGTGGAGTCCGTACTAGTCCGTTTTCACGCTGCTGATAAAGACATATTTGAGACTGGGTAATTTATACAAGAAAAAGAGTTTAATGGACTTACAGTTCCACATGGCTGGTGAGGCCTAATAAACATGGCAGAAGGAAAGGAGGAACAAGTCCCATCTTACATGGATGGCAGCAGGCAAAGGGAGAGGTTGTACAGGGAAAATCCCCTTTTAAAAACCATCAGATCTCATGAGACTTATTAACTGTCCTGAAAACAGCACGGGAAAGACTTGCCCCCATGATTCAATTACCTCCCACAGGGTCCCTCCCAGAACACATGGGAATTCAAGATGATTGTTGGGTGGTGACACAATCAAACCATATCATTCTGCCCCTGGCCCCTCCCAAATCTCATGTCCTCACATTTCAAAACTAATCATGCCTTCCCAACAGTCCCCTGAAGTCTTAACACATTTCAGGATCAAGTCGAAAGTCCACAGTTCAAAGTCTCATCTGAGGCAAGGCAGGTCCCTTCTGCCTGTGAGCCCGTAAGATGAAATGCAAGTTAGTTACTTCCTAGATACAATGTTGGTACAGGCATTGGGTAAATACAGCCATTCCTAATGGGAGAAATTTGTCAAAACAAAGGGGTTACAGTCCCTATGCAAGTCCAAAATCCAGCAGGGCAGTCAAATGTTAAAGCTCCAAAATGATCTCCTTTGACTCCATGTCTCACATCCAGGTCATGTTGATACAAGAAATGGGTTCCTATGGTCTTGGGCAGCTCCACACCTGTGGCTTTGCAGGGTACAGCCTCCCTCCTGGCTGCTTTCCCAGGCTTACTTTGAGTGTCTGTGGCTTTTCGAGGTGTGTGGTGCAAACCATCAGTGGATCTACCATTCTGGGGTCTAGAGGATGGTGGCCCTCTTCTCACAGCTCCACGAGGCAGTGCCTCAGTAGGGACTCTGTATGGGGCCTCTGACCCCACATTTCCCTTCTGCACTGCCCGAGTAGAGGTTCTCCATGAGAGCCCTGCCTCTGTAGCAAACTACTGCCTGGACATCCAGGCATTTCTATACATCATCTGAAGTCTAGTTGGAGGTTCCCAAATCCCAATTCTTGACTTGTGTGCACTGGCAGGCTCAACACCATATGGAAGCTGACAACGCTTGGGGCTTTGTACACTGTGAAGCCATGGCCTGAGCTTTACGTTGGCTCCTTTCAGCCATGACTGGAATGGCTGGGATGCAGGGCACCAAGTCCCTAGGCTGTACACAGCATAGGGACCCTGGGCCTGGCCCAGAAAACCACTTTTTCCTCCTAGACCTCCTGGCCTGTGATGGGAGTGGCTGGTTGCTGTGAAGACCTCTGGCATTCCCTGGAGACATTTTCCCCATTGTCTTGGTGATTAACATTTGGCTGTTCATTACTTATATAAATTTCTGCCAGAAGCTTGGATTTCTTTTCAGAAAATGGGGTTTTACTTTTCTTTTGCATTGTCAGGCTGCATGTTTTTCAAACTTTTATGCTCTGATTCCCTTTCAAAACTGAATGCCTTTAACAGTACCCAAGTCACCTCTTGAATGCTTTGCTGCTTGGAAGTTTCTTCTGCCAGATACTCTAAATCATCTTTCTGAAGTTCGAAGTTCCACAAATCTCTAGGGCAGGGACAAAATGCCACCAGTCTCTTCTAAAACATAACAAGTGTCACCTTTGCTTCAGTTCCCAACAAGTTCCTCCTCTCCATCTGAGACCACCTCTGCCTGGACTTTATTGTCCATATCATTATCAGCATTTTGGGCAAAGCCATTCAACAAGTCTCTAGGAAGTTCCAGTCTTTCCCAATTTCCCTGCCTAATGAGCCCTTCAAACTGTTCCAACCTCTACCTGTTTCCCAGTTCCAAAGTCACTTCCACATTTTCACAGCACCCCACTCCTGGTACCAATTTACTGTGTTAGTCCATTTTCACACTGCTGATAAAGACATATGTGAGACTGGGTAATTTTTGCAAGAAAAAGGTTTAATGGAATTACTGTTCCACGTGGCTGGGGAGGCCTCACAATCATGGCAGAAGGCAAGGAAGAGCAACTTATGTCTTACATGGGTGACAGCAGTCAGAGAGAGCTTGTGGGGCAAACTCCCCTTTTTCTATTTATTTATTTATTTTTAGTCGGAGTTTCACTCTTGTTGCCCAGGCCGGAGTCCAGTGGCATGATCTTGGCTCACTGTCACCTCTGCCTCCAGGGTTCAGGCAATTCTCCTGCTTCAGCCTCCCAAGTAGCTGGGATTACAGGTGCCTCCCACCATGCCCAGCTTATTCTTGTATTTTTAGTAGAGATGGGGTTTCACCATGTTGGCCAGGCTGGTCTCGAACTCCTGACCTCAGGTGATCCACACACCTCGGCCTCCCAAAATGCTGGGATTACAGGCATGAGCCACCATGCCCGGCCGGGAAACTCCCCTTTTTAAAACCATCAGATCTTATGAGACTTATTCACTATCACGGGAACAGCACAGGAAAGATCTGCCCGCATGGTTTAATTATATCCCACTGGGTTCCTCCCACAACATATGGGAATTCAAGATGAGATTTGGGTGGCAACACAGCCAAACCATATCAGAGTCTGTCAGTTTTCTTGCTGGTCTGGGCTCTTGGTAGGAGAAGCTCTTTCTGGCTGCATGTAGTCAGCCATCTTGGCTCTTCTGACTTACAGTTTTGGACTGTACTGTTCTGGCAATGACTATATATCTAGATTTTGGTATGAGTAAAGAGCCTCATAAAATGATTTAAGAAGTGTTCAGTTCCTTCTATATTTTGCAAAATCTTATATACAATTGGTATAATTTCTTTTAAAATATTCACCTTTGAAGCAAATTGTGTGTTTTCTTTGGGTGAAGGATTTTACCTATGAATTAAATCTTCTATAAGAGGGAGAAAGTTATACTTGTTGTGCAATTCCCCTTGAGTGAGATTTAGATATTTGTGTCTCTCAAGGAGTTTGTGGTTTTATCTGTGTTATCAAAGATAACTGGCATAAAATTGTTAATAATAATTCCTTATTTTCCTTTTAATGTCTTTAGTTCTTGTAGTGATGTTCTGTTTTTCCCTGACTTCAGTATTTTATGTTTTCTCTATCTTTTTCTTGCTTGATGTGTCTACTGATGTATCAATTTTATTGTTTTCAGAGAACAGGCTTTTCTATTTCATGGATTTGTTTCTATTATTTCCCTTTTCTCAACTTCATTGATTTCTATCTTTGTTTTATTCATTATTGTTACTTCGCATCTTATTAAGGGTAGAAGTTTAGATTCTTGACTTGCAATCTTTCTGGCTTTCTTACCGAAGGATTTAATGCAGCACATTTTGCCCACTGCAACAGTTTAACTGAGTCCCACATATGCTATGTTGTGTTTTTATTCAATTTAAAAATATTTTATAATCTCGCTTTGACTTTCTTCTTTGACATCCCATGAATTATTTACACCTGAGTTTTAGAGTTTCATATATTTAGGGATATTTCAGATGTCCGCATGTTGTAAGTTGCAAACTTAATTTCATTTTGTTTAGAGGGAATGTTTTGTTGGATTTTAATTCTGGTAAATTTATTGATATTTGATTTATTTTACTGAATATGATCTATCTTTATCAATGTCCAAGTGTCCTTTAAATAATATTTATTCTGCTATTTTTGTGTGGAATGTTTTGTTAATGTCAATGACATCATGTTCATTGATACCGTTGTGTAGGGTTCTTTTATTGTGGCCAGTTTTCTGTCTACTGCTTTTATCAACTATTGAGAGGGGAGTATTGAATTCTCCAACAATAATTATGGATTTTATCTTTTTCTTCTTTGAATTATATACATTTTTATATTACATATTTTGAATAATGTTGTATGAATATATAGATTGGATTCTTATGTCTTGATGAATTGACTCCTCTATCATTACTCCTTATAATTGTTTTTTAGTTTGAAGTCTGTCTTGTCTGATATAACCACTCTGGATTTCTTTTGAATGGTACTTGATATTATCATTTTCTGTCATTTTATTTTTAATTTGTATTTTTGTAATATATTGAAATTTGGCTTTATGTTGACCATATTAGATTGGATATCACTTTTTAAATATAATATGACAATCTCAGCCTTTTATTTGGTGATATTTAATTCATGTGCATTTCATGTGATTATTGTATTTTGGGTTTACATCAACCATTTTGATCATTGTGTTATATTTTCCCCATCTGTTTCTTATTTTCCCCCAAAGTTTCTCCATTCTTTTGGATTAATTGAGTTTTCTTTTAAAGTATTACATTATCTCCACTATTGGCATATTAGTCTAGCTCTTTCTTTTATTTTTACCTAGTAGTTATAGGATTTATTGTGTTTGGTTCATATAAAATTTACTATGTCTACTGCAAATTATATTGCACTGTGGCTTATATATTGTAAGGAAGTTACAATAGTATAATTTTGTTTTGTCTTTCTCAGAATCTGAACTATGATTTTTTCCTATATATGTTGTAAAATCCACAATAATAGTTATTATTTTTGCTTATGTCAACGTTATGTTTTTAAATGATTAAAAAATTTTAAAACTTTTTCCTTTACCTTGACTTTTACTGTTTCTACTAGTCTACATTTCTTTGTGTATATCTCGATTTACTCCTGTCACCATATTTTTTGCTCTGTAGAATTTCCCTTATTATGCCTTACGTTGCATGTCTGTTGGCAAGAAAATGGCTCAGTATTTGTTTCCTGAAAAAGTTTTAATTTATTTTTATTGTTGATTTATTTTATTGTTTATTTCCACTAGGTATAGAATTCCTAGTTGACATAATTTTCCCTTCAGCCCTTCAAAGTGTTGCATCGTTGTTATTTGCCTTTCATAATTTCAGGGGAAAAGTCTGCTTAATCCTTGGCTTTCATCCTCTGGAGGTAATATTTCTTTCTCTTTTTATTCTGTCTACCAGCATAAGTTTATCTTTATCTTTGATTTTCAGCAAAAGCAAATTAATAATAATATTATTAATAATGATAAAAGCAACAGAATTATGATGGGTCAGGATTGTTAGATTATTATTCATTTTCTTTAATGTTCTCTGATAGTCTCTGGTTTGTTGTCTCTTCTTGATTTATTTTGGAAATTCTCAGGAATTATTTCTTCACATAGTTCTTCTGCCTCATTCTTTCCTCTTCTTCTGGGAGTCCAGTTACCCATAGGTTAGACTTCTTGATACTGTTCCACAATTCTTGGATGCTCTGTTTAATTTTTTAAATTCTTTTTAAAGATAATCTGTATTGAGTTATCTTGAAATTCACTCCTCCTTTTTTCAGCTCTTTTGTGCTGATAAGGCTGATAAGGTACTTTTCAGCTCTGTTGTTGTGTTTTTATTTTCACATTTTTCATAAGTGTTTCATTCTTTACTTATAGTTTTATTTCTTTGCTTATATCCCCATCACTTTGTGCGTGTTCCCACCTCTTCTATATTAACTGTAGTTCTTTTAAAGTTCCTATGTGATAGTTTCAATACTTGCATCATTTCTGAATCTTAGTATTTATTTTTTTATTTCCTGGTAGTTTTTTTTCTTTTTGAGTTTGTGGAAGAACAGCAAAATCAAAGGTAAATACTATATGCCTCTGGAAATGGGAATCTTTGTGAGTCTGTTAGTGTTGGAGGATAAGTCAATAATCCAGTAGTTTAGCTGGGTTGGGTTTTGTGGTAGCTAGTATTATCCTCAGTTCACTACAGGCTCAGATGTGTACAGTGATGCACTCTGATTATCTTGCAGCTATTATTGTTCCCCTACTCTGTTTGGGGTGACAGAATTGTTCAGGCTTCTGTCACCCTATTCTCTTACACAGTACTTGACTGTGTGTTCCACAGAGGGGTGTCTTTCTCTGCATTCTTATCCTTCCTCAGAAGTAAAGTGTTGTGGCTTATGATTCAGTGTTAGACATGATGGGTGCCAGCAGGATTCTCCAAGTCTAGATTTAGTTTTACAGAACCTATCCTCTTAGGTCTAGGGTTTAGGACCTCGTCGGCATCTCTGATTTTTCTTGGGTAGGAGAGAGTTTCCTGTATCTCTCCTAATGGTAGCTGACTTCTGCTTTGTGTCACTGAGGAATTTAGAGCCCTAGAGATTTCCCTTCAATTAGAGGCAGATTGCTTTTGCTTCTACCCTTTACCCAAAAGCAGTGGATAGTTTCCTGCTTCCTCATGGTGAGTTGGAGGATTTCCTCCCCATCTCCCTCCTGAAGGGACACTTTCTGCTTCTACCACTGCCACTGCTGTCTCCTGCATCAGGCCTGAAGTGAAACATTTGCTGACGCTCCTTTAATGCCTTTGTTTTCTATAGCAAAGGTGTGGAGAAGAGGGTTGTGTTTTACACTTGTTGATTGAATTTTTGACGTAATACTATGGATGTTTATAAAATGGATTCTCATTGGCCAATGCGGTATTTATGTATAACTCACTTAGTTTAAGCCTGGATGGATACTGAGGGACATGGCAACAAGAAGTCTAATAATTTTTTAAACATTTAATTTTTTATCAGTATTTAAATTGAGTTTCACCATGGTTTTTTTTTTTTTTTTTTTTGAGACACTCTGTTGCCATGCTGGAGTACAGTGGTGCAATCATGACTCACTGCAACCTCCACCTCCCCGGTTCAAGCGATTCCCCTACCTCCTGAGTAGCTGGAATTACAGGCATCCCGCCACCATGCCCAGCTAATTTTTGTATTTTTAGTAGAGACACGGTTTCACCATGTTGGCCAGGCTGGTCTCAAACTCCTGACCTCAAGTAATCTGCCTGCCTCAGCCTCCCAAAGTAATGGGATTATAGGTGTGAGCCACTGTGCCCAGCTGAGCTTCACATTTTATATTATACTTTTTATTATAAGCATTTCCCTGGATAAAATTCATATTTCCTCAAAACTTGATTTTTAAAGTACTACTGTACAATATGATATTACCATGGTACCTAATGGCCTAGAAACCTTTTACATAGCATGAATAATACCTTTCCCTTAAATTTACTAATGTGAGAACATTGCCTTATAAAATATTATATAAAAAAGTATAGCATATACCATCAATTTGGCTAATAAAAATGAGCTGCATAACAGCTAAAAATCTGAAAGTTTTATAATGACTGATATTTACGTTTTTATCATTATTCAGCAATGAAAATATCCTCAGTGATTAACAATTTGGCCACCAGTGTGTTTTTGTAACAGTGGCTGTTACACTTTCAGAATCAAGCTAAAAAATAAATACTGAGACATTTTCTTTGAAAATATTTGAGTACAAATTTGAGTCAATACAATTCGTGATTGACTGTAGTAATCCTCCCAACGCACACCCAGCACAAATCCACAAACTCGTTAATTGGAAAAAATTGCATGCATCATTAGTGGTTTTGTTTAATTTCATCTTTTCATTAGTCTTTTGGAAGACATGAAGTGTCAGAACTTGAAATCTTTCCCATGTGCAGGTCTTTAATCCTCATTTATTGAGTGTTTTACTTCTGAATATAATTCTCATTATTGTTGAATATATATTTTAATTGTTGACATGAATATTAAAAGTATGCACTGAATATGGATTCAAGGAATTTGGAGTTAAATGTAAATTATCAATGGCTACAATAATTGAGTAATTTTAACAGGCAATTGAATATTTTAATTATCTATTGTTACATAACAAAAATGCTCTAACACTTAGTGGTCTGTAGTGACATACATTTATTATCTTATGGTTTCTGTGTGTAAGGAATCTGGACATGGCTTAGATGGATTCTCTGTTTGCCAATCTCTCACAAGGCCTGAATCCAGATCTACAGTCTCATCTGAAAACATGCGTAGGGAAGGATCCACTTCCATTCTCACCTAGTGGTTGTTAGCAGCATTGAGTTTCTCATAAATTGTTGGACTCAGGTCTTTATATCCTAACTGACTTTTGGTCAGAGGTCTCCTTCATTTCCTTGCCATGCTGGTCTCTCCAATATGGCAGCTCACTTTTCAAAGTGTGAAAGTCAAACAGCACTAGAGAGGGACTACTATCAATATGGAAGTCACAATATTTTATAACTTATTTGTGGTAATGATAATCCCATCAACGTTGTTGTGTGATTAGAGGGAGTTTATTCAAGGAGAAGACCGTGAATACCAGGATGCGGAAATTATTTGGGACTGTTTTTGAGACTGCCTACCACAATAAAGTACTCATTTGTTACACATACCATGTATTGTTTGAATATATTGCTGGAGTCATTAAAGTTCTTTATCTTAAAATTGCTTTGAAGAATTTGAAACGCATACACTGCTCATTGTTTTTACCATGTCACTAAAACTTCTTCTCAACCAAAGGTATTACTATTGTGCCATAATTTATGCCAACTCTCCAAAACATAGCAGTAGAGATACAGACTGATAGACAGTTACTGCCACATTAATGGAAGAGGTGTAACAGAGAGGTCAGGATAGGAGTTTGCTCACATTCCTGTTCTGTCATTAACTTTATATCTCTGAGTCTCAAGTTCTTCTTTTTCAAATGAAGATAATATTGACATTATATTTGATAGTTTTTACAATTTACCTAATATAATAAAAATAAACCACTTAATATAGTACTATTACATAGTAATTGCTACATAGATGGGGTGTATTATTATGATGCATATCATTACTTAAAGAATGAGGAATCCTGTTCTATTGATGAAAAACTCAGAATGCATCCTTACTGAACTGAATGTGTAGTTTACTTATTTGGGGGACATATTTGCTGGGCTGGTGGTTTATTAGGAAATGGTTTCAGTATATGGAGTACTAAATTAAATTGTTAAAATAATAACACTAGTAAATGAAATCGAATTGATTTAGTTTTTCTCAACTAAATAGAAATTTTCATATTTCTAATTGATAAAACAAAGCGAATTTAAATCTCTCTTATACTGATTTTAGGCCATTGCCATTGACACTTCTCTCAGAAGTAATTTCTGAAAGTGATTTACAGTGGGGAACATGGCCTGCCAGATGCTAAGTTTTCCTATAAAGAAGACTGGGCAGTTAGAACAGTGTAGAACTGACACAGGGGTCAACCAACAGGTCATTTGAAGAGATTATACAATTCAGGATCAGATGAAATTTTTTTTTTTGGTTTTGCTATTTTATTCTTCATGAAGGATTTGAAATAAATTTCCCAACATTTTATTATGAAACCCTTAAAGCGACAGAAATGTTGAAAGAATTCTCCCACCTAGATTGTGCAGGTAACAATTTACTCTATGAATTCTTTCATGTATTGATACACTTTGCCATTTCTTTACTCTTCCATCAATTCATTGTTGGTGCTTTCAGAGTAAGTTGTGAAGCGAAGTACACTGTACAGACTACACATTTAAATACTTCAGTTTATGTAACATCAGCTAGATCTCAGTATTTCCCTATGTTTCTTTTAAAATAAAAATTTACATAAGATGACACGAATAAGCTTATATTCAAAAAGTTCTGACAAATGAGTATTAGACCTAAGTTTATATTGGATATATTGTATGTTAGAAGTCAGAGTTTAAGGTACAGACAATTGTATTTTGATAACTGGCTAACATTTGGAGAAAGTAATATTCTTTACCAAAAAATCAATGTGAATTAAAGATATGATGTTTCATAATATGTGCAAGACATCATCAGAGAATACCATGGACATTAGTAGTTTGACCAGTGGTGTCTAGTTTGTGAATTGTCAATCCCTCTGAAAGCTTAATTTATCTTTAAAAATAATTTCTGTTACCGGGATAATCCTAGTAGTAACAGACAATTGCCAATTAGTTTGTGGGATGAAATGAACCTTTCATTACTTCAAGTGCAGACACAAGCACCTTTTAAAACCCACATCCTGCAGTACCTGAAGTTTCAAAGAGTTTACTCAACTTGTTCAACAGACATAGAGCAAGAATTATTGAGTTCCCCATTAACAGGAGACCTCCTATCAAAGCAGCACATTAATTTACAGTCCATATAGGAAAAGAAAATCAGATTTGGAGCAGTTGTGTAAATTATCATAAAGGAAATCTTTAACATAGGGTAAGCAGTCAAGAGAATTTCATTTTAATATGTAAAACTCTTCATGAGCACGTCTTAGTTTGTGAGCTGGGACTATAGTCATTTTACTAATTCACCATAGAGTTAACTCTGCAATGTGAATACAGGGCATTCTGTTAACTTTGGAGCAGGAGTTAATGCAATATGGATACTATTTTCTAAGTATTAAAGTATTGCATTTTAATTTTTACCTCCAGTCGTGTTCCCCGGCACCATTCTTCTTCTAAGTTTGAGCCTTAAGGGTTATAGTCCCATGGAGTGAAATATTAGACATTGCCCAAGGTAAAGAGGCAGCCTTGGATCTCAAGTTGACATTCTTAACCTTTTAACTTGACAGATACATAAATGGCAGGGAATGTGCAGTTAGAACAGGATTTCCCATATTCTTTTGCCTCCCATAGACTGTGTCAATAACCATGATTAACAGGTTATGCTATGGGGTTTCGTATCTGAGTCCATCTCAGACAGAAAGTACCAGGGAACTCACATTTTCTTTCCTTGACAGTGTTGGAAAGAGGGGAGACAAACACGGGGGAAGCAGGCAGTCAGACATGTGACCCTGTGTCTACTCTTCCAACCACAAGTCCTGAAAGACAGGGATTGGAATACAGGAGAAAGCTAAAGGCTGAGTGCTCCTGAGGGCTCTTCCTTTAGCAGTCAGGGAAGAGCTTGCTTAGCATACCACCTTGCAAGAAGAGAATCACTAACATACCTTCTGAGACTGTTGCAGGCAGTGTGGAGGCCTGTGTTTAGAGCTCCTCTGCCACCCTGAGGACTCCATAGCAGGGAATATCATAAACTTCCAAGACAGGGCCCAGGATTCTGCTGAGGCCATTCCTGGAGAGTTTGCCAAGAGTATTTCCATGTCCCTGGCAACAGGGCTATACAGTGAAAGAGGCGGCAAAAGTTACTTTGGCCTAGACTCTGCACTGGTTCCCACTGCTAAGTAGGTCTTTAGGAAGACCCAAAAGGAGAGGAAAATAGTGACATCCTAGTTGCTGCTGTCACAGCTACTGAGCCTGAACAGGGGTGGATCCACTGGTCTAGTCTTGCTTCCCCATAAGTGTCAGGAAAGAAAATTACTTAAGGTTTTGCAGGGTTTTCTTCATTAAGAAAATAAAAAGAGGTCTGTCTGTCTGTCTGTCTGTCTGTCTGTCTTGGAATCTTGCTCTGTCACCCAGGCTGGAGTGAAGTGGAGTGATGTCAGCTTACTGCCACCTCTTGCCTCCTGGGCTCAAGTGATTCTCCTGCCTCAGCCTCCCGAGTAGCTGGGATTACAGGCTCCCGCCACCACTCCTGGCTAAGTTTTGTATTTTTAGTAGAAACAGGGTTTCACCACGTTGGCCAGGCTGGTCTCAAACTCCTGACTTCCAGTGATCCGCCGGCCTCAGCCTCCCAAAGTGCTGGGATTACAGTGTGGTCTAAATTCCATATACCTCCTTTGGTCACATTTGCAAAGCCAGGTTTAGTATTAATGAAGTATTTATTGAATGTCTACTGTACAGATACTGTTTCAATTAAGATCTTCAAGGAGCAGTGCACAGCCCCTGCCTGCAAGGAACCAGCAATCTAAGAGGAAAGAAAAAACTGTAAAGCCTACTTATAAGCCTCTCAACAGGTTCTGAAAAGGAAAACAAATAGGTCTTTGAGACACATGGTGCCTGCTTCCCTCCACTCATCACCTCCACAGCCACAACTCTTTGCTGAGGAGAGGAAACCCGCTATAATCCAAAACCAGAGTTGACCATGTTACTCACAGTGAGGGCTCCATGTTACCTGGCAGAGGAGCTTTTCCTGGTGGATGTGTGACATATGCTGTCTTAGGTAGACTCTTTGATGTACTCTTATTTAATTTGCTTAATCTAGTATTTCCTTGCCACTTGGATACAATAGGGCATATCGGTTAAGAATGCACATACAGGGCCGTGGGCGGTGGCTAACGCCTGTAATCCCAGCACTTTGGGATGCCAAGGTGGGTGGATCACTCAAAGTCAGGAGTTCGAGACCAGTCTGACCAACATGGTGAAACTGCGTCTCTACTAAGTATACATAAATTAGCTGGGCATGGTGGTGGCAGCTGTAGTTTCAGCTACTTGGGAGGCTGAGGCAGGAGAATTGCTTGAACCCAAGAGGCAGAGGTTGCAGTGAGCCGAGATCACATCGCTGCACTCCTGCTTGGGTGACAGCGAGGAAAAAAAAAAAGAAAAGAAGAAAAAACGCATATACAGGAGCCAGGCTGCTTGGGTCAAAGGAAATCCTCCAGTCATGAGCCGTGTGATGTAAACGCTGCAACACGGGTATCACCGCTATATGAGTTGATGCATTTAGTTAATGAATTAATTCATGGGCATTACCATATTGTCAAAGCCCTTATGATAATGTCTAGACATGTCATAATCAATAAATGTCCTTTTTTCCATCTGTGTATCCTTCCTTCCTTCCTAATTTTTCAAGATTATTAATGATTGATTTCCGCACTGTCGTATTAGTAAGCATGTGTTGTAGAACCTACCAAATGAACGTCACTTCTATGCTCTGAAAAGAAATATAATGTGCGGCTTTGATATTGGATGGAGGAGAACTGAAAAAAAAAAAAAAAAAAAAAAACACCTCATAATACGTATCTTCACTTCATGGCATTTTGAAACTCCCCTGAGATTGTTTTGCCTGGAGTTGTAATTGAGTCTGTATCTGCCATTTCCGAATCAGATTATGTGCTTCTTCCCAAGCATTCATTTTCTTATTTTATAATCGTGTTTTCCTTAAGTGTTAAAAATATGCTTCTGCTGGTGTTCAACATAAATTCTGAGCCCTGATTGAGCTGAACCATGGTTTCTCACTTTGTGAGTGGACTCGCATCCCATCCCCGCCGTAACCTGTGGAGACAGAGCGTGGAGATGCCCTTCCACATATAAAAACAGTCTGATTTTAACAGCCACACGGCTTTTATGTCTTAAGTCTCATCCGATTCAGAATTTCCACCACAGCTGCCCCGCAAAGCTGTCCCCTCCGCTTCCCCCCTTCACTACCTTTCTCCTTCCCTCCCGTTGGCCTGACCTGTGGGGAATGGGGTTGTGTTGGTGCTATGCTGACCCCGCTGGCTCTGGCTCACTCCAGCGCTAGTTCTCTCTCTCTCTCTCTCTCTCTCTCTCTCTCTCTCTCTCTCTCTCTCTCTCTCCCTCCTCTCTCTCTCTCTCTCCCCCCTCTCTCCCCCCCTCTCTCTCTCTCTCCTCCTCTCTCTCTCTCTCTCCTCCTCTCTCTCTCTCTCCTCCTCTCTCTCTCTCTCTCCCCCTCTCTCTCTCTCCTCCTCTCTCTCTCTCTCTCCCCCTCTCTCTCTCTTCTCTCTCTCTCTCTCTCCTCCTCTCTCTCTCTCCTCCTCTCTCTCTCTCTCTCTCCTCCTCTCTCTCTCTCTCTCCTCCTCTCTCTCTCTCCTCCTCTCTCTCTCTCTCCTCCTCTCTCTCTCTCCTCCTCCTCTCTCTCTCTCCTCCTCTCTCTCTCTCTCCTCCTCCTCTCTCTCTCTCTCCTCCTCTCTCTCTCTCTCCTCCTCTCTCTCTCTCTCCTCCTCCTCTCTCTCTCTCTCCTCCTCTCTCTCTCTCTCCTCCTCCTCTCTCTCTCTCCTCCTCTCTCTCTCTCCTCCTCTCTCTCTCTCTCTCCTCCTCTCTCTCTCTCCTCCTCTCTCTCTCTCTCCTCCTCCTCTCTCTCTCTCTCCTCCTCTCTCTCTCTCTCTCCCCCCTCTCTCCCCCCCTCTCTCTCTCTCTCCTCCTCTCTCTCTCTCTCTCCTCCTCTCTCTCTCTCTCCTCCTCTCTCTCTCTCTCTCTCCCCCTCTCTCTCTCTCCTCCTCTCTCTCTCTCTCTCCCCCTCTCTCTCTCTCTCCTCCTCTCTCTCTCTCTCTCCCCCCTCTCTCCCCCCCTCTCTCTCTCTCCTCCTCTCTCTCTCTCTCTCTCTCTTCCCCCCCTCTCCCTCTTCCCTCTCTCTCTCTCTTCCCTCCCCTACCTGCTCTGCACTTGGCTTCTCTGGTACTGGAGCAAGGGGAGAGGGCCTTAAGGAAAAACCGTTATGCTAACACCAGCCAACCACAGGCACCCCAGATGCTGACTGCGGCCCCTCTATTGCGTTTTTCTGAGGTTCTGCGTAGACCCTGATGCATGTTGTTTGCATGGTCACACAGCCTTGGGACTCCCTCTCTCAAACTGTTGCTGCACACAGAAGATCTCCCAACCACATCTGGTTTCTGTGTTCTCCTTGTCCCAGCAGGTAGCCCTTGGGGACAGGATCTCTCTGAAAAGTTTCAAGCTCAGTTCTCTTTTGTGGTGTTCAGGTAGCCAGTGGGAACTCTATACTCACTGACCGATCTCACCAAAGAAAGGAGCTTACGTAATCTATTCACATCCTCTCTCCTCGCCCTGGGCGTGGTGGCTGCTCCACACTGCATGTGTTTGTAGGTTTCTCCAGACAGGAGGCAAGTGGCAGCCCCCAGGTGCATGAGTGGGTCCCAGGACCAGGGCCTCTTGCCAGGCTCTCACAGGCACGCTCCAACTGTGTTCTGTGCTGGATACCAGGGTACACTCGTGGGCTCTGCAGCCCAGCTGGCCACGGGACAAGGAGATGCTGTCTCCTTGCTCACAGGCACTCCCATGTATCTCAGTGGGTATCTTGGAGACCTTATCAGTGACATGAGATGATGAGGAGGAGCCTTTTCTCTGCTCCCACAAAGTTAGAAGGAACAGAGCCACCACTTGCTAGCAAGTCTTGGGGGTGTCTGAATCCCCCACCTGTTGGCAAGTCTTGGGGGAGGCTGATGGTCGCTGCTCTCAGCTGTGCTCCTGAGAATGTGAACCTGTTTGGGCTTTTGCTGAAATGCTTACACAACAAGAACCCTACTCTTCATCCTGTTGTATTAACAAACTGCTGGCACAAGCGCTGGTACTTGAATGGCATACTTGATTTTACGAGATCTATCATGAAATACCACTGGTTTTGTGCAACAGTGTGTAGTAGTTACTACTTAATAGAATTATATAGAAAAAAAACCCCTTGGGATTATAATCCATTAATGTTGTTTATGTAGCCTAGAGAACAACTGATCATAATCATAAATCATAAAACACAGTTTGAGTCTCCTGAGGATTTTATAAGATAAAATTCATTAATAGCTGCCAATTGGTTAAAACAATTTATTAAATGACATCTTTCACATAAGCTTTTGCTATTGTTATAATTCTAAAAGTAGGCATAATTATGACAGTATTTTCTACAAGTTCCATATGTTAAGTAAGTAAAATAGGTGAAAATTCCACATTAACGTTAATTTTAATTAACATTTAATGTTAATTCTAATTCATTGGTACAGAAACTTCTAATTTCTCTATGGTTTTTGAATTAAACTCCTTTTCCATTTTCATTTTATTCATGGCAGTTTTCACATAATTTCTATATCTGCCTATATATTACCTCTTAGTGATATCTGTTGTCTCTTAATGAACTTCTGTTTTGTAGGGATTTGTATGTTTAGATATAATTTGTAGATATAATTCCTTTAGCAAGTAGGATTCTGGCATCCACAAAATTCTCACTAATGAGAATCTTATGAAATAAGAAAAGATCTTAAAAATAAGTTCTTTAAATTGCATTTACTACTAAAATATGAAACTATTAAATCTGCTATGGTCAATTCTAACTTAGCTTTTATTGATCATGATAATGGAAATATCAACTCAGTTCTCTTGTTTAGAAATCTTACATACAACAATCTATATTGTAGTCTCACAACCAGAAATATGTTGCTATTCTGCTATCCTTTCATTTGATGTTTTATTTTATTTTGTCAAGTAGAGAACACTTTCTTTATCTTTAGGCAACATTGCAGAGTCCTATTCAGAGTGAAACCCAGGGATTGCTAGCAAGATCCTTGATATTTGTCCATTAAAAACTGCAGCTTGGAAATCATTGAAAGTAGCTTAGCGTTAACCAACGGTGGCTCTCTGCGTCTGGCTTTCCCTTTGCAGCTGGCCAGGAGCCACTCACTTTCCTTTTCCATGTGTGCTTTGCAGCTCTCCAACCTGGCTCACCACATGTGCTGTCACCATTTCTTGCAAACTTTAAAGTAAATTTTAGACAGGTCTGCTTTAGTGTTATAGAACTCTTTAAACCAGCAGTCTATTACAGTGTTAATACGTCCATCAGTGATATCCCACTCATGTGGGCTTGAGCTGCTGTCCTCTACCACATGTTTTAATTAGATGTTTGTCCACTGGGGACTCAAAGTTCTGTAATGTCAAGACGCCTTCAGTTTTATATATGAGATTCATGATTGCTCTCTGTAGATACACAAAGATACATTCCATTTCAAAATACAGATGCATTTTATATTTATGTAAAAAATCTACATTGGCATGATTTAATATGTTTTAGGTACAACTTAATTGAACTTTGAATATTTGACTTCCATTATTGTTACAATGACATATGCTAGAAATAATAGATACATAAAGTAAATGTAATTACATAGATGATGAAAATATATGTCAGGTACGTAAATACACATTAAAGAAAAAAGCATCTAAATTAAAATAATAGCCTCATTCTATTAGTAATTTCATGGTAGTTGTAATAGATTATGCTTCTCAAGTCATTATGCAGATTCTTACAGGATTTACCTGGAGTATTAAAAGTGTGCCCATCAGTAGCCGTGTGGTAAAGCATGAAAATTATAGCATCATTTTAACGTCTTGTTCATTTGTCAGTTACATGCATGCTGATTTAAATGTTTGTTCTAGGCTGAGTGGGGTGGCTCATGCCTTTAATCCCAGTGCTTTGGGAGGTCGAGGCTGAAGGATCGCTTGAGGCCAGGAGTTTGCGCCCAGCCTAGGCAACATAGCGAGACCCTGTCTCTACAAAAAATTTCTAAATAAATACATAAATAGATAATAAAAAAAGTGTTTGTTTTAAAACAGATGTGGACTCTTTTAGAAAGTTGATGTTGACTTAGAATGAGATATATGTATCACCAAAAATATCTGTTGCTAAGGATATTTGGATATGCATTTCAGCTTGTACAAGACCAAATTAGGAGCAGAAATGGTTTGATACATTTCCATAACAAGTGTTGGGGGAAGTTGTTATTCAGGCTTCCGAAATGAAAAAAAATGAACAGAGAACACTTCAGACTGTGAAAACATTCCAAGATTCGGGTGGCTGAGGCACAACTATACTATTTCACTTTGTTCCGG
Source organism: Homo sapiens (assembly GCF_000001405.40). Classification (NCBI taxonomy): domain Eukaryota; kingdom Metazoa; phylum Chordata; class Mammalia; order Primates; family Hominidae; genus Homo; species Homo sapiens. The sequence goes on along the minus strand of NC_000005.10, from coordinate 11,813,359 downwards.
AAGACTGTGGTAAGTCCTGCTCTGCTTAATGACTGGGATACGTTCTGAGAAATGCATCATGAGGCACTTCGTCGTTATGCGAATATTGCGGAGTGTACTTACACACAAGTAGTTGGTACAGCCTGTATGGCCCATTGCTTCTAGGCTACATATCTGTACAGTATACTACTGTACTGAATACTGTAGGCAATTGTAACACAATGGTAAGTATTGGTGTATCTAAACATAGCAAAGGTACAGTAAAAATATGGTATTCTAATCTTACGGGACTACTTTGATATATGCGGTCCATCATTGACTGAAATGTCCTTATGCAGTGCATGACTCTACAAATAAGATTCTAAAACACACCCGATTATATGAGTAGATTTTGGTGTATATATGAGTATGTGTGTGGGGGGTGATAGTTTGGGTTACTTTTGCATACACAAAGCAGGCAAGAACACATAATTAATGGTGGGAATTTTTTGTTTGACATGGAAACGTGTCCTGGCATTGTGGGCTTTAGTCATGCTTTGATGGGGGCTCCAGTAACTTTTTTTGTGTGGTTCCCAGCACTGTGTCCTCTCCTAAGAGTCAGCTTGATTGTAGGCTGTCTTCCCTTATCAGAAAACAAAGGCTACTATGTTTGAATCTCACATTTTCAAATATATTGTTTGGAGAAAGGAACCTTTTTTCTTTAATCATCAAACGAAAGTGCTCAGCTTTACTGTTATTTTCCTGAAATCCAACAACTTGCTTGTATTTGTTTAGACCTGGATGGGGTCTAACAATGGATGGGGCAGCGTACCTCCCCATCACTGCCCCAATGTGGTGGCCAAGCAATTCGATGCAAACTCATGGCCATTAACAAATGGGATAGAAAAGGAATTGATGCTGGGAGAACTCCACAGTGTCTGTTACTGGGGAGAGTTTGGAATAAGAGGATGAGAAGGTAAATAGGGGTCATGCCATGTCAGCCATAGGATGGTTTCCTGGCTTGCAGTTATGAAAGAATAGAAAGCATTTGGATCTATTTTGAAACTGACCTCTTATGCCAAAAATCTGATTTTCACAGAATTAAAAATGTTCTAATTCATCTTAAGATTAAAAATAGAGCTGGAAAAGCAAGAAAAAGCAGTACCTCTCCCAGCGATTGCTATTCACTGTCTCTGCTTTGATATTCCCCGCACAACAGGACATCTGTGTTTTACTAATTTCTTTGTGTTTATGGTTTATTTCTCTCCTTTTAAAGGTAAGCTTCATAAGGACAGGGAGTTTTGACTATTTGGAACCTTGAATGAAATAGTGCTTCCATTTGGTAGAAAGTTAATAAATATTTGATGGCTACATTACCATGTTTTTATTATGTTACAGTGGCAGTATGCTTTTTTTGTGTTATAGTGGCAGTTGAAGTTTATGAGGATAGCCATTTTAATAATGATTTTTTAAAAATCTTTAAAAATCATCATAAAGCACTTCCATATTTTTCTCTGGATGCCATGTGATGCCACTTCTAAAACATTGCCTAGTTCCTGCTGTTCAACAACAAACAGCTTACCTGTAGATCTAGTGTCTAGAAAGAATCTGAGCTGCCAAGCTGGACATTATAAAGCAACGGTAGAATTCAGTATCCTGTGATGTTGCTGATCTCCCATTATGGAAATGGGGACTTCATGTATAGTTGTTCTGTTTGATCCTTAAATATCAAAATGAAAATAGATCAGAAGCTTAATTCACTCTCTAGTACTTAAGCAATGAGTAATATAAAACTAGGGCATCCATTGGACCCTGTCTAAACAAATTGGAATTGGATGGATCTAAATTTTAAATGCACAAAATGGAAAATTTTGACACCTTTACAATATCATGCCTTATCCAAGAGAATTTATACTAGCCTATTGGATTTATTTATGTTCATACACCTTATTTCATGATAATCTTTAAAGAAATCTCATGTGGAATGGGTAAGTTGTGTTAGATATATGCACACTCAATCAGGGAAATCAGAATGGCCATGAAGTTTCACTATCCCATTATACCGAGCACGGGAGGTGGTGTTTTAAGTCCCCAAGGCAGCAGTATTTAACCACATTCTCTGTACTTCATTCTGTCTGCCCAGTTCTCCATTAAGCTGTATGGTGGTGCTATAGAAAGAGCCTGGTCTTTGGAGTTGGACGGTCAGAGTCAGATTTTAGCTTAGCAGTGCAGTCAATTCCATCAGGCCTCAGTTTCCTCAGCATCTTTCACAGACCCTGAGTGACTGGTTCCTAGGAAACTCAATGAATATTTGTGGGCTGAAGATAAAATCCTATATAGGTAGAGTAGTGGTTTATAAATACAAATATTTCACTTTTAAGATGACTTCTTATGGCTTAATGTGGAATAAGTATGTCTAACTCATAGCACAAACTACAGTAAAATTCAGATGATATGTAAAATATCACATTATGGAAATAGACATAAGTACCACTTTCTCTGTTGCATGTCATAAAGTCTGTCTTTTTTTTTAAAAAAATAGGCCCTTAAGTGCCGACACCAGGTGTTGCCTAACTTACCCTAGGATTTTAAGCTCAAATTTAAAGTAGTATGACAATGCGTAATTAGCTAATTTAAGAGGCATATTGCTTCTCATTTTAATCAATAGCATACCTGTATACTCATACACCCATGTACACATGCCAGTAATTGCTTTGCTTTCCAAATTACAATCATGCCTTATAATAAGCATTAGAAACAAAGTTGTTTTTCAAGATAATGATTTTTCTGACATGCCACAATTGATATAATTGCAAATAATTTTTATAGTAAGAGGAAAACGTGATCATTTTTAATTTAGAAATTAACATTTGTTAAAAAGTAGTAATCCACATTTAAACTTTTAATGCAATGCACACTTAATTTTCACAACATTGCTTGAGGCAATGGTTCAATGTTTTCTTATAATTTATCAAATTGCTTTTCAAGATTAAGCTTAAAAAGTAATTTTCTATAGTAAATCCTTGAAAAAATTATGAATATCATCCCAAATTCTACAATTATCCTTCATGAAGCCCTTTCTTCCTTTTCAAGGTCTGTGTCACAGGCATTGTTAATTACTTTTAAAGCTTACGTCATAATCTTAGCAATTTAACTTAACGTGGTAGCTCAGATGTCAACTTTAGCAAAATTAATACCATTGAAAACTACTATAGTAGATACTAGATATGGATTTTTCCTATAAAAATATAGCATAGTATATGCTAATATTTAATATGTTAAAGAATGTCACATTCAAGTTGGCATGTATAGTCTTACATATAAGTTCTTATATTTAAGATGTCAGATTTGTCCGGGGACATGGTTTTCTCAATAATTAAAAAGTAAGGTATTGTCAGGTTCTGTATGTTTGCTTCAGGGACTGATAGTTTCTTTGATATGTTTAGCCTGGGATTTTCAAGGCCAGCATTTATAGACATGATTGTTTCTTAAGTTCTGCTCTTCCATTGAGAACTGCTGCAAGTCCTCTCTCCTGATAAAATAATTATTTACAATAGGACCGCAGTGACTTCTCAGATGCCCTGTACCCTTTCAATCATCACTGGCTGCACCATGCATTTGACAAGAGACTAGTCAGTGTTTACAGTTGTTTTTTGGTTCTCCTCTACTAAACTGTGACCCTTCGATGAGCTGTGACCAATTTCTATGTCTTGGTATAGAACAGAGCTTTACCTGTTCCCTTGTTTATGCCTGGTGATAAATCAATATTTGGCGATGATGATGAAGTCCCTTTGCTATTTGGAGACCTGTGGTCCGCCCTGACTCAGTTATTCCTCTCCCTGACAATGACATATGAATTTCCACCATGACTTACTCTTTGTTGATCATTTGTTAGATTCATGGTTTATGGCTATCCTGTGGCAGTGAGTAAATTCAGTTAGGTAATAAAATTATGAACATGTCTTGAGTTTTAAAATAATTTTCTTGGTAGATATTCTAAGTAAAGATGACTAAGTTAGAATCCCACCAATGTATTGCTACATGCATATGCTTTTAGAATTTGGAGCTTGAAAACTCTGTAAGAGTCTCCCAAAATTCATCTTTTATATCCTGTTTTATTATGTTTAGCTTTACATCACTTTGAAAGTGATACAATCAATGGAATCCTAGAATAAATGGATATCTCAACTAGAATCTGATATTCAGTTCTCCAAAGAATCTTAAAATAAGGTAGTAATAGTTAAAACCTGATTATGAAAACATCCACATTTGTCATCCTTATTACAAGGAGAAATTTGTGCTTTCACATTTTGTACATTTAGAATTTTGCGCAATGCTCAACCTGCAGCATTACCAAGGAATTATATCCCAAGAATTTTCTTCCCATTATGCCCATATTGAAGTATCTCCATGCAGCCTCAGCGATGATAATTCTCACAGCTTTCCATTCCAGCTGGAGTTGTTCCATTAGTAGTTCAGGTTAATTTTCTTAGTATCGTGGATGTTTTGTCTGCAGTTGTCAATATTTTCATTTCCACTTTCAATATCTTTTCAGATAATAAATACAATAAAACTTATTTTTAATCACTGTGTTGTTTTTACTAAGAAAATAGTAGGGTCCTGAACAAACAGGCTTAGAGAAACATTACTGTGTTAGGAAAATGTAGAAAGTTTGGTTTGCATTGCTGTCTCTAGTGAATGTGATGTGTATTTCTATCAGAGTTTCTGCCTGTGGTAGAGAGAAGAAAGAAAGCAGATGCAGGAGAATCCAAGGCAATGGGTGAGACCAACTAGAAGGGGAAAATATTAAAATAGAAACCATGTAGTTGTAACAGAAATCAACTTCTGGCAGCTATGAAAAGCACTTCAGAGCAGTTGGCATGAAACTGCTTGCAGACCAAGAGCTGCAGAAAAGCACTGAGAAGATCTGATTCTAAATTAAAGAATTCCCAGAGAAAGTTGGGGTTAGTTTAAGTAATGGTTGATCTTGTCCTGATGGCTCTGTGTTGTAATTGCCTGTTTGTTTGTCCGTTCCCCACTCTAGACTGTCAGCTCTGTGAGCATAGCAGTTTCTGTCTGTGCTCTTGAGGGAGGGGCTCTCAGCTCCTCGACCGTCATCTGCAGGTGGTGGGAGTTCATTAAATATATGGCAATAAGTGAATAAAGTATGTTTAGTTATGGTCCAATGACTGTAAGTCTTCACATTATGGTTTAAATCTGTGATGTTTAATGTGGTGTGGTACAGTTGAGGACAGGGAAGGAAGTGGCCATATGCTTTTAGAAGTTGTAGCAGAATCTCTTTGGATAGAGAAGTAGGACTTATTTTGAGGCTTCAGTGCTTATGCCATCCCATTCAAATTCTCATATGTCTTGTGGTACCCTCCATCTGATGAGAAGTTCTATTGTAGGGAGCCACTATTACTGATAGACTATATTTCCTATACTTCTTTTGTACAGAGTACAATATGAGGGTGAGAATCACTGTTATGAACAGTACATAACCTACTCAAACACAATCATTAATAATATAAGTTAATTTATAGGCTTAGCAGTTTTAATAGATGGCTGTTTTAATATATGTTCAGAAACAAACCATGTCATGCATTTCCTTTTGGTGAAGTAGGCCTGTGGGAACATGCAGACAGAACCATTATGCCTCTGTCCGTGCGTCTTAGTACGTGGCGATGGTGAACTTCTGAGAGGAAGTACACAGTGTTTTAGAGTGGGCTTTGAAAACCTAAGTCTGTAATGATCACACAGTTCACAATTCTAAGGTTGTATTAGATGTAAGTCTACATTTTTTCCAGATTGCCAATAAATTCTACCACGTTGATCATAATTCTGAACTCTGTGTTAAATACACCTGTTCCTTTGAACTCGATGACATTGGGAGTGTGGAGCACATTTGCTAATGTAATACTGTGGAACACTAAGGGCAAAAGCAGCCTTCTGAATATCACGTAAGTTAAAAACCTAATCAACACAAGGACTTAGAGTTATGATGTACGTACCAAAATCTGGGAGGCAGAAGGTAGTAGGGATGGTTTAAGCAAGCTGAATCCTTATTTATTGTAGTCTAAAGTCAAAAGATAATGTTTAATTGGACACAACAAGCATTCTTTATATAAGTCTAATATTTAGAGATATGGGAGTAACCAAGGGGAAAAACACAAATAGGAAAGTATTAAAGTTGCCAGCAGTACCAGAGGAATTAAGTGTGGAAAGAAATGAAGGAACAAGTTGTTTTTCAATATGAAATCCTCCTGAACTATTTAGCAGTTGACTATGTGCATGTATTATTTTAATAATACAGAGTTTAAGCAGGGGTGATATAAGCATTGATCTCATGTAGCAAATGGACGCAGAATGTTAAATATTTATTTTTATTATAATTGAATACACACCCATTAGCAACTTGAGAATAAAAACAAAACATAAAGAAAAAGAGAATCACCTATGATCCATCCACTCAAATGTAATTACTACTAGCAGTGCACTGTCTATCCTCAACCCTGCCCATGGTTTTGCTTAATAAAAGTGGAATTATGGGAGCAAGTACTGCTCATCTTTTTTTTAAGATCAATTATTCATGATCATCAAAATAATCATAATGATAGCTAACATTTATGTTCATTATTGTAGGCACCCTTCTCAGTGTTATATATATAAATATATATTAACTTTTTAGATTTCCCCAATGTGCACATAAGTGCTGTTACAACCCTGATGTGTTAGATGGGGCAACCAAAACCCAGAATGCTAAAGAACTTACCCAGGTTTTTACATTGCCCATATTATGTTTTAGATCTGCACATTGCTTGTAGATGGCTGGCTCAGGAAATGAACCCTGGAAATGAATGAATGGCAGTGCCAAAAGATCTTCAAACAAATTTTGATTGAATATATTCTACCTTATTAAATGTAAATTAGATACTATGACATCTCTGATCACTTTAAAGTTCTTGTAGTATTCTGTATTTAGAGTGACATGTGGGCAGTGAGCGTTAGTTACTATTGATTTTATTTGCTTTAAATTGTTAGATATATAATGCATTTTAAAATACATTTTAAGATAATTTTTTGTGCAGTTTTAGATCTACAGAAAAGTTGAGAAGATAGTACAAAGTTCTCATATATCCCATTCCCAGTTGTCCCTCATCTGAACATCTTGAACATCTTACATTACTATGTCACATGTATTGTAATTACAACATTGTATTGCTGTATTGTTATTAACTAAACTCCACACTTTATTCCAACTTTCCTAGGTTTTAGCTAATGTCTTTTTGTCTCTTCTAGGATCATGTGTCCTTAGGCTCCTCTTGACTCTGGAAGATTCTCAGACTTTCCTTGTTTTAATAACTTTGATAGTTTTGAGGAGTATTGGTCAGTCATATTATAGGATGTCCCTCTCCTGGAATCTGTCTGATAGGGTTAGTGTATACACTGTTGACATGACTGACCATTATTGACGTTGACCTTGCTCACTTAGCTGAGACAGTGTTTGTCATATTTCTCCATTGTAAAGTTGCTCTCTCCTGCTTTCTATACTCTACTAATTGGAAGGAAGTCACAATGTACAGTATCCACTTGAGTATGGAGTAATATACTCTACTTTTTAAGGCTGGTGGATCTATGTTCTATGTGAGTTACGTGGAATTCTGCATGGGAGATTTGTTGTTTCTCCCCATTTACTTATTTATTCAAACCTTTATATTAGTATAGACACATGGATATTTATTTTATACTTTATGTTATGATCCAATGCTAGCATATTTATTTTGTTGTTCCAATTATTCTAGCTTTCTTCAAAGGGGCTACTGAGTGGCTTTGACATATTCCATTCATTCATTCATTCATTCATTGTTCATTTATTTATTTGTACTTCCTTATTTTCTGGCATTATGAGGTTCTCTGAACTCATCTTACATGTCCCTGATCCAGTCTTAGGATCAGCCATTTCTTCCAGGAGCCGTGATTCCTTTTATTGAAGAATACTATTAAAAACCAAGGGTGGTAGATGTGCTTGTTGCTAGTGGAGTGTCCTTGTTTTTAGACTGTCAGTTGATATAGCAAATAAATATATGAGTGTATACTAATCTGAGTATATACATTACCTATGAATATTTCTGTATTCAACCATCTGTATCTGTACAAAGCTATATATCAGTTCACAGTGATGTGTCCAACTCTAGTCTGTTACCTCCTGGATCATTCTGTTCTCCTCCTGTTGCTTAAATGTATCTGCCTACTCCAAATATGAGAAACCTGGCTCAAACCACATGCCATCCTTTTACTTAATTGTTCAGTGACAGTAGAGAAGTATAGCAAGATCACAGTCGTTAACCCATGCTTCCATGGGAAACAACATCATTGATTAAATCACAATGATTAAAATGATTATTTTCCCTTTAGTCTTGCAATCGCCATTCATTTCCAAAGTTACTTAGAACACCATTTCTTTTCTCACCTTCTTCAGTGAGGTTGTTTTGTACAGTTAGATTGCTTTGCCACATCTGGCATTTCATCCTCAGATTCCTTGCTATCCTAAATGTTTTTTAAAATGTACATACATTAAGCTTCATTCTTTGTGTTGTAAAGTTCCATGGGTTTTGACAAATGAGTAGTGTCATGCAGAATAGTTTCACTGCCCTAAAAATTGCCCTGTGTTTCACCTCTTCAACCCTTTTCTCCTCCTTCCAAACCCCTGGTAACCACTCATCTTTTTATTTTTATTTTTTGCCATCTCTATAGTTTTCCTATTCTAGAATACCATACAATTGGAATCATTCGGTATGTACCCTTTTCAAATTGTCTTCTTTCCCTTAGTAATGAGGGTTTAAGCCATGTCTTTTCATGGCTTGATAGCTCATTTATTTTTGGGGCTGAATAATCTTCCATTATATGACTATACCAGTTTATTTATCCATTCATCTTTTGAAGGCAATCTTGTTTGCTTCCAGTTTTGGCAGTAATGAATAAAACTACTATAAACATTCACATGCAGGCTTTTGTGTCAACATATTTTCAAATAAGTTGGGTAAATACCTAGGAGTATAAAGACTGGATAGCATAGTAAGGCTATATTTAGTTGTATACTAAAGCAGCTGCCAAACAGTCTTCCAGAATGGCTATACCATTTTGCATTCCCATCAGCAGTGAATGAGAGGGCCTGTTGTGCTGTATCCTCGACAGTAACTGTTACTGTCAGGTTTTTTAGATATTAGCCATTCTAATAGTTGTATAGTGTATCTCATGATTGTTTTAATGTGTAATATACTGTTAAACAGAAACCATGACTTGTATTTAAAAGTGCATCTGCCTAGAAGTCCCTGTCAGAGTCTTGCCCCACAAAATGTGAAGACTTTATAGAAGTACAGAACTCATAGGAGTCCTCAGAACAGAGGCCAGTGGCTAAAATTTGGTAAGATTTTTAACTGACTTGGTTGGAGCAAAAATGAGTTTAAAAAAATGGAGGTTGCCAGGATTTAGTAAGATTTTTTACTGACTAGATTGGAGGAGAAAAATGAGTGGAAAAAAAAAAGAAAAATTTCAAATATTGCAATATTGCAGACCAGATATCTGGGAGGATGGGCACTGGTGATACAACAGTGAATTATAAGACGAGTGATATAAAATTCAATGGGTCGTAGGATCTCCCTTTGAAACAGTGAGAAAAACAGTTTGTGGAATAGGAAGTGAACTCGTCTCACAGTGGAGAAGCACTAGACAATGACAGCCTGCAAAACCTTAGAACGTGAGCTGTGTGAGTCACATGTGACAGGCAGAGGGTTCACTTCCTTAATATTTCGGTAGCCTTAACATTCAGTGACTCTTTTTCTCATCTTCAGTTCAGTGGATCCAGAAATCCTATAGCGTCTACCTCCGAAATATCATTCAGTGCCCTATTTTATGTCATCCTATCATAAGTAGCTGCTAGCAGTAGCCTGCTCTGCACAAGTTTATACAGTTCAGATTCCTTTTCCCCTTTGGAGCAAAGATGATTTTTCAAAAGCAAAAAGTTAAATTTCTCAGTGACCCCTCTTGTGCACTCTTGTGCATATTTTTTTTTCTTTTTTTTTTGAGACGCAGTCTCGCTCTGTTGCCAGGCTGGAGTGCAGTGGTGCAATCTCAGCTCACTGCAACCTCCGACTCCCTGGTTAAAGCGATTCTCCTGCCTCAGCCTCCTGAGTAGCTGGGATTACAGGCACGCGCCACCATGCCCAGCTAATTTTTGTATTTTTAGTAGAGACGGGGTTTCACCATGTTAGCCAGGATGGTCTTGATCTCCTGACCTCGTGATCCACCCGCCTCGGCCTCCCAAAGTGCTGGCATTACAGGCGTCAGTCACCACGCCAGTCCTGGAACTTCTTAATATGGTTTAAAGGTCTCGCATGAACTTACCTTTGGTTAACAAACTTTTGAGAATATTCCCCTCTCTTCTTTTCACAATCTGGGTGTCTTGAAATATGTCAGAGTCACTGATATTTGGTGTTTATGACATCTGGGCTGCTATAAGTTTTTAAGAACAAAGATTATATTTCCTAGGCACATGCTCATAGAAGGGACTCAAAAGTTATTAGTTGAATGAATATGTATTTGATAAAATAATGTTCATTACATTGCTATTTATCATAAAAAGAAGAAATAGATAATCATGGGAAATTGTTCAGTAAATTAGTAAACAGCCATACAGTGGGCTACTATATAGCAATTAATTTCATGGTTTTATTATATATGACCTGGTAAAGTGTATACACTGTAACAAGGTAACAAGTCATAATTAACTGAAATACTTACATAGTATGATTAGAAGATTCGTTTTTTTTTTTTTGAGATGGAGTTTCGCTCTTGTTGCCCAGACTGGAGTGCAATGGCACGATCTCAGCTCACTGCAGCCTCTGCCTTCTAGGTTCAAGCAATTCTCCTGCCTCAACCTCCTGAGTAGCTGGGATTACAGGCATGCGCCACCACGCCCAGCTAATTTTGCACTTTTAGTAGGGACGGGGTTTCTCCCTGTTGGTCAGGCTGGTTTCAAACTCCTGACCTCAGGTGATCCTCCTGCCTTAGTCTCCCAAAGTGCTGGGATTACAGGCATGAGCCACTGCACTTGGACTTTTTTTTTTTTTTAAGACAGAGTCTTGCTCTATCGCCTAGGCTGGAGTGCAGTGGTGCGATCTCAGCTCACTGCAATCTCTGCCTCTCGAGTTCAAGCGATTCTCCTGCCTCAGCCCCCTGAGTAGCTGGGATTACAGGCATGGCCACCACACATGGCTAATTTTTGTGTTTTTAGTAGAGATGGGGTTTCACCATTTTGGCCAGGCTAGTCTCAAACTCCTGACTTCAAGTGATCCTTCTGCCTTGGCCTCCTAAAGTGCTGGGATTACAAGCATGAGCTACCATGCCTGGTAGAAGATTTTTAATAGATACACACTCGAGCCTGCAGAAAAGTTTGGGAAAAATGTATCGCATTTTCTGGGTGGTAGTTTCATTTTTTATATGTTTGGAAGGTGTTATTCCAAATATTATAGGATCAAGAATGCAATTGCTTATTTTGTTAAACAAATCACTGTAAAATACACATTTGCTATTTAGATCACTATATGCAACTCAGAATTACTGATTATTGTCCAGTTATTGGATGCTATAGAATTACTCTTTACTAAAGTAAAAAGATGCTGGTTTTATATTTATGCTCATAGAGTAAAATTTCCAGTTCCAAATAATACAGTATAACTAAGGGCATATAAGCATATACAAAAGAAAAAAAAATTGGTTGCTGCCTATGGAGTTTTCCCAATTACATACCTGGAGGGTGCCAGCTATCTCATTTCAATGCTCTTAGTTACAATGTCCTGCCAGAAACATTGCAAAAATGGAAACTATAATAGTTGGATTATCATAGGTAAGAAGAAACCAGTGTTGCCTTTACACATCTCTGTGCCTATTCAAATTAGTTCATTTGCAATTGAGGAAAAGCCCAGGTTTTGTTGTTAAACACAGAGCCAAAAACAGATGTGAGAGTTAAAAGAGGTTCAGAAGCAACTGTATCATCAGTCGGATGCTCTGCCCTTAGTAAATGTAGCTATCACTGTTACTCACCCTAGGTGAGTAAGAGTTTGCTCATTATTACATTTGTTCTGTGTTGGCTCAGAAAATAAAACCACTGTGCAAACTTACAAAAAACCTCCATGCTTAACTGGTACCCATCAGCTAACAAGACATTTTGCCAGTGTGCTATTTAACTCACAGAACAACAACGACAAAAGAGTGTATTCACTTTGGAAGATAAAATTGTAAAAGATAATTATGGAAGAACAGCCCTGAAAGTGTTTAAACCTTATATTATTCCCGTAGGAAATTAGCTTCTTAAATACCTTCTTTCTTTTAGCCTTGATAGATGCAAAGAACACCCTCTTGAAAAACAGTCGTGAAACTCTGTATGTACCTTCTCATTAGAAAATTAGCATGTTACTGCTACTTAACAACAGTATTTTCTGAAAGTAATGAAAGCAAGAGAAGGGAATTCTAAAATGTATTTTGTGATTTATAAATAAGACTTATAAAGTATCTATTACTTTATCTTTGGATTTCAAATATAATACTCAATTCTAAGTGAGAAGGATTAGGTTTTCCAATAGCTGAGAATATGATGAGACAATGCTGTTATTCTACTAAAAGAAACTGTTCTGCCTAATTATCTCAATTGACTTTATGTTTATCAATCATTAGTTTATATGCTGTGGAAGAGTCAAATGAAAAATTTTTTTAGAAGTTTCTCTAATGGACGGAAGGGTATGCCTTTTCCTTCATCACTTGGTGCTCAGTAGAGTGTCTGGCACACAGTAGTATCACAGTAAAGGTCTGACCTATGGTGAATAAATTAAGGGATGTATGCTAGTCAGTTTCTGTTTATTAATTCTGCTAATTAGATCATCACGCTCAATAACATCTTTAAATGTACTATGTAATTTCATGACCACAATCCTGAGTAGATCCTATCTATATTGAATTTTGAAAGGTGTGTTTCCAGGTATTCTATGTCTTCAAGCTTTTCTTTAGTGTTAGAAACTCAGATATCTTTAAACCATATCGTATTGAATCATCTTTGCTTTCAGTTCTTCTCAGAAGTTCCCTATTTACTGATAGGTGACTATAGAGGGAAAACCAAAATTGATACTCTATAGTGGGAGTAATTCTTTGAAGGTTTAAATTCCATTCAACAAATATTTTCTCAACACTTATTATGTTTCAGACTTTTTAATATATACTTAATTTCATTTCATTGTATCATTAACACATGAAGTTGACAGTCATTGCTTAAATTTTAGAAAAAGTACAGTGAGGCTAAGAGAAATGAATTCAGTTCCTTAGTTAAAGTAGTAAGTGGCTAAATGGGCAGCTAGTCCAAAATTCTGGAATGTCAAACTTTACCACCCTAGTCAATTCCTTCTTAAAATAATTGAAGAGGGAGTTTGGAGTAGTAGAAAATGCATGGAGTGTTTTGATATGAGTCTGAATCTAGCATTCCTCTTTGTGTGTTGTGTGACTTTGACTAAACTACATAAACTTTTCATGCCTCATTTTTATCTGTAGACAGTAGCTTGCCTGACACAACTTAAGTGCAACATTAATAGTATCTATCACTGTCTGTGCAGTTAGAATGCTGTTTCATTATGTTTCAAAATATTGCTAGCATGGATAAAATATTAAACTTCTCCCTCTTTATCCAAGTAGCGATATGGACAGAGCAAGGGGGGGATATTTCATAATATGGTAGTAATAACAGCTAATGTCTTTTCCTATTAAATTCCACAAAAAAGTCTGTATATTGTGTCAGTGAACAAAAATGCATTGAAAATGATGTAACAGATAAAAACAGGGAGTAGAAGTTGATAAAAAGCCATTGGAGAAGGTAAAATGTTTGAAAACTATACACATCTCAACGGGAGGAAGAAGAAAGAGACATTGAACTGTAAGCCATGAAATTCTGTCTCAAAACAAAGACTTGGAAATTGCCAAGGAACCCATATCTTTATTCAGAGATAAAAAGGAAGAAAGCAGGTGGTAAATTAAAACAATACAGGATTAAAAACATCACCAGTGACATAAAACTACCCTAGAATTTAAGATAGAATCACAGAATGGGAAACTACACCAGTGAAGTAGAAAATGGTCATGAAGCACCTGGAGAGTGTGTAGAAAGGTTTTAAAACGATGAACAAATATGTGATGGATGATTTAAGACCTAAATATAAATGCTAGTATACTAAAGATTTTTACAAATCTTTAGTATGAATTGAGGTTTATAGAGGTTAACTTACTCAAGGATCACTCAGCAAGGAAAAAAGAATATTGACAAACCAGGATTCAGCCTCAAGTATTTCAGAATCCTGAGATAGCACTCTTGTACATGAATGAAACTGCCTGTTACCTCCCTTAATTTCTGCACATTAAAATAGTGATTATTTATATGATAAAGAGCACAAACATTTTAAAGTCATGATTTATACTGTGTTTTGTATGGCCCATAAAGTGTATACAGTACGTTTTAACACAAAACGTTACTTTTTTTTCCTGAAATACTTGTTATATGGAGATAAATGCAACCATATAAATCCTCCTTTTTTTGTTTGGAGACGGAGTCTCACTCTGTCCCCAGGCTAGAGTGCAGTGGCGCGATCTCAGTTCACTGCAACCTCTGACTCCCTGGTTCAAGTGATTCTCCTGCCTCAGCGTCCCGAGTAGCTGCCATTACAGGCACGCACCACCAGGCCCAGATAATATTTGTATTTTTAGTAAAGACAGGGTTTCACCATGTTGATCAGGATGGTCTCAATCTCCTGACCTCATGATCTGTCCGCCTTGGCCTCCCAGAGTTCTGGGATTACAGGCGTGAGCCACTGCACCTGGCCAAATCCTCTGTTTTTGTAGAAAATGACATTAAAACATGTGGACTCTCACTTCATACACACACATGCACACTGGCATAATCAGTGGTTACCAGAAGAGTAGAAAGAGTCTAACATACATGAAAATAGTTCCCCACTAAAAGAAAATAGCATTTACAATATTTAAAATTTAAAGAAGTAAATTGATATCTTGGTTTGAAGACACACAAACCTTTTTTTTTTTTTTTTTTGAAACAGTCTCACTCTGTCACCCAGGCTGGAGTGCAGTGGCACCATCTCAGCTCACTGCAACCTCCGCCTCCCGGGTTCCAGCGATTCTCCTTTCTTGGCCTCCTGAGTAACCCGGACTACAGGCATGTACCACCACGACTGGCTATTTTTTTTTTGTATTTTTAGTAGAGACGGGGTTTCATCATGTTGGCCAGGCTGGTCTCGAACTCCTCACCTCAGGTGATCTGCCCACCTTGGCCTCCCAAAATGCTAGGATTACAGGCGTGAGCCACCAAGCTCAGCCAAAACACAAACTATTAAGACACTTTCTCTGTTAACTTTTGCTCTGTGGTACTTTTAAACTAAAGTCATTTAAAACAGTTATAAACATACAAAACATGCTTTGTTGCATGCATTGTTACAGAGGGGCAAAGGAAACTTATGGCACTGTCTTTTTATAAGTAAAGTCAAGCAACTATACTACAAATTTAGACTATTCATATACATAGATACAAGAAGATAAATAAAATGCAAATCCAGAAATGATGTTATCTTAAATTTCTAGGATACTAGCAAACATTTGTTGAGAAGTTTGAAAATTGTTTATTATTTTCATAATTTTACTTCTATAAAATTTCCACATTCAGAGATATAACTACATCATTTATATTTAAATTATTCAAGTACATAATGAGGACGATGGGAGCTTAGAGGTGAATATTTGAGAATAGCATTTAATACTAAACATTTTAGTTTGGAGTTGTAAGCTTACACTTGGTTACTCTATAAAATATTTATGCATTTTTGTCTTTGATCACAATTTGATCCTGTGGTAATGATACCACTGAACCCTGAAACTTGGAATACATCCAAAATGAGGGAAAATTAATTCCACTTATCCTTGCCCCATTTTGGAAGTCCTGGCTGGGGGCCAGGAATATTCTCCACCCTGTGGTGAGACGCAGGCAAGTGCCAGGCTGTGACAATGACGGGAATGCAGCATCCCCACTGCCCTGTGTGCATATCAGAGTTACTCACACCGAAATGATCGGTGATCACTCATTCAATTGTGGTGAATGGAGGAGACTTTTAAAGTCTTTTCCTAGTTGTTTTATTAGGAGATCTCATTTAGGAAAAATATTTGTAAAGCCAATCTCAATGTCAAAGAAACCTTTTTCCTCAGTTAATTTTGCCATTTTCGGGATCTGTAATGGCTCTTTTCCCTGATACTTGCCTTTTTACTGCTAGTAGATACATATAAACACAATGAGATAAATGTAAACACAATCCAGTGTTTATGGACAATAGTTCTGTAAAATTCCTCACTCCTGTGCTCCATCAAAGACAATAATAGTTACATACTATTCCTTGATAATTTGCTTTTTAAGTTTTATCACCAGAAGTAGTACTTCTCTTGAGCTTTTCACAATTTCTGTAACTATTAATTTTTAGCAGCAATATATTTTCCTACTGTTTTGTTATAAAAATGTAGGAAATGGATGGTGTAAATTGAGGTTTAGTTTTTATATAGATTTTTGTAATACTTAACCATCTGAAAAATTAAGACATCCTATAAACAGCCCTAAGTCATATGATTTTAAGTATATTATTTCATTTTCAAAAAACAGATTGGGCTCATTACCTTAAAAATGGGCAAATGCTTATGTTTGAAAATGTTATATGCCCTTGAAGGAAAGCTATAAGAAGTAAATTAAGCAGCACAAAGGATGAGATAAGGTTTTAGCAATGTTATAGGTACAAAGGGACAAAATACCCTTTATTTGGAAATCATTCTTGATAGGATTATGCTAAAATATTACTGCAAATGAAAGCCTCTCAGATAAGGCTCTATGGGAAGAATGTGGCCCATAATATGCTTTGTTCAGAAGAGAATAGTGCAAAAGTAGTTTCTAGGGAAGTAATTGGGCTGGATGTGGACTAGCATGTGTAGGCAGAAATGCTGCATCAGTGTAGTTCGTGGAAGAATAGCCCTGAAAGATGACCTTGTCCTAATCCCTGGAACCTGTGAACATGTGACATTGCACGGTGAGGGGGGTTAGCATGGCAGATGCAGTTGAGGTTGCTACTCAGCTAATGTGGGAGGTGCAGAGGAACTAGTTCATCCTCTCGGGCCACATAGAATCACGTGAGTTCCTAAATGCTGAGAACCTTCCCTGGGTGTGTCTGTACAGATGGGTGATGATGGAGGAGGGTCAGGAGAGGACTCAACCTGCCATTGCTGGCTTTGAAGATAGAGGTAGGAGGCCAGGAGCCAAGGAATACAGGTGGCCTCTAGAAGCTGGAAAAGACAAGGAAACAGATTCTCTGCCAGATCATCCAGGAAAGAATACAGACCTGCTAATGGCTTGATATGGCCTGCTGAGGCCTGTGTGGACATTCTGACCTAAAGAACTGTAATGTACTAACTTTGTGTTGTTTTAAGTTACTAAGTCTGTGGTAACCTTTTCTCCACCAACAATAGAAACCTTACTGAGTAAGACAGAAGAGTCACATCTCCATATTGAATGGCTATTTCTCATACATGAATAACATTTTGGATTTTAAGATACCATATTCTCCTTCCCAAGAAATCTTTGTCTTCTTCCTCAGCTATCATGGGCCATCAGCCACTGTGTCTGGGCTGGTCCACATTCTAAACCTGTCTCAGAGCAGTTCAGTTCTTTCATTTCCCCTTCTATCCCTCCCACGCTACATTTAACCAAGATGATGGAATCTGACTCCTCACTGGTCTCCCTTAGCCAGTTACTCCCCTATCTTCTCCCACCCACTAAATCTGGAGTCACAGACTGGGATCCTAAAATGAACTTCATGATGGCAGTCCCCTAAAGTGAAAACTCTTCAGTGGTTTCTCATTACCTGTAGGATAAACGGAATCTCCTTAAACCATGTTAAATCTCACTTCCAGATTTTTATTCCTTCCCTGCGGTTTGTATCCTCACCTGCTAGTTTGCTCACTCCTCTTTTTATGTCATGGCTCAGCTGAAGGGTCGCTTCCTCCAGAGACCTTCCTTGGCCTTCTAAATAAAGACATTCTTGGCATTTATGATAGCTACTGCCGCACCCTGTGGGCAGTAAGGCTTACTTGCCCTCCATTGGAGTCAGGGCACGTAGTACACTGTCTAACACAGGAGGAACACTCACTCTTTGTTTCTAAATTAAATGAGTTAAATAAATAAATGAATATTTATGGTCCCTGAAGAACGTTTTAATTTATTGTTTGTTATCCAATTGCATAAGGTTGTGAAAAGGGAGAAGTAAAAAATACATGGGAAAATATGGTAAATACAAATATAGTAGTGTTTGGGAAAATAATAATTGTACATTTATTTTGTATGGGGCTAATACCATGAGTTTTTTGTGTTGAGCCTACGAATCATAAATAGGAATGTTTAAACCATTCCAGATGCAAAAGAGCATCCAAGTAGGCATTCCTTACCCAGAAAGACTTGGAGTCTTGCAAATGGAGAAAACCCATCTGCTTGGATCCTAAGCATTTATTTTATATCCTGTCGATCACTCATACGTGGGAGAAAAGATGGTATAAATTCTAATTTTGTAAATGACTGATGTTTATAGTTCTTGCTCCCTACTGGCTTGCAACTAATCATCTTACAGTCCTGTTGAAAACTCAGCATTCCTTGTGGACAAAGATGTATAAGTTATGCTTTCATATTGTAAATTAATTCTAAGTACTTAAAAATACCCAAAACAAAGAAGAGTCTACAGATGACAAAGCAAATCAAAGAGAAAAACACAAATTGACACAGCAAGATTCCAGTCCTCTGGTGCGCTCTCATTGATCTAAGGCCGCTCTGATCTCTTACAGCATGTAGCATCTGCGCACACAATTTATCACCTAATTATATAACGCCTTTTATCAGTAGCTATTGTGTTTCACGTTGATACACCATTTTTTCTAAGTTTAGATCAGTGTTTAAATTTTCAGCAGACTGATGGAAATAATATAATTACCATGGATGTATTAAAATACGGGGACAGTAGATGGTGCTTAGTAACTTTGAGGATGCCAGTTGGTGCCATTTACTCATCCCTCTTCCAGAAATAAAATTCCTTAGGGAAGAGAATTAATGTTGGAAGCTTGTCTGTGAATGAAGAATACTATGATAGTTTCAGGAGTTGGCCTAATGCCAGGGGCAGCCCCTCCCAAGGTGTGATATGGTACACTGACATGCAGTGGGCGAGCAGTGTCCCTGTAATTGGTCACCAAGGGTGGAGAAAACAACAAAACACGCTTTACACCATACAGTGTTTCTTTTCAGTAAATTCAAAATAAGTATATGCCATAAATATGGGAGTCAACCTAGAGATAATACTATGTCTATGAAAACTGTCACATGAGGAATAACATCTAGGAATAAATAACCCCAGTGTTAGAAGAAAAACATTTGTAAGTAATTTCATAGGTATCAAAAGCCAATGTGATTGGTTGATAGACTGATCACTCTATGAGTTTTCTAGGGCTGCTGTATCAAATTGCCACAATCTGAGTGACTTAGAACAACAGAAATTTACCTTCAGTTCTGGAGGTCAGAAGTCTGAAATCAAGGTGTCAGCTGTGCCATGCTCTCTCAGCAGGTGCTAGGGAAGGGTCTATTCCAGGCCTCTCTCCAGCTTCTGGTAGTTCCTTGGCTGGTGGCAGCATCACTCCAGTGTTCCCATGGCGTTCTGCCTGTGCACATGTCTGTGTCCATATTTCCCTTTTTCATGAGGACATCTGTCATATTGGTTTAGGAGCTCACCCTACTCCAGTATGACCACATCTTAACTAATTACATTTGCAACAATCCTATTTCCAAATAGGGTCACATTCTGAGGTATTGGGGGTTAGGACTTCAACATATGAATCTTGGGAGGGACACAGTTTATCCTGTAACCAATAATACTGTGTGTGACATTATGAAAGGCATCAAGGATGAATCCAGGTTTTTTGGACTGAATTACTAGAGGAACAGAATTGCCATTTCCTGAGAAATGGAAAATGGAGAGGAGCAAGTAGGCAGAGCAGATCAGACGTGGGGCCTCGGAAAGATCCACCTGTTGGGCCTATGTGAAGAGTGGACATTTATAGTAAGGGTCGGGAGCCCCATAAACCAATAGCACAGCAAACTGTAAAATATTTGTCAAATTCTTTATCTGTGGAAATCGACATCAGTTACCTTAGTGTCCATTGTATGGAAAAAATTATGAAAATTGATTGCATTAGAATTTTTAGCCATCTAAAGCATTTCTAATTTTACTTAAAATGCATCGCTGGGAAATCATGATATGTATTAGAGAGTTCTGTAAATGTGGACGTTTTTTCCCCCTAAATAAATGTGGCTTCTGCCATTTATCCCTGAGTTAGTTTATCATTTTAAGCCTTTGTTGGCAAGAGTTTTTTGGCTGTGAATGGAATCTGGCAAGGAAGCCTTCCGTAGGGAAAGAGGAAATGGAAGCAGAATAGAAGCATTGTGTGCTGCTAGAATATTTTTCTTTTAAGAGGACATTGCTGTTTTATTGGTGGAAGTAACCATGGAATTTGATAATTAAAAGAAAGAATCAGTAAAATTCTAGGTGACAAGAAGTGTAATTTTATAAAAAGCCATGTCAGGCATGAATAATATCTTGAACACTCAATTCATCGGCCTTGATGTGCTTCCTCTTAGACCCCTGCTGTACTTGTATTTAAATATTTGAAAGCGTTCATGCTTGCACAAAAATATGTGGGGAAGGAGCATCTCAGGACTTTTTCTCTTTCTTATATTTGCAGACCATGTTAATAAAATATTCATGCATTCATTGATTTAACCAATACTTTTGAATTACTTAAAAATGGAAAGCGAAACATAAGCCTCAGAACTAGTTTTGCTAGTTACAAATTTATGCTAACAATCATTAATGATGGATTTTTGTGGCATGTACACATTTAGACAGTTTTTAAAATATATATGTGTGTGTGTGTATTTTAAAGAAAATTGTGTCTCGGTATCTAAATCAGTCAGCATTGCCTAACAGTTTTTGAGGGTAGAACATTGCAATAATTATTATCAGTTCTTCCTAACTATGTAATTAGAGCATTGGGTTTGGCAGGCATTCTCTCATTTAAACTGATTATCATTGGAGAATAAAAACTTTGAGACCGCATGGTCTAGAGAAGAGAAAAGAGAATTGATGGTGAGAAATTCTGGTTTCATTCCCAGAGTTAGAATAGCTTCATCATATGACTTGGACAGCAAGTCAATTAATTCTATTTGTAGAATGTTAAATGCAGTCACCCACTTTCTTGGCATGGCATCCTCATCTTTGATCCTGTTTGACCAGTGTGAAACCAGCATGACTGCATTTTGTTTGCCTAGAGTATCTGATCAGTTAGAATAACAATTGACTTTGCTTCTCTCAGCACTCAGAAAATAGGGAGGGATGGGGAGGGTGAAATTCTGAAGACTGAGATTGATACTACCTAGGAAAGATTATGGATCCCAAAGTTTAGCAGTAATGAATTAATAGGATAAATGTTAATTCTGAGGCAAGAAAGAGCCTCAATGTCCCAGATTCGTTTTCGTGAACCACTTTCATAGCAAAATTACATTGGAGATTAAGCTAGTGTTTCTTTGTTCCATGAAATTGTGTTTCTATGGCAACGTTTGCCAAATACATTATCAAATATACTTAACAGTTACAGTCACACCCATTACCTAGTGGATTGATGAGCATCTGATGCACTTTTAATAAATCTTCAACATAAGTAGCCATCGTGGCATTTATGCCATTTATTCTCTGACCCTTTCGGCCATTTCCTTCCATTTGTTCTAGCTGGTGTGCACTTGAGAACATGTTCTTGCTTTCATACTAGCTCAGATAACATTTGGCTTAATATCAGCATTTTCTTGTTGCACGGTCTTCCTCTTGGTTTGCTTGACAACCTGAACCTCTAAGTTATTTCATGGCTCTGATCCATGAGATACCCCCTGCCCATACCCCGCAGGCTGCTGTAACAAAGTATGACCAACTATGTGGTTTAAAATAACTGAAATGTATTATCTTACCCTTCTGCAGGTTAGAAATCTGAAATCAGAGTGTTGGCACAGCCATGTTCCCTCTGACATCTCTGGAGGAGGATTCATGCCTCTTCCAGCTCCTGGTAACCCCAGGCATTCCTTGCTTGTAGATATGTTGCTCCACTGTCCGCCTCTGTCTTCCCATGGTGTTCTCCCAGGGTGCCAGTGTCTTCACATCATCATCTCTCTTTTTTTAAGGACTCCAGTCCTGTTGGATTGGGCCCATCCCATCCCAGTGTAACCTCATTTGAACCAGTTATGTCTGCAAAAATCCCATGTCTGAATAAGATCATGTTCACTGATACTGGAGAATTAAGCCCTCAACGTATCTATCTGGGGAATACCATTCATTCTGTGACAATTGCTATGTGGGCTCCTGACCCTACCACATGGTGTTCATTCCCTCCACTGTCAGATTGTCCCAGGGTCTGTATCTAACTTTTGATTTTGTAAATAAATGCCAATTTGTTTTCAAAGGACTACCCGTAAACATTTCTTTTATGAGTGATATTTGTAGATTTACTGTGTAAACTCTATGCATCACTCAACATGCAGAGACCAAGGCTGACATATTCAAAGAAGCAAATGTTCACATTCACATTCATCAAGAAAAATCAGCACATCATTACGTGTAGAAAATCTTGTGTGCCCTAGGTACACTGTGAGCATTACCTTACTCAGTCATTACAGCAGCATATAACGTAGGAATTATGTTCATTTTACAAAGGAAGAGAGCATAGGTTTAAACTGACACAGTAAGGGGACCTGTCAGCTCTGACTCAAAAGCCCATGCTCAATCTACACCTCTATGACATTGTCAGTCAACTCAGAGGGCTCCAGGACTTCATATTGAAATGTTTTTCTAATGAACAGCAACAAGCATATGGCAGGCACTAAGTGGCTGAAACTTCTTCTGGAGTAGGGGATAATGGAAAGACTGACAAATGAATGACATGATGCAATTCAAATTGATTAACCAAAAAAAGTTTATTTTTGAGAAATTTAATTTTTAGATAAGCAATACAGGATACCCCAGTAACCCGGCCAGAAATGGAAATCAGTAAATGAAATGATAGGTCCAGCTCAATTTTAAACACTGGAGCAAATTCAATCCTCGAAGCATAAAAACTAGTTATAGCAAAGCATGTTTTGTTGCAAATATGCAAGGATGGCTCAATATTAGAAAACTCATGAATGAAAACTAGTACATTAATACTAGTCAGAAGAAAGGCTTTCTGGTCATCTCAGCAGATGTTCAACATACATTTGATAACGTGTAATACCCAATCTTGGTTAAAAAACAAATCTCTTAGCAGAATAAAATAAAAGGAAGTTCTTAAACTTGTAAAGGAGTTACCAATCAGAATATTATATTCAGTGGTGAAATATGAGAAGTATTTTAATTAAAATCTGGAATGTTATGCTTTGTATCACTTCCAATATTCAACATTGTATTTGAGATACTAGGCAATTCTAAATATGGCAGGGGTAAAAAGATTTGGAAGCAAGAAATATGGCATTATTTGTAGACTTTATAGTCTATATACCCAGAAAACCCAAGGGAGTAACTGAAAAGCTATTATAACTAATAAAAATGAGTCCATTAAGATATTCAGATTAAATCTCAAAATACAAAAATCAATAGCTTTCCTCTATACCAGCCATAAATAACTAGAAAATATAATAGAAAATATATTCTTACTCGCAGAAATAATAAAATTATAAGATGCATAAATAAAATCCTAACAAAAATATGCAAAACTTTTTAGGAGATAAATTTCATAGAAGCTCATAAAGAAGAACAGGATAAAAGGAGACAGTAGAAGGTTTGTGAATGGGAAGGCAAGAGAAAATTACTCCTAATAAACAAATTTAATGCTCTCCCACTCCAAAATCCAAAGAAGATTTTTCAGGAGTGGCAAAAAATTGATTCAGAAAGTCACATGAAAATGTAAGTGAACAAAATAATCCAGGATAATTTAGAAAGTAGTAATAATGTTAGGTCAAATGGTATTTCTAGTTCTAGATCCTTGAGAAATCACCACACTGTCTTCCATGATGGTCGACTAGTTTACAGTCCCACCAACAGTGTAAAAGTGTTCCTATTTCTCCACATCCTCTCCAGCACCTGTTGTTCCCTGACTTTTTAATGATCGCCATTCTAACTGGTGTGAGATGGTATCTCATTGTGGTTTTGATATGCATTTCTTTGACATGGATGAAGTTGGAAACCATCATTCTCAGCAAACTATCGCAAGGACAAAAAACCAAACACTGCATGTTCTCATTCATAGGTGGGAATTGAACAATGAGAACACTTGGACACAGGAAGGGGTACATCCCACACCAGGGCCTGTTGTGGGGTAGGGGGAGGGGGGAGGGATAGCATTAGGAGATATACCTAATGTAAATGACGAGTTAATGAGTGCAGCACACCAACATGGCACATGTATACATATGTAACAAACCTGCACATTGCGCACATGTACCCTAGAACTTAAAGTATAATAAATAATAATAATAATAATGTTAATAAGACAAAGTATGCATGAGCACTGTGCTTGTTTTTATTTACATGGATTGCATCACTAAGCTCTTAAAACAATGATATAACTAGAAATAGACTTCTACGTATGTGAGAATTTCATATATAAGGGAGAAACAGAGGAGACTTTTTCAATCAGTGCTGTTGTCTTAATGTGGTATCTTTGGCTGTCTATATGGAAAAGTAAAGTAATATTAGATTTTCATCTTCCCACTAAACACATAAATTCCAAGTTGATTAAAGGCCCTAAATATTTAAAAAGTATAAAATGTGAGATAAAGTTATGATACTTGCTCTTTGCTGGAGTGAAGGCAGCCCTCTTACAGATTTGAGGACAGGACTAGGGGTCCTTAGCACACTGTCTTGTGCAAGAAGTTATTAGACTGATTTAATGTTGATGTGTGGGAATAACCTTAATAGCCAAATTGTGAAAGTCTTGAGTCCTGAATATTATGATACATATTTTTTGAATTTTTAGTTTTAAAAAATTTAACCAAGGTTATTTTAAGGCTACGGTTGGTCAAACTGAGAAGCATCAACTGGAATTAAAAATTAGATGTGATCATTAGGTAATGAGTTCTGTTTTGAAATCTTCTTAAAAAACACTTTCAAATATCATTTCAACAATGAAATATCATTGGATTTTAAGCATATATTCTTCAAAGCAGTAAACTTATAGGGAGCAATGTTCTATAAATGAATGTCTACTGTGTTTTGTTGGAAAGTCAGTGTTACTAATTTATAGGATCCTGTCAATTCATATTCATTTATTTGCACTTCTAAGGAAAAGTACATTAAGAACTGAACACAATCTCACTAGGGAATAGAAAAATTCCCCTAACAAAATGCAACTCTATTTTATCTTTACCTACTAAAAGCTCGAGAATAACTGTACAAAGTAATCCATATTGTTCAGGCATGGATGCACACACGTGTGCACAGACATGGACATACACATTCAGAGTTTCCTTTATTAAATTATGGGAATGTGTAAAGTTCAGTGATTTCCAATATAACCAACCAAGTATTTCAAATGGAGTTCCAATAATACTTTCTGTTAATAAAAAAATCTTAAAATGCTCAAAATTCAACCTACTAAGAAATAAAAAGGTAACATTACAAATGCTTTACATAATAAGTACATCAATTGCAGGCAGATTAGTCATAACTGAAGGGTCTACTTCATGGTGTGGCTGTGGTGGCTAGATATGTTGGCGTGTAAATGATTCTCTAGAAAAGTGGCTGAAATATAGTTTCTAGTAAGTCATGCATTACAGTTATTAGTGTTGTTGCATTTATTTTACCTATGATTTATGTTCGCTTTCAAATCTTGCCGAGTTGTTAACATAATTGGAGACATTTAGTATATCTTGATTATCAACAGACTGTCCAAACTAGTTGTGCACATGCGTAACAGTTTTGCTTAGCTCTAGTTGTTCAGAATACTATGTAAAGCTGCCATTGCTTAAATTAAGAAAATTTATTGGTACTAATAAAGACTTGCTTTCCCCAATCCCTACATTTTAGGGACTTTAATAACTTGTCCACTATCGCATAGTCCAGAAGTTTTTATATTAGTGTCATGGGATCATTCCATCCATAGCATCACAAACATACTGCCGACTCCAGGTCTGGAGGAACCTAAGTTGCTGATGAGATGTGACCTTATTGTTTAAACAATTTTGCATGTTTGCGGAGGCCAAGCTTTAGGAAGGCAGAGTCCCTTCCTCTGACATTTTCATATGCTTACTTCTGTCCCCCAACTCTATTCGGGAAAATGTTGTGACTTTAGTTCAAGAATAAAATGAAAATGTGGGTAAACCCTAAAATTTCTCTGGGAACTACAAGCTCAGTATGTTAGTTAGCACAGTGTGAGAACTTTGGATAATTCAAGATAAGTGTGTATTCATGGAAATGATTTAAAACAAACAAACAAAAAACTAAAGGAGAGGGATCTTCAGGAAAAGTCCATTTTCTCCTTCAGTTCAGTTTCTTTAGTCCGAAATAAGGCACAAACTTTCTTTAATTATCCTAGCATAGGTTTACATTGTCTTTGTCATTTTTGTTCTGTCTAGCATCTGAAAACATTTTATCTGCCCATCTTGCTTCAGCCTTTCCTGATTTTAGGGAAGAATTGAATTATCAGTAGCAATTAATTTTCAGAACATCTCTGTAGAAAATCAGTAGCATCTAGTTTTCTGGGTTAGATACCTAGGGAATTAAGGTGTAATGCTTTATTTATAACCACCTCAATGATTTATCAGACAGAGAGCATCTTGGGAAACTGCATCACTTTAAAAAGTGTTAATAAATTAATAGAGTAACAGAAAGAAGTCTCCAGGAAATATGCAAATTGATGAATTCCCTTCTGAGAGGGCAGTCTTACACTTTACTTTTCTAAAATGGAATTATGACAGTTGTAGAAGTGAATTGTGATTACTGAGAAAGAAAAAGCAGCCCCTGTCCTCTGCCAGCTGGCCTGGTCCCCTGAGTGGCTCCTGTGGTTGTTGTGAGATGGCTGGGTACCCAGAGCTCAGCCCTGCTGCCGCGCTGTTACATGTACCCACTTGCAGAATGGGGGTCTGGTCGAATAGGGTGAGGTGAGCCATGTGCTCTGCACTGGTCTGGGCACCCAGGAAATGCTGCGGGTGCAGTTGGTGAGAGTGACAGCGGCAGCAGTGTGACCCCCCTCCATGACTGCCCCGGGCACTGGCTGTCCAGCCCAAGAGGCTGACTCATGAAGAGTCTGTTCCTGCAGCAGGGCAGTTCCCCTCCATGGCTGGCTTCCAGACCCAGAAAGGTGCTCAAGTTCAAACACCCTGTCCTGATAGTACTGATGTGTTTGTTACTCCCTCCCCTATGAAGGAGAAAAGTGGGGGAGGAAATTACCCTCTTTGATAAAGTTGGGGAAGATGCTAGTAACCCAGCCTCCAAATTCTACCAACATACTTCTTTCTGCAAGGTAGATTTTGATAATAATTTTTAGGATTTTTTTTTTTCCACTATTTAACCTGCGAGTTTGGGATACTCCTATACATTCTGTCTTACACTTTCCTTTTTTCCCACATTAACATATGTTAGTAGCATATTTCCATCTAATGCTTGCTTCCTACTGTGTTAAATAGTTTAGATTTATTTTGATAGAACATACATTATCCATCCAATTCATATTTTATTCACTTTAAATTGGAACTTAGTTTTTTAAAAAATAACATTTTATATTTGATGTTCAAGTTACTGAAAAGTGTTTTTATATGGTTATTTTGTTCAAAAATCCGAATTAACCCTTCTTTACTCCAGCCATCATTATTCATGATATTTCCTTTTAAAATCTGTATCTGTCCTGTTTCCAAAGAGATGGCTTGCAAAATAACTTGTGACTATTTTTGACCAACACACTATCATCCTCATCTTCTAGGTAAATGTGAACACTATAATGTTGGGATACATTAATTATGTCTCACTGTATTATAATTACCAATATACACAATAACAATTTATGTTTTGATGTGAGGAAAAAGCCTGTGTATAAGGTATTATGATGAAGAACTCTAATCAGGGAAATTTTTTTATTTTTACATTGTATGCACTTATGAGCAAGATAGTTATATGTATAGTCAAGTTGCAAGAACAATAGAAGAAAACTGGTGCAAATTATCCTCATATTAATTATTTGTTGCTGCATAACAAATTAGCACAAAGTTAGTGGCTTAAAACAATGCCTGTTAACTCACAATTTCCAAAGGTCAGAAGTCCAGGCTTGGCTTAGTTGGTCCTCTGCTTAAGGTGTCATTAGACTGAAATCAAGGCATTGACTAGTTGTGGTCTCATCTGCAGGCTTGACTGGGGAGTGGACCCACTTACATCAGTGCTATCTCAGATTGTTGGCAGAATTCCTTTCCTGTTGGTGGTTGAATTCATGGGGTTTGCTTCTTCTAAGCCAACAATAGAAACATCTGCTGCTTTGAGGCTTTCATCTCTAGGCACTTTTTAAAACCAGTTCACTTGATTAAATCACGCTCAACCAGGATAAATTTCCTTTTGATTAACTGGAAGTCAGTTTCTTAGCAACCTTAATTCTATCTGGAAAAATCCCTTTGCATCTGTCATGTAACTTAGTCTAATCAATGGAAGGATATCCCATTGTATTTACAGATCTTTTCCACATCTGTGGATGAGAGGATAATAAAAGGATATGGATTACATGGGGGTCATTTTAGAGTTTTGCCTATCACATCCCCCTCCCCAAGAAAAACCTCCTAAAATCAGTTACCACTGATATTCTTTGAGTCATGAATATGTGACAGATCCTGTATTATTTTCACCTGTTAACCACTTAAATCAAGTTATTTTTCACAAGAATTTAAAACGTTACCTTTTTTCATTTCTCTTATATTTTCCCATTGTCCATTTGAATTCCATGGACATGAGTTTGATGTTGTGCCTGTGTGTTTCAACCAGTGTTATTTTCTATTGCTTATGCCATTTTCAGCAGGTCAACAATAGCTCTTTTACAGTATCCAGTTTGTATTTGTCCACTGATCACAACAAAAAGTCAGCTTATTCCCTAGTGTGTTCTATAAGTGGTTGTTGTTTTTGTTCTGGTTTGTTTTGCAACAACTTTTGTGGACATGGTATGTGGTCCATCTACTGAACGTGGCTGGGTCACCAGCTCTATAGGGTGGTTCACAAGTCTACTCCCTGACTCTTCTCACTTTTCTGCTAAGTGATCTCTCACCCAGGGTGCCATCGAGAGACATCTATAGAGTTGTCCTTAAGAAGAGACAGATAGCACAAGTAGTCAGGGCCTTGCCTCCTCACCTGATAGCTCTGGGAAGGAAAGTAGGAATTATGTCATCTGCTCTATATCTAAAAACCATTACACTAGAGGATTTCCTGGTTGGTGTGCCTCCACAGGGAAAGAGGAAAGTAGTCAAAAGAAGTTTCTCCTCCATTGCATACAGGTATTCAGCATACTGCAGACTTGCTCATGATCTCCACTGGCCACTGTCAAATATGCATTATTATTTCATCTTGGCAGCTCTTCCCATTTACTACCTGCAGTTATGTCATCTGCTCTATACCTAAAAACCATTATGAAAAACCAAGCTGGTCTAGTGGACATTGGAGAATGTGGCTTACGGCTGTGGCCTAGAGGGAATCCCGATGCGGAAGCACATACATGGCTAGACCAACCCACTGAGGATGCCTTTGGTCAACTTAACAAATTATGAAGAGGGCCAGTGGAGAGGCAGATTCCTGAGAGTAGGGTGCAGAAGAATGGTTTTTAGATATAGAGCAGATTACATAATTGCAGGTAGCAAATGGGGAGAGCTGTCAAGATGAAATAATAGTGCATATTAGACAGTTGTCAGTGGAGGTCATAAGCAAATCTGCAGTATACTGAATATCTCTATGCAATGGAGAAAAACCAACTAGGAAATTCTCCTGCATTCTCTTGGCTCCCTCGCTCATCTCTCCTTAGGGTGACTGGGGAGCCTGGGAGAAAGAGCTAGACACATGATCTCAACCTCTCTCTCTTC
Organism: Homo sapiens; assembly: GCF_000001405.40. Classification (NCBI taxonomy): domain Eukaryota; kingdom Metazoa; phylum Chordata; class Mammalia; order Primates; family Hominidae; genus Homo; species Homo sapiens. Next base: position 11,783,112 of record NC_000005.10, on the reverse strand, counting down.
TCTCCGGGATCTGCCCCTCCATGAGCCTCTTCATAATTTATTAAGTTGACCAAAGGCAGCCCCGGTAGCTTGTTCTAGTCATGCATGTGCTTCAGCATCACGATTCCCTCTGGGCCACAGCTGTAAGCCATGTTCTCCAATGTCCACTAGACCAGCACCAAAAGAGAACTTGTTATGTCCTTTCATCTGAATCCTTTCTGAGTCTCTTACTTGGCTCTAACTTGAGCAGTGAACATGGGTGTGATTATTTACTCGGTCCCTGAAAATACTCACATCACAGATTTGGGGACTTGATTATAAGCATGTAAAAGAAAGATCAACATATAGATGAGAAATGAAATCTGAATCTCATAATGGAATAGGATAATGGGTTGTTTGAAAGATACTGAGCGTTTCACAGTGAACCCAGACAGTTCAAAAAGAAAAGAGGTTGAATTAAGGACCAAGCAAATAAATTTTTTTGGAATGCTGATTGAAATAGATTCGTCGTAGTGGAATGTAACCATTATTAAACTATTTTAGCACTAGTTAACAAAGGATGAGACTTCACAAGAGAAACATACATTTATGAAGGCTTGTTTTATACCTCCATGTGGGCACCAGGTACACATGGTTGGAATTTACATAATAGGTCCTTTTCTCAGACCTTTATTGCCCTCATGAGTGTGCATTCAGATATCTGGATAATTTAGGTTTAATCTCCTTCTATCTCATTTTCTTAAAAATTTCAAACGTAGTAAGTTTACAAAAGGTCAGCTTTTTTTTTGTATTTAGTGTTCAGTAGAGCACTGGTTTTCAAACATTTGCATGAGCCCAATTGCATCGTGTCTCTTGGGGGCTGTTTTAGCTCATTTTCATACTGTTATATAGAAATATCCGAGACTGGGTAATTTATAAAGAAAAAGAGGACTCACAGATCCACATGGTTAACGAGGCCTAACAATTGTGGTGGAAGACAAAGGAGGAACAAAGGCATGTCTTAAATGGTGGCAGGCAAGAGAGTGTGTGCAGGGGAACTGCCCTTTGTACAAACATCAGCTCTCATGTGACTATCACAAGAACAGCATGGGAAAGACCCGCACCCATGATTCAGTTACCTCCCACCAGGCCCCTCCCATGACGTGGTTGGATTATGGGAGCTACAATCCAAGATGAGATTTGGGTGGACCCAGGTGTCAATATATTTTTTAGAAACCCTAGATGATGCCCAAGTATAGGCACATTTAAAAATCATTGTAGCTATAATTTAAAAGTAGTGCATTTACAGGTAGTTAGTATTTATAAATTAGATGGTAGGTCCAAAATACACGGGGAGAAGATCAAATGGGTAATTGTGATGCACTTGAGTATAATTCAGTGTGGAGAAGTTCCAAGAAAAAAAGATCAGTAATGAAATGTTTATTTTACCTGGTTCAGAGTTGAGGAGTCATTTGTAACTGTATAAATTGTGTATTGTGTAAATTATCCATAACAAAACACAAAAACAGAGGTTTGCTCATATATATGGTTCTTCATTTCAAAACCTGTCTTAACAGAGGTTGTGTTCAAAGAACATCATGCAGTTTTATCAAATATTCTTCAAATTATAAATTGTATTGCAAAAAGTTGAAGGGCAATAAAAAGCAAAAGTCAGACTCCTGGGGGAAAGGAATCCCCAACATTTGATTATAAGCTTCCTAAAGGGCGGAGGCTGGCTTCCTCAGAAACCTCATATTTCTTTGTGGCTTTGTTAAACTCAGCATTCAGAAAATGATTGTGTTAGGGAACTGATAGATTAGCATGCCATCATGGAAAATCGCAGCATGAAATTGGAAAGGCATAAGCTTTATTTTTTATTTTTTTTAATTGGGCTGAAGCTCAATCTTGGTTCCACCTAACACTCCTTAGATCCCTCCTCTGTCAGTTGGATTAGTGTTCTCTCTCTCATTTGCTTGCTGCGGGGTGAGATAATATTTGCCAAACCCCTAGTGACTGGCAGCAACAGGTGTGTGTTAATGATAGTTCTTCTCTTCCATGCCTACCTTGAAAACAGTTTATCAGTGTGTTTCACTAAAGCAGTGCCTTTAAAAGGAAAGTAAAGTAGTTGGCTTGGAACAAAGGCTAAGGAGGTTGTAACATTTAAATTTGAAGGAAATAGCACTTTATCGGGTAAATAAATTATTGTAGAAATCCATGGTCCTGGGCAGGCTACTTCACCTATTCTTCACCCAACACTGACATCACTGGCCAGCTTGCAGTGGCTCCGTGGGTCATCTGTTGTGTCACTGCTCAGGATTTCCCCCAGGGCTGGCTGGCCTTGGTGCAGTCACAGGAAAAGCATCACCTATTTTAAGCAACTTCAGCTTCAGCTTTGTGTGTCACCTCTATTACTCTAGAAAATCCTGGGCCAGCCTCTCCTACCCTTTGCATCTCCCTCCTTGTAGGATCCAGCAAGAAAAATGTCTGTTTACTTGGGATGTGGCTCTAGGGATCTTCTAGTTGCTGCATGTGGGAATGGGGGTCCCTGGATTCAATCCCATTCTAGTTCAGAGGCCTGCTGGCTGTGGAGTCTAGCTCAGAGATAAAAGCTGCTATTTCAACATGTCCCCCATAGCCTCTGCACTCTCCAGGTGAGAGGGCAGAGGAAGATGTGAGGTGGCTGTGGGCAAAGTTTGCTGGGAGCAGCAGCCATCCCTCCAGTCTTTCTAAGGTCATGACAATCACTGGGAAAGTTGGGAGACAGCACGTGGAATAGAGGATGACATCTACTTCTCAGTCCTACTCAAATTGGCTGTGGGGAAGATGTGATGAGGTGGCTGGCATAGCATTGAATTCCTGGTTTCTGAGAGGTAAGAAAGAAGGGTCCAATCTGTACCTAGGGGCTCAGGATTGGGTGGCAAAGAGCAGAGGAGATGAGGACTGCTGGCACTCTAGGGGATGACACGGTGTGTGACTTGAAGATCCCAGAGGCGGTCAGCTTCAGGACCTGGCCCTGCCTTCAATGTACTACTGTCTGCAGTAGATACTCAGGTCTCAGCTCCTCCTCTCTCGTTTTTCCAGGAACTGGATGAGTGGGGTCCCTCCCAGGAAGGGGCCATCACGCTCAACAGGGAAGGTTAAATGGAGGCCCTGCTTTTATCTTCCTCTTGTCCTTCCCCCAATCCTAGTGGGATAAAAGAGAGAAGAGAGAGGGCAGTTGCAGGGAAAGGTCCTTGCTTTACCGTGTGTGCTAGAGAGGGGAAGATGGAATTAGGAATGATGATGGACTCTTACAATGGACAACCATCAAGTCCTGTTTGCTAAATGATACTGTTTCAGTGACTAAAATTGCTGGAAATTTAATACATTAAACTGAACTATTTTTAAGGAAACCAGCCACCCAGTATAAAAGGAAGTTTGACAAATCACAAGAGGTAGCAGTTATTGGACAAAACTAAAACCATTTGATATTTATACATCAGCAAGTGGCGACTCCTCATATAACCAAGGTAGATATTTGAAGTGCAGGAGAAGCTGTAATACCAGCTGATCTCCATCGAAGTGACTTGCCAGCTCTACCAACCCATGTCATAATTCCTGTTACAGGCTATGCCATAACCCATGTTACATTTGGAACTGATGCCAGCACCTTGCTGGGCACCCTCTCTCTGCAAGGCAGCCTGCAGTTCTTCCCCCACTAGGTCGATTGGAGTCAACAGGGCTTGCTTCCATACCTGTTTGTCTGTTTGTGCCTGTTGTGTTATCAATAGATAACTCAGGTAAATAGCACTAAACCAATGGAATGTGAGGATAAAGTGTGAAAGACAGCTATTGTCTTAGTAAAAGCTATGATAAGTACTTGAGAGTGAGAAGACAAAAATAGTTGTTGAATTAGGGTGTGTGAGAAAACATTAAAAATATATGGTTAAAAAATTCATAAAAATTCAAAATTGTTTTACACTCAGTATGTTTCAGGGTCTTCTGATTTTCCTTGCCTCTTTAAATTAACTGAAACAAGAACATATGGCGGATACACCATGCGTCATGCATGAGGACGCTGTGGCCTTCTGACCAGAGGCTTACACCCAAAAAAGGCCTGTCATGCCATAAAAAGATGGGGCATTGGAAATATGTTCTAATTTTAAAGATATGTTTAAAGGATGTGTCAATATTTGCCAGTGTTTCTGCTTAAACTGATTTTGGGGGATTTTTAAAAGAAACTTTTAAATCTTAGAAAAGTTTTAAGTTTTCAGAATTATTGGAAAGATGGTACAGAGAATTCCCATATGACTCACACCCACTTTCCTCCATTATTAAAGTTTTGCATTCGCATGGTACATTTGGCATGATTAATGATCCAATATTGATGCATTATTACTAAGTGTAGCCTGTAGTTCATTCATATTTCCTCAATGTTTCTCCAGTATCCTTTTCCTTTTCCAGATCCCATTCAGGACACCACATTACTTTTAGTTAGGTCTCTCTAGGATCCTTCGTGGCTGTGGCAGTTTCTCAGACTTCGCTTGCTTTTGATAACCTTGACAGTTTTGGGGAGTACTGGTCTGGTATATTGTAGAATATCTCTCAACCAGGATTTTTCTGTTTTCCACATGATTCAATTGAGATTATAGGTTTAGGGGAAGAGACCACAGAGTAAAGTACCATTCTTATATTATGGGCTCATCCTGTCAAGCATGGCTCATCTCTGATGATGCTGACAATGTCACCTGGTTGGAGTGGCTGATCTGAATCACCTGGAGAACTTGTTGACAATTCAAAGCCATTTGAAAGAGGTGGTTAGTTCTCACACCTGTCTTCTTCCCCGCACCACTGCCCCCCTGCCCCGCCCAGCTCTGCTTGGCTGTCTTTGATGACTGTGACTATGAAGTCAGACATGATGTGCATTTTGAGAGACAGAAGGACAACTAGGATGGGATTGGATGTAAGAAGTGAGAAGCTGGTGACTGCACTTCCAGCTGAACGGTGTTGTATGTAGTTAGAACATTGCCAGTATTTGATGTTAGTTGTTAAGGATGTCTCTTCCATCCTTAACAACTTAAACTGAGATTTCCAGTCTCAGTCAAAACCTGAGATCTGGAAATTTTGATTCTAAAATTAAAAGAGATCACAGGTAGTTTGGGACAAGTAGTGCACGAAGTGGCACACAGTACATGCTTAAGACTGATTGGTCCAAAAAATCTTTTATTCTGGGACTACTTTAGGTCCAAATACCAGGTGCAAAAACTTAAAAGTTTGTGGAATAGACCAGTAGTTCTCAAAAACATTTAGATATCTCAAAATCACCTGGGAGAGCTAATAAAAAACACAGGGACCTAAGGTTATTTAGAGAGCCAGGCCTGGAGAGTTGTATTTTTTACCAGTTCTCCAGGGGAAATTTGACAGGACCAACATTCAAGAACTAAAACTAAGATGTTGGATATAGAAGAATTTTGCTGTAGGGAGATGCTTGTTGTTTTTGCCTAGCAAGCATGCATTTCCCCTGCTTTAGGCACAGTCCCCAATATTTATTAGAGAAGCCCCCCCATTTCCCAAATTTTATGCTGGCCTCTGTCTAAGATTCAGGAGTGGTGCTTTTCTGCAAGCTTCACCACTCAACCACCTCCATCTTCCAGGTCTCAGAACTCGATCCAGGATTGGAAACAACAAAATCAGCCTCATTAACTGAAGTTAAGCAGATGAATGGGAAGTATGAATATAAACATTGAATCTAATCAACACAATAAATTAAATGTTGACTTATGAAATACTAAGGTAGATATGACTGAAGAAGTGTTTTATAACCAATAGTCAATGGACTGTGATGGTTCTAGTCATGGGCAAAATGCCATCTTTGGAGGAATGATAGATGGCTATTGTTAATTGTGTACAAACGTCCTGTTGATTGAGGAGTAAGTGATTCATTTGTAGCTGAAGGGCAAATTTACATGCCAAGAGATGTTTCATTATATTTTGCTCATTTGAGGGTCGATTATGGTAATATATTTAAACAATTTATGGAGTATATTAAAACAAAGTAATTGAAAGTGAGAACTTGCTTATACAATTATTTATTTGAAATAGAAAGTGTCATGTGTGTTATATATTTATTGAGAATTACTTAATTAACATGAGTATTTTTTAACAAGTAGTCACCCAATAGATTATCCTTTTTGAAAATCTGGATTTTCTTATACTGTTTTTATTAGGAGTGTGGATGTCCAGTAGTATAACTTGCCTAATGATTTATTATGGGATGCTTCCTACTTTTCAAGAGATTATAAAATTTTTCACTTATTAAGGACTTGTAAATACAGAATGTTTAACAATAAAATATTTCTATCTTCTGGTGATCAACATTATGCCTTTTTTTAAAGTAATTTTGTTTTTTAAAAGTAATTTTTATTTGCTAGATGAATAACTTGGGGATGTATACCTGCGATAAAGCATCGATAATAGCTACAATCAGATATATTCTGGGTGGAAATCCCTGATCAGTCGCTTATCAGCTCTTTGTGAGGTTGAGGCTATTAATTAGTATTTCTGAGTCTCAGTGTTCCCATGTATAAAATAAATGGGATTGATAATATTATGTTTCTCATTCTGTGGATAAAAATAAGTATGCAATAAGCCTAGCAAAATAGTATCTATTCAAATAATGAAAGCTGTTTACGGTCTTGTAGACTGCATCTATTACTTACCCCCTTCTCTGACCCTCCACAAACACTAGTGCTCACAGTAGAGGTTTATGATTAGAAATGCAATTAACAGAAAATATTATTTTAAATGCATTGTTGTTGGGTATCTATCTTACAGAGGTTGGCTATTTTAACTCCTTGTCTTCAGCGTCCTTTGTCTCACTCACTGGCTGATGAGGGGAAGGTCTCCCCCTCTGCTTCCAGTGTTTTCTGCCTGAAGTCCTCTGTGACTACAGAAAACCTAGGATTCTGCCCCCACCATTGTTCCCTAGCTGTATTTGTTTCCTACTACTGTTGTAACCAATTACCACAAACTGAGCGGTGTACAACACTAGAAATTTATTCTCTTTCAGTTCTGGAGGCTGGAAGTTCTAAACCCAAGTGTCAGAAGGGCCACCCATGCTCCCTCTGAAGGCTCTAGGAAAGAATCCTTCGTGGCCTCTTCCAGCTTCTCGTGATTGCCAGCAATCCTTGGAGTTGGCTCGTGGCAGGATACTCTACCCTCTACCTCCACCTTCATATGGCCGTCTTCTGTGTGTGTGCGTCTGTGTCCAGATTCCCCTCTTCTTATAAGGACCCTAGTCTTTGTATTAGCACCACTCTAATCCAATATGATCTCATTTTAACTTGATTATATCTGCAAAGACTCTATTTACAAATAAGGTCACATTCACAGATTCCAGTGGACATAAATGTCGGGGGTATATTATTCCTCCCAGCGCCCCAAGGCTGCAGACACATACTCTACTCAGAGTCCCTTCCGGGGCCCAGAGCTTCGCTCCTTTGACTCCTCTGAAAGCAGCAGCACCCTTACGAGCAACCGCAGTCCTCCCTGAGTTCTGTAGGAAGGGGAAGGAGCAAGCTCTCCTTGTGATATTGCACACTTTGATTCATTAGGGAAAAGCTGTAAATACTCCAAGGGGAGATCCTTGACAAGATAAAGTGATATCAAGTAGCAAGAGAGTTGGGGACAGTGCAATGGGGGGACATGCTAGACAGTTATTGAGTGCTTACGGAACCTTCCTGTGCTTCTCTCGTCTTATCCTCAGGAGTGTCCTTAGTGTTATCTCGATTTTACAGATGAGGAAATGGATATTTGAGGAAACGGATATTCAGGGAAAGTTGCATGACTTCTCCAAGGTCCTGTAGCTAATATGTGGCAGAAGAGAATTTTATGTCCAATTTTCGTCAATTCAAATGCCCAAGTCCTTTCTTGTTCTCCGAGAATTTAGGAAATGTCTTTCACTCTTTTGTTTAACTGTGTACTAAAATTCTATCATCTTTATGTAAGGCCAGAATGGGAGAATAATTCCTAAAAGGTAATGTGGTAAAAACCGCACTTTTCTCAGCCTTTTGAAAGAGGTGGTTAGTTCTCACACAGGTCTTCTTGCCCGCACCGCCCCCCCGCCCAGCTCTGTTTGGCTGTCTTTGATGACTGTGACTATAAAGTCAGACACGATGTGCATTTTGAGAGACAGAAGGACAACTAGGATGGGATTGGATGTAAGAAGTGAGAAGCTGGTGACTGCACTTCCAGCTGAACGGTGTTGTATGTAGTTAGAACATTGCCAGTATTTGACGTTAGTTGTTAAGGATGTGTCTTCCATATGCAGACAAGCTCAGTTAGTTGAACTGTACTAATGTGCAGTTACCTGTGTGCTCAGATTAATGAACAGAGCTATTTTTGAGTCCTTGAAGAAAATCGTACTAATAAAATGGTATCATGGGGTAACACAAAATTAAACTGTATTCTCCAGTTGAAAAAAAAGTGTTTCTTAAATCAAGACTGAGATACATACTACTTCCATATTGCAAGCGAAAATGTGACTATCTGGTAATCAGCATGGCTGGCATACCAACCAGTATTTTAGACTAAAGCCATCATTGTTTTTTTTTTTAATTTTTTTTTATTATACTTTAAGTTTTAGGGTACATGTGCACATTGTGCAGGTTAGTTACATATGTATACATGTGCCATGCTGGTGCGCTGCACCCACTAACTCGTCATCTAGCATTAGGTATATCTCCCAGTGCTATCCCTCCCCCCTCCCCCCACCCCACCATGGTCCCCAGAGTGTGATATTCCCCTTCCTGTGTCCATGTGATCTCATGGATTAAGAAAATGTGGCACATATACACCATGGAATACTATGCAGCCATAAAAAATGATGAGTTCATGTCCTTTGTAGGGACATGGATGAAATCGGAAATCATCATTCTCAGTAAACTATCGCAAGAACATTGTTTTATTCTCTGTCAAAAAATAGGCAAATTGATGTGTGCTTGAAATATATCTCAATGAGTTTTTCTTTGTATTTTTAATAATAAATGTGGCAAACTGTCAAAGTTCAGTTCTTTTGTAAAACAACTACTTGAATTTCCTTCTGCTTAATGTTATTTGGTACCTAGTTTCAATTCTACAGATTAATGTATGATCTCTTCTTTCTTGACAACATGTTTAGTATTTTATCTATTCTAAGAAATTGGTCAGAACAGGAAGTGCAGATATTAAAAGATAGTTTCTATTGATCATTCTCTTAATAGTAAAAAAGAATTTAATGACTTCTATTAATACATGATGATTTCCTTTTAAAATTGATTGGTTATAAATTTGCATGTTTGTTGTATGCTTTTTTTTTTTTTTTTTTTGAGATGGAGTCTCCCTCTGTCACCCAGGCTGGAGTGCAGTGGCACCATCTTGGCTCACTGCAACCTCCGCCTCCCGGGTTCAAGCGATTCTTCTGCCTCAGCCACCCAAAGTAGCTGGGATTACAGGCATGCACCACCACACCCGGCTGATTTTTGTATTTTTGGTAGAGACAGGGTCTCACCATGTTGGCCAGGCTGGCCTCTAACTCCTGACCTCAAGTGATCTGCCTTAGCCTCCCAGTGTACTGGGATTACAGGCATGAGCCACCACGCCCAGCCCTGTTGCATGCTTTTTTACTAAGTCCTTATATATGGAAACTTGTAAAGAAAAAATAAGTTTGATAGTTCTGTACTTAAATAGCATCTGGGGCTAAGGCTACATTGGCATAACTAATTCTGTATCACAGGAGTGTCCAACTCATTTGACTATTGTACTTATTAAATAATTAAGTGTTTTCAGCAATATTATTAGTAATTTGCATCATTACTAATTGTGTAAATTAGTCCTAATAGTAATACCTGTACGGCACAAAGCAGAAAAGCTGAAAGACCTGGATTTTACTGCTTGGAAAAAAAATCATTTCATTTGTATGGATTCATAGATATATTTGAATTTATATGTTGATGCATTGTTTCCCATCACTTCCTAAAATAGGTGCACTGACAGATGATTGAGAGGAAGTTTTGGTGTTTATTGGGCTCCACTGGCATTTGAGGTTGATTTCATGGCTGACAGTAACTGTTCAGCACAAGAGCTTCTTTTGTGATATCGACATTCCAGCTTTGCACTAATGCCAGACAGTCTGATAATGGATGATGATCTGGGTCATCTTATATTTCTGCTCTTTGAGAAAAAGATGCATTTCTCTTAATTAATCTGCAGCATTATTTATTTCAGGCTCCACAACCATAACAAATTTGAGTTGTGTTGAGTCATTCTGAAAACTTTTATTTGAAGAGGTAGAAGATGTATTCATAGAACATCTTGCCACCTTGAATCATATTCTGATGCAGTATTTTCAAATTCTGCCCCAGATTTCCGGACTCCCCCACCGTGGCTTTAACAGAAGAACTGCTTGTATCTGTGGGGCTTTGTGTGACATTCAATTGGATCAAAAACTTCAGTGGCCAAAAGATCACAGGACTCTGTCTGCTCCTCTGAAATTAAAAGGGATTTACCACCTTTTTAAAGGAAAGGACTGCTATGTGTTTAATCTATAGTTTACTCTTTAAATCAAAGTTCTTCACCATTAAGAGCTCACACACCTGTTTGAGAATTTCATATAAGCTTTAGGACTTCTTAGTAAAATCCACAAATGCATACACATTCAACTTTTCAGAGACGGTTTAAAATATTCAAAGTCCTCTGTGAGCTCTTCTATGGACCCCATGTTAGAACGCCTATCTAAATTTCATATTATTGTTTTTATTATTAATTTTCCCACAGAAAAACCTGAGACAAAAAGCCCTACCACTTGACTTTAAACTCTTTTCCAAAATGAATGCAATTGTGATCTAATGCGAAGTGTAAAAATACGACTTTAGAAATAGATAAAACAAAGGGTATTTATATAATCATAGGAAAACAAAAGCAGAAATAATAAAGGAAAAAAGTTGAAGATTTAATTAAGATTAATTAAGATTAAAACTTCTAATTTAGTTAGAAAATCAATTTCTGCTATTTAAGGAATAGTCTATTAGAAAATCTGCTATCTCCTAGAACAGGCAGGGACCATGTTCAAATTGTAAAATAAGTAAACATGGCCAAGATATGGGGGAAAATGTTCATTTTTGCCTCATAAAACAATGAAGTAACTGTCCTTTGGATCAGCAAACTTGACTAGAAAATCCTAGTACCTAACATGGCTTTTCAGTGTGCCTGCTGAGCTCATAAATCCAACAGCCTACCCAGAGTGAACATTTTCAGTGTTTCAAAAGCCCTCACGTGGTATAGGTCTTTAAGGCAATGATCCTAACCCAAATAATTTATCTTAAGGAAGTGAACAAGCAAGCAAAGGTTTCCATTCTAATCTCTTTTAATAGTGGGAAATTAGAGAAAACTTAAATATTCAAAACAGTAGCTCAGGTAGCTAAATTATAAGGCATCAAGTAATAGATAATAGAAAGTTATTACAGTGACTGCATAAATGATTATGTAAATAGACGGGGGTCAGGAGAAGGTATTAAGTGAGGTCTACAATGATAAAGAAGACTACATGTGATAAAGCAACATTGTAGAATTTTGTTTGTGTCTGTGAAAAAATATATCTCTCATTTAAAAAAACCCTTTAACATTGACTTTTCTCTAAATGGTAGTGTTTTTAAGTATTTTAACTCTATTCTTCTTTATGTTCCTTATTTTTCATTTTATAATGTAGATCTGCACTAATTAGATAATTTAAACATTGAAAAATGTTCAAATTCTAAAAGGCTAACAGAGGCAGGCAGATCACAAGGTCAGGAGTTCAAGGGCAGCCTGACCAACATGGTGAAACCCCGCCTCTGCTAAAAATACAAAAATTAGCCGGAAGGTGGAGGTTGCAGTGAGCTGACATCGTGCCACTGCACTCCAGCCTGGGAGACAGGGCGAGACTCCATCCCAAAAAAAAAAAAAAAAAGCTAACAATGTGGGTTCATGATAGAGCTATTTCCAGGATGGTAATTTGGACCCTATCAAAGGTAATTTGGACCCCTTTCCTTTTTATAATGTAAAGCCTTCCATTTCATATGTATATCGTGATTTTATGAGTATGTTACTAGGAATATTTGATTCTGACAGAATCCAGTGGACATACATTAAAGAAAAGAAGTGATTTTGTTTTGTTTTATAAGATATAGTTGTGTTTCTCATAACCAAGAAGAGGAACATAGCTGAGTATCAGAAAGCAACTGAAACTAGTCCCCCCCTCCTTTTTGGGCACCTACTGTGTTCAGTCTCTGTCTCTCTTCTCACCCCAAGTCCCAGTCTCTTTGTCTCTGTCTCTGTGTCTCTCTCTCACACACATATTCTCTCTCTTTTTGTGTCTGCTTTTCTGATCTACTCACTGTTCTCAAACTTTGCATCATATTTGTAGTCATTGAAGAAGGATTGGCTGACTCCTTTGCGCCCCAAATCCAACAGTCCCAGGACAGGTTCTCTCTGTCCTAGCATGGTCAAATTCAGATGGCTAGACATTTGCCTCAGGGGAAGGGGTGCAGGAAAGTATAGGAAGATGTCAGCCTACTCTGTTTTTTGTGATCACTGTGCAGGCATGAGTAGGTTCCTGAATGATGGGAAATATTCATTCAGATTAAAAATATATCCATCATATTGAACAGTCTTCCTTCCCCTTCCCCTACCCCTACCCCTTCCTTCCTTCCTTCCTTCCTTCCTTCCTTCCTTCCTTCCTTCCTTCTTTCCTTTTTTTCTGTTTTAATACCACGTGTAACAATCTGAATCTTCAGTAGTATTTCAGGATCCTTATATATTCTAATTCTGTTTACTTCAAGTGTTATTAGTTCAGTACTGAGTATTCACGTTAAGGTTAGAATAGTGAGTTACTATCAAAACCCATAAATATTAGTTCCATGTTTTGAAAAATACAGAGACCAGGTTTCCATTCTTCTTCTGTCTCTCCCTATGTCTGTGATGCCCGTGAGGTCTCCTAAGCCCTAGGGAGTTTCTGTTTCTTTTCTTCAATGACTTTCCTTATCCTAAAAGCTTCTACTCCTCTTCACAACTTAGCCCATGGTGGTAATACTTCTCAGAGGCTGATTACATCTTTTAAATTCATCAGCCATTTTGAATTCCATACTTTCCCCCTGAATTCTTCCAGAATATACTTCTGAAAATATACAGAAAGTTATTCAAACTGGAATTAGACTGCTAACATATTTTCAAGTTGAATGTTTAATTTTATAATTGGAAAATGATACATCTGCCTGGAGAAAATCAGTGGGGTTGGAAAACAAATTATGTGTCGACAGTGTTGGTACAGAAAATTATACATATTTATGAATGGCCAAATCATCTTATTACTGAAATATGAAAATATAATTATTAATCACTTATACTGTAATGATTTCAACTGAATGGCTTATTCTGGGGCATATATTTTATGTGTGTGTTAATTTGCATATATGTACTGTCCACTTAGTATCTCTGGTTACCATCTTGTTTTATACTTAAACCTTCATTAATGGAATTCAGTTTCTAGTGAATTAAGTGTCTGTTTCAGTGATATAGGCAAATGGATATTATGTAAAATTATTAGTAGAATAAATTGCCATTTTTAAGCTCTAGAAGAATGTTATGTTTTACAGTTATCTTTATATGCATGTATAATATTCACTTTAAGTACATCACGAGAATTGCTCAAATACAATATTAACCACAAAATTCCTTTAAGAATTTAGTTTTTGCAATTACAAATGTGAAATGATTGCCTTCTGCTGATATGCTCTTATTGTAGTTAATTATAAATTCAAGTGTGTTATCCATATCATTTCTGTTAATACTGTTGGGGACCTGGTGCGCATCACCTTCAGAGAGACCTCTGGAGGCCCCAACTTTGCACCCCATAAAGTTCCCTCTGGAGATTCAGCCTCACTGTGGTTTCTGTGTCTGGGTTTTCAAAGCAAGGCATAGAGCAGGTAGTCCCGAAAGTGACCCAGGACTGGATCCCTGAAGGAATTCAGAAGGTTTAAGTTCTGAGTCTGATGCCTAGAATTCTCCATTTTTAACAAGGTCCCCAGGAGATTCGGATGCATATTGAAGTTTGAGAACCACTGATGTGATTCTGAGGGGAGTTGCCTCTTATTTATAGTCTATGGAAAGACAAAGAATACAAAAACTATCTTCTTTCCCCTTAATGAGAAATGGGCTGGATTATGTTAACTGAGGGGAGCTCTTACCTACAGAAATAAAAGTCTGGGCCAGACAACTCCCAGCAATATTTCGTCACTGAATTCCCCACATGTTTGAAAGATGGAGAAGGAACTGGGATCCTGAAGACACTGGGCATCAGGACCCTTAGGGAGGCTTCGTTTCTCTTGGGACCTCTCAGTGATTCGTCTGTGGCAGTGGTTTGTCCTCACAAATGATTGCAGGTAGTTTTTATCAATGAGCATGGGATAGTATGTGATCACAAGATGCAGTGTGGGTCTGGCTTAGTTACTCATTGGTTATGTGAACTTCAGCAATGTCTCTTAGTGTCTCAGATGTTTTGGCTATTTAATAACACCCAGGTGTGGTGGCACACACCTATAATCCTAGCACTTTGGGAGGCCAAGGTGGGCCGATCACATGGGGTTAGGAGTTTAAGGCCAGCCTGGCCAACAGGATGAAAACCCGTCTCTACTGAAAATACAAAAAATTAGCTGGGTAAGGTGGTGCATGCCTGTAATCCCAGCTACTGGGGAGGCTGAGGCAGGAGAATTGCTTCAGCCTGGGAGGTGGAGGTTGCAGTGAGCTGAGATGGCACCACTGCACTCCAGCCTGGGTGACACAGTGAGACTCTGTCACAAAACAAAACAAAACAAAACAAAACAAAACAAAACAAAACTCCTGAGTGGGAGAGAGACTCTCTGAGTGCTAGGTGCCCCTTACTGCTCATGACTTAGTATAATACAGCCCTAATATTGTGCAGTGATTGTCAGGAAGACAACAGACTAATGAAGAGACCACAGAAAACCTGTTCCATTTAGTTTCATAAAGATGCATGTAAGAGCTTTTTCATGCTGAATGCTGTAATTAGAAAAAAAAAATTAGTGTGATAAGGCAGGTCAACTCCCATTTTGGATTATTAGTGGAAATGAAGGAGTTTGTTGTTTCAACCTAGAATTTTTGTATTACAGTTAAGAATTTAGTGATACATTATTGGAATATTCTCTTAGCAGACAAAACTATGAGATATACACAATATTTATATCTACCATACATTTTTCTTTTTACATAATTTGACAGATATTATCCAAATAATGTACAATGGTCTAGCCAGGGGGAACAGCGATGAAGGCTCTGTCAACAGACCTCCCAGTGCTCCTCATTTGATATTTGCCAAATACAGAGCTTACCTCAACTGCCTCTGCCTCTTCTTCAAAGTGGTCATCAGTGCTTGGCCAGTCAAAACCTAGCATCGACTCAAGCAGAATGGTGCCGTATGCCAGTCTGCCTTGATAGGCATCCTAGGAATCCATTTTCAATATGATGAAGGAGGGGCTATTGAGCATTATATTGGAGGTTTTCCAAAAGACCCTAAGATAAAAAATGGGCGTTCATCTAACTTGCTTGTCAAAGGGAATATAATTCTTGTTCGTGGTTCATTTCTAAACCATCTCTTGAGTGTGACACATACTCAGTGATCTTTTGTCTTAGGACAGAGGTGCACAGGCATGAGTTCTGCATTTCTGGAAGTGGAATTGGAGAGATGCAGTGGGTGTATATGAACAGATGGAGGCATAGACACATGCCCACACACAACCTCACACCTGCCACCACATGGCCTACTAGTAATTAATGGGCATTGTGTAGCCAATGGTTTTCCTGCCATCAAAACACTATTGAAGCACTGATGGGATTGGAGCTACCATACACAGCTGCATAGGTTGCACATTACTCAATTCTAGGAGATGCTATTCATCTATATCTGTGCCCCTCACATGTGCTTAGCATCTTGTTACAATGCTGATTCATTAGGTCCAGGGAAAGGTGAGATTTTTTATTTTTAATGAGCTCCCAGATGATAGCTAATGCTGCTGGTGTACTAACTACATGGAGTCACGAAGACCCAGATGACAATGTAGATGGATGGAGTGTTGTGCAGTGGGGTGGGGTGGGTCTCAGGGTGAGCTCTGGCATGCAAGGAGATGCCACACTCCTGGCCATAGCTGTATGGTACAGAGATCAATCAGTTTCCTGGTTCTCTTTTCCTGAGGTGTTTATTACCGTGAACATTTCTGACTTAGAAATATTGCCCTGAAATTCAAGGTAGGTTTGAAATTTTATGTTACCATATGTCAGGAGGGAGGAGAGGAGATAAGAAATAGAATTCACAGCGTGTTATTATTATTATGTGAGACAGGACTGAAAGCCTTCCCTCCATGACTTCGATGAGACTCCCAGCACCACCCTGGTCTAAATTGAGGGTCAGTTAAGTGCCCCAAGCCACCTATATTAGTTAGTTTTCACGCTGCTGATAAAGACAAAGCTGAGACTGGGCAATTTACAAAAGAAAGAGGTTTAGTGGACTTACAGTTCTATGTGGCCGGGGAAGCCTCACAATCACGGCAGAAGGCAAGGAAGAGCAAGTCATGTCTTACTTGGATGACAACAGGCAAAAAGAGAGAGACAGCTTGTGCAGGAAAACTCTTTTTAAAACCATCAGATCTTGTGAGACTTATTCATTCAAGAGAACAGCACGGGAAAGACCTGCCCTCATGATTCAGTTACCTCCCACTGGGTCCTTCCCACAACACATGGAAATTCAAGATGAGATTTGGGTGGGGACACAGCCAAACCATATCACCACCCATTTGAACATCAAGCGGCTCTGAGCCACCAACACTAATACCATTGTAACTTGCATTATTATCCCTATGGAATGTTTTACTTCTCCCTATGGGGTGCACATTCCCTCAGTCAGCCAAGTGGATGTTGACAATGCAAGTATATGTAAATAAATGATTCCTGGAATGTGATTTAATTATTTGGTGCAAACAATGGAAACATAAAAATCATGTCTAACATGAGCCCTTATTACAGAAGGTAAATAGTTAAAAGGCCTGGTTATATATGTCATGAGATTTCCCAAAATTGAACATTACAGTGCTAGTTTCATGGCATGTATTTTAGAAAACCCAAGCTTTTGCTTTCTATCTCTATACTGACTCTAGTTATTAAGAAATAATACAGAATCCACAGTGTATAACAGATCTATTCTGATGTAATGAACATATAGCATTTTACAATTTAAAATTATTTTAATTGAAATTTTAATACATTATTATTAACAAATTATTTGATTTGTTTTCTAACAATAAGCTGTGTTGAGTCATTTTGGAAAACCTATGTCTATCAAAAGGCCTGTGGAGGTGAATTCCTTGCATCTCCAATTTATCCCCTCCTCTACATCTCATTTGAGCTTGTTGCATACACAGACGACCCCAAGAGCCTTATAATAGCTCTGCCGAGAGTTCGACGCCATTTTCAAGCTATATTTTTAATATTTCCAAAATATTCAAATCTGATCTTGAAGTCCATACCTCACATACAAAATATTTTACTTCATTGTCAGTTTTTAGATAATCTAAGGAGTGTGAATGCAGAAGAGTGGACACAGACCTTGTCTGGCCTGGCTTTCCTTTTCTTTCCAGTCTCATCATCTAAGGTTCTTTTCTTCTGGTCTTTGCTCCCCTTCTCTGATCCACCTGGCAGCCTGGAACCTTGCTGTGTGTATGACTGCCTCTGCCCAGGTCACACCTCCCAGTGGTTGGGACTGCCCCTTCTCCACCTTCCCCCTGAGCGGCTTCTGCTCGTCCCTGGGCATTTGGCCCAGCAGTGTGTTCCCCAGGCATGATCCTGACCTTACCATCCCAGTCTAACCATTTTAACATTTGTTTCATTATAGAGACTCTCTCTTAATTCATCTGCCCTTAGCCTAGAACCACAGAACTGCAAGATCCTCTGACTTTGCTTGTCTGCATTAAATTGGTCTGGTATTCTCTATGCTCAATGCATCAAATAGAGGCTCATAAACATTTTCTCTATGAGGAAGAAAGGAAGGGAGGGTGGGGGGGGCAGGATTAATGACTCACTTATTGAGGATGGATTTTACCATATTCATGTTGCCCCATGGCCAATGGAACTTGATAAATTTGCAGTCTGAGTTAGATAATATTCTTTATTTTTTATCTGGACACTTTTTTTTTCATACATGTAAGTTTGACTTTGATTCATGTGCATTGGGTCTGCAGTATTGGCTACTCAGTAACACTTTGTAGTAGAAACTGGTTTTGTTGTTTATTATTTGATCCTCAGTGCTGAGCACAGTAGCTGGCCCACAGAAAAGGTATGTTTAATAGCACAGTCAACTAATGGCATTGCTAGAACCAGGTTAAAGAGCTGACTGAACTGTATCAGTTACGATCTTTGGTTACAAGTTGAAGAAACCACTGATTTGCTTCCAGGGGGAAAGGAAAAGTCACATGTTGGAACCATATGACATGCCCATAAAAGAAAGGGAAATGTCCAAAAGCCAGGAGTTAGGAAAGGCAGGACCCAGGAAGACTCCAGGGATATGAGCATCAGGGACTAGTAGACAGTGGCTTTGGGGTGGCCTCACCAGCAGAATCAAGTTCAACTGTTTTCTATCTTTTTTTTTGCTTTTTGATCCCAAGAGGAGCCCACTCAGAGACATGCCCACAATGGGCCAGGAAATTGCGGCTGCTGTAACAGATTGTCACAAATGTGGTGACTTAAAACAATATAAATTTGTTACTTTCTACTTCTGGAGGCCAGGAGTCTGAAATAGGCCTCACTTGGCCAATATCAAGGTGTTGGTAGGTCTGCACTGCTTCTGAAGCCTCTAGAGAAGAACCCATTTCCCTGCCTTCTCTGACTTCTAGAGGCTGCCTGCATTCCTTGGCTCGTGGACCCTTCCATCTTCAATGCCAGCAATTACATCATTCCTTCTTCCTTTGTCACATCTCCTTCCTGACTCTGACTTTCCTGCCTCCCTCTTCCATTTATAAGGACCCTGTGATTACACTGGGCTCAACCAGATAATCCAGCATAATCTCCACATCTCACAGCCAGCTAGTTAGAAACCTAACTTTCATGTGCCCTAATTTTCATTGCCATTTAACATAATATATTCACAAGTTCCAAGGATTGGAATTTGGATATCCTTGGGGGCCAACTCTGACTGCAGAGTTGTGGACCCTTGATTGGGAGTCCATAAAATTTCATGCAATGTCAGGATGAGTAAGTCTGTCAAGGAAGATCAAGATGCAATGAACAAAAACAGGGAAACCAGCTACTGATCAACCAAAACAACTAATTTCCACTGTACTCATTGAAGCTCATATCATCCATTTTTGACGCTAAAAGTGCCTTGTAAAGATGTTTCTCCATTCAATGAGAATATCTGAAATTGTGTCAGTGAATTTGCTAATATGAAATGTTTAAAGTAGCATTCAGGGAAGCCATTTCCTCTGAATTCTCTATTACTTACTTTGGAAGCTCTTGTAATGCTCATTGGATCAAATTTGGAGGACAATTAAAGCTAAGTCAGTGTTTCTTCTACAAGAGTTTCTCTGGTCAATTGAAGCACAGGCAGGTGGAACATTAATAAGCCAAATAACCTGTGCAGAATGGGTCATGATCATACAATGAAATGACCTACAGGAGTTTTTAGTCCATTGACTTACTGTCATAGGGTTACTTGGGCTTGGGTAGTTGGGCAGAAAGCACAATGGCTGAGTAAAGAGTGTGTTTCTCCCATTTTCATTGCCTTATGTAAGCCTTTACTGTATTAGTTCTTTCTCACACTGCTATAAAGAACTACCTGAGACTGGGTAATTTATAAAGAAAAGAGGATTAATTAGCTCATGGTTCTGCAAAGTATACAGGAATCATGGCTGGAGAGGCCTCAGGAAACATACACTCATGATGGAAGGTGAAGGGGAAGCATGTACCATCTTCACATGGCCAGCAGGAGAGAGAGAGTGAAGGAGGAAGTGCTACACATTTTTAAACAACCAGGTCTCATGAGAACTCACTGTCATGAGAACAGCAAGGGGGAAATCTGCCCCTATGACCCATTCACCTCCTACTCAGATCCACCCCAACACTGGAGATTACAATTCAACATGAGATTTGCATGGGGACACAGAGCCAAACAGTAATATTTACTAACAGCAAGTGGAAAGGAGTTCTGTATTTTAGATTAAGAACAGTTGCCCAGGCAAAATTCAGTTGGTGAATTATCATTCTTTTGTGAACTCAAATGTGTGGTTTCAGATCCAAATCCATATATGAACAGGAGAAAATAACTAGACAGAAGGCAGTACTGGGGTTTGACCAGTCCATGTGGAAGATGTATTGCTGTACAGAGCTGCTCCAGGCAACTCCAGGACGATAAACTTATTATTCGTGAAGGCCTGGGTTAAACTCAGAAGGTCATTACAAAATATGTCATGCATAAAAGCAAGCAAAGGAGAAATTTGCTTGATTGCTATCATCCATCTTAAAGCAAGCTTTCATTTGGAAATTGTAATGGAGCTTTATTTTGTCTTTAATTTACTTTTCAAAATAATTCTTTTTTGGATCATTTAGTTTCCTGGATAAGCAAGTGTTTCATATGCACATATGAGGTCTATTTTGTGCCAGGTACTTCATTTTGGTTTGTTGTGCAAGATTTGCAAGATTGGAAGCATGCTCTAGACATTACAGTATAGATCTAATAACCAAAACTTACGTTTCTATTCTCTGCTCTATTAAAGACTCAGGGTATGACCTTGAAAATGTTACTTAATTTCTTTATGCCTCATTACCCTCCCATTTATAAGATGTCTGGGCAACGAGTCCTTACTCTCCCTTGTGCTGCACAAGGGTTACTCATGTGCATCTGTAGTTTTTGCTGTGTGCAAAGAGGAAATGTATAGAATGGATGCCATTTTTGTAGGGGACTCTAGAATTGACAACGTGAAATTGAGATTTCATCCAGTTATATCAGTAAGCATATTTTTGTATTTAAAGGTGCATTTAATTTTCTAGATAATAGAAACTAAATATGATAGAAGTCGCCTATGCCTGTGGATAACACAATTTTTTCTCTTATTTGACTAATGTCACTTAATCTATATATATGTGACCTGGTCCTTTCATTTTTCAATTTCCACATTTTTTTCTAATTATGGTAGAATCTAGTTTTCCAAATTTGCCCATTGCGTTAACTATGGTGATCAACTTAGATTTTTAAATAGGAAGTTTTCTTGGTTACCAATATAAGCTACACATTTTTTGTATAAAATAGTGCACAGTATACCAGAAATAATTAGTGTTAGATCCTATGCTACTTGAAAACCTGATGGAGTCTTTTACAGCCAAAACAGAGTTTCCTGTATTCACACAAGCTTCATCCTCTGCACTAGAGTTGTTTGTTCTAAATCAGTAGGTAGCAACTCTAATAACTTGAGTTTATTGAAATATTATGATACAAATTTAAATACAATAAATTCAAATCCAATACTTTATTATTTACTTTTTCCTTGGTGAAAAAGCGATTAGATTGTTACTAGATATTGTACCATCTTGAATATAAAATCTACAAATTAATTTCTGATTAACATTATTTTTCCTATTTAGTTCACTTCACTTTGTTCAGAATATCAATGGAACTTTAATCCTCTGTTCAAAGTTCACAAAGCTGTTTCACTTTTTAAGATAGCAAATTGAGAGACTTTTTTTCTCAATTGTGCAAATTATATGTGTGGTACACAGAAATTAGATAATGATTTTCCAATAAGATGATGTGTAGATTTGTTATTCTAAATTGAAATTCAGTCACTTGTACAATTTAAATTTAGCATCGTTCTCAGAGTAATTACAGTTTCATGAAATTGGTCTATCCGAGTGCATTGCCTCATGCGGGTGCCGTGTGCAGACACAGTTACAAGGGAGCAGAGGCAGATTCCAGGCGAAACAAAAGAGCCCTTCAACACTCGGTATCGTCTTTGGTGGAATTATTGACATCATCAAGTACCAGTAGCCACTTGTTTCTTAATTAAGTTAATAAATGACTAATTGATCCAGCAAGTAAATGATTCCAGGCAAAACAAATACTCATACAATGAAAAGACCAACTAAACAATCACATAACAGGCAGAATAGGTTAAACGTGATCAATTCACTTACTGTTCATTCGTTCATTCATTCAACCAATAAGTGTTGAGACCATGGTTGGTAAAAACTCTTTCAATCAAGAGATTGAGTTAAGAGGAGTCATTTAAAATAGAGAATCATTAAAAAAAAACTACATAAATGCTGTATTCGTTTTATTTTTAACTTAATTGTACATGTGTTCACTAACTGTATAGGACCTAGGTCAGTTATTTAAATATGAGTCTGCTCGTAATAACATGGAATGAGCATTCTTACTGCTCCACTCCCTACTCTTCCTTCCTTCCTCTAGGAGGAATCTAAGAAACTTTTGAAGTATTTTAAAGAAGAATCCTTCTAGATGTTTATAATTTTTCCTTTGCCTTTTACAATTACCTTATCTATAATACCACGGCATTTTTCAGTGGCTTATCTTAAAGGAATTTCAACAAGTATTCATAAAATAACAAAAACTATTCTTGATGCAGTTATGTCTCATTGTCTTACATATGTTTAATCACATAATATAATTATTAGATAAAATTGAAATGAATGGGTTTAGAAGCAACACAACTAGCTCCTGGTAATAGGCCCCTTAACCAGAGGAGGCAGAAGGGTCCCAGGCTCCTGTGGAGTAGATAGATGACCACAGGTGCAATGAGGGGCTGGGTAACAAGGATTGTGGAATGGAGTCATTCCCAAGAGCTTCTAGAATACGTGGCCATTGTGGTAGGCACTGGAACACCAAAGCAAGCCCTCTGAAGACTTTCCTACTTAGAAACCTTCCTTCTTCATAACCAAAATGTATGCTTTAGATCCAATTGCTATATTAATTATTTTACCTATGGCTTCTCCAAAGTAGGAAGGAGGGATAAATAGGATTTTTTTTTTTTTTTTTTTTTGCATCCAGTACTCAATGCCAAGTACTGGACCTGGCAAAGTATGTGGTCCATGAATGATTTTTTAATTAATGAATAATTTACCAAATTGGTATCAGTATTTAGAGGCATCCAGTAGATTAACAGCACAGTGTAGTGACTGAACCATAGGCCATGTGAGTTCAAACAGTAGCCCTTCCCTTTGCCACCTTGGGGAGGTTAACCTCCTGTATCTCAGTTCCATCATCTAGAAAAGAGGATAATAATAGAAGTACTGCATAGCATTGCTGTATTAGTTGAGTCAGTACTGGAGGAGCTTAGAATAATGCCTGGTCCATAGTACGTACACAATTAGTGTTATTATTACACTGTAAAAATTTCTCTTTAACTTAGAATGTTATTACCTCATATGTATAACAATCCATGTATAGATAATCTTTAGCATACATGCTGAGATCAGTATGACACTGATATGCATTTTTATTGCTTTTTGATCTAAGACAGAGAAATTAATTGATAAGAAACCTGATTGTAAAATAAATATAGAAAAAACTTTTGTAGTTGAATATTTGTGCTTTGTCTAACAAAAATCTGTATAACTACCATGTTTGCATAATTGAGATTTTAAAAAGAAACATCATATTGATTTATATTTATGTATCATTTTCCTTAAGATCCTTGGACATGTTTATAAAAAGCAAATTCTGATTTTAAGCATTTGCTAGTATGCTTTTAATAGCTCCTGCAGGTTATTAAGGTTTTCATAATAGACAGTTAAACATAAAACAATTTTTGCTCTTTGTAAAATATAATATCCCTAATTGATTAAAATTTCATCTCCCAATTATCTTTTGGAGAGGAAAGTTTGTTAAAAAAACAGTGACATAAAAAGGTAGATTATAATCAGGTTCATGCTTGGACCTCTCCCTCCAAAAAGACCAATCATGCTAAAATATTTCTATGTAAAGAAGCAAGTGCTTCCTACCTAATTTACAGAAATTTTGTTTTTTTACATAAAGTCAAAGTTTATTTTTCCACAGGTTATTCTTGTTTTATTTTAAATTTGTTTAATATTTTTGAGCACTTATAATTGACTGATTTTCTAACAACTAAATATTAAAATATTTGACATTTTATTCAGGAATAATTTATGTATTAGAGAGTGGTAACTGTTGATGATGTGAAACATTCTAAATGTACTGAAAAGAAAGAACAAAGAAAATAAAATGTGTGAAGTCTACTGCCATGAGGGGAGTTCTCCTAAACATAGAATAATTTAATTGGTCAGGGAAATTACTTTTAAAAATACAGTAGAGAATACTACAAATGAATTTTGAAATGTTAAATATTATTTTTAGACTGGGAATATGATAATTTAAACCTGTTTACTCATATCTAAGATTTACTATATGATATGGTTACATAAAGTAATTGTAAACACAGAGAAATTACAGCTTTTCTGAAATTTGTCTTTGGAGTTTTGAATAAGCATGGTCTCTTGGAAGATAACTGACTTCACAACACATTAAAAAGGTACTATATGATGGTTACCAGATGCTAAGGCCTGAGTGGATGGGGAAAGGGGAAATGTTGGTCAAGAGGTGCAAAGTTTCCATTAGACAGGACGAATGAGCTTTCCTGATCAATTATACAGAATAGTGACTAAAATAACTGCATTGCATATTTTAATATTGGTAAAACAGTAGAAGTGAAATTTTTTTTAATCAAACAAAAATTTATGGTTATAAATGTGTTAGCTATCCTGATTTAATTATTCCACACCATAAATATATATCAAAACATCATATCATACTCCCTCATGAATGTATACAATTATGTATCAATTAAAAATACAAATTTTAAATAGATATTGGTATCATAGGGAATTAGAAAGATGGCATCTTCAGGATTTCAG
Organism: Homo sapiens; assembly: GCF_000001405.40. Lineage (NCBI taxonomy): Eukaryota > Metazoa > Chordata > Mammalia > Primates > Hominidae > Homo > Homo sapiens. The sequence goes on along the minus strand of NC_000005.10, from coordinate 11,758,158 downwards.
AAGTAATTACCGTCTAAGTGACAAAGCTGAAGGATTTATCTAAAATTATAAAAACAACTTCCTTGAAACTAATGTGTATTGTTTTGTAATAGGATGTATATGCAAAAGAACTATTACATCCAAACATTGACTATTCTGGGGTCTAATCAAAATAATACATGACAAGATGTCAGAAATTTAGTTTAAAATCTTTGACTGCCCCTGACTACACTTCTGAGACTGTACATGCTGTTTATTTTTCCTGAGTCTCATCTTTCTCCATTTGTGAAATGAAGTTAAAAGTAATGACTTTTTACATTGGATGTAAGGGTCAGAAGATTTTTATCTGTAATTGCAGTAAAGTGGGTAAAGTGCTATAAGAGAAATACAACAACACTACTTTGACAAGTCATAGAAAGATGACTCATGTTTTTCTGTTAATGGAATCAGCTTTTTGTCTAACGGACTCTACAGTTTAAAATGTCATTTTACACAAAAGAAAACAATTATACATTACATTTTAACTGTCAGATTATTAAAAATTTAAATGACGACTCATATCTCTGTTTGCCAAAGGGCATGTAATTTGGCATTCCTTTATGTTGTTGGCGAAGTCTCCATTGGAAATGCGTTGGGAACAAGATGGCTGCATCTGTCACAGCTTAAGATGTTTGTATTCTTAGACACAGCAAATTCATTTCTAGGAATTTATTCTAAAATAATACTCACACATACACACATACACCCTTATAAAGTGATCCTGATTTCAACATATATTTATGAGCAAAATAAAAAAAGAAATGAAAAAAGTATTTGTAGAGGAGAGAACTAAAAATGATACATCAATACAGTGGGATAGCTGCGTACAGATTTAAACAACATGATAAATTCATAATGGTCTGAAATGGTCTCGAAGACATCCTGATTGGAAAAAAAGTTACAGAACAATATATATAGCATCATCACATTTTTGTTATGTGTGTGTGTGTGTATATGTGTGTATATCGATTTGTGTGTATGTGCATGTATGTATGTATATGTGTGTACCTTTACATATATATGTAAATTGATAGGGGAAAACTAGCAGAATACCCATAAAATATGACTGCTCAGAAATTTGTCTATATGTTGTTTTTATTGTTTTAAGTTGTTTGAATATTTGAAAACCAGATATTGTGTAATTTTTCAGGGTGTTAAGCAACTTTTTATAATGGTACTATGAATTTTTATATTGGAGTCACATTTCCTTTAACTTACCAGTTTAAATGTATTCTTAAAATACTTAGAAGTGATTATTGACTTTTCACATAACAACTAAAAGCAATGCAATGAAAACAACATTTGTAGAGGAGAGAACTAAAAATGTTACATCAATACAATGGGATAGCTGTCGACAGATTTAAACATGATAAATTCATAAGTAATGGTCTGAAATGGTCTCCAAAACATACTGATTGGAAAAAAAAGTTACAGACAATATATATAGCATCATCACATTTCTGTTAAGTGTGTGTGTGTGTGTGTGTGTGTGTATGTATGTGTGTGTATATCGATTTGTGTGGATGTGGATGTATTTATGTATATGTGTGTACCTTTACATATATATGTAAATGGATAGGGGAAAACTAGCAGAATACCCATAAAATATGACTGCTGAGAAATTTGTCAATATGTTGTTTTTATTGTTTTAAGTTGTTTGAATATTTGAAAGCCAGATACTGTGTAATTTTTCAATGTGTTAAGCAACATTTTATAATGGCACTATGAATTTTATATTGGAGTTACATTTCCTTTATCAGTTTAAATGTATTTTTAAAATACTTAGAGGTGATTATTGACTTTTCACATAACAACTAAACAACTGTTTATCCAGTGTTCAGTTTTTGAGTACTGTATTTTTTTTACTCAGATCAGATAGAAGTTATAATATTTAAAAAAATTTTCTATATTCTTGAATCAGCCACTTGTTAATAATTTTGTAGTGCTTGCAGCCTAGGCTTTATAACTGTTTAAAATTATTTTGGTTTTCTTTTCCGAATTTTATGTTAAATCTAGGCACAAAGTTTTTGCATAATGTTAGCATTAAAAAGCAGTCTTTTTGAAGGAACACTAGCTTACTCAGATGAGAAAGACCACAACAAGAACTCGGATAACTCAGAAAGCCAGAGTGGCTTCTACCTCCACATGACCACACTAGTTCTTCAGCAATGGTTCTTCACCAGGCTAAAATGATTGAAGTGACAGACATAAAATTCAGAACAGGAACATAGGGTAGGAAAAAAGATCATGAAGATTCAGGAGAAAGTTGAAACTCAATCCAAGAACTATAAGGAATAAAATAAAATGATACAGAAGCTGAAAGATGAAATAGCCATTTTAAGAAAGAACCAAACTGACCTGGTAGAGCTGAAAAGCTCACTTCAAGAATTTCATAATATAATTGCAAGTATTAACAGCAGAATAAACCAAGCTGAGGAAAGAATCTCAGAGCTCAAAGACCAGTTCTGCAAAATAAAATGATCAGACAAAAAAAAAAAAGAAGAATGAACAAAAACTCCTAGAAATATGGGATTATGTAAAGAGACCAAATGTATGACTCATCGGTGTCCCTGAAAGAGTGGGAGAGTAAGCAAGCAACTTGGAAAACATATTTGAGGATATCTTCCCTGAAAACTTTCCTAGCCTTGCTAGAGAGGCCAACATTCAAATTCAGGAAATGCAGAAAATGCCTGCAAGGTATTACAAGATGACCATCGACAAGACACATAGTCATCAGATTCTCTAGGATTGAAGTGAAAGAAAAAAATATTAAAAGCATCTAGAGAGAAGTTACAGGTCATCCACAAAGGGAACCTCATCTGGCTACTGGTGGACTTTTCAGCAGAAACTCTACAAGCCAGAAGAGATTGGGGGCCTATATTAAGCATTATGAAAGAAAATAAATTGCAACGGAGAATTTCATATCCAGTCAAACTAAACTTCGTAGATGAGGAAGAAATGAGATCCTTTTCAGACAAGCAGATGCTGAGGGAATTTGTTACCACCAGACCTGTTTTACAAGAGGTCCTGAAGGGAGTGCTAATTATGGAAAGGAAAGAATGTTCAACTAGCCACCACAAAAAGACACACAACTACATAAATCAGTGACACTATACAGCAACCACACAATCAAGTCTACATAATAACCAGCTAATAACAAGATAATATGATCAAATCTGTACATATCAATAGTAACATTGAATGTAAATGGCCTAAATGCCCCAATTAAAGGGCACAAAGTGGCAAATTGTATAAAGAAGCAAGATTTACTGTCTTTAAGATACTTACCCCACATGGAATGAAACCCACAGGCTCACAGTAAAGGGATGGAAAAAAATCCACTATATAAACAGAAAAAAGCAGGGGCTGCTATTCTAATTTCAGACAAAACAGACTTTAAACCAACAACAATCAAAACAGACAAAAAGGGCATCACATATTGGTAAAAGGATCAACTCAACAAGAAAACATAGCTATCCTGTATGTATATGCACCCAAGACAGGAGCACCCAGATTCATAAAACAAGTTCTTAGAGACTTACAAAGAGATGTAGATAACCACACAATAATAGAGGAAGATGTCAACACCCCACTGACAATATTAGATCATCAGAGAAGAAAATAATGAAGTTATTTGGGACCTCAACTCCACACTTGACCGAATAGATCTAACAAACATCTACAGAACTCTCCACCTCCCCGCCCCCTCCCCCAAAAAACCACAACAGAATAATAAGGAAATTCCTTGAAAGTGATGAGAACAAAGATAAAACATATCAGAATTTCTGGGACCTACCTAAAACATTGTTAAGAGAAACATTTATAACACTATATGCCCACATAAAAAAAAGTTAGAAAGATCTCAAATTCACAACCTAACATCACACCTAGAGAAACTAGAAAATCAAGAGCAAATCAACCCCAAAGGTAGCAGAAGATAAGACATAACCAAAATCAGACCTGAAATGAATGAAACTGAGAAAAAAATGTTACACAAAGGATCAACAAATCTTGGAGGTAGTTATTTGAAAGAATAAATAAGATTGATATACCACTAGCTAGATTAATAATAAAAGAGAGAGGAACCCAATAAACACAATTGGAAATAACAAAGAGGACATTACCACTGACCCCCAAGAAATACAAAAATCCCTCCGAGACTACTACAAACACCTCTATGCACACCTCTATGCACTAGAAAGCCTAGAAGAAATTGATAAATTCCTGGAAACATACAGTCTCCCAAGGTGAGAAAAGGAAGAAATTGCAATCCTGAACAGACTGATAATGAGTTCCAAAATTGAATCAGTAATAAAAACACTGCGAACCAGAAAAAGCTGAGTACCAGATGGATTCACATCTGAGTTCTATCAGGTGTATAAGAAGAGCTGGTACCAATCCTACTGAAACTATTCCAAAAAATTGAGGAGGACAGACTCCTCCCTAACTTATTCTATGAGGACAGCATCATCCTGATAGCAAAACCTGGTAGAGACACAACAAAAAAAGAAAACTTTGGGCCAATATCCTTGATGAACATTGATGTAAAAAGTCATCAACAAATTTCAAACGAACCAAATCCAGCAGCACACGAACAAGGTATTCCACCATGATGAGGTAGGCTTTATTCCTGGATGCAGGTTTGTTTCAACATTTGCAAATCAATAAATGTGATTCATCACATAAATAGAACTAAAAACATGAAACCTAATTATCTCAATAAATACAGAAAGGCTTTTAATAAAATTAAATATTCCTTCATGTTATGAACCTTCAGCAAACTAAGCACTGTAGGAACATACCTCAAAATAATAAGAGCCATCTATAACATACCCACAGCCATATCATAGTGAACAGGTAAAAGCTGGAAGCATTCCCCTTGAGAACTGGAACAAGACAAGGATGACCACTGTCACCACTTCCATTCAACACAGTTCTGGAAGTCCTAGCCAGAGCAATCAGGAAGGAGAAATAAAAGGCATCCAAATAGGAAGAGAGGAAGTCAGGCTTTCTCTGCTTGCAGACAATATGATTCTATACCTAGAAAACCCCATAGTCTCTGCCCCAGAGCTCGTAGATCTTACAAACAACTTTAGCAAAGTTTCAGAATGTAAAATTAGTGCACAAAAATCAGTAGCATTTGTATACATCAACAGTGTCCAAGCTGAGGGTCAAATGAAGAAACCAACCCCATTCACAATAGCCACAAATAGTGCAAAATACCTAGGAATGCAGCTAACCAGGGAGGTGAAAGATCTCTACAATGAGAATTACAAAATACTGCTGAAAGACATCTGAGATGACTGATAAAATGGAAGAACATTTCATGCTCATAGATAGGAAGAATACTGTTAAAATGGCCATACTGCCCAAAGCAACTTATAGATTGAATGCTATTCCAAACCACCAATGACATTCTGCACAGAAATAGAAATACCTATTGTATAAAGCATATAGAACGAAAAAAAGCCCCAATAGCCCAAGAAATCCTAAGCAAAAAGAACAAAGCTGGAGGCATCGCACTACCTGACTTTAAACTATACTATAAGCCTACACTAATGAAAACAGCATGTTAGTGGAAAAAGAAAAAAAAAAAAAGAACAGACACATAGACCAGTGGAACAGAATAGAGAGCCCAGAAATAAAGCCAGATACCTGCAACCATCTAATGGACATAACTGACAATGAGCAATAAGAAAAAGACTTCCTATTCAATAAATGCTGCTAGGATAAATTGGCCAGCCATATACAGAAGATTGAAACTGGATCCCTTCCTTACATAAATCAACTCAAGACAAATGGAAAACCTAAGACTATAAAAACCCTGATGATAACCTAGGAAATTGTATTCCAGTCATAGGCTCTGGTAAAGATTTCATGATGGAGACACCAAAAGCAATTGCAACAAAAACAAAAATTGATAAAGGGGACCACCTAATTAAACTAAAGAGTTTCTGCACAGCAAAATAAAATAGAGTAAACAGACGGCGTACAGAATGGGAGAAGATATTTGTAACTTATGCATCTGACAAAGGTCTAATGTAGAGAATCTGTAAGGAACTTAAAGTAGCAAGCAAAAAACAACCCCATTAAAATGTGGCCCAAAGACATGAACAGACACTTTTCAAAAGAAGACTGTGCACAGCCAACAATTTATGAAAAAGTACTTAACATCATGAATCATTAGAACAATGCAAATCAAAACCACAGAGAGACACTATCTCACACCTGTCTGAATGGCTGTTATTAAGAAGTCAAATAGTAACAGATGCTGGTGAGGCTGTGGAGAAAAAGGAATGTTATACACTGCTTGTTGGGATGAAAATTAGTTCAGCCATTGTAGTAAGCAGTGTGGCGATTTCCCAAAGAAGTTAAAGCAGAAGTGTCATTCAACCCAGCAATCCCATTATTGGGTATATTCCCAAAGGAATGTAAATCATTACACCATATTCATCACAACACTGTTCACAATAGCAAAAACGTGGAATCAACCTAAATGGCCATTAGCAGTAGACTGGTTAAAGAAAGTGTGGCAGATATACACTGTGGCATACTATGCAGCCATTAAAAAGCACAAGATCACGTTCATTGAAGCAACATGAATGGAGCTGGAGGCGATTATCCTAAGTGAACTAAAGCAGGAACAGAAAACCAACCCTCATGTTCTCACTTATAAGTGGAAGGTAAATATTGAGTACATGTGGACACAAAGAAGGGAACAACAGACACTGGGACCTATTTGAGGGTGTAGGGTGGGAGAAGGGAGATGATCAAACAACTACCTATTGTCTACTATGCTTCTTACCTGGGTGATGAAATAATCTGTACACCAGACCCCCATGACACTCAATTTACCTATATTACAAACCTGCATATGTACCCCTGAACCTGAAATAAAAGTTGGAAACAAGCTGTCTTTTCTTCTGCTTTACACTTGAGAAATTTCAGAATGAATGGTGGAAAAGATGATTAATATTGATTAAATTGTGAGCACATCAACAAAATTCACTGATAAATCTCTTTTAAATTATTTAATGGTTTCCCTAAGTAGAAATTTCAGGTTTACACTTTAGTGGAGTGTTTCTTTAATTTCCTGATATAAAAAAGTCTACTAAATTTTACCCCGGACAGGTGAGTGTCTATGAAATCTTAATTTTATCATACCAAGAAGTTAAGAAATACATTTGGTTTTAAAAAGTGCATTGCTTAAACCATATATCACAATGTTGTATGAGTATTCATAGTCATAGTTCATTTATCAATTATTATTGATTACATCTTGGTGTATAAGATAATTTAAAATATATTAACAAAGATAATTTAGGAATTAAAATCCATTTTGTATTAATGTCTAGTCTAGTCTAGACTAGCTAATGTCTAGTCACAAGCTTTGTAATTTTTAAAATATAATAAAAATTACTGTTTTTGAATCTTGACGCAAACCTACAATATAGAGCTATACCAATGTTACCTATACCAATGAGGAAACTAAGATCCAGAGAAATATTTTTCCAGTAGGACTGTAATTAAAGCTGAACCCTTTGGGGGCAAAACAAAATTTGTTTTTCAAGAGAAATTTAGACTATCATGTTCTTTTAACTCAGAAACTTTTGTAGGTATCCCCCGTCATGCACTCTGGACAGTGTATTAGTCAGGATGGGCTGGGCATGCCAAAGTAACAAACAATACCAAAATCACACTGGCTTAATCCAAGCAGTCTAGTTAATCACTCAAGCAACATATCCTCTGTGGGTAGATGAAACCTCCTCTTCCACATAGTTACTCTTCAATCTCTTATGCCTCTGCCACCCTAATACAACACACAGGGTTTTTCAAAGTAGGAAGAAACAGAGAATGAGGAATCATACAGGGGATCTTAAATGCTTGTACTCAATTATAATTCCTTAACCAAAACAAGTCATAACAGCAAGACTGATTTTAGGTGAATGCTGTCCTAGATGAAGAAGAAAAATGGAAAGTCAGTCAGCAGCGCTAGTATCTATCAAGGTAAAATTAACTCACTCCACCTTGAGTTGGGAGATTATGCAGTTGGTTCATACCAAGACCAGAAAGGTACTAGTTGAAGAATAGGAAGAAAGTCAAGTGCCAGAATACTGGCTTCAGTGTGAGCACTTGCCCAGAGGATCCTGCAAAAACCCTGCCAGAAAATTAGTCATTGGAAACTTAGCACTAATCATAGCTATATAATTATAGATTATGATATGCACTCATTAAGAGAAATACTTGAAACCTAAATATACAAGGGTCTATTTTTTTAAATAAGGTATAGTAAATGAATAAGATTAGATCATCTGATGACAAAAACATTGTATATCCTCATTATCATTCATATGTAAGACTATTATTTTATACTTATTTTATGTAAACCATGGAGAAGATATCCGTGTCCAAAAATATCAACCTAAACTTCAGCAATAATTATGAAATGCTTTTTAAATGTGTATATATACTAAGTAAAATCCTTGAACATCTTTAGAAATCTTTAAACAGACAGAATGTACTGTGAAATCATGATTACTCTCATGCTAAGTCATTCATACATTATTTTCCTTGATTTCTTCCTAACTTTGAACCTTTCTTGGAGATGGCTCCTGAGGAGTCTGTGATAAGTCATAAACTCTGAGGGACTATGCAGAATACAATTTGGGGATGGAGCAGAATCTCTGGCCTGGCATATTTTCTGACTCCTTCCATGTGCTGGTGTCAAAAAAAGACTATAATGAAATCACTGAAACCTCAGCATTAGGTAATGACCCTCAAAAACACCTGAAGATTGTCACTACGCTCAATATTAGTTATCTGTTGCTGCATAACACATTGCCCTAGAATTTAGGACCTTAACACAACTAATATTTATCTCATGGATTCTGTGAGTCAAGAATCTAGGAGCCACTTAGCTGGGTATTTCTGAGTCAAAGTTTCCTCTAATGTTTCAGTCAAGATGGGAGCTAGGTCTATATCATCTGAAGCAGGCCTGGGACTGGAAGATCTGCTGTCTAAATGTCTTACTCATATGGCCCATTGGTTGTAGGTATCAGTCCTTTGCCAGTTGTTGGTAGGAGGCTTTAGTTTTTCCTTACGTGGACCTCTTTCTCCATAGGGCTGCTTGAGCATCCTGTCTACCTGGAAGCTGACTTCCCCAGAGTGAATGATCAAAGAGAGATCAATAGGGAAGTCTGAGTGTCTTTCATAACTTGTCTCAGGATCATATACCATCACATCTACCATATTATTTGTGTAAAGGGTCACTAAGTCTAGCCCACTCTCAAGGGGAGGTGAAGTAAGCTCTACTTCGTGAAGAGAGGAGTATGAAAGAACCTGTGGACATAATTGAAAATTATCACATACTCCCAAACTCAACCCAACAGAGATAGTAACAAATAATAAGCAGATAAGATATAAATGCAGGTGAGAGGGAAAATATTTTCATTAGGAGGTAATTTAAAAAGGGAACAATATCTGAGAGTCTTATTTGGAGAAAATGGGAATTTGGCGGTAAAGAAATGCTATAAATTTTGCTTGACAGGGTAATGATTTGTACAAATTGTAAATTAAAAGAAAACAGAAAACAAATTGGCAAAAAAGTAAGGCTGGGAATTGATAATCACCCCTTTTCATAATATCTAATTATTTGTCCATTTAAAATTAGTTGTTGATCACATACCAGGGTATTTGAAGCCCTGAAGTGTAATATTGAATGATTATATACAAAAAATGAGTTTCTTTGCTATGTAACATTTACAATTACAGTAATACCTTTTAAATATATATAATTTAGATTTAACTCCTAAGCACAGCTTACTTTTAAAGTCATGTGTTGTAATAGGCAGGTTATATCACTTAAAATTTCAAAATTTGTTATATGCGGGTAAAAAATGTCAATGTATCTTGGCAGCTATAAAATTATTATGGCTCTATTCAGTCTTTGTTTTCTTAAGGTCAGCAATTTATTTAAAAAACTGCTAAGTCAATGGTAGTGACTAAAGTTGTATAAGAGTAGTTGAAACTCGGTTTTATAGTTAATTTTAAAACACTGATTGATACAGTCTCTGTTGTGATAGGTTAAACATATGGGCTGAGTGCAGATATCTGTTTGCAGAGTGAGATTTTTTGTGCTTGACTGCCCATTGATAGCAATTCTGGAAAAACTAGATGTGTCATTGAGCTTCGGTATCTTGAGAAATTGTGAAGTGGCAGATACATATTTGCAATCAATATGAAGGGTAAATTGCCATAATTTGAGTGGACACTTTCAAGTACTGTGAAGTAAGAACATGTTGCGAACCACTGTGTGGCTGGCATTTGGGGACTTTCTGTTTAATAGATTGTGACAGTCAAAGTTGGCAATTCACAGTGGTAAAATTGTTGTGACTGGCTTAAGCACGTTTTTTGTTTTGTTTTGTTTTTTTGCCAGATTTTATGATGTAAATCTATGATTAAATAGGGAATCTAAGCTGGAAAACTGTGTATTTGTTTAGGATATTACTAGGGAGAATATTTAGGAAGACAGATTGTATTTCACTTATAAGCTTAGATGCTTTTATTCAGTGTCTTGCACAGATGCAATGTATGAGATGGATTCGAAGTCTACAGGAGCTGTGTGAGAGGAACTCCAGAACCTGAGACATTTGGCAGTGACAGTGTATTCTGGACAGTCACTGTGTGTGGTGAACACTGTATTAGGGGCTGTGGTAAGCATGCTTCTTTGAAGTTTCAGCCAAAAGAATAGTCAATTCAACACTGAACTTCATTTTTATGAAATATGTTAGAACTTCCTCTTTTATTCTGGAAGAGTCAAATTTTAAAGTACTGTGCCTATTTCAATTTCGGCTCAATCTACTGTTAGTTTGATGGGTCTGTAATTTTAGAATCCCAGACTTTATTTTTCTGGCATAAGGATAAGTGTCCCTGTAGCTTGGTAAACCCATCAATCAGCTGTTGAAATATATTTGTGTTGTCTGGGGGAACTAGGATGGTTGTTGATGCAAGAAATGTGTCACTATCTAATTTGTAGTAGAGATGAACCCTAGAACTTATTATGATTATTAATTTTATCTAGACATATTTCCATTATAAATGTAGACATAGGTGTGATTGGTAGAAATATATATGGTTTGACTACTTTAATATCATGTATCAACCAAAGTCATTAATTTGAATATTTCTATTTTTATAGCTATATACTTAATAGATTTAATTTAACATATTGAATATTTATGTTTGTAAACCTGGGAAGAGTTATAGGACATTTATGTGCCAGTGTTGTACGTGTAAAATTCCTTGACATTTTAAAATGGGGCTGACAATAAATTATAAATGTTCTTTCATTTTGACTTATTCAATAAGCATTTAATGATGCCAGCTCTTTACTAGGCATTATTCTAGGCACTGAGGTTATAAATATGAATAAGACCCAATTTCTGTGCTCAAAGAATTCATGAACTAATTAGGGGATGTAAAATGTAAAATGTAAAATATATGGTATTTCCATAGATCTAAGATATTGAGTATATCATTGATTTAGTAACACTTTTAATTGCAAATGACAGAAAATTTATCCCGAATGGCTTAAAGGAAAAAGGGGCCATAGTCACATGAAGAACCATCCCGATTTCAAAAACATTAAAAGTTTTTTTTAATCCCAGAAGAGATAAGATCATCACAGTTCTTAGTGATCATGTAATATCTGAGGAAAGTTCAAGCTGTAAAGGTAACAGTAAAGAGGACGTGAAGTGATTCATGGTGCCTGGAGTTGTCCAAAAGGCTTCAGAGAGGAAGAAATGCATCCATTAGGACTATGAAAGTGAAAAGAGAAAGGGAGTTTGGCAGCCAACAAAAGTCTTGGTGATGGTAAAGGGAAGATGATAAATTCAATTGTGGTAAACTGAATTGGCACACGCAGGAAGAGAACTCTGCGTGTTCACAACACAGTTTATTAAGATGTATTGGGAGTGGCAAGAGGCTTGGTGTGTGTAGTGTAAGGTGTGAGAGGAGAGGCAACAGCCTTAAGAGTGGAGATGTGTGGGCCAGGGCAAGAACAGCCTCATACATCATGCAAAGCAGATCGAACTCTATCCTCTGTGTCAGTGGTTTCTGAACTGTTTTGTATCCATTAATTTAGTGGGTGACACTAGCATTTTAAATAAAATGGAATAAAATATAAAATATAGTGCATCACATGTTATAAAGCTTCCTTTTTCATGAAGTCTTGTTTCTGTTAAAATACATGATTATGTGTAATTGGGCCATGAGTTAAAACACATTTTCTGTCAAAGAAAGTTTGGAAACCTCTGTTTAGATGCTGAGATCCACTCAAATAAATTTAGGGAAAAAGCATTATGTGATCAGATGGTTGGTAAGGAAGATTGACTCTTTTAATGAATAATGCATGGACTTGATTGAAGGAGGTAATATTGCAGGCATGAGAGGCAGGTTAGGAGGGTTTTGTGTGTCCAGGCAGGAGACTTGGACTCATGCTGAATTTGGTGTGTTTCTGAGGATCTGATGGAGCCATTTGCAGTAGATTGTGGCTTATTACAAATGTATAGTATGGACATCAACTGTGAGGTCTCAGCTAGAGGTAGACATCTGAATCATTACTTGCACATCCAATCTTGGGTGTGCATGGCTTTGCCAAAGAGAGGTCTGGATAGTGTTCAATGAGAGGAAATAGAAAGTGTGGACCCCTTGGAAACTCATATACGTATGCCAGTGGCCTTCAGCCTCATTGTACTAGCCTCTCCCCAGGATTCCACATGCAGTTGTAGAGAGTGGCTCACTTCGTTTGTTGATATAATAATATAGTATCCCACGAAGGGCGCATCTAAAGAAGACTCCTGAGAATGCCTTGGTGGAGCCAACATGTGTGAGGGGTGACAACATTGCCAACAATGTATGTGCCACACTTCCATTATTGGGATATGACACAGAATTCCAAGAAAATGCAAATCCATAAATACAATGTTTATTTGGTTTAAAAAACAATGATAATATAGTACGTTATATATAGGTTATTTCCTGAAATTACCAGGTTCAAGTTCAAGATCATTAACAAATTCAAGGTCATCATCCAATTTCTTAAAATCCTTAGCTGGGCATGGTGGCTCATGCCTGTAATCCCAGTACTTTGGCCGAGGTGGGTGGATCGCCTGAGCTCAGGAGTTCGAGACCCACCTGGGCAACATGGTGAAACCCCATGTCTACTAAAAGCACAAAAATTAGCTGGACGCGGTGGCACATGCCTGTAGTCCCAGGCTGAGGTGGAAGGATCACCAGAGCCTGGGAGGTGGTAGTTGCAGTGGGCCGAGATTGTGGCACTGCACTCCAGCCTGGGCAACAAAGTGAGACTCTGTCTCAAAAAAATAATAATAATAAAATAATAAAATAGAAATACACACACACACACGTGCACACACACACACACGCACACACACAAACACACACACACACACTCCTCTTCAAGGATCTACCAACAGCATGTCTGCTGACCCCACTTTTCTTCTCTGGCAGTGTTTCGAGGCTCACGCCAGTGCTCCCTGCATCTCAGCCCACTTGCTGCTCTTTCCTGCTCCTCATGTCTCCCTATATACATTTATTCTGATCCTTTCCTCTCTGCTCTAACCCTGTGCCATTACACTGTCAATCACTCCATCTCCTACACTTTTTTAGCTTTCTTCTCAGTCCTCAGGTCTGAGGGGACCCTGATTGCTGTTGAGAGATCTGTCAGTTCTGCCCTGAGAGCCTAACCTGTTGCTTGGCCGTCGCGCATCTTCCTTGCTTCACCTGTGGTGTTGGCTCTGGCTCTCAAGTCACAAGCTTGCCTGGGGCAGAGCTCAGGAGCAGCAGCAATTGATTCACCCTTAACCACTGGTTTGTTTTTAAAAGCACTACCTTTTCAATAATATTTTTAAGACAGATAAGTTGTTAGTGTAATGCTTGTTAAGATTAGATAAAATTGGCTGAGATCATGCTTTAGAAACAGACGGTGAGACATTCGGAACGTAGCCAAAGGAAGACCTGCTCCCATCCTCACTGACCGCAGTTTGCTAGAGCCTGGCTGCTTAGGCGTCTCCCCTGTATGAGGAGCACCGTTCCATCTTGCTTTGTAGAAGTCATCACAGAACCTTCCTTTTTACCTTCACACATAATATGTCACTAAGAATAATAACTCAGGTGGAAATTAAGTCTGTGGTGATATTCAGGATGATCCCATTCTTCTCAATGATGAATAGCTCATGCAAGGATACAGAATGGGTTTCCTGACCCACCAAGCTATGTTGACCCTCCCACTGCTCCTGCCTGTCTGAACGCAGAGGTAGAACGGTAATCCCCTTGTGTTTGACACATGAGCTCCACACTGAGATCCCACCAGCTCTCCACCCTCCAGCCATCACATCTTCCACTACAGCAGCAAATGACCTGTGTAGCCGCCTCCATGAATAAGACCTAATGCCACACCCCCAACTTCTCAGGTGGAACTGAAATTCCTCTGCCTCCTGCCTTTGTCTGCTGATGCCCTTGTGGTTGCATGTTCTGACTATGGCTCAAAGGTGCTGCTTCCCATCCTTGCATGATCTTCTCTATATGTTTTGCCAGATTCTATATTTGCAAGCTGTTGGTTGCAAGTATCAGGTTCTGGAAGCCTACTTGATCGACGATTCTACCTTGGAAGCCACTTACCCAAAGTGTACATCATTCTCAGGTAGTTGACGGAAGCGAAAGTCTTAAACTAGTCCTAGGATTCTGAATCCTATTTCTGCTTTTACTGAAAAGCAGCTATCTTGAGTTGAAATAAAGGAGTATCATTTCAAATGCCACATAGAGAAATGCTCCTAATGCAAAGCCCATTATATTTTTGTTACATGCTCTCATAAGCAATTATTATTGATTTTACTCTAATCGTTCATATATTAGCTCAACAAATATTTATTAACTAGCTTCTATATATTACATACTGAGTTAGCTGTGGGAAATTGAACATAGACCAAGACAGATTGAGTTTCTGCCCTAATTGTTTATAGTTTTGACAACTATTACTATATTGTTTATATTATGATAAGCGATAACTTTAGATTTCTCTTTGTAAAGTGAGAAGTGAGGATGAATATATGTTTATGTGTGCAGAGCACTTCTGAGTGAGAATGACATGATGCCTATTTCTTTTGGTAGCGATATGCTAGTTACAAATAGAGAATTGCAGTTTTGGTGATGAGAGTGATTACACAAATGAGGTGCTCAATACTGTTCTTTGTGTTGCTAATTTGTACTAATCCACACATTCTGTGTACCCTAATATGCATAAAAAGATGTTTATGCTTATTCTTCAATTATACGTAGTAGGAGTCTTTAAAATGTCACCTATTCAGTGGAAGATTTTCAAAATAAAATATTTTAAAATATGTAAATTTTTAAAACATTCAGTAGCTCATATTTACATATATATTTAAATAACAATACCTGGGATGTTCTAATGCCATATTTCATTATTCACTTGGGTATAAGGTAATGGCAGATTATGAAAGTAATGCCTGATGATGGAAGTAAAGCCAAAAGTAATTCTATTTTGCCAACATTTGTTTTTTAGAACATAGGATCAAGAACAGGGAGGGGGGTATTCTCTGAAAGAAATGGAAGACATTTCTTTGATCTACATGAGAGAAGGAAAGAAGGCTAAGTGTGGCTGTAACAGGGTTCTCTTGTTTGTTTGGTGTGAGGGGGCAGGAAGTCAAGGTAGTTAACATCAGAGTCTCTGGAGTTGAAGTCTGTTGCTGAAGGTAAAAGAAGAAAGTGAGAGAAGAGTTATAAATGTTTCTAGCTACTCTAAACTAAAAGATAAAAAGGGACCTTCCTGAAGAGAAGGAACAGGACGGGAAACAAGATTTGACAAGCAATGTTTAGAAGTCATCAATATATTTTTTTCCTCCATAAGTTTTGGGGTAACAGGTGGTGGTTGGTTACATAAGTAAGTTCTTTAGTGGTGATTTCTGAAATCTTGGTGCACCCATCACCCAAGCAGTATACACTGTACCCAATGTGTAGTCTTTTATCCCTCACCCCCTCCCACCCTTTCCCCCCGAGTCCCCAAAGTCCATTGTATTATTATTATGCCTTTGTGTCCTCATAGCTTAGCTCCCACTTATGAGTGAGAACATATGATGTTTGGTTTTCCATTCCTGAGTTACTTCACTTAGAATAATTGGCTCCAATTCCATCCAGGTCACTGCAAATAACATTATTTCATTCCTTTTTATGGCTGAGTAGTATTCCATTATATATATATATATGAATACTACTATATATACATATATACTATGTAATATATACATGTATACTATAATATATGAATATATATTATATATATAATATACATGAATATATAATATATAAGACAATTTATTTTTTATTATACTTTAAGTTCTAGGGTACATGTGTACAACGTGCAGGTTTGTTATGTAAGTATACATGTGCCATGTTGGTTTGCTACACCCATCAACTCGACATTTACATTAGGTATTTCTCCTAATGCTATCTCTCCCCCAGCCCCACGCCCCCTGACAGGCCCCAGTGTGTTGATGTTCCCAGCCCTGTGTCCATGTGTTCTCATTGTTCACCTCCCACCTGTGAGTGAGAACATGCAGTGTTTGCTTTTCTGTTCTTGTGATAGTTTGCTTAGAATGATGGTTTCCAGCTTCATCCATGTCCCTGCAAAGGACATGAACTCATCCTTTTTTACGGCTGCATGGTATTCCATGGTGTATATGTGCCACATTTTCTTAATCCAGTCTATCATTGATGGACATATGGGTTGGTTTCAAGTCTTTGCTATTGTGCATAGTGCTACAGTAAACATACGTGTGCATGTGTCTTTATAGTAGAATGATTTATAATCCTTTGGGTATATAGCCAGTAATGGGATTGCTTGGCCAAATGGTATTTCTAGTCCTAGATCCTTGAGGAATTGCCACACTGTCTTCCACAATGGTTGAACTAATTTACACTCCCACCAACAGTGTAAAAGCATTCTTATTTCTCCACATCCTCTCCAGCATCTGTTGTTTCCTGACTTTTTAATGATCGCCATTCTAACTGGCATGAGATGGTATCTCATTTTGGTTTTGATTTGCATTTCTCTGATGACCAGTGACGATGAGAATTTTTTCATGTGTCTGTTGGCTGCATAAATGTTGTCTTTTGAGAAGTGCCTGTATGAAAAGTCCTGTATGAAAAGTGCCTGTAAGAAGTGTCCTTTGCCCACTTTTTGATGGGTTGTTTTTTTCTTGTAAATTTGTTTGAGTTCTTTGTAGATTCTGGATATTAGGCCTTTGTCAGATGGGTAGATTGCAAAAATTTTCTCCCAGTCTGTAGGTTGCCTGTTCACTCTGATGATAGTTTCTTTTGCTATGCATAAGCTCTTTATTTTAATTAGATCTCATTTGTCTGTTTTGGCTTTTGTTGGCATTGCTTTTGGTGTTTTAGTCATGAAGTCTTTGCCCATGCCTATGTCCTGAATGGTATTGCCTAGGTTTTCTTCTAGGGTTTTTATGGTTTTAGGTCTTACATTCAAGTCTTTAATCTATCTTGAATTAATTTTTGTATAAGGTGTAAGGAAGGGATCCAGTTTCAGCTTTCTACATATGGCTAGCCAGTTTTCCCAGCACCATTTATTAAATAGGGAATCCTTTCCCCATTTCTTGTTTTTGTCAGGTTTGTCAAAGATCAGATGGTTGTAGATGTGTGGTGTTATTTCTGAGGCCTCTGTTCTGTTCCATTGGTCTATTCGTCTGTTTTGGTACCAGTACCATGCTGTTTTGGTTACTGTAGCCTTGTAATATAGTTTGAAGTCAGGTAGTGTGATGCCTCCAGCTTTGTTCTTTTTGCTGAGGATTGTCTTGACTGTGTGGGCTCTTTTTTGGTTCCATATGAACTTTAAAGTAGTTTTTTCCAATTCTGTGAAGAAAGTAATTGGTAGCTTGATGGGGAGGGCATTGAATCTATAAATTACCTTGGGCAGTATGACCATTTTCATGATACTGATTCTTCCTATCCATGAGCATGGAATGTTCTTGCATTTGTTTGTGTCCTCTTTTATTTCGTTGAGCAGTGGTTTTTAGTTCTCCTTGAAGAGGTCCTTCACATCCCTTGTAAGTTGGATTCCTAGGTTTTTTATTCTCTTTGAAGCAATTGTGAATGGGAGTTCACTCATCATCTGGCTCTCTGTCTTCTATTGGTGTATAGGAATGCTTGTGATTTTTGCACAGTGATTTTGTATCCTGAGACTTTGCTGAAGTTGCCTATCAGCTTAAGGAGATTTTGGGCTGAGACGATGGGGTTTTCTAAGTATACAATCATGCTATCTGGAAACAGGTACAATTTGACTTCTTCTTTTCCTAATTGAATACCCGTTATTTCTTTCTCCTGCCTGATTGCCCGGGCCAGAACTTCCAACACTATAATAGGAGTGGTGAGAGAGGGCATCCTTGTCTTGTACTGGTTTTCAAAGGGAATGCTTCCAGTTTTTGCCCATTCAGTGTGATATTAGCTGTGGGTTTGTCATAAATAGCTCTCAATCTTTACATTCCCTGACTGACATCAGAGTGTGGTTTCTGGCCATAGAGCTCAGCTGCCCAGATGTCAGCAGCACATAAGAGTCATAGGTAGATTTCAGGTTG
The DNA here is from genome assembly GCF_000001405.40 of Homo sapiens. Classification (NCBI taxonomy): domain Eukaryota; kingdom Metazoa; phylum Chordata; class Mammalia; order Primates; family Hominidae; genus Homo; species Homo sapiens. The sequence goes on along the minus strand of NC_000005.10, from coordinate 11,739,451 downwards.
AAAGTTTGCAGGCAAGGTTGCCTTTCCCTGCCCCAAGTCTGTTCCACCCACATTCTTGACATCTTGGCTGATGGCCGGTCACTCAGGCCAAGCCCTTGGACTCACCTGGTCTCCTCTCACTGTGGCTTACATCCACATAGAATCTTTCAGGAGGCCCACCAGTTCTGCCTTCCAATTATCCTGGTAATCTGACCACATCTCAAGACCTCTCCTGCCTGGATTCAGCTGCAGATGGAAGATTACATCAGAGAATTTACTACTGGGCATAGACTTGGGCTATCAGTAGAACTTTCTGCAGTGATGGAGATCTTCCACTTTTCACTGTTCAATAGTGTACCCACTGGCCATCTCTAGCTCTGGAGCAGTTGAAATATATGAATAGTTGACTTTTTAATGTTATTTTAATTAAAATGTAGATAGTCATGTGTGGGTAGGGGCTGCTATAGTGCAAGTCTAACTAATGAAATCTCTAGCTTCCCACAGCATACTTGCAGTTTGGAAATGCTGGAATTTGAAGCATGTGACTTCAGAGCCTGAGGGCCCTAGGACCCCAAGAGTGACAGAATGAGAGGAGAATTGGAAGGATAAGAGGTCATGGCTTATAGAGAGGGGAGGGCAGCTAAGAAGGAGCAAACCCATATAATGGCCACAGGAACTTACTGGAAAATTGGAGAGGAGGGGACCACCAAGTAAGAGTGACACAAGAATGCTGGCTGTATCACTTAATTGGATGGTTGTGTGATACAGACATCATCAGTTATTTTGTTGAAGATGACCATGTCTTGATGTGTAAGTCATCAGTTGCAATGCAAAAGTGACTAAAGAAAGAACAAGTTCAAATATGAAGAATTTACGTGTGTGTTTGTGTGTGTGTGATGGATGTCAATAAAATATGACATTGAATATTGTCTCTGCATTGACGGCTAGAGAGTTTGGCCTTCCAAAATGCAGTTAAGATTCTAGCATGTTGCCAAGTGTAATGTAAATTTATAGAGACTCCTATTTGGGAAAGAAAAGTTTAGACTATTCATTTGGACATCATAACATCTTATTACCTATGGTTATAAGAGTTCAAACTGAAAAGAAGGCTCGGCATGCAGGGCCTAACTGCTTTTGCTGTTATTGTTATGCAGGCCAATTTTTCTGAATTTCTTATTGCATCATTTATGAAAGTGGTAGTATTATGGATGTGTTTAAGATACTGTTTTATTCTGTAGGCTTATTTCATACAATGGGGTACATCCCTTTGTAAGCTTTGCTTTGTCCCGGTATGCTGATTTGAAGCAATGTTGGGACACATGCCTCCTCCTGAGACCTGTGATTCGTTTTAGATGAAGGTGTTACCAAGAGATGTTTTACCTTTCTCCTGTCAGTTCCCAAGACTCCATGCCCAGCCCACAGGGGAATTAAGGGAAAGAAAGTTGAGAAAATTGAACACTTTTTGTATTGGTCAGCTTGTGCCGCCATAGCACAATACTACAGACTGAATGGTTTAAATAACAGAAATTTATTTTCTCATATTTCTGGAGACCAGAAGTCCAAGATCAAGGTGCCAGTAGGCCACCTCTCTTCCCCGCTGGTCAACAGTACTTTCTCATTGTGCCTACTTATGGCTTTCTGTCTTTGTGTATGCAAAGGGGAAGAGAGACCTCTGATGCCACTTGCTCTTCGTATAAGCACATGAAGTCCTGTTATATTAGGGCCCCACCACTCTGTGACCCCATTTAACCTTAATCACCTCCCTAAAGGCTCCATCTCCAATACAGTCACATAGGGATTAAGGCTTCAGCATATGAATTTGGGGAACACAGTTCTGTCCGTAACACTGCTCATGCATGTGTGGGCATAGAGCAGGGTGACTTGCACCCTGAAACTGCTAGTGGTGTTGTTTTATTATTTTCTGGACATAGGACTTGTTGGTACCAAGTTCTGCTAGAAGAACCCACCCGAAATTTAGGGCTGTTCTTCCCGCACTGCTGTCTCTTTTTCTCATGTGGAAGATGGGTCTGTCCAAAATGCAGCTTGGGTATTTGCAGATTATAATTCTACTATGTGTAGGAAGACTTCTTACATGGTAACCACTTCAAGGGTAGCAAGAAGTGCTGTACAGGGTGAATAAATCTGGGTAAATTGTGCACTCTACTCACAGTCAAACAAAAACAAAGTCAAAGGGGTGCATTTTTCTATATCAGGTTGGCAAAAGCCTGAGAGGATAATGGAGATCCGTGTGGTTAACATTGTGGTGAGGTAACATTCTCATGACCTTTCCAGTGGGCGAGTAGGCTGGACCAGCCTGGCAGCAGGACTGGCTAACAAAAGGCCGAAAAATACACAGATTCCTTATTTTACCAATTCTACTGCTGGGAACCCATGTATTGAATATGTCATAGATGTAAAAATGGGGTAAAAATCACATATAAAAGACAGGTAGATAACTTTCAACATGTACAGATTATTGAATACTGAGTATTCATTGTAATTAAACTGTAGAGCAATGTTTGTTGATATAAGAAATTGTTCATGAGATGTTGCTGAGCCACAAGAAATTCAAAAACCTTGCATTAGTACCTTATTATGTAAAAAACATTGTACAGAATAAGTTATATTAGAAATAATAAATCACCAAAATCCCAAAGTAATTTTACTTATCTGGAATGGCAGAATTGCTGGTGGTTGCTCTTCCTTTGTTCTTGGTTTTTGCTTTTTATTTCTCTATACTTCCCAGATTTCCTGGTTGCACAGATTAAATACTAATTTTTAGTAGATTAGCTGTGATTAAGACTGACGTATTTGGCCATATTACTGCGAAGTTAGAAGTTTAACACTTTTTATACTTACCCTAAGGCCATCCAGGGATTCACTGGGGCAGGTCTTTTGTGGTTTCCTCTCTCTCTTCTGTGTGACCTGAGCTGAGAAGATTGTGATTGGAGGGTGACTGTCTTTTCTGTCCAGACACAATAGTTACATTAAATTTGGATTAAAAAAATTATGAATCATGGAAATTATTCCAAGTCATTTGCATTCAGGAATGGAGGTTGCTTTAGGTAGCGGTAGCTCTGTACGGTGGAATAAGCCTTGAAGATTCCACTTCTCTTTCTGTTATTGCTGTAAGGAGAAAGGAGGTAGATAAACAGGCCTAATTATTCCCCATACTGTGTGGGTCACACTTGTCAAGTGCCGGAGGAGAAACCTTGATTCAGTGCCTATTAAATCCCATATTTTTTTATGACAGGTCACTGTTATGCTTTTAAAGAGTTACATTTTATAAAAATTAGTTAGTAGAGTAGCATTAGGAGGCAGTACAGGTTATAGGAAATAGGCTGACACATCAAAGGACATTGAAATAGGAATTAAAAGGCAGAAAGCCTGAGTTCTGGGCCCACTTATGTGACTTAATAACTTTGGGCCCTTAAACAATTTCTTTGTCAAAAATATGTTGATAAGAATACTGGCTCAGAGCCTGAATTAGCATGGGCCCAATAAAATGTAAATAAACAAAAATTAAAATGGTAATTTAAAATATGTAAGAGTCCCCCTTTCTCAGCATGAGGTGCTCCTTGTGTATTAGTCCATTCTCATGCTGCTAATAAAGACATACCTAAGACTGAGTAATTTATAGAGAAAAAGAGTTTTCATGGACTCACAGTTCTGCATGGCTGGGGAGGCCTCACAATCATGGCAGAAGGTGAAGGAGAAGCAAAGGCATGTCTTGCATGGTGGCAGGCAAGAGAGCACGTGCAGGGGAACTGCCCTTCCTAAAACCATCAGATCTCATTAGACTTATTCACTATCATGAGAACAGCATGGGCAAAACCTGCCTCCGTGATTTAATTACCTCCCACCTGGTCCCTCTCACTACACGTGGGGATTATGGAAGCTACCATTCAAGATGAGATTTGTCGGGGGACATAGCCAAACCATATCACCTTGCATAGAGTCCCCTGTGAACCCATGGACATGGAGAGAGGTGGCAATAGAAGGTCACGGCGGCTTTCTCAGGGACCAGAGGTGACTGTGCACACAAGAGCTGCATTGTCCTTCCTTCTTACTTTCTGCTCTTTCACCATCTCTGAAACCTTCCCTAGCTGGAAATTCATAGGTTCCACTCTTTATCTGGGCACAACATTTGCTGAACTGGTTGTTTACATTTTACATAATTAAGAGACTTGATCGAATAAGAAAACCATATGAGAAAGCATGTTGAATACATAAATATGCTTTATTATGTTCTTCCTAACACACCACCATAATTACGCAAATCTCTTTCTGTCATCCTGTTGGTATTCATCACCTTCAATACTTTAATCTTTTTAGCTGTGGTTGCATTTTGCCAAATCATATTTAATCTGATTCTAACTCTTTGCTCAAATTTTGTTTTGTTGATATTATTTCCCCAAACCTTCTCACATATTCTGTTCATAACAGATTTCCTTTTCCAGTGCTATTCCAATCCCCATTGGTGATATTATTATTCCTTCTCACATATTCTGTTTGTAACAGATTTACTTTTTCAGTGCTATTCCAATCCCCATTGGTGATATTATTATAAGTACTTCATAAAATTAAAACAAATAAAAAATTAGATGAAATGTTCAATAGGAAATTTGGATGACTGCTTTCCTTAACATATATTTTAAGTAAAATTCTGTAATGGGGCCTTTTTAGGTTGGAATATCTCTAAATTATTAACTAGACATACGTAATAACTTAGGGCAAAGGCTACTGTGGAAATCACATCTCTTAATGTAAAACCCAGGATGCTTAGATATGGTATAATAGAAAATATCTTTTAATATTTACACAACCCTGGTTCCTGGAGGGATGTGTAATGTAATAGCTTTAGGCAAGAAAATAATTTCTGTTTACTCTCAGTCTTTTATTGAGATGGGGGTTTTGTAATGCCTTGGTAAATATCCTCAGTTAACTATTGCTTTCTCTGTTGATCACTGCTAGATGATACATGTAACAAATACTTCAGTCCCTTTTTAAGTTCATTTGAGCTACAGATCTCTTGAGACTTATTCACTGTCATGAGAACAGCATGGGCAAAACCTGCCCCTATGATTTAATTACCTCCCACCTGGTCCCTCTCACTACATGTGGGGATTTTGGGAGCTACAATTCAAGATGAGATTTGTTGGGGAACATAGTCAAACCATATCACCTTGCATAAAGTCCCTTGTGAACCATTGGACATGGAGAGAGGTGGCGATACAAGGTCATGGCTGCTCTCTTGGGGACCAGAGTAACCAAACACCATAAATTGGCTCCTTATAAGCAATGGAAATTAACTTGAAGTTCTGGAGCTGGGAAGCAAAAGATTAAGTCCTGGCAGATTTAGTGTCTGGGGAGGGCCGACTTTCTGGTTTATAGATGATGCCTTATTGCTGTGCCCTCACATCGTGGGAGGGTAGAGAAGTCTCTCTCAGGCCTCTTTTATAAGGACTCATCCTATTTATGAGGGCTCCACCCTCTTGACTTCATCTCCTCTCAAAGGCCCCTCCTCCTAGTACCATCACCTTGGGTATTAATATTTCAGCGTATGAATTTGGGAGACATCAACATTCAGACCACAGCAATCTCATTTGTTTGTGCGGGAAAGATGGGAACAATTCTGAGAATCTTGTTTTTAACCTGTACATATGCATCCACTTATGCATTGGGTCTAATGTTATTTGAGTTTCTGCTTTCTTTCACAAATAAACTCAGACAAAATCAACTATGGCAAATGGCCTTGCCAGTTTTTGTCTGCTGTCTGTCATGGACTAGGAACTTGGTAAATATTTGTGGAGTAGATTAGTTATTGACTGTATTTCACAATACTAACTAAGCTTCTTATGTTAATTCAGGTATCTCTTTAATTATTGGTAAATTATTAATCATGGCTTCTGTATGATTTTCTTGCAAAGGGGAATGTCTGATAGATTTTCTTTTGAGTTGAAAATATTCTGTTTTGGGAAAAACCCTCTCAAACTCTATTTTTCTTCTACTCTCACACAACAACAACAAACACAGAAGACTTCTGTGACCAAATGTGTGGGTTTTTTCCCATACACGCCAAGCAACAGACACAGTTGGGTGTCCTCTAATTCAGTTCTGACACTATCTACTCTATCAGTCCGACACTATCTACTACACTATCCACTCTCAGAGAGTGTCAGAGCCCACATGTTGAGGGTTCAGTCCCCAAAACTGTCTCATCCCCCCAGATACCAATTGCAAGTCCAGGCCTCAGAACTTCTGACCAACAGGCTTCAGCTGGGGTTCCCACAGTCCCTGGGTTGGATTCTATTAATTTGCCAGAGCAGCTCAGAGAACTCAGGGAAACACATATGTATACACGTTTATTTCAGAGGATATCACAAGGGATACAGATGAAGATATGCATAGGGCGAGTTATGGGGGAAGAGGTGCAGAGCTTCCAAGCCCTCCCGATGTGCCACTTTCCAGGAACCTCCAGGTGGTTAGCTCTCCAGAAGCTCTACGAACCCAGTCCTCTGGGGTTTTATGGAGGCTTCTTGACATCAGCATTTTTTTCCCCAGGACGTAGGGGGCAGGACCCTCTGTGGAATGAGGATCTTATGACCCACAATCAGAAAGGAGGCAGGGAGGATTAGAGTCCTGCCTTAGAGCAGGTAAAAGGAGGGCAGGGGAAGGTCAGAGAGATTGCTTTCTGAGGCCTGCTCCTGAGACCTGACACACCCAGTACCATCACAAGACTATAACGGGGGTTATGGGAGATATGAGCCAGGAACCAAGGAGGAAACATGTAATAACAGCACATATACCAATAGGCAGGTAATAAATTTACCTAAAATAGTCATAAATTTATAGTTGGACTAGCTTCTTAGACTCAATACTTCTTTATTACTTTATTCTTATAGTCTCTCCTTCTTTTTCCTTCTGATGATTTCTTTCCCCATTTACCTCAAAGACAAAACAGAAAGTGTGAGTGTGTTCTGGAATTTGGTTGGAGTTGATAAAAGAATAAAACATTCTGTTTACTTGTACTGTTACTTTACTTTACTGTATTACTCCCGTTCTATAATTATGTCTTGGTCTTTCTCAGCAGCTTATAGTTTTACTTTTTTTTCTGTGTGTATCTTCAAAGTGGTCTGATAGTTGTACCTGTTTAGTGTCAACATCTGATTGTATTGATCATGTCCTCTTGCCTTGCAGGAGCTATGCCTGTTCCAGACCAGCCTTCATCAGCCTCAGAGAAGACGAGTTCCCTGAGCCCCGGCTTAAACACCTCCAACGGGGATGGCTCTGAAACAGAAACCACCTCTGCCATCCTCGCCTCAGTCAAAGAACAGGTAGAAACATTCCCATTTTTGTGATATGCGTTTGGGGACATTTTAAAAATTGTTTTTCTAGATGAACGTTAAAGATTAAATTATGTTAAAAGAAACTCATACTCATGTAGCAGAGTGTTGGTATTTATTATATAAATAATATTGTAATATGGTTATAATTCCTTTTGACTCCATGTTTTGGGCAGCCTTCCTTGAAAAGATATTTTATAGGGGAAGAAAAACAACTTTATAATCAAAATTTCCTATGGGTGAAGTTTTGGCAGATTAATTGATGGACCTGACATTTAATACTATTAAACATACAAAGTGAAATAATTAGTCTTAGAAAAGATAAAATCTAATGAAAAATTAAAATATATCCGGGAGGTTAAAAATATATATGACAGTAAATGAATATCACATCAAAGTCAAGGCAAATTGGTTTTTCCAGTGTTTTCTGAGATGGATCTGGAAGGATGTAGTCTAAAATTTCCTTCTCGAACTAATGAAAGTCTGAACGATTCTTCCTCCAATGTTACTTTGCCAAAAAATGCATAAGTAAATAAAATCTGAACCTTAGATTTAAAACGTCACTTTATAAAAGTCATGTTTCTTGTAAATAAAAAAGTAGTAAATAAAGAGAGCTGGACGATCAAGATTCTTTTAGTTACTGCTTCTTCTAAACATGTGCTAGAAAGTATAACGGTTTTTAAAATTTTAAGTAAAAAAGCCTGCCGCGTTTGGGTTATGTGATTTGGTGATGCTGAATTGGCAACTTACCTGACTCCAGGAACATCTCAGCAGAGCGAGAGCCTAAAATGGGAGCAATTAAGAATAGTAACGCTATTCAAAAAGAAGAAGGGCTCTAGAGGAAACTGATTCTGTTTCATGAGTGGAAACTGATTTAGGTAAGAGTGGGAAACCACCTAAACAGTCAACCCACTGACCGAAGGGATCAATGATGCTATCAGTCAAAAGTGTGCCATCTGGTCAGGAAGTGTTCAGCTAAGTAGGTACTCAAGGGAGAGTTGAATAGATTGAGTGGATACTCTAGTTTGTGAAAATAGTCAGTAAGCAGGAAATTGGGTTGAGCTTTAGGCTGTGCTCCTTGATTAGTTTGCTTTCCAAAGCTCACTCTTGAGAGTTTTCTGATTATGTTTTAGGGGAAATGGAAAAAGGGACCACCAAGGGGGTTAATACCACTCCCCATCCTCAATACACTACCTTGTTATGGTTGGGTTATGTCGTGCTTTCTTATTCATGTGTGATCTGGAAGTCTTGCTAGGCTACTAACTTCTGAGTAGTAAGAAAATTTAAAGCAGAAAGAACAAATGTAACAAAAAGGCAAGACCTGTCTGCTGAAAATTGTTTTATCACAAGGACATAAAGTAATTCAGAATGAATAAAAAGGCATGGCATGCTCCTCTGTTGAAAAGCTTAGTATCATCACAATACTACTGTCTCCCAAATTAGGATATAAAATTTAGGCAGCTGTAATCAGAAGCCTGTGGCTGGTTGTTTGTTTCTTTGGCAAACTGGATCAAACTATTTTAAAGACCGGTGGAAGTATAAATATATGAGAATGCAAGGAAAGTTTTGAGAGATTTTATCTTACCAATCTTACCAATCACAGTAGTACCCAATGGGCCCAAAAAAGAATGGTCTCTGTGTAAAACATAACTGAGGGTTCAAAACAGATTCAAATATACATATATGCCTATTCACTTAAAGTTCGTGTTTCAATTCATTACAAAGAAGAGGCTTACGTGGTGTTGTCATAACTGACTCGACATCTGGAAGAAAATTAGAACTGTTAACTTACAGCATAAAGAGAAATAAATCTCACAGGGAAAAAAATGGTAACTGTAAAAATAAAACCATCAACATATTAGAAGAAACTCTGGGGAAGGAGCTTTGTAAACTAAAGGTAAGCAAAGTTTTAAACAAGAGAGGAAGTCCAGAAGCCATACATAAGTGGTCGATGAGTTTCACAATATGAATACTACTAGTAATAGCAAGACACAACTCAAAATAGCAAAGAAAAATAGTCCAAGAGAAAATATGTGCCACAAGTATAATAACATGTTGATAAAATTAATATATGAAGACTTCCTAATGTTGGTGAGAAAAAGAGAAATAAACGAATACAAAACTAGGCAAAAGATATAAACAGAAGAAAGATGCAAGCAAGTAATGAATGTTTAGAAATGTCCACTCTAATGCACCCATTGGGGACATACAATTTTAAGTGAAAATAAAACTAATTTTTAATCTACCAGGTAGACAGCTGTTGAAAAGTAGTTTATATTGTATGCTAGGTAAGAGTTAAGGCTTGGAGGAATCCACATTCTTTTTCACTCCAAATGGGAATATAAATTGCTATAATTTTTTGGTAAAATGATTTGTTTCTATGCATTGACATTTAAAATGTTCAATAACCATTGATTTAGTCATTTAGATATATATTCTGTAGAAATTAGTGACTAAATAGGTAAGATTTTATGTGTGTCGAAATTTATTATAAAATTATTTGAAATAGCCAAAAATACGGATGGCTTGGTGAAGAGTTGAAAATGTTATATTCTTTCTATAAATATTATGCAGTCATTAGTAAAAATGAGTTGGGGCTATATGTTTAATCTTTGGGGAAAAAATCCATGAGAATTTTAGAAAGGAAATTACATAGTATGGTATTATCCTGTTTTTAAAAACTCAGAACATTAGATATGTTTTTGGTTTATACATATTTATGAGCATCTAGAAAAGTATAGAAGGAAACAAATCAAACTATTAATATTGATTAGCATTTGTGTTTTACAGTTAGATGGAGGTGGAAACAGACTGAAGACATAGGGGATTTGGGTGGGGACACAGCCAAACTATATCACTGTGAAAAGTTTTTTTTCTGAGGAATTAAAAAATGTATTATTCATTTTGGGGCAGCAAAGATGACTTTTTTTTTTTTTGGTGGCACATAAGTAATTTGGGGAGGGATGCAAATGTGTTCTGGAAACTTGAGATAGAGAAGCCCCAGGTGCCCAAGTCAGAAGCTGGGAATTAGGTCCCACGTGCAGCATCTGCCTAGGTGAAAGCATAAATCAAAAAGCAGCAGATTCCATGAGCTTTTTGGGGATGTCCTGATGCAAACAACCAATCTTATCCTTCATTAGGGGATTTGTATCCTAAATCATTCTTAAAGGTTCCTTATTTTTTTCCTCAAGTCTAGAATATTATCTGTAGAGTGAAAGCTAAGTTGTTTCTTAAAATTTTTATCTGAATTGGCCTTCAAGTAGTTAGCAGTGGAGTTAAAAATATAAGACAACCATATGTAAAGAGTTTTAAAATAGAAAAAAATATAGATGAAAATTTCAGGAAACTCTTTAGTCAATATATTATCAAACCCCAGATGATTTTTACAGACTAAAAATAAACTTGAAATTGAGAGCATTTGTAACTCCAGATACTCTATTGTTACACTAATTTTCATTGTTCTTTTAGTTTCACAATCATTATAAACCGTATTCTTGATTTTAGAGGATTTTTTGAGTACCATTATTTAGGATATTGGTGATTCAAAGGTAGCAAAACAGACATTCTCTTCCTTTTAGTTTTTCTTATTGTACAAAATATAGGAAAGTAAGAGTAAGACATTTCTGTGGGTTTGTTTTGTTTTGTTTTTGAGATGGAGTGTCGCTCTGTCGCCCAGGCTAGAGTGCGGTGGTGCGATCTTGGCTCACCATAACCTCTTCCACCTCCACCTCCCAGGTTCAAGTGATTCTCCTGCCCCAGCCTCCTGAATAGCTGGGATTACAGGCATGCGCCACCACGCCTGGCTATTTTTTTTTTTTCAGTAGAGACAGGTTTCACCATGTTGGTCGAGCTGGTCTCAAACTCCTGACCTCATGACCCACCAGCCTCGGCCTCCCAAAGTGCTGGGATTACAGGCGTGAGCCACCGTGCCCAGCTGACATTTCTGGGCTTTCACTATGGGGCAAACCACGACACTGAGTACTTTATATATGTTGTGTCATATGAAGCCACAAGGAAGAATTTAAAAAGATTCATTTAAAATCTAAAGAAACTAGATCTTTTACATCATCTCTTGTGAGGATAGCATGCCTTCCTTTTTATTCAGCTTCTACATTTAGAATTTCAAAAGTAACTTAACTCTATATATAACAAGAATACTATTTGGAAGAAGTTCATTATAAAATACTCCCTTAATTAGTTTTCTTCCAGTGCCACATATCGTTGCTAAATCTTTCAGCATTATTGGTGTTACTATAATGTGCAACAATAATTTCTGATAACACAATGTGTTGTTAGGGAAATGACCTATAACTATTAATCAAATTTCGGATGGTATTTTGGGAAAGCATTTTATGAAATTAATGACAAAATTATCATCCAAGAAAAAGCAGAAGTTATAACACCTTAGGAAAGGTCAAGAAGATAGAGGATTATCTGCAAAGACCAGTGAAGTTTATATTCGTTTAGTCAGAGAAGGGAAGAATTATCCATAGCATAGTGCTACCAGTTGAACTTTCTCCACATATCAAAATTTAAGTGAGAATTACGTGATTGCTGAATTTTTATTTCTTGTTTCAAGCCAGGGTGGATTAGAAATGAAAAAAAAAGCATGCATTTCCTTTAACTTTTGTTGCAGAAACTCAGCTGTATTAGGAATAGTGATCATCTGTTTGAAGCTGTGAATTGAGAGATAAAGGTGCAAGCTAGGAGTCCGTGGAACTGGGTCATGACACATGATATGGTTTATAACAAGGAAGGGGGAGCAAGGATCAGAAAGCCTTGTGAGTTTCATACGTACAGGATGGAAGGATTGTAGATAGATTGACCAGATGGGGTGTTTAGAGTTCCAGGAGGGTAAAGAAAGAAAATGAGTGTGTATGTAAAGTTATGAAGTTCATGTATGAAGGAAAGGGATGCTCAGGTAGCATGAGATTGATGGGACCACCTGCATTTGAAGTGTATTTGTTTACTTGTTAACCCTGTGCATCAGAAAAATGATAAATAAAACTATAAATCAAGGAGAAACAAATCATAAACTACTTATTCAAGTCTTGGGAATGTGTGCTGGGAGTTCCAGTTATGGGTGAATAATTCTAGAACTCTGGATAGATCATCTCTGTCTCTCCACCCCTGCTTCCTGATGCTCTCTTATGTGTATTCTGTTAGTTACTCTAAGTTATTTTGACTTTTCCCCCTGAAACTTAATATTTTCCTTAGTTTCAGTTTATAACTCTTCTCAGGACACTTATATACCTATCTGTCCTTTTGATAATTTCAAACTCCATTCCAAGAATTAACTCATTTGATTGTTTTATGCTCTGTTCTATTTAATAGTGTTAGTTGTTGGGTTTACAGAGCACTGGAGCTATCAAGGGAAAAAAAGAGACTAGGGTGTTATATGCTAGATTAGAAAATAAGCCTTTAGTATGTGGGGTTTTGTAACATGACAATATAGTGCTTCTAACGCTTCTGTCATATTTATTACTACAACTCATTGTTAAATATTCATATGTAAAATCATACTGAATATGTAAAATGTGGTGTTTTAGTAATTTTTATGAATTTTCCACTATAAAGGCGTAATTCATGCATGTTGTGTAAAAGTTTAAAACATTAGATAGGAAAAATAAATGAATTGGGTTTTTTTTATTTTGAAAATTCACCACAAACAGAGGTAGCTGCAAATATTTAGGGAGATTTCCTTCCAGACTTTTTATATGAATATAAGATTATCTGTACAAAATTTTCATTTTGCTTTATAAATATTTTATTCTTCTTTGTACATTTAACCTTCTATGAGGAGTATTTTTTCATATCATTTAATATTATTTCAAACATGTTTCTAATGAGTATGTGATATAGATTCACTGTGAATTATTTAATATAATTGTATTTCACATTTTTACCTTTGTTGATCTTAGATTGATTCCATTTTCACAGTATGAAAAGAAGTGACATGTCACACTTCCTTGTACATTAATCATTGGGTCTGCTTTGACAGACACTGCCTGGAGCAAAGGTTTGAAAAAAAAAGATTCAAGACTCTTAAAAATTCGCTTGGAAAATATGTCATCATTAATTACTGAAAAGGGCCACTGGCAGGCCAACAAAGCAGGGGCTCCTGGGGTAAAATAGTCAGTGCGCTGTGCATGGTTTGCACAAAGCAAGAAATTAACCCATAGAATATTCTAGAGGAAGCTCATGGGAAAAATGTTGATTTTTTCAGAGAAATGGAACCAGATATAGTAGGAATAGTCAAGAAAAACACAGGAATTATTTTAGAGCAAGGAAACAATGTTCAATAGTATCTCAAAAACGTTTTTTAAAAAGAACAGACAATAAATTCCTTTAATTTACATATTTTTGTAAAACATGTATTTCTATAAAATGTACATGTGAAACATTTCCTCAGATATATAATTAAATCATATATTTTTCCTCTAATGATTATTTTGCTCAATATGTTTTATGATCAAGAAACTGAGACTTTATGTTTTACTTCAAATTCAGTGCTTTTCCCCCCCACTACACTACACAACCTCATCATTTAGATAAAATAATAGGCCTACAATGTGTTGTCTGATATTTTTCTGAAGAAAAATATTTTTCTATGACCAAGGTTTTGCTAAGGTCAAGTTAGATAGTATTCTCTGCCAGTCTCTTATTTAACGAGGAGAAGAGAATAGGGAAATTTATACATTAATTTGATCTGCAATATATTTAATTTGATCCGCAATGTATTTTTAAAAGGAATCACTAATAACCCAAATACAAATAATTTAAGGAACAACTATACCTTATTTTTTAGTTAATTGTATCTGTAGAGAAAATGTGACAGGAAGGGAATACTGTGGGTTAGACACATTCTTACTTTAGTTGAAAATTTCTGTTGCTGGGCATCAGTGGCCTGGACTGGAGTTATCTCTAGCATGCATCAGTGACACAGGTAAACATGCCTGAGGCAGCCCATCGATCATGTTCAAGTTGCTGTCACTGGGCTGCAATCATAAAACGCACGTGCAAGTTCATGCCCTGGGCTCTAAATGAGCTGGCTCTGTGGCCTCCCATGGAAAAGTGAAGATTAGCATCCTCCTTTTTCACTAAGGACAAGTTCTGACTTTCATATTCTACTCATAGCCTCAGGAAGCAGCTGGGCCACTTGCCTAATTACTGTGAGAAAGAACAACTCAATATCAATAAGGCAAAAAAAAAAATCACTTTTGACAGGTAATCTTCAACATCTAGGGAGACATTGCTAAATAGCTTCATTCCCCAAGTCAATAGATTTAGTCATTTGGGGATGCATTTTCGCAAGTTACACATCTTGGAGTGATAAAGAAATTATGCTCAAATTAAAAATTAAAATTACATAAAAGTCTAGTCCATAGTTTTTATAGGAAATCACAAACAATTCCACATATAGTTTTGACACTGCCGTATCTTCTATTCTGAAAAGTAGAACTCTGGGATATCAACCAAAGGTGTTTAAGTCTTTTATTTGATTCAGAACTTTTGAAATACCACTGTAGCACTGTTGGCCAGCACCCATGCCCACCACCTCCACAACAGAGGAGAAACCCTCCACCGAAATAGATAAGCTTGGAATCCAGCCCACCTATTAACAAAACAGCCACTTTTATTAAATTATTTTGTTAAATAATACCACACACTTGAGATACTGTTCAGAGACCTGAAATTGCCTAATAGAGACCTCCTGTCAAAAGCCAGAGGCAATTTATTCTTCAAATGAATCATCTAGAGTGTAAATCCTCTCACTTTTGAGAGCTCTGCTCATATTGAAAACAACACCTCATCCCTCCACTGGAATGCCCCCCAAGAACACGGCTTGAATAATGCTGCAGTGATTTGGTGACTCTGTCTTTATGGAGACCCAAGATAAGAAATTACCATACTAGGAGCTTTACTGGTTTGTTTACTGACATTGAAAACCTTTCAATAGTTAACTATAGTCAACTGATCTAATATAAATGAACCGTTTCAGTAATAGACATATTACTCTTACTACTGGTAATAATTAATAACTGCATAACTGTAATACTTTTTTTTTTTTTGAAATGAAGCCTTGCTCTGTCGCCCAGGCTGGAGTGCAGTGGTGTGATCTCAGCTCGCTGCAAGGTCCGCCTCCCGGGTTCACACCATTCTTCTGCCACAGCTCCCGAGCAGCTGGGACTACAGGTGCCCGCCACTACGCCCGGCTAATTTTTTGTATCTTTAGTAGAGACAGGGTTTCACTGTGCTAGCCAGGAATGTCTCGATCTCCTGACCTTGTAATCTGCCCACCTCGGCCTCCCAAACTGCTGGAATTACAGACATGAGCCACCACGCCCGGCCCAATAACTGTAATATTTTTCTAACTCTCACCTAAGCTTATTGGATGGGGATGTGGCCTTGTCTCCCCTCCTTACTGTTGGGTCACCAGCTCTTGGAGCAGTGCCAGCCATGGAGGAGGTGTTTAGTATATTTGTATTGAGAGTATGACTTAGGAATGAACTTACTGTCTTTTTCCATTTTATTTTAGCACAAAAGTAAATGCGTTGCTTAATTGTGGTAAAAGTCCTTAGTCACTTTTATGGTGCAGGGGTCTCATTTCCAGTGTTACATTGATCATATGCTTTTTCCCTTACTTTAATGGTTGTATTGGGTCTAGATCTTCCATTTGGGCTGCCTGCATATCGCTTCAGAATGTGCCCATTGACTGATGAATCCTAGGCCCCCAAATTGCAATTTTTTCTATAAACAACCTCAATCAAAACTCATTTAATCAGGTGGAATGAGATATTTTCAGTTTAATATGAGGCTTATTTACTCAACTATATCCTTCATTAATAAAATGTGTCTTTGTCTTTTTTTTTGAAACTAGACTGTGTACCTTGTTTTAGTTAAGAGGAAAAAAAACCTACCATATTAGTACATGAATCAGCAACTTTACACATAAAAAACATAAAAATACACTTAATTATTTTTGTTTGTATACAATTATGCCAAGTTTATCATATTTGTTGAAAATCTTCAGTGATTTTTAACTGCTGTTTGAAAGCATGCTGTTCCCCAGAGTCTCAGAAAAATCCAATTATTTGTTTTAGTGCTTATTTTGTATGCTTTTTGTGTTTGGGAGATTTTTCACATATTTGTGCTTGATGAAACTCTTGATGTTGTCATATTAAAATGTTTTAATCATTACAGATTTTGAAGTAATTTTTTGTGTTTACTATTTATTTTTATGTTTAATGGTGGCATGTCATATGTGTTTGATATGGTTTGGCTGTGTCCTCACCGAAATGTCATCTCAAATTGTAGTTCCCATAATCCCCATGTGTCATGGGAGGGACCTGGTAGGAGGTAATTGAGTCATGGGGGCAATTACCCTCCTGCTGTTGTTGTGATAGTGAGTGAGTTCTCACAAGATTTGATGGTTTTATAAGGGGCTTTCCGCCCCCACCTTTGGTCATTCTTCTCCTTCCTACCACCATGTGAAGAAGGACATGTTTGCTTCCCCTTCTACCATGATTGTAAGTTTTCTGAGGCCTCCCAGGCCCTGTGGAACTGGGAGTCAGTTAAACCTCTTTCGTTTATAAATTACCTAGTCTCAGGTATTTCTTCATAGCAGCATGAGAATGGACTTATACAGTGTTGTATATGAGTAGTTCTTTTATTGTTGGCACTTTTTTATTTTAGCACATTTCCTTTTGAGCACATTTGTGTAGATGGTTCCAAGAGAGACAAAAAGCATACTTACCTGCAACTGTGTAACCATTAATTTCAGTCTTCTCTTCAGTTTACGGGAAATAGAATCTTCATAGAAGAAAATGCTGGGAGGATTTGTGTTGAAAAATTTAAGTACTGTTATAGCAAATTCTTCATTCTTGTCCCTGGCTCATGTGAGGGTTTACTTTTCAGCATCTTCTTAGGAGAAAACTCTGTGAAAATGGTGTCTTAAAGCAGTCTATTATTGAAAGCTACCTCACTAAAATGTAAAATATGAATATATTTTTCATCAACACAGGAAGTGAGTAAATAGGTGGTTTTGTTAGAAATGTGGACCACAAATAAAGATTGCAGGAAGGCGAAGTAAACAGGGGAATTGTGACAATAAACTTAGCCTAAAACTCACTATGGTAAGTTGTCTTGTTTCAGAGTGCTAGATCACAATTTCCTATGTCTCCCATCCTTCTTGTGATGAGAATCTGATCCTCTCCCGTTGATAGACGAGCTCCATATTTCCTCTTCTTCATTCCAGTTAGGCTTAGGACTATGGTGGAAGGGAATGCATGTGACCAGGGCTACAGGGAAGTAGACCTCCTGCCTAGTTCTTCTGAGATGCTCATTCTTAGAAACCAGTCACCATGAGGTGAACATGCTCAAGACACTTGTAAAGAGGCCATGTGGACAGGCACGCAGTCTCCAGGCATGCAGCACCATCTGAACTCCTGGCTGATGCCAGCACTGACTTAGCAACCTTTCCAGTGAGCCATCAGCAGTGGAGCCCCGAGCCCCAGCTAATGCTGTGTGAAGCAGAGGCCATCTGTCCTCATTGATATTTGGAGATAGAGGACCAAAGCAGATGGTGGTTGTAATTTCAAGTCAGTAAATCTTGAGGTGGTTTGTTACACAGCAGTAGATAACCAATTCACTCATTTTTTCCATGTTTATAAAAAATCAGTCATGTTAGACCATTTTCTCTACTTCTAAGTCTTACGATTCTATGTAGCCTGGGGTGAATTTAAAAAAAAACAGCTTATTGAGATTTACTCACATACCATACTGTTCCCTTTTTTATGTGGTTTTGGTATAGTCACAGTCACTCCAGGAAACCACTATTATACTTTCTGCTTCTGCAGATTTTCTTATTCTGATTGTTTTATGTAAATGGAATTATAAATATATGGTCTTTTCTAAAGGGCTTATATTGCTTATCATAATGTTTCAAGTTTCATTCATGTTGTGGCATGCATCGGGATTTCATTACTTTTTACTGCCAAATAATATTCCACTGTATGGATACACCTCATTTCATTTATGCAGTCATTCATTGATGGCCATTTGGGTTGTGTTCACTTGTTGTCTATTGGGAATAGTGTTGCTGTGAATATTTGTGTACAAGTTTGTGTGGACATATGTTTTTATTTCCCTTGGGTAATAAAAACCTAAGAGTGGAAATGCTGGGTCACATGACAACACTAGGTTAACATTCTGAAGAACCGCCAGGCTGTTTCTGTATTTTATGAGGATTACAATATCTTCACATCCTTGCCAACACTTGATGTTTTCTGACTTTTTTGACTATAGGCAGAATAGTGAGCTGAGGTAACACTGAAATGAACTGCTAGACCAGAGCCTAAGAACATCAAAAAAATTCCATGGCAGACCAACAACACATTTTAAAATATGTAAATATTATATTTAAAAATATTAGCAATATATTTAGTCAGTAGACAAAATAAGCTCCCAAACATGAGTCGCGGCAGCATACCCACACCTGTGAAGAATATAGAAACCAAGTTACATATGTTGCAGGTGGGAAAATCAATGATGCTTGGCTTGCAAATTGTGGGTGGTCGGGTGAGACAGGAAGGGGGGCTGTAGGAGCTGTCTTCAAATATGGTTATGCAAAAGAAGAACCAAACTTTTGTTCAATAACTGTTGTACAACTGAGAAGAGCTTAGGATAAAGCGTCAAAATTTAGGAGAGGCAGGTCTCTGTCTTGTGCCAGATATGAATCTCAGTTACAAACTTGAGGAACTTTAAGCCTGAAAGGAATAACTCAAAGACTTAAGTAGCCCCCCATATATTTGGAAGGAACAAATAGGTTTGGGGTTTACATTGCTAGTGACAATGGCAAGTTTCACTGCAGATCTGCCTCTGGGATGTGTTCATAAGGTAGACTTTTTTTTAATGGAAAAAATGGTCTCAAAGATGCCAGCAAATGACAAATTTAGGGAAGTACTCTCAAGTACGGCCAGTTGCTGCTGTCTCTTTGGGAAATTCACTGACAAACAGTAATCAATGACAGACCTTTTGACCAGTGGGTGGCAGCACAGAGATGTACCATCGCTTGTCAGTAAATGTGCTGAGATGCAATTCTTTTTAGCCTGGGGTGTGGCTGGGTAAGCTCTTTGCACTGGCTTCGTCCATTGCCTTGCACAGCATGCTCAAAATATATTATCCTTTTCTAACTACCATATGAAACATAGGATACTAGGGTACGAAAAAAGTTGGAAAGGATCTGTGGTGTGTGTGTGTGTGTGTGTGTGTGTGTGTGTGTGTGTGTGTGTATATGTCAGAGCTACCCACAAATTCAAAGAGAGAAGTAGCGAAGTCCTAGATGTTAGAATTAAGCAAGGAGAATCTGAATGAATATCTGTGAGGGACTTAAATTAGAGTGAAGATTTAACTAAATGAACTAAGGTCTTCTCCAAATCATAGATGTTGTTAAACTCTGACATATAACTTGTTAGCTAGTAAAATCTACTTATTAGTATTTCATCGCTAAGGATAAATATTGCATATTATTTTTTAATCTTGACAACATTTAAATATAGTTTTGTTGTTGTTGTTCCTGCTAAGAATCTTTCCTCTGTGGTCTGAGATATCCATACTTTGTAAATATGTAGTATCTATAACAACAGACAATTTATTATGTAGCGTTAGGAACCATTGTCTCCACCACAAGTCTAGGTAAGGACTTGAGGTGGGACATCTGATTATCTTTGTTAATTAGGGGGAAAGTCACTCAGTACTACTGGGCTGTAATCTATTTTAAGGATAAGGTAATTTTCATGGCTTCTGCCATGACACAGAGTAAGCTACGTGACACTCGCTTCTGAAGGAGAAGTATGCCATCTTGTTTTAAGGACTGATTCATAAGTGGCCATAGAGTGTGGGCTAATATTCTGCATGATGGAAAAAGTGATACATTTGGAATCAGTAGACTTACTTCAGATTCCTCCAGCATTTTCTTACTGAACGGCCTTGGTTATGTAACATTTCTGAAACTGATTTTAATTATCTGATAAAATGAAGACAGTTAGCTCTCAGTGTTGTAATGGAATGTATGCATATAATAACACACATTTTACAAACACATATTAGTTTATTAGGATGCCCATGGAAATCTGTGCTCCTCAGTTGATATCAGCTTGATGAATTACTCTTTGCCATCTCTCTTAGACAATTAAGCAGTAAAGACTATGCAGTCTCAAGCTGGGGATTAAATCAGGAAATCCAATGGTGAATCTGGAGTTTCTTTAGTCACTAAGGAAATATGGAGAGAGGAGAGGATATTTGGTAGAGAAAAAATAATAATAAATGAGCTTTCAGAATTTAACTTATTGACAGATTATTACATGAGATGGTCTATAAATCCGCTGGAGAGAGAGTGCAGGAGGCGTTTCAAAGCTCCTTGATAACACTTCAACATGTTACATTTCAGTGTTCTGGGAGAAGATGTAGATTTTTTCTCTCTTACTTTTCTTATTTTTTTTTTTGTAAAAAAAGAAAATGTGTTAGAACTCTTGATAATCAGGTCATTTTTGTTGCTGTGACTTAAAACCCTCTGGATCACAAGTGTGTTTGCAAGTCCCAGCACCTGCCAATGTCTGATATCAAGAGGCTTTGGGGAAATCAAGGAGAACAAGTTGTGTTGCTCATCTCAGTCAGCACATAGAATAGTTATTGTCCGTGAATGGAGAAGGAGATATTTCCTACAGAAGCGGGAGCTCAGAGCCACAGATGACCAGTAGAACATGAAGTTCTGGGGTTTCCAGAAATCTTGGGTCAATTGAAATTCTCACAAAAGGTGGGATAGGAGACTCTAGATAGTCCTCATTAAATCTTAAGAACATTAGCCACTATTTGAATTATGCTGTGCAAAGTGTCCTTGTGCCCCTTTGAGACATCTTCCTTCTTTTGGATTCAATGGAAAGGGCCTGTCGTAGTGCCTGGAATATGGAAGCTGCTCTTTGCATAGTAGCTACAAATACGAATATTGAAATTATTTTATTAATTGATCATGAGTAACAATAGTAATAAATTTCACACTTAACCACTGAGATTGAATTGAATGTGCGAAATTCATTTCAAGAGTCCTGATGTTTTATTGCCATTGGACTATTTTATGGAAGTCAATAAAGCTATTTTATTTAAATTGTTGGAATATATTTAAGAAGGTGTTGATAGCATTAATGGTGAGTGATATGGTTTGGCTGTGTCCCCACCCAAATCTCACCTTGAATTGTAATAATCCCCAGATGTCAAGAGTGGGGCCAGGTGGAGATAACTGAATCATGGGGGCAGTTTCCCCCATACTGTTCCCATGGTAGTAAATAAGTCTCATGAGATCTGATGGCTTTAAAAATGGGAATTCCCCTGCACAATCTCTCTTTCGCCTGCCCCCATGTAAGACGTGACTTTCCTTCTCCTTTGCCTTCTGCCATGATTGTGAGGCCTCCTTAGCCATGCTGAATTGTGAGTCCATTAAACCTCTTTCCTTTATAAATTACCCAGTCTTAGGCACATCTTTTTTTTTTTTTTTTCACAGTCTCTTGCTCTGTCTCCCAGGCTGGAGTGCAGTGGCGTGATCTCAGCTCACTGCAACCTCTGCCCCCAGGGTTCTAGCAATTCTCCCACCTCAGCCTCCCAAGTAGCTGGGATTACAGGTGCCTGCCACCATGCCCGGCTAATTTTTTTTGTATTTGCAGTAGAAATGGGGCTTCACCATGTTGGCCAGGCTGGTCTCCAAGTCTTGACTTCAGGTGATCCACCTGCCTCAGCCTCCCAAAGTGCTGGGATTACAGGTGTAAGCCACTGTGCCCTGCCAGGTACGTCTTTATTAGCAGCGTGAGAACAAACTAATACAGTGAGTAAGGTGAAACTCATTTTCTGTCTTTTCAAAAAATCACTATTTCATAACAAAATTTCTAGTATCAAGACTAGTACTTTTGGCCGGGCATGGTGGCTCATGCTGGTAATCCCAGCACTTTGGGAGGCTGAGGTGGGTGGATCACCTGAGGTCAGGAGTTTGAGACCAGCCTGGCCAACATGGCGAAACCCCGTCTTTACTAAAAATACAACAATTAGCTGGGCATTGTGGTGCACACCTGCAGTCTCAGCTACTCGGGAGGCTGAGGCAGGAGAATCCCTTGAACCCGGGAGGCGGAGGTTGCAGTGAGCTGAGACTGTGCCACTACACTCCAGCCTGGTGGCAAAGTGAGACTCCATCTCAAAATACAAAAATACAAACAAAAAACACAAAACTTAGCTGGGCATGATGATGGACACCTGTAATCCCAGCTACTTGGGAGGCTGAGGTAGGAGCATTGCTTGAACATAGGTGGAGGAGGTTGTGGTAAGCTGAGATTGCGCCACTGCACTCCAGCCTCGGTGACAGAGCAAGACTCCGTCTCATAAATAAATAAATAAATAAATAAATAAACAAATAAGTAAATAAAAAGACTAGTACTTTCCAATTTCTTAACTGATGGGATTCAATTTTAGGTTAAATGAATGAATGATTAAATAAATAACAACTGTTAGAAATTGTATAGAGAGAAAATAAGTAAATGAAATTTAATATATTTAGGTAGATGCAAGGGTTGCAAGGCTGTGATGTGAATATTTCAATTGCAATAATACCTCACATTTAATTTTAAAAGAGTTTAACCAAAGTAAATAATCTCTCTTATTCATGGTAATGCTATCTGGGCACATGCTTGAATTTGACCTTTTTGATAACATACACATAAATAAATGAATGAGAAGTTACATTTATCCTTTGTTAACATCCCTCAATTATTTTATTATTTAAACTATTTAATTAAGTGTATAACTAAATTGCTACTCTTCTTGTTGTTGGGTTTACATTTTTCAAGAAACATTATGACTTGATAATGATGTAGTATCACATCAGACCTGGTATAAAGGAATCCGGAAGTTACTATGGGAAACCCCTTATGAGTGGCTGTCAAGCCCTAATTGCTCACTCTGTGAATAGTCCAGATACCCCATGCTCATGTTGGTCGTAGAGGATTGGTGGCCCCAGAATGGTTACTTGAACAGATGCGGACACATCAGTGCATTTTTTCTGAGTCCTTTCATGCCAGCATTATTATGTATTGAACGAAGTCTGCTTGTCTACGATAGAGAGTTTGGATAATTGGAGGCCTTGTTTTCTGCCCTGTAAAGAAAGCTAGAATGCTTGATTGTTCAACTCTTTGGATTCAGTGAGAGATCCCAGTATTCTTCCAATAAATTATTTTTTGTTGTTTGATTTTGTTTTTTGTCATTTTCATTTTTTTGGTTTGCTTAAACTAGCTCACATTGACCTTCTGTCGCAACCAAATGCATTCTAACTAAATCATGTATTTGGCACTTGGATGGGTAATCTCTTTATAGGCAGGCCCATAACATTTCCATTTCTATCTTAAGACATTTATAAGATGCCTTTAAGAAGCTATGCATGAATTGAAGCATTCCAGAATATTGACTCCTGGCAAGGCCTCCTAGAACTGAATTCCCAGAAAAGAGTAGGAAGGGTAAATCTACTTGTCACATGTATCTGTTATTTGGACAACTTTCTGGAGATGGTTAAAGGATCTTTTCCTTTCTTAAAAAGGCTTGACTAACAGGAGGTTTTGGAGTTAACAGTTAAGTCAACTGCTGGAGAATACATTGAAAAATTCATCAGAATGTGCCCACCTGGATTCACTCAGAAGGAATGGTTACAAACTGCCTTGTTTTTTGTTTGTGTGTTTTCCTTTGTTTTTTTTCCCCAACAGATTACCATACAAATAAAGCAGCGACAACCTGAAGATGTAATGCTTCGTGATTTCAATAAAGCATTTGGCAGTCTCTTGTGATACTCTTGTGTAAAAATGAGTGAATGAGGAGTTCATGCTTGATAGTATCATTCACATCTGCTCTGGCTATGGAACTAAACTTGTCCAGAGAGTATTGGATATTAAATTGGGGCATTTATTTTCCCCAATCACTCTGCCTGGTAACTCAGGGCCATGAAGAAAAATTCACTCTAAGACAGAAACCCTATCTCTCAAAATCTTAAGGTATTTTATTTTTACATAAGTATTATTGTTTCCCTTAATGATAATCATAAACATAATAGCTAATAATAATGTATCGCAATACACGTACATTTTCATTCTTTACCTTCCTGATTTCTTTCTTTCTTTTTTTTTTTTTGAGACGGAATATTGCTCTCTCACCTAGGCTGGAGTGCAGTGGTGGGATCTCGGCTCACTGCAAGCTCTGTTCGCCTCCCGGGTTCATGCCATTCTCCTGCTTCAGCCTCCCGAGTAGCTGGGACTACAGGCACCTGCCACCATGCCCGGCTAATTTTTTTTTGTATTTTTAGTAGAGACGGGGTTTCACTGTGTTAGCCAGGATAGTCTCGATCTCCTGACCTCTTGATCCGCCCGCCTCGGCCTCCCAAAGTGCTGGGATTACAGGTGTGAACCACTGCGCCAGGCCCCCTGAATTATTACAATTTACATATGAGGAAGATTGTATCATCCTCAAGTTAAAATGAAGATGAGGCTAAGAGAGATCTTACAACCTATTCTGGGTCACAGACTATTAAATGTGAGAATGGCATTCAAACCTAAATTTTCCTACCTTTTAAGTGAGCTTGCTTCTCTGCTAATCTGTAAATGCATATAAATGAAGTAAAAGATCAAGGCAACCAGTGTAATGCTCTGTAACTTTACCAGAGTAAGGTATTGAGAGAGGAAGAGAGAAATTCATGCAGTAATCTTAAGAAAAATATGGAGCTGGTCATAAAAAAAAATTGTCATTATCCCTAGGAAAATAAAAACATTTAAAGAGGTGTTGAGGCATTTGTTTTTCTGTCTGGAAGGCCGACTCCAGTCAGTTTCTGATAGGGTTTCCCTTTTTTCATTTTCTACCAATGTTAGCTCCACAGGAGCACTCCTTCCATCAAATTCATTCACTATGTTTCAGATACAATCACGAGAAATATCTTTCACTTTCTCTTTAAAAATAAATTAAGCCATCACTCACAGCAAACATATACTCCCCGTGTAACAAAGTTAAATATAGAATGTAATTTACAGTTAAACTAATATTGAACTTGTTGTCGAGGCTACGGTCTTGTTAGGGACCTGCCATACTTGAATGGAGTCCTCAGAGTCCCGCCCCCCTGCTGTCCCCAGTGTCCTATGCCACACTTCCAGGTGAACGGTAGGTCCAGAAGCCTTGATCACTAAAGATGGCAAGTTTAGATTGTGTTAATGAATGTTTCAAACCATTTATTTTAGTCTTCAAATCCATGACATATTTCATTGCAATTTGTACCCTAAGAAATTTGCAGAATTAAGGCTCTGTGTTACATTTTATTTGTCTGTATTGAAATGAAATGGAGCTGGTATTTAGATATTCTAATGATATCCAGGTTGTTGCAGAAGTCTTATCCTCATGATGAAAATACTAGGAGAAAAACTGTCCTTTATATATATGTATATATATGGTATTTTTTTTTTTTTTTTTTTTTTTGAGATGGAGTCTCACTCTGTCACCCAGACTGGACTGTAGTGGCGTGGAGCAATCTTGGCTCACTGCAGCCTCTGCCTCCTGGGCTCAAGCGATTCTCCAGCCTCAACCTCCTGAGTAGCTGGGATTATAGGTGCATGCCACCATGCCCAGCTAATTGTTGTATTTTTAGTAGAGATGGGGTTTCACCATGTTGATCAGGCTGGTCTCAAACTCCTGACCTCATGATCCTCCTGCCTCAGCCTCCCAAAGTACTGGGATTACAGGCCTGAGCCACTGCACCTGGCTTACATATTGTATTTCTAATATAGGTAGGTGCTAATTGTCTCCACAAAGAATAGTTTTTAATTTCAGCCCTTCTAATAATAGTAATATTAACAACAAAAACAAATGTTATTTGTGAAATCACCCATTCACATTGATTTCTGTCATCCTAAAATAAGAAATAAATTGCTGACTGTATTTAGTATTTCTGTCTGGTCATAGTCAATATAATTTTTCATAAGGAGAGGAATATCCTATGTTCTCATTTCTTTCTCCTTCTCCCCATTTTGCAGCACTGTGTACATACCATTTTTGCAGGAATGTGGCTCGAACTTTATTTATCTTTAGCCTGACCCCTAGGATACTATGAATGACTATATTATCAAAAAATACCTCTGCTTTTGTGTGCTGCTGTTCAGTATCATATCCCCATTTTCACTATGGCATATACTTAATCAAAAAATAATCTCGTAAAAACTTATCTTCTCCAACTAGTATATTTGATTCTATTTTAAACTCATTTTAAGCTATTAAGTTTGCTAACTGTGGGAAGTTACTAAACTCTGATTTCTAGGATGAACGACTCTTTTGTTTTATTTTACCCTCTTCTTTTAATGTCCAAAAACAATCCTTGTGACCACGAATTTAGAAAAATATTATTTAAATTATACCTATTGAATTAGCATCATTGGAAAAATGAGTTTCAAATAAGAAACTTTAGAGTTTGAACTTTACAAGTACTTTAATATTTCTATTTAAATTGTCTTTATAAAATTATTTTTATTTTAACACTGCTGTATGCCCTTTATTGAATAAAGAACAGAACAGTACAAACATTTCAGCATTTTCTTGATGTCTCAGTGTTGTTAGTAGGAATACTACATTTCATCCATAATTACAGATGCAAGGACTGTGAAACTTCAGAGAGAGGTCTGTATCCTAAGAAAGTTGCTGAGAGGTACTTTGTTGAAAATATTTCTGAAAACTCTTTAAAAATCAGCTACCACTTTGCCATTAAAAAAAAATGCAATGAAAGCATTTATCTGTGTTAGCTCAGAGACCCTGAAACTTTTGGAAGTAGTCATTGTGGAATAAAAGGTTAAAGCCTTTTTCTCCCTGTTGAGTTAATAAAAGAAGTAGTTTGTATGTGTCTAGTTCTTTACAGTTTACCGACTGCTTCTGCAAACATTGTTTGACTTGACCTTATGCTACATGATGGAGCTGGCTGGGGACATTTAGTTCTCACTCCACAGGCAAAGAAATAGGGAAAGCAAAGATCTTAAGTCTTTTATCCAACATTACACAAATTATAAACTCCCAATCCAAGACTAGAAGTCAGTGTTTGAACTCCTACTAATAATAATGTTAACTAATTATCAATGAGGACTTACTGTGATCCAGGCACCATGCCTCACACACATTATCTTATAATCTGCCCACCTACCAGAATCATATACAATTCCCATGCCCATCTGAAAGATGAGGAAACTGAGGCTTAATGAGATAAGTTAGCATACTTAAGGCCGTGTGGCTAGTATGTGGCAAAGTGTGAAAGATCAAGATGTGAATGTTATCCATAGACAAAACTATACTTCATTTTAACAGTAACTAGGAGTGTTGTAAATATATTTTGTTACATTATTTAACCTCTCTGTGCGTCAGTTTTATCTGTTAAAGTTAATAATAGTATTTATCTCGCAGAATTGTAAGAATTTCAAAGTTAATATAGCTAAAGAGCTTAAAACAGTTCATAACATGTAGTAATAACAAAATAACCATTAGCTATTACTTTTATGTGCCATTAACATAAGAATATCTGCTTGATTTTTTTATATAAAAGACAATAGTGAAACCTGAATGTACATTTCTATATGTAAGTGGCGTGCAATGAGCATGCCCTACATGTTAAAATTAGGACTATGCCGATTAAATATATATAAAAAAATGCTATCAAATTAGGCCAGTCGGCCCGGCGTGGTGGCTCATGCCTGTAATTCTAGCACTTTGGGA
Source organism: Homo sapiens (assembly GCF_000001405.40). Taxonomy (NCBI): domain Eukaryota; kingdom Metazoa; phylum Chordata; class Mammalia; order Primates; family Hominidae; genus Homo; species Homo sapiens. Next base: position 11,711,312 of record NC_000005.10, on the reverse strand, counting down.
GGCCAAGGCGGGTGCATCACCTGAGGTCAGGAGTTCCAAGACCAGCCCGGCCGACATGGTGAAACCCCGTCTCTGCTAAAAATACAAAAATTAGCCTGGCGTGGTGGCACATGCCTGTAATCCCAGCTACTCCAGAGACTTAAGCAGGAGAATCACTTGAACCCAGGAGGCAGAGGTTGCAGTGAGCCAAGATCATGCTAGCCTGGGCGACAGAGTGAGACTTCCTCTCAAAAAGAAAAAAAAAAAATTAAGCCAATCATTGGTAAGAAGAATGGGAATCTCAGTGATTTCTCTTTGATAATTAGAGTCAATAAGAACACACTGGAAGGAAATTAAATGTATTATCTGTACAAATGATGTGGAGTGACAAGGGGTTAAAACTTGTTTTTCTTATGTTTAAACTGAATAGGCAAAGGATCAGATTGCATGGTATTTTGTTTTGCTATGACAAAAAATAAAAGAGAAACGTAGCAAAAGCTTTGATGCACATAGCAAACTCAACCCTAACCTCCCTTCCATTGAAAATGCCACTGTAGTGGTGCACTGCCCGGACCTTCAGCTGTAACTGCTGTGAAGGCAGCAGGCTGAGGCATTTAGGGAAAAAATAGACTTGTAGAGTTAAAGTTCATGTTTGTTTTTCATCAGTTCCTGTTTCCTAGATCTGCCTTCAAGGATTTCTGCTAATAGGCCAACGAAGGAGAAAGTGTAGACATTCTTCAAGCTGTTTTTGCTGTGAGATCAGTTTTCTTTCTGTCTTTTTTTTTTTTTTTTTTGAGATGGAGTCTCGCCTTTGGCCCAGGCTGGAGTGCAGTTGGTGTGATCTCAGCTCACTGCAACCTCCACCTCCTGGTTTCAAGCAACTCTCCTGCCTCAGCCTCCCAAGTAGCTGGGACTACAGGCGCACGCCACCATGCCCAGCTAATTTTTGTAATTTTAGTAGAGACAGATTTCACCATGTTGGCCAGGATGATCTCGATCCCTTGACCTCGTGATCCACCCACCTCAGCCTCCCAAAGTGCTGGGATTATAGATGTGAGCCACGGCACCCAGCCGGACCGAAGGGTTCCTTAAACCATCACCTGATTTAGGAGATGGAGACAAAGGGAAGCAGGTCAAAATCCAGATAAATGGTTCTTGGCTCCTTAAAGCTGAGGAAGGAACAATCATCTTTCCTTTGCCTGCCCTTCTCTTGGGATGCATAGTCATCTCTAACAGGTATTAGAGTTATCTGTGGTCACCTCTCCCTCACTACATTGAAATGTCTCTGTGGGTTTAAGTTAATCTCTTATAATAAAAATATTTTTATATTCCATATATCACAGAATACATGCCATTCATGGATCTTAAGTGGAACACCAAAGGCATTTTTCTAAATAACTCTTACATTATTAATGTACAAATATGCTTTTTTGTAATATCTTAATTTTATTAAATGAGCATGATTTCTGTTTTTAAAATGTACTTAAAGGACAATTTCACTATACGATAATTTAGCTAAGAAAACATTAGTTTAATATTAAAGAAATGTTTTGTACAAAATCTCTCCATAGTAAAAGGAGTCCAACCTTATACTTACTGACAGCATCATTTGCACTTGTTTTAAGGCTTCTCAATACTTTGTCTACCGTTTCTTAAATGATGGAAGCAATTCTCTCTGCACTGCTCTTATTGCTTTCTGTAGAATTGTTAACTTTTTATGTTGTTTTTGCAGGTCACGCTGTATTCTTAGCAAGCAGAAAAAAATAACTAACTGTTTGGGATTATTGTACACAATTTTATAATACAGTTTAGTTCATCATCTTCTTTTATCTGACATTTTGACAAGTGCTTTAACAGATCCAAGAAGAGATGCTTTTACATGATTAAATTATTTGAGCAAACACACCCATGTCACAGTATAGTTGAGAGTTTTTCTAGAGTCAGTGGTCATTGAATAAGAGATCATTCACACTGCTGTGTAGCTGGGCCTGGAGTTAACTCTAGCTGGTAATGTTCCTAAAGAATAGCAGCTATGAAAGACTTTCATCTTGTAAATCTTGGCCAGATACTGCCCATTAGCCGAGTGAAACTGCCTTCTCCTTTTCTGGCTTCTGCTGTAGAAGTGGGAAAGCTGATTTTATCTTCCCAGCCTCTTCAGTAGCCGGGTGTGTCACAGGCATAGCTCTGACACATAAACGCAGAAACCTACTGTGTTTTTTGAAACAGTTCTTGCTCTCTTGGGAACAGTCGATGCACTGCCATTCTTCAATCTTACAGGATACCTAGTTTTCACTTTGTTATCATAGTAGCTTCCCTGGTAAGAAAGTTCATAAACCAATAACTACTGATGCATGTGACAATTTGTGCGAATCTCAAAGGCACTATGTTAGGTGAAAGGAGACAGACACAAGGGGCTATGTATGATTCTACTTATATGATATTCACAAAGACATAACTATAGACAGATCCCATCAGTGGATGCCTGTGGGTCACGGGAGGGGGCTGACAACAAAGGGAAGGAGGGTACTCTTCAGGGTGATGAAACATTCTGTATCTTGATTTTGTGGTGCTTACCCTGCCTTAAATGTGGCCTGTTGCCTGGAACTGCAACAGAGCTCATGGCCCTGAGTTGACAAACAACACTCCCAGGATGGGGAAGCATCCAGAATGATGGAGCCTGTGTCTTCATCGTACTTGAGCCACACTGCAGAAGGCCCGCCCTAGATAATCCCAGACTCGCCAAGCAAGAAAAATAAACTTGTATATTTTAGACATTGTTATTCAGGTTGTGCAAATGGATACATCCTAGCAGATTAGTATCCTGTAAATAAAAGACTTATTACTAGTGTTATTATAATTCGTAGAACTACTCAGATCTCTCCAATATCTAGAGAGAACCATGATTAAACCCTTAAAGAAAGGTTTCATCTTTTCTTACTTACAGCTTTTCACTTTAGGAGATTTCTTGGCCCCCTTTGGTAATGTTTAATTGCTTTTTTCCTTAGCAAACTGACGCACATTATATATTATAGTAAAAATTAAATACAATTTATTACTCTGCAATGGGTTTTGTTACATTTTACCACTGATAAATCTATTTAAGTTTAAAAAATCATCTTTATAGCCAGGTGTGGTGGCATGCACCTGTAGTCCCAGCTACTTGGGAGGCTGAAGTGGGAGGGTTGCTTGAGCCTGGGATGGGGAGGTTGTAGTGAGCCAAGAACACACCACTGAACTCCAACCTGAGTGACAGAGTGAGACCCTATCTCAAAAAAAAAAAAATCATCTTTAAAACATACTTTTAATCATCAATATATTTCTTCTGAATATATGTGAGTTACCACTTAGCATCATAGCTAATATCCTACAATTAGCAAAATGCAGAAATTTAGGAGTGGAAAGTTCTTAGAAATATTTAACTTTGTCTCTTTAAAGATGTAGAAATGGAGGCTCCAAGAGATTAATTAGAGTCATACAGTGAGAGCTGTCTGCAGTGATGATGTTTGAAGACCCTGAGGCTTTTTTGTAGTTTTTCTTCTTTTATTTTTAAACAGACTTTGTAATCGCAAATTGTTGTGTGTCTAAAATATTGGCTTACAAAAGTGATTTTCATAAGAGAGAGAGTAGGAAGAAAAATTACAATTTTTACTTATATTTTGGTTTACTCTAAAAAATAGTTGAAAATTTAGCATTTAATATGTACTGTGGCATTTGTGTGTCCTGTGTTCCTGGTTTTGGGGATTTTGGACTGTCACTCATCACCTATTGTAGTTTTTTCCTGTGGTATCTTCCTGAACTACAGAGGCTGGAAAGGTACAAATATATTTCCCAGACTCCTTTTCATTTAGGGTCCTGAATTTGTTTGAGGTCTTACCACTTGGATTACTTGCATGAGAAAAAGAAGGCAGAAGTGAGATGCAGGTCATTGTTCGGCCTCTGCATGGAGACAACGGGTATATTCTGTAGAAAAATCATTAGGTCTGTGTGCATGAGAGGAGGATGGGACTGGCAGACCGGCTCTGTTTCTGCAGTCACACCTTGTCAAAAGTCATGGCTGTGGGACACCTAGTTCTCACTTTCTTATTTTAGTAGCTTCCCTGGTAAGAAAGTTCATCAACAAAAAAAACTAATTACTGATACATATAACAATTTGTGCAAATCTCAGAAGTGCTGTGTTTCTGCAGTCACACGTTGTCAAAAGTCATAGTTGTGGGACACCTAATTTTCACTTTCTTTTTTTTTTTTTTTGAGATGGAGTATTGCTCTGTCTCCCAGGCTGGAGTGCAGTGGCGTGATCTCGGCTCACTGCAAGCTCCGCCTCCTGGGTTCACACCATTCTCCTGCCTCAGCCTCCCGAGTAGCTGGGACTACAGGCGCCCGCCACAACGCCAGGCTAATTTTTTATATTTTTTAGTAGAGATGGGGTTTCACCGCGTTAGCCAGGATGGTCTCGATCTCCTGACCTCGTGATCCGCCCGCCTCAGCCTCCCAAAGTGCTGGGATTACAGGCCTGAGCCACCGCGCTGGCCTTACTTCCTTATTTTAGTAGCTTCCCTGGTAGGAAAGTTCATCATCAAAAAAAACTAATTATGATGCATACAACAATTTGTGCAAATCTCAGAAATGCTATGTTAAGTGAAAGGAGACTGACACAAGAGGCTATGTGTGATTCTACTGATGTGATATTCACAAAAAGACATAACTGTAGACAATCCTATCAGTGGATGCCTGCGGGCCAGGGCAGGTGGCTGACAACTAAGGGAAAGAGAGTACTCTTTAGTGTGATGACGCACTCTGTATCTTGATTTGGTGGTGCTTATCTGCCTTTATATATTTGCCAAAACATGTTAAACTTTATACCTAAGAAGGATAAATTTTACTGACTATAAGATTTCCCCCAATAAACTTGACTTTCAAAAAATATTTGGAAAGCACTGGTGTTGAGAAGGCCTCATCCCTATCCCTTGCTCGGCCCATATTTTACCACCTTGATTCAGTGATCACACCAATGGAAATGGTTTCAGAGTTTTGCTTTTGTTTTGTCTTTGGCCTAAAAAAGCACACTTTTATGAGTTCAGTTTCTGCGAGTCAGATGTCCAGGCACAGACTAGCTGGGCCCCCTCCTCAGAACCTCACACAGCTGCAATCAAGGGTTGGCTGGGTTGGGTTTTGTTGAAGGCTTTGCTGGAAAAGAATCTGCTTCCAAGTTCACTCAGACTGTTGGCAGAATTTGTTCAGACCTCCAGGTCTGAGGGCCTGGGATACTGTCTGGCTCAAGGCTGGAAGCTACTTTCAGTTCTTAGAGGCTACCTGTGGTCCTTAAAGGTTACTCATAATTCCTTGCCATGTGGAATTTCCCAGTACAGCTGCTGCTTCCTCTAGCTAGCCAGGGGAGTCTCTAGAGTGAGTCTATTCCCAAGATAAAGTCTCACGTAATGCATGTGTATATAATGGAGTGTAATCATAGGTATGACATCCCATCACTGTGCTATATTCTTTTGATTAGGAGCAAGTCATGGGTCCTATCCACACTCAAGATGTGGAGGACTGCATAAAAGTGTGGACACTCTAAAGTGGTTCACCATAGAGTCAAGGGAAAGATAAAAGGGATAGAAGAAAAAGGATCAAGGTTCAAGTCTGACAGCATTATACCACTTCCCTGAAGGGATGTTCACTCTCTTCAGAGGCTAAGCTCAACTCAGCTGTTTTTTCAAAATTATATTTTTAAAATGTTCCTATATGAATAAAGCAAAGAGTAGAAGCGTCACATTAACCCCTCTCTCACTACTCAGATATATACTATTTACATTTTCAGATGTCTCATCCCAGGTATTATTTTATTTATATGCCCACATATACATATATTTTCATATAAGGGATCTGGCTATATATACTGTTTTGCAGTTTATTGAATTACTTCTGTCATCTGCCTTTTGCTTTTTCCACTTATATTACATTAGCTTTTTCTCTTTCTAATAATTATTCTCAAGTGTGGCCCATGATTTGCTCAGGAATGGAGTTGGGTGGGGGAAGAATTCTGGCTGGCGTAGTGCTCAGACACATTCTGTTTCTCCATACACAATGTGTAGCATCCTTTGGGTTGGAGACACATCTTTGGGCAGAGAAGCTGATCATCCTGGCAGAAGGTCAGTGTGGTATTTGTCCTGTTCAGGCATTTGGTTGGCTATTTGGAGATGATTTATGCCTGCACCATTGACAGATGTCAGCTCTTCAAAAGCTTGTGGCTATTTTTTCTTTCCCTTCTGGATTTATCTTCAGACAGTTTCCCTAATTTAATTGTCAGAAAATGAATCATTTTGAGCTGAGATGCTCAAGAGTCTCTCATTTAATTCTAGCAAAATCTGCCTTCTGCTTGAGCTCTGGAGAGAAACACACTGACTTTGTGTGTCCTTAGTTTAGTTTCACTAGGTTAGCATTTGTATTGTAGATATTTTCCATTTTTATTACGTGTGATTATGTTGTTTTCCTCCATTGCAGTGGGTTTCAGGGAAGGGAGCCAAGTAAATATGCTTTATGTAGGCAGCTTTTTCCTTTTTCCTAACTGTGAGCCACAACTAAACTGTGACAGCTATATCATAGTTGGGCTGGACATAGGGCCTCCAGAGGAACAAGCTGAAGACAAATTCATTTAGAGGTGGGCTTAAGTACATTTCTCTTATTGTGGGTTAAAGGTTAGGATGCATCCATTCGAGGAGCCCTCCAGGACCAACACAGTCCGTTCCAAACCTAAGTGGCCTCAACTAATGTTTGCTAGAACATCCTCTGGAAACTGGAACTTGAGCTGTATTCCTGATGCTAAGTACTTGGGTTCAGGATCCCTCTCTGTGACTGAGGTGCTTTCAACACTCTGCCAGGTAGCAACTGAGAGGCACTCATTCATATTTTCATCAGGCCTCTGTTAAAGTGAACCATCTGCTACTCTCTGTCATCTGTTTCTTGACCGAAGTGAAAAATGGTATGTGTTACTTCAGCTCTCATTAGGTAGGCATCTGTATTCTGAGAAGTCTTCTTAATTAGTCTTCCTGTAGTGAATGTCAGCCAAGGCCATGCATTGGATTGTTCTGAAGTCTGAGCTGTCTTCACACCTTTGCAGGTAGTCCTCCGAGGTCAGGCCGGAACAAGATTGATGGGATGAGCACTATTGAGGCTTCTTAGATAATTAATTTCAAATAAGCTTGACTACATCTAGTCTTCTAGTCATTGATGTTAAAACAGCATGTTCACATTTTTGATGAAAAATCATTTCCTTTCTTTTTCCCTGTCCTCTGAATGAGAGATGAAAAAAATTGTAGGATGCTTTGAGATGAGGATTCCAGTACACGTATTGTTAAGACACTCTATATGCTTGTTTAAGATTATTTGAGAATCCCTCAGAAAAAGATAATTCTTTTAATTTTCTTCCTCCAGGATAATATTCCTTTGCACCTTCTTAACTATTTTAGTTACTAAGTGATTCTGATCAGAGATACGGGGGTCTGATCAAATTATATTTTGTATCTTTATTCCAAAATCGAATTATTTGGCAGATATACAAGATATCCAGATAAGTAATTCAAATTCACCCTTTTTAAAAATCCATTCTATGAGACCCAAAAGACTGAAAGTCATCTGTTTGTTTACTAAATACAGTAATACTGTGAAATTGTCTACTCCCTGAGGGCAGAGACAATATTTTATTCCACTCTAAATCTTGCAATAACTAAAGAAGTACCTGGAACATAGCATTTGCTGAATAAATGTTAGAAAGAAAGTTAAGATCTTTTGCATATTATACTTGCTGTTGGCAGAAGGTGTAACTCTGCAGCAGCAATGGAGATTTGCCTGTGTAGCCCTACTCTCTGTGTTCCATTCTGACTGCAAAACCCAGGTAAAGGCAAGGCAAGACCCTCTTGCTTCCAGTAAACAACATAATTCAGGTACCATGCATGTATCCTGACTGTAAGAACACTGTTTTCCTGCTGGAATAATCCACCAAATAGATCAAACCTCTATGGTGGTTGCTATCTCCTGATAGCATATATAAACATATATCTGTAAACTGGATGTATGTTTCATTGGGACAATATAAGTTTTTAAAAATTAATTGCCAACTATATATTTTTAATTTCTTTTGAAAATTTGAAAAATTGAAACATGATTCTTCTTGGAATGAATTGACTTCAGTTGGGTAGCTCTTAGCCTATTTGGATGGAGCCTGCAGACTCTACCCAACTCTTAACCCCAGCCAGCCCACTGCATTCATGTGTGATCCTGTAGGAATCTGCCTTGTGATCCCTGAATGCGTCATCCTAGAATTTTTCTGTGTTGGTATTCTCCCATTGCCATGTTTTGGGAGTAACACTGAAGCATCTGAGTGTTGCGGATGTTGGTTAAGAGTTGACATGATCAGGTACTAAGCCTGTCCTCCAAATTAAGTAGAGAGCTTGGCTCTTTGACCCAGTTTGGGGTCCAGGATGTCAGGGTTGGTTTGCACCTGCAGAGATTAGAGCAAGGAGAAATGGAGGAAAGCATTGCAGTCAAAGTGGAGCTCAGTCTCTGCATAGAGAGCTAAAGCATGCTAACAACCTCTGTGTTTTTGAAGAGTACCCAGGGGAAGCCCTCAAGATATGAAGGGATTAGCAGATAGCCAGAAAAGATTATCCTGAGATTTCCACCCTAGGATCCGGTGTAGCAATCCTTGTGCTGGAGAGTGGCTTGGAGTCAGTGACTTGTAATTGTCTTTGCAATTCTGGGTAGAAGAAGAAAGATAAGAGGGACAGTAGTAATTCTGGATAGAAGCACTAATTGTTGTGGAAAAAGAGAAGCAGAGCTGATCAAGGGGAATAACTAATATGAACATGGGGCATCTTTTTGGCAGGAAATACAATAAAACAAGAACTGTCTGAGCACCTCCTTCATGTATTCCATGTAACTATAGGGCAATAGATTGGGAAAACTAACATGTACATGTGGACTTGAAACTGAATTAAACAGTGTTCATCACAACAGAAAAATAAACTGGGAGCTAAAATCAGATACTGGGACCTTGACAGCTGTATCAGCTGTGCCTTGCTACAAGTATGCTATGTAACAAACAACCACAAACCCTTGTGGTACACAAGAAGCATTTTTTTGCTCACAGGACTGGGGTGGTCAGCTCCATTCTGCTGATTTTGCCTGTATGTCTCTAGGTTTCAACTAGATGTGATCTGGAGCAACTGGACCCCCTGGTTCTGTGCACTGTGTTTCTTCCTGCAGTAGACCTGGCATTTTCTCAGAGCGATGGTTGAGGCATGAGGAAGAGGACAAACCCAACTGCCCGAGTGCTTTCCAAGCCTTTGCTTGTGTCCTGCTTCCCATGATGAGTTATGTGGCTGAGTTTATAGACACAGTGGGAAGGCACTGCAGAATTCGTTCTCTTTAAACTTCCGTTGACTCGAGCTGCTGAGATTTTTAGTTTGTTTTTACTGCAGCATAACTCAGCCTATCTTCAGTGATAAAAATCCTTAACTATTTTCTCAGCATGATTTTTGTGTCCTAGCTAATATAAAAATTATACAAATAAATACTTCATATATTTTATAAGACTTGTAACAGAAATGCTGCACTTATACTACAGGAGCTTATATTAAGGAGTATTCCATACTTCTTTCTCATTCTTTCTTATACTTATGTATGTATAAGTATGTTCTTTTGGGGTTTTAATACATAGACTAGGTTATAGTAAATGAAGTGGGTAAAATTGTGTCCTCATACATATTCATCATATATAATGTAGAAAACTCATTAATAATTCTGTATTTCATAATTCTAGCAATTTAACTCAAAATAGAATAAATACGAATATTGAATGTATAGAAATTCTTTGAGTGGTCTGAATCATTACTTGGTCAAAGATGTCTATTGATTAAATTTGATATTGTTATTAGGTTGTCAATTAAGTTCACTTTGGATTTACTTATACTTCATGCACGTTTGTCCTGGGTATCCAGCAGACTGGTTGAAAGGCAGCCATTATCTGTGACATCCGATGGAATTCTCTGCATGGAAGGTCCCTTGCTGATGGGGTAGTGCTAGGGTTTTCCTATGGGGAGTTCCTCATGGGGACTTAGGTCTTATTGAAGTAGAAATACATACTCAGAAAGCCTGCTATGTCCTCAAGTAAAGAGGAGAAATCTCCACCTGTGGCCCATGATTTTGTTAAAAGCCTCCTTTCAGAATATTGACAATTTCTTTAGACGTCATAAAAGACATTTATGTACAGAATGGGTCTCAGGTAATCCCAGAATATTTAACCAAAGTGAGCATCTGTTTAATAAAATAACTGCCCTTTGATTATGTCTGATGCTACTCATGAAATAAAGATAATCATTTTATAGTTACCCCGAATTAGCACGGGTTCTGTCTTCACCAACTTCCTAAGTATTCTTTCAACATGACAGATTTATATTATAGCCCAAATCCTCAAATTTCAAGTAGATCACATGCTTTTCAAAGGCTTTTCTCTCTCTTTAGTTCAGTTGTTCAATCAGATTCTTATTTCAAGGTCTTATCTCTTCTTTTCCTCAGCTACCTGGCACTGTTACTTTTTTTCAGAAATTTCTTGAGATCTGAGAGTGTTCCATCTAAAATAATCTTCTATTCAACTAGTGCTCTATTGACCGTAGGCTTCAGTGAGTGAATAGGTACAGACAAAAGGATGGCAGCCCAAGAGGATGACAGAGAATGCAACCACACAGCGCCGATGAAAAGAGCTCACAAATGTGCATCACCCCGAGGCACATTCTCACCATGGCTTACTCCCCCAGCACGCTGAATACAACCAAGTAGGGCTTTGATTCTTTAAGTCATTGATCCCACAGCAAATTGTAAGCTCCTCAGGGTCGGAACACTCACCTTCAATAATTAAATCTTTGTGTTTGTTGTTGTTTGTTTGTTTGTTTGGAGATGGAGTCTCACTCTGTTGCCCAGGCTGGAGCACAGTTGCATGATCTTGGCTCACTGCACCCTCTGCCTCCTGGGTTCATGCAATTCTCCTGCCTCAGCCTCCTCTGTAGCTGAAACTACAGTGTGCCCCCAAGCCCAGCTAATTTTTCTTGTATTTTTAGTAGAGCTGGGGGTTTCACGATGTTGGCCAGGCTGGTCTCTTAACTCCTGACCTTAAATGATCTGCCCTCTTGGGTCTCCCAAAGCACTGGGATTACAGATGTGAGCCACTGTGCCTGGCCAAGTGATTAAATCTTTCAATCAAAAAATAATTTTCAATACATATTGATATGTTAAACACAACTACCTACCCACAGTGCCCCCCACACACATATTTTAAAACCCAAAATATAGATGATTTCAACTAAGCCTAATGTTCAGTCAAATGGAGCTTCTACCAAGTATCCGACTCCCTCTACTACAAAAGAATGAAGCTGAACCAAAGAGGGAAACCCCACCTGGGGATTTGATTGAATTTACACCCTGGCACGTTGTACTTATTTCATGCTTACCTTTATAATTTCTAACTTCATTACAGAACAGTTCTTCCAGGACAGGTACAAGTTAGAAAGCTCTAGAAAATATTTTTACTTTGAAAGGAAGCCCGTGGATGATATGCTTTTTTATGTGGCAAGAATTTAAAGAGATGGCAATAAGAAGAAGGAAGGAGAGTTGGGCTACAGTATTTTTGGAGGCTTCTCTTTATGTTCTTGTCCTTTAAATATTCCTTTCATCTCGGCCCTTTTCTCTGCAATTCATGATATCCCCGAGGAATATTATTCCTCCCTTGTTTTCACTTAAATGTTGAAAATTTGAGAAGGTCTGGCCCACCTCTCTCTTCAGTCATTTAGACTTTTTATTCAATTTCTCATGCCCCATAAGCAAATTGAACTCCACATACCCATAAATAATCTTATTTCCCTCTCACCCACAATCCTTCCCTCTTTTTGTCATCCTCATCGTATCCTCAGGTGACTTAGTCATCCTCCCAGGTCCTAAGAAATAGGCCATTCCTACCTCCATTGCATTCATGCTTCTGTGATTCCACACTCTCCACTTTGTCTCCCCGTGGACTCTTGGCCTCTATCCTGAGTTGACCCAACCTATCTAACAACCAGGCAATGATTCTGAAATGTAAACCTGACCATTTGTCCCAGTGCTTACGATTCTGATTGAGTGTGGCAAACCTGTTCTACAGCTACTCATTCGATAGAATTGACATATGTAGTGACACTTTTTTTAAAGTAACTCTTTTTAAAAGTATAAGTAGATTAAATCTAACTATGTGTGTGTGGGGGAACATATGATATATATATATGTATATATATATGATATATAGTTAATACATAAATTGTAATATTTTAATGTTTTAATAATAGCACAAAATAATATGCATTAAGAAAAGAAAATATGCTTATTGATATTAATTATCCTTCAATTATTATAATATATATTTACAATTTAGAATAAATGATCAAATTTGTTTATAAATTATTTAAAGCTTTATTTTTCCAAAAATAAATCACCTGTTTAATGGATTGAACTGGACAATTCTTACTTTAAACTCTGTTGTGGTACTAGCTCCATTGCTTTCATAACATTTCAAATGAAATTAAGTATATTTTAGTTAGATAAGAGAGAAAAAATTCTTTATATGAAAATTTAGTCCCTGATTTATTTCCAGCACTTCATGGAGAGAAAGGTGTAAGCTGGAGACAAAAAAGGAAGTGTGTAATTTACATTAGAATAATGTGTTCTTTGGGCGGGACACAGTGGCTCATACCTGTAATCCCAGCATTTTGGGAGGCTGAGGCAGGGGGATCACGAGGTCAGGATATCGAGACCATCCTGGCCAACATGGTGAAACCCTGTCTCTACTAAAAATACAAAAATTAGCTGGACGTGGTGGCGCATGCCTTTAATCCCAGCTATTCGGGAGGCTGAGGCAGGAGAATCCTTTGAACCCAGGAGGCGGAGGTTTCAGGGGGCCGAGATCGCGCCACTGCATTCCAGCCTGGGCGACAGAGCGAGACTCCGTCTCAAAAAAAAAAAAAAAAAATAATAATGTGTTGCTTTAATACAAGAAATACAATTATTTATCTTCAGCATCAGATAGATTTCATGGAGGGCTTGGTTGGGGAGTATTGTTTGGGAGCTTTTGAACTGTTTCTGAAATGGGCTACATCAGTTTCTTTCCCTGCAGCATTTACTCTGGTCTAAGCCACCTTTGTTCTTGATCTTCAATGGACCCCACCTAGTATCACTTTTACCCCATTATGCAATCTCTGCACAGCAACCAGACTGATTTTTAAAATTAAATCTGACTGTAACTCTCCTACTTTCTGCCAGCTTAGAATAAAAGCAAGGTCCTATCTGTGGCTTCCCAGGTTCTAGGCATGTCAACCTCTTTTCTCTTACAGGAACAGAGAAATCTCCTCCCAGACATAGGGTGTTAGATGTGCTGTTTGCCTTTTTTCATAATTGATGCCTTCCCGTCCTTTAGGCTGCAGTTTAAATTATCCCTGCTAAGAAAGTCCTTCCTTGACTGCCCGCCTAAGTGACTGTCACTTTGTACCCCAAATTCATTCACCAAACTTTGAAGAACAGAGACTAAGAGCATAGACTAAGAGTTTGAACTGCTGGGGTTAAAACCCAAGCCACAGCTTTAAAGTTGTCATATGTCAAGAGATACCTTAATCTTTCTGTCCCTCAGTTTCCTCATCTGAAAAGTGGGCATAATATCACCTCATAAGGCGGGGTTCTTGAATAGATTGATGTATGCCATGCCCTTGGGACAGTCCTGGCTCATGGAAATCCCTATTTTAGTGATTGATACAGTATACTGTTACTGACTTATAAAATACAAAGGAATATTTAATGCATTTTAATGCTTATTTTTTATTCCCACTTATGCCATAACAATGAATATCAAGACAGGGACCATATCTGCCTTTATTCCACTACTGTGTCTGTATCTATGCCTGGCACATAAAAGAAACTCAGTAAGTGTTTTATGGAAGAACTGTGAATTGAGATCCAACTTTTATATACTGTTAAGGTCCAAATTTTTGGGGGGCAATGGAATGGCAGCTTCCAATGGTTAGAATCAGGGGCAGCTTGCACACTTTCCAACAACCTCTGTATAACAGTTGAAAGTGAGAGCAATTCTGACACCAAAATCTACCATGCCTGCAGACATTTACATATTTATTCTGGCACTATTTTTAATCACTTACATACATAATGATATTTGTCCGGTTCCTTAAACAGTCTTCAAAAACAGTTCACATTACCTATAATGGCTGAATTATTTAAACATTTGACCTTTTATTTATGGACATTTTGAAACTTTTTCTGAATATCTATCATTTAAAATAGCATGGATAGTGTGATATTGCCCAGGTGTTTAAGGCAAGGGTCAGCAGCTCTTTCTATAAAGGGCAAAAATGTATCTTTAAGTGAGCACAAAAGATTTCATCCAGCTATCTGTGAAATCAGATAAAGCCCATTTAGGCAGGGCTGATTTTCAGCTATTATGCAGCATGTCAGTTGCTAATTACTGGTTGTTCATACCTGTTGATATATGACTACTGTCTGGGTTTCAGAGTGTCCCTGACCTCCCTTAGGATCTGCAGGTGCTCAACCTGAAAACCACTAAAGAGGGGTAAATGCTGGCTCTAAGTATCATGAATTTGAACAATGAGCGCTCATTTCTTACATCTACATTATGCTAACAAGCCATTAATGTCACCCATGGAAACTCATTCTAATGCAAATTATTAAAAATATCTGCTGTTGATCAGATATAAAATTAGTCTAAACAGTTTAGGGTAGCCCTCCTCTGGAGAAAGGGGCTTCTAAATGGAAGGGAGTTGGCCAGTCTTGGAGCAAGAGATTCTCATTAGGGCAGTTGACTGAATCTGCAGTGGGGCTTGAACTAGTGGTCTGCAAACTATAGCCCAAGGCTGATTCCAAGCTGCTGCCTGTTTTTCTATGGCCTATGAGCTAAGAATGATTTTTCACATATTTTAAATAGTTGGAAACAATTCAAAAGAAGAATATTTCATGACATGTGAAAATTAGGTGAAATTCAACCAGCGCCTACTAATAAAGTTTTATTGGAACACAGCACACTCATGCCTTTATACGTTGTTTATCACTGCTTTGGCACTAACATGGCAGTGCTGAACAGTTGGAGAAGAGATGAGATTACTCACAAATCCAAATATATGTACTATCTGGCCCCTTGCAGAAAGAGTGTGCTGACAGTTAAATAATTGCATGGCAATATCACACTATCCATGCTAACTATTTTAAAGTAGATTATAGATATTTGTAAAAAGTATACAAATATTTATAATAAAAGTGGCAAATGTTTAAATAATTCATCCATTACAGGCAGTGTGAACTACTGTTTTTGAAGACTGTCTAAGGAACTGGACAATACTCATTATATAGTTAAGTGATTAAAAACAGTGTAAGACTTTATATATAATATCACAATTTTAATATGTAATATATGTGTATGTAATATTACATCTGTTTATAGTGTGATAAAAATGGGACAAATTAAGGGATTATGGATTTTGTTTTTATTTATTGCCTAACTATTCTAAATAAGCCTGCTTCAGTACTAAAATGATAAGACAGCATGAGAACATCAAACTCACGCAAAGCTAAGTAAAAGGAACTCTGCATAGTGTTCTTCATTAGTGAAATAAATGTGAATGTGACATTGTTACGGAATAAAAATATTCCATTTTTTCTCAAGAAATAGAAAAGCATTATTTTAATACACAAATAGGAAAACATCTCTGAATACCTTGTTATTTACCCATTCCATTATAACCGAGGAAAAGAGAAGTGGTAGGGCACTCCGTTTATACTTCTTAATGATTCTGTAGAGAATAATTCAACTCTTGAGCTTCAGTGGAATGAGAAGTAGTAAACCAATACACAAGCCACACAGCTCTCAAGACACAAAGATTTTCCCCTCATTGCTTGCCACTGAACAATAGATCAGAGAGATTATGATAGGGTATTAATTTCCTCTCAGGCCAGTTGCTAGATACTTGTCTTGAACAATAAGCAATGTGACAAGATATGACAAAAATCAGCATTTTTAATAACATACTATACAAACCAGTTTCCTCCTTTGTGTGATCCCTCTTCTTCCAGCCTGTCTCTTCCTGGTCTGACCTTTTTATTATTATAGGCTCCTCTAGACCCTGATGGAAGCTAGTGGTTTTCTATCTACTTTCTATTTACTTAACCTCATCTAGCATATTTCCATTTCTTCTAACTGTTCGATAACCCTAACAACATTCATTGAAAGACATGTTTGTATGTAACATTTTTAAAAAATGACCTGCTATATGCAATATTCTTTTGGATGACTACTGTACCATATACATTTAAGATGACAACACATTGGGGTTCCAAGTCCTGTTGTGTATTTAGTCTCCATTGGAATGAAAATCCTCAAAGCATATGTTCATTTTTTTTCTTTTCAGCACGTACTGATTGGGTGTTTGCTGCTTGAAAAGAAATATTTATGACAGTGTTGAACAGAGACAGAAGGAGAGAGGAGAGATATGCAGAAATAGAAGGTGTAATCCTTACATGAGTACCATGGATTCCCTGTTGGATATACAATCCATCCTCAGTATTTGAGAATTTCATGTTTGTGAGCTTGTGTATGTTAAAATGCATTTATAACCCCCAAATTAACAAACAGGGTATTCACAGTCATGTGCCGTGCATGGACACACATGTACCTAACTGAGGCCTCAGAAGATAATACTCTGCGTTCTCATTTCAGCTCTCCTTCTGCAAACAAATGCCCTTTTCATAGTCTAGTTGGTGCCACATTTCAGTTTGGTTTTGTTTTTTTCATTTTCTTTTTTTCTTTTTTTTTTTTGAGAGACTCTGTCACCCAGGCTGGAGGTGCAGTGCTGCAATCTCGGCTCACTGCAAGCTCCGCCTCCCGGGTTCACGCCATTCTCCTGCCTCAGCCTCCTGAGTAGCTGGGACTACAGGCGCCCACCACCACACCCAGCTAATTTTTTGTATTTTTAGTAGAGACGGGGTTTCACCGTGTTAGCCAGGATGGTCTTGATCTCCTGACCTCGTGATCCACCCACCTCGGCCTCCCAAAGTGCTGGGATTACAGGCATGAGCCACCGCGCCTGGCCCATTTTCATGTTTTTTCCTAGTGATTTCATTGTTTAAAATAGCCCTCAATGGTAATGCTGATTTGTTATCTAATGTTTATAAGTGCAAGAAAGCTGCAGTGTGCCCTACGGAGAAAATATATGTGTTCAATAAGCTTTGTTTCTGCATGAGTTACAGAGCTGTTGGCCATGAATTAAATATTCATGAATCAACAATATATAAAAATAAGATAGCTTCAAAGAGAAACATCCATAAAACAAGATTATGCATTAATTAGTTGATGAAAACATTGTGACCAAAGGCTTGCAGGAACTTAACCCTTTATTTCTCCTAGGAGCGATAGCTCAGTATTCTCTAATTCAGTGTTATCATTGACTTTATAGAACAAAACTATCACACATAACAAGAATCAATCGTACTGTGTTTAGGCTGCTACTTAAGCTTAGGGGAAATTATTAAATAATTATTGATAATACTAGTTCTCTCATTCTCCAAATATTTATGGAGCATTTCTGTATGACAGGCATACACCAGTGATCAAAAGACACAAACAGCCCTGTCCTCATTGAGATTCCATTGCATTGAAGATTTGTTAATTCCTAAGTGCCTGTTCCAGGCATTTTATGTGTGCCATGTAATCCTTTCAACAATGCTTTGAAACAGGTATTTCTAGCTCCTTCTTAAAGAAAACAAAACAAAACAAAATAAAAACAAAAACAAAAAACTGTGATTCAAATAATTTAAATAACTTCCCTAAAATGAAATGCAGTATCTTCCAAAACTGGGTTTCAAACCCAAGTTGACTTGAATCTAAAGTCTGCGTATCTGTCCATTTGGTTTGCTATAACAAACTAACATAAGCTAGGTGGCTTATGAATAACAGAAATTTATTTATCAGAGTTCTGGGGGCTGGGAAATCTTTGATCAAGGTACTGGCATATTCAGGGTCTGGAGAGGCTCCACTTTCTGATTCGTAGATGGTGTCTTTTTCCCGCGTCCTCATCTGGTGGAAAGAGTGAGCATGCTCCCTTTCACCTTACGAGGAATTTTTAAATTACTCCAAAGTTTGACATTGGAGTAACTTTTAAAATGTTCTTGGTTTTTGGACTCTGAATTTATATGTATAATATATGAAAATTGACAACCCAGATGTGTTTTAGGACTAAACTTTGAAGAAATACAGAAATTCTTACTGGAGTTTTGGGGAGATAAGAAGAGATTTTTGTCACATACCTCAGTGAGACTTTCTAAGTCTTTTAAAAATGTTGACCCAGCTGGGTGCAGTGGCCCATGCCCGTAATCCCAGCACTTTAGGAGGCCGAGGCCGGCAGATCACTTGAGATCAGGAGTACAAGACCAGTCTGGCCAACATGGCGAAACCCCGTCTCTACTAAAAATATAAAAATTAGCCAGGCATGGCGGCAGCCACCTGAAATTGCAGCTACTCAGGAAGCTGAGGCAGGAGAATCACTTGAACCCAGAAGATGGAGATTGCAGTGAACTGAGATCGTGCCACTGCACTCCAGCCTGGGCAACAGAGCGATACTCCATCTCAAATAAAATAAAATAAAATGTTGACCTAGTTTTCCAAATTCCACCTAATGGCGTTTATCTTCTCATCACACACCCAGCTGCCTCTTGAGCTATTCCACATCCTCAGACTCTCCTCAGACGTGGTATCCTCTTGCCAAGCTTTGTTTTGCTGCCTAACAAATAAAACAAATTCTAAGAAATGTAATATCAAGAAAGCCAAACACAGACAGCAGCCTGTCTCACTGTGCATCTGGCCACTTGTGTTTTCACAAGCTATAGTTTACCAATGTTTTTCCAGTTTGATTTTTATGTTTTTATAATGAGTTGGGAATCATATTCTTTTACTTTTTAAAATTTTTTTTTGTTTGAAATTTCTGAAAGAAGGTAAGATAAAAGGGAAAAAATAAAAACCCCTAATAGTTATGTGCCCAGAATTAACCAGGATTAAAATTCACAAAATACATTGCAGCCATGCTTTCAAAGTATTAAATGTGCAGCTGCTGCAAAATAGTGTTTTGATGATTGCATGGTCTTTCAGAAAAAAATAGATGTATGGTGTTTCTTAGATATTAGGAAAACTTTTTTTTAAACCAGTTTCAATCATACAGTTTTTGTTGATTAGCTATGTAACCTTTACATTTTATAGAACCAGTTAAACTAAAATGTTAACATAGAATATGAGCACTGAGCACATGAAAAAAATATAGTTACATAATTGAGAACTAAAACATTTCTAAGTTTTTCTTTATTTTGATACAAGGTCTCACTTTGCCTTAGACTGAAGTGCAGCGGTGCAATCATAGCTTACTGCAGCCTGTAACTCCTGGGTCTCTAGTGATCCTCCCACCTCAAACTGCCATATATCTACATGTGCACAACACCACATCCAACTAATATTTTCGTAGAGAGGGGACGACTGTGTTGCCAGGGCTGGTCTTAAACTCCTGAGCTGAAGTAATCCTCCCACCTCAGCCTCCCAAAGTAACAGAGATTACAGGTGTGAGCCACCCCAACTTGCTTCTTACTTTTCTTTATTATATATTTAAAGTTTCTTTTAAAATATATATAATTTGTATCTGAACTGTGTATCTTTTAGATGAAACTGATTTTTCAAAAAGTTGATGCTTTGGTTGAGTACTTGTATATTGGGGAAAATGGTAATTTTCAAAACATACCAGAGACCACTTTGCATGCTCTGTTAGCCAGACATATCATTTCTTATTTTTTATTTTATTTTATTTTATTTTATTTTATTTTATTTTATTTTTTGAGACAGAGTCTCGCTCTGTCGCCCAGGCTGGAGTGAAGTGGCGCAATCTCGGCTCACTGCAAGCTCCAACCTCCTGGGTTCACGCCATTCTTCTGCCTCAGCCTCCCGAGTAACTGGGACTACAGGCACCCACCACCACGCCTGGTTAATTTTTTGTATTTTTAGTAGAGACGGAGTTGCCCCATGTTAGCCAGGATGGTCTCAATCTCCTGACCTTGTGATCCACCCGCCTCGGCCTCCCGAAGTGCTGGGATTACAGGTGTGAGCCACCGCGCCCGGCCATTATTTCTTTTAAGATATTTGCATTATTCACATTTTTTTGTTCTTATCTTGGGGAGCCTCACTGTTAGATGGACTGCAAAAACAAATACAAAACAATGCAGCTCTCATTATGGTCACAATCATTACATTTTGTTAACTAAAATTTCACTTTTCATTTTCAACGTGTTTTCAGGTTAATATGCTGTGATCCTTCTACATGGAGTTATTAATTTCATATTAAGCCCAAAGGGCATGCAGCAGTATTTTATATAATAATTATAAGCAATCAAGTTTTTTGTTTTGTAAAAGAGTATATTGCTGAAAGCATAGATTTCTTTTTTTTTTTTTTTTTTTTTTTTTTTTTTTTGAGACGGAGTCTCGCTCTGTCGCCCAGGCCAGACTGCGGACTGCAGTGGCGCAATCTCGGCTCACTGCAAGCTCCACTTCCCGGGTTCACGCCATTCTCCTGCCTCAGCCTCTCGAGTAGCTGGGACTACAGGCGCCCGCCACCGCGCCCGGCTAATTTTTTTTTGTATTTTTAGTAGAGACGGGGTTTCACCTTGTTAGCCAGGATGGTCTCGATCTCATGACCTCATGATCCACCCGCCTCGGCCTCCCAAGAAAGCATAGATTTCTTAAGTGAGAGCCTCTAATATCGTAGGTGAATAGAAGGAGTTACAGAACCTGATGTGCTTTTCATTTTGCTTCACTTCGCTGTGTTACTGTAAAAATGAAGCAGCATTTGAGGACTATACAATTTGCAATAGTATGCTTTCTTGTTTGTAACGTTTGAAAGTTTTTTTTGTTTTTATTTTTTAGTTGTACATTTAAGCTGATGTGTTGCTGTTTAAATATTTGTCAACAGTTACATGATTTTGAATTCCTGCACCAGTCGGTGGATACATTGGATTCTATTCTCTTCCATCACATTCCTGGCACTGATTTTATTTCCCCATCACAGTGCAATTTTCTTTGACTTTGTCACTTTCATTTAAGTCGTTTTATAATTGAGGCAATTTGAAAGTCTCCAAACTTGGAATGATAATCTTTTAAAATATAAACTCAGGTTATTATTTTTGAAAGAACAAGATAGATTTCCCCTGATGTTTGACTATTGCTCTGTATTCTTCACAGTACTGTGTAGGAAGGAAGAAGAATGGCGATTCATTCATGTTGCTCATTTACTGTCCTAGACTCAAGGCTATGGGTGGTGATGCTGCTGTAACAAAATAGCTTCTGCTGTGTTACGATGTGCACTATTGGAAAGAGATGATGGGATCAGCAGTCTCATATTAAGTTGAAGGAAATCATTTTCATTACTTTAGTTTTCAAGGTAATTCAATGTAATTGATCCCTTTTTTTTTATGAAGATACTGTCTCACCACTTTTGCTTCTCAAGTGTCAAAATATCACCATAATAAAATACAGAAGCAGTGTGGTGAATAAAAGACCTATTAGACTATTTCTGCAGTACAGTGATTATTAGCTTCATGAAACTATGATACAGTATATGTGAAAAAAAGTAAGTGACAATATTCTGTACAACAGCATTCACAAATTGATTTATTTACTGAAAAGTGACACTAAGAAATGGGTATGCAGTATGATTCTGTTTTTAGGTGTTGATAATTGTTTAGATGGCAGAAAAATTAATATGTATTTTAGAATGATTATAAAGTAAAGTATTATTTAATTTGAGGGCAACACAACTAATTCACAAATGTATGTGGAGAGAAGAGAGATTTTAATTATGTTTTACCATCATAGAACAGTTCATCATTTTTAATACTCTACCACATTATTTATTCTGTAACAAATCTGTAAAATAGACACCATCATTCCCATTTTTGCAGATTAAGAAACCAGATCCCAGAAGTAAGAAAACAAAAAATAAGACTAAGACTTCATCAGTAGTAGATGCTGAGTCTTAACTGGGTGCAGGTACAGTGCTGGTTAGTTTTGGATTGGTGCTACAGCTGCCCTATGCTCCATATCAGAGATACTACAGCTACTGTGGAATTAGAATCCAACAAAAATGCAATAGAATAAAACAGCAGTACAGAGAATAGGCACTACCAGTAGTAACTTTGATATCGATACTGTTCGTTCCCAGTCATCTTGGTGTCTCTTGGCAGCACCTCTTATTTTGTGGCCCTCGCTGTGTCATTCATCAAAAGGGCAACTCCGTCTGTGATCAGTGAATGCAGAATGGAATTCTTCCTGCTTTGGTTGTTTCCTTTCACCACCAAGTGCTGCTGCATTATCTCAGTCTGTTTTCTCCCTCTTTCTGCCTTGCTTCAGCTCGCTGTGCTGCAGCCGTTTTAATAGGGATGCTCTCTGTGTCATAAGCAGCCATGCATTCTTGCATTCTTTACAAGCATCAGGGCCCTTCTCCTGGGTGGTGGGTTTCTGAATTATAGGACTGAGACTTCCACTCGTCACTTGATATTTTGGGCTTCAGTTTCCTTATTTGGAAAATGGAGTTACTAAAATGTAAAAAGCACAGGGTTATTTTTGAAACAGATTTAGATAACCCATGCAAGAATTTTTCAAAATTGTAAAATGAAAGAATCTTAGCAAAATAGTCCAGCATCACTGTATCGTATTGCTGAAAGTGCTGAGAATTCAAACATGATGTCAGCGGAAGGCATATGCTTATTTCCCATCACTATTTTTAGGATCATACAGAGTATATTTAGTGCACTATGGAACAGACACTTTTTTGGGGTCTTCTCAAAGTCATTCTTAATTAAGCCATTCCTGCCTGCTGAGTAACCCACAGAGTGCTGGGGACACCAAGATGAACACCTGAGCCTTGTCTTCCGGGAGTTCAGGTGGGGGACTGCTGTGCCATAATAGAGGTTTCAGATGTCCTCTGGGGGCAGAGACATGAAGCTCTTGAGCCAGCTTGGAAGATTGGCTTGAAACTTCCCAGAAACGTTAATAAGTAGTAATAGCCAGTGGCAGTCATATACTTTTCCACTTCACTCAGTAAAAGCCAGTACCCTTCAAATGGCCCCCAAACCACTATGATCTGCTCCACCACCACTTTTCTCTTTGATTTCATTATCACTCGCCCAGGCAAAATTCGGTTCCAGTCATTGATCTCCTTTCTATTCTCCAAACTCTCCAGGCACAACCCCACCTCAGGGTCCTTGCCTTATGGTTTTCTCTGCCTGAGATGTTTCTTTCTCAGATTTCTGTGTGGCTCACCTTCTCACCTCTTACAAATCTTTGGTCCAATGCCACTTTCCCATTAATGTTTTTTCTGCCCATCCTACTGAAAATGGCAGTCCTGGCCAGCTTTAGTTTCTTCATGGGAGTTTTTACTTCCAACACACTGTGTATTATACTTGTCAGTGTCTGTCTCCACTAGAACACGTGCTCCATGAGGGCTAAGATTTTTCCCCTCTTGTGAAGTGTGTGCATTTTTAGCTCTGGAAAGGAGGCCTACAGATATTATCTGTGTGTGAGCCAAGTACTGTATGGAAAACTCTGCAGGAATGATTTCATACACTTGATGATCCTCACACCTAAGCCATGTTTTAGGTCCAGCTACCTCCTCCATATCACAGCAGAAGCTGCAGTTTCAACAGGTGTAGTAGCTTGCCCACACCTTGGTGACTAAGTGGGGGCAGCAGGTTTTGAATCTGGGTGGACTGCAGCTGGAACCCACATACTTAATCCATACCCTAGAATCTAGGTAGGAAAGAGAACATGCTTTATCTGGGGCCCTGGAAATGACTGTGGGAGGCAGTGCAAGGAATTGAGGCCAGTGAGGTGGGCAGGAGGCCAATGATCACGGCCCCTTGTTGCCTTTGCAATGCAGTTGGGTACATGTGACAGTCATTGAAGAATGTCAAAGGTCAGGGATGAGATTGTATGACATGATCAGACCTGTGTTTTAGCCAGATCACTCCGGAAATCGCATGAAGAATAAATTGAAGAGAATCAGTATGTTTGGGAAGCCAGTTTGGAGGTTATTGGAGTAGTCCAGGCAACAAATTGACAAAGAACTTAACCAGGTGAATTATATTGAAAATGGGGAGAGAGGGTGAGTTTAAAAGACTCTGGGAAGGCAAAATGGACTGAATCATAGCACAAGTAGTTATAAAGGGCACGTCCCTGGGAGGGATGGGAAATGAAAAATACCATTTTCTTACCTTCTTAACTGCATTTTCTATTTTTGTCTATATTTTAAAACATAGATAATATATTTATATAAATATATAGTATATGTAGTATGTATATATGTTTATAGTATAATATAGTATATTAGATACATATAGTATATAAATATATATTTATATTATGTGTATTATATTTGTGTATTGTATATACATATATTTCTATATAAGAATAATATATTTAACATGATGTTAAAAAATTATATATGCATTACTTCCATTAATAAAGTATATTGTTAAATATTTTAACATGCTCACATTTAGAAATTTATTACATTTCTTCTCCTTCTACTATTCATCAGCAAGACCTATACTTTGATGTGGAGCCTAAGGTAGTGACTACTGAGAACCCCTTTTTGGAGCTCACACATACTTCTGGGAGAGGTCTTTGAATGTGGCAAATATAAAAAACAAATATAATTTATTCACTAGAAATAGTATTATCATTGTTATTATACAATTGAATAGCACATGTCTTCCCTAAAAAGTTCACTCTGACAAAAGATTGATTGCCTTCCTAGTGCTGCTGGACAAGACTGAAAATTAAGGTCAGTTATGGCTAATAGCAAATGGAGTGGCCTGGCATTGGCAGGGCTCTTGTAATGCCTCACAGAGTTACCCATGGCCTCCTCTTTTGTACTATAGAATTTTCCAAAGTGCAGTGCTTCACATGAGTTTTTCCTTAAATATATATTTTTTCTTTCTTTTTTTTTTTCTGAGACATGGTCTCACTTTGTCACCCAGGCTGGTATGCAGTGGCACGATCTTGGTTCACTGCACCCTCCACTTCCTGAGCTCAAGCAGTCCTCCAGCCTCTGCCTCCTGAGTATCTGGGACTACAGGCACATGTCACCATACCCAGCTAATTTTTATATTTTTTGTAGAGATGGGGTTTCGCCATGTTGCCCAGGCTGGTCTTGAATTCCTGAGCTCAAAGCTATTGGCCTGCCTTGGCCTCCCAAAGTGCTGGGATTACTGGCATAAGCCACTGTGCCAGGCCTTCCTTGAATCTTTACGCTTATTTATGTGATAGATTTGAATGCTAAGGGGACTTATTCTTAGAGAATGTAAAGATTAAGGATAAACAACTTCTGGTCTTCATTTCCTCACCTCTAGACTGGGAAATAATTCTCACATAGGTTTACTGTGAGGGAATTACCTGAGATACTCTTTGTAGAGATCAATAATATTGCAAGTATTCATTAAATTGCAATTCGTAGTAGTAGGATTGGGTTAGCATCTGAATGATTTGTTGATGGAATTTAACTTAAAGAATTTTCAGTGGATATATGCAAAGTCTTTAGAGTTTCCATATTAAGAGAGTAAAAGGTTGAGTTTAATAATATAATCCTTATGTTTGGAAAAGTAAGCCATTGTTAGAAGAATTTGTTTTACTTGAATGAATTGTTATATCCCAATCCCTAAATCTATGTTGTAGTAACTAGTAGACCATTATGATCCTAGTTCACATACAATCAAATATTACCTGGCACTCAAATAACCAGAAAGCTCAAGTAATTATGTATTTGTTGTAAGGAATTCATGAGAGGTGAGATTGTGAACTACCTGTAGGTTAATATGATGGCTGACACTTTGCTTTCATTTTTAAAGACATTGGACAAGTTTTGACTGAATATGTGTTCACCTTTTTCTCCAAGACTCCCTTAGCTCTTATGCCCAGCACCTTCACACATACACTTCATCTGCTGCCCCTCATGTGAACTTGTAACTCTAGGTATGGACAAAGAAAATGTCTTAGGGTCAACATAGTACTGTTTTTCTTTTTGTGGTAATCTACTTTCTAAAGTAACAATGCACTTATACTAAACTATGAGGAATTGAAGATACTACACTGTTTTAGATGACAAAATAGCCCTTTTATTAGGTTGCACTATGAATAAGATGAAGGTTATAAGCTGTGAAGCATCAGCCTAATGATTTCACGGCAATGATTACTATATTATCAGGTAGAGGGAAGAAGGATTGGACCATTCTCTTTGTTCCTACTTGTTTGACTATAGTGGGAAGTATTCTAAGGAAGGAAGTTCAAGGAGTTTCAGAAATAGAGAAAAGCTTCCTGTTTTAAGGCAGTTGAAGAAGGAGCTGATTTGCATAAAATCCTCGAGTAGTACAGCTGAGATGACTTAGCAAAGTGGTTGACCAAGCACATAGCAACTATAGGAACAATCACCAGATCACCTAACAGAGTACTATAGTAAAAAAGCACTACAGCATTCAAACTTCAAACTCATTCACACTCATGTTAGGAATTAAGAAGGTGGGAGGCACAGTACATGTACTAACTGTGCCATGACCAACTTGCTGACTGGATATATGACTTAATATACTTGATCTTATTGGAAGAAATAGAGTTTGGAGAAGGAAATCTGCATTTAAAATAAAGTGTATTGAATGTTCTACCCTAATTTAAAATAATCATTTTTTTCAATGAAACAATATCCTTTAAAATATGTCTCATTAAATATTTACACTATTTCTCTTCTATTAAAAATAACATGTAGGCCGGCTGCGGTGGCTCACGCCTGTAATCCCAGCACTTTGGGAGGCCGAGGCGGGTGGATCATGAGGTCAGGGGATCAAGACCATCCTGGCTAACATGGTGAAACCCCGTCTCCACTAAAAATACAAAAAAATTAGCCAGGCGTGGTGGCGAGCGCCTGTAGTCCCAGCTACTCGGGAGGCTGAGGCAGGAGAATGGCATGAACCCAGGAGGCAGAGCTTGCAGTGAGCCGAGATTGTGCCACTGCATTCCAGCCTGGATGACAGAGCGAGACTCCATCTAAAAAAAAAAATAAAAAATAAAAATAAAAATAAATAATGTGTAAAAAACCTAATAGTAGCTGTCTGTCTTGATTAAAAGTGGATCGACATCATAATGGTATATTATTAGGTCTACACCCTTTTTATTCTCTTCCCTGGAATCATGCAATCCTAGCACTTTTACTGTCATAACATGTTAGGACTATTGGGAGCTTAGAGTTTATTTCCTCAAAACCCTTCATGTTACAGTGAGGAAATGAAACATGGGCAGCGCTCCAGGACTCAGGGCTCTGACCTAGAGTCTGCCAGTCATCATAATGGAAAGACATGGTAATGCTGCCTGCAGCTTTATATGTTGTTTCTCCATAGGGTGTCAACAGAGGTTTCTTGTTTATATGATTCCAAGTGGCTTTTTGAAGGAGAGAGATGAGAAACTCACTTTCCAGAGAATATTTGCCTTCACTTAAAAGTTCAAGAAGATATGCATTAGTTTTCTCTTTGAGTACTTTATAAAGAGCAGTTCAGTAGAAAATAAATGAAGAATACTAATTATTGGCAAAGTACCATGTAAGTGCAAAGACGGTCTTCAACAGTTACAGGATTGCCAACTTAGGTTGTGCTATGGATTGTTTAAAATGATTAATTTGTATTTCGGAAAAAGAAATCATTGTCTTTATACTGGATCATGAGTATTCTATTAATGGCTTTATTATGGACTATGAATTGAGGTGTAAAAATGTGACTTAAGAGAGGTTAAATGTTTGGAGTAATGAAGCCTATTTATTTTCTGCTGCTGTTTGATAAATAGTCTGTGCATTGCTCAGAATACTTAAAATTCTTTCAGTGAAATTTTTATCACCTCATTAGAGTTTACATTCTGACATGGAAGCTTAATATTCTATCTAATACACTGCTTTTAAAAGAATATTTAAATGTCTTGAGTCTCCATTACATGTCTGTGGATTTCCAAGTGAAGGGTAAAATGCGTTAGAAACTAGTTAGATGGATAAACCCCAGAAGTGCACGATAAATTAGCAGTGCAAACTGAACCATCAGAAAATACAGAAGAGATTACAAATCGATGCATCATTGACTGGCAAATAAGTGATGTAGAAAATGTGATTTAAATTGTGGGGCTATGTATTCTGTTCCAATAAATTTAGTAATTATCTTTATTTAATTATGTTTTCTACACAGTGAGTTTGCAAATTCTAATTCCTCCACCTTTTCCTCCTCATTCATAGTTGCATATTTCTGTAATATTTTCAGTGGTAGGGTTTTTGAATTTCATTGTTTCTGTTTTTCATCCTATCAGAACAGCAGACCACATGCCAATCTAAGAAGCCTCTTGGTTTGGTTATGCATTGTGTTTCCATCCAAGAGCAAGGACCCTTGTATTACTTGCCCTTCACACAGTTCTGGGTACATTTTTGGTGTTCAGTAATTTTCTGTATTGCAATTAAGAATAATAACTGTGTCTCTTCTACTGTTCACCTTCCATGTATCATGAAATGTATTATGATTTATGTAGCTCCAAATCTGTTGCATCTTTATAGATACAGCAAAAATCCGTTAAGAAAGAAATTAAAGGAGGAACCTTTTTTCTCTAAATTTACACAAAGAAATATCCTTCCAGTATACATTTGGTATAATTCTTTTATTTAGAACACATTCGCTGACCAAAGTAGACATTTTCACATTTTTAGGAATCTATCCGGATGTTGTGATAATGTGCAAATGCTACTGAATAAGTTGTGTTTGGAACGCCTGTGGAATATTGGATGTTAAGCTGCAAGGGCAATTTTCAACACCTCGGCTTTCTCTGTCATCTTGCTTCCATCTGTTGGTTTCTAAAAAATATTGTCCCCAGCCCAGTAGAAATGCCCAAGGCTTCAGGCACAGAGAATAACTTTCATATAAAGATCTGAGAGTCTAGGAAGAGCATATGAAACTGTGATACGTTAAACCAGTGTGCCGCCGATGCATGTCTTCTTTGTAGAAACCAGAGATAATTCAAATGCTCTATGACTCTGCACTGTGTCTCAATGGCAGGACGTTACAGATAGGCCAGTTGCTGCTCCCAGTCAGTTACCTGGGGAAAAACAAGCAGGCACTTACCTGCACAGAAGGCCAGCATGCTGTGTGTCATGTGTCATGTGTCATGTGTCATGTGTCAGAAGGCCAGTCATCTCATGTGTAGACAGCTTGTCTGTTTCTTGTCTGTTTCTTACTATGTTGTGATAATTACTTCAAATGGTGACCACAGGAATGCTACTGAGAAAAATTAACCCTTTCCTGATAGGTCAGTAGATTTTCAAAGCAGGTAATTAGTAAACTTGCAGGTAGCTGGCAAGCACAGCCTTTCTGATAGGTGTAAACCAATTTGTTTTAGGAAGTACACATCAAATTATTAATTGTGTCAATGTGGCATGGTCAGTAGGAATTACGTTGTGATAAATAACTGTAATTAAGATTATTGTGCCATTATAAAAATTGTTGGCATATACAAATAAATGGATCTTTATGCTTTCTATTGCATTCATTATCCCTTCATTAACTTCCCTGTTGGGACTGGAAAAAGAATTTTTTTTTTCCTCAAGAGCAGGATTTCTTAGAGACTTCAGCACATGCACAATAGAAGCCATGTGGAATAAATAGCAAGATCAGGGCTGCTGAAGAAGACAAACCAAGAAAGAGAAAGGGAACCTGAAAAGTCAGGGCACATGTCAGTGCAGACACAAGCTTTTGACTTCATGTTCTTTTGAATGCTTTTATTATGTTCAGGAGACTTTAATCTGCATCCTTTAGATTCATCCGAGTACTTCTGGAGTGTCAGCTGTGGACACGGTTCAGTTCTCATTTATCTCTGGGCTCTCTTCTAAACTGTTGAACACTCCATCCTTCTTGAAATACATTTTTCTTGGGTACAAAATGTTATTCTCCTTTGGTTTTCCTCTTACCATTCTGACTGTTCTTCTGTTTTCTTAGCCAGTTTATTCTTCCTTACACAACTGGGGGTAGAATTCCTCCAGGCTCAGCTGGAGATCTTCTTCGCATCTCATTCTGTCCTTCCTGATTGAGACCACTCATGGCCATGGCAGACATCTCTAAATTGGCATCAGCAGCCCAGCCCTCCATCTCATCCTCTAGATCTCCACCCTCCTGTATCCCAGACAGCTAAAGCTCGACATGTCCAGAACTGAGTGTGTGGCTTTCTCTCCACTAGCATTCCTGTTGTGAGTGAGTGGTGGAGCTCTATTTACCTAATGGCCACAATGACAAGAGTGGTTCTTGGAGCCTTTCCCTTTCCTTGCTCCCATGGCTGGTGATGAACAAGCCTGTTGGTTTGTTGTCCATGACATGTCTTGCCTCTGTTCATCCTGACCTCCTCTGCAGTCCACCTGCTGCTCTGTGCTGTTATTTCTGCCCTGACTTCCTGGGTTCTTTCTTTTTTCAGCCCACACGCATCTACTCACTCTCCTCCTCCTATTCATTTCCTGATAGGAACGATATTTTGGTTGTTTTAAGTGCACGTAATGCACATTTTAGTATGATAATTTCTCGCTGAAAACCTTTCTAGGTCCTTGTGCTGTTTTAAGACAGGGTTTTAACCTCAGCATTCTTCCCATTCAGGCCAGCATGATTCCATTTGTTGTAGGGGGATGTCCTGTGCGTGGTGGGGTGTTTAGCAGCTGCCCTGGTCTCTTTCCACTAAATGTGTCAGTAACACTCCCTCCCCACTCCTACCACCACAGTTGTGGCAATATGACAACCAAAATGTCTCCATTCAATGCCAAATGTGGGGGTGTGGGTGGGGGGCAAAATTGTTGAGTGTGGAAACCACTGCTCTAGGGATAAAGAGCCAATTCCTTAGCATTATTGTAAGTCTGTGTTCCTGCGTTATCTAAGAGCTGCCTTAGGGGTTGGTGATATCCACCTGCTGTTCTCACTTTTCCCTGCTCTGGCCTTCTCCCTGTTTCTCAGCATCCTGTGGTCTTTACACCTCACAGTTTTTCCTTAAAATGCCCCATTTGTCTGGAACGTTCTCCCTCACTCCTGCCACCCACGTCCCCTAGTTAATTCTTGACTTTCCTTCATGTTACACTTCCAAAGTCCCTTTCTCGAGAAACATAATCTCTAGTCTCCCAGGATAAGTTATGTGCTTGGATTCTATTCTTCTGTAATTCCTGTGATTGTGCTTTAGAACATTCATCACAATCACCACAATAACGAAGGAATGTGTTACTAGCTGTTTGGTTTGTGTCTCCCTCACTGGGATGCCGCCTCCATGAGGTCAGGGAGCTGGTTGTTGTCATTCCTCAGTTTTATGAGTGCCTACAACAGGATACGTTACTAATATCATTAGCAGCCACTGGTGAGATTGTACTCTTTGGTTGAATTCAACAAACCATTATGCTGTTGGTTGGCATGTTTAATTAGGTAGAGACTTTAACATATTTGGGTGCAGAAAGTAAAGAGACACATGAGTGTCGGGAAAGACAGGGACCACCAAATGAGCCCACTTGATTGCAGCCAATGAAGCAGTAATCCAAAGACTAACTCTAAAGCTTTGAGTTGTGGTGAAAGTTATTAACACCTGAGGGAGTGAGAAGCAGCCTGGCTGACAATTCCTAGACTATATTACATACTTTGTTTCAGAGAAACCTGCTAATAAGATGGTCCAGCATAACGGGCCTAAAGATGGTATAAAACTGAGACTTCAATGAATTACAGCATTTTAATTCTGATAGAGATACAAGCATCAGTTTTAATCTCCATATTTCTGGCATTGTAGGGTTTAGCACAAGGCCTGGCCCATATAGGTACTCAGTAAATACCACCTGAATGGATTGAGTACATAATGTGTGTGTAGTAGAGTTATAGGTTTTGGCAGTCCCTTTCCTTTAGGTAACTAGTCATTCTGTGTGATTCTATTGGAATGGTTCATTTCAGTTCTCCAGGATAGGGGTGTGCCTCATGACTGGCCCATCTAGGATCTTATCTCCCTGATCACACTGATTGGTTCCTGGATAGGCATCGTTTCAGGAAGGGCCAGTCAGAGTCCCCCATGAGAACGAAAGGGATGCTGAAAAACAAAAGTCTTTTCCCTCCTCTGAGATTGCAATGTTTGAGAGTAATGTAATTCCAGAACCATCGGTGTCCATCCCAGCACCATGTAGAATAAGTATATCTATCAATATGACCAAGCAGAGGCAAGTAAAGAAATGGAAGTAAGAGATGTGGAGTGGGTGGCAAAAGATCATACACACACCTGTCCTTTGTTCCTGGAGCCAATGAGCCAAAAACTCCAGTACTCTGGATTTTTCACGTATATAGGCCGGAACATTTTACTTTTTTCCTTAAACTTATCTGTAACTTGCCATACTCTTAATATAGTACTTTAAAATAAGGTTTGTTACTCTTTACTAAAGGAAGATTAACCTTAATTTTGTTCGTGATCTGCATGATTTGCAGTATTTTAGCTAGATTAATTTGTGTGAGATGGACATAGCACCTCATGTTAAGCTCAGTTCCCTGCTCATATCAATGATCAATAGTGCTAGAGGGCTTCGTCTTAATAACATTTAATTTCCTATTGAAGGCTGATGATTGTCAGAGCATTAATTAGTCCTCCTTATTTCAATGGACACCTATCAAAGACTCCATCGTCAGCATTGTGGCCGCTTGCACTATCTAGGTGATGGATTGCTGGTTGGGGAGTTTTATTTTAACTCTTGACTCAGCAGGTCTAGAGCTCTAGCCAATTTTATTAATGTAAAATACCAGTCAGGGGTTCTGAAGTCACTGCTTCAGAAAACCTAGTCTCCTCCTGATAGATATCGGATTTGTTAAGCTGCAACCATTTGAATAATAAATAAGTACACATTTCTATCAGAGTAGGAGGTAACTTCAGTTGGCAGGAAGTGGATTGATCTGATACATTAGTTTTCTAAAATACCTATCTAGATTATTTTCCTGATAGTGAAGGGAATTCTGACTTTTTTTTCTTGTATTGTCAATGCCAAGTAATGTTTAACTGCTTATTGTCAGAGTTCTGTCTGACACCTGTACCCATCCACGGTCTGTGGTAGAGTGAATATTTTTCCTACTATCAGGAAGGAAGTCTCTCACCCTCTTTTTGGTTCACTACCTGTTTATGGGATGTTAACCAGAATGATATTTTTGGCCCAGTAGAAAATAAGGCCAAAAATACATTTCCAATATGAGTGGAACTCCTGCAGTGTTCTGCTTGATACTTCCTGAATCAGATTCACATCACCTTTGCCACAAATTCTGGACCACTTGTTAGAAGCATTGGTAATGATATTGGACAAGCACTGATGAAATCTAGGTGTTTTATGTGGAAACCACACACAACTGTGATCAAAATAGAACTTACTTGTAGTGTTCCCTTTCACGGTTTTTGAATGACTTAAAGCAAAACTCGAATACATGGGCTTTCATTGTGTACCCTTTTTAACTCAAGGGTTTCATAACCGTGTGTTGTTCACATTTCATAAACACATTATTATCTATCAGTGTTTTAAGTATTTTTGCTTAAAGCCGGTTCCTCTACTTCACATTAGTCTTTATATTAATTCATTTCTAAGGAATCATAATCGCTATAGTAGTCTATCTGGTATCACCTTACTGGAAAACCAGTCAGATCTGTTGAAAGAAAACTTCAGACAAATCAAATTTAGCATAGTTTATCTGAGCAAAAGTAGTTTATAAATTGGGCAGCTCTCAGAACCAGGAGAGGTTCCAGGAGCTCTACTCAGGGGCAGATAGTATTTCTAGACCAGAAAAGCACAGGAGGTGTAGAAACAGCCTGATTGGTTACAGCTCAGTGTTTGCCCTATTTGGGCAAGATATGATGAGGCATTTGCCTTATATGAACATGATCTTATCAGTTGGCAACTTGTGATTGGTTGAAGCTTGGCTACTGTGATTGGCTGAGACACAGCTATTTATTGCAAGAATAGACTCTTAAGTTGGTTTGCTCTTGGTTGACACGCTAGGTTAGGTTGCAGTTAACTACATACAGCAGCAGAATTAGGCCAAATTTAAGTTCATTTAACAGAATCAAAAAGTAAGCATACAATCAGTTAAGCAAGCCAGTTCAGAAAGGAAAGATTGGTTTACAATGGAAGAAACTAATTGAGGACCAAGTTTTGGATTATCTTTTAAAGAGAATGAGATAATTTTGAGAAATGTTTGGTAAACTTAAATATAATTGAATGGTAATATATTAATTTACACAAAAGGGAAACAGGTTTGATATTAATGGAAGTCATAGATTTCATAAGAAATGTTCTAAGCTTGAGATTTGGAAGTCAAGAAGAATGGCAGAGAACTGCAGTAGAACGTAAAATACAACTTATCTGCACCAAAGAGGAATGACTCAAGAACCTTCTGACCTTGAGTTGAAAACTCCATAAAGGAATGATAACATGTATCACAAACCAATATGGGATTACAGGATTTTTTTCAGGTATTGAAAAAATAGCTCTGAAGAATGTATGTCTTTTTTTTTTTTTTTAACTTTTTACGAACCGTTTGTCAGCATTCAAGGACTATTTGGACAGTTTAGTATGCTAAGTGCTGTTCTTAAACTTCAGAGATTTATGTCACTCATAAATGCTCATCTCTTTTGCGAGCTCTTCCTCATTATATTAACTCACGGACTTTCACCCCACTGGCCTCCTCCTTAACCCCTGCCCCCATAAATTGGGTGCTAAAAACCCTAGATTGACAATACTAAAGATATATGATACGTGTAAATCACTACCAGGATGCTAAGAATTTCTCACCTCTTTTTTTAGTATTTGGGACAGAGTTGAGTGTGACATAGAAAGGGAGACAATATGAAGCTGTAATATGGACTTAAGTACCTAACCTAATAATGGTTGTCTCTTCAGAAGGAAGGCTGTTCTGTAAAGCTGTTTTTATACCTAAAAGGTAGTAAAGTTAGGAAAACAGTATCTAAGCAATTGAAAATGTTATATATGTGTGTGTGTGTAGGGACACCTGCCAGATGCCAGCCAGAGCTCTCCTGTATGAGGTATCTGTTGGCCCCTACTGGGAGGTGTCTCCCAGTCAGGATACACAAGGGTCAGGGACCCACTTGAGGAGGCAGTCTGTCCCTTATCAGAGCTCAAATGCAGTTTAGAGAAGAACATAAATGACTTGATGGAGCTGAAGAAAACAGCATGAGAACTTCATGAAGCATATACAAATATCAGTAGCCAAATCAATCAAGCAGAAGAAAGGATATCAGAGATTGAAGATCATTTCAATGAAATAAAGTGAGAAGACAAGATTAGAGAAAAAAGAGTGAAAGGAAATGAACAAAGCCTCCACACACACATACACATATATACACACACATATATATACACACACATATATGTGATGTAATAGTTTATATATATATGCTGTAACAGTTTTTTTAACATTTATATTTAGTAAATTTATAAGTGTTTCATTCCAAAAAAATGTTGCTACATTAAAATCTCTTCTGGGTCCTCTGTGATTTTTAAGGACTGGTGAACGCAAAATTCAGAGGCAAAAGGCAAAAATTTAAAAAGAGTTAAAAATTGGAGGGGGGTCAGGTTACACAGAGGTGGTGAGAGAAGATGGGGTTCTGTGAGGAACAAGAACTGCCCCACTCTGGTTTCTCTGAGGGCGCTGGTTGCCTTTCCTCCCTCCCACTGCACTTGCTAACAAATGGCATTCATCCCTACTTGGATTCAGAATGTCTGCACTTGCCAGGCAAACACAGGTTCCATGGAGATCAGTCTCCATGGGCAGTGCCAGTGGCTGTTTGAAAATTGGGTATCACGGTTAAAACAGGGATTGGGCTGGTGCTATGGAAAGTGAGTTTCTGTTCTGCTATACATTAGTTTACCTGATTGGCTTATTTCCCATTTAAAGTATGAATATTGCATATCAAATGCCTTTTTTTCTACTTTTTTGAGTAAATGTTTAAATTTTCTTCAGTTCCGTCCGTTTCAGAATACTTTCATTGACAATCTTAGTTTGAATAAATATTTTAGGCACCTCAAAAATTCTGCCTTCCTTTAGAGTCTGCTGGGGGAATGCAACCTGCAATAACCCCATTGGAAAGAATATAGCAATATCTGATAAAACTACATATGCCTGAGGCAGGAGGATCACATGGTCAGGAATTTGAGACCAGCCCGGCCAGCATGGTGAAACCCTGTCTCTACTTAAAAAATGCAAAAATTAGCCAGGCATGGTGGCATGTGCCTGTAATCCCAGCTACTCGGGAGGCTGAGGCAGGAGAATTGCTTGAACCCAGGGGACAGAGGTTGCAGTGAGCTGAGATTGCACCACTGCGCTCCAGCCTGGCGACAGAGGAAGACTCTGTCTCAAAACCAACCAACCAACCAACCAACCAAACAAACAAACAAAAAAACTGCATATGCATTTACCTTTTGACTCCGCAATCCCACTTCTAATGAAACAACTCTAACGCTACAGAAATTCATGTACATGAGTTTATCTATGCATGTTGTTATACGTTTCTTCAAACCCATAGAATGCACAATACCAAGACTGAACCCTAAGGTAAACTATGAACTTTGGTGATTATGTTGTGTCACTGTAGATTCATCAGTTATAACAATTGTACCTCTTTGGTGGGGGATGTTGATAATGAGGGAGGCTATACATGTGTGGGGGTAGGAAGTATAGGGGAAATCATGGTACCTTCCTTTTAGCTTTGCTGTGAACCTAAAACTACGCTAAAATTAATAAGTTAAGTGATAAAATATATGCATATGTGAAAAAAATCTGTTTTCATTAAATAGCTTAGAAAGTCCATAATGGAACGTGGCATATATTTTTATCTCATATACTGTCTTTTAACCTTGCTATAATTTTGAAAGCCAATGGATTATTTTCTTAGGAGGAAAAGCTGTAGATATGGTTTCACTTTAAAGTCTACTGGTGTATCTTGTATTTGGAATTCAAAAGATATTCAAAGAATCAACACTTAGAGTAACCACACTGTAGACTTGCTTGGGAATAAAAAACTCACTACATTTACTTATTGTAATTTAAGAAGGACTTTTTCTGGTATTAACTTAATCTGTTTCCCAAACCTCTGTGAATAAATTCGGCTTCATATTTAAAACTGAGGTTGAATATACCCAGGACTTGTCAATCTAGTCATAATTATGATATAGAGGACATGCACAAATCAAAACCCTCACCCCTAAGCCAACACTTGGACACTTCACTCTCTCTGTGGCTCTGATTTAAGACTCATATGCTGATAAATCATAGAGCCTCAAACAAACATTTAGATAACGCTATTTATCAGTTTTATATTTATTTTTCTTTTTTATCTGAAGTTATAAATGTCTTGCATAAATTCCCTTTTCACTTTTCATGTAAAAATTAGCTACCTTTCTAATATTGAATAAATCAGCATGGTAATGCCAATTCAAATTTATGGTGCTTTGGGCTTGAGGCCATTACAAAACTTACAAAACAATAAAACCCAGCCTTCAGAATAAGATTTTAAAGTATGAGAAAAAGATTAGACTGAATTTCCATATGTAAAGCAACCATGTCACAAATTAATTTTAACTCATAAAACCCAAAACTTATGCATAATCATTTACTGCAATTTCAGATAAGTCTTTGCTTAACCATTAAAGCAGATTTTCTAAACAAATAAAAATAAAAAGACCACAAAACCCACAAAAATGCATTTATAACATATTGGGATTTAAATCTGGATATTCATCTGCGTAATAATAGCTATATCTATAAATTAATTGAGAGAGAACTATTTAGAGAAAGAACTATAGGAAGTGAAAATCTACAGCAATTGCTTTCTGTCTTCTCTACTACTCCCTGCTTGGGTGGGAAAATGTGATTTATCTCATATAAAAAGACTGTGTAAGTTCCAGAATTTCTGAAAGATTTGAGAGTGATGTGTTCTCAGAATAGAGGCCCTGCATTTTCTGATTGTAAAACCCATGAGTATTAAAGTGATAAACTGGAAAATGAGAAGAAATTTGGCCTTACGTGTACAAGTTTGTGGACTTTATATTAGTTTCATAGATCAGCTCCGGTCTGCAGCTCCCAGCAAGATCGATGCAAAAGGTGGGTGATTTCTGCATTTCCAACTGAGGTACCTGGTTCATCTCATTGTGACTGGTTGGACAGGGTGCAGCTCACGGAGGGTGAGCCGAAGCAGGGTGGGGTGTTGCTTCACCCAGGAAGTGCAAGGGGTCAGGGGATTTCCCTTCTCTAGCCAAGGGAAGCTGTGAGAGACTGTACTGGGAGGAACGGAACACTCTGGCCCAGATACTGCCCTTTTCCCAAGGTCTTCACAACCTGCAGACCAGGAGACTCCCTCCAGTACCTGGCTCGGTGGGTCCCACCCCTATGGAGCCCAGCAAGCTAAGATCCACTGGCTTGAAATTCTCACTGCTAGCATAGCAGTCTGAGCTCTACCTGGGATGCTCAAGCTTGGTTGGGGGAGGGGCGTCCGCCATTGCTGAGGCTTGAATGGGTGATTTTTACCCTCACAGTGTAAACAAGCCTGCCAGGAAGTTTGAACCAGGTGGAGCCCTCCATAGCTCAGCAAGGTGAACCACATGTCTAGATTTCTCCTTGCTGGGCAAGGCATCTCTGAAAAAAAGTGAGCAGCCCCAGTCAGGGACTTATAGATAAAACCCCCATCTCCCTGGGACGGATCACCTGGGGGAAGGGGTGGCTACAGGCACAGCTTTAGCAGACTTAAATGTCCCTGCCTGACAGCTCTGAAGAGAGCAGCAGTTCTCCCAGCACAGCATTTGAGCTCTGATAAGGGACAGACTGCCTCCTCAAGTGGGTCCCTGACCCTTGTGTATCCTGACTGGGAGACACCTCCCAGTAGGGGCCAACAGATACCTCATACAGGAGAGCTCTGGCTGGCATCTGGCAGGTGTCCCTCTGGGACGAAGCTTCCAGAGGGAGGAACAGGCAGGAATCTTTGCTGATCTGCAGCCTCTGCCGGTGATACCCAGGCAAACAGGGTCTGGAGTGGACCTCCAGCAAATTCCAGCAGACCTGCCTCAGAGCGGCTTCACTGTTAGAAGGAAAACTAACAAAGAGAAAGGAATAGTACCAACATCAACTAAAAGGACATCTACTCAGAGACCCCCTCCATAGGTCACTGACTTCAGAGACCAAAGGTAGATAAATCCACGAACATGGGGAGAAACCATTGCAAAAATGCTGAAAATTCCAAAAACCAGAACACCTCTTTTCCTCCAAAGGATCACAGCTCCTCGCCAGCAAGGGAACAAAACTGGATGGAGAATGAGTTTGATGAACTGACAGAAGTAGGCTTCAGAAGGTGGGTAATAACAAACTCCTCCAAGCTAAAGGAGCATGTTCTAACCCAATGCAAGGAAGCTAAGAACCTTGAAAAAAGGTTAGACGAATTGCTAACTAGAATATCCAGTTTAGAGAAGAACATAAATGACTTGATGGAGCTGAAGAAAACAGCATGAGAACTTCATGAAGCATATACAAATATCAGTAGCCAAATCAATCAAGCAGAAGAAAGGATATCAGAGATTGAAGATCATTTCAATGAAATAAAGTGAGAAGACAAGATTAGAGAAAAAAGAGTGAAAGGAAATGAACAAAGCCTCCAAGAAATAGGAGACTATGTGAAAAGACCAAATCTACATTTGATTGGTGTACCTGAAAGTGACAGGGATAATGGAACCAAGTCAGAAAACACTGTTCTGGATATTTTCCAGGAGAACTTACCCAACCTAGCAAGGCAGGCCAACATTCAAATTCAGGAAATACAGAGAACACCACAAAGATGTTCCTCAAGAAGAGCAACCCCATGACACATAATCGTCAGATTCACCAAGGTTGAAATGAAGGAAAAAATGTTAAGGGCAGCCAGAGAGAAAGGTCAGGTTACCCACAAAGGAATGCCCATCAGACTAACAGCGGATCTCTCAGCAGAAACTCTACAAGCCAGAAGAGATGGGGGGCCAGTATTCAACATTCTTACAGAAAAGAATTTTCAAACCAGAATTTCATATGCAGCCAAACTAAGTTTCATAAACGAAGGAGAAATAAAATCCTTTACAGACAAGCAAATGCTGAGAGATTTTGTCACCACCAGACCTGCCTTACAGGAGCTCCTGAAGGAAGCACTAAACATGGAAAAGAATAACCAGTACCAACCACTACAAAAACATACCAAATTGTAAAGACCATTGACACTATGAAGAAACTTCATCAACTAAGGGGCAAAATAACCAGCTAATATCATAATGACAGGATCAAATTCATACATAACAATATTAACATTAAATATAAACGAGATAAATGCCCCCAATTTAAAGACACAGACTGGCAAATTGGATAAAGAGTCAAGACCCATCTGTGTGCTGTATTCAGGAGACCATCTCATATGGAAAGACACACATAGGTTCAAAATAAAGGGATGGAAGGTTCAAAATAAAGGGATGGAGGAAGATTTACTAAACAAATGGAAAGCAAAAGAAAGCAGAGCTTGCAATCCTAGTCTTGTCTCTGATAAAATAGACTTTAAACCACAAAGATCAAAAGAGACAAAGGAGGACATTATATAATGATAAAGGGATCAATGCAACAAGAAGAGCTAACTATCCTAAATATATATGCACCCAATGCAGGAGCACCCAGATTAATAAAGCAAGTCCTTAGAGACCTAAAAAGAGACTTAGACTCCCACACAATAATAATGGAAGACTTTAACAGCCGACTGTCAGTATTGGACAGATCAATGAGACAGAAAATTTACAAGGATATTCAGGACTTGAACTCAGCTCTGCACCAAGTAGACCTAATAAACATCTACAGAGCTCTCCACCCCAAATCAACAGTATATACATTGTTCTCAGCACCACATCACACTTATTCTAAAATTGACACATAATTGGAAGTAAAACACACCTCAGCAAATGCAAAAGAATGGAAATCATAACAAACTGTTACTCAGACCGCAGTGCAATCAAATTAGAACTCAGGATTAAGAAACTCACTCAAAACCACGTAACTACATGGAAACTGAACAACCTGCTCCTGACTAACTACTGAGCAATTAATGAAATGAAGGCATAAATAAAGATGTTCTTTGAAACCAGTGAGAACAAAGACATAATGTACTGGAATCTCTGGGACACATTTAAAGCAGTTTGTAGCGGAAAACTTAAAGCACTAAATGCCCACAAGAGAAAGCAGGAAAGATCTAAAATCAACTCCCTAACATCACAATTACAAGAACTAGAGAAACCAGAGCAAACAAATTCACAAGCTAGCAGAAGACAAGAAATAACTAAAATCAGAGAAGACCTGAAGGAGATAGAGACACAAAATACCCTTCAAAAAAAAATCAATGAATCCAGCAGCTGGTTTTTTAAAAAGATCAACAAAATAGGACTAATGAGAAAAGAGAGAAGAATCAAATAGACACAATAAAAAATGATAAAGGGGATATCAGCACCGATCCCACAGAAATACAAACTACCATCAGAGAATAGTATTATAAACACCTGTACGCAAATAAACTAGAAAATCTAGAAGAAATGGATAAATTCCTGGACCCATATACCCTCCAAAGACTAAACCAGGAAGAAAACGAATCTCTGAACAGATCAATAACAAGTTCTGAAATTGAGGCAGCAATTAATAGCCTACCAATCACAAAAAGTCCAGGACCAGATGGATTCACAGCTGAATTCTACCAGAGGTACAAAGAGCGGAAGGTACCATTCCTTCTGAAACTATTCCAAACAATAGAAAAAGAGGGAATCCTCCCTAACTCATTTTATAGGCCAGCAGCATCCTGATATCAAAACCTGGCAGAGACACACCAAAAAAGAAAATTTTAGGCCAATATCCCTGATGAACATCACTGCGAAAATCCTCAATAAAATACTGGCAGACTGAATCCAGCAGCACATCAAAAAGCTTATCCACCACGATCAAGTCGGCTTCATCCCTGGGATTCAAGGCTGCTTCAATATATGTAAATCAATAAACATAATCCATCACGTAAACAGAACTAATGACAAAAACCACATGATTATCTCAAGAGATGCAGAAAGGGCTTTCGACACAATTCCACAGCCCTTCCTACTAAAACTCTCAATAAACTAGGTATTGATGGAACGTATCTCAAAATAATAAGAGCTATTTATGGTAATCCGACAGCCACTATCATACTGAATGGTCAAAAACTGGAAGCATTCCCTTAGAAAACCAGCACAAGACAAGGATGTCATCTCTTACCATTCCTGTTCAACATAGTATTGGAAGTTCTGGCCAGGGCAGTCAGGCAACACAAATAAATACAGGGTATCCAGTTAGGATATGAGGAAGTCATATTGTCCCCGTTTGCAGATGACATGATTGTATATTTAGAAAACCCCATCATCTCAAGCCCAAATCTCCTTAAGCTGATATGCAACTTTAGCAAAGTCTCAGGATACAAAATCAATGTGCAAAAATCACAGGCATTCCTATACACCATTAACAGACAAACAGAGAGCCAAATCATGAGTGAACTCCCATTCACAATTGCTGCAAAGAGAATGAAATACCTAGGAATTCAGCTTACAAGGGATATGAAGGACCTCTTCAAGGAGAACTACAAACCACTGCTCAAGGAAATAAGAGAGGACACAAACAAATGGATAAACATTCCATGCTCGTGGATAGGAAGAATCAATATCGTGAAAATGGGCATACTGCCCAAAGTAATTGATAGATTCAATGCTATCCCCATCAAGCTACCATTGACTTTCTTCACAGAATTGGAAAAAACTTCTTTAAATTTCATATGGAACCAAAAAAGAGCCCACATAGCCAAGACAATCCTAAGCAAAAAGAACAAAGCTAGGGCATCATGCTACCTGACTTCAAACTATATTACAAGGCTACAGTAACCAAAACAGCATGGTACTGGTACCAAAACAGATATATAGACCAATGGAACAGAA
This sequence comes from Homo sapiens, assembly GCF_000001405.40. Taxonomy (NCBI): domain Eukaryota; kingdom Metazoa; phylum Chordata; class Mammalia; order Primates; family Hominidae; genus Homo; species Homo sapiens. The sequence goes on along the minus strand of NC_000005.10, from coordinate 11,668,104 downwards.
CAGAGGCCTCAGAAATAACACCACATATCTACAACCATCTGATCTTTGACAAACCTGACAAAATCAAGCAATGGGGAAAGGATTCCCTATTTAATAAATGGTGTTGGGAAAACTGGGTAGCCATATGCAGAAAGCTGGAACTGGATCCCTTCCTTACACCTTATACAAAAATTAAGTCAAGATGGATTAAAGCCTTAAAGGTAAGACCTAAAACCATAAAAACCTAGAATAAAACCTAGGCAATACCATTCTGGACATAGGCATGGTCAAAGACTTCATGACTAAAACACTAAAAGCAGTGGCAACAAAAGCCAAAATAGAAAAATGGGATCTAATTAAACTAAAGAGCCTCCACACAGCAAAATAAACTATCAACAGAGTGAACAGACAATCTACAGAATGGGAGAAAATTTTTGCAATCCATCCATCTGACAAAGGGCTAATATTCAGAATCTACAAAGAACTTAAACAAGTTTACAAGAAGTAAAGAAACAACCCCATCAAAAAGTGGGCAAGGATATGAACAGATACTTTTCAAAAGAAGATTTTTATGCAGCCAACAGACATATGAAAAAATGCTCATCATCACTGGTCATTAGAGAAATGCAATCAAAACCACAATGAGATACCATTTCACGCCAGTTAGAATGGTTATCATTAAAAAGTCAGGAAACAACAGATACTGGAGAGGATGTGGAGAAATAGGAACACTTTTACACTGTTGTTGGGAGTGTAAATTAGTTCAACCATTGGGGAAGACAGTGTGGCAATTCCTCAAGGATCTAGGACTAGAAATAACATTTGACCCAGCAGTCCCATTAGTGGGTATATACCCAAAGGATTATAAATCATTCTACTATAAAGACACACACACACGTATGTTTATTGCGGCACTGTTCACAATAGCAATGACTTGGAACTGACTCAAATGCCCATCAGTGATAGACTGGACAAAGAAAATGTGGCACATAGACACCATGGAATATTATGGAGCCATAAAAAGGATGATTTCATGTCCTTTTTAGGGATATGGATGAAGCTGGAAACCATCATTCTCAGTAAACTAACACAAGAACAGAAAACCAAACACTGCATGTTCTCACTCCTAAGTGGGCATTGAACAATGAGAACACATGGACACAGGGAGGGGAACATCACACACTGGGGCCTGTCAGGGGGTGGGGGCTGGGGGAAGTATAGCATTATGAGAAATATCTAATGTAGATGATGAGTTGATGGTGCAGTAAACCACCATGGCACATGTATACCTATTTAACAAACCTGTACATTCTGCACATGTGCCCCAGAACTTAAAGTATAATTTTAAAAAAAGAAAAAATAAGAAATCAGATTCTCTCAATTTGAAGTATAGAAGAATTCATTCACTTTACATTACAAAAGAGTAGTTAAAAATCTCAAATGGTTTCCTTCCCTCATACGTTACAGAAACAGGCCAAGCACAAGCTCCAACTCTAAGACTCAGTGGCATAAAGAGAACAATTCCAATGATCAGGCAGACTTAGTTCCATTTTATGATCGCATTACAGCACACTTTTACTTTTATCCAAACATATTCCTTCAACTTGATCTGTGAAAACTTTGTTTTACATTTTGTAATGTGACTATTGAAACAATCCCATCTATGAAAACTCTTTAAAGCTTCTCTGAAGAGTGCAATAATCTTTCAAGGGAAAATAATTCTTTCATTTATCTGTGTTTCATTCTTAATGTATTTATTTCATTCTGGACTTCTAAGGTTTGGTTTCCCCTCTGGGTTGATATAAGTCTGCTGACTTGGGATGTTTCTTCCTCCTGGAAGACACAGCCTTAGACCAAGGTGCATAGCTTAGACAATCCTATGAGAGTCCAACTACAGCCTCGAATTACCTCTTTCTCCAGGTGCTTTTTGGCAGTGCACAAACTTTGCAGTTATGTCACAGGCTATGAGTTTATTTCAGGTTGCAATTTGTGTACATGCCTTGATTCCACTGAATGTTAGGTTTGGGGCTTAAGTGTCATCCTTCTTGGCTATCATTCTGTAGTACACATTCATCTTGTTTAAAAAATTTAATAATCATATGGTCACTGCATGCAAATCTAGTACATGCTTAGATCTTTGGAAAGTGTATTTCTTTGCTCATAATATATATGATTCCTGATTGATGATTATCAAGGAAAAATATGATGCATTTTGTTTTCCCCTACATATTTCTGCTGTCATATCTTAAGCATAACACTATATTTATGAAACAGGAGGATAACCCTTGTGGTCCACTTGGAAGGACAAAGCAAATGTGTTTAAACAATGTGAGACAGGAAAGGGTTAGGGTCTTCACTGCCTCTCTTTCCTGTGATTCAACTGGCCCCTGAATACACACCTCACTTTGTTTTCAGTTTCACATCAATATTAAGATAGAGAGAAGAAGAGCAAGTTGATATTTTCTATTGAATATATAAGACATTATATAAATCTGTCATTCTGGAAAACTCCCTGGGAAGTAGCCATGCTTGAAGATGATATTCCGTATAGCATTGAATTGTAAAACCAAATTACTAATGAAACAAGAGAAAATCCTTGTGTCACTTAGTCTATTTTCTCCTCAAGTGAAATCCCTAAAGATGATAACATTGTGGTTGTGAAAATGTAGTAAGATTTATACACGGGTTCAGGCATTCTGTTTTCAGGAACTATCTTGCTATATGGTAAAGCTAGATGTTATTCAGAACCACTTATATAAACCAGTACCACAACTCTGTAATGTAGGTATCACTATCTGCATTCTTTCAGTGAAGCAGCTGGATGGAATAACTTGCTCACTATCTCATAGCTGGTAAGTAGTGGAGCTGAAAGTCACAGGCAAGGTTCCCAGCTAGCCCACGGATTCACCACATATACAAGAGCTACACAATTTCTCTATTAAGCTCTGAACGGAGATGCACTATTCACCAATAGCAAATATTAACCCAGTTATCTGTAAACTCAAGCGTGAGTTTATTTATTCATAGGAAATCTGGTTGGGAAATTGAATTTCAATTCACCATCAGCATCTTTTGATGCTCACCATCAAAAGAAGGCTGGCAACTCGAGTAATGGAAACCCCGTGACACCAAATATTAACATTTCATGAATTTTCATTCCGGGGAGGCATTCCTTTCACTAGGATTCTTTCTTCAAAGCAGTGATTTCACAATACAATTAATTTGCTTTCATTTTACAATTATATACTTAATCCAACAATAAAGAGGACTTCATACTTCATTCCCTGAACAAGACCTGATGGAGCACTTCATTCTGTGGAGGATGGAAGACTAAGTTATCAATTCTAGCTTTCCCTGATAAGTATCCATGGAGGAAATAGTGAGTGAAATGAATTGGAGGTAATAATTTAGATGAAAAGGATCTCAACCCGAAGGCCATCTGAAACTTAGGAAATGAGCAAATGTTTTTTCTATGATAAATTATTTTGGTACTTTCATGAGTTTATGTTACAAACTTTAAAGTAAGTTATATATTTTATTTTATTTGAGATATAGTTTCACTCTGTCACCAGGCTGGAGTGCAGTGGCACTTCCTCAGCTCACTGCAACCTCCCACTCCCTGGTTCAAGTGATTCTCCTGCTGAGTAGTTGGGATTACAGGCACCAGCCACCACACCCAACTAATTTGTGTATTTTTAGTAGCGATGGGGTTTCACCATGTTGGCCAGGATGGTCTCAATCTCCTGACCTCGTGATCCGCTGGCCTTGGCCTCCCAAAGTGTTGGGATTACAGGAGTGAGCCACCGCACCCAGCTTGTATTTTAATTTTTAAGTCGTCTTAATACAGTCAGCCCTGAAAACTCTTAATGTTTGTCAAGGTATGACACAGAAGTGAACTTTTAAAAAATGTTCTATTGATAACAATATAGTATGTACATAATTATTTGGTAGATATTTTGAATAAAGGTATCAAGGTTAGCAACCAATTTATATTATTATGGAATAACATTTTCATTAGCAGCTTTATCTGAGGCATTCAGGTCTGAATGAATTTCTAGACTAAACCTTTTGTGTTAAGTTCCCTGTAGCTTTGAAATATGTTGGCAACTAATGGAATTTGAAGAAGAAATAGCATCTAGTCTTGAGATGGTTTCTACCTTCTTGGCTTGCTAAGAAATGCTAATTTGGAGTGTTGCCAATCAGATCCCTTTTAGTATCATTAAATTTAATTTCACAAACTAATATAATTTAGAAGCATAATAAGTTACTTAATGCTATTAGCTATGAATACAATGATAAAGGATATCTTTAAATATTATAATACATATCAAACACCTTATTGTACTTATTTTCTTATTCTTCCTAGGTCAAATTATGACTGTATTCTGGATTATTTTAATTATAATAATCTTTGATTTATACAGTCTTTGTATTGGGAAAGCATTTTAAGGTTTTTACAAGTTTAAAGTTTGGCTTTATTAGTCTCTTGTTTCTAAATACTGCTGTGGAATAGAGTATTTGGGGATGGTAATTAAGAAAAGAATTTATCATGTTAATTGAAATCACTGCATTTTATACACACATATGTAGTTTAATTCATGCTGTTAGGAAGACATCATATTTTAATGGTTTTCCTCATTGTTTTCCAGGAATAGACATCTTTTTCTTCCAGGAATATCTCTGTTCTACTCATTAAGCACCTTAATAGTTATATAACTCTATTTTCCGCTGTACTTATTGACAGGCTGTATATATTAAAATGTTGATTGCAGATAGGAATGGAAAACTCAATTTCATGATTGAATATCTTCTCTTTAATGGGAAAATTTGATTGTCTTTTTAATATAGATCAATCTAATGACAAGTGGAGAACATTAGGGTGATCTAATTTTTATCAGTCTTATATTTCAAATCAATTATGCAGACACATTTTTTATGATGCCACGACCACTTTACAGAAAGTACAAATGTATGGCAGGCCATCTGCAGTGACTTTGTGGGTGCTGTGTTGGAGTCTTGCATTTCCTTAGACCCTGACTAGAGGCATTTCTTAAAACAAAAATCTTAAAAATAGCTAGGAATCATTTGGTGCCTTCCTCACTTCTCATTCTCACAACACATGGCTTAATACCATCCTGGTCTTGACATAATGCTCTGATGTGCTCCTTCTCAAGTGAGTACAGACTAGAAATATTTTATCCACTTTATTTGTTTACTGGCAGCTTTCATGTAGACCAGAAATCTCCAGCCTTTTCGACACCATGGCCCAGTTTTGCGGAAGACAGTTTTTCCATGGACGGGGTTTTGGGATGGGGAGGCAGGGGGATGTTTTGGGGATGAAACTGCCCAAACTGTCCCATCTCATAGAGGGTGCACAACCTAGATCTCTTGCATGCGCAGTTCACAGTAGAGTTTATGCATCCATCTGTGATGGCTAATACTGAGTGTCAACTTGGTTGGATCGAAGGATGTAAGGTATTGATCCTGAGTGAGTCTGTGAGGGTGTTGCCGAAGGAGATTAACATTTGAGTCAGTGGGCTGGGAAAGACAGACCCACCCTTAATCTGGGTGGACACCATTTTATCAGCTGCCAACATGGCTAGACTATAAAGCAGGCAGAAAATCGTGAAAAGTCTAGACTGGCTTAGCCTCCCAGCTTACATCTTTCTCCAGTGCTGGATACTTCCTGCCCTCAAACATTGGACTCCAAGTTCTTCAGCTTTGGGACTCAGACTGGCTTCCTTGCTCCTCAGCTTGCAGACGGCCTATTGTGGGATCTTGTGATCGTGATTGTGTGAGTTAATACTACTTAATAAACCCTCTCTCTCTCTGTCTATATATATATATATATACACACACACACATATATACACACATATATGTATATATATACATATATACACATATATGTATATATATACATATATACACATATATACACATATATGTATATATACACATATATACACATATATATGTGTATATATACATATATGTATATATATATACACACACACATAAATATGTGTATATATGTATATATGAACTATGTATCCATGTTTCAGAAATATGTATATATATGTGTGTGTGTGTGTATATATGTGTGTGTGTATATATGTGTGTGTTTGTGTGTGTGTGTATATATACATGTATCCTATTAGTTCTGTCCCTCTAGAGAACCCTAATACAGAATCTAATGCCGCTGCTGATCTGACAGGAGGCAGAGTTTGAACGGTAATGCTCATTTGCCTGCCGCTCACCTCCTCTGTGCCACTCAGTTCCTAACAGGCTACCAGCCGGTACCAGTCCGTGACATATATAAAACCAAGAAAGACATAAAAAGAAAAATTTATTCAGCTTATCGGAAAAAAATTTAAAAAGCAAATAATCCTTAGGGAACAGAAATAGACATGTATGATGATTGCTTATTTCTTTTTCTAGCTAAACCCAAATAAAGCAGTTGTTACAAAAGTTACTAGGAAATTGATGATTTTTTTTTAAAGATCTGTATTAATGATAGTAAGGAGTTAGATGTAAGCATGAACCTGTAGGTTTGGGAAGAGTGCTAGACAAAGGCACAAAAGCCATTTCGTCACATAGGTCCTATGATGTTATTTGGAAGACATCTTAGATCGCTTATTCTAGAGATGAGAAACAAGTTCAGAAGGTTAAGTAGATGTTGCAAAAGTTTGCAATAAAAAAGTAACAGAACTGAAATAGTAATACTTTCTTAATAAGTAGCTTATGGGACCTTCTAGTAACTTAGTTTCCTGATTTGTTAAATGAGGCACCATGTCTTGTGGAATCCATAGCCTACATATCTCTTGAAATGACACCTTTTTCAAGTCTGTGACTTTCCTTAATCTGATCTTTTAAGAAGTTTGTATTTCTCAACATTTATTTTCCTGAAACCTAATTAGATTATCTCAAAATTAATTTAATAAAGTTTTAAAATTATGTAAACAAGAGAGCTTTATAACAGTACACATCTAAAGTGGGTGATAAGTTGTATCTATGTTAGGCCATTCGGAAAGCCACTCACTGTGGCTACCAAAAATGGAAAGAGGCCTATTTTCATTAAAAGCAAGTATTATCATTGTTTTTTGATAAATATTACTCAAATAATTCTCTGATCTAGCAACTGAGTAGCCATGTTTCAGAAATCAAGCCACATTTTCAACTCTCACATTCTTCTTTAAAAGTTTCCATTTGTTATTTTTCTCAAGATTTTTAAATTAAATGTTACTTTTAATTATATTGATCCTACATAGATTTGTGTACTTTAACTTTATTTTACTTTATCATCTGGATAATTTATGCCATTAGAACTAAGACATTTTTAAGGTTATTATATCAGCTTGCAACACATGCCCACATGCACACACATGCAAACTAGACTAATATTTTAAATACGTGACTTTTTTAAGGGTACCACTATCAATAATTGAAACACGTTCAATGTCACCATCTTCTCTTTCTCAACTTGTTTTTCCTCCCAAATTCTATTTTATACCAATGACCCATTTGTTTCCTTCTGTAACTCACTCATTGCCTACCTGTATATGAAATCCTCAGATTTTTGGGAAACTGAGCCTACTCCAGAGGCTGAAGACCCGTATTTTTAGGCATCTACTGGTCATTTCCATCTGGACATCTCCTCTTTCAACATTAGGCATCTTACCAGCCTCAAAGTCAAAATGATATCATTAATGTAATTGTTCCCAGAGTCAGATATCCCTTCTGTCCGGTGATTGTTCTCTTTCTCCTTAAATCAGGCAAGCTCAACACTTTTGATAGTACTTTAACTTATACTTTTCTCGTACCATACTCATCAAATAGCAGACCTTCATGAAGTAGCTTGTTCCTATTCTTTCATTAAATTTCTCCTTCCCCCATCCTTTTTCATGGCCTTGTGACCTCAGGTAGCAGCTTCTTGCCTGGTCTGCCTATGGACATCTCATTCTATTACTATTGCCTGATAAATTCAGCCAGATTAAACTTCTTCAAGCACAAACTGCTGAGCTCATCCCACCAGCTCAAATTTCTTTAAAGCTTCTCCATTGCTAATCTAATAAAGACTCTTTATTGACAGCTAAAGAAGTTCAAAATCTGATTTCATCCTGTCTTCTCACTACTTCAGGATAAGTATCCAATATTCTAGCCCGTTAAGTGTTTACAATTCTCTTCAAAGTGGTATATACTATTACTACTACAGTAAGAACCCTTCTTAACATGTGTTTGCCTGGAATTCTGCTTCTGGTCATAAAGACGTTACTGGTAGCTGATGTACACTCATGACATAAATAGTTATAAAACTAGACAAATATATGAAGCAACTGTTCTCAGGCTTTGGACCACTGAAGAGAGTCCTTGAAGAGACAAGGAGAAAAAGAGCATTAAAACACGAGGCCCTAATGCAGGAAACAGTGGCCCTGATCATAGTTGCATTTGGCCTTAACGTGTCATATGCTGGATGGTATGGAGCAGCCACTGCACCTGTGTAGGGAGAGTCTATTGAGCAGGCATCAGGAGTCCTTGTTCCATGTTTCCTTGTTCTAGTTCTGGGTATAGAGCCATGGATCAGCTCTATGTCCTTGCATCAATGTGCATGCTAACACTTGAAAGCTATAATGCACCAGACAAGAGAATGATGCCTTCAAGTCTACAGTCCACACGTGAACTTATTCTTCTATAGGAGTTAAGGATTCATTTTAATTGCATATACTATATTAAGAATACAGTCTTGCTGGTATACGCCCTTGGTATTTGAGGAGGATTGGTTCCAGGACCTGCAGATACCAAAATTCACAGATGCCCAAGTTTCTTATGTAAAATGATGTGGTATTTGCATATAACCTATGCACATTCTCCTGTATACATCAGATCATCTCTATATTACTTATAATACCTAATACAATGTAAATACTATGAAAATAGTTGTTATAATGTATTGTTTCTTACTTGTATTATTTGTATTGTTTTATTTTTAAAATTTTTTTCCAAATAATTTTGATCTGCCGTTGGTTGAATCTGTGGATGAGGAACCGTGAATACAAAGGGTGAACCACATTTGCAAGTAAATAATCTACCATTAAAGCACAATTGACTGAAATGAATTTTTAAAAGTTTTTATTAAACTATCAAATGATTGCTAAATGTGATCTGGTTATAAGCTCTGTTTTATGATAATATTTAATTCATAATTGATCTCTAAATTCTTTTCAGTAGTCCTTTGTAAACTAAATAAAAACGTGATTTGTGTTATTAGATAAAACTATGATTGAAAATTTCAAGGTCTGTACATCTTTTTGAAACTCATTTTAGCAGCCAGTAATGCTGATTGTCAGGAAATGTATTCATATAGCGCAGTGTAAATTTTTAATTCACTAATTTGTCACTTCCTCCCCTCAGCAATCAGCTGTCGTTTATGGAAAGCTTACAAGCTGAGTGCGTGAAGCCAGGGGGCTTAAGTGAGTTCAAGACATTGACTGTAATGTTTTTATGGCCTTGACAAAGATGAGGGATGTCAGTTTTTTTCAGTTTAGTGAGTTTCCACGGAATACAACAATACAGATAGCACAGGAAGCCAGGAAATAAGAGCTTTCCCATAATGGATTCTGTTTATTCCTTGGTTGTCAGTAATTTGACTTGACTGCATCTGATCTGCTGGAGAACAACAGATAGATTCAGAATGCACCACTGTCACCGAGCTATTCACAATATCTCTGACATGTATTAGGGAAATTAATACAGATTTAGTTCTTCATCTTGCTCTTGCTTCTCACCTGCTAGCAATTATATTTTCCTCACCTGTGAAAGGTTACTTGGACGAGGTTTATGTAATGAAGGCAATGGATCATGAGTCAACAGGAACACACACACATGCATACAAGATATTTTCAAGAATTTTTTTTTATTCTTACTTGGTTAAAAAGATGTAATAATGTAAGTAAGTTTCACAATCTTCATAAAACTTGAAGAGGAAGCTTACTATAATTTGAATATAGGTTTTCAGGAAATACTTGTGTAATAGATTAAAATATGAATATAGCAATTAATTTTTGAAAAATAAAAATTTGCTTTAGTAATAAAAATAAAGTGTTCTTCTGGATGATGATTTGGAGAAAATGATTTTCAACCACTTTAAATAGAATTATAACCATCTGTATAACAAAAGTCATAAAGTTAAGAAGCAGCTTAGGTTTTTGTATCATTCAAAATATGAAGCATTGTTTACGTTTTTTCTTTTTCTCCTTTTTATAATTTCAACTTCTAATTTCGGGGGTACATGTACAACTTTGTTACATGCATATATTGTGTGATACTGAGACTTGGGGTTAAGTTTAAAGGTATTTGAGTTTTATGCACAATAGGTTTATCAAAATGATTTTTAAAAATTATTTTGATTGATGTGCCCATTGAAGTTATTCAAAATGTACTTCTTAAATAGCATACTAATCTGAAAAATTGCAATTTGTATTGTCAGTCTTTAGTGTGATTGTCACTAATTGTTTGACTAATGGTCAGAATTAACTAGCACTATTTAAATCTTTGCCAACTCATAAAACCTGAGACACTTTGAATTTAATACATACGGTTATTTTATGTACTAAGAAAGGAAGAAAAGAATGAAGGGAGGAAGAAATGAAGGCAGGAAGGAGAGAGAAACAGGAGAGAGAAAGAAGAAGGAAGGAAACAGAGAGAGAGATAGCTAAATACAAAGATGTTAGCATGAAAAGTAGGACACAATGCTTTTTTATTACTTCACGTGTTTATTTTATACCTTTTGGAAAAGCTGGTTTAGACTTATCTAGATATAAATTTTTATCATGTATGATTATATTATTGTTGCACATTCTTTAAAAAATGAAAATACGAGTTCAGTAAGGTGACTGAGAATTCCCAAAAAATATTCCACTGTCTTTCTCTTCTGAATCACTTTTGATGCTGAGCCATCAGTGTCTTCATTTTCCCCACACTGCCACCCTCTGTGACATGAAAAGTGGTGAGGCTGCAGGACATTTTTAAGAAGTGTTTCACGATTGCCTTCTGTGCTTGACTTACAAGCTGTTGAGACACATTCTTCAAGTTTTATTTTCTTGGTCTCATCAGAATATGTCACTGGAATGTTTTCAGACAACAGCCCTAACTGATATTCCTAACTCAAAGCCCTTAGAGCGTTTGTTGAATGATACGCAGAGGGCCAAGTTCTCACCTGTGCTAGGTTTGAGAATTCTGCCATGGCCACCATCTGGCCGAAAGTGATTGTAAGAAGACACTGCCTGTCTTCTTTATACTGATTTCAGAACCATTAAAATTGAAGAAATGTGCATCTCAGAATTTTTGGGATGGACTGTTTTATCATTGACTTCCTTTCCTCACTGTTACGGAGCTTGCATAGTTACAAAGCTGGTAGTTGTGCATCTTTTGTGGCTCTGCATTAACACTCACCTGCGATAAGAGAGAGGGTGAAGACTTTCCTGTCAATGAGTTTCCACTGTTCGTGGATCAGTAGGAGCATGAGTTATCTTTTGAAATTGGTGGGTGGTGGGGTCATTGGTGGTAACAGTGCAATGTGTGTTTGGAATAACTTGTGCCGTGACTGACAGAGAGAATCTGGAAAACAAAGAACCTTTACCTAATACACTGAGGGCAAAAATGAGGTTGCATAGTGACTCTGGTTCACATTAGTATATTTTTTTTTTTTCTGGGAGTGTTCAGCAGGGGTATAGAAGCAGGGATGGTATAGGGTTGGGCTGAACAAAGGTAGAGGTTTTATAAAGTCAGCTTAGACTGCTCTTTTTTTCTAGAGTGTTTAACAAGACCATTGCAAAGGGTAACATTTCACACAGAATTAAAGAGGAGAGACATAAAACCACTTATTGATTGTATTTCTAGGTAACGTATATATGAATTAAAACTGAAAAAGCATGCATAAAAATTTTAAAAATCCAGATTCATCTTGCTTGAAACGTGGGTCTTCTTTGACTGTAATTTATAGTCTCATGCCAATTTATGGTTCTCTTTTTATGTAACCATGTCTGAATTCTAAAATCCTGAAACAGATTTGGAATGGAAATATTCAGAGCTACTTTAAAACTAAAATAATTTTTTTTTTTACTGAATCAAAGAATAATCTGCTGCAGGTGCAACATTTATGACACCATTATGGAAATAAGTCAAAGATCGCTGACTCAGTACGTCCCGTATTAGAAACCAAATGAGTGTGTGTCATCATTGAAAGAAAAAAAAAGTAGCAACTTGGGAAACCTGGAGCCACATTAGCAGCCATTTCAATTACTGAAACCACAGTGTGTGTGATGTTTACTTCCTGGGTAACCATACATGAAATGTATGAAAGCTTCTTAGGGTTGCTTCTAGTACATATGGATTGATCTTATTTGATTCCTACGCTCTGAATGAAAATAATCAATCAATATAAGCAAAGCTTTTTGCCATTTGTATTGTGTTTTATTTCAGCTAAAAACACATGACCTTGAGCTGAACAATGTATGGACTTCTTCCTTAAAAATTATCTATTAATATAATTTATTCTGGAATGATCTTAAGTAAACTTGGAAGGATTGATCATGACAAGAATAAGAATAATGAGTTTCTTTTCAATCCTGTTCTTTTACTTTACGAATGCCAATTGTGAGATATCCATGTTGTGGAGAGCAGAGTCCTACTGGTTGATGTAATGCTGTCTTGACGAAATATATGGCTGTGTTTTGCAGAATGGGGGTGGTGGTTGCACCTTAAATAATGAAAGATCCAGGAAATAATAGTAACTGACTTAATATAAGAACCTTAATCCCCAATGTTTCCTTAACAGGTTAAATATTATCTGCCTAAAAAAAAAAATAGTTAAGTCTCTCTTACATGTGAAAAACTAGAGGCATTCCCACTAAGGTTCAGTATGGACAACTGTATTTAGTGCTAAATCTATTTAAAATTGTTCAGTAAGTGCTAATCAAAACATTCTTTAAAACAATATAAAATGATAAATTTTGAATGTTGAAAAACTAAATGATTTATTTAACCCAGTATAACTGACTGATAAACGATTAGAATTAATAATCTTCCAACAGGGCAGCAAGATAATATACATAAACCAGTGCTCCCCACCGTTGACAATTTTTTATCTGTCTCACCATGAAACATCTTTTCATGATTAAAAACTCCCAACCAATTAGGTAGAGAAATGTACCTAATCATAATAAAGGCCATATATGACAAGGCTGCAACTAACATCATCCTTGACAGTGGATGGAACTAAGCTAAAAGCTTTTCCTCTAAAATCAGACACAAGACAAGGATGCCCATTCTTACCACTTCTATTCAGCATAGAGGGCTAGAAGTCCTAGCCAGAGCAATTAGTCAAGAGAAGGAAACAAAAGACATCCATATTGGAAAGGAAGAAGTGAAATTTGTAGATGACATGGTCCTGTATGTAAAAAAAAAAACCCTAAAGACGCCACCAAAAAATGCCACCAAAAGAACAGTTAGAACTAATGCATTCAGTGAAGTTGTAGGCTACAAAATCAGCATACAAAAATCACTCATGTTTCTATACACTAATATTGAATTAACAGTGAGTTTCTTTAATGAAAATCTTTTAAAAATCTCATTTACAATAACATCAAAAAAAATAAAAATGCTTATGAATAAATTTAAAGAGGAGAAAGATCTATACTCTGAGAAGTATAAAACATTGATGAAAGACATTGAAGATGACACAAATTGAGAGATAACCCATGCTCATGGATTGGAATAATTAGTATTGTTAAAATGTCCACACTACCCAAAGTGATCTACAGGTTGAATGACTGTAATCTGCACCAAAATCCCAATGACATTCTTTACAGAAATAGAAAAATAATTCTAAAATTTTATGGTACCAGGAAGAGCAAAGCAATCTTGAGCAAAAGAACAAAGCTGGAGGCATCATACTACCTGATTTTTAAGTGTACTGAAGAGCTATGATAATAATTAAAATAATATGGTACTGGCATAAAAACAGACACAAAGACTAATGGAACAGAATAGAGATCCCAGAAATAAACTCACCTACATACGGTCAACTAGTCTTTGACAAAGGCATCAAGACCAAACAAAGGGAAAAGGACAGTCATCAATAAATGGTGTTGGGAAAATTGGATATCCACATGCAAAATAATGAAATTGAACCCTTAATCTTAAACCATACATAAAAATCAACTTAAAATGGAATAAGAATTAAATGTGAGCCCTGAAAATGTAACAATTCTGGAAGAACACATAACAAAAAAGCTCCTTAACATTGATCTTGGCAGTGATTTTGTGAATATGACTCCCAAATCACAGGCAACCAAAAGGGAAAAAAAAAAACCAAACAAGCCTACATCAAACTAAAAAGTTTTGACACAGCATAAGAAACAACAAAATGAAAAGGCAACCTATGGAATGAGAGAAAATAATTGCACACCATGTATCTGCTAGAAGGCTAATATCCAAAATATATAACAGAGCTCATATAATTCAATATTTACAAAAAACACACATAACCCAATTTAAAAATGACCAAAGTAACTGCATAGATATTTTTCCAAGGAAGACATACAAATGACCAACAGGTATATAAAAAGGGCTAAATAACACTAATCATCAGGGAACTGCAAATCAAAACCATGATGAGATACCACCTCACATCTGTTAGTATTGCTGTTATAAAAAAGCCAAATGATAACAAGTGTTACTGAGGTGAGGAGAAAAGAGAACCCTCATCATGAGACTGAAAATTGGTAGAGACATTAGGGCATGGCATTTTCTCAAAAAACGAAAAACAGAACTACCACACAGCAATCGCACTATAATGGGTATATGTGGGACTATTAAAAAAGGAATTAAAATCAGTATGCCAAAGAGATATCTGCATTCCCATATTCCTTGTGGCATTGTTAATAATAGTCAAGATATGGAAACAACCTAAATGTCTGTCAGTGGATGAATGGATAAAGAAATTGTAGGTTACACACACACACACACACACACACACACACACACACACACACACGAATTTTGTTCAGCCTTAAAAAAGAAGGAAATTCTGCCATCTGCAAAAACATAGATGGAGGACATTATGCCAAGTAAAATAAGCTAGACACAGAAAGAAAAATGCTGCATGATCTCTTTTATATGTGTAATTTAAAGAAATTGGACCCTTAGAAAAAGAGTAGAAAGATGATTGCTATGGGTTTGAGTGTGGGGGCAATGGGAAGATATAGGTCAAAGAGTAAAAACTTTCATTTATAAGATTAACAAATTCTTGAGATTAAATGTACAGCATGGTAACCATAGTTAATAATGTATATTTGAAACTTGCTGAAAGAGTAGGTCATAAGTCTTCCCATCACACACACAACTTCATACATGAAGTAATGGATATGTTAATTAGCTTAATTGTGGTGATTACTTCACAATGTCTGTGTATCAGAACAATCAAAAACCCAGTAACATAAATTTTTGCTCTACATCTTGAAAATAAAATTTAAAAAGGAAAATAAAGAAACAATGCTTTCCTATAGACTAGCAATAACAATATAGTGAGAAAAGGTGCCATTCACAAATGTCAATACAATATAAATAGCTGGAAATTTATAAATTATTTGAGAGTCAGTCTGAAAGCTCACTGACTGTATTAGTCCATTCTTACATTGCTCTAAAGAACCACCTGAGACTGAGTTATTTATATAACAAAAAGAGGTTTAATTGATTCACACTTCTGCAGGCTGTACAAGAAGTATGGCTGGGGAGGCCTCATGAAACTTATAATTATGACAGAAGGCAAAAGGGAAGCAGGTGTGTCTTACGTGGCCGTAGGAGGAGGAAGAAAGCAAACGGGGAGGTGCTACACGCTTTTAAACAACCAGATCTCGTGATAACTCACTCACTATCACAAAAATAGCACGGGGGAAGTCCATCTCCAAGATCCAGTTACCCCCAACCAAGACCCACCTCCAACATTGGGGATTACAATTTGACATAAGATTTGTGCAGGGACATAAATCCAAGCTATATCATTCTGCCCCTGGCCCCTCCCAAATCTCATGTCCTTCTCACATTGCAAAATACAATCATCCCTTCTCAACAGTCCCCCAAGTCTGAACTCATTTAAGCATTAACTCAGAAGTTCACGGTCCAAAGTCGCATCTGAGACTAGTCAAGACCCTTCTACCTTTGAGCCTGTAAAATAAAAAAAATAAATAAAATAAAAACAAATTATTGACTTCCAAGATAACAATGGGGGAACAGGCATTGGGTAAAGACCCCTATTCCAAAAGGGAGAAATCAGCCAAAACAAAGAGGCTACAGGCCTCATGCAAGTCTGAAACCCAGCAGGTCAGTCATTTAATCTTAAAGCTCCAAAATAATCTGCTTTGACTCCATTGCTCACATCCAGGCCATGGTGATACAAGGGCTGGGCTCCTAATGCCTTGGGCATCTCCACCCCTGTGGCTTTGCAGGTTACAGCTTCTGTGGCTGCTTTCATGGGCCACATGCCTATGGCTTTTCAAGGCATACAGTGCAAGCTGTCAGTGGATCTACCATTCTGGTTCTGAAAGGTGGTAGCCCTTATCTCACAGCTCCACTAAGCAGTGCCCCAGTGGGGACTCTGTCTGGGGGATCCAACCTCACATTTCCCCTCCACACTCCCCTAGTAGAAGTTCTCTATGATGGCTGTGCGCCTGCAGCAGACTTTTGCCTGCATATCCAGGCATTTTCATACATCTTCTGAAATCTATACAGAGGCTCCAAAGCCTCAATTCTTGTCCTCTCTGCACCTGCAGGCTTCATACCATGTGGAAACTGCCATGGCTTCTGTTTTGCAACCTCTGGAGCAGCAGCCTGAGATGTATCTGGGACCCTTTTAGCCATGGCTAGAGCTGGAGTGGCTGGGACACAGGGAGCAGTGTCCTGAGGTCGCACAGAGTGGTGGGGCCCTGGGCCTGCCTTAAAACCATTATTCCTGCCTATGCCTCCAGGCCTGTAATGGGATGGGCTACTGCAAAGTTCTGTGAAATGCCTTCAAGGTATTTTCCCCATTGTTTTGGCTATTAACATTTGGCTTCTCTTTACTTATGCAAATTTCTGCAGCTGGCTTGAATTTCTCCCCAGAAAATGGGTTTTTCTTTTCTACCACATGGTTAGGCTGCAAGTTTTCTGAACTTTTTTACTCTGCTCTCCTATTAAATATAAGTTCCAGTTTCAGATCATCTATTTGCTCATGCATATAACCATATGCTGATAGAAGCAGCCAGGCCACACCTTGGACACTTTGCTGCTTAGGAATTTCTTCCACCAGATACCTTAAATCATCACTCCCAAGTTCAAAGTTCTGCAGCTCTTTAGGGCAGAAACACAGTGCCACCAGTCTCTTTGCTAAAGCATAGCAAGAGTGACTTTCACTTCAGTTCCCAGTAAGTTCCTCATCTTCATCTGAGACCACCTCAGCCTGAACTTCATTGTCCATATCACTATCATCATTTTGGTCACAACAATATAACAAATCTCTAGAAAGTTCAACACTTTACCACATCTTCCTGTCTCCTTCTGACCCCTTCAAACTAGTCCAACCTCTGCCCATTATCCAGTTCCAAAGTCACTTCCACATTTTCAAGTTTCTTTATAGCAATGCCCCACTTCTCAGTACCAATTTTCTGTATTAGTCCATTCTTGCATTGCTATAAAGGACTACTGAGATTGTGTAATGTATAAAGAAAAGAAGTTTAAAGGACTCACAGTTCTGCAGGCTGTACAGGAAGCATGGTTGCAGAGACCTCAGGAAACTCACTATCATGGCTGAAGGTGAAGGTGAAGCAGGCATGTCTTCTGTGGCTGGAGCAGTAGGAAGAGAGAGTGAAGGAGGAGGGGTTGCACACTTTTAAACAACCAGATCTCATGGGATTTTACTCACTATCATGAAAACTGCAAGGGGGAAATCACCCCCACGATCCAATCATGTTCCACCAGGCCCCTCCTCCAACATTGGGGATTACAATTCAACAAGAGATTTGGGTGGGGACACAAATTCAAATCATATCACTGACTAAAGTCATGGGTTCTGGAACCAAGAGTGTATAACAAAAATACTAGTTTTGTCACTCACTGGCTAGGTGATATTAAGTCATTCAGTCATTTAATTTAAAGGGACCTCTCTGTGTCTTGGTTTTCTGTGAAATGATTATAATAATTATAAAAATAATAATAATGCCAAAGTCATATGGTCATCGTGAGACTTAGAAGAATTAATTGTTGTAAAGCATTCTGATAGTGCCTACAATACAGTAAAAACTGTAAACCTTAGCTATATTAATAATATAAAACCTTAATGAAGAGCATAAATGATTGGATAAAACAGTAACCGCAATATTGAACAAGAAGACAGTATTCAACAGTGTCAGTTCCCCCCAAATTTGTCTGTGTTTAACCCAAATCCTATCCCAATCTCATCAAGAGTTTGTTTCTTTATGGCCAGGTGCAGTGGCTCACGCCTGTAATCTCTGCACTTTGGGAGGCTGAGGCAGGTGGATCACGAGGTCAGTTGTTTGAGACCAGCCTGGCCAACATGGTGAAACCCCATCTCTACTAAAAATGCAAAATTAGCTGAGTGTGGTGGTGCACACCTGTAATCCCAGCTACTCTGGAGGCTGAGGCAGGAGAATCACTTTAACTTGGGAGGCAAAGGTTGCAGTGATCCAAGATAACACCACTGCACTCCAGCCTGGGTGACAGAGCGAGACTCTGTCTTAAAAAAATAAAAATAAAAATAACAAAATAAGTTTGTTTCTTTAATGAAAGTGGTATGTTACAGTTATATAGGGTACAAATTTTGGACTTAGACAACCTGGGTTACTTAATGTTTGCAACCTTTATTCTCCTAATTCATAAAGCAAATGTAATAATAAAGCATATCTCATATGAGTAAATTTGATTACCTATGTAAATAAAGCTGTTAATACAATGCTTTGACCCATAAAAATAAATACAGAAGTGGTAGTTGACTTTTTAAATTAATATTTGGAGGACAAAGAATTTTACTATAGGAATAATTACATAAGAATATAAAAGTAGTTTTTTTCTGAAAGGGATGGGAATTAATATTCTCTTAGACGCAAAAATGTGTTATCCATCTACAGCAATTAATGTGGCACAAGTTCAACAATAAAGTAAATGGAGCTGAAAATAAAATATGAAATCAGATTACAGTAACAATACACAGTAACGCATAAAGATCTTCTCTCTATCAGTACCATTTTAAGCATTTTACTTATAAATTAATCCAGTGAGATTAAGTGATCTGCTCAAAGTCTATTGAGTGTCATGGTGGAATTGGATCTAGGCAGCTGGCTCTAGGGTCTATATTCTTTGCCATGGTGCTAGAAGATTTTGCTAGTTACAGAGTTGAAATTATAGATCATGAGAGAATAAAGAATTAAATAAATAGTGCTAAGATAACTTACTAATTGGAAAAAAATGTAACTTTATAGCAAAACAGGCATCAGGTAGATTAAAGATTATGGCATGTTAAAAAATATAAATTAATTTGGGGGAAAAATAATTTTGGGGAGGACTTTCCAAGTGCAGCAAGGTGTAAAGCTGAACCCAAGTGGGTCTGTAGATTCCTCTTCCCTGAAGAATGGATAGGTCAGTAGCTTACTTGGCATCTCTTAGCAAGAGTTGATAAGGTTGGAGAAAGGGGCTTTTGAGGAAAATGTCTGCATCACCATTCCTAGAAAGTGACAGCTGAGACATAGCTATTAACAGGGCAGGACCAAGTAGCCTAGGTCTGGTGGCCCATATTCCCAGGCAGAATTAAATTCCATTGAGTTCAGTTTATCTTGGTAGCATGAACACCTGCTGGGTGTACTGTATAAAGCTGGGAATATAATAGTAAAAAAAAAAAAAAAAAAAGTCACTGTTCTCTCTGCCCTCATTGATGGAGCCAGTTTACAGATGACAGAGAGACAGAAAATTATATAAGAAATTATATGTGCTAAGTGATATGATAAAAGTTCAGGATGCAATAGAATAGAAATGTACTAAATCCAGATTTAACATATATAGAAGGCAATATCTAGGCTAAAACTTGAAAGTTAAGTAAGATTTAGCCAAGCAAGCCTGCTCCTTTGTCTATGTCTGTCCGTGACTCTGTCCGTGAACATGACTATACTTTATCCAGGTGGTGAGGACAGAAACCTGGATTTCTAAGGAAACAGGCAAATACACAATTAGATGCATAAGCTTGGACTCTAGAGCAAGATCATGGCTGGATGTGGAGGTATCGTTAGGAAAGCAGTTAGTGATGGGATGCCCGTGAGAAGGTGAGAATTGTCAAGGGACAGAGTGTAGAGTTAGCACAGGTCCTGATGCAACCTTGAGAAGGTCGCCAATGGTTATCAGACAGGTGGAGAAGCCCAGAAAGAATTGTGTGGGGTGCAGGAATTGTTTGTGAGAACATTAGGGGTGTGAGTTGTCATAGAAACTAGCAGAAAATTATTTCAATTATAGAAGAGAGGTGAAGTACAATTTCACTGACAAGCAGATAGAAGGGGCTTGCGGGGGGCACTATCAGCAAAGTGGCTTGCATGGAAGCCACCCTTCAGTGGCTGGAGTGACTGGTGGAGATGACAGGGACAGGTTGGTAGGGAATAAGAAATGCTGTGGGGAACACTGAAGGAGGACCAGCTGATGTTGGATTCCACACAGCGTGGATTCTCCTGAACAGCATCCTGTCCAGTTGTGCTCTTTTTGCAGCTGAAGTTATTTTGTTGGAACTTAGACATGGAGAAGGCAGACAGCTTTATTGATCCAGGCTTGGACTTTTTGCCGGACTAGCAATGACCAGAAAATTGACAAAAGAATTGGGGTGGGGCAGTGTTTGAGGAAAGCTGGCTGAGTTTTTAAATACACCATGGAGTCCAGCTGAAAGAGGAAGAGAGCAAAGAACAGTAGAGTTTGCTCAATGAGCAGAAAGGGTGATGGAGACAGGGACAGTGGTGACCGAGTACTCTGCAGGTGCAAGAATTTTACTAGTTATGTACTGAAAGTGCTGGAAGGGGAGGAGGCTGAATCAGAATAGAAGACAGAAAAATAAAGGTCAGTTTTAGAAGGATGCCAATGAGAATGTGTGGCTGTTTTGATGTCCTGGAAGCACTGTGTGTGCAGGGAGACTGAAGATGCCCCAAGTGTCAGCAGCTTCCTGAGCAGTGAGAGACCAGGGTGCACCTTTCCACCTGGTTGCAGAAGGAGGTCAGGCAACTTGAGGAAACTCACGATCTGCAGACGTTCTGCAGGAGGCTGGGCCATTTGGCCTGCTCCTGTGCCATGATCAGGAAGAACAGGGTCTTAGAGAGGAAGGGAAGAAAAGCTTCTGCCTTAGCAGATAGGAACAAAAAGACAAATTGAACAAAAAATATTTTAAAATATCAAGTAAACGAAATTTACTTGATATTTCCTAAGAAATAGGAAGCCAGGACTTTTCCATGCATCATTGGTAAAATATTTCTTGAAGATAATTTGGAAGTATGTATCCAACATTTTAAGTTAGCCTGTGAATTGTTCCACTGATGGAAATGTATTCCAAGGAAACGTTCAGGCAAGAGTACACTGGCACATCCTTGAGAATGTGTGTTTCCGTGTCTATTATTGTGAAAGGCTCTGGCACTGGAAACAGACCCTGTTGAATATGAATCCCAGCTTTGCTGTCTGCCGTCTTGATGACTTTGGGCAACTCCTTAATCTCTCTAAGCCTCATTTTTGCCTCATTATAAAATGAATACCACCAGTAATGGCTATTCAGAAACTTGTGAGGGAAGCTAGGATGATACACATAAGACTCTAAGCACAGCAGCTGGAACATAACATGGTAAATATTCAGCATATTTTATCCACAGTAATAAAGAAGGAAAAACAAAAAACAAGGCTAGAGGGAGGGCCCATGGGCTCATGGACTGAGAGAGCAGAGAGAAGAGCAGAAGAAGAAAAAAGGACAGAGAAGAAAAAAGGACAGAAAGAAAAAGAAAAGGAAAGAAAGAAGATTCACAGAGGACTGCTGAGATAAATACATAAAATGGAATCATATGTTTTATGCATATTGAATATTTATGCATATTGACAAGAACTATGGTGGAAGATAGGATTTTAAATTTAAAAAAAATAAAACAATAAAGCTAGATAAATAATGTACTGTTTATGTTTAAAAGTTGAACATTATTTTCATAAAATAAATATTAATATAGATGAAATTTCCTACTGTACTTTTTCACAGGTAATGTGATTGTTATTTTATTCTTTATGCTGTTTGTTTTCCTAAGCATTTTATGATAAGGATGTAAACTTAGATAAGCAGTAAGGACAAGATATTTTTATTTCCCTGGTCTAAAAATGAAACAGTTACAAGTGCACAAAAATACAGTAGAAGTATCTGGAAGTGCTATTAATCCTTTCTTAATTATTGCACTAACAGTGGTTCTCAGTTGTTGAAAGGCTATAATGATTATTGATATATTCAAATATCTGGATAAAAAGAAATTTTTAAAAAAGGAAAATTAAAAAATCTAGATAAGGAATCATTCACGTATAATTGAATTTAGTATACATAACTATAGGAAGAAGTGGTTTATTTTAACCTTTTTAGGCAAATACAAAGTGTTTTTAATGTAACTTTTTAAAAATAGTGTTGTGAAGATGAGCACAATTTCTGGGATATCATTCTGTGTTATATGGACCTGTTTCACATTCTGTTGAGTCATAATATAATAAATGTGGGGGAGGGAACCATTCTAGCTTGCAGTTTGAAATTGTATATCAAAAAATTAGACTGGGCATGGTGGCTCATGCCTGTAATCCCAATATTTTGGGAAGACTGAGGTGGGAGGATTGATTGAGGCCGGGAGTTCAAGACCAACTTGGGTAACACAGTGAAACCCCGTCTCTAGAAAAAGTTAAAAAATTAGCTGGGCATGGTGGTGCACGCTTATAGTCCCAGCCATCTGAGATACTGAGGCAGAAGGATCCCTTGAGCCCAGGAGTTTGAGCCTGCAGTGAGCTATGATGGTTATGCAGCTCTAGTCTAGCCTGGGTGACAGAGTGAGACCCCGTCTCTTACAAAAAAATACTGTGAAAGTATATACATATATATAACTATTTGATGATTTCAGAATACATCTGCTTTTTTGCCATCAAACTGAATTCTTCATATCTCTAATTCTCTAACAGATAAAAAAATCAATTAAAATAGGTTTATTTTCATAGTTATCCACAGTTTGACTTATGGGTGACAAGCATCAATTGTTCAATTTTATGACCATATAGTGGGCAGTCATGACAGATTTCCTTTGCTGTTATGTTTTTGTAAAACCAGCAGGATTAAATAACATATATTGCTTGGTATCATTTTTTTTTTTTTTTTGAGATGGAGTCTTGTTCTTTCGCCCATGCCAGAGTGCAGTGGCGTGATCTTGGCTCACTGCAAGCTCCGGCTCCCAGGTTCACACCATTCTCCTGCCTCAGCCTCCCGAGTAGCTGGGACTACAGGCGCCCGCCACCACACCCAGCTAATTTTTTGTATTTTTAGTAGAGACAGGGTTTCACTGTGTTAACCAGGATGGTCTTGATCTCCTGACCTCCTGATCCACCCGTCTTGGCCTCCCAGGGTGCTGAGATTACAGGTGTGAGCCACTGCACCCGGCACAGCCGCTTGGTATCATTTACAGGACTTAACTCTTATAGTAGTTGGACATAACAATTACTGTTGTAATTTCTAGATGTTTAAAGCAAGAAAATAAGCTACTTTAATGTGAAACATCCTACATAAAGTGCCACGTTGGTACCTGTGTCCTATATCTGGCCTGACACATTCCTGTCAGCCTTTCAAATACTATTATCTAGGTTTTTTTTCACTTTTTCTTATTGATTCATTTATTGATTCAACTATTAATGAAACTCTCCCACTGTGGAGAAGAACAGCCAAAAGTAATAAAGTCGGCCGCTAGACTAAGTGATTTTATTGTACTTCATGCACTAAATATTTAAGAAATAAGATCAATGAGTTCCTTCCAATCATTGGTCTGCTTTATGTATTCAACAGCTGGAGTGGGTCCTTTTTTTAACATTTCTTCTCCTATTCAAAAAGTTATTTTCATTAATAAATATGAAGTCAAATGAATAATAGTAATGACTGGGAACAAAAAGTGAAAAAATGAAATTCTTTCGTTTTACTTCATGTATGCAGAGCAATAAAAACAAATGTTACAATACATAAAAGGAAATAAGTAATGATGTAACATTTTTTAATTACATTAGTGCATTTTTTTGGGAAAAAATAGAAAAAACATTATAATTATTTTTTGGTCTCTCACAATAATAAGTAATCCCATTAAAGTTTAATAAATTACAGTTATGTAAGAATAATTTCACAGTAACAAGTTTCTGTTATAAAGCTGTACAATGATAGACTGGATTAAGAAAATGTGGCACATAATACACCATGGAATACTATGCAGCCATAAAAAAGGATGAGTTCATGTCCTTTGTAGGGACATGGATGAAGCTGGAAACCATCATTCTCAGCAAACTATCGCAAGGACAAAAAACCAAACACCGCATGTTCTCACTCATAGGTGGGAATTGAACAATGAGAACACGTGGACACAGGAAGGGAAACACCACACACCGGGAACTGTTGTGGGGTGGGGGGAGGGGGGAGGGATAGCATTAGGAGATATACCTAATGCTAAATGACGAGTTAATGGGTGCAGCACACCAACATGGCACATGTATACATATGTAACAAACCTGCACATTATGTACATGTACCCTAAAACTTTAAGTATAATAATAATAAAATTAAAAAAACAAAAATAAAAAATAAAATATTAAATGTATGAACTAAAACGTGCAAGCATACACACATAAAATATTACACCTTACAGTTTGCGATCTATTTTACTGTTTTAAATTTGAAATAGAATTCAACTGCCAAGTGCTTACATAGATTATAACTGAAGATCTGTTTCTTTGCTGTTATAATTACTGAGTTTTGTTATTTTGAATCTAAATTCAGGACTCTAGTGACACAGGGATTGGAGACACAGACAGCACTCGCACAATTCTGGACCGCTACAGACTTCTAACTGACCCAAATGCATGCAGCATGAGTCTCCATGTTTTAGGGATTGACCACATAGCAGGAAGTTCCATATATTACACGCAATTAGAACTTCACAGTAACCACGGCAATTATTTAGCATTTAGACTAAAAAGAATTCAGGGGTTGAGGAGTATTTTATCTGTGACATTGCTTAGAATTGCTGGCACATAATGATAAGAAAAGCAGACTGAATGCCAGTTGGTTTCTTATTATAATTAAATTCCTCACAAGGTCACCCTTATTGCCTGTGCCCAGGATCTGTGGCCCCAACGTCACATTTGTGGGCAACCTGCTTCTTCCTTTGAGGGCTTCCTGTCACCTCTTGGCCCTCATCTCGCAGCCCCACCCTCAACTCACTTTGACCAACTCCACTGCTGCTTCCTGTGCCTTGAATACAGCAGTTTGCCAGGGCCTTTGCCCTTCTCTTCCTCTGCCTGGAAACTTCATCCATCAGAGTTTGTGCTGCTGGCTTCATCATCTCCTCCAATTCTTTTCGCAGCGCCACCCTCTCAAAGCACCTACTTTGACTCAGCTGCTTCAAATTGCAACCCCCTTGTTCTATGATTCCTTTTTAAAATATGTGATTGCCATCTTCCAACAAAATACATAATTTGATGATTTATTATAATATTATTTATGTTCTGCCTCCTGCTGCTAGAATTGAAGCTCCACAAGGACAGGGATCTTTATGTGTTTTCATTACGGATACGTTTCAAACACCTGGGCTGTACCTGAGACATAAATAGGTGGTCAATATATATTGATAGAATGGATCTACCTCAATATTTAGTAGGTGTAAATTGGGGCACAAAATTGTTCTCAAAACTCCGTGGGTTTTCTTTTTTCACTTTTAAGAAACAATGTTGCTATTTTTACCTGCCAAGCTCATGCAATGTAATATTCACTGAGAAAAACAATTACCCTAAACCTTAATGAGAGAAAGCTGCAATTGTTATGCACCGTAAAGAAAAGGGAATGGAATCAATGAACAGCTTTATCAATTTTAAACATGTAAATTGTTTTGTATTACCTAAAGAATCCTTTTAATAACCTTGTGAGTGTGGCAAAATATATATGTATATGTATATACATACATACATACACATATACGTATATGTATGTACATACACGTGTATGTACACGTGTATGTATGTACATACATATACGTATATGTATGTACATACACACGTATATGTATATACACACACGTATATGTATACACACACGTATATGTATATACACACACGTATATGTATATACACACGTATATGTATATACACACGTATATGTATATACACACACGTATATGTATACACACACGTATATGTATATACACACACGTATATGTATATACATACACACGTATATGTATGTACATATCCCATATGTATGCATATACATATACGTGTATATGTGTGCATGTACATATACGTGTATATGTGTGCATGTACATATACATACATAAAAGGATATATATATATATATATATCCTTTTACTCCTGTTCTGAGAAGGAAATAGATGCTCAAAGAGATTAAATGTCTTTTCCAGTGGGAAGTGGATACTCCTAGTAAAACTGAGATTAGAGTGTGGTTTATCCGGTTCCTGGGATAGATGTTTCTACTGTGTTCATGGAACGCTCACATTGCACACTTTAAAGCAGAATGTCTGAGAGAGTTAAAGTGTTCATATTTGATGCTTCTATGTTCATATTTGATTCTTTGAATTTAACAGTTCAATCACTGTTAAATGAACAAAGTTATTTAACAATTTCACATGTAATAATAAAAAGTGAGGAGAGCTCACCTTTTTAAAATCCTGTGCTCAGAACGACCTTGAATACACGCATGGCTATCTTTGTAGAAACCTTCCTGACACCTGGAACCCACCATGTGTCTCACAGTAAACACTGACATGTTGGGTTTTATTTTGGGTTTTATTAACGAACATATTGTTCGTTAGGGGAATGAACGATATACTCAGTAAAAGTCAAATACTTTAGAGTATGTTCCTAATGCCATCTGGGATATACCACTCCCATTGGTCAGCAGAGTTGATAGGGTTCAGTATGTCTTCAGAAGCTCTGTCCAAGATAATGATTCTGGTGGACCAAAATGACTCTTTCTCATCCAAGGATGTCTGAATAGCTAAGCAGTCCTAAGAATGGAAATCTTAAATATAACAAAGGTGACTGCTAACAGAGTGATGCCAAGACCTTGTGTTCTCTGTTTTTGCGTGTCATGTGACTCATGCCACATTCCACTCAAGTGCTTGTTGAGGAAAATGCAGGCCTTCCCTTGATGCTGCTAGACAGCCAGGGCATAGGGCACGTGCAGGTTTGAACCTAGGTATGTGTGACACCAGTCCCGTTGTCTTACTAATTAATCATACTTACAAAGATATGCTATTTGTTATTGTTGTTGGTTTTTTCTAGATAGTGTAACATACCTATTTATAGATGTCCACATATCAACATTACATGCCAAGGATTTGTACCCAGTGTGTGGCAACCTTAGGGAATTCTTAATTGCTAAGGAAATGTTCACAGTTTTGCAAAGCTGTCCATACCAAGGCGATTCTATTCATTCAGTGAACCTTGCATAAGCTGTAATGCAATTAGTGATGAAAAGAGACAGTCTGCAACTCCATGTAATTTATGTGCATAATAAAGTCACCATTGACATTGAATTACTCATATGTATTTCCTTCTATTTTGCAGTTGTTCCCAAGAGTTGCTTGTTAACAGAGTTTTTCTATTACATAATAAAGAAAATGTTTTATCACTAAAGTAGTCAGATAATGTGATGAAAGCATATGTCTTTTTAATATGATTTCTGAATGAAGAGAATTCATCTCCAGTCATAAGCTTTGTTCTTTCAACATGCAACAATACCCAAGATATTTTTTTTCACCTGGATTTTTATATGTAAGAAATTTTCCTCTGCAAGTTTCTACTTAGGCATGGTTAACACTTGAGAAAGGTTTTCTCTTGTTGAGGTTCTGTGGGATTCCAGCCAGACTTTCATTGTTAAGACAGGCCTTGAGTTTTGTCTTTCATTGAAGCAACATGCATCATAGGTAATAATTCATTCAAGGCTCTGTTGAGAGTGATCTCAACCTTAATCAGTGTATGTTTAGTTTCCATGCTGAGAAAAGGAAATTTGTTCTATGAAAACTTAGACTTATTAAAAGCTCTGAAACAAATAGATTCTAGAGTTATATAATTTTGAGAAATGGTATCTATGATATCCCTTTCTTGGAGATTCTTAAGATGCATTAGCCTCTTAGAGGTTCTAGTATGTTTGTTTTCCCTAACCAGAATTTTCCGTATTTACTAAGCAATGGAATTTTTTCATATGCTACACAGTGGAACTAATGTTAATATCGTATTAGAGACAGGATACTGTAATAGTCTGTTATTTAAGTTAAGGGTATTCTTGTGTGCTATAAGACAGATGCTCTTTTAGAATATGTAAGAATTGCCTAAGTGTTGTATAATCAGTGCTTCTCAAATTGGACTATCCATATGAGTCACCTGGGGATCTTGCTAACTGTGGATTGATTCAGTAGGTCTGTGGTGGGTTCCGAGTTTCCAACAAGCTCCTAGGAAAGGCCAAAGCTGCTGGTATGGAGACAGCATTTTAAATAGCCAGAACTGAAATCAAGGTTCTCATCCTTTGCATTATTGACATTGTGGACTTGCGAATTCCTTGTTGTGCTTGGTGTCCTGCACGTTGTAGGATATTTAGCAGCCTTTCTGCCCTCTGCCCACTAGATGACTAGATGATTGTAGCACCTTCTCATCCCCATTGTAACAAACTCAAATGTCTCCAGATATTGTCAAATGTCTCCTGGAGGGCAAAATCACCCCCTTTTGGAGACTACCAATGTAGATAGTTTGCATCACAATGTCTTATTTCTTTGATTTTCTCAAGTGTTCCTTCTCAGTTCTGATGGAAAAGATGGGCCAAAACCGGAATTCTTTAAATTGTCACAGATCATGGAAATCTTTTTGCGTATAAAGAAATAAGAAACCTGCCTTGTTCTAAAATTGAGGTTATGGCCGGGGTGCAGTGGCTCATGCCTATAATCCTAGCACTTTGCGGGGCTGAGGTGGGTGGATCACTTGAAGTCAGAAGTTTGAGACCAGCCTGGTCAACATAGTGAAACCATGTCTCTACTATAAATACAAAAAATAGCCTGGTGTGGTGGCAGGCACCTGTAGTTCCAGCTACTGGGGAGGCTGAGGTGGGAGAATCTCTTGAACCTAGGAGGCAGAGGGTGCATTGAGCCAAGATGGCACCACTGCACTTCAGCCTGGGTGACAGAGCAAGAGTAGTGGGTGGGAGTCCATGGTTCTGTACAGTTATAAGGATAGCTAGTGAGCACTTAGCAACTTTTGTGCGGGAAACATATTTTTAATTTAAGGGGAATTTCTAGAACCAGAGAATGAAATATGTTGCAGAGAATTTAAGGGCCCTTGCAGAGATAAGGAGAATTAAGACATCTCATCTATTACTGCAGTACCAGTTATTTCTTAGACTAATGCTAGTGCTTCTTGCTATTTTTTTATAAAGCAATAAAAGTAGAATTATACCATAAGTAAAAAATTGGCAAACATAGAATAAGATACCAAAAATAAGTGTTACTGGCTTTCTGAGGAGCTGAATTATTTAACCAGAGAACCATGGGCGGAATGTTTGGGAATGGATAACACAGTCCGGTGGCAAATGCATTACAGATCAGTGGAGAAGAGAGGTAACACAGGCATGGGCACAAGCCATTAATTACCCAGAGGGGCAGCTAGTAACAGGGAAACACTGCCCCCTCAGCTGGTGTGACTAATTTAAAGTACTAAGAATATATTAACAAAACTAATAAATCTGAAGCTAATTTACGTGATGAAAAAAGAGAGGCTGTTATCTTTTCCCATTAAAATCAAAGACTTTAGAGACCGGTTCTTTACATTAGATTTTACTGATGACTGATACGGTATTCGTTTTCTTAAGGGGATTTATCCTATATTCAATTAGTATCACTTCTCTAGAACTCAAATGTCTTAATCTATAAAGTGAGTCTTAGATTAGTTGATGTCTAAAACCTCCTCCCCTTTCACTAGACATAATAGGTTTTGAGTGGAGGTAGTAGAAATCAAATTGGATTTGAAAAATAAATAATAAATAATTTAAAAAACATAAATGTATGTATTTTTCAAACCATTATTTGTTGAGAAGATTGATGTTGCTCAGGTTTTTAAGGTCTCTGTTTTTTATGTTACTAAAATATAAATGTCATTATTATGATTTTCAGAATGAGTTAGGAATCGATACTGCAGAATGTGTGTGCTAGTCTAATTTTCGCTGGCATTGTTCTGAGGCTAAAGAGGTGGAATTCTGTACTAAGATTGTAATAAATAGATAAGCAATTTAAAAAAGTAACTTTGTCATATAAAATTTTGCAGTAGAAGTAATTGGAGGGAAATTAAGTGCAAGGTATTATTTTCCATATTCACAAGATGAAATTATTTTTAACTTACATTTTGTGGTTGTAGATGCCAACTTCTCAACTGGCATTGTGGCATATGTACTTATTTTTTAAAGGGAGCTCTTAGCAAGACAGTCTTTTAATATATCTCTATACTTCTGAGTTGTGTGTTTTGTCCAAACGGTTCATTGGCAAGAACTCAGTTTATTTTGGAGATACACATTCCCTCTATTAGTATTTAAGTGCTCAGTGGGCGTTTAGAAATAGACAAATTTAAGTAAACATTTTCCAAGGTAATGATTGTTTTTTGAAGGTTTTTTTCTTAAAAAATATATAAACTTCTATAATTACTAAATGAAATGGCTGTTTTGCTTTTTTCTTGTAAAGAAATTATAATTGCCATTCTGAAATTGCCATCTACTTGAGGTAATAACTCCTTTTCATGCTGGTAACCTTTTTTTTCCTATGGTTTCCTGGATCATGATATTATTTATTCCTAATACAATCCACCTGCACCTTGGAACTCAGAGAAATAAATTCTAAATGCATAAAAGCCCATGTGTGGGATTGCCTCCAACTTCCAAATAGAAGGTCATTGCTCAATATTTATGTGTTCTCCACTGCCCCTTCTTCATGCTCCATTCAGCTCCAGTGTGCAAGTCTTAAACTTGCTCTCTGTGCGTATTGATAAATAGATCTGCTCCAAATGGTTGCACTTCAGCTGGCTGCCAAGATGACACACTTTCTAATGTTTCAGAAGTGCCTTCAAGACATGAACATTGGACCTGATTTCCTTTGATTAACAGCAATACCTGAAAAAAACTTTTTCAGTCAGAGTTAACTTGCCAATTGTACCAGAGGTTGGAAAATCATCAGGAGGGGATAGAAATGCTCACTTCAGTTGCCTGCACTGTCATAACTTCCTTGTTGTTAGTGTATATTAGCCGTTTGGATGACTTCCCCCACCCTTATTTTATATTTTATTTCTAGTAAAAGTTTTATTTCCATAATTACAAAGGACATGAAATCTGTTACATTCAGGATCTGGATAGGTATAACAAAGCGCTGTATTCTTTCATGCATTTACTTCTTACTTTAATAGATATTTTATTCTGGAATGAGAGGAAAGAGAAGACAAGATGATTTCCAGGTACAGCTACTGAACAATGATTCTGGAGCGGGCAGAGGTTTGAGATTGGCAATAGTTATAGCTATATCCTATAGCCAACTGAGAAACAGCTTAAGTGGGTGTGTGCTTGTTTAATGCTCATTAGAAGTACAATATACAAAATAAACAGCTCATGTCTCCTAGGATTGTTTATGGTGCTTATTTAAGGGGGTGGGTTTTCCTCAGTTTTCTTCTCTCTAAAATTCCATTCAAGTTACTGTAGAATCATGAATGTGTGTGTGGCGGGGGTGGGGGGGGATTAAACCATTGATGCTTGGAGGGCCTCAGAAGATAAGACATTTGAACAATTTCTATTAGACTGGAAATTAGTGTAAGAGTTTTCAGTTGTGATATAAAGTAGAAAAAAAAGATACTCCAAAATACATGCTGGCATTAAAGAGTAGGAGTGGAAGCTGGTATTAAGGAGTAGGGGTGGGAGCTGATCTGCTAGTAGAACCCGTAAAGGTTTCAGGTTCCTCAGGCAATGTGTCTGCAAGGCAAGTCTGAAAGGGGGCCTGAAAACAAGGGGTTAAAGAATAGCCCATCTATGTTATAAGAAAAAAAAGATATTCTTTCCTATGTAGAATGTTCAGGACTGATTTACTATAGTACAGAAATAGAAGGGCAGAGGAAACAATGTTAGAATGTTAGGAATAAAACATGCATATTTCGTTAGAATATCCAGATGTGGTTGAGAAGTTGTGGCAATTCTGAAAAAGAATTTGGGGCAATTTGAAGAGCCCTAGAAGTCAGTAACAGAAATGGAAATGCCTTATCCCTAACTTCCCTTCAGAAATTATCAATGTTCATCCATTCGAGTCTTATCTGCTCTTAAAACTCCTGTGAAATTACATCCTTGCTCCTAAGGAGCTCCGTTTCTCCTCCTTCATCTTCTTCCTTTTAAGCTTCCACTCTTTTTTGCTTCCTCATGCTTAGTAGTAGGACTCCAGTTTCTCACTGTTCTCTCTGATCATTACCCCTCTCTTATGGGTGATGCCTTCTTCTTTCTAAAGATAACATTTAACCACACAAACTCCCACACTCATTTTTGTTCCATATTCTTCTAAATCTTGCTTTATATTCCATCTTGTTTCTCAAATTTTTAAAAACTCTCTTTGCACTGCCCCATGTTCTTTACCTAAAAACATGCCCAAGTCATTTCTTCCTTCCTAAGTTTACAGAGGAAAAAAAAAATCTTTGCTTATATTTTATGAAGCTATCCTTCCCTTGCCTTAACATCAGATGTCCTAAAAGAGTGCTGTATAATCCCTACCTCTAATTTCTCATTTTATATTGATCTTTCAACCTATTGCCTATATCTTCTGCCCACTAGATGACATTAAAATTGCTCTAAAGGTTCCTAATCTCCAGGTTGCCAAAAATAATGGACTATTTTCATTTCTGAAGCTACTTGACTTATTCACACCATCTGATACCACAAGCTGCACCTTTAGGAAATGGTTTTTCACTCTAGATTTTCTAGCATCATGTTTTCTGTGCTCCCTCTTTTCTAAGATTCTTCTGCTTTCCATCATTGACTCATTTTCTTCCACCTTTCCCTTAAATATTACAATGTGCTGGAATCTTCTCATTGCTTTTTACATACTTTCTGGGCCATTTCATCTTATATTTTGTGCAACTGCCACCTACTCAAAACAGTAAAATATTCAACTTTCCTGATCTGACTTTCAAAACTCAGTGTGGGATTGCATAGAAAGAGCAACCTATTGAGAACCCCGGTTTTTAAATGAGAGACTCCTGGTTTGTAACCTCCTCATCCTCAAGAGCAAGAACTAGAGGCAGAACTGGAGAAATCGTGCACGGGATTGAGATTGAGGAGAAAGTCCAGATCCCATCCATGCCCTTCATATCCCCGTGGAGCAGAAGGTATTTTTCTGGCTTCTGCTCTCTCAAATTCTCAACTGTGAATCCCCAAGAGAATCAGTTCTGAAATTGAGGTGCTTTCAAGGAAGGGGAGAAGCCACCCTTCTCCATGGCTGTGTGTGTGCCTATGGTCTTGCTCAGGTTCCCTGGGTGCTGAAAAAGAATATGGGGAAAATATGGCATTATGTACAACCAGACAAAGAAAAGGGTAAAGTTCTCTCTTTCTGATGAGTATATAGTCGGTTGAATGTAGAGAAGACTTGACTGATTGTGGCCAAATGCTCAAGAGTTGGGGAAAAGGATAGGTGAAATTGGGGTGGCTGGATAAATGGGCAGTGCCAACTCATGGGGCAGAGAGCTGTGTGCAGGAGAAGCATGAGCCTGATTCTGTTGACTGGGTATTGGACAGAAAATAGAAACAGATGTCATGAGGGGGGAAATCACCCAAGAAAAAACATCAGGCATAAGAAGATGGACTGTACCACTATCCATTCCAAACCACTGAAGCCTAAAATACTACTTCACATTGGAAGAAGAAAGATGTCCAGGTTTATTTCTGGACCTTCCAGTGTAGCCTACTGATCTACGTTTCTATCAAGTTGTACTAATTTTTTTTTTTTTTTTGAGACAGTGCCTCATTCTGTCACCCAGACTGGAGTACATTGGCACATTTGTGGCTTACTGCAAACTCTGCCTCTCAGGTTCAAGAAATTCTCCTGCCTTAGCCTCCATAGAAGCTGGGATTACAGGCACCCACCACTATGCCTGGCTAATTTTTGTATTTTTAGTAGAGATGGGGTTTCACTATGTTGGCCATGGTTGTCTCGAACTCCTGACGTTGTGAACCACCCACTCTGGCCTCCCAAAGTGCAGGGATTACCGGCATGAGCCACCGTGCCTGGCCTATCTAATATTTTAAATGGGATATTTAAATCAACTAATATTGCTGAATTTCAACTAACATTGCTGAATTTTCTGTTTCTTCCTTCAATTTTCTCATTTTTTCTTCATCTAATTTGGGGCTCCGTAGTTAGTTTCAGGTATGTTTCTTTTGAATATTTCATCCCACTGCCTCCTTGCCTTCATTGTTGTTGATGAGAAGTCAATTGTTAATTTTGTTGGCATTCTCTTGTTAAGGAAGAGTAATTTTTCTCTTGCTGCCTTCACATTTTTCATTGTCTTTCACTTTCAACGTGTTAACTCTGATGTGTCTGGATATGGATCTCTGTGTTCATTCTATTTTTAGTTATTGAGCTTCTTGGATGTGAAGGTTAATGTTTCCCATTGAATATGGGAAGTTTACAACTATTATTCATTTGATATTTTCATGCCTTCTCTCTATCTCTCCTGTCTCTCTGGCGCTTCCATTACATGCGTGTTAGTGTGCCAAATAGTGTCCTGCACTTCTCTGAGGCTCTGTTCAATTTATTTTCTTCTGTCTATTGTTCATGTTGCATAATCTCTACTGGTCTTTCTTCAAGTACGCTGAGATTTTCTTCTTCCAGCTTAACTTTACTGTGGATTCCCTCTAGTGAGCTCTTCATCTCAGCTATTGTACTTCTTAACTCCAGAATTTTCCTTTGATTTATTTTTTAATAATTTCTGTTTTTATTAACATCCTGTATTTGGTGAGTCATCATAATATATTCCTTTAATTCATGGTTTAAAGCATGGTTTCCTTTAGTTCTTGGAACATATTTAAAATAGCTGCTTTGAAATCTTCCATCTCCTAAATCTACCATCTAGGCTCCTTCAGAGGCAGTTTCTAATGTCTGGTTTGTTGTTGTTGTTTTTCCTTTATATGGGTCACACTTTCATGTTTCATTGGGTGACTCATAACTTTTTTGGTTGAAAGCTGCACATTTTAGATAATGTATTGAAGCTACTCTGAATACTGACCACCCTCCAACCAGTGCTTGTTGTTTCTGTTGTTTATTTATTTGGTAACTTGACTGGAATAGTTTATTGAGGTCTGTTTTCTCTGTTCAGTTTCTGCTGTCACTCCTCAGAGTTTGCATCCTTAGTCAGGTACACAGTTTTCCTTAATGTCCTCCTCCTCACCGCAGGACCCCAGGTTGACTGGTTTTAGCTAGGCTGTCTCACTGTCTCTTTTTATTTTTCATCCCCCTATGAATCTTCCTGCTGGTATACGTCTGTTGATATCACACTCACTTAACCTTCACTAACTGCTAGTCTCTGAGAATTGTTCCAACTACAGGAGGGATCATCTTAGCTATCTCTTTCTTAGAGTCCTTCTGGAAAACTTCTAACTTCTAAATCATCTGTCATTTCATTTATTGCTATCAAGGAGCTGCCATTCTTCTCTTAATTGTTCAACACCAAGAGCTTCATTGTTTTAAACAAACACTTGGTCTTCAGTTCTGTACGCTCTATTTTAAATATAGCCATTCCCATTAAGGAGAGCACTGGAACTCTCTGTTCATATGCCTTGCCTGTCCTCCCAGGCAACACATTTATACCACTTCTCTGGAGGTGGGGTCCGGGACATGCCCCATGTCTTTTGGATTGGCACTCTTGCTCTGTAAGTGGGCGATGGGGCTGGATGGTAAACTTCCTCCTCCCAGCATAGAATCTTCTCCTGAGGAGCAAGCTGGGGCAAGGCCAATCAGAGTCATTAGTCTCAGCATGCTGCAGCAGGGGAGATCTTCCACCATACATAGGGCCTGGGTGAAAGAAGGGTGCCCTATACCTCTCAATCATATTTGTCTGAAAGGGAGCTTCTACAACATGGAGCTGTGGAGGATGAGAAACTCTGGTGGTTTTCCCCTCCTGGAAACACTGCGTAGCTCTATACTTGGAGGTGGTGAGCGAGTGAGCCCTGTCTTCTTGAACCAACCACTCAAAGTAGAGTACAGCTTCTCTCACATTGATTAGCAAAAAGAGGAGTGTGCTGTGGCACAAATGCCACAGACTCTCTTCCCTCCAAGATTAAGTTGGTTATCTTGAGTAAATAGGGCCTTTCCTTACCAAATAATAAGAAAATTTTTATAGTAGTAAAGTGTGTGTATAGTCTTCACGATAAGACATAGATCCTTGCTATAGAGGAGTCCAGAAAGTATCCCCATGAATATATGTTTACTTGATGTGTGATAAAGGTAGCATAACCTTGTACAGAAACCTGGCTTATCATGGAAAGATCCTTTAAAACTTTCAATATTTTGGAGACCTAAATGTGAAAAGTAGTCTTATAAAATGTCTAGAATAACATATTGGAGAATATCTTAATGACAGCAAGATAGGAAAAGCTTTATTGAATGGACTTTCTTTTCCCCCACTAAGGAAAATCCTAAGGGGAAAAAGTGACATTATATTACTACATCAAAATTGATCTCTCTATTTAGTGAAGGACAATCTGAAGAGTTAAGAGATGTATGAAACAGGTGACTGGGAGAAGATATGATTGTTTATGTATTTTTTTTTTTTTGAGATGGAGTTTCGCTCTTGTTGCCCATGCTGGGGTGCAGTGGCATGACCTTGGCTCACTGCAGCCTCCACCTCCCAAGTTCAAGTGATTCTCCTGCCTCAGCCTCCTGAGTAGCTAGGATTACAGACACCCACCACCACGCCTGGCTAATGTTTTTATATTTTTAGTAGAGACGGCATTTCACCATGTTGACCAGGCTGGTCTCAAACTCCTGACCTCAGGTGATCCACCTGCCTCGGCCTCCCAAAGTGCTGGGATTACAGGTGTGATTATTGACAGTAGGGTTATTTGACAGCAAGATATCCTAAGAAGTAGGATATATAAGGAAACAATATCAATAAAGGAAAAAGGAAAAACTTATCCTAATGGAAAACTGAGCAAAGCACATAAATGGGTAAGTTACCAAACCAAAGTAGAATTCTTCTTAGTAATTTCTACATGCAGTTTAAGAAAAAGATGACCTCTTTACACCAATTGGTTTGCCAAAAGTCGAAAGATACCAGGTGCTGTCAAGAATTGGGGAAATAGAAACACACCTGCACCCCTGGTTGCAGTGTTTGCTGATCAGTCCCTCCGGAAGCTAGTGGACTGAATTGATGAGATTCAGTCTGCATGTTGCCCAGTGTCCTGCAGTCCACCCTGGTGTGCATTATTAGAGACATCCTCCTGCAGATCACAAGGAGATGTGTGTAGCAGACATTTGTCACAGCACTGTATGGGTTGAAAGAGCTAGGAGATCCCTCAAGGAATAAAGTGTAGCACATGGTGAACTATGCATTGGCCCAAGGTAATGAGTTATGTCTCTCTGCAGATGCCAGGACTAAGAAGCACAATGTTGAGTGAGAAAAATAGGAAATAGAATGAGAAATAAAAGTCACAGTATGTCTTTTTCAAAAATGCACGTATAAGTAGAAAACCATATGGAACATTTAAGAAACATATATTAAATATGCTAGAGTTTATTACTATTTGGGGGAAAAAAAGTTTACTTTTTTCCCCTATAAAATGAGGCATTTTAAGTTTCAATTAATTTTAATTAGCATTTTTTTCAACAATTAAAGCATGACGTATCATAGCCTATTTGATTTGGAGACCAATGGTATGTTAAAATAATGAGTGAGGCCAGATGTGGTGGTTCATGCCTGTAATTCCAGCACTTGGGAGGCTGAGGTGGGAGGATTGCTTGAGCCCAGGAGTTCAAGGATGCAGTGAGCTATGATGGCACTACTGCACTCCAGCCTAGGCAACAGAGCAAGACCATGTCTCTAAAAAACATAAAATAAAATAAGAAATGAACTTGTGTTCAGATATAAACAACATGTGCCTACAAATGAAACATAAAATGTATACAACTGTAAATGCTGAAAACTCACCACTGGTGTTACTCCATCTTTGGCTGTTTATGTCGTGATCTCTCCTCCAATTGCTGGTAGTTTTTATTTGATATGTTCAAACTCTTATGTTTCGGGGGTGGAAATACATTCTTTCTAAACAAATACTATTATCACTTTTAGTGACCTGGAGAATTTTAACGAGATGCCAGGGGTAGGGAATGGGGTTTATGAACCACCTGTAGAAAACAGCTGTCATATCAGACACCAGATAGATCTGTTCTACCTCCTGTGTATCTTTTGTCTTTATTTAAGAGGCTTATTGTCTCTTGCATGAGTTGTTGTTGTTGTTGTTGTTGTTGTTTAACTTTTCCGGGTTAGGCAGTGGCAACAAGGCTAATGGTCAGTAACTAAGAAATGCTTGATATACATTACTCAAAAATATTGGCATGGAAATTAGTTATTTAAGCATAGCTCTAACATTTTCATTTGTTCTGCTACCTAGGTCATTGATCACTAAAGGTGTGGATCCCTAGAGTAGGAAAGGAACTTGCAGTCACCTAGTCAAATCTGCTAGCCTCATAGCACTCCCAATTATGTGTCATCCACCTTCCACAAAAATGGT
Source organism: Homo sapiens (assembly GCF_000001405.40). NCBI lineage: Eukaryota > Metazoa > Chordata > Mammalia > Primates > Hominidae > Homo > Homo sapiens. The sequence goes on along the minus strand of NC_000005.10, from coordinate 11,628,998 downwards.
TTCCCGTAGAGAGGAATTTATTATCTCACAAATTAGTCTATTTATTTTTAGACATTTCTAATTGCTAAAAAGTTTTTCCTGCCAGCTTTTGTCCCATCACCAAGAGGCATGCAAAAAGTAAAAGTGCCATTTGCATCTGCCGTTCTCTGTGCATTCCAAGATGGCCATTGTGTTTTGTGTTTTTCCGAGTCTTCTCAAAAGCTTTAACCACTCTTTTTTTTTTTGGACACTTTCCCATCCTGGGGATACTATAATTGAGACAAATATAATTTTACAAAAAGTACAAAAAGTGGTGAAGAACAATCAGCCCTCTTAGTCTGGCCGTAATACATCTATTAATGTAGCATAGAGTCTTATAATTTTTTAGAGGCCAAGTAACTCCCAGACGGCTTTGGGAATCAGTAGATCATGGTGCTTATAGCTGAGGTTGGAAGCAGTGATTAACTGGAAAAGAGCATAGGGAATTTCAACCCCAGAGAGCTGAGGATCACACTCATGTTGTGTCACATACTCTTTGTGTGACCTTGGGCAGGTTACTTCTGCCCTCTGAGTTTCAATTGCCTCATCTTTTACATGCAGATTCTGATATTGCTACATTGTACTGTTTTGAGAATTGAGTTACCTGACACTTGGCAAGCACTTCTCACTTAAGCTAATGCAGAAGAAGAGCTTAGTGAACATTATCCATTATTTTGTGGTCTTATATGCATATTATGATTTTTAAGCCTCAGTGTCTTGATCCTGGACCATTAAATATTTTAATCTAAAATTAAGACTTTTTAATTTATCCTGTTTAAATTCTGTCTTTTTGGATTTACCCATTGTTCCGCATGGTGAAAACGTGTGGAATCTGTATAATAGCTATCCCTATCCAAATCACAAATTTGATTAAAAAGTTGTATTCTATAAAGCAAGGGTCCCCAACCCCTGGGCCATGGATTGGCACTACTCCATGGCCTGTTAGGTACCTGGCCGCACAGCAAGAGATGAGTTGTGGGTGAGCGAGCCAAGCTGAGCTTCACCTCCTGTCAGATGAGCTGCAGCAAGGGATTCTTATAAGAACGTGAACCCTATTGTGAACTTCACATGTGAGGGATCTAGGTTGTGCGCTCCTTATGAGAATGTAATGCCTGATGATCTGTCATTGTCTCCCATCACCCCCAGATGGGATCATCTAGTTGCCAGAAAACAGGCTCAGGGTTCTCACTGATTGTACATTGTGATGAGCATGTAATACTACAAATAAAGTGCACAATAAATGTAACACACTTGAATCATCCCGAAACCATTGCCCTCCCCCACACCCAGCCTGGAAAAATTGTCTTCCATGAAACTGGTCCCTGGTGCTGAAAAGGTTGGGGACCACTGCTGTAAGGGTACTCCTCATCATTTGAAATAGCAAATACTATTTCCACATTGTGACTATCTATTTATATCTACTGTTACCCATAGTAATTTTTTTTCATTTTGTCTGCAGGATTTCAACCATAGCTTTCATCAAATATCTATTGATGCCTGCATGGAGTCTGAACATTTTGTTATACTATAGAATCATGGTCCAGTAGATGAGGCTGTGTTAAAACCAATTGTTAAAAACATCATGGTACACAGCCAATAAAAGGGCACAATAGAGAGCATCTGTTCTGTGGAGCCACTGAAGAACTGCTGGTAACTCCACCTGGATTATGTAGGGTCTGCTTTGCAGAACTGGGGACATCTGGATAGGTCTTGAAGAATTATCAGAAGTGATGAGAATTAGAAGGGCATTTCAGTGCACTACCACTAGCCCTCTCAGATGTTTGGCCAAAGTCCAGAAACATTATTTTTTACAGAATTCCCTAGTTCTTCCAGTGTTAATAAATCTATCCAAAAGGCAAAAGAGCTGTCTTATGGGACTTGCTCCTCATGACCCAATTTTGGAGCATAGTGATCACCAGCAATTTTTCAAACACTTTCCTAACACCTCTGCAAATTAACTCAAATTTTATTCATCATCTATCCTCTACCTGGCAGGCGAAAATAGATGAAATAAGGCTCTCACTTTTAGCAGAAAGAGTGAGAGAGCCTCCAGCACACCAAAAAAAGAAGAAATAAGAACAATTTGGCACAATTTTTAAAACTTAGAATTAAAACACTAATGGGTTCTTCAATTTGTGTGTGAATGTGTGTGCTCATGCACTTGTAAAACTCTTCTTGTACTTTTCCGATTTGCGTGTGAAGTTTAATGCTTTGTATGGAGCAAATATTTCATTTTAGAAAAAGCATGAGTAGGTATATTTCTGTGGATGTGATGTGCAGTGTCATAGCTTCCTATATCTGAGAGTGTTAATTTTGCTGTCTTTGCTTCTCTAAGGAGAAGGAACATAATTACACAGTGGCAGCCACCAGAGACAAAGTCAGAGTGTCTAGCAAAACTGAAAACACATTCCAGGACTCAACCACTTAACAACTTAAGTGACTTAAACACTCTGACTCTTCAATTTGTGATGGTTGATGGAATATAATTTTACAATTAGCAATGTGTACATTCCTAATATGATAGTGTTTCATAGAATCTCAATGAATTATGCAAATCTTTCCTACCTGCAAGTTTATGTTTTAGGTTTTACGTCATTACTAAATATCACATATAGTATAGTGTTCATTTTTAAGACAATGCAATTTAAAACTTTAAATGAGGTAATCAGTAAGCACAACAAGCAATCAGCCTTACATATGCAATGAAATGGAGTCGAAGGCAAAACTCCTGAGCATTAAGGGGAAGGTAGACAAGTTGGCATCAATGTGCAACAAAAGACTTCGAGTGGAAGAAAATTGTCCTTTTGCTGAGGTTACAATGGAAATCTCTGTGACCAAATGAGTTCTGGCATTTGAGTTGGGTTGCCTTTACATTATGGCCTCATGTTTTATTTCACATTAGGCATCTGAGACACCTACTATTTTATATTCAGTCTTTGAAATAGGCTGACAATACCATTCTATACTTGTCAGCAGAAACGTTATATATTTGGAGTGAAATGAATATATTCATAATTTCAGTTGAAGTTAAATTTATTTATAATCTGTAAACTGTAGCAAACACCGATGGCATTAAATTTTTGTTGGCATTATTAAGGTAAATTTACAAATTGTAATACTGACCAATTTTAAGATACTTATTTGTCACCCTCATATCTTATTGATTGAAGAGTTCATTCAAATAATTTACCTATCTTTTTAATTGGGTTCTCTTTTTAGTGTTGAGTCATGAAAGTTCTTCATGTATATTGGAGACAAGTCCTGTATCAGACAGGTGTTTTGAAACTAGTTTCATCCAGTCTGTGGTTCCCTTTTAATTTTTCCAACTGTTATTTGAAGAGCATAACTTTGTAATTTTGATGAATTGCAATACTGTATATCCATTTTTATTTTGTGTTTTCATGTCATTTTAAAGAAATGTTTAATCCATGATTGCAAAGATTTTGTTCCCTTATTTCCTTATAGAGGTTTTATAATTTTACATCCTACACTTCAGTCTATGACCTAGTTTAAGTTATTTTTTGTAAATGATGTGAAGTAAGAGTAGGCTAGAGAGCGAGAGAGAGAGAGAGAGAGAGAGAGAGAGAGAGATTTTTCTGTTTGCATTACCCAGTTGTTCCAGCATCAGTTGTTGAAAACATTGTTCTTTCCCTATGAGATTGGTTGACCTCTTTGTTTAAAATCAGTTTTTGCATGTATGTCATATTCAAACTTTTAGACAAAATATTTTTCCCCAATCATTCTAACAAGAGAGTTAGTGGAGTGAATTTTTGAGGACCAAGTCATTTTCCTATGAAGATTAGAAGCAAGAAACAAAAGGTACACTGATTCATAGCAATTTCATGTAACGTCGTTGTTTAAATACTTTTATCTGCTATTGTGCTCTGACAGTTTCAGCCATGTGGTCATATCTTTGTATGCTACTTACAGTGCATATTGTTGAAGGGTGTTTAGTTTTTCAAAAATACTTTGTTTTTTTTTGGTTGTTGTTGTCAATGGATTTTTGTTTGTTTTGGTTTTACAGATAGCTGCCTCTAAAATATAAACCACAAGTTACATTAGGCTACATGCAACTTCAAGCATAGTACCTGGCATACAGTAGATGCTAAATAAATATATATGGAATAAATGTATAGGTAGGTACAGTTTTAGCAGTTGTGGTTGTTTGGTAAAAATTTGGAATTCCTTAATGTTGGGGGAGGGAAAGGAACTATCCCTGTGTGGGTTCCAACTGTTAATTTTCCTTAACAGGAGCAGAATCATTTTGTTTTATTTTTCTAACCTCTTATAAAACAAAATCACAAAAGCCACTTTTAAGAGAAGATACTCTTGATAAAAGTTAATTTTTCTGAATGTTACTGCTCTATTCAGGTCTCCTTTTAATTTTGTACTTGAAATTACATCTGTTTAACAAAATTACATCTAAAATTAAAACTGTTTAATAAAATACAACCTACAGAGTACATTTTGACTGATCATTGTCCATGAATACAATAACACCATTGTCAAGTATTAAAGGAATTCTGTGCGCTCTTTTGTAAATGAAAACAGCAAGGTTATTCAACATTTTTATTCATAAATAGAGATACTCACATTTCACATGTTCCTCTTTCTTCTCAACAAGCCAATTGATGTAAACTATTTCTTTAGAATAAAGGAGATGACCTGAGAGTTCTTATGTGACTACTGTTCAGTATTGGTCAAGACATGTAAATTTAACACGCTTTGGTATCTTTATCTCTAAAATTGAGAGAACAATAGATTTGTCCCAAGGATCCAATGAGATTTTACCTTAAAACCTTTGTGTTCTTTCTAACACAGAAATACTCAATGCATGGGAGTTTACATGCCCTTAACTTTTCACTTATTAACGAGTGTATTAGTCTGTTCCTACATTGCGAATAAAGACATACCAGAGGCTAGGTGATTTATAAACAAAAAGAAGTCTATATGGTCAGGTGTCAAGTTTGGGTCCTGAATATCTTTGCTACATTTCTGCTTCGATGATTGATCTAATAATGTCAGTGGGGTGTTGAAATCTCTCATTATTATTGTGTGGTTATCCAAGTTTCTTTGTAGGCCTCTAAGAACTTGCTTTTATGAATCTGGCTGCTCCTTTTTTGGTGCATATATATATATATATATATATATATATATATATATATATATATACATACACACATATATATATTTACGATAGTTAGGTCTTCTTCTTGAATTGAACCCTTTACCATTGTGTAATACCCTTTGTATTTTTTGGATCTATGTTGGTTTAAAGTCTGTTTTGTCTGAAATTAAAATATTAACCACTACTTTTTTCTGTTTTCCATTTGCTTTGAAGATTTTTCTGCATCCTTTTACTTTTAGCCTATGGGTGTCGTTGCATGTGAGATGGGTGTATTAGTCCATTTTCACACTGCTGATAAAGGCAAACCCAAGACTGGGTAATTTATAAAGAAAAAGAGGTTTAATGGACTCACAGTTTCATGTGGCTGGGGAGTCTCACAATCATGACACAAGGCAAAAGGCACATCTTACACGGCGGCAAACAAGAGAGAATGAGGGCCAAGAGAAAGGGGAAACCCTTTATAAAATAATCAGATCTTGTGAGATTTAGTCACTGCCATGAGAACAGTATGGGGGAAACCACTCCCATAGTTCAATTATCTCCCACCAAGTCCCTCTCGTAACAAGTAGGAATTATGGGAGCTACAATTCAAGATGAGATTTGGGTGGGGACACAGTCAAACCATATCAACGAGCCTATAAGAAAATGAAAATAAAGCAAAGTTATGAACACTTCTACCGATTTGATATTGTTTTTCCTCTAAAATAAAGAGCCTGTCTGGAGGCTGAAAGTCTCATGTACTACATGGAGGAAGGACTATTTCTGCTGGAAAAATATCAAAGACCAACAGCGTAGTTAAGTTTCTCATTCTCATTCAGTGGGAACAGTTTGCCAGTAAATTGTCCTCTTATGGTACCAAAAATAAACCAGTCGTGTTGTTAATGTTGCTTTGAAGGATATAGTCATAGTAGACTAAAAATAGCAACAATAAAAGAAGGATTTAAGAAGTGGAAATCTTACATGCTTAAGGGGTAAAACAGTTGTTTTAATCATTCTGAAATTAATGTGAATGATATTAGTTTTACTTGCGTGTTTGCTTTTAGGGCTCTTTCTCCCTTGATATAATTGTCTCAACTCCATTTTGAAGTAGACAGGATATAAATGAATACTTCAGAATATATTTTTGAGGGTCCAGGTTTGTATGGAGGTAGGAATGGCTTCTGAGCCATGCTTTTGTGGGGGCAGATTTGCCTCTGTAAGATCGTGTTTTTCTGATAAGCACCTGACAGAGCTATAGTCAATCTGATCATTTTAGCCATTTTAACTGCATGGCCAGTTCAATCAATTGCACCTTTTAGAATGGTTTGGAATACGACCAAATCATCAAAAACTCTTCAGTTTATGAACCCATATGAATATAACTGAGATGTCCATTTCTGATAAGAACTCTTACAGCAAATAGTCAAAACACTTACATTATTATTGTGTTTATTGCAAAACCTATTATATGTAGTTGCATGCAATTGATGTTTAATATTAAGCTGGCTAGTTTCTTACCCTCAATCAAGGGTACAGTCATCTTGTTTTATGCTGGCAAGAAAATAAGTTCATTTACTTTTTGGTCTTCATTTAAATTAAATCTTAGCTTAGGAAACAGAATCTATTCATTATAAACTTCTACAGAAAAATCCTAATTTTAAGGTATTTTTAGACCTTGAGGAACAACTTGCATGATTTTTTACCAGAAATTTATGTTGGGTAATTGTTTGTAAATCCCAAAGAAGGCATGGGGTGATGTTCTTCTGTCTTATTTCTTAGTGAGCATTATGATAAACCTGGTATCAGGTCCCAGTTACTCATACTTAGATCTTTTTGGATTTTTAAGCATCCATTTGACAAATTTGAGTTTAGTTTTAATTTTAAGTGATGCTGAATATTTCATCTAAAAATACTGTATTTTGTTTGTGTATTATATTTGCAAGATGCAAAGAGTTTGGGACAAGGGAAGGAAAGTGCTTCAAGACAGCTTATAGAATCAGCCAACTATGACAGCCCCGCCTACATATGCTTAATGAGGCAATCCTTAGCATTAGGAGACAGCTTAGATGTTTAAAATTTTCAGATGGGAAACATATAACAAAGATAATTTACTCTTCCCAAGATATTAATGCTAAAGGTTGGGAGTAAAGCTGCTTCCTACCCAGAGTCACCTTTTTACAACATTCTCTTTTGTTGCATGAAGGAAGCTAAGTGCATTTTGATATATTATCTATAAACATCTAAATAAAATAAACTGTACCATATTGTATTTGTTATGTATTTATATTTGATTTCTTTCATGTTTTTAAATGATTTAAATGTATTTCTATAAGCTACAAATGCATGCCATTTACACGATTTTTTCTCAACCAAAAATACAAATTCCAAAGTTAAATCTGTGATCTAACAAAAACCTCTAATATAATATAAATGAAAAATCTGGAATCAACTCTGCATTAATTTTCAATAGTGAAATCAGCAAAGATGCTACTGGAAATATAAAATTTTTATGTTTGATAATTCAAACCTACTTACAAATAAAATATAATGATTAATGTAATCAACATGAAATTTACACTGAACAGATTTTTTTGCATTGCCAGAATATTACCAGTAATTATCCACCAATGTATCCATATTACAAAATTACTTTTTAAGAAGTATAAATGTGGTAGTCTAAAATCTGATACTTATTTTCCATAATGTTTTAAATATTGGTTTTATATGTTTGAATATGGCAGAATTATTTTAGATGGATGCATGTGTGTGTGTGTACACACATGCAGATACTCATCCACTCACATATACACCGTTCTTTCAGGAGACTCCTGAGAATGGCTGAGTAAACAGCAGTGAGCCAGGACCTACAACTATTCTTGATCTCTGGCATGAGACAGACAGGGTCAAGCAGACCACATTTTGGCTAATAAGTCATGTGTTCCATCAGGGCCATGTTGAGGTTCATATGCCCTGAGCACTAAATAGACTATTCAGGTATTCGACATCCAGAAATTCTGGGAATAGGCTTCCGAGCCACTAGGCTAAGTGTCACCTGGCACTTTTGCCTGGAACTAGGAAGAACAACTCCAGCCTCCAGATATAAAGAGCCCAGGATGTCACAGGTTATAATCATGGGGACTTCAAAACAGATAATAGACCCAGTGACCTATTGTTTTGAAAGGTAAGTTTTATTATAACTCAGGCATTGTGAGACCAACAGACCAGGAGACAACTGCTATTAAAAGATAGTTCTTTACTCATAGTTCCCAAAATGAGGGGCACCCCATGATATTCCAGGCTATACGGACAAGCACTGGGCCAGTCAGGAGGCAGAGGGAGCAAAGGGGAAATGTGGGCAAGCGCCTTTATTTGGCTTTCTGTATGAAGGAAGAATAAGGCTGGGTAAACAGGTTTAGGTTTGGATAGTTTGAATAATTTCAGCAGGCTGTGGGCTGTAGGCGCTGTCCTGGATTGTGTGCTCTCTGCCCCTGGGATGACTAGGCAGGGGAATATTGGTCCTGAATGTGACAGCCCTGTAGAGGAGGCAGTGATGTGATTGGGCACTGGATTGGTTACCTTGCATATGAAAGGTAGGCTGTTGGGCTGGTCATTTACTCTCTTTAGGGGTACACAAGCACTGGCAGGAGCTGTCCCTTCCAGGTCAGCCAGGTCCCAAGATGTCAAAACATCAGCATTACAGAAAATAAAAAAGGATGATTAGGATACCTATTAGCCATTATTCATTTCTTGGAAAGAATACCAAAAATAATGATGAAGCTACTGTTTTCAAAGTTTTTATTTAAGATTTATATTTTAAAATCAAGAAATGCAAAATATCATCGATTAAAATGCTTTTTGTTGATATTGAAATGCATTTCATACATTATTTTAAACATTTATTGAAAACATATTTGAAAATATCTAATCACTAAAGTATGATGGAAACTTCACAGGTCAGATAATAAGGTGAATCACATGATTTTTCTTCTGTGAGTGATTTAAATACCCACCAATCTGGATGCCCATTCATTTCATACCAACAGATGGCACCAGTAGTTAATGGAGAAGGGTTACGACTCTAGCTGGGATGAGTACAGTGAGAGAAATTTCCAGCTACTTGTGCAGCATTAAGAAACTGAGATATTTTAGATCATGTCATTTTTATAAACTCAGCCAAGCCAAAATGCATATGCCTTCTGTTTGGAATGTTTATCTAAACTTCTTTCTATGCCATCATGCAAACAAGTTCAGAAATTTAAAATATATTTATTACAACCCATGTAGAGAGTGCATATGGCTTCTGATCAACAGAGACTCCTGTACATAGGATTTAAAAAGACTAATTAATGAGTAACCCACTAGGACTACATATCAACTGTACTCTCAGACTGCATGCAGTGCCAGATAAAGGAAAGAAAAAATACTGAGAATAAATTTTGGTTTTGGGGTTTTTGTTTTTTGTTTTTGAGACACAGTCTCACTCTGTCACCTAGGCTGAAGTGCAGTGGCATGATCTCAGCTCAATGCAACCTCTGCCTGCCGGGTTCAAGTGATTCTCATGCCTCAGCCTCCGGAGTAGCTGGGATCACAGGCATGCACTACCACACCTGGCTACTTTTTGTATTTTTAGTAGAGATGGGTTTTCATCATGTTGGCCAGGCTGGTCTCGAACTCCATACCTCAGGTGATCCTCCCGTCTTGGCCTCCCAAAGTGCTAGGGTTACAGGCATGAGCCACTGTGCCTGGCCTGAGAATAATTTTGAGTTGTTTTTATTTTTAGGACTTTTATGTTTTTAGTGCATGTAAATAAAAGTCATACACCACAAAACTTCAGAAATAACATAATAACTTTTAAAAATGATTGTCGATTAATTTTGCAAAATATATTTCTTGAATTCACACAAGTTCCAAAGTTGCATAATTTTTTAAAAATGGAGGTAAACAGAATATGGTTTCTAGTTACTTAATTATGTTTCCTCAAATGTATTTTACATTTAGCTGAGAATGAATATCTGATAGATACAATAATCGGATAAAATCATATAAAATGAGTATACAAATGATACTCAATATATGTAAAATTAAGCTCGCCTAATTCCTGAAAGATTGATTGGGTAATAATCATAAGTGTTTGCTTTGAGTAGAATAAAGTGACATGACTGTGAAAAAAATCAATTTATGGTAAACTGTACCATGCAGTGGTAATTATTTCTTGGTAAAATTTCGGATAGTCAGAGGTGTGGAAAAATAAGAGGCTTAAGTAGTATTTTTACCAAATTACATTTATTATCATTTGACTCCAAAATCTATAAGATATATGTGCATGCACCTGTGTGGACATGTATGTGGGTTTATGAGTGTGTAGTGAATGTTGTGAAGACGTTTCCTAGGAGCAATTAGCAGCTTGTTCTAAGCAAGATGTTAAGGACACAAGTGGCCAGAAGTTTTTTCCTTTTTGGGTCCAAACCTGACCTGAACTAGCATGCAGCTCTTTATAGTTTTATTAATCTCACTAACTGTGAGCAAAATTGCGCATATTTTTGCAGAAACTTTAACGTGTTGATCCTAAGTGCTTCTCTTTGATTCCACAGTGTAGTTATAGTAATATATTTGTATTCAAACATTCTGAATTCAGAAATACGTCTAGCTCCAAGTGTTTTGTGTAGGGGATTGTGGGTCAGTAATTGATGGAGAGTTTCCTTTGAGATTTTTCAAATGACATGAAATGGACATCATGACACAAGTAGCTGGTATGGTTAGATATGAATGGTATTAAAAAAAAAAAGCCTGATAGGGTTAGGTAGAGGAGGCAGAGAATGATGAAGGTATAGGGCATGTTGTTAAAGTCCTAAATACGTGAAAAATAAAGGAGCCAAAACTTTTAGCAGCCCTTGAAGGATAGATATTAGCCATCAGTGTACCATCTATTACTATATTTACTTGAATTCCCTTTTCCATCCATAAAATGTGGGCAGTCAAACACACCTACTTTATCAGACTGAGAAAAGAGGCAAAAGCCTGTGGTATAATAATTTGGCAGTTCTGTATTCCCTTCCCTTTCTGGGAAATTGAGAATGTGAATTCACATATAAGTGGCTCTGAGAATTCCATAATAAAGATGCTTGTTTAACTTTGACCCAGTGTGTGCCCTTATTTATTTCTCTGTAACACTTGTGGAAATATTGTTCCCTTGAAGACATTTTGCAAACTGGCTCATATTCCTCTATATACCAATATGACACAGAACTAAGATCAAGAGCCATTTAATATTCATTTTTGTATGAATGTGCTTCTGACCTAACAATGAGCTTAGAATAATAGCTGCTCAGTAAATGTTTGTTAAGTAACCAGGTGAAGAAAAACTTCTAATGTGTGTACCTGTTATAGTATACATAGTTAATATATGATGAATGAATGATGGATGAGCTAAAATATGGCAACATAGAAGGCAAAACATAAACCAGATCTAGAAACTATGACATCAAGTGATATCAAATAGTGTTAGATGAGGTGAGAATGAAATGGGGTATCAGAGATCCAGCTACTGAGGAATGTCCAAGGAATTTCCTTCCAGGGGTGAGAAGTTATGAAGATGATGTCAGTAGAGGTCAATGACTCAAAGCCAACATCAGTGTCGTAACCCAAGATAGAGAATTCAGAAATAGGAGCATTTGTGTAAGGGAGAAAAACACTATTATGTGTATGGTTTTTAGTAACCACTTGGCCATCCTCGGAGGTAATGGACAATTAGAAATGTATTCCTGGAATTTTCTGGAAACCTTGGCACATGCATAGCCACAGGTCTGATACGAGTAGATATGATGGATGATGCTTTAAGAACAGACCAAATAATGGAAGAAAATGTATGCAAAGGAATAAATCCTTACAGGCAATACCTAGGAGAAAGGCTGCATTTTGAGGGAAACAAAACTGAACAAAGAGATTGGCAAAAAGAAACAGCAAACAGGGCTGGGCGCAGTGGCTCACGGCTGTAATCCCAACACTTTGGGAGGCAGAGATATGTGGGTCACTTGAGGCCAGGAATTTGAGACAAGACTGGCTGACATGGCGAAACGCTGTCTCTGCTAAAAATACAAAACTTAGCCGGGCGTGGTAGCACATGCCTGTAATCCCAGCTACTCAGGAGGCTGAGGCAGAAGAATTGCTTGAACCTGGGAGGTGGAGGGTGCAGTGAGCCAAGATCACGCCACTCACTCCAGCCTGGATGACAGAATGAGACTACATCAAAAAAAAAAGAAGGAAGGAAGGAGGAAGGAAGGAAGGAAGGGGAAGGAAAGGGAAGGGAAGGAGGGAGGGAGGGAGAAAGGAAGCAAGGAAGGAAGGAAGCAAGGAAGGAAGGAAAAACAGGTAGAAATTAGAATATTATTAACACCAAGGCCAAAGTATGTGAACCACATTAAGAAGGATGTGTAGTTAACCATCAGATACTGCAGATGTGAAAGTAAATAGGAAACTATTGGTCATGTGTGACAAGGCATTTCTGTAGAGTGGGAATGATAGAAACTCTTTTGCAGTGGACTAAAATGTAAATGCATGAGAAAAATAAAAGGAAATATTTTTAGGTGCTTGACAAAGTCATAGTAGATCATGCCTTGACAAAAAAGAGTTGAAGAAAACTGTAAAAAGTGATCATTTTTGTAGCGAGAAAATGGCCCAGAGGAGAGAAGGAGATTAAATTGGAAAGAAAAGCTGTCTCAGCGAGTAAGTAGGCAAATGTAGTTGGCAAAGGAGCATGAGAGCTTAAAGCCAATATCACCGTTTCAAACTTGGGTAACAGGAAAAATGTAATGTCATAAACCAAGAGAGAGAAGTCAGAAATAGAAGCATTTGTCTAAGGAAGAAAAATCATTGTTATGTGTATGATTTTTAGTAACCACTTGGCCATCATGGAGATAGAGGACCATCTCATGGTGCTAAAATGACCTTGAGACTTCTGATGGTCCACCACACAGGAATATTTGTGTAAAAGAGAATACCATTGTCATGCATGTGATTTTTCAGTAGCCACTTGGCCATCCTTGATGATCTTGGGACTTCTGATGGTCCACTACATAGTCCCAGGCCATAGAATAAATGCCTATGGTCTTATCACATGCATAGCTCTTGTGTCATGGGGTACATTTATTTAAAATACACTTATGTGACACACTGGAGAGAGAACTAACAGCCAGAATATAGAGTTTCTACGTATTGTCCTGTCCTCCAACTCATGTGATTTTTTGATTATTTGTTAACTTCTCTGGTTCTCAGTTTTCCTCATTTGAAAAATCAAGGGTTTTGAGTAGATGATTTCAAAGATCTACTACTTCAATTTGGATTTTTTTATTTGTGTTTCTAAGATTATCTATCTCCATCATTTCTAATTTCAGTACTTAAAAATGTATAGTCATGCTAAAATGCTTATTTGATGAATGGCCTTACATTATTTTTAAGAACATAATTTTTTAAGTATAAATTCAATTAATAGGGGAAAATACTTTATATTAAGTGTATACGTGTTTCTTTAAGGGACTGTATACAAATAATTATGAATATTGTCCTTCAAAGTTATAACCACTGTTTTTCATGGTTTCAGTTATTAGGCCATTGCAAAAGTAATTGCGGTTTTTGCCATTAAAGGTAATGGTGATTTCTTTTGCAATTAAATAGGAAAGAAGAGATGTCTCAGGAAGTAAGTAGTTACTTTTGCAATTACCTTTGCACCAACCTAATAAATGTGTCAAAATTTTTCGTATGTTAAATACAGCAAATATAGTTCTACTGTAAGATATAGAAATGATCTCTTCTACATTGCTTAATGAATATGAAACATAAGTAGTTTGAATATCTACTCAAATTCTACTAGATTCTACTAAATGATGTTTAAATGGTGAGACAAAACACATATTTTGCATCATTGCCCATTTTAATTGCTATATGTATATTCATTTAGTTCTCACAAGGACCTTATCAGGTAGGTACTATTGTCCCCACTCCAGAGATGTGGAAATGAGGATGAAAGAGGTTCCAGAATTGTCCAGGGCCACACTGATATTGGTGCTACAGCAGGTCTGGCTCCCCTGTCTGGACTCTCAAGTGTATGTTATGCCACCCCACTCAGTGATGAAACACAGTTTGATATGCCTGTATGCTGTGCTCCACTGTAGTTCATCACTGCCCTAGAATATTCCGTCATGTGACTATACCCACAATTCATCCATTCTTTCCTCAATGAGCATTTGGACTGCTTCTGAGTTTCTGCTGTTACAAACATTTCTGCCATGAACAGCCTTGTACATGTCTCTGCCTTTACATTTTTCAGGAGTTTCTCTTTGTTAAACGCCCAAGAGTTAAAATTCATCTTAATACGCTAATGCCAAATTATTTTCCAAAATGGTTGTCTAATTGTTTTCCCATCAGCAGTGGAAGTGATTCTGTAGATTCACATTTTTTTGCATCACTTGGAGTTTTTAATCTTGGTAGAATGAAGCAGAAATAATACATCAGGTGGGAAAAGGGGAGGCAGAAATCTTGTTTCTTCAGACTTACCACAAGTCAGACCTCAGGCACATTTTTTAACCTGTCTGAACATCATTATGTAACTTTGTAAATTAAAGATATTTTATTTAACCTGCTAAACATAGTCTCTACATAAAAGGTGATCAGTATAAGTTAACTGAAAATGTAAAGGGCATGCAGATAAACCAGAAGCATAATTGTACTCTTAGTAAGAAGCAAGTTACCTTCAAAATAATCACACTATTTTAAAAAAAGAAGTATAGGAAAAATGTCCATTGTCAAGGAAGAATTTTCAAAATTTTTTATTGAAAGTATTCAAACTTTTTCAATTGGCAGACATTTTACTCTTCACTACATAAATGCATGTATATTTTAAATACAGTTCTGTCATGTCATTATAGATGAAAAAATAAACAAGACTTAAAGGACTTAAAGCAATTGATGCATTGAATGAAGGGGACATGGGGTTTTGTTCGGGAGTCAGATGTAGAGACAGGGGAGCAAAAGTTGTCAGTCCCTGGTAGGGTGATATTAAGCTACAGACATGTACTAACCATCATGGAAACACAGATTAAGGCCTAATTCTAATCCTAGCTTTACCCAGCTTGAGGACAGTAAGAGAGCTGGTAAGAAAGAGATGACCCAAGAGCTGAGACTTTAGCAGGCAACAGGCTCTAATTCCATGGGCTAGTTACATTGGTTATCTCCAGGAAATGAGTCCACACCAGCGTTTAATTCAGCCCTGAAGCAATATATTGCTGGAAGAAGAAAACATAGGTTAATACATACAAATTCAATTCAGAGGCGTCCATTAATGTCTTTGAATGCCTGATTGGACAGCAGCTTTGGCTAGTTCCTTAGCTTCTAGTGGTGGTTTTTCATGAATTCTGAATACCATAAAATGATGGTTCTTGTGACATTTTTCTCTTATCATTTTGAAGGAAGCATCAGGGTTTGCTTACATCTCTCATAAATGTCATCAGTGGTTTTAATAAGAAGCACTTTAAAAAGATTATTTTAATTTAAGCTTCAATAAGTGTCATACACATATACACACACGTTTATCTACAAAATTATGGAGAAGAAGCCAGGTAAGCCACAATTTCATTACTTATCCAAGCTACTTGCAACAGAATAATTGCCATATGAATACCATCTTGACATTAAAATAAAAACCCCAAAGCAAAATGGATTTTGATTAAGAAGTCTTGACATTGGCAAAAACTTCTTAGAAAATGTCACAAAGAAGCTGTTTTGTATTGCCCATGTATCTCATTGGCAGCATTATTCAACCAAAGCACAAGAGTATGCACTCAAGAAATAAATACCACTATCAAGGAGACAAATTCTGCGACTCTATTAATTATGGAAATTAATTTAAGCTATTGTTAATTACTCCTGGAGAATGATGAAAGTCTGTGTTTTTATATTTTATTTTATTTATTTATTTATATTGAGGCAGGGTCTCCCTTTTTCACCTAGGCTGGAGTGCAGTGGAACTATCATAGCTCATTGCAGCCTCAACCTCTAGGGCTCAAGTGATCCTCCCGCCTTAACCTCCCAAGTTGATGGGACTACGAGCATGCACTCCCACACTTGACTAATTTTTTATTTTTTGTAGAGGTGGGGATCTCAGTATGTTGCCCAGGCCGGTCTCAAACTCCTGGGCTCAAGCAATCCTCCCACCTTGGCCCTTCAAAATGCTGGAATTATAGGCATGAGCCACTGTACCCAACCTATTTTTGATTTTAGAAATAGTAAGCATCGTAGTATTAGTAAGCAATATACCTTTTTAATGCTGTTGCTTTCAGCTATGTTTTCAGTGAATAGTTTTCACTTCACAATCAAATTTACTTAATGTGTATACCATGAAGAACGAAGAAGGTACATAGCTAAGATCCCATGTATCTTAGCATAAATCTGCTTATTTAGGCCATTAGTAATTTAAATATAATTCAGGGATATTGAACTACTTAGTACTAGTCTTTAAAAATAATTAACTCTTACTTCTGCAACACTTTGGTTTCTTTAAAGACAAAATTCCCAAGTCAGAAGGCATGAGTAATGACTTACTGATAGGAATTATAATTAAGCAAAACTTTTCACTTCAAATGTTCCTTTTGTAAAGTCACATCTCTTAATTCCCCAAGTCAACAACATTTAAATGACAGAAAGGAGTGTCTACTTTCTGGTATTTGGGATTTCCTATCTATCAGCCTGATCATATATATACATTGTTAGTTTTAAGGTGCTATATTCTCGAACTTTTGTGACTTTCCATTACGTAGGCTTGGTGAACCCCTGATATTAGGATTTCTGTAAATAGAAATGAATATGATATGTTTTGCTTTTAATGTCAAATATTTCTTGATCACTTATTTGTATTAGGAACACAACTAGAAATGAAATAGAATCATTGCCCTCAAAGAGCTCAGAGTCTGGAGGGAGCTGGTTGTCAGAGAGACAAAAGTTGATAATACATTGTAGTGAGAGATGCAGAAGAGAAGGAAATATCTAGATAGTGTGCTTATCTAATCTGTTTTGAGTTCAAGAAAAAACTTTTATTTTTTTGAGATGGAGTCCAGTCTGCACTCTGTTGTCCAGGCTGGAGTGCATTGGCGCGATCTCGGCTCACTGCAGCCTCGGCCTCCCGGGTTCCAGCGATTCTCCTGCCTCAGCCTCCCAAGAAGCTGAGATTATAAGCACATGCCACCATGCCTGGCTAATTTTTGTATTTGTATTAGAGTCGGGGTTTCACCATGTTTTCCAGGCTGGTCTCGAACTCCTAACCTCATGTAATCCACCTGCCTCTGCCTCCTAAAGCGCTAGGATTACAGGCATGAGCCACTGCACCTGGCCCAAGATAAACCTTTGTCATTGCATCCTGATAAAGGGAAGATATGTAGACTTCGTGATTAAGTGACAACAAACCATGATAGTCTTAAATCTTGCTTAAAGCAAGCTTTGAAGGCTGCAGACTTGACAGGTTTTGCTGTTAGAATATTTCTACAGTATTAGTCTGTTCTCATATTGCTAATAAAGACATGCCCAAGACTGGGTAATTTATAAAGGAAAGAGGTTAATTGACTCACACTTCAGCTTGGCTACGAGGCCTCCGGAAACTTACAGTCATGGCAGAAGGGGAAGCAAACACATCATTCTTCACATGGTGTCAGCAAGGAGAAGTGCCCAGCTAAAGGGGGAAGAGCCCCTTATAAAACCATCAGATCTCATGAGAACTCACTCACTATCATGAGAATAGCATGAGGGGTAACTGTCCGCATGATTAAATTACCTCCCACCAGGTCCCTCCCATGACACATGGAGAATATGGGAACTACAATTCAAGATGAGATTTGGGTGGGGACACAGCCAAACCATATCATCTACTGACTTAGACTTTAGATTTTATCCTAAATCTTGACTCCAGATTACCATCTATTTCTAAGCTTTTTGACCTCAGTAAAGTATAATATCTTCTCATTCAAGTGAACAAGAGCTTCCTTTGATCACTTGTAAAAAATATTGTTTTCTACCTGAGCAAATATGCAGCTACAATTCATCCATCAAGACAACAGTGTAGACAAACCTCTAATATGTCATTGATAGCTGAAATATGAATTGATCACACTGCTTAGAGATAAATAGAACTCTCTGGATATTTTGGGGTCATTATATTTTTGCTATGATCCGTTCAGGCAACATTCATTGAAATAACATTCTATTACTTAAAACTTGTAAACTACCAACTAGAACCCAAAGATAGGCAGGTGGAGGAGAGTGTCTTATTGGACGGTGGGTTCCCTGGGCTGAGGGTGAAAATTGAGGCAGCCTTCTGGCATTAAAACATAGTAATTTATAGATCCATGCCAGTCACATCACTTCTCTAGGCCTCAATTTCTCACCACTGAAACGGGGATATTATTGCTGCCTTTTGTGAATTGCATGCCTTACAGGGTTGTGAAAATCGGCTATTCTCACAAATAAATTATTTGACATCTTTTCAGCTAAAGAGTTTGAAATGTTGGGTATTTCAAGCTACAGTGTATGAGGCGAGATGAAGCTTTTCAATGTTATTTCCTTGATGACATTGATACCGGCCAAGAGAAGGCACTGGGTTTTTGCTTAGGATCCATTTATGAAGGTCACTGCTATAATTGGGCTGGCCAGGTCTTACTGGGCTCCATTCCCAGGGAACAGCCAAGCGGCTTTGATCTGTGCATGTAGAGAGAACTCAGTGTATGGGGAGCTAAAGTGGAACTTTGTGTCTGGAACAAGTCATAAAACTCTTTGTCATCGGCACTTATATTGTTGTCATAAATCAACATAACAAATACTAGGACTCAAACCGAATTGCTGTCAAATAAATCAAGACTAAATTTCTCCTCATGTTTAAAGGAGGTCATTGTGTAAGTTAAAAGATTCTCAGTGTGATTCTGTTAGGGACAAACTATAATGGTAAAAGGTTAGTAGAGCCTGACTAAGTGGAAGAAGTTCATTGTCACTTGGTCATGAGGTCAAGATCCCACAGCTGCAGATGCAGAAGGCTCCCAGGTTCAAGCCTCCCCTGGGGCAGGTGGCTTCAAACCCACCTGGGTCCCAGCCAGGCTTTGCCAAGACACATCCTCCCAGGGCTGGAGCACACTCAGACACATGGACAAGGCATTCCTTTGTGTTGTTTCACTTGTCAGTGTTGGGCCTTATCAGTCTATACTGGGCCAAAAAATAAGTATTGGAATTATGTTCATTGTCCAATACTATTATTTAATATAATAGTATTATAAAATAGACTATTGTCCTCCCAAAAGTTCAAGAAATATCATTCTCTCCATGAGAGTGTCATTGAGTGATTAATAATTCTCTGTCAGGTAAGACTGACCATTGCAGTGACAGAGGGTCCATTGAGAGTCACTGATTTGGAAAGAAATTTCATACGTTTAAAGAGGGCACATTTTCTGTGTTCACTAGAAACCAAAAGCTGAAACTTTCGATCAACTATTCATAATTCATCAAAAAGAAAAAATAAATAAAACACTCTCAGATTTAGTGGACAGTAGATAGGAAGGCATAGTTCTTAAACCACATGACTTACTGGGAGACATGTGATAATTATGTAGGCAGAAACAACATAAGCAACAAAAAATGAAAAAATATGCAAGTAATATGTACAGTTTCAGATAGGGATGAATGGATGAAGGAAACAAAATACACGGAGAAAAAAACTATGAGTGAACCAGAGAGACTTGGGCAGTGCTGGCTGAGGGGAAGGTGTCTCTGATGAGCGACACCTGTGCTCAGATTCACAGGACTAGTAGAGGAAGCCATGTGACGAAAACGTGGTCCAGGCTGCAGGAATTGCTTCATGGATCTGAGGAAGAAAAAATGCCATATGGCTGGGGCTTAGTAAAAAGTGGGAAGGATGAAAGTAAATTAAATCAGAGAGGTAGGCAGAGTCCTATCAAATCCAGAAGCCTCAGATACCCTTGGAATGATGATGGTGCTGCTGCTGCTGATGATGATTTCATGGGAAGGCATTTGAACATTTTAGGCAAAAGAGTAAAATGATGTGATTAAACAGTTGGAAAACTCTGCTTGCTCTGTGGAAAATAAGACTCTGGAGGTGGTGGGTGGGTGTCAGGGGGTGCAAGATGGGAAGCAGAGAAACCAAGTAAGGTGCTGTTGCAGAAATTTAGAATAGAGATGATGGGCTAGTTGGCAGCAGTAGAGATTATGTGAAGTGGAGGAGCTCAGCATATATTTTGTAGGCAGAACCAACAGAAACTTGCTGATGTATTTGTGTGGGGTAGGGGGAAAGAGGCTGTTCTAGAATCTTTTCTGTATGTTCCCTACAACTGGGTTGCTGGTGGTACCATTTACAAAGATAAGGCCACCTGGGAGAGAGGAAAGGTGGAGAGTGGTGGAATGGGAATAATGGGAGAAATGCCAGATTTTATTCTGGGTGTGTGAACTTAGAGAAGTCTAGTAAGTAAATACCCAGTGGAGATGGGAAGTAGGCAATTGCCTAGATTAATCTAGTGCTCAGTGGGGAGGGCAGAGTTGGAGATGAAAGCCTTGGAAATCATCAGCATATAGATGATGTTTAAAGCCTTAGGCCAGGCTGAGAAAACACTGCATTAATTTTCTACTTTCAACTATGTGTTTTCTGGGTTTCTATGAATCATAGTGTTTCAGAATCTAACAGGACTCTTCATAGCTTCCACTGCTGTGGGTAGGTTCACATTGCATCTGGTATGTGTGTTCATCAGGGTTCTCTTGAGGGTCAAAATTGACAGTATTAATCATCACAGCATAATATCTTAAGACAGCAGCATCTATTTCTAGATTTGTTGGGAACTGTTGATAAAATTCAGAGATGTTGTATTTTATAAGAGGATTTTCCCCTGGGTTTTTTATGGTTGATAATGAACTTGAGAATTTCTTCTAATGCACAGTGTCAACGTGAAACACATTCCTTGCATGGGGCCTAATTAGGTATCAATTTCTGCTCATAGCAGAAGGTGTGGTCCTTTTAAAGTTGGATGTGGTTTGATACCTGCCGTGTTCACAGACTTTCAGCCCAAGTTTTGAGTTTCTTTCATTGGGGATGTTGACAGTTTGACATTATTAACAGGTCTAAGTTAAGTAATATAATATTTGAATAAATGCAAGGAATATCTTGCAGAAGTGGATTCATAACTAAGACTATTGAGCAACTTCCCTTCCATAATTTTGAATGGAGGATTAATATTCAAATAACAATCATTTGTGTCAATTGAATTGCCATAGATCTTAAGATCATCTAATGAAAGAAACTAACTTCTGAGTAATTTGTGCTTGAGAAATAAATGTTTGCTGTTTCTTAAAACTCAGTAATCAAAACTATATGATTACTGTTGTAATCATTTTAATAAAATTATTTTTTTCTTGCCATATTTTCATCTTTTTTAATTTTAAAGATGGAGATAATATTATATATGTCAGATACAGAGACCATACCACTCAAAATATATCTGTACGCCTGTCTTAGGTATCGACTTCACAGTATTATGTGCGTGAATTAGTTTGTTAGGGCTGCTATTAAAAGCTACCAGAAACCAAGTGGCTTCAACAACAGAAGATGATTGTTTCACAGTTCTCAAGGCCAGAAGTCCAAGATCAAGGTGCCATCAGATCAGTTTGTTCTGAGGGCTGCAAGGGAGAATCTGTCCCCGGTCACTCCCCTAGCTCCTGCTGGTTTGCTGGAAGTCTTTGGTGTTCCCTGGCTTACAGAAGCAGGTTCCTGACCTCTGACTTCATCTTCATATAACATTCTTCCTGTGTGCCTGTCTCTAAATTTCTCCTTTTTACAAGGATGCTGGTCATATTGGATTAGGGCCTATCCTATTGATATTATTTTAACTTGATTACGTCTATAAAGACCTTATTTTCAAATATAATCACATTCATGTGTTCTGGGGATTGGGATGCTAACATATGTTCTGGAGGGAATACAATTCCACCCATAACAAGGTGTAATCTCCTGTGCTTCTTAATGTTCCTGATTTTCCTTAGACATTGTTGATGAACAAATCCTGAAGACATTCTCTGTTTATCTGTCCATATAGGTATCCTGGGAACACATATATAGTCCCATATTTAAAAACATCATTGATATGTTTATGACACACTTATAAAGCTGACTGATGCCTCCAGCCCTCACCTCTTCATTCAGTTGCAAACTTGTGTTGGTACCTGCCTTCCTGTCACCTCCAGCTGGATGAATGATAAGATATCTCAAGCTTCACGTGTTCAAAACAAAGTGTTTGTTTTCCATTTTTCTCCCCAAATGTTCTTCCAGCATGTTTTTCTATCTCAGTAAATGATCCCTCCATTCCCTCAAACTCTGTCCAAAGAGCCGAGCCATCCCAATGTGTCTCTTTCCCTTACTGCCTTCTGATACTTTCCACTGCTGTGTTAGTTTTGTATTGCTTCTGCCAAAGTGAATTGGTACAAACTTAGTGGCTTAAGACAACACCAGTTTATGTATCTCACTGCCTCAGAAGTCCGATGTAGGTTTCACTGGGCTGAAATCAGATTGTCTTCAGGCCTGCATTTCTTTCTGGAGGTTCTAGGGAAGTATCTGCATCTAGGTTCTTGGCCAAATTCAGTTCCATGCCATCCTTGTGTTGAAGTCTCCATTTCCTTACTGGCTGGTGGCTAAGAATCATTCTTGACTTCCGGAGTCCACTTGTATTCCTTGGCTCGTGGCTTCATTCCTCCATCTTTGGCTTTGCATCTCTCTTACCTCCTATTCTGTCTCGTCTCTTGCCTCTTCTGACATACAGTACTGGGTACAGCTGGAGAATTCTCTGCTTTTACCAGCTCATGTGATTAGATTGGGTTAACCTGGATAATCCAGGTTAGCCTCCCTATTTTAGGTCAACTGACTTGTAACCTTAAGTCTATCTTTAGTCCTTCACAGTAGAACCTCAGTGAATGTTTGACTGAGTAATTACAGGACCAGGGACTTGGGCGGGGGACATCTTTAGAATTCTTCCTCTCACAACTGCCATGTCCTCTTAGCTGTATTTTAGCACACTTTTCTTCTCTCCCTCCATCACTACCACCAGATTTCCAGTGACCACCGTTCCTGCATAGTTACAAAAGACTCCTCACTGTTCCCTTATGTGATCTTTATGAACCATGGCATTTCAGATCCAAACAAGGCTATTTCTTTATGACTCCTATTATTCTAGATAGGGTCACATTAAATATAGCATAATACATTAAGTGGATCTTTTTTAAAAACAGCACCTGCAAGATCATGTCACTTAGATACCTCTAATGGCTTTCTTTAGTACTTAGAATAAAATCCAAACCTTAATATGGTCTATAAGGGGCTTTTTATTCTTGCAAAGGCTCTATCTTTTTACCAGACTGTTTGACTTTCTTTATAGGACTTACCACCTTGAGAAACCATCTTCTTCATTTAGTGTGTATGATAAATTTGTCTGTGATGCTTCATTAGAATGTAAGACCCTTGTCTGTTTGCTACAGCTCAGATGTTCAGCACATTGACATAAACGTGGTCATTGTGTATAATTTAAGTTGCTTTCATATGTGTATGTTCATTTAGTAAGCATGTCTGTTGTGTGGGCACTGCTGTGCCTCTTCTCAGAGTCCCTCTTGGCACTGTTAGGAGAATGAATGTGCATCTCACTGAGCCCTTGACCCCAAAGAACTTGTAGTTTCATCTCATTGTATTCCTATAATCTTCTCTTGAACTGTACGGTACAAGAGTTTTTCCCATTTCATAAATAAAGGAACTTTATTTAAGATGAGTTCAGCAACCTCTCCAAGGAATCCTGGTGCTATAACTAAAACTCAGAGCTGTTGTTCCTTGCTCCAAATACCTTTCTGCAACATACCAAACTTGTAATTATTCTCAACATTCTTAAAGCACAGATAAATAAATTGCACAAATGTAACTGGTCAAATGCACAAGTAGGTCTTCCATCTCTAAAACCAAAAGCTGACACAAATGCCCATGAATATCTCCCTCATTCCTCCACTGATGTACTTGGTATTATAAATGCTTCTGAAAATACCAAAGCAAATGTTTTAACAGAATATTTTTTGAGATCTTGGGACATGGGTGATTAATTGAGTCCAGGTAATATCAGAGCCTTAGAATCATCTGGGGAAGGTGAGAATTAGACTTTCTAGGAGCGAGAGGAAGAACTAAGATGTGAAAAGCCAGAGGACACAGGTAGATGGCAGAAGAATATGGACTGTATACACAAAGGCAAGGGGACTTGCAAAGCTTGGGGTTCACATGTTGTGGGAGGAAGCTCAAGGCTTTGGAGGCGGAGCTGTGCGCAGACCCATGCTCCACAAGACATCAGCTTCGGGGCTTGACATGAGTCACTCCCATTCTTGAATCTCCCTCATCTTTGAAAGAGATCAATAGTGCTTTCCTTTCCACGGTGAATGTTTTTGATGGTATATGTAAAGAATTTTGTACTATGTCTAGATCATGGACACTGTCCAACTCACGGCAGCAAGTAGAGAGTTTGTAAATTTTTCATGCCAACTGTATGGCTGTGAAGACATGGGTCACAGGTTGCCTCAGCTCATTGCTGCATAAATGAAACACTGTTTTTATTCCAAAGTCTCACTCCCCATAAACCACATTCCAGAAACTGAAACTTCAACACTAAAAGGAGAAGAAGCCTGTGAATATGAATATTCACAAAACATGAAATAGTAAATTTCTGTGTTCTTATTTTTACCCTCTGTGACACTGAAGTAGCCAATAATATTGAAGTTTCAGTTATGCCTTAATATTATACGCTTATTAATTAAAAAGGAAAATACCAATTCAATCTGTAAGGCAATGATTAAATGTTTGCTATATGCAAGTAACTCTAGGAATAAATATGCTGATTTGTTTAAAAGAGATAAAATTGAGCTTTTGGAAGAAAGAGAAGCAGATATCAAATATGGAGTGTTTCCAAAATAAAACTGGATGGTAAGCTGTGTGAGGGTGGGACCACATCTGTCGTTGCCCTTCAGAAGAGTTCCTGGAACAAAATAGGTATTTAATAACTATTTGTAGAATGATAATAAAAATGAGATTCTTCTAGTAATTTGTTGGACTGTATAATAGACTTCTCTGAACTGTTTATTATCATTATCTCAAGCTCTGTCATATAGCCTTGCCTTTTATTTTTAGGGAAAATAATCATCCTGAGTTTTGCATTTTACATTAAAATAATATGATAATAAGGCTGAATGTAGCAAACTCTATAATTAGCCATTTACTCTGAATTCCTTTGAGGCCTCTAGTCTATTTCACTGTCAAAGCAGGAATGTGGCAGGGTAATCTTGGATACTTACAGACAGGCAAGATGTTTTGAGAGTCCTGGTGCAGCACGTGAGGTCCTGACGGTGACACCAGCAATGGGCAGCAAAGTTGAAAATTGAGAGCCACTGCAACTGTGACATTAAAATTATAATGTGGATAAACTAATTGTGTTTGTTTCATGGGATGGTTCATTGTGGGATCTATTTTGGAAACCAGAACTGTTGATGTTCATACTGCAAAAGTAGGTGGGCAACATTTTAATATACTAAGTATACATGGAATCTGTTCAGTAGATTTACGAAGCAATGGCATTTATACTTCTATCCCAATGATGAGTATGGGTTGCATTTTGGAAGCAGAGGCATAAAGGGTCAACAGTTTGTTGTGATTGTTACTGTTAAGATGCCCATTGTGAAGTACCCTCTCCTAAATGCCTCTTTCTAATAGGTTAGAGAATAATCTGAGAAGCATTTTTACTTTTAAATTACCAACCTATTTGTTTCTGTTATACTTATCAAAATATTTAAGTAAATCATTATTACGTATTATGTTGTAATGTGCTGGATTTTTTCCCTCATCAATTTTAGGCACAGGAGAATTATAGGACAAAGTTTGCTTCATTCTATCATCATACTTCAATATTAGCTTGAAAAATGGAAAGTAGTATTCCAGACAGATGATTTAAATAATATATAAATATATATTAATATATATTATATTTATATCTATTAATTTATATCTATTAATAATATATCTATTATATATAATATTTATATTACATATAAAATATATAATATAATATATGAAATATATACTATATATAATTTTCTATAATATATATTATATATAATATATATATTTTACATATATCTAGAGAGAGAGAGAAAGCAAAGCTGTCTCTTGGTTTCTGTCTTTTTCGAACATGAATATTGTAAGGTTATTCCATTAGTGCCCCCAGTGGTTCAGTGTGTCACTCTCCCATCTGGACAGACTACTGGAAGAGACGCTCTGGTCTCTGTGGCCAAAGGGCAGTGCCCTTGTTTCTTGCTTCAACTGCCAAGAGGGTGTTTGAATAGCACTATCTAATGTCATCGTGTTTATTATGCATACTGACACATGTCCATGGGGAACTTGCCTGAAAAGAAATATTCATTTGTGTTCTTTGGATTCTCAGATCTTCCCAGATGACAAAAATCATTGAGTTCTTGGTACCAGCGGTGTAAAACTCTAATAGATTTCTATCTGTAATTTCCTAATTATGATTATATTGATATTGAAGCGATGATGCTACTGCATTGTTATGAGCCACTTACAATGTTAAAAATTAAATTATGATGGAGTATTTTATAATAATAAAATATATTTTTAAGGAAATTATATTATTAACTTTCTTAAGGGGAGAAATTGTATCCCATAGTGCTTTACATCCCTTTATTATTAAGGGAACTTAATTAACACCCTCTTGGAGGAATGCCTGCCTGAGCCTTGGAAACACAGGGTAGTAGGGAGGAGGGCACTTTTCCCCACCTGGCGAAATCTTCTAGAGTGTTTGGCGGGGGCAGATTTGAGTTGAACAGGTTCTGGTGAATGTTCTGAGACATAGTACTACTATCTAGGTGCTTTCTTTAATGAGCAGTACCTAAGTACCGAAGCATATTTGAATGTGTGCCTGAGTATTTTCAGTAATTAGCTTGGTAATTTAACTTCCCAAATAAGAATTTTGATCTAAATTAGCTTTCTGTTATTAAATTCATAATCTCTCTTTGGTTTTAGATTTTAATAGCTACTTAAAAGATTATTAAGAAGATCAAAAGTGATAATTTATGTAAATCCATTTTATAAACTATAAGGCAGCAGATATATTTATGTATTATTATGACATATTCTCATTTAGAAAAATATGTTATTAAAATCTTAATGAGTTGTGAGAAGTGAACAATTAAATATTAACAATTACATCTAATAAAATAATTTGAATAAATTTAAAATGATTAAGGGTTTTCAAATAGACCACATTAAAATTTAGAGATCTAAATTTTATTTTTAATAACTGGAATTAAATCTGTTCCAATTATTTATCACTTAATATGATGTGCCTTCCTTTCATTTTTTTCACAAAAAAATAAAATTCTTACAGAGCAATACATCATTTTCCATAGAATTGCAAGAAAGAGTCTATGCAAAATGGAGAAGAATGGAATCTGATCATTCCAATTAGGTCATAAAGAGAAAAAAAGTGAAAATAATGCTATGGGAAACAGAAACAATGTGATACCAGCTTTCCTGTTGTTCTCAAATATTTTGCTGCTCAACATTATGTTTATGTGAAATATGCATATGCATGTTCTCGTTTATACATCTATGGATACAAACACGTTATTCGCATAGTCCTTAGTTATACATTCAGAGATATGGCATTCTAAGATATTTCTACATCTATATATATAGTGTTACTAAAATAGAGTATCATGTATAAAAAAAAAACCTTGCTGTTTTATGCAAGTCAAATTAGAATATTTGTCAGATTTAGAATTCTTTGGATTCATTTCATTTAGTTTAGCTCTTTACCTGTGAGCTTGCCTTCTCACTGGGAGGCAAGCACTCATGGATGACTTCACAATGTCTACTGGTACCTTCTTCCCACCACATTTTTACCACCAATGCTCTCATTACCTTCTGATTTCTGTGCTATTTATTACTACTAAGCTAATTTACTAACATCGTTGTCTGGGAGTGTTCTGCCCAATAATTTTGAAATACAATTTCCTGGGCTAGTCTTCATTTTTTTTTTTTTTTTTTTTTTGAGACAGAATCTTGCTCTGTTGCCCAGGCTGGAGTGCATTGGTGTGATCTTGGCTTATTGGAACCTCTGCCTCCCAGGTTCAAGCAATTCTCTTGTCTCAGCCTCCCAAGTAGCTGGGATTACAGGCATGCACCACCACACTGGGCTGATTTTTCTATTTTTAGTAGAGATGGGGTTTCACTATGTTGGTCAAACTGGTCTCGAACTCCTGACTTCAAGTGGTCCACCTGCCTCAGGCTCCCAAAGTGCTGGGATTACAGGCGTGAGCCACTATGCCTGGCCTAATCTTCATATAAAAAATTTGCACACATGTTGGTACAATTGTTCACCTATAACACACAATATACTTAATATATCTGTGGAAAATAGTTGATACATATAATACAAAATTTTTTTTGTTGTTTTGTTTTTTTAGTTTTAGTGTACTTCACATACTGCTTAGAATTTAGGTGTCAGCAAATGTTTTTCCCATACTTGACAAAACAGTGTGTCCACACACTTGCTGTATTAGCATAGGTATGTAATTCTGTAAGCAGGTAAATACTTCAGTGATTGCCTCCAACACTGACAGTGTCAGCTGAGGAAAACTCTAGATGGTAGATGGAGGAATGGAAATTTAAGTCACATATTTTAATCATAGACAATTTAAATTCAGATCCATATTTATAGTTTTGCTTTAGAATTGGATAAAGACCATTTGTGGTCTCAATATTTGGGACTTGCTAAAAGTAGGTACCTTGATGCATTTTGGAGGCACTTCTTAACTCGGATTCCTGAGTGTAACCCAAGTATTAACTCTATGGCCATAGAATGCCGACAGAAGAGCAGAAGAAACTTCCACTTTTATGGTTCCTGGGCATGCAATAAGACTCTCAAGAAATTAGATAGCCAAATCAGTGTGCCATTTCTCATCACCAGAATAGCAAGCTTCCTGGTCTGAGAACCCCAAGGGAAAGTCTAAACTCCATTTTCGCAATCACTTTTCTATTTTCCTGACTTTTCACTGAATTGTACTCACGGGTATAAATCTAACCTTTGATCTACGTGGACCTCATGAATAAGTACAAGTTCTACTTGTTTGGGATTTTAAGAACTAGCAAAAGCAAACAAACAAGCAAAAAAACCCAAATCCTTTGCCAGTCATGGATGTCATGTTTGAGAAGAAATGCTATATATGGCAAGAACTATTGCGGGCAACTTCAAAATTTCATACACAAAAGGAGTTACTTTTTCAAAACTCCAAAAATGGTCATTAAATATGTGTAAATGTATTTATAACTACAGAAAAGTTCTAGAAGACACAAGCTTCCAAAAACATCTATTAGAAATGAAATACCTGTTCAAGATGAAGTTTACTAGAATAGTTAACTTTCCTCCTTTAACCCTTATTATTAATTTTTTTTAGTTTTCCAGGAAATATTGCTATGTTATCATGAACTGCCTAAGTAGATTGTCCCATACATTTTTGATGTTGCTCTAGATGTGTTATGATTTGGATCTGTGTCCCCACTCATATCTCATGTGGAATTGTAATTTCCAAGTGTTGAAGGTGGGGCTTAGTAGGAGATGACTGGATCATGGGGGTGGTTTCAAATGCCTTAGCACCATCTCCCTGGTGCTGTCTTGTGATAGAGTTCTCTTGACATCTGATGAGATCTGATGGTTTAAAAGTGTGTGGCAGTTCCCTGCTTGCTCACTCTCTTTCTCCTGCTGCCATGTAAGGCATGCCTTGCTTCCCCTTCGCCTTCTGACGTAATTGTGAGTTTCCTGAGGCTCCCCAGCCATGCATATCTGTGAGTCCATTAATCATCTTTTTTTTAATAGATTACCCAGTCTCAGGTAGTTCTTGATAGCAGCGTGAGAATGCACTAATACAAGATGCTTACTTCCTTTTCATGTTTTCTGACCCAGCTGTTAATGAGTTTCACTATAATAAATATTAAAGTTTTATACTTACAGTTGTTTGTGAAATCTTTTGGTTAAGTCTCATATTTTTCATCAGTTTTCATGGAGAAGATATATTTTCCCAGCTCTTCATCTTCAATTCGTATATTAAGACTATAAGAAATAGACACTTCCTCCTTTCCCTCAACTTGTAAACCCTCTCATAGGAGGCTTAATGAAAAGAAAGGTGATAGGTGTTTCCTCTTATTTAAGGAGGCACAACACTATACCATTTAAATGTAATCAGATAAAGGATTTTAAAATGTGTATACAATATCAACCTTGATTACCTTTAGAATGGTTGACAAAACCATGGTGGTAAAGAATCGCTTAGTGGGATTACTGGGTAGGAGACCCCCCTGGAGTCCTGGCACACCTAGAAACTTACCTGATTCTGAGGAAGCTGGAATTTCTCCTCATCAGCACGTATCCCCCTTGGTTGTGGTGTAGAGGGATGGAGAATCTGATTTATCATTATTATACAAACCCAATAAGAACATGATGTGGTGGTTGTTAGCCATGGCTCCTAGAAGACAAACTTAAAACTATAAATGATTATAGATAGGTCTGTCTAGTGGTTAAGAACACAAACATGATTTTGGACAAATTATTTAACCTCTCTGAATCTGTTTCCTCATTTATAAAATGAGATAATAATAACTTGCCTCATTGGATGTACACAGAAACAATGATAACATTTTACTTTAAGGCTAAACTGCTTTTTGGATACAACAACAACAAAAATACAGCTATTTTTATCACATGAGAATATGGAAAAGGGTAATTTCAGTGATATAGGAAATGAGTTGTCCTCATTATCCAGTGGTGAGTTGACTTCTCAATAAAATACCAGCTCTACTTATCTTCATTGTTATTATTATATTTTCAAAGACTATTCCAAGCCAGGCTTCGTGGCTCATGCCCATAGTCTCAGTACGGAGCAGACGAATCACTTGAGCCCAGGTGTTTGAGATCAGCTTGGGCAACATGGCTAAATCCTTTTCTACAAATAATACAAAAATTAGCTGGGCATGGTGGACCACACCTGTAGTCCCATCTACTTGGAAGGCTACAGTGGGAGGATCACCTGAGTCTGAGAGGTTAAGGCTGCAGTAAGCAGTGATCACACCACTGCACACAAGCCTGGGTGACTGACACTCTGTTTCAAAAAAAAAAAAGAATATTCCCTAATTCGGACTGCTCATTGATGAATTAAGAAAAGCACATTATTGGCTAAGGCAAATTGTAAGCTTAGAGCAAGAAATAGAGAACATAACATAAATCTGTAGAGCTAAATGAGCCTTAAATTTTCATCCAGTCCATCAGATATGTCAGCAGCTTTGAAATACCAAGGAATCATCTCATTCCAGATTGACTGGGTAATAAAGGGAGCAAACTCAGTATTTAAGACCTTTACAAAGCTGTAAGCAAAGCCTGTGGACACCTAAACATTGATTTCAAATAATGCAATATCAGTTCTAGAACGAACTTAAGCTGTAACATACACGGAAGGGCCCCATTTTTAAGATACCAATGTATAGGCACTGTTCGGAAATAGAGGTATATTCAACAAGTCTTACAGAAAAGTCTTCAAAATTCTAGAAGAACAATGTGCTGTTTCTACAAATGATAAGTCACGGAGCCTGTTGTGATTCACATCGGTTTAATATACAGTGCTGCCATATCTGTGAGCAGCATCCTTTTATCGTCAGAGATTCCGCTGGACTTGTTTGGGTTCGCTGCCTGTCCTGCTCCACACAAACCAAACCTCACCATAGTACAAAGAACAAATGAGAGCTTGTTCTCAGGCAGTCAAGAAGAAATGGAACAAATATACTAGAATTCATGAAAGATTGATTGCCAAATATTTAAATACTGCTATCAGTTAAAAAAATGCCGATAAGCAAACAAAAAGCACAAAGAGAACACTAGAGTCCTAGACATAGGGGAATGCCAGTCATGTTCAGCCTGTTTGTCCACCTGTAACCCTCACCTCCAAGGCAGCACCTTTAACCACTACCCTCTACGCATCTGAACTTCCCAAGGCTGTAGGAAGTTAACTATTTAAAGGACAAAATGTTCCAGCCTAAATGTAAAGGATTTTTATAATACCAAAGGCAAATATATCCTACAGGGAATGGTTATACAAAAACATGTATATAGTTACGCTTTGATGTATTGAAATGTGATATATCTTCAAGAAATTACTCATTTGTTTTATTTCTCTTTGCAAATAAATATTTTTAAAGTAGTCTCTTTGGCTAGTGCCTTAGCCAAGCACATTGTGGGAAGAACTTAAAATGCTTAGTCATGTGCCTTTTTCTTATTGGTATTCCTTAGGTGCCTCAGCCAAGGGCAATGACATAATACCTAAGCCCAGCCAAAGAAACAGGGCCCACTCTGTCTTGACAGAGTATTATTCATGATCACCACTTTACATAAATGTTAAAGGATATCAAGTAAAGACATGAGCTAATTATGCAAAAAATTGAAACAAATGCCACTCTTAATGCTGGGTGATTAGGATGCAGTATTCTTAGTAGTCAAACAAGTCGAGTTATTTCTTAGAAGACAGTGCCTTAAATTTATGCCTGAGGTCTAGAAAAGGATAAAATATGATAGATGCTTTCCATCTGGTAATAAACAAAAAATACTCCCAGTTCTGCCATAAAGAGACTCCCAATTTGTTAATTGAAAATTTTGCATTCTGCAAAGTTGCGCTTGCGTGTGTGCATGTCTGTATGTGTCTTGGAGAAAGAGATTACTTTAAAAATGAGATCCTGCCTTTGTTATTATTGATATTATTTGGAAAGAATATATATTTATAGTAAAACTGGTGCATTGTGGCATTTTAGGAGGCAGTGGTGCTGATTCCATATAGCAGATGTGTTTCTTTACCTCTAATTAATTAATGTGTTTTAAAAAGTGTGTTCTAAGTTAATTTTCTGGCAATCGTTGTCGTTGTGTATTTGATAACTGGATGGAAATTGCTGTCTTCAAGCTTTTTAATCCCAAAAATGTAAAAGCATGTGAATTTCATGGATTGATAATTTACAACATCAGGTATGCCAATGGGTTTAAAGCTGAACTATTACCGAGATGGTCAACTATACATTCCATTTGAGAAACCCTGCTTTGAATACAGTGAAATTAATTTCATGCCAGGGTAGAGAGCTACTTCTGAAATGATTTTGTCTTCTTCATCTGTCATTGCATGAGCTTTAGTTTGAGGCACAGATTGAAGAAAGGCTTGTGAGGTCTCAAATAAGAGGTTTATACCCTGCCAGAATATATATTATTAATAGATTTAATATACCCTACACTGCTAGTACAGACTTCGAATTTACACTGGATTCAGGGATATTAGCTAGTGTGTGATAACATATACATCTAGTCTCTTAGTACCAATGGTTCTATTTTTGAGTCTGTCTGACACTTGGTTTCAAGAGTTTAGTGCAGCAGCAGGCAGCACTGGGGTTTCAGTTGCATCTGAGTACTTGTCACTACAAGGCCCCTAGGCAAAAGTCCAGCATTGTTTGTTTGACTTCCTTCCTCATCCTGTTTTCCCATTTTTTTCCTTACCACCTCCTGCAATCCATTTCAGCAGCGATAACTGCTGGATTACAGATAAAAGCTGAGCTGGCCCTAAAAATCTTACTCCTTGCAAGGATTTAATTGCAAAAGAATCTGTGTTGGAGCTTCCCCGTGTCCCTTGGAAGGCAGACGCAGTAATTTGGCTGTCAATTGTGTGTAATTTTATACCTTAGCGTCTGGAAGGATAATAAATAGAATTACACAGTTTTACACTGAAATGCTGATTATCAGAAAATAAGAAGCCAAAATTTCAGGAGTCATGTCTTTTAAAGTCTCTCCTAAATATCAAGTTTTGTTAGCATAAACATTTTAAATGTTAACTTTAACTTATTTGTAAATCACTACCAAGTCACCTATTTCATGTTAAAGCTTTTCTGTGTTAATGCTACTTATTCTTCCACCCCTCTGTCCATATAAGTAGATAAAAATTGCCAGGACATGGACATCATGAACATGTAGGTTTTGTTTGTGTGTGTATATTTGTTTGTTTTTTGTCCAAAAGATTGGATTATTTGTCCAAAGGGCCACAGCATAGTCAATTATTTTAAAGTTAATGATACCACAGCAAATAGTGATTCCTTTATACTTTAGTTCTACTTTTATTTTGTAAAAAGTAAAAATCCTTCATTTTCTTTAAAAAGGAAATTGGCAACAATATTGCTAGAAACCTTTGAAATTGATTTTTTAAAATCAAGAACATTTAGTAAGTAAATAATATTCCTGTTTTCATACATGCATGCCTGTTATAGCTTTCAAAAATCTAGGATTTAAAATAATTTAGAACCTTTTCAAAAGTAGAATATACATACAGAAAAATTTTGGTTTTTGCTATAATGGCAAAAACTGCAATTACTTTTGCACCAGCCTAATATATTCCAGCAAATGCAGCTTGCTCACTGTTATGTGTGTGAGACTCAGTCATAATAGTGTGCCTGGTTATACATGATTTATTTACTTTGCTGAATAGTATTTCACTGTGTACGTGTACTATACTATATTCATTCTAGTGACTGAGCATTTCTGTAGTGTTCAGTTGGGACTGACAGCATTATAGGAGATGTCTTCTGGTGTGCTTATGTGCACATTTTTTAGTTTGTGGCATTATCGAGTAGAATTGCTGAGAAACAGAGTATGTTTATCAAGAATTTTAGAAGAAATTCACAACTGTCACATTTATTTTAACATTTTATATTCCCACTTACAGTTTTATGAAAGTTCCAATAACACCCAATACTTGCCAATTTGGGCATTATCTGTCTCTCTGAATTTTAATCATTCTAATGAGTACTTAGTGGCACCCTATAGTGGTTAAAATTTTGTACCCTGGTGAGTAGTGAAGTTGATTGTCGTATTAGTCCATTTTCATACTGTTATGAAGAAATACTGGAGACTGGGTGATTTAAAAGGAAAAAAGGTGTAATGGACTCACAATTCCACATGGGTGGGGAGGCCTCACAATCATGATGGAAAGTGAAGGAGGAACAAAGACACGTCTTACATGGCAGAAGGCCAGAGAGCATATGCAGGGGAACTGCCCTTTATAAAACCAGCAGATCTCCTGAGACTTATTCACTATCATGAGAACAGCACGGGAAAAACCTGCCCCCATGATTCAGTTACCTCCCACCAGGTCCCTCCCATGACACCTGGGAATTACGGGAGCTACAATTCAAGATGAGATTTGGGTGGGGCACAGCCAAACTATATCAATCGTTTGCCAATTTATTTATTGGCCACATGGGTCATGTGGTTGTTTTCTTTTGTGCAGTGCTTGTTAAGTATTTTACCCTTTTTCTATTGGGTTGCCTATTAATGTCATATTACATTGCATTTCAGACTTAACACATATACAGAGAAAGACAGAATGAAAATATCTTCTCCCATTAGTGTACTTTCACTTTCCTGATGGGGTCTTTGGTAAACAGAATTTCTCAATTTTAATATGGCCCAATTTATAACTTTTTTTATATTCTGTTATGGTTAGCTCATTTTGTGTCCTGCTTAAGAAAGCCTTGGCTACTCCAAGGTCATGCATGTGCTGCATATAAGCATTTTCATTTAATCTTTCACATCTAGCCCTTCACTCCAGATGGAGTTGATTTTTTTTATTTTTTCGCAACTGGGGTCACGTTGCATTTTTTTTCAACAGGTGAAGGCACTATCTTTCCCTCTGCACTGCAGTGTCATGTTTCTTGTAAATCAGGTGTATGTGTGGCTTCATGTCTGGATTCTCTTCTGCTCCACTGTTCTTTTTGTCTCTCCTTATGTGGATACCACACAATCTTTATGACTGCAGTTTTCTAGTCCACCATGTTATCTGGTAGGCTGTCTTCCAGATTTATTCTCTTCCTTTAAGACTGCTTGCTCTTCTTAGCCCTGTGCATTTCGATATAAATTTTAGAATCCACTGTCCATTAAGTCAGGCCCCTTACCCCCCCAGAAAAGCATGCTGAGGTTTTGATTATAATTTTTAGGTAGATGTTTGGTTGTTGTTTTGATCAAATTGAGGGCTTTCCCCCACTATTTCTGGTCTGCAAAGATTTTTTTTTTTTACTTAAGAATACTGTTGAACTTTGTCAAGAGTAAACATTTTTGCATCTTTGGGATTTCCCTTAAACCACTGTTATGATTATCTCACAATGTTGATTTTATTGTACTTCTTTCCTGGAAACACTAAAATGAACCAAAAATACAAGAGGATTGCGAATAAAATTCCATTTACAATAATACTAGGAAATAAATCAGCACAAACTCATGAAGGAGATATGTGAGTTTACACGTATCTTCCCAGATATCATACATTATGCATATTTCATTTTAGAAAAAAGAAGAGGAAGGAAGGAAGGAAGGCAGGAGGAAGGGAGAAAGGAAGGAAGGCAGAAAGGAAGGAAGGAAGACAGGAAGGCAGGAAGGCAAGCAGGCAGGAAGGCAGGCAGGCAGGAAGGCAGACTGGAAGAAAGGCAGGAAGGCAGGCAGGCAGGAAGGCAGGCAGGCAGGAAGGCAGGCAGGCAGGAAGGCAGGAAGGCAGGAAGGCAGGAAAGAAGGAAGGAAGGAAGGTAGATAGGTTCCTGAGCCAGAATCCTCAACTGAAACACTGAGTTCTGAAGACATGAGGGGACACAGGAGAGATGAAGCTCTATGAAGGACAAGTCCCAATAGGAGAAAATAATGTCAGGGGTTGGGGGGTGGGTAGCATAAGAACTACATTTTCAGCTACCAGCTGCCTTCACTTTTTTTCATACTTAGAATTGCTCCCCTCCCCAATCTGTTACCAAGCAAAAGTCAGGCCAAGAAAAGGTTGCCATAATTCAAAAATAAGTAATAAACTGGAATGTTTAAAGATAGTGGGTTGACATTGTCCATAAAAAGTAAGAAACAAAGAAATCAGAAAGAGAATAAAGGAACACAAAAACACAAATACACAAAAGGCAGAGAAAGTATAACCACAGAAAAATAAAATTACCCCCAGGTGATGTAAGGGAAAGTTAACAATTTTTTTGTAACTTGAGTAAGTTTAAAATTATGAGCAAAAATGAAATCAAAGAAGAAATCATAGGACACAGGAGGCATGAAAGGAGTAACAATGAGCTGGCAAAGATTATTCAAAAAAAAGAAAAAAATAGCTATTGCTGAAATGAAACCATGTTAGAAGCATCAAGCAGACAAATAGTGCAGAAATAAACGGGACTGGTATGAAGAAATAAAGCAGAAGAGAGAAAAAAAGGCAATAGATGTAGAAGAGAGATAACTAGGAGCTAATGTATGGGTTGTTATTTTTACAATAGTTCTCACCTGGGAAAGTAATTTTCTTACAAGAGGGATATATCAATCTGGCTTTTTAATTCTATTCTGCAGTTTTCAGTGTCAGAGGTAACTGAATGATTTCTTCAGAATTGTGAGTGAGGAAAAGTGTGATCCCAAAGTTGTATAACCTTCTAAGTAGGGCATAATACCAGGGACACCTTCACAGAGAATGATGGTGAGTTGTGCTTCTGGAGGTACCACAAACATTCCATTCTAGGTGAAAAATGCCTCTGAGGGTTACATAATGGGGACATTTGTCTGCCTTGCAGGTAATGGAAAATCCTCTTAAACATGCATTAACAGGAAAGACAGGCACCCATGAACTTTCTTGCAAAATTGTTTTAAAGACAACATAGTGTCAATCAATACCTAAGTAAAGGTGAATAAAGCATCTAGGTCTAGACAAGCAATTGTATAAAAAGTGTTAAATGTGTCCCTATAAGAGACCACCTGAGCAGGCTTAGTGTGAGCAACAAGCCTGTTTATTCACTTGGGTGAAAGTGGGCTGAATCTGAGAAAGGTGTCAGCAAAGGGTGGTGGGATTATCATTAGTTTATAGGTTTGGGATAGGTGGTGGAGTTAGGAGCAGTTTTTTTGCGGGCAGGGAGTGGATGTTACAAAGTACATTCTCAAGAGCGGGGAGGATGTATCATACAAAGTACATTCACAAGGGCTGGGAGGGTGTATTGTCACAAGGGTGGGGAGGGTGTTACAAAGTACATTTACAAGGGCAGGGAGGGTGTATTGTCACAAGGGCAGGGTACATTCACAAGGGCGGGGAGGATGTATCGTACAAAGTACATTCACAAGGACGGGGGAATATCACAAAGTACATTATCACAAGGGCAGGGGGATGTCATGATGGCTTGACCATGGTGCGGCCAGCTTAGAGGACCTTACAAAAAGGAGAATGGATTTGATGCTGGGAGTGTATGGAATAAGGACTACCCTGTACTTTATCAAAGTATGTACTGTGAATTTTTAATAATAAGCTTGTATGTTTTTAAAAAATAATTTACAGGGCCAGGCCTGGTGGCTCACACCTGTAATCCCAGCACTTCGGGAGGCCAAGGCAGGCGGATCACGAGGTCAGGAGATCAAGACTCCTGGCTAACATGGTGAAACCCCGTCTCTACTAAAAATACAAAAAATTACCCGGGCCTGGTGACGGGCGCCTGTAGTTCCTGCTACTCGGGAGGCCGAGGCAGGAGAATGGTGTGAACCCAGGAGGCGGAGCTTGCAGTGCACTTAGATCGCGTCACTGCACTCCAGCCTGGGGAACAGAGCAAGATTCCATCTCAAAAAAAAAAAAAAAATTTACAAAATCTTATTTTTAAGAAGTCACCTTGTTTAGTTCCTATTTGAACTAATACTAAATACAGCCCTTTTCAAATGAAGACTAGTGTTTCCCTTCAGTGCCATCAAATATTATCCTAACCATTTACATTTGTATATTGTTTTAGAATTGAAGAAAGTACTTCTGCAGATATCATCTTGTTAATACTCACAGCAACCTAATTCCACTGGGGCGTTACCTCTGTTTTAAATAACTTGTCCCAGGTCGTCTAATTATAAAATGTGGACCTGGGATCCATTTGGTACAAAGGTCAATAAAAAGTGCTTAAAATACTTTGCCGAATTTATGTTTTTGGAAGCTGTGGCTAAAATAGAAAGAATCAGGTAAAAGACTCAAAGGAGTTGTTTGAGGTACTATAATAGCTAGGAGTGGGTGGGGATGGATATCATTATATAAAATTTAGCTTCAAAGTCCGTATCTAGCAAGCTGTCTTTCCTGTGAGCCTTTTGGGTTGGTAGGATTTTGCCATTTTGTATTCTCTTTGAATTGTAATCTATTTCAAAAAACCAAATAATTTGAATAAACTTATTTGTTGAACAGCTGTTCATCTTTGAAACCAAAACCGGACTGGCTTTGAATATGAACTCTAAACAATCTTGAATCTGCCTCTTGCTTTTGAATTCATCAAGGAAATAAAGTCTATTTTGAGTTTGATAATCATTTCATGATGTGTTTTTTTGTTGTTGTTGTTGTCGTGTGTGTGTGTGTGTGTGTGTGTGTGTGTTTTAATGTTAACATACAGATAGCTAAGAATCCAGATACATTCAAAGCAAAGGAACGGAAGATTAGAAAACTAGAATTTGCCAGGCAGGCTAGTGGGAGGGTCCTTTTGTGATGAAATGTTGCATAAATAATGCCAATGGGGGTCTAAATTCACTGTTGCCATGGAGACCTTTGTGCCTGGCTGAACTCTATTCTTTTCTCTTTTAAGACAGCAACCACTGGGCTTGTGGTATCTCTGATATGTCTTGCTTTGCTTTCTTTTAAACTGTTTGCGAGTGAAAGCAGAAATTACCATAGGATAATTCAGCGTCCTGACTTTTTCGAGGCTGTTCTTCACTCCCTTCTCGGTTTTTGAGCTGCTCTGTGGTTCCTTTTAGCCGTGGTGCAGGGAGGGAGGAGGGAGGTGGGTAGGATGCCAGGAACCGCCTGCTCCACAGCCTGGGGAAGGAGGGAAGAGTAACCCTTCATCTTTGGGACTAGTCGTCTTGTTTGCCTAGACTACAGTTTTCAAGTATTTAAGGACCATTTATTTCAAAAGGTACAGTAAAGGTAAAAGACAAAAAGTGAAAACTAACCGCGTTTGGTTTTTCAATGCTTTCATTATGAATGTTGTTTTTGTGATAATTTTAACTAAAGTTTTAAAACTGCAGGTTAAAGTTCTGTATAGAAAATATGGTAAGAATTTATTTCTGACCTCACAGTTATCAATTTATTCAGCATCTGAACATTGAAATTGTAAAACCAAATAACCAAATTAAACAGAAAGTGGTTGTAAGAATTCATGGGTCATTTCCCTATTAACTAACCATTATAACCATTTAATTATTGTTTTTAGTAAGACTTGGTGTGTCATAGATATATACTTTAGATTTTATGAAAGTTATGATTATCCATGTAAGTAATCACATACAATTCTGTGAGAATTAAGTAAGAGTTAATTTGGAAATTGTAGGTCTTTTTTTTTTTTCCTTCGATGCGCAGTTAAAGGAATAACCCCATCCAGAAAGAAATTATTCATGGAGAGTAAAGGAAAAAAAATCACCCAACCAGAGTCACCATGTGAAGTAGCCAAAAATTTAATATACTGGGCAGCTAACTTGTTGCATAGCTTTCTCTTTTTGGCAGAGATTATTTGGTTCTCAGTGATAAGTTTATACTAGAACTAGAATACAATAATTACATGTTTTGAACACTCTAAATGGTGCAGGTGTAAATAAGATGCACACACCCCTTAATTATAGAAAACCTTTACCAAGTGTTTCAAGATTGCTTTTATTCAAATAACTCATTGAGAAAATTGTTGCCCAAAATTTACAATGGCTTCATAGATTTCACCTGTGCCACCACTGTAGTTAAAAAAAAAAAATTGTGATACCCAACAGATTAAAGAAACAAATTGATTTTTTGAAACCAGTGATTGAATAAAATGACAATCTGTGGAATTATATTTTAGATTGTTATATATTTAAGTTGGCTGTACCTTGTAGAATTGTGAGTGCGGTAAAATGGAATGCCTGAGAGATTCTTTAGTATTTATAAAGTCTTTATAAAAAAGTCCTTAAGTATTTATCTCTAAACTTAAAGTATTTTCAAATGAATAATAATAGTGATACAAAATGATTTTCACCTTAATTTTGACAAACACAAGATAAAACTTATGTTTGATTAATATTATATGAAATTTGAATGACTTTGTAAGTTATAAACTAAGTGTGAAGAATGACCATGTTGACTTAAAAATGATTTAATTTTATCAGAAACATATTTTCATGTTTTAATATGTTAATTGCCTACCCATGGATATTTTTATTTTAAAGAAACTGAGGAAGAAAGGCCCTTATTATATCAGAATATCAGAATAATATCAGAAGAAAGATATTATTCTGAGGGCATCTCTTACTAAGTATTTCATTTCAACTAATTATTAAATAAAAGTAAAAGTTTATGTTTATTGTCTTAAAGCTAGGAAATCTTTTTATTTTTAAGGCGTGAAAGTCAATCTCAATGCTATGGATTTAGAAAGTGATTTAAGAAAACTTTGACCTTTGGAAGTGTTTTCCACATTGACTGTAATTTAATAATTTTGCTGAACTATAAAAGTAAATGACTATGAAGTCTCACATCAGGAATATAGTGTTTGGGTGCTCACATTTTTTGTAAATCAGTCTAATAGATTTACGTGACACTAAGTCTTCAAACTATAGGACACAGTATATGTATGTGATCCAAATAAAGAGTTTAAAAACGCAATTAAGTTAACTCATTGATGTTATGATTATGTTTGCCCATTCCCTTATATTTCCGACTATAAATATTTTAAATTTGAACACTTACTTTTTTTTAATCCAGGTATTTATATTATGTGGATATATCTGAAAACATACTAAGTAGGCCCTTTAGGTGGCATTTTAAACAAAAGCAGAGAGTCAAACATAATAAAAAAAATTGTGAGAATTTTCTAATGCCATGTTACAAAATCTTTTCTGGGGTGTTTTACTCATAAATTGTATCCACACAATTAACAAAAAATAGTTTCAAGTGTTTAAAAATATATATTTGCCCATTTGACTCACAAATTTTATCCACACAATTAAGAAAAAAGAATTTTCATTGTTAAATATATATGTATTTATTTGTCCACACACTTCCAGATGTG
Source organism: Homo sapiens (assembly GCF_000001405.40). Taxonomy (NCBI): domain Eukaryota; kingdom Metazoa; phylum Chordata; class Mammalia; order Primates; family Hominidae; genus Homo; species Homo sapiens. Next base: position 11,586,627 of record NC_000005.10, on the reverse strand, counting down.
GTTCAACTCTTATGTGATGATAATGGCCAAGTTGGAAAATCCTATCTAATAAGTCTGATCAAAAGTTCCAGTTGGAATGGTGTGGGAACAAAGATTTATGTTTGTGTTTCTACAGGTAGCTTATTAACGTGTGAATTCTGATTTAGAGTTGAGTTTTGTGGCTATTTTAGAAGTCTTATATTTTGCATTCGAAATGTCTTGTATTCAACAAATGTTTTTTGAGTCATTCCTCTGTTCTAAATATTGAATTGCCACATATAAAAATGGAAGAGACATTCCCTAGGGATCAAGAACTAAAAAGTCTGGTGGGATCCAGATGTGAGAACTAGTACCTGGGATGTAGTAAAGTAATTGCTGTGCTGGTGTCGTGGCCAAGGAGAGCATGAACAGTGAGATAGCTTATATGATGCATTTATATGTGTTTATTAGGTCCTCCCCATGTAGCTGAGATGAATAAATATTAAGTGACACACAAAATAACCTTTAATAAATGAATATAAAGATTATTTTCGAATAGCAGGCAAAGGAATCCTATGAAAATGTAAATCCTATCATGTTACTACTCTATGCAGAGCAGAAGTCCCTGCAGTGGCCAACAAGGGCCTCTGTGCTCTGCCACCAGCCACCCATCCCTCCCACGCCTCCCAAGATGTTTCCTCCTCTCACTTTTTGCTCCTGCAGAGGAAACTCCTCACCTCTCCTAGAACATGCCCCTAGAACTTGGATTCTGCATTTTCTGTTGACTTTGCATGAAGCACCGTCCTAGCCCCTCCTTTCTCCTCACCCCCCAGCCCAGGTATACACACGCCTCACCTCCTCATTCTTCCCCATCTTTTCTGTAATGTCACCTTGTCAATGACGCTGTTCTTAATTATTCTACTTAAGTTGTCTCCCCATCGTCTTATTTTCCTGAATTGCTTTTTTAAATTGCCTTGACCACAGGTAGCTCTATGTAATCTGTTTATTTGGTTCACTGTCTGTTTTCTCCATTAGAATGTAAACTTCATGAAGGCAGGGATTTTTGTCTGATTTTTTTCATTGATGCATTTCTAGCACTTAGGCTGTGCCTGGTGTATTTACTGAACAAACAAATGAGAATCTGATATAGATAGATAGATAGATAGATAGATAGATAGATAGATATACATAGATAAAATATATAAATATAGTGTGTTATATATATAAATAAATATAGTGTGTTAGAAAAAATACATTTTTTTCTAACATCAAATATACAGTGTTCTTTTTCCCCCGATTAAAAAAGTGAAACAGATACAGTAGTGAGTATTGAAGGTTATCACTTGCAACCCCGTATTCTCTCTTAAGTAGGAGAGAAGTGGTCAGTTACAGGCAGCAGATTCACAATTGCTTATGTTCCAACACCCTTCTTACTCTGCATCGGAGCAGAGTAAGACCTGAGTATTTCCCTTCTATGGCATGGTATATGATATCAGACAGACTCTTAGTGAAACAACCTTAAACAGGGTGGTCTCCTGTTACCACCCTCCAGCTATGGAAATGTCACAAATGCCTTGACTTCTGTATGCTCTGCCTGTTCCTTCCACTGTGAAAAGCATGGCCATTATTGTAATGCCGCAGCTCTCCCTAGGGTTTTGTGATTTATCTGCATTTTCTCCAAAGTATGTTTTCAACACAGAACACATGAAGAAGTATATATAATTTCTAAAATACTAAATCATGTATTTCTTTATGTTTCTATCCTCTATTAGCATGAGAAAAATGATGCAGTGGCCTGGATTTTTTACAGAATCATATTCAGTCAGTAGCTCTGATCAAGTTCTGCTCAAAAAAACAAAACGTATCTTTAGGGTCCTAAGAATTACCAATCAGTGTTAATCATGTGCATGGTGATATTATTTGGCCATATCTAATACTAGCTTACCTAGAAAACAGAGCAAAAGTGGGTGCATTTTTGTTATTTTTGAATCAAATTACGTGCTTCTATACCATGAAGTTCATGCTACCTTTGATATGTTTAATTAAACTCAGCACATATGATTTTAAAAATAAACTCTGTAATCTCTAGGAATTTAATAAACACTGCATTGTGGCTAATTACATTGTGATCTTCTCCAGTGTGTAAATATTTTTCAACATTATGGGCGTTTCTTCCTCTAGGAATAAAAAATATTGAGTTAGTCGGTGACTTTAAACAGTACTAGCTTCCTCCTCCCCCCCCCCAAAAAAAATATATATATATGTATATATAGAACAAAAACTAATTTTAAGTGTTGGTCAACTGTCTAATTGTTTTAGTACAAGGCAAAACGATTATTAGAGCCTTTCTGCATCCTTTCCGCCTCCACTACTGTTTTGCATGTATAGAGTAACATTTGCATACGTGTTCCTACAAGGAGAGCAACTCTGAAGATGGTTATTTATTGCATAGCTTTCGCATTAGTCACACGTTCCTTCTTCATGAATTTTATCTGCCTCAGTTCATTTCAAGCCCCCATGCTCTTCTGAACCAATTTCTGGTAATTTTCATCAGCATTAATGGAATCTCTTCAAGAGATACTATATTCAGTGTTGAAATGTTAAATGTAATTAAATTTACTTGCCGAGGTGGGGGATTAACTGCACCCACATTATCGTGGAGTACTTCTTCCAAAAATTGGAAACCGTAAAAACAGAGGTGGAGATGAAAAAGAATTAAAAAGGGAGACTTTCAGTTAATTGTGAGGCTGTGTCTGTAGAATCAGACGTAACCCTGAGGTGCTGCCCTGGCCCTGACTTTAGTTTGTAGATGCTGGTACTTTTGGGCATGTATTTGGCAAATAGAATGCATAGATATTGACCAGATGTCATGCATATTCCATTTAGGAACTTATTTTATCTCTGGGTGTGTAGAATTAAATAGGAAATTTACATTTCTTCATTTAAAAATTTATAAACCTGACCTCTCTGTTTATTTTGTTATTATTCTGAAATAAAAATCAATAAAATTATTTTGCACATCCAGTGTGCTCTTGATTATTTACCCATAATATCGCATTAAACTTTCACAAGGGCCCTACATGTTAGACATTATCTCAGTATGATTGATGTGAAAATTTACGCTAAGTAATTATTCCATTACATGGTATTTCTGAGATCACAGAATTAAATGAACACAGGATTTTGTATCCACGTGTACTTAACTGAAGCTGACCCTCCCTCCTTCAGCCTTCTTCTATCCATGGGCATTGCTCAATTTAAGCATCTCACTTAGATTTTAGAAAACCCTCCTAGATTTCTGCCTGTTCTTAGACCACTCTCACTGCATACGCCCCTTCTGTTTTGTTTTACGATTTACCTCCATCCAGGTGCTCCAGGCACTTTTCCCTTACAAGAAACTTTTTGAGCCACTGATCAGCATGGAGCTCAGGATGATGGTGGATACCATGTGAATTACTGGTGTCAGAATTCCCAGGGCAACTGTTATAAATGCAGCTTCCTGACTCAGTTGCATTGTGGCTGCATAGAGGCTACGCCCATCCTAAGGAGGGCAAGTGAGTCTATCCCTGTCAATTTTATGTAAGAGCTTACTGTTTGCATTCATTTTTAGAAGGAAGCCAGAAAAACTTTATCAGCCTTGCTTAAAAATAGCATTCATGTCTTTGAGAAACTTTGAGAAAACGTGAGTTTTCATGAGATCCAAAATTCTTAGTGTATTTAACCAGGTATGAAATAGGCCCCTTCATTGTAGTGTAGAGGAAATAATATGAGATTGGTGGTCAGAGGCTGTTTTCTGTGCTAGCACCGACGCATTCTAATTGTATGATTCTAAGAAAAGATGCATGTGTTTTTAATATAACTTTCTCAGAGTAACAGTGGCAACCTTCTTATCACTGTGGTCCAGGCTCCATATGATGCTGTCTATGAAGTGTGTGGTGTCTTCCTCTTCCATCTGTAGAAGAATATTTTACTGGAGCAAGATTAGGACTGAATATTTCTATATGTAAACCTTTATTTTTTGATGATGTGTTGGTGTTATTTTAGAAAAGGTGGATAGTCACAATTTTTGAAAGCTGAATGCTGACGGAATTTAAGTTACAAGGTGAATATTCGGCACAGGGAATGCACTGCTGTTACTTCACTGTGCTTGATGCTCTCACCAGAACATCTGCCAGCATTTATGTGGTGCCAAAAGGTGTAGTTCAGTGACGGTCGTTCTCCATTTCCTTGTTTTTCTTTTCTTTCTTTGTTTTGGTTTTTGGTTTGTTTATTTCCTAACTGGGGCAATATATTTTGAGAAAGAACAATGGAATAGAATCAGGTCCCACTCTGATGTGAACTTTATTTCATTTCATTTTCTTTTCCCTGGAATGTCCCAAATGGGCTTTAAAGCTGCTCATTTTAGTCAGTTAATCTCTCTCCACTTCAGTTTCCATAACTGCAAAATTAAAAGCTTCAATTCTATGATCCCTTCCAAATGAGTAGGAATTTATTGTCTCTCATACAGGGGCTTCCCAGTGCCAAGTTAGGGTATACTGTAGCTGTAATGCAGACCAGATGAGCAGAAATGGGCTCTCACTTCATTCTGTGGCCTATTCTGTGTGGGTGTCTCATCCACTGGTCTCCATCCTTTGTTAATCTCAGTCCTTGGTCAGTAAAAGTCTTCTGAGTAAGAACATCCATTTTATGCTCATTTATTTATACATGATACAAATACTACTGTACTAACATTTGTGATATAAAAATATAATAAAAACTAAAGCAGAGAACAGTACATTTAAACATAAGTTCAAACCGTCCCTTCCCCTTCCCATGCCCCACTTCAGAGGCAACTGCTGCCCCTACTAGCTAAGCTGCATCGCTGAGCATATTGTAAGGAAGTTAACAATCAAATTTGAAACCTGAGATATGAGAAATAGGTAATTTATGAAGCTTAGACATTTATCCTTGTCCTGTCTTGATTATTACTGGAGTTGGGGGTCAACCAAAGATGACAGTTATATAATTTTGAATGATTGCTCTTGGTTTGCAAAGGAGTCCATCACCACCAGAGATTCTGCAGATAGGGAGCCAATAAGATAACGTTGACATCACAGTGCAATCCATCTAGGGGCTGGAAAACAATCCAAGGTGTTTGCTGATCTGTGTATGTTGATGACATATAGTAGACATATGTTTATATATCCCTTTGGATACGCTGTTTAATGGATCACTATCAACCTGAAAAAGAGTCTGTGGCAAATCATTGAGCTCTGTACTTTCTATTCAAAACTATAATCAAAGACTTGGACTAATATCTTCATAGCAAGCTATAGAATTTGCAGGTTACACAGGGCTAAGAAAATATGCATATGTTTGATACAGAATTCTGTTCCAAGAAGAACATAAAACGCTGAAAAATATAAGATAAAAAAATAAAAATTTGGGATGCATGTCCCACCTTGTCTGCAGGTTCAAAGTTATCATCTGAAGAGTCTGTAGCGTAGGTAAGTCTGGTTTGACAGGGGTTCAGAAAAAAAAAATTTATAGTTGAATTCAGGTTTCCTATAAAGCAGCTATTTCATAATGGGAAGAAAGCTACTGTAACCTTAAGTTATATTATTGGAAGTTTAATTTCAAAGTTGTAAGAAAAGTGATACTTTTAGGCCATATGTGAAATCATATATAAACTGTTGGGTGTTTTGAGTTGTGGAAGAGGCCATGGAAAACAAGAGGGCAATGCAAAGGTGTGGGCAGAGGAGGAGGGGGCTTCTAAAAACAATGATGAAACCTCTAAACTACCCCTGTTTGAATTACAGAAGAGAAGATTTTTCAAATGGTTTTTCAAAGTCTACTGTGTCAGTGAAAAAGTCAGTCTCACGCTTTGGTAAATTAGAAGCCAGAAGTAGAACAGAAGATAGAATCATTTTATTTTTATAAGAAACCATACTATGAATTTGATTACCAGAGCTATCCTTCCATGGAATGGTATGCATTGGGGTTTGAACTGCTTTTGTTGTCAACTTTCATTGAGAAACTGCTGGAAAGGCTGACGCTTGAAGGAGAAGGATGATGAACTAAATGACTTTCTAGATCCCATCCACATATAAAATTCTACGAGACTTTAAGACGTTGCATCTAGATTGATTAGAACTAGATCAGATTTGGATATGTAAAACTCTAGAAAAGACATAACAATATATGCAGTACCCATTTTTCTGCATGCTAAGGTTTCTGCAGGTAAGATGTGAATTTTGAAAACACTGCCCAAGTGAATAATGTACACTTGTTATGTAAGACAGAAAATAATAAGAAAGTTAGATTATTCCCATAAATATGTATTCATTCTTTACATAAAACTCCATGGAAAATACCTTAAATTATATACTGAATATCTGTTTCCTCACTTAGCAACTGGTTAACCATGGGTAGTCTATCTCTCTATTTCCCCATCTGTAAAACAGAAATAACAGTTATAATAATGGTGATAGTATTTCCTGAGTCCCTAAAGAGTAGTCAGTCCACTGTGGGAAAAGAAGGAGGACATTGCTTTTTGAGAAAAAAAAAAATGGCCTAAGTTTATTAAAACATGTTCTCCATGTTGAGTAGAGTAGGATAGGATTTAACTCATTGGGCTTAAGTAAATACAAGGTCTACAGTATTTATTAGATATGCATGCTTTGTTGACTGTTTAATTTCTGAGGAGACTATTGCTTTTCCCACTTGAACAGCAAGGGAAAATTGTTTGGGAAAAAATTGGCCCAATATGTAGGGAACAGCTGCCGGGATGATGCATAGCTTGCTGCTGGACGCCGCAGCCGGGGAGGCCAGTGGTGATCAGTCCAGCCCTCTCTATCAGGTAAAACTGCAGTTGATGGAAATTACAGTCCCTAGTTTCAGGGGACACAAAGATAATTTGGTTGTTCCTAAAAAGGCATAAACAAAATATTGGCTAAGCACAGACAGATGTTAAGGTTATACTTTGTACATGAATTCATGTACTTGAACTCGGTTTAATGGAGTTGAGCTTATGGTGTAAGATCTTGCAGCTCATTATAACTAAGTTGTTATGGGCTGCTAATTTGCTAGAAGCTGCTGTATCATGAGCCAGCCCAACTGCCTTGATGGGTCTCCTGGTAGTTAATATGGATTAAATGTGAATCTTTTATTTTTTCCCCTGTGGTCTCACATAATGATATTAGCTTGTCTACGGTGTGACAAATTCAGTGTACCAAGAGCATCTGGTACACTATTCTTTATGACTGAAAATAAGCCTGCAAACTTGATAATGTACATCCATTAAGACACTTCCGCACATTGGAGCAATGTAGACGGGTGATGGCTGTGGAAGGAATCTGTTGGTCACAGTTCATTTTGCTCCAACTTATACAAATGATTTCAACGGTGGTACATTTATCACTGCTACATTCTTACAAGTTCTTGTTTGATTAGCAGGATGCAAATATGGATCTATCCTTTGCTAGGCTGTACTTAATTCGTTCCCAGCAGAGGAATTTTAAAAAGTTAAAAAAAAAAAAAAAAAGGAAAGGAACTAAAACCTTCACAGCTTGAAGATAGGTTTAAATTCAGTCTTTTGAAGTTGATCTGAGAACGGATCACACTGAAATGTTCAAATCATTAAGCTGCTTTAGTAGAGAGAGTATTTAATTGAATGCGCAGTATTGTAAGAAATGAACAGTAAAATCAATCCTGTTGTCCCACATGGGTTTAAACAAGTTAATATAAGAATGTTCATGTTTTGAATATATTACTTCCTAAGCAGCAGGGAAATATATTTCTCAGATGAAACAAAAGCGTTGACATGCATACATATATTACATACCTTATCAAGAATAGGAAATACCAATGGGCCAGCTATCTCTGTATTGCCTCTGCTATCCCACTAACTGAGTGATACTGATTTATTCACTTAACCTCTCTGACTGCCAGTTCACTTTACCTGTGTGATTGCCAGTTCACTACTCTATTTATTTATTTATTTATTTATTTATTTATTTATTCATGTATTTGTGATGGAGTCTCGCTCTGTCGCCCAGGCTGGAGTGCAGTGGCACGATCTCAGCTCACTGCAACCTCTGCCTCCCGAGTTCAAGCGATTTACCTGCCTCAGCCTCCCAAGAAGCTGGTACTACAGGTGCGTGCCACCGTGCCTGGCTAATTTTTGTATTTTTAGTAGAGACGGGGTTTCACCATGCTGACCAGGCTGGCCTCGAACTCCTGACCTCGTGATCTGCCCTTCTCAGCCTCCCAAAGTGCTAGGATTACAGACATGAGCCACTGCGCCTGGCCCAGTTCACTACTCTTTACATAAATGGATTATAGTTTATACCCTAAATCAATCATTGGGTCATTGTGAAGATAAAATAGAGTAACAATATGGCTGTTAATTGTACAAATAATAAAACTATTATGCTATTACGTTAGGGTACAATTTTAATAATAACTCCCTCTTACCTGATGTCAGCCCTATGGTAACCTCAGTCCCCTCAATCAACAGTGGATGTGACAGCAGCAATTAAAATTCACTCTGGAGGCAATGAGGAGCAGGAGCTATGAAAAATAACACACGGAATGGGTGAAAAAAAATGTCAACATAAATGAAGCAGAAGAAACTGAGACTATTTTTTTGGGTGTAAGAACCTGTATCTACTGGTGTCCATAGCCCCAGTGGACTTTATTGTGTTTGCCTAATTACGGAAAAGCTCTACTGTTGACAGGGACATTTAGGGACTGGCAAACTAACATCCTTGCAGTGCAATATAGTGCAAGATCCATGTTTACACTATTGACCCTCAAATGTCAAAAACATAGTTAAATTTTATTAACTATTTTCTTGTCAGTGAAACACATGAGTTCCATAAAATTTCAAAGGGTTTCTTATTTGGAGTATGGAAATAGATGAGATGTTGCATCAAATTCAGTAAACGAAGAAAATTAGGATCATTGTTGAATATCAACCTTTTGCTTATGTCAAACTTCCAATGTAATTTGCCTGATGGTAAATTTGCCCCTAAACTCCAATAAGATGGAATCTAATTGCTCTCTGAAACACAACCACACACATTCAGTATTTGTCAAGGTCTGTGCTTAAATCCCTGCTGTTCTTTGAGCCTGGAATGACATCCCTTTCACATGGTCAAATAATAATCTCCCATTGTCCGTCTCAAATACTAGTTCCTGCATGTGACGTTGCCCTCCTTGTCCCCACACCCTTCCATCTTTTCTAAGGGAAAGTCATCTTTGAAATTCATTTGCATCTCATTACAATTTAGCATTACTTTGCATTCTATTTAATGATGTGTTGATTTCAACTATTTTACTAGACTTAGAACTGTCAACAGGATCCACACCTGAATTAATTTTATGCTCGTATCTTCCCTGACTGCGTCATTCAGCACCTTGCAGAATGCTTTCCACATAAGCATCTGTTGCCCTACTGCTGTTTTACTTATTTATTCCATAAATGTTGATTTGATACCTAATATGTGATAATATACCAGAGATTTCGATGAGAAGATAATGTCATTCTTGCCTTGAAATAAAACATAATAATAAGTCAAAAATAATTGGAACTTTTGATTAGCTGCCAGGCAAAGTGCGAAAGACTCAATACACCCCTGTGGTCATTGTCAGTGAGAAGATGGCACGCTCTCGGCATTTCATATATATACTAGAAAACTCCGACACTGTGGGTATTTAACAGAAATTCAGCAGCAGTACCACCATATTGTTGGGGGCAAATTTTGATTTCCAGTGGTCAAATTAGGTAACTCACTGGGAATTCTCCAGCCACCGAAGAGACTGGAAACTATTCCTAGTCTTGAAATACTGACAGACATTCAACTCTCAAAGAGCTACTGCACTCTGAAATTCATTAGAACGTTTTAGGTTAGGAAGAAGGCAAATGATGAGAAAACAGACTGTTCTGCTAGGAAGGAGGTAAATGATGAGAAAATGGATTATTCTGCCATGTAATGATGTAGGATAAAAATATCTGAAAGTGTCAATTTTATGACTGAGTTTATTTTTTTTAATGTAGATTTCACAATTTGGACAGAGAGCTTTGCAGCTAGGTTGATAGAAATCAAGTATCTACTGATGCTTTTCTGAAAAGTCAGAACAGTGTTCTTCCTCACTCTGAAAAGTTTTACATACATTTCTTGGTGGCCAATAAATGGAGCATAACTTTGAAGATGCTGTCATCTTCTAATATAACTGTACTGTAATAAGTAACCTTTTAAAATTATATATATTTATATATAATTATTTAATCTTAATTGTATGTAATTTAACTATATTTTATATGATTAATATGTTAAGAAAAATTAATTTTTATCCTTTGGAAATTAGGATTCACTAAAATATTCTAAATAAATGAGTAACATAATCACATTTGTTATTTTTCATGAAAAATTTTGGCTGTATTTTGAAAAACAGATTGAAAGCAAGTATGAACAGGGCAAGAGATTAATTAGGATACTGAGTTTAGGAATCTGGGCAAGAGATACTTGTGGCCAAAACTGGAGTGGTATTAGTGCATCACTCGGCAGATTAAAGATGATTTGTTATGTATGTCTGGAGAGGACAGAGTCTAGAAAGATTTGCAAATCTGTGGATCAGGCAACTTGGGCAAATGATGCTGTCGTTCTGTGAGATAGGAAAATGAAGAAGTGGGAGTAGGTTTGTAGGATTTGGTTGATTTTGGTTTTGGATGTGAACCTCTTGGTTTTGGGAATGAATGTCAGTGGATAAACACCAAGAACTAGTCATTGAGGCTTTCGGAATGGATGAGCTTGTTCAGAGAAAGTATAAGAATCACAAGGAGAATGGTGGCTTAAGAGAGGAAGAGACAGCCACAGAGGAAAATGAGAGGGTCAGCAAAAGAGGTGGGAAAGAAAGCAGGAGGTGGTGTGTCAGAAACCATCAGAAGAGTTTGTGCGGGAAGGAACAGGAGACCAACAAAGTAAAATGCTGTTACCAGGTCAAGTCGAGTACATGATGTTTGGTGATAAGAGCATGTATAATTATTCCATTGATATGGATATTTAGCTATTTAAGTTTCAACAAAGAGCATTGAGTAAGAAAGGATAAACATCATACTTTGTCACTCAAATATTTCTGTTCTGAAAAACATTATTCCTAAAACGGGTTAGTTATACAAAGGATGTACAATGATGACACAGAGAGTAGAGGGGAGAGAGAGGTAGAGTGAGGGAGCAATTCATGGAAAAAGATCATTGAACAGAAATTCTGCATTGGAAGTGCTATAAAAGTGATCTAATGTCATATTTTAGATTTTCCCAGATCGATAGTTTGAGTTTGCTCTTCACTATTGCACATTTTCTCATATGGATGCAAACATTATTTGTTGAGGTCAAGTAAGGCATCCATCCACTCATCCATCTATTCCTCATGTACTGAGAGCACTCTATGGTAGATGAGAAGAAGGTGATAATGCAAAAGCATGGTGCCTGTCATCAAGGCATATATGGTCCAGGAGAGGAGACAGGAATGTAAATAACAGAATTCAGGAAAGCGTTGTTAGTGCTATGAGAGTGGTGGACAATTCTTCTCAGGTGCTGAGATTGAGGGTGAGGTCAGAAATGTGCATATATATAGAACAGATGGCAATTAAATGAAGTAATGTGATTCATCACTGTAAAATTGAAAGGCAAAGGCATTTTTGCTAGACTTGAGGAACAAGGAAAGGATAGAGAAGAGGAAATGGATATTTGGAGCAATGAGTGAATAAATGCAGATTGAACACATGCAAAGTCCATTTGAGGAAATGCAAGTCATCGATTTTGGCTGAGGCTAGGATTCTGGTACTTTTGTCTTTCACCCTTTAAATATAGAAAGGCTGCTTTCTCTATTGTGGTATAAGTATAGGCAAAGATGTTGGTGTACACCCCCTCTCTGTCTTCATTGCCCTTGTTTGGTATATCTGAGTTTGGCAGTGCTCCTCTTAAAAGTTAAGGGCCATTATTTGAAGGAATTATTTCAGTTGTAGTGTGAACTTGAACAGTACAATAAGTATAATTCTTTCTGTGGTTGGACATAATAATTCTAATATTTTATTTCCAGGCAGGCGAGGAAAACTAAAATAAAAGAGAGTGTGAAATGATGAGCTATAGTTCTTCCTCATTAAAGAAATTTGTGCTATTATTTTTGCTGTATTGTTCCTGATTATATAGCCTTCATTAAAACAGTGGAAATAAATATTCCTAGAGCTTGGAAGCAATGGGTTTCTGAACTGTTAGTGTGGGTTAGACCGCTTGTTACAGTTCCAGCTAATCTTTGGGAAGCTACTTAACATCTCTAAGTCTGAGATGTCCCCGACAATCAAATGCCTACCTTATTGAGTCAACATTGGAATAAATAAGTTAATACATGTGAAGCACTTAGCAGAATAAGGTACATGATAAGTAATTGCTTAACATATTAACTGCCATTATGTGCTGTTATCATAAGTAGAATAGTCATCCCCAAGCAGATATGAGCATAATAATCACTAATGGAACATTTTCAGAATGCACATGCTGGGCTCTGTTGCCTCCACATTTGTGTCTTCAGTTCTCGGGGAATGGACCCAGGCATTTTAAACAGTTCTAGAGATTATTGTGATAGAGTTTAGAGTCACCCATATAATATTGCTACTAATTTTTTAAGCATAATGGAATTATACATCATCTTCAAATACCAAGACATGTAGCCTTTGTTAATTTCATGGAGTCCTGTCAGCTAGTGAATTAAATAAACTGTATTAAACATGCTTTATTTGGCTAACAAGGCATTTGGCAAGAGAAAATGGCAGAGCAAAAGCAGATGGAACACTGCAGAATGAAGGAGTTGGAGAGAAAGAGGTGTTTCGTTATATTTTTATTTTATTGAATGTGTTCTGGAAAGGTGCTTATGATTCCATTTCCAAGTTCTGATTCCTGTCATCTGCTGCCTTGCTGGGTAACCCAGGATGACACTGTCGTTGTTGAAAACATTAATCTGTCAGTTTTGTAAACTTTCACAGACAGCTCTTTGCCACAGTTTCTGACTCACCAATGAGGTGTACACGGCTTTACAGTTGACATTGATTTGTTCCATTCCATCTTGACATCATGGCTTGTTCTGTCCAGATTTGTTGGACACTCTGCTGTAGGCTTCCAATTATTACCCTGTCATTTGTGCCACTTCCCCTTCAAACTTGGCTTGGCAACATGTTTCAGTGGGGTAAAATTAACATTGCCAAGAGACGTGGCTGTAGAGTCAACTCATTCATGTGAAATGGGAATTAAAAGTGATGTAAGAAAAAAGATCACCCAGGCATACTCAATGGTATTAATTGTTGGTCAGTGCAGAGAGGAGAGACACCAGGCGGCAAGAACTCACCTACAGAGTGGTGATACTATCATATCTACTTATGATAACAGCACATAATGGCAGTTAATATTTTAAGCAATTACTTATCATGTACCTTATTCTGCTAAGTGCTTCACATGTATTAACTTATTTATTCCAATGTTGACTCAATAAGGTAGGCATTTGATTGTCGGGGACATCTCAGACTTAGAGATGTTAAGTAGCTTCCCAAAGATTAGCTGGAACTGTAACAAGCAGTCTAACCCAGAGTGGGAAACTAGGACAGAGAAACCACAGTTCTGTACCTTGATCCTCTCCCAGGTAGAACATCTAAGGAAAAAGTTTAGACAATGATAATGACTGAAATCTGCTTTCTAATTAAATACTTCAGAGCACTTGAGTGGTTATTTTGCTCTATTATTGCAAACATTGTCACTAAGTCAGACTCCATAAAACCATTCAATCTTAGCTGCAGAAGAAATACAGAATTGCTGTTTCATTCTCTTATTTTACATGCAGCTAACTCGATCGTGGTGGCATTTGTGCATCTGAGAACCAGGTCTCATCTATAGACAGGATGGGCCAGACATAGGGATAGTGAATGAAGCATGGGGACTGTAGCGGGCCACTGGGGGAAATAGATAATTTGCTGAGACTCTGTCAGGAGCCAGTGGGTATATTAGCTAGTGGTCAGTCGTAGGAAAGGAGGAGGGAAGAAGTTGAAGTGGAGCAGAGGGATGTATCAGGAGGATGTCATCTAATAGGCCCAACCTACCATCCAGTGGAGCCACCAGCAGGAACAGGTGTGGAGAGGCAGAACATCCTCCCCAAGAAGGTTGAGTAGTCAACAAAATGCTTCTGTAAAGGCCCAGGCCTAGAGAAGGACTTCTCTCTGTATTATTGACCCAGGGATTTGCTCAAAATAGAACTAGGTATGAACCCAAATTTCAGAAATAGAGGACACAGCAGGAAAGTTGACCGAAACCTGAAGTATGGGACTTCAGACATTCTTTAAATCTTTCTAAACAGGAACATGATCAGCATCTTGGTGTAGGATATGGTTATGCTTAGAAGGAGAGCAGAGGGACCAACCTATGCCACTAGAATATTCCAGCTCAGGGGTTCAGCAGATGTCACAAAGACCTGGGGCGTTTTAGATTCACTCCTGCTCTGACCTGTCCTTCTTTGCCCTGAGCTTGCCAAGTTATTTTAAAAGATGATCTGACTGCCAAATAAAGAAGATGCACTGAACCCTTGTGTTAACCCCTGCTTCCTTGCCAAAATGGCAGTAAGACTTTTAAAAGGGGTTATAACCCCCTAAACATAGAGAGTGGGTAAATAAAGAACCATATTTCATCAAGTTTGAGAGGCCATCAATTTTTAGGGTTACTTAAAGCACTGTGAAGAAAGCAACAGTACTTCCAATAAAGAGTCACACACTATCAAATGCAAGTCATCCCAATTCATGAGCTGGTAAACCCAGAGATATTAAAGTGTGAAAAATGTGTGACTTAGAATGGATGAAAGAAGGTAGATGGACAAAGTGGGAAGTGACTTATTATACCCAAGGGAATGGAGTTCTAAGCAGGGGGGTGAGTTAAATCGTAGACCAATTTACACAGGAAAATCTCTCGAAGGTGCGGGGTGTGGGTGCATGGGGCATGAAGTATAGTGGTAAGCTCCGGAGATTGGCTGAACACTAATTTAGATATCAGCTAGATCTCCAAATCCCCTACCCCACCATGCCAAAAACTAGAGGCTTTTTCTCTGGAAGGGGTGAAATTAATTCTCTTGACGCAGGGACCACAAGAAAAACTGTTAAAAGTGAGGTATTGAATACAGTTTTACTTGCTAAATTTTGAGACCCACCCCTCCTCAATCTTGCTTAGCTTTGCGGAAAAAGAGCAGGCAAATGTTTATGCACAAAGCTGGAGCTAGGAAGAGCCTTTTCAGGGGATTCTGCATGATGTTCTGCACACAGTGGTTCTCCTGGAAGGCACAGCTAACAAGCCTCACTCATGCTGGCGCTCATACAAGTGTCAGCTCTTTCACCCCAACAGTCACATATGAGCAGACTGCCAGGGAAGTTGAGATACCTTCAAAAATACATATTTAAAACAAACAGAAAAATCATAAAATAGGAACTATGCAGAGAGAAGAAAACAAACATGACCACATTAATACTGTGGAGAAAGAAGAGAGATGATTTTACATCCATAGAATAAATACCAGATGCAAATTAAAAGAAATATTCAGAGAATAAAAACTAGCTCCGAGAAATTAAAAGCATAATAATAGCAATGAATTATTCATTAGAGACTTACATGATTAAATTGATAAAACTTTTCAGAAAGTAAAACAGAAGATAAAGAAACAGAATAATACAAGAGAAGAAGACTAAAGGAAGAAACCTTGAGGACTAGATTTTAGCATCTGAATAATGAGAGTTGAAGAAAAAGCAAGAGTAATGTTAAAAAGGAGGAGAAAAGCATTAAAAATTTTCAAAAGAATTGCTTAGAATAAACAATAGGTTTTTGATCGAAAGATCCCTAAATAAATAGATCACAAAATATCCAGCAAACATGTCTAAAAATAGAGGTATATCAAGATATGTCACCACATACAACATGTTTTCTGGGAGAAAGTGAAAGCAGATTTCATAAAAAAAAAAGAAAAAAGAAAAGAAAACCTCTGAAAGTTTTCACACTTCTCAACAGCAACATTGGAGAGTAGAAGATAATGAAGCAAAAAATCACTGTCTCAAAACCCTGAAGGAAAATGATTTCCAACCTAGAATTCTCTATTTCTTTACTAAGTCCTATTATTCACTAAGTGTGAGAGTAGAATAAAAACATATAAAGATGTGCAAAGTGTCAGAACATAATACCTCTCATTCATTCTCTCTATCTCTGTGTATCTGGAAAGACATTTTCTACCAGAAAAGGAAATAAAGTAGGAGAATGAAGAAGACAACTCATAGAGGAGACAGGAATCCACGGAAGAGAGGGACAAAGGAAATCTCCCGCCTGAAGATGGAGAGAGATCCCAGAAGACAGCTGTGCAAAGAAGGCAGCCAGGCCAGATTGGAGCAGGTCAAAAACTCCAGGAGAGATTTCTTCAGTAGTTGACATATTATTTCATATGTTTGTGTGAAGAGAAGTTTTATACAAATCGGAGGAGTTTGGGGTTTGATAAGTCCATAGACAACTGAGCAAAGGAACAAAAAACTCCAAGTTCTTAACTTAGGGAAAACAAAATGTTGTATGTGAATGGAAATGAAACTGTGCAAAAAATAGTATGTGCATCTTGTCTTAGGCTGTTTAGGTTGCTATAACCAAATACCATAAATTGCATTGCTTATAAATAGCTGAAACATTTCTTACAGTTCTGGAGACTGGGAAACACAAGATCATGGTGCAGGCAGATTTGGTGTCTGGTGAGGGCCCACTTCCTGGTTCATCTAGTCACCTCCCAAAGGCCCTAACTCCTAATACCCTCATCTTGAGGGATAGCATTTCAACATGTGAATCTTGGGCAGGGGATGGAGACACAGGCATTTAGACCATAGAAATGAAGAAGCCTCAATATTGTTAAGACTTAACAATTGTCCATTTTTATACTTCCTTAAATCTGGATGATACCATCCCAACTAATGCTATACCACAAAGTTAAGTAACATATTTATTGAGGGAAGTAATGAAACTATGGCGATGAGTTTTCTGATTTCAGTTTTCATACTAAGTTAGCTAAGTCCCCCCAAGAGACTTTACATGCTTTTATCTACTTAAAAACATTTAATAAACTCCATTTAATTAAACCAAATAAATCATTAATTTAGGCTGTTTAGGAAAAGTTATAAAATGTTTGATAATTTTTCTTATAATAATCCTAATGTATTATATGGTTCAATAATGTGCTATTCTAGGATGAAACCATTTAAATCTGGTTCTTTGTACATTTTAATGAACTTTTGCATCATATCTCCAATACTTTTATGAATATTTATGATCTCTTACATAAGTTGATTTCCACATAGTGGGGAGATTTAGGCTTTCTAACACTGCTCTGCTTTTTCTTATAACTTCTTTTACCATTGGATGTCCTCTCTAAACCACCAGGTACTCTAAATTCCCATGAAATCTTAATGTCTCTGGGCAGTCTCTGTATTACATTTTATGCAGCCTGATTTACATCACCACATCTCCACCAGAATTACCCAGGAGAAGGCCATACTAGTGATCCTTTACCCCAGAATTACTCTTCTATTTATTATCTTGGCTTCTATTGTTTCTTCTATTCTGCAAATCTAGATAATCTTTAGAGATATTTCTTCTTTCTTGACAGTCTCACTTTTGCTGAATTAGTTTAGTACTACATATTTACTTATAACCAGAATTACAAGTTTCAGTAAATATATTCACATAGTTCTAATTTTCCAGTTAACTTCTTGTATACTCACCTGCCCTTATTAGCAACATCCCTCTCTTGAATGCTGTTTCATCTCAAATTTTCCAAGAAACTCAGCAGCTTATTCATTCCTGAGAGGTCTGTCCTCCCTCAAACCCCAAACTGTGTTAGAGATGGATAATGTCATCTTTCCATTTACCCCACAGTTTAAGTATCCTCCAGTGCAAAAGAATCTCATCCATTCTTGTGAAAATGCTGTGTCTTCTCTAGATGCCTTTGGGCCACAAAAATGTCTATACCAAGGAGAAAAATTAATCCTCAGTTGAAAAATCAGTCAGTCTTTCCAAGTTAGAGAACCTCCATTCTAGCTCTTCTTGTTTCCATTCACAAGCTCAGTTATCAACTCCAAAGAGAATACCATTCCAGTTCAGGGTGGTTACATCTTGACAGATCCTAGCCTCAGTGGTGTGGCAAGGCCCAAACAGTTTTCCCTGTAAGCCATAGACCCTTGGCTTGGGGTAAGGTAGGAAATGATTGCCTTGAGAGAGTTTCCACACAGCAGTGCAGAAAGGAGGAAGCCTAGCAGGGTCTCAGTAGTTAAGACAGTGCTGAGAGTCCAGGGAGTTCATGGGTCCAAATATCAGAAAGGCAAGGTGCCCTTTCTCATATTCAGCAAACAACTTAGCAGCCCATGTATGTAAGGAAACTAGCAGAGACCAGGGAAAGAACCATCTGAAAGGATGTGAGGAAACTGTGCCTGGTACTCACACAGAGGTGGGAATGTTTGCCAGCACCCACCAGCCAAGCTGGGAGAACCCATAGTCCATGGGGCATTGAGTTGGGGCTCAGAAGTGTCTTGCCTTCATAGGGCAGGATGATTAGCCCTAGACTACATGCTGTTCTGCTCCCCCTAACAAATCTAAAAAGCAAGGCTCAAAAGTATCAAATTGCTTTCACATAACTTAATGTGCTTCATAAAAGAGCTGAAGACAATTATAGGAATACAAACCTATCCAGAACCCAAGAAGTAAAATGAAAATGTCTGTGTTGAAAGATGATTACATGTCTAGAGGAGCAGAAGATATGACCCAGATTGAGGAGAAAAAAGTCAATCAGCTGAAACTAGCACAGATGTTAGAATTAACAAAAAGGATAATTAATATAGGTATAATCAACATGTGCAAAAAGTTAAATAAAGTCATGAATGATACAAAAAAGACCCAAATGAAATTTTTAGAGATGTTTGATTCATCAGTGTCTGATATAAAAATACACTGGATGGGATAAATGGTAGGTTAAGCATTGCAGAAGCAAAGCTTAGTTAACTTGAAGTCAACAATAGAAACTACCCAAATTAAACACAAAAGGAAAAAAAAAATTGAATTGCAAGAGAATCCATGAACTGTGGGACAATTCCAAGTGGCCTAAAATGCACTTAATTGGAGTCATTGAAGGAAAGGAAATAATGGAGAACAGAAAAACAATTCATAAAGAAATAATGGCCTAAAATGTTCAGATATGCTGGAATCTATAAAGCCAGATATCCAAGCTGAATAACCCAGGCATAAGAAACATGAAGAAAACTACACCAAGCAACATAATCATCAAATTGCCCAGTGCTTCTGGTAAAGAGAAAATCTTAAAAGCAGAGAAAAATTAAAAAGAAACACTATATACTGAGCAGAGATCGTGCCACTGCACTCCAACCTGGACGACAGAGCGAGACTCCATCTCAATTAAAAAAAAAATAAAAAAATACAAAATAAACACTATAGACATATAGAGAAATAAATTTAAGGGTAACTGTATTTTGTGGTGGTGGTGGTGTTAGAAACAGTGCAAACAAGAGGATGACAGAGCAAAAACGTCTTCCAAAATGAGAACCACATATATACCTTTTGAAGGCCTGTCAAGCTGGAAGACTTCTTTACCCAAAGAACTGCACCATAATAACAACTCTAAGGTTGTTCTTTCAGAGGGAAGGAAAATAAAGCCAGATGCAAATACAGATCTACATGAATGGATGAAGAGTCTTGGAAAATCTGACTGCGTGCTGGGAAGGAAGCTTGCAAACGAGAAAGTCATCTCCCATTGTCACCCCTCCTGTGAGACTGACAAGAGGTGAAACCATGGAGAAGTCACCACCTGAAGCGGGGATGACCAAGAGCAACATCCGTCCTAGCGGAAGCCCCTGGTTGATGAATTCTGACTCCAAATACTGCACTGTTTCACCATGTTGAACTTCGGTAACACAGGAAAGTGGGCAGCAAATCAAAGTACTTTAGATGCTACAAAGAATGAATTTCCATCGACATGTGAGGAGTTCTGTATGGTCTTCAAGTATTATGTTTTTAAAAGTGTTATCAACTTAAAAGTATGGGTGAGTTTCCTGTTTCACAGAGAGATTTAAGATGCAATACGTTAAGAAGTCTAGAAGTGAAAAAATCTTCTAAAAGTTGGATATTATGAAAAGGGATTTCCAGAAAGAAAAAAAAGCAGTAGGACTTTAAGAGAGAAGAAGAAGTTAGATGCATAAAATACATTCAGCCGAGATCTTGTTAATTTCTTAACTATAATACTTTGATGCCCTTCAGAATATGTAAGAATAAAAGTTTGAGGTTAAAAAACAAAATGTTCCCTCAGTTTCAGCACCTTAAAGGGAAAATTAAGCTCTCATTTACAAAGTGTCTTTTACTTTGTTTCCCAAAATAATGTCAATATTAAAATGTGCACCTATGGAAAAGAGCCAGGATATTTTTAATGTATATAGGGGACACACCAGATTCTACTTTTTAAAGACCTCATGCAAGAGTGTCCTGGGGTAGCAAGTAAATAAAATCTTATTTTCTGGAAAGATATATCCCTGCAACCTTTTGAGTTTAAATTCTCCAAAACTGACTCCTGAGCTATTTTTCAGTATGAGAAAGCATTCTTGTTTCTTATCCCCAAAACATAACTGTTTAGATAATTTATTTTTAAAAGGTATTAAATGTGACATTGTAAAAACTTTCCCTGCCATTCCTTATTAAAATACATGATTTGCTCTGGTTATTTTCATTTTTAAAAAAACTTAAGTGTATGAGGAAAGAAAACATCAGTAGTAAAATATGGTACAAAATCCTGTTGTTGGAACAGCTGAGATTTTTGAAGTACTGATTGAATCATTCATTAAAGTTTTCAACAGTGGATTTGAGGCAGTTTTGTAGAAGCATTTTTCATTGGTTCAATTGTCTGTTTTTAAGGCGATATATCAAATATCTCAAAGGTTATGTACTTAGTAATGAGGCTGTGTAGAATTGGTATCATTGTCATTCTGCTGGAATGCAAAGTTATGAAGAGTGTGGGTTATAAAGCATTATTTTCTTCAATCTACAATATATAAGTAATATGAAGAAAGCAGTAAACACTATAGAGTTGGCCAGAAGGCCAGTAGGGAATAAACACAAAACTCCAAAAGATAATTAAAAACTGAACTCTTTTTCTCATTAAATGCTATACTTGTGGTATCAGGAGTATTGGTACCTGTTGGGTGCTGACCGTCTGCCAAAGATAGCACAGGATAATTTTTCATGACAGTATCTCCTTTAATCCTCATATCCATCTTATTAAATAAGTATTTAAGTCTGTTTTACAAATGATGAAACTGATACTTACATGAATTAACTTATTCAAAGTTGCATGGCCAGTGGGCCACAAGCCTGTCTAACCTTCGAATCCTAGTTTTATTGCACATTTCTCAAATTTGACATCTTGGAAAATCATATTTTTCTCCCTCAGCCGTCCTATTATTTTGGTCTGAATTTCACCTGTCATGTAGATGATTGAATTGATCTTGTTGATGGGTTTCTTTCAGGAATTACAGTTTGAAAGGCTGACCCGAGAGCTGGAGGCTGAACGGCAGATCGTAGCCAGCCAGCTGGAGCGATGCAAGCTCGGATCCGAGACTGGCAGCATGAGCAGCATGAGGTACTAGCGCCGCTCTGTTCATTGTCTGTGCTTTGAGTTGCCCCTGCAAGTAAATCGTGATGTTTCTCTTCTTTCCAACCCGGTGGTGGAATTGGAACATTCAGTCAAACGTTGGAAAGAAATTGTAACTGACCTGATTTAAGATGTTCAAAAGGTGTCCAAAATGTCCTGATTTGTATTTGAAACTCTTTTAACAAAATTAATGCCTGCCCTGAATGCAAATTATACGTAATTTTACACAAAGGAAGGCTTTGCATTCAGCCAGCTTGCTGGAAATCAGGAGATGCCAAGTCACAGTCTCCGAGTTTGGGACTTTTTTTTTTTTTCGTAAATGATCCAGAGCTCCAGGTTCCTGAAATAAAAGTGAGAACATTCTGGTGGAACCAGTATTGTTTTTGCTAATACATAATGCTAAGTTATGAAATTGCCCCTTGAAGATCAACCACACGTGCAGTTCCCCATGTGTAAAAATATTTCCTCATTCATAAACATAAATGATTATTCAATTAGTGATTAGTTTGAGATTATGAAATATATATTTTTTAAAGCCTATAACTTTTTAGCCACTTGACCACAAAATAAAATTATCCTCCTTAGAACCAGGCTTTCGTATATGAAAATGTAAGTGTATGTGTGCATGTGTGTGTGAAAGAGACATAAGGCTTAACTTCCATTTCTCAAAAACGCTCTTGTTAGATGGTGTGTTTTTGGCACTCTACTACATTTTTAGGGAGAAAACCAAGGCTGCTATGGCAAATAAACTGCAGTGAATACTGCAGTGAACTTAACACAATAGTAGTTTGTTTCTCTCTAAGGTAGCCAACTAAGCCTACTTCTTCTCCATATAGTGACTCACGCCCTCTTTCTAACTTGATGACCTTGCCATCCCCTATGGCTCCATCCTGAATTGCATCATCAATTGCATCACTGCACTCAGAGTTCATTAGTGAATTTCAGTCACATGACCTCTCATCGATGGAAGTGGGGCAGAGTCCTGGGGTCAGCAGCCACTCTGCAGAAGTAGGAACATGAGTTTGGTTGACTCTTAGCTACCTGCTGCCACAAAAGAATAAAAATGTCTTTGTATTCATTGTTCCAAAATACTTTATATTTGTAAGAGTATAACTTTGTAATTGCAGCATTTCGTATTGGAGTCACATGCTGTTAAACTTTTTAACATTGCTTAGTGTTTTTTTTTTCTTTAAATAGAAAGCACTGCACTCTCTGTTGTTAAGCGGGGTTAACCACGTGGATGGAATATTATTTTCCATTATAAAACCTTATTTAGGATATGTGAAAGCATCTGCTTCTGCATCCAAATGTATATGTTGCTGCAAATACGTACATCATGGTGTATTAAACTCATCACAGACTTGCCTAAACATCCAGATTAACCAAAGCAGGATGGATAATGAAAACAAAAAGTAAACTGTATTCACTTGAAGTTGGTTTTATAAGTTGGACTAATTGAAGGTGGTGAATTTAGGGAGAGAGAAAAATAATAATTTTAAGTGTATTTTTGCTTTACTCCATCTAATTTTATATACATGAAGAGCTTCCTATTAAAGCTGAACACTTGAAAAGCTAAGCCTGCCAGATTTTATAGGTCCATATGCACCATTGACTTGATGTCGAGTTGGCTTTGAAGCCTCTTGTTTCACTATTGGTCTGTTTACCTTTTCAGTTCATGTTCCTGATATTTCTGTGTGACATTTTCCCATGTTGTATACCTTTTACATGGTTTCATGCAACTCCAGCCCCTGATAGGAATGGGTCTAGGGAACTGTTTAGTAACCTGTGAATCAATTTCCAATTCCTGGTTGTATTGTAAATGGACCTGACCAGACTGTGAGTATATGGGCTCTTACTCTGGAGGATATGAAATAAGCAAGCCAAAATCTGTGACATACAATAGTGGGTGCTTGGCAATGGTGGCCATAGTGGCTTGTGTGCTAGTGGAGGACTCTGTGGTAACAGTGAGCCTCCCAAAACAGAGAAGCCATATGGCCCTGAAAGTCAGTGAGAGCCGTATAGTTTTCATTAGGACTGGCTGCCTAATGTACGTTTCATGTATGTTGCATTCATGACATTACCTGATACCTTCTTAAAACCTGTCCTCTTTCCTCATTTGATTTGATTCATCTCAAGTTGATTTCATTTATTACATCCAAAGTGTCTTGAATAAAATACATCAGTTAATTCCAAGGTAGACAGAAAAATGATACCATGACAACTTTTGGTTCTTTACACTGTGTCTTGTATGTCTAGCTTACAGCTTATGATATATAATCAATAAATCTGTCTTAAATCTGTACTAAATAATAGTGTTGAGTGAAGATGACACTGCCTAAATATTTCCCTTTGCCATATATAATATCAGTCTTCATCAAGCTTAATTATTTTGTATTTTGGAAATCTCTAATGTATGCAT
This sequence comes from Homo sapiens, assembly GCF_000001405.40. Classification (NCBI taxonomy): domain Eukaryota; kingdom Metazoa; phylum Chordata; class Mammalia; order Primates; family Hominidae; genus Homo; species Homo sapiens. Next base: position 11,562,512 of record NC_000005.10, on the reverse strand, counting down.
CTGCATTTGTATAACTACAAGCAATTTATTGATACTTCTCTGGAGAACAGTTGATGCATAGCATCACTTCCACTGTTTGTTTGTTTGTCATAACCTACTTGTTTTCTTGGCTTTAGAAATGCACCTTTAGAAATTCAAGTTTTCATTAAAGGTGATAGACTAACCTAGTTAGCACATCAAAAGGGATATTTAAACAAAAATAGAACGTCAACTTTTTTTTAAAAAAAGAGGGCTATTTTAAAAGTCTGGTAATTTCGATGTTGATTCATACCTCTTAATGATACTAGCGAGTGAGTAAAAGAGTTTCTTAGGAGAAAAGAAACAAAATCAAGTCACAACTGCCAGACATATTTGTATATAAGAGGTAGAAATGACTAATAAATATACTTCAGTTTTACTCTGACTTTAATGGTGGTAGGAATTGCACCTATCTGATTCCCAAGATCTCTCTCTCTTTTTTTTTTGAGATGTAGTCTTGCTCTGTCACCCAGGCTGGAGTGCAACTGTGGCACGATCTCGGCTTACTGCAGCCTCCCCCTCCTGGGTTCAAGGGATTCTCCTGCCTCAGCCTCCTGAGTAGCTGGGATTACAGATGTGCACCATAACACTCAGCTAATTTTTAAAAATATTTTAGGTAGAGACAGGGTTTCACCATGTTGGCCAGGCTGGTCTCGAACTCCTGACCTCAAGTGATCTGCCTGCCTTGACCCCACAAAGTGCTGGGACTACAGGCATGAGCCACTGTACCCAGCCAAAGATCTCTTTTCAGGTAGTCACATCAACATTTCAACTTTAAAAAAAAATTATCAGTATGCATTTGTAATACAAGTCAACTTCCTAACAGTCCATCCAATAGTACAGGAGGATGCTAGGAATTTGCGGGACAAGCAATCTGGAGATCTTTATTGTTGCAGCAGATCAGCTTCTGCATCTACCTCTGTAGGTTATAACTCCCTGCAAATGGGAACATTGTGTTCTCTTAATCTCTTCACAGACTTTCCTAAACATCCAAATGCATATCATAGTTTCCAGAATTCAGACTGTTTAGTGATTGTCTAAGGGTTCTGAGTCATCTGGAAAGAAGTTATTGGTGCTTTTTATTAGAGCTAAAGGTTTACTTTGTACCTTATCTCATTTCTGTCTTGGCTTTCCTCACCCAGAACCTATTTTCAGATCAAAAAGCTGTTGGATTCTTCATCTTTCCCACAAATAGAGATTTTGGTTTCATATTTTCTTCATGATTCCCAAGAACTATGCAGACCTGAGGCAGGAACACTATACAGATGATGCTTTTTTATGAAGGGTCATGATCAAGTCCTGCTTTATTTAAGATGATAATCAAGTCCCTCTTGGTAGTAGCCAGCCCTAACCTCTGGCCAGTACAATGATCTGGCTCATGCTCAGCCCAAGGCCCATTCCTGAGGCTGTAGGCCTGTCAATGAGGTGTTATCCGGCAGCTTAATGAGCCATCCAGTCCTCGTCCAGGTTGAGGCTCCTGCCTGGAGACCTGCCTGAGTACCTGCCCTTGTCATACTCTCCGTTAACCTTATAACAGCATTCAGACTCATCCCTCTGTCTGTATTCAGCCCAAGTCCATCCTCTACACGGCGTGAGTTAGATCTGCAGGATACATAAACCAGAACCATGTCTGTGAAGGATCCTTCCCCACTTCTGCAGTTCTATGAATGCATGATGATTTCTCATCTCAGAGCCTATGATGCTTTCTTCCTAGAATATCCTCCCTCTTTAGCATGGTTACCTCTGCCTATGGATCTAGTGACCCACCTCAGGGCTCATATCCTTCTGAATGTCTTCTCGATCAGCACAGACTGGACTGTTTCTCTGTTCTGTTCTTCTCACTGGACTGTTGGCAGTGGTTGTAACTTCACAAAGTGTTGGAGAAGGGTTGGGGCTATCACTCCATTGACTTTACCATAAGTGCCCTACCACAGAATATTTTAACCTTCAGTCAAAGAATGGGTAGGGATTTCTCCAAGTGTTGATGAAAATTTAAGGGCACCTAATAGGTACCTATACATATTCCTTGATTTCCATAGGCATCAGTAACATAATGGTAGAGAAATGGAATTCAAATCACAGTTGGACCACTCTTATGAACATCTCCTAAAGGGGACTTGACTCTGGAAAGACTTGTGATTGACGATCAGGGTAATTTATGACAATAGCAACAATTATGAGGAGTGTGACCAACAGTTAGATCTATCTATGGACTGCTCCTAAATGACACATAACTCTTAGAAGACTTATGCTGATGAAAATGATGATGATTTATGACAATAATAACAATTATAAAGAGTGAGGCCAGCAGTTCCTGAGTTTTTCCTGAGGGCTAGTACTCTTTGAAGAATTGTACATGTTGCCTCATTTCATGCTTATGGTAACCCTTTCAGTTAAGTGTCATCATTGTCTCCACTTCGTCAATTAGGAAGCCACAGCAGAGCAAGGCAGGAAGAATGGATCCTTGCAAGGACGTGGAGGAGTCTGGCAATGTGGGCCACATTGAACAAAGCAGGTGGAGGCTGCAAGGGGCAGGGGAATCAGACACAGCGTGAGGGTGACCATCCCTGCAGATGGCCTCTGCAGCCAGGTCACTGGTAGTCTCAGGGCTTTGCTGAGGTAACTTCTCTAGCAGAGCTGGCACTGGGCGTCAGAAGGCCGTAGAGGGAAGGAACTTTACTTGTCAGTTGTCCAGCAGTGAGGATGTGGACTGTAGCCCAAGGACAGCAGAGCCACAGCCCCCACTGAAGGAGAAAGATGGTGACAACAGCAAGCTGCAGAGAAGCAGGTGGCAGTTCTGATTATATGCACCATGCCCTTGTGCACCCTCCAGCTACTCCTGGAAGGCTCCAATGGGGAGAAGGATCTCAGGAGGCTGGGGAGAAGCGTCTCAGAAGGCTGGGCAAGCAGGCAAGATATCATAGCATGGAGACTTGGGGTGCTCTGACCCTTGTGAATCCTCCAGGTAAGACCTAGGTATAGAAGATAGAACAACAACCATTTTACTATTGAAGGGATCACAGTTTAAAGCGTCGTGCTAAATTCATTTTATGTGGTATAAGTGGAGAGCATAGAATATTGGACTAAAATGGAGTAGAGCAGTGGAAACATTTATTGTCTCAGCCTTAGTTAACATGAAGCCTCAAGGTAGACAGGGTTCTTTTCTTTAGATGTCTCAATGGTGCCATGACCCTAAGTCAACGTCTCTGATTCCCAAGCATTCACCTGATGGTTGTAAGGCACCACAGTCTCACTTGTGAGCATGTAGAACTGGAAAGGAGGGAAGGGACTTACATCCTATCTGTCTGTCTTCCACAATCCCACCCACACACGTGTATAAATATATACACATACAAATATAAAGGTATATAGTATATTAATTCTATAATTAATGATATATGAAAATATAGGAAAAATGTTTCCCAGAGGGCCTCACTTGGCCAGCCATACCCTGGGGGATCTTGTAAATTCCAGACTCCTCTGCAATGGTTTTGCACAATGATGCCCAAACCAAATATACATTTGGTAGCCAGAAAAGGGGGTGGTAGTGGTGCTAGTGTAGAACCTAACAGCTCCCAATTACGTGTTACCTACTTAGTCTACACGACCACTTGCAAGGTAAGTATTCTCACGTCATATAGATGAGGAAACAGGCTTAGATGTTAAATATCTTCACAATGCCACATAGACAGTAAGTGCATAGCTGAGATCGAGACCTCAGTCACAGGTTCCAAACTCCATGTTCTTGCACTCAAAGCTATAGGTTGACCCTGATCCTGACAACCTGGGCCCCACCCAGCACCTGTGTATACCTACCAATATATTCTCACAGGCCAGTGGCTTACACCTGTAATCCCAGCACTTTGGGAGACCAAAGCAGGTGGATTGTTTCAGCCCAGGAGTGCGAGACTAGCCTGGGCAACATGGTGAAACTCCATCTCTACAAAAAAAAATACAAAAAATTAGCCTTGAGTGGTGATGCTCTCCTGTAGTTCCAGCTACGCTGGAGGCTAAGTTGGGAAGATCACTTGAGTCGGAGAGGTCAAGGCTGCTGTGAGCTAAGATTGTGCCACTGCACTCCAGCCTGGGCAACAGAGTGAGACCTTGTGTGTCACACACACACACACACACACACACACACACACACACACACGTGTTTCTCACAGCCAAAGTATTACCATTATCTGCATTTAGGTAAATGTCTCTTTCCCTTGACTGTGAGCCCTTTCTGTACGTGACCTTGACATGTTCTTTCCTGTATCCCCTGCACCAAGATGGTACCTGCCATGGAACTTTTCCCCAGTAAATGCTTATTGATTGACTAAATGATGACTGAAAATTTCCAAAATGTAGTCTTGAGATTTGTACCATTTTCCATTAAACATTGTTTCTGAAACTAACCAACTTCGCTATGGATTTCTAGATTTATGGATTTCAGTCACCTCCCCCTTTGTTAATTATTGAAATAATTCCTCTGTCTTTTTTGGAAATCACCTCTTAATATTTTTGCCAATGGGCAGCAACCTGTGCCCTTCCTAAAGAAAATGAACCGTTCTTTGGAATTTTCCGCTAGGCTAATTCCCTCCTGGATTATCAAGAGATTCCAAATGTGTATGTCTCTTCAATAACTCCCTCATTCCCAGCATGGTTCCAAGGATTATTAGGTGGAAGAAAATTCGTTGCTGCTTGAGGTAGGCAGAATTCTAAGGTGTCCAGCAAGATTCCCGTCATCAGTTGGTTTTCGCAGACTGTATAATCCTAGGAATGTAAATATGAAGGGGCCTCACTCTCCTAATTAGGTTATTTTATATAGCATGGTTGACTTTAAGAAAGGTAGATTATCTGGGTGGGTGTGACCTAATCACACAAGTCCTTTAAATCTGGGTCTGGAGGTCAGAGACAAAGGAAAATTCAGAAAATTCAATTCGAAGCTAGAGAGTTTTGACACAAGATAAATTATCTGGTGCTGGCTTTGAAGACGGAGGGGCTTTGTGGGCTAGTAATGCAGATGGCATTTACATGCTGAGGAGGATCCTGAACTCACAACCTGCAAGAAAACCAGAACCTCGATCTGATGGCCCAAAGAATTGAATTCAGGTAATAACTTGCATGAACTTGAAAGGGGATGATTCCCCAGAACCTGCAGAAGAGAAAGTAGCCCTTGAGAAATTTTGATGATAGCCTTGTAAAACTCCAAACAGAGTTTTACAAGTCTGACTTGCCTGCCAAGTCTGACTTGACAAAACTTATAAAACTGTTAGCTGAAACAGTGAACGTTGCTGTTGGTGATTGGTTATGCATGATAGAAAAGTAATACAATGCTTTGTAATCGGTCATGTTAGATATATATTACAAAAAGCTGAATTATTAAAGTTTTTGAGAGAAAATAAATTTTATTCTGTGACAATATTTATTCCCTTCAAAAGTTTAATATATATACCCTATTTTATTTTTCAGGCATATATGCATGCATTCGTACTCAAAAGCTAATCTGTAGCTTTGATTCTGAGAAGTGGTAGAATTTGAATCTGGAGTGGAGTGATGGTTTACTATAGAATAAGGACAACTAAATAAAGCAATCATCTTTAACCCCACCATTTTTATTATATAGATTCCCAAGATGTTGATGTTGTTAGCTACACCTAAAAGGATAAAACGTAATAAATATTAACAGTTGCTTGCTCCACATAAGGAAGTGCTTTCTTTTCTTCCCACCTTTGAACTATTGAACTTTTGCAAAGAGAGGTTTCCAACAAAGTCTGCCATACTTTGGATATTAGGGGGCAAAAGGAATACGTGTTATAAATACTATCAAAGGCCATTCTCTTTATTAGCTAAATTTCATGAGCCCAAATGCCAACAGTTCTATAACTAGAGTCTAAAAATCTTTTCCACATATGCAAAAAAAGTCAGACTTATTTTAGAGAAGATGCTGATTTCCAGTTAATATATTAATAGTTAACAGTATTTAGTGAAGAAACAGAAGCCAGTGGTCACATACATTTTGTGAGAATAAAATTTATTTCTTCAAAAGCATGATAAATGTGAATTTTCATGAGGAAATAAATAATATAGGAATATAATTGTTTCACAAAGTAAGACATTTTATAGTTTCATTATCTTCTGCAGGATACAATATTGAAATAATTTGATTTATTCTTGCTTAAATAAATAATCAATTTGCCAAAATATTTATTTTTGGAAACCAGACATCTTATATATTGAAGAATATGCTTTTTACTGTTTACCAACCATAGCCATAGGAATTTATATCCTTACCACAGCGAGTACACATTTGCCAGGTGGAAAAAAAAAGTTAGATTGCTTTTGGATCATTTTTTTGGAAATTTTTTATTAAATATAATTTCTATTTCAAAGTTAGGGAGTAATTGTTAGTTTCCATGCTAGGAAAAAAACCATTTCTCATGAGGCTAAATTATTACTGCTCCAATAAAGTTGTACTGATTTATTTAAACAAGACAATTAGTTTATTGAATTGTCATTCAGAATTAACATTGCAGTAGTCATTTCCAAAGTCTTTGAGAGTGTCTGCTTCACTACAAAACCAGAAGAACAAATTAGAGGGACTATAGACATATTTTGGAGACTTCTCAGCATTGCCAATTTTGTTTTTTTCCAAGTTTTTCTGTCTTTGTTTTCTTCCAATTTAAATTCCAGAGCAGAACCTTCCCTCACAAATATTCCTAATTCAAAAATCTCCTTATGAATCATTGTTCTTCTTGTCATAACCCCTTTATTCTTTCACATTATTTCTGTTTTTTTTTATTTTAATTCTAACCTCATGTAGTTTGCCTTTTAATGCTGAGATTGTTCCTCTAAGATTCCTTCTTATAGTCTTTCCTTTTTCCTCATAAAGCAGGAGGGATATTCTAAAATACTTTTTGGGTCCTCAAGATTCATCTCCATGCTTCCCAAGCACCATCAAATTTCTGGTCAGGTTTTCATTCTCTTTCTCCTCCCGAATAGCAGGAGCATTTACAGCCGTTGCTTCTTTAACAGGGAAGCTCTTATTCCTCTAAACCTCTCTTTTTTTGTAGTCACTAGTGCTCTGAGACTTTCTCATCTAGCCAAGAGTCCAAGGCCACTCTACTGAGCCATGTCTATATAGTACCCCAGTTTTCTTTGATCTCCTAATCCTGAAGCAAAATACACAAACTGGATTAAAGCTGCTGCCTCCCATACTAAGGCTTTGCTGAGCCTTGTCAACTGCTAGAACTAGGTGTCTGTTTCTCTTCCATTTCCTTGGCTAGTCTATAAGTAATTTCTCCAGGACGGGGATGACAAGCATATGCGAAACCAGTGGCCAGCACACAGCAACTAATACTGTATTCATTTATTTAATCAGTGCGGAATGAATAAATGAATGAACAGACGAATGAACATACAGTGATTTTATTACTGTTCTTATCTCATTGGTATTGTTTGGCAGTATCACCAGTCTTATTAATCTTAAGTATTTCTATGTTTATATCTTCCAGTATACATATTATCTATTGTATTATTCATTTTTTTATGTTATGTACATTTTATATGTATTATATATGTAGATATATTTATATATATAATTGATTTATACAGTACATTAAATAGTATATATTATTCTGATCTTGCTAGGTCATAATATTACATTTTGATATTCATCATAGTTAATTTTCATGAAAATATCTACTTGTTAACGTGGTATCTTGGATTCCAGGGCCAGATAGCTTGATGTCCTCCGAATGTGGAACTATGGTTGATTTAGTCTCATACTTTCACTCTGATCTTAAGAAAAGGATGATAGTAGTTCTAACAATAGTAATGACTAATAATTTTAATAATAATAATTGCAGAGTTTATTGAGCAGTTTCCCTAGGCCAGACACAAAATTAAATGGGTTAGATAGATTATACCATGTCATCCTCGTTAACCCTTTAAAGTCTTATTGTTTTTATTTTGTAGATAGAACATTGAGATATAGAGAAAAAAAATCACTTTCTATAGATTCAATGGTGTCTAGACATTGATTTCCGAATCTAGGCATCTGTACTCCCCAAGCACATGCATTCAAATGTCACACCACAAGGCTGTCCTTCTGTCTAACACAGTATCTTGAATTGTGTTGTAAATAGTCACCTAAATGTCTCTCGTCTGTTTTCACCCTAGGGATGCGAACATTCTTGAACTGATATTCTGCTTCTTTTCCTTTCCATACACTGCAGTGATTATAGTTGTTTTGAGATTCTTCATCAAAATATATTTTTGAGATTTATTTTTATGCAAATTAAAAGCTTAAGAGTTTATGTTATCATTAGTATAATTACCTTCATATTAATTCTTGCAAATTGCCAATTGACAAATTATACTAATATTCTTGTCTATAAAATACCAGTCATCATATTAAGCGTATAATAGTTCTAAATTTATTTGAGAATAATAAATAGTCAGCTGTTCAAAGAATTTGATGTAGGGCCTTAGAAAGGTTGAATACTTTATGGTTATAATTATTTGACATATTTCTTACATCAATTACTGTATCTTAATGCTTTTATATCAATTTTGAAGTGTGGTTTCTTTCCTAAATGTCATCTTACTTCAAAAAGCTAATATTAATTTTACATCTAAAAACAATCAATATAACTAATTTTATTTAGAAGAATTGCAGTATAAACAGATGTTTTACAAAAACTAACTCTAATGAATTTTGAAATTTAATATTCTAATCAGTAGAGAACTGGAAATCTTTATGAATTTATTTAGGGTTGAAAATTCTTTATATTTTCTCTTCTTCTTAGAGCTTTTTCAGACTCATAGATCCAAAACATGGAGTTTGTAATTCCATAAATGATAGCTAAATTTCATTGTTATGTTTTTATGATATTTCCTAGCTTTGCCTTGAAATATAGTCATAATTTATCTTTTATTTATTTCTTTCATCTATAAAAATGGGGATAATGCTCTTCTATAAATTTGCAGTGGCTAAGTGAGAAATGTAAGTAAACCATCTCACATACCAACTGTTATGAGTGAATCATGTGTATTTTCCCTTTTTGATGAATACACAGAACATCTTTCATTGAAGTCTCTTTTCTAATTTTTCTACAGAAGATTATAAAATTGTTCCTCTCATTGTGGGCTAAAAAGATGTATCAGAGTAGTACCATGTTTGTCTCCTTCATAATATAGTCTAGACAACCACACAGAAATTGACAAGATGAGATGGAAGAAAGCTTAAATCAATTTCCCTTTCACGCAGGCCACCTTAATAGGTCTCCATGCGCACTGCTGGAACTGAAGATGAGATTTTCAATATTGTGTGATAGTAAAAAGAAGAGTGATAGTGCAATAATAACATATGTATAATAGGGAATGCATAATAAATTAATATATAGAAGTCAGTGACTCTTTGAATAGATACTCTTCAAACAGCAAACAGCAAGAGAGGAAGAGATTGCCCAAATCATGCACGCTTATTCCTCTCCCTGCTGTAAGTGTATAAATATGACGAGGAGTAGAAAGGCATTTGTGTCTCCATCATATCCACTCTGTCTTCCTTCAGATGCTGAGAGTCCAAAAGCTTTTACCAAGATGCATGTTCATATTTGTTTGTTTGTTTATGGTCATTATAGAACATTGGAAACAGTGATATTTTAGCCAACAAAATAACAATGAGCATTTGATGTGCTTCAGAGGAAAGTCAGCTGAAATGTCAGTCATCAATCTTGGGATGACTACAGCTTGTTGACCACCATGAACATGATTCCAAGTGTTCAGATTATTCGGATGGAAAAGGAAGGGGGGTATAGCAGAAAGTGTTGCAGTGAGTGCTAGAAGATTGTGGTCTTGGCAGCGACACATTTAAGGCGTGCCTTTAAGGTAGTCATTTGGATTTCTGTATCTCAGTTTCGCTCACCTGTAAATTAGGACACACAAAGAGCCTTGGCTTTTCCCAGTGGTCTCCTCTGGTGCTGTTCATCTGAATATTTTAGGATGGGGACATTAATTGAACTTTAGTAAAAAAGTAATGAGATTTAGTACTTTCAAGGAAAGCAGATGAATTATCTATAGATTTATTTAGCTTTTTTTAAATATAGAAATCTCCTGTTAGGTCAAGGCATGAACTTTATATGAGGGAGAACACAATTTAAAAGAAATTTATAAGTATATTGTAAGTTGCCTCATATGGTCTGAATGTTTTCCAGTTTGACTAAAACTTGAGCTAAAGCTAAGGAACTGGAATAGTGTTTCACACTGAGGGATACCTTGGAGTGGGCCTTTTAAGAAATAATATTTGGTTCCATTAAAAGAAAATATGCTTATGTAGTATTCCCAAGGGTTTAATGTCTTAAAGTGATCCTTGTGCTTCAGGGATGACTACGATGTGGCTCTTGCCTTCTGGGGTTTTACTGTCAAATAAAGACAGAGGCAGCAGGGCAAGGTGGCTCAGGTTCGGGTTCAGCACATTGGGAGGCCAAGGGCAGGGGATCACTTGAGGCCAGGATCACTTGAGGCCAGGGGGATCACTTGAGGCCAGGAGTTCGAGACCAGCCTGGGCAACACGGCAAAACCTCATCTCTATCCAAAATTTGAAAAACGCCAGGCGTGGTGGCTCACACCTGTAATCCCAGCACTTTGGGAGGCTGAGGTGGGCAGATCATTTGAGGCCAGTAGTTGGAGACCAGCCTGGCCAACATGGTGAAACCTTGTGCCTACTAAAAATACAAAAAAATTAGCTGGATGTGGAGGCGGGTGCCTGTAATCCCAGCTACTGGGGAGGCTGAGGCAGTAGAATCACTTGAATCTGGGAGGCAGAGGTTGCAGTGAGCCAAGATCGCACCATTGCACTCCAGCCTGTGTAACAAGAGCAAAACTCCATCTCAAAACAAACAAACAAAGAAAACAAAAAAAAATAGTTGGGTGTGGTGGCATGCATCTGTAGTTACCGGCTACTCAGGAGGCTGAGGTGGGAGGAAGAGGTTGCAGTGAGCCATAATTACACCACTGCACTCCAGCCTGGGTAACAGAGTGAGACCCCCTTATCAAAAAAAAAAAAAAAAAAAAAGAAAAAAGAAAAAGCATAAATATGCTAAAACATGATAAAATATGTTGCTGCTGTGAAAAAAAAAACCAGTAAGTGGTGCTGGGGATGGCTCACAGAGGGATATTTCTTTGTCAGGGATGCAAAATATTGGCAGGGAAAGAAATGGGGTAAAGGCATTGCTCAGAGGGAAAGAACAGTCAAAAGACAAACTGCTATTTGGGATCAGTATGGTTGAAATGGAGCCGATGGGGTACACTGGTGTTGGGTAAGGATGGAGACTGAGCATACCCATTCTTTGAGAGGCCACGTACTGCACATCCAGCTAGAGACTTTGCACGTTGCTGAGTAGGCAATAGAGTGTCCAAGAGGAGGGATGGAAGCCCAGGGAGGCTGCTCCACAGTGCACGTTAGAGAGGGTGGCCTTACCCAGGAGGTAGGTCAGAAAAATTTCACCCAAGGTAACGAGGGCTTCCAGAGGCTGCAGAGCTAGGGCTGAGAAGATCTGGAGGCTCACTTTTGTCAAAGGACACAGGGCAGGATTGGGAAGCTATTACTTACTTCAAAAAAACATTTAACAAAACATTTGGTAGGCTAATCCAATATTGTGGGCTTAACTTTTACCACAACCATTCTCCATTTTCAACAAGAACCCTTTGATTTTTAAAAAATTTTCATCCTATGTGAATGTATTCTAATTCCCTTTTATCCAGGAGAAACTATCATGGAATGTTAAATTTCAGAGATTGCTGTGTTAGCAGCAGGCAGAGAAGAAGTCGCCTAATTAGTTGACAGTAACGCTGTATTCATAAGTCCCAGTCTTCTCACACATCTGTTTGTTTAGTACCTCAAGAGCTGAGGAAGTTTAAAAATTGTCACACATTATTCCTTTGTCTTATGCACTTATTTGAGAATGGGACTCTCAGCAAGATTTTATTGAAAAGATCTGTCCAAGGCATTGACTGCCAACTTTCCTCGAAATTTAACAATTAACCTTCTCTCCCTAATGTGGGAATGATGGCATCCACCTGTTGGGAAGTCCTCGTCATTTTGACATGTCTCATTTAAGGTAAAGAGTTCAATTTTGTCTTTTGGACTCATGTATTGCTTGTCATATCATAAATGCTCAACAAATTCTGAAGCTCTAATTTAAGGAGGTAGTAGCCAGGGTGGTGGTGAAGACAACGGAGTTTGGAACCATAGACTTTGAGATTTGAATCTCAGCTCTGCATATTACTAGTGATGTGTAATTGGAAAGTATACTGGTAAACCCCATTTACCTATTTGTAAATTCGGGAGAATAACAGTTACCTCAGAAATCTGTTATAAGCATTAATGTAGAAGTGTTTTCAAACAATTAGCATGGTGTTAGGCACTGAGAAAGTATTCCATACATGTGGGCTCTTTCTCTTCTTAAATAATTAATTGAAATATATAACATCTTTATGACATGTTATATGCGTGAATAGATAGGAAATGCCCTGATTTTTACAGATACATTATTTACTTATGGCTTTCCTTCTTTCTTTTATTTAGTGAATGATAATGATGTCTTCAGTTAGCTAAAGACAAGTATTGTAGCTATTGCCAAAGAACACTAGAGTACAGCAATGTTCTTAAATTAATATGTAGTAATATGTGTATGATAACATAGCTGTGATACATGAAAATATCACACTCCTTAGGACACAGTCTCATCACTATGAAAATGGTATTGCCCTCAGGTGGATAGTTGCTCAAGGTCCCTACAATTTTGGGGTCTATATTCTACTACCAATAAGCTTCATTTAATTCCCTGGTAACCTGGTACTAGAAAAGAATTTTACCAAAGAGAGTAATGTGGGAATAGAGAAAATCCTCAGTGTTACCCAAACACTGGAATTGTTTGAATGTGTTTAAAGCCTGTGGATATTTGGGGGATTATTATTTGGGGGATTATGGAAATGTATGGCATTCTCCAGGATTTGCATCTAAAATCTGGAGTCTGCCTGTTGGGGGTGAGTGGATGCTGGGGTCAGCCAATCAAGGACAAATGTATAGGAGTATGAGTTTGTGCTATCCTCTGCTCTGATGGGAAAGAGGGTGAAATCTTATTCCTCCATCCATTCGTTTGTTCATTCAACACATGAATTGTGGAGGTACCATGTGTTACACAATGTTGCAGACACCGTATATAATGTTACAGACGCCAAATATAGATCCCGATAAGAAAAACTGCCTGCCCTCAAGCAACCTATAGTCTTTATGCTACCTTAAATGCATACCTTAGCAGGGATGATAGCAAGACCTTGTGCTGGTTAAAAATACTTTCCTAGGTATCAATAACAAGACATATATCAAGCTAACCCTCCTAAGCATGACAGGCCAATTAATACCAAGATAAAACAGCAAGTGCAAGATCAAAATTCAAGAGAAGAAATTAAATTTAAATTAACTCTTTTCTAGTTAAACTACCTTTTGGGGTAGGGATGCAGAAGTGCATTTTAAGCTTCAACTGGACCATTTTAAACAGTTATTATGTTTGGCTAATGAACTAGCATTCCAGAGGAAGAAAATTAATCAGAATTTAGTTTTATGTGCAGATCTTGGAGTCAGAACAAATAAATAATCAACTAATAAAGAAATAAACTCCACAGAATATTTAAAACATTTAAAGAAATATTGACAACTACAAAATAAGGGAATTTTAAGAAACAAAATGTAAAGAAACGAGTGGTTTTTCTGTTAAAGGATTGGATTTGTCACTTTACACGGAAGATTTAACTTCCTTCGTTGTTCCTGAGGAAGATTGTTACATTTTGTGTCAGAAAAGTACAAAACCAAATATAGCTCTGAGGTGTTAATTGGACACAATGATAAGATACTTCCAAATAAAAATATTATACTGAACTACATCATAGACTATTTTTAAAATGTTGTCATTGATTAATAAGGCTCTAATTATAAAGAGAATTTGTTTGAGATTTTGCTATACAAATATAATTTTCAGAAACAAATCTTATATTTTAAGATAGTAGCATGCATAATATAATGAAATCTATGATATGTACTATTGCAAATATGCAGTATTTGCATATTCATGGTTTTAAAAAATGCTATAACTCTGTTGAAGAAGTAGAATTTGACCAGTAATTGTTGGAGAGTCTTCTAGGCCCCCTCCTCATTGTCTCTCTTCCACTATGTCAAACAGCTTTCTCAATTTTGTGTTTATTTGTACCCTTGAAGTTCTTTATATTTTCTCACACATATGCATCCTAATAAGTAAAGTATTACGTGGTTTGCCTGATTTTGAATTTTACATAAATATGTTATGTGTTCTTTACACCTTGCTTTTTGCTGCACTCTGTGCAGATTTGCCCATGGTGTCGTGGGTGCTGGTAGTTCATGCATTTTTTTTTTCTTTCACTGATGACTCCTACTCCGTCATTTGAATATGCCACAGGGCATTTACACTTTCTCCTGAGAACATTTGCAGAGTCTGCAGGGTTTTCTTCTGTAAATATATCGCTAGGGACATTGTCATATGAGTCTCCTTGTGTGGGCGTGCAAGTGGTTTCTTGGGCGGGCACAGAAGAGAAATGACTGGGTTGTAGGATTGGAACATCCTCAACTTCTCTCCATAATGCAAAAGAACTTTCAAAAGTACTTGTGCAAAGTTACTTTCCCACTGGCAATATGTAATCCATTGCTGCACATATTCAGCAAAACTTAACATTTTCCTAATTATTTTGGTGCTGTTGTTGCAAATCTGGTGAGCTTGAAGTTTGCACTTCCCTGATTTAGGCATTATTAGCACTTTTTATACACTTGTCACTTACTCATGTCTTTTCTTCGATTAAATGCCTAATCATGTCTTCAGCATATTTTTCTATTGGTGGTTTGTCTTTTATTTTAGTTATTTTAATTCTGAATATATTTGAATACTAATCTGTTAGTTGTATGTATTAGAATCATGTTCCCCCAGTTTGTGTCTTTTTTTCACTGTAGTGTCCTTTGATGAATAGAATGCTTGGTTTTAATGTTAGGTTGATCAGTCTTGTTTAAGACATATTTAAACAATTTTCAGAATTAAAACAACATTTAAATAATTTCCCATTATTTATTCTGTGAATTGTAAAGCTATATCTTTTTACTTTATTTATTTATTTATTTATTTATTTATTTATTTATTTATTTATTTATTTATTTTGAGATGGAATCTCACACTGTCGCCCAGGCCAGAGTGCGGTGGCGTGATCTTGGCTCACCGCAACCTCCGCCTCCAGGGTTAAAGCAATTCTCCTGCCTCAGCTTCCTAAGTAGCTGAGATTACAGGTGCCTGCCACCATGCCCGCTAATTTTTGTATTTTTAGTAGAGACGGGATTTCACCGTGTTGGCCAGGCTGGTCTTGAACCCCTGACCTCAGGTGATCCACCCACTTCGGCCTCCGAAAGTGCTGTACAGGTTTGAGCCACTGTGCTTGACCTATATTAAAATCTTTAATCTATTTTTCATTGATTTTTTCGCATGTTAGGATGCATAGATTCAATTCTTTTTTTCACGTAAAGTAGCTCTCCTAATACCTGCTGTTGAGCAGACTGTCATTTGTCTCATAAGCTTTAATGCCATATCTGCCTTGTGTCAATTTTTCACATATGTGTAGTCTGCTTCTGAGAAATTGGGGGAGAATTACAGCTTTATGATTTTGAGTGTTCTCATTCATGAACTTGATGTCCATTTAATTCTTCTCAAATGTTATTCAGTGAAATTTAGACATTTTTCCAGAAAGGTTTTGTGTTGTTCGTTGTTTCATTCTCATTGCTAGGCTCCACAGAGTTTTTGTTACTCTTGGAAATGTTCTTTTTTTTAAAAAAGAGACATCTTCTAAGAATTTCTGTTTTATATAGAAGTGCAGTAGATTCTTTATGTTGATCTGATACCAAGCAAAGTTACTAAACTTGCTAATTACCTCTAGTAATTTGTAGACTTCTTTAGGGTTTTTATATAAGCAATCTGTGAAAATTACTGTATTGTGTCTTCTTCTAAAAATCTTACAATTTTTGTTTTGTTTTGTCTTTTTGTACTGATAAGAAATGGGGGAGAGCAGACAACCTTTTTTATTTAATGGAATTACATTAATCTTTATCATTAAAAGAACTGCTGCAGGGCTTTTTTTAGAAAAAAAAGGCTTTATTGAGATATAAATCAAATGCCATGCAATTCATCCAGTTAAATATAAAATTTAATGGTTTTTAATATATTCTCAGATTTTTACAAGCATCACCACAGTCCATTTTAGAACATTTCCATCACACCAAAAGAAACCCCAAGCTTCTTCTAACCCTAGACTTTCTGTGTCTATGTGCCCATTCTGTACATTTCATATACATGGAATCATACCATATGTGATCTTTTATTATTGGCTCTTTTCACTTAGCATCATGTTTTCAAGGTTCATTGATGTTGTACCAAATATAAGGACTTTATTTTTAGTTGCCAAACAATATACCATTGTATGGATAAATCATAGTTAATGATATAGGTATGTATAGATATATATGGAGAAGTATGTATGGATAAATTATACTTTAATGACATAAATCCACTAGTTGGTGGACATTTGGATTGTTTCTACCTTTTGGATATTGTGAATAATTCTGCTATGAACATTCATGTACAAGTTTATATGTGGACACACATGTTTGTATTTCTCTTAGGTTTATAGCTAGACAAGCAGAATTGCTTGGTCACTTTATGTTTAATGTAGCTTTTCTTTTTCTTTATGTTCTTCCTTTTTTTTTTTTTTTTTTTTTTGAGACACAGTCTTGCTCTGTCACCAAGGCTGGAGTGCAATGGTGTGATCTCGGCTCACTGTATCCTTTGCCTCCTGGGTTCAAGCAATTCTCCTGCCTTCAGTCTCCCGAGGACCTGAGATTACAGGCACCCGCCACCATGCCCAGCTAATTTTTTGTATTTTTAGTAGAGACAGGGTGTGGCCACACTGCTAGAACTCCTGAACTCAGATGATCCACCCACCTCAGCCTCCCAAAATTCCGGGATTACAGGCGTGAGCCACCATGCCCAGCCAAATGTAGCTTTTCTATAGGCTCATTTTATCTGGTTCAGGTCATTCTATTGATTGATTTATTGATTGATTGAGATAGAGTCTCACTGTCACCCAGGCTGGAGTGCAGTGGTGCGATCTCAGGTCACTTCAACCTCCGCCTTCCAGGTTCAAGCGATTCTCCTTCCACAGCCCTCCTAGTAGCTGGGATTACAGGCGCCTGCCACCATGCCTGGCTAATTTTTGTATTTTTTTGCTTTCTTTTTTTTTTTTTTCCTTTTTTTTTTTTTTTGAGACGGAGTCTCGCTCTGTTGCCAGGCTGGAGTGCAGTGGCGTGATCTTGGCTCACTGCAACCTCTGTCTCCTGGGTTCAAGCAATTCTTCTGCCTCAGCCTCCCAAGTAGCTGGGATTACAGACACGCGTCATCACACCCGGCTAATTTTTTTGTAACTTTTTTAGTAGGGATGGGGTTTCATGGTGTTTGTCAGGCTAGTCTTGAACTCCTGACCTCATGATCTGCCCGCCTCCGCCTCCCAAAGTGCTGGGATTTCAGGCGTGAGCCACCACGCCCGGCTAATTTTTGTATTTTTAGTGGAGACAGAGATTTCACCATGTTGGCCAGGCTGGTCTTGAACTCCTGACCTCAAGTGATCCACTGGCCTTGGCCTCCCAAAATTCTGGGATTACAGGCATGAGCCACCATGCCCAGCCCTCATGGCATTCCTTTTAATTGCTGATTTGCTAAGTGTTTCATCATAAAGAATGATTCAGTTTTAGTAATTGCACATATCAATAGTTCATTCCTTTTTTGCTGAGTAGTATTCCACTGTGAGGATGTAACACAATTTGCATATTCATTTACCAGTTGATGCACATTTGAATTGTTTATAGTTGTTGCTATTTACAAATAAAGCTGCTGTGAACAGGTGTTTGTATGATTTAATTGTTACTTTTTCTTGAGTAAATCCCTAGTTGTGGCATCATTGAGTCATACGCTTGCATATCCTTAACCTTTTAAATTACTTCCCAAAGTGGTTTTACCATTTTCTAATCCTATCAGCAGTGTATCAGTGTTCTATTAAGCTGTTTCTAATATGCCACTTTAAGTTCTATTTTTCATTTCTAGAAGTTCAATTTTTTCTTATTCAAATCTGTCTTGGAGTGAGTGGAGATCACGCCACTGCACTCCAGCCTGGGAGACAGAGGGAGACTCCGTCTCAAAAAAAAAAGAAAAAAAAAATCTGCCTTGGAATAATGGAAGAACTCTTCATTTTAATTTTAAAGTCCCCTTTAAATTTTTAAGTATATTACATATGCTTTTCCCTTATTTTTTCTGCATCTGATAATTCAACAATCTTCAGTGTCCTTCACTTTGATTCTTCTATTTATTGTTTTTAATGACAGCCTGCTCACTGAGGCATTTTTTCTCATGTGTGTAAGATTTCCGATTGTGGATTCATGTTCCTTGTAACTTATTTATGGGAATTACATGAGGTCAGAGTTTAAGGTATGGTCTTCCAAGAAAGATGTATCTTTTATTCTGCCGAGTATGAGGGCATCCTGCTGACTTAGGACCACTTTGAACTAAATTATTGGTCTGTATTGGGTAGAGCATCATTAGTAATGTAAACAGGGCATTAAACCACATGAGTAAGGACTCTTCTGTTTTGAAATGCCTATGAATCTCCTTTATGTTTAGACTGAGCTATTAATTGAATGGAATTCCATTGATCTTTATCATTAAAAGAACTGCTGTAGGTTTAAAAAAAAAAAAAAACAGCGTTACTGATATATAATGTATATGCCATGCAATTCACCCATTTAAGTGTAAAATTCAGTGGTTTTAGTAGCTCCAGTATGTACTTACGGCTTTTAACAGAAGTTGACCTAATTCATTGTATTATCAATGAGTGTGTAAAATGCAATAAAACTAAACAAGACAACAAGAAACCATCAGACTATCTAGTTGTCATAAACATAAACTATACAAGCTACATCAGACTGCTTTTTATCTGTAGATACCTGTATGTAGTCAGAAGGAATGTCTTCCGCCCTGAAGCCTTGCAGGGTCTCCCTTACATGAAGGAATGTCTGTATCTGTGGAGAACACTTACCTTAAGTGGTGAGGACACTGCCATAACCTTTCTGATTAGTTCCTGTTATATTTCAACCCAAAGAAGTGTAGCAGAGCCTGGACTGTTTGCAGATTTCATCTACATAGAACATGATGAGAGGACCCTGCCCATATTGGTTGCCCTTGAATAACTTTTAAAGTTAGACTTGAAAGGCATGAGATGATTTTGATTGCAGCTGATTGAGCAGTCACATAGATGAAAGTTGATTCCACTTAACCTGCAGTACTCTCGTTTGTTGTTCCTGGAGCAGAGGTAGAAGAGGTGCACACATGTTTATCCAATGGCAGACAATCCAGTGCACTTATATATGTGACTTGAGATTTTGATGTGAAGATTTGATGTTAATAAATGAGTATAACATTCAGAAATGAAATGCAGGGACATCCTGTGCACTCCCCATCCTGACCTCCCCAAAAGTGTAGCCTCCCTTTCCTGTTGCTGTGGGTTTTGGGGGACCCACGTAAAGCAGAGGTAGGGTGATACTTTATCAAGGCTTTGTGATGAACAAGAAGTGGCATAAGGCTTTGATTGACAGACAAGGGTAAAAATGGAAGTCATTGTCTTAATGTTTATCAAAAAATTGTCTGAATTAAGAGTGTATAATGACCTTTTCATTTCTTTTAAAAGCATAATTATAATAATTTGACTGGATTATATGCCTTCTTAAGTATATTATTGAATACATACATCATTTCACCACCTTCTCATTATTTAAATAGGAATGTATGGGAACATATTTTTAAATGGTAAAGCAGTATGTAAATGGAAGTAATTATAGTTGGTATAATAATAAAACATTTTGCATTACTGGCTGCTATATATCACCAACTTATGTTGGCTGCTCTAGTCATCAAACCATTTATTTTAAAACTAATCAAAATTAATACTCAGAATTCTCATTTTGAGAATTTACCCAGAAAATGAGCAGGAAAACCTGGAATGATTAGGTAAAAGGACATTTGAAATAATGAATAGGTAGAGTCATTCTTTATTTTATAATTTTCTATTCTAACCTTCCTTGAAAAGAAGGCGTTCTGTCCTAACAGGCGGTGGGTCCCTGCAGCATGATGCAGGGATCCGGGTTAGAATCTGGCGCAGTTCATTATTGATTGTGTTTGTTGGTCTGAGCTTTGCAGGCATATACTCTTGTGTTGCCTCTGAGGTAAATCCCTGCAGGTCATGTTCTTGGCTGACAGAGCCATTTATTAATAATTACATTGTGCTTTTTCAACAGGAAGGGGGTGATGATGTCCCTACGGGGACAAAAATAGTTTTTTTTTTAATTGGGGAGGACACAAAACTTTAGATATTATAGTGGTCTGTGAACCTCCAAAGGCCACAGTATGAAAACAGATTATCTGTGGTGGTAAAGTTGCTTGGGGTGAGGGAAGCAATTAGGAATAAAAGTTGGAAAAGGCTTTTGGCCGGGGGGGGGGGGTCGATAATAAATAATAAGTTGACAAATCTGACTCGTGAGGATTAGGAGCCTTGTACCATATAGAACACAGACTGCGGGGGTCTGATATGCATTTGGATTAAGATGCTCTGAGAAAGGCTTATTGTGGGCAAATAAAACAGTCAATTCAGTTGAGATGTCTTATCTAAATGTTCCCTTAGCAAAGACAAGAAAACTGTTTCTTGGTCTTTGTCTATAGCCCTGTACAGAAAAATGCAAGTTCAAGTGTGTTCGTCATTCTCTAAGACTAGAAGCTTAGTTAGGCTTTTCCTCTGATCCCTACAGGCTTTTCACTAAGTTTCAGCTTAATTTAGAAAATGTGTTCTCTCCTCCTATGTCCTTTTATCGTGGTGGCCACAGGTGAGGAGATCGAAGAAACAGGAATGGTGATACTTTCCTGAGATTGTGATGACCTTGGAAAAGAACTTTTCCTCTGAATGACTTTTCTTTATGGCTATTTACCTTTATCCCAGAAACCGGTACCAAACTGTTAAAAGTAATTTTAAGTGTGTTCCAAGAGTGTTTTGCACCAGTGGTTCCTGAAAATGCTATAATATTAGAATCGCCTAGGAAGCTTTCTGAAACACTTATCCCTGGGACCAACCTCAGGGAGCCTGATTTGATTGGTCTGTGGGGAGAGCCTAGGGGTCTACAGCTCTTGGAGTACTCCAGGTGAGGCTAATATGCAACCAGGGGCAGTGCCTGGCTCCATATTCTCAAGCTGCTGCTCTCCTCAGTTGATGGCATCCATTGCCTGTGCATCCCGGGCTTTGGATAAGAACAATGGTGTCGTATTTTGCAGTCTGACTCATGGTATTTCTGTCAAAGGGCTAAGTCCTGAGTCTAAATGAGACAAGTTTAGAGCATTTGTCCCCTTTAAATAATAACAATAATAGCCAATATTCACTCAACCCCTGCCTGTTCAAAGCACTTGTTGATGAGTTAACTTACTTAACTCTCATACTAGAGGTAAGTATAAACCCTTATTATTTCCATTATCAGGTGGATATAAACCAGTAGGAAAAAACTATGTTAAGACTGCAACATGATTGGTAGGCTGAGGTGGGCAGATCACCTGAGGTCAGGAGTTCGAAACCAGCTTGGCCAACATAGTGAAACCCCATCTGTACTGAAAATACAAAAATTAGCTGGGCGTGGTGATGCACGCCTGTAGTCCCAGCTACTCAGGAGGCTGAGCCCGGCTTGAACCCAGGAGGCAGAGGTAGCAGTGAACCAAGACCGTGCCACTGCACTCCAGCCCGGACGACAGAGCAAGACTTATTCTCAAAACAAACAAACAAACAAAAGATTGCAGCATGAACAGTATGACCTTAAGTCTGTGTCGTAACCATTTATTCTACTCCCTCTTAGCAATTCCCAGCGGGATTCCCAGTGACTCTTGGAAAAAATGATTAAGTACTCACAAGGAGTAAGGGAGTCTGCAAGATACAAAGGTGAAGGGGAACAGTGCATCCTTCAGGAGGGCACATGCTTCACAGCTTAACAGCAAGTACATGTCAAGAAGGGCAATACTGGCAACTGAAAAGTGCCCTGAAGAGGGACTCTGGAGGAGAGAAAGATTCCTGTTAACTGAAGTGAGCAGCAGGAGGGCACACTTGGAATGTCGTTTATTTTAACCTGTGTCGGGTTGTATAGGGCGTCCATTTGTAGAAATAGCTGGTGAAATATATGGAATTGTTAATTTCCAGCCATTTGACCCACCACAATGGTAATTAATTAATTAATGTATTTATACGTTTATTTTTAATTTTTAATTTTTAATTTTTGAGGCCGAGTCTTGTTCTGTTGCCCAGGCTGGAGTGCAGTGGTGCGACCTCAGCTCACTGCAAACTCCTCCTCCTGGGTTCAAGCAATTCTCCTGCCTCAGCCTCCCAAGTAGCTGGGATTACAGACGCCCACCACCATGCCCAGCTAATTTTTGTATATTTAGCAGAGACGGGGTTTTGCCATGTTGGCCAGGCTGGTCTTGAACTCCTGACCTCAGGTGATCCACCTGCCTCGGCCTCCCAAAGTGCTGGGATTACAGGCATGAGCCATCACACCCGGCCCACAATGGTAATTTTAAATGTTTCAGGTGGAGGAACAAGCATGTGGCAGTGCCATGAGAGCCCCAGTGGCATTGAAGGCTTCATATTGGCTGCAGAAAGGCTGCAAATTCCACTGACCATTGGCAGGACCCATGGCTTGCTGCTTGCATAAACGTCACAAGAGAATCCTTGCAACTGAATGACTTGCTCATCTGGTACATGGACCCGTATTAATGGTTTCCTAGACAGCAACAGTACAGAGTGACTGAAATATCAGCAAGGCACTTGTAAACAGCAAGTTATTATAGGTGATAAGTAGCTAGGTGGACACCACACTTAATTAGGGCTGAGAGCTCTGTAGCTCCAGTGGGTTGTGGGAAAGATTTATGGGATGGAACTCACAAAGCAGACATGGGCTGGGCCCTGGGCCTTGGAGATGGGCAAGTTCTTTCCGCCTGCCACCCAGAATTCAGTCTGGGTGACAGGCGTCAGTCACCCGGAATTCAGATGTGGAGGTATTCTATCATCAGTCCAAGTAACTTCCAAATCAAAGAACGCTCTTGACTTGGCATTTATACGATGTTTCAAAAATCTCTTATCTCACATTTTGGCCTTGGGGAGCACATGGAGAGTGGACTCCCTGACATTTTCATCTTTTTGTCCCCTACAGCCTGAACATAGGATACCAGTGATCATTGTACACTTGTGAGTGTACACCATGCATCTGGGGAGCAACAATTAATGGCAATAATATTAATGAATCTTAATAGCAATAACTTAGAGATTTTTAAAAATTGAGTATATGTGTAATACATCATTTTTGTAAGAATTATGTATGGCTTTTTGGGATTCCATTTAGTTCTTATTATAGACATCCAGGTGAAAAATCTTACTAGTGTTCTGGAAAACTATTGAGAATTGTTTATGAGAACTTTGTCATTAAAAATAACATCCTGTGAATAGTTGGAGAGCTCTACAAAACAGAAAGCAATGACCTGAGTGTTCCATCCAGTCTGATTAGGAAAGAGCTCTTCACAAAAAAATAACTAACAGGACACCAAGAAATCAATTACTCACATTCTCGTCATTAAACATCTGTATCTCAAGGAGAATGTCTTTGAGTAATGATGGAATATATAGAATATTATAAATAAAGTTTCTCAATTGCCATGTTACTGGGTTTCTGGGCATCTAGAGAGTGTTATGAAAATAGCAGAAGCAGCCACAGTTACTCTTTGGGATTAAGACTGGGAAGATAATTATTACAATAAATCTTCTTTTGCCCTGTGTATACAGCATTCTTTGCTTTGATATGCTAAGCATACATAGTGGTCACTGGTTAAATGAGGAAACGGTTAGTTTAACAAAAGAGTTGAATGAATTCAGGTTACAGCCATGCTTCCTTTTAATGGGCATTACTTGTTGACGGAAAATTATTCCACAACAAGCAGAGGTTGGTATGCTTTGCTGAGTGTCCTGCAAAGACCCATACCTTATTCGTTATTATTCCTTCTTCCCACTCTCCCATTAGATGAAAATTCTGACTTCTAAACTATTCTAATAAAATTGGAACCTGTCTAATTCCTGTAGACTTCGAGGCTATTCTCGAATCAGCCAGTCCTAGAGAAGCAGTTGGTTTATGGACAAAATGCTAGTTTGCTATTTAAGAATAATAGTAAGGGATAGTAAGGGAATGGATGGTCAGCTCCAAAGTGACAATCACGCAGGAAGAGTTTCTTTAGGTTGAGTCCATGGTGAATCTACCAAAGGCTATACAAGCTCTCATGCTGCTTCAGAATATTCTAGTAACAGCGTAGGTGAATAAAGAGAATCTTAAGTATGATTAGTGAGCACAAAAGCAGCACTTATGAGTCCATTCTCCATAATATGATTTTCCAGGAGAACATAATGAAAAAAATTTATAAAGTAGTTTGTGAATAGGTATTTTATTCAGTTTGCTTTTCTTGTATTTTTATATGTGATGCTAAGATACGTTTATCATAATCCTTTCTACTAAAGCTGGTACTATACTTTAAATATATATGCTGCTTTCTTCATACTCTTGGGAAGAGTCCCTGCTTCTGAATTCTACCATACAAAAGTGCCAACTCCCCAACCTAAGTGTGAATGTCTTTCTTATTTTATCATTGAATTCCTTTTCCATGTAAAAGCAGGGTAGAAAGGAAATAAAAATTTTAAGGTAACTATTTACACTATGCCTGTAGGATATTAGTGCCCAACACAAAAGAATCCTACAATACCTGAGAAGAGATGGATTTTCAAAACTATGAGTTGAACGATGTATATAAATTCTATTCAACCCCATATTTTTTTCAAATAAGATGTTTAACACTAATTTCTCAGTTGTATAAGGAGTTATATAACAAAAAGGATAAGTTCAACATTATTTTTCAGATATATGATTTATCAATCAGAGAAAGGATTTTGTTTCAGAATGCCCAAATATTATAAAGATTATGAACCAACATTGAAGACGCTTGGGTCATCTTTAAGTGGTGCTTTATAGCTGTGAGCCAGCCTTTCCCAAATTTGTCAAATTAATTAATACCTAAAACAAAACTGAAAATCCACTAGGAATTCGTATCTATAAAAAGAGTCAATAGTATCTTCTGCTTGTATCCCAGTGGTTTGTAAAATTGGGAGTGTAGCAGAATGATTGGAGGGGTTACTAGAGACTAATTGCTGCCTCCTTCCCCCCACCTGCTGCCTCCAATTTCTGATTCACTTGGTCTCGGATGGGACACAAGAACTTGTATTCTAAATCCCCAGGCAGATACCAATACTGCAGATCTGGAAATCACACTTTGAGAATGACTGCTCTAACATATTAAATGCATTTTATTTATTTATTAAAACTTTTTTGAATTATTTTTTATTTCAATAGGTTTCTAGGGAGCAGATGATGTTTGGTTACATAAATAAGTTCTTTAGTGGTGATTTCTGAGATTTTGGTGCGCCCATAACCCGAACAGTGCGCACTGTACCCAATGTATAGTCTTTTATCCCTCACCCCCCTCCCACCCTTTCTTCTGAGTCCCCAAAGTCCAATGTATTATTCTTATGCCTTTGAATCCTCATAGCTTAACTCCAACTTGCAAGTGAGAACATACAATGTTTGGTTTTCCATTCCTGAGTTACTTCACTTAGAATAATAATCTCCAATACCATCCAGGTTGCTACGAATACCATTATCTTGTTCCTTTTTATGGCTGAGTAGTATTTCATGGTAAATATATACCACATTTTCTTTATCCACTTGTTGACTGGTGGGCATTTGGGCTGGTTTCATATTTTTGCAGTTGCAAACTGTGCTGCTATAAACATGTGTGTGCAAGTATCTTTTTCGTACAATAACTTCTTTTCCTCTGGGTAGATACCTTAGGAACTTGGCCAGGTGCAGTGGCTCACACCTGTAATCCCAGCAATTTGGGAGGCCTAGGTAGGAGGATTGCTTGAGGCCAGGGATTCCAGACCAGCCTGGGTAACATAGGGAGACCCTATCTCTACCAAAAAATAAAAAAATCAGCTGAATGTGGTGGCCGAGCTTATAGTCCTAGATACGTGGGAGACTGAAGTGGGAGGATTGTTTGAGCCCACTAGTTCAAAGCTGCAGTGGGCTATGATAGTGACACTGCACTTCAGCCTGGGTGACAGAGTGAGAATTTGTCACTAAAAAATCAAAAATGGAAAATAAAAATAAAATAAAAGAGCTAACATTTATTAAGCCCTTACTAAATGCTCTTCCAAACACTTTACATAGAGAATGACACTAAATTCTATAACAAGCCTGTGAGGTTGGCCTTGGTTTTAGCCATGTTTTACAGATGAGGAAAGTTCTGGTTTTAGACCCTTTTTTATAGTTGGAAAAATGGAAAGTCAAGCATTCAAGACACTTTTCTAAGTCACCTGATTAGTTGTAAGTAGCAGATCTGGAATTTAAACTTAGTAATGTAGGTTCAGACCTCATGCTTGTAACACCGGGGGGAATAAAGATCTTTGTAAGTTAACCCTTTTATGTATTTACGAATTGTATAATTTTCCCACTGTGCATTTTTTATATTTTACCAATTCCACTTTTCTGAGCTATGTCAAGCATAAAATACCATAGTTTTAATAATATTCTGTGTGATTGCAGATGGAGTCATGCATTTAGTTTTGCTTCAATCTATAAATACTCAAGGAATAAATAAGGAAAAAGTTACCACTTATAAGATTACACTTACAAAAAAAGTTCTTGTTATAATGGAGAGTAAAGAAAACAAGGCCAGAAATTTCATAGTTATCATGATACTACCTATAGGAAAAAATTATATACGGAAGCAAACAAACTTGAAAAGTAAATATCCCATACTGCTAACATCCACAAGAGAGAGTGATATATAATATTTTGGGGTATCTTGAAGCACATTTTACACCATATTGCAGGCTGTTTCTTTGACAAGAACTGGAGGCAGTATATTTGTGTAGAGTGAGAAAGTGAATCATTTTATTAGAATTCCTTTTGCATTTTAAATCAGTACAGATAAGTGAATGTTCCATAAGAAGTCTTTTTTTTTTTTTTTTTAAGACAGAGTATTGCTCAGTTGCCCAGGCTGGAGTGCAGTGGCGTGATCTCAGTTCACTGCAACCTCTGCCTCCTGGGTTCAAGCCATTCTCCTGCCTCAACCTCCCAAGTAGGTGGGATTACAGGCATCCGCCACCATGCCTGGCTAAT
The DNA here is from genome assembly GCF_000001405.40 of Homo sapiens. Taxonomy (NCBI): domain Eukaryota; kingdom Metazoa; phylum Chordata; class Mammalia; order Primates; family Hominidae; genus Homo; species Homo sapiens. The sequence goes on along the minus strand of NC_000005.10, from coordinate 11,535,037 downwards.
TTGATGTATTTTTAGTAGAGAACGTGTTTCGTCATGTTGGCCAGGCTGGTCTTGAACTCCTGACCTCAGGTGATCCACCTGCCTCAGCCTCCCAAAGTGCTGGGACAGGTGTCAGCCACAGCTCCCGGCCAAGAAATCTTTTTTTGAAGTGTTTAATCCTTGTCCAAGTTCACTTCAGAACAAAAGTTAGAGCAGAGAGAATGGATTGTCAGCAAAGTCTTCGAGGAAAAACTAACTTACATATTTCTTAGAATATTTAGCTCACAGACAGCTCTCAGACTTCATTTTATTTGGATGACAACCTTCTAAAGAGGAAGGCATCACTCCTGTTTTCAATCATGAAACCAGGAATTCAGGCTTTAAATAGATGTCACCAGGTCTCAGCGCATAGAATCACCCTCAGGATTTCTTTTCTTTCTTTTTTTTTCCCCTGCAATGGAGTTTCACTCTTCTTGTTCAAGCTGGAGTGCAATGGGGCAATCCTAGCTCACTGCAGCCTCCACCTCCCGGGTTCAAGCGATTCTCCTGCCTCAGCCTCCCAAGTAGCTAGGATTACAGGCACATGCCACCATGCACAGCTAATTTTTTGTACTTTTTGGTAGGAATGTTAGCCAGGCTGGTCTCGAACTCCTGACCTCAGGTGATCTGTCTGCCTTGGCCTCCCAAAGTGCTGGGATTACAGGTGTGAGCCACTGTCACCTGGCGCACCCTCAGGATTTCTGTCCCCTGCTCTTATGGGCTACACTGTTCCCTAGATTTTCCTCCAAGAATATGAGATTTTAGTGCCTACAACAAGCTGATGTAACTGTGGGAGTCAGCAGTTACTTACAACAAACTTGGGGTTTTCAATTTTTCTGCAGGGTGTTTCTACCCATCAAATTAAGAAAAGTGAAAATGGCTTACAAAATATAAATGATCTAAACACGGTAGGAGGCTGTTTTTATATTCCTACCATTTAAGAATAAAAGGATGGATGTTAATTTTTTTATTGGTGAGGGGAAGTACAAACTCTTTGCATGAGGTGGTCCTGTAAAATTCACTGCTATACAGAAGCCTGCATGTTGTGAATGCATCCATTCTTACAGGCAGTGTGAATGCAGAATGCTCTCCAGAATAATGTGTGAGCTTCCCCACCCTCTACAGTCCAGATCACTAAGCCCTGGCATCTCAAAGTGAGGTTCTAGGCCTAGGAACATTGACATCAGAATCTTGTTAGACATGCGGAATCTCAGGTCCATCCCAGAACTCCTGAGTCAGAATCTTCGTGTTGGCCAGACCCTGAAGCCACATAAATACACATCAGGTTTTGAGAAAAGCTGCTCTGAGTGGTCCATTGATTGTAAAAATTGGTGCTTCCATGAAGCCAGAGATGAAGTTTCCTTAAGTGAGAATGCTGATGTCCAGAGCAGAGTCTTTTGCCAGGGACAGGAAGCTTCATGGGCTACCATGGAAAGGAAGAGTTGTGCTGGGTGTTGGGCTTAGCTAGGGCTGTGCTACCCCACGTCTGCTGGCTCACACTGGACCTCTGTGCCATGGCCAAGGCTATGGGGTCCTTGCTGCCTGAGGTCCAGTGACTTTGGCTCATTCTTCACAATGAAGCCAGCCCGGGGAACATTTTCTTCTGGGGCATCTGTGAGCTCTAAATCCCACCCTAGGTGGAAGGAGCCATGAGATGATGTCCCCTTAGCACTTCAAGGACACTCCTGAGTATAATTTACATTAAAGGGCTGTTGAAGCCTATTAACTGATGACACAGAAAAATAAGCACAGGCTATCATGTTGTTTCCTAGAAAATATGCTTTACATATTTGCATTGGAAGTCTTGCGTTTGACAGAAGAATTAACAGAAATTCAATATTTTTGAAAAGATGGCTGACCTTTTATGCATATGAATGTGAGCTCCTCTTGACTCCTCTTAGCCCAGAGTGAGAGTCTTTGTGAACTTGCATTTCCACCTTTCCTCTTCTCCGCCCCCTGGGCTGCCACTTCATGGGAACACTAGTGGCTGGTGTTCAAGTTTCCACTAATTGCTTTATTATCTCATAAAGAGGCATTAATTGCTAACATAATTTCACATTCTCCTCTGAATTGCATACTTCTTTTATGCAAAGTGACTACTTCAAACTCTTTCCCACCTCCCTCCTTCTTTTTCTCCTGTCATTGGAGAAACAACAAGTAACCCTTTTCTGGGGGCCATAGGAAGTCACTTGCTGTAACATCTGATCCAGATCCTTGATCATGTAAAAATTTATTCAGTGAAATATTGATTAAAGTCTATTTCCTGACTAGCAAATGTCCTTTTTCTTTAAGGCCCTTCTTGATTTTGTTTTGCGATATTGAACCTATAGAAATAATTTGAAATGATAGAACAAACTATTTTTTCCACAGTTTTCTTACTTTCTGTTAATTTCACCACTCTTAGTTGGTGAGTTGCCCGATTTATTCATAAATTTTCAGCCCCTGGCAAGGTGGATGACCTACAGTAGGTGCTCAATAGCTCAATAAACAGTTGCTTTATAGTTCAAAGGTCTTTAATGGCCTTTTGGTTATTGAGAGAGTATTTTAAAATTTTGGAATTGAAGTTGGCTTGAAGAATGTTCTCTCAAAAATGTTGGAAATTAAATATCTTATGTTTCCAATAAACATTATTCAGGTTCCCTGGGAAACCGACTAAGATACGGAGAATAGTTTATTGGGGATGTTCTTGAGGCCAATACTGGAGGAGGGGTGGGGGTGGGTTTGGAGAAAAAGGAGGGAGAAGAGGGAGAGGGGCAAGGGATGGGAAGGGAAAGAGCCTGCAAGCCTGGCAGAGGGAGAAGTTGGGCTGTGGTGTAGTCACAACCAAGACTACAGTGGCCCTGTAGGGAGGCTCTGGAGGTGGGAGAGCCCTTCAGGATTGTTTGGAGGTGGTGCAAAGGGGCTGCACCTTTCTATGTCCACAGCCAGGCAGTTATAGATGTGAGCCATTCCTGGAGGGGAGCATAATGTCTGGCTCTTCCTGAAGGGGTTGACAGCTGAGTGTTGTCCAGAGGCAGCTGCACACCCAGCAGCTGGGGGAACAGTTTGGGAGGCACGTGGCAATGTGCACTGCGGTTAGTGTGTCTTGAAATAATGTGACCAGACTTTATTTGGTGGATAAGCCAAATAAAATATAAAAAGTGCTGTTATGTGGTATTAATTGTAATGTTTGGTGAAGATAGCAGAATGTAAATGTCTATGTGCAGCATATCACTTGTAAAGTATTCATAGAAAGGAAGGCTGAAAAAGCATATATCAAAATGCTCTTTGAGTGTTTTTATTTCATCCTTTATTCTTTCCTGAGCTGTCTCATTTTAGTAATTAATATTTACTACCTTATGATAACAATCCGCCATGGCAGTGGCTCTCCCTGTCTTTTTGTTTTGTTTTGTTTTTGACAGAGTCTTACTCTGTCCTCCAGGCTGGAGTACAGTGGCATGATCTCAGCTCACTGTAATCTCTGCCTCCCGGGTTCAAGTGATTATTCTGCCTCAGCCTCCTGGGTAGCTGGGACTACAGGTGCCTGCCACCATGCACGGGTAATTTTTGTATTTTTAGTAGAGATGGGGTTTTACCATGTTGGCCAGGCTGGCCTCGAACTCCTGATCTCAGGATATCTACCCTCCTCGGCCTCCCAAATTGCTGGGATTATAGGCCTGAGCCACCGTGCCCAGCCCTCCCTGTCTTTTTTAGCTCACTGTGTGGGGGGCCGTGTTTCCCTCCCATCCCTGACTCCCTCTTTCCTCACCTGTGTAGGGTCCTTTATTTAGTTCCTTGCTGCTGGCTTTTGTTCCTGTATTTGACATATTTTCATGGTACTATTCCCATGTTCCTTGGCCAGGTGTCCTTTTCTGGAGACACTTGTACCCACCATCCTTGCCTGACCACACCTTTTGTAAATTCAGAATGATCAGTTCTAACAAGGTATCAACATTTTCCATTACTTCATCTCTTGCCAGTAGAGTAAACCTCTAATGACAGTTATGTCTGCAGGATGTTATTTTCGTTGCTTGCAGGAGACAAAGCCGTGTGTTGTATTGTCTGCAGAGCAATTGACTTTAAAGATACTACAGTGTAAACAGAGTGCTGCTTTTTGTGTGCGTTTGTAAGTTCACATTATTTTTTACTGTAGGCTTGGATAATCAGCAGTTAAAAAACCCCAGTCAAGAGTTCATAATCTAAGTATGATCCCTGGGCCCTTCAAAAATTGGTACCAAAATCCACACCATCATGTTTGCTAAGTACAAAAGGGAAGCTAGAAACACGTAGTTGTAGACGAAATGAGTGGCATTAAGATATATATGTGATCAGAAATATTGTTAAGGCTCTGCCCCTCTTATGTGACTGGGATGTCAGATTCCAGAAAATAACACATTCTAGTATTTTGAGTGCAGTGCTGAGGCCTGGAGGTCTGAAGCCCTGTGGATGCCACAACACCCCAATTCCAAAGGACTTGGTGTCCTGAACTGACTTGAAGACTGGCTGTGCCTGTCCCCAAAACACTGCTGCATCCACCTTGGAGTGAGCCTCTTCTACCTCCTGGAAATTAACTACGGAGATGTCCCAGGGCTGGAAAGCAGGGAGGGGGACTTCCCCAAATCACACACACAGGCCATGAGACCTTTTGCATTTGCTGGGTAACGAATACTTGATCATGAGGCCAAATTGGATCTATAAGTCCATTCTTTGAAGCTGCGTGATGGTTATCGAGGCAGGATTATTCAACTCCTACCCATTTCTAACCATCTGACATTATTGCTATTTACTAAAGGGAGCTTTTGGTTGGTACACTCATTATGTATCGAGATATTATGAGTCATCCTGGAATCCTCATCATATCTTTGCTTCCCCAGTAGAGTTGTGCCAACTATTTTGATAATGAAAACTTTGAGGTGAGCACTTATGGAGTTAAAATCAAAGGAACTATTGCAGTCAAGGAGAATCTAGGATGCCAATTCCATTGGAACATTTTTGGTTTCGGAAACTAAGCTTACTGCAAGGTACAATATTGCCTGAAGCTCAGAAAAAGTACAGCTTTAAAAAGCAATCTTATAGCATATAATATGTAATTTTCAAGATAAATTACTTTTTCTAAATAATATAGGAATTATGGGGTTATCAGTACAAAAGGATTTTGATAATTCTGTTTTAGATACCCAAGTGTGTATTGTTCTGAGTAATTTTAAAGACAATAAACCAAGGCAAGATCTCTCAAATCCATGATTTTAGATTGTTTGAAAATACCATTAATCTCTTTACAGCCCTTTTTTATGAAAATGTTTCTAAATCTAGTTGAAATTTTGCCTGGAATAAAGCTTAAACTATCTGCATAATCTTGGGTTAGCTCTGGAGACCCCATTCATATTCATAGTTATGCTAAAGATGTAGTAAATCCACTGCATGCTTTGTATTTAGGAAACTACAAAACCAGTTTCCAAACTAAGCTTTATTTGATTATCTTCCCATGAGGATATTGCTTTTTATTGAATCATTTTTTTTCCCGTGAGTTTTTCTTGAGTGCCAAGGCAGAGTTAAAAATAGATCAAAGATGGCTCAAATTATGTAGAACCACAGTGTGTATTTCTTGTTTATGAACTATGGAAGAATTTTGTTTCCTTTTCTGAATATCTGCAAATAAAATGTACTTCATTGGAAGACGCTTTGGTTTTATAAAGCATTTGAATTTTTTAACTGAAATTAAATAATCCATTTAGTAGCATTCCTAAACACAATATCTCTGTTTTTGCTGTTGTTGTTGTTTTGTTTTGTTTTTTGCCAGTTTTTTGCACAGCTAATAGAGCATTATGCTAAGTAGGAGGCAGACAGTGCTACCTTTTGATCAAGACTTCATTTCAGTTTCCTTTTGGTCAGTGGCAAGCAACCCTTATTTCCTAGATCTTCACAGCCAATGACGGAAAAATATGGCCTTGTGTCCCTGTTTTCCGCATTGCTATTTCCTGCCGGCACCAGTCTGTCCTGGTTAGCACACTGTGATCCTGGGGTTCCCTTCCCACATATTTTCATCACTCCATACCTGTCAACGCCGGCCTCTGTGAGAAGATCAGAAACTCAAGTGTGTCTCTTGAAGCCGACAACATGAATTGCCCAGCCAGACAGCTCTGCTCCATCCCAGCAGCCTCTGGGGCCACCTGGCCACTGATGAAAAGGGGAAGTCTAAAGTGCCTGCTGAGGTCAGGGCAGGTGCCTGCCCCACTGGAAGGCCTTCTTCTGTCAGAGCTAGGTCGCTGCTCACTTCCTTTGTGGCCCCTGGTTCAGACTCCAGGGTGTAAGGTGTGCATCTCAGAAAGGCCAGCACGGCCAACTCCCCAAGGCCATATACTCTGTGGTGCAGGCTTACATTGGGTTGGGCAGGGCTTGGCACCAGTGTGAAGCTGGACATTGGAGGAAGAGTTCCCTGAGGACCTGACACCAGCCCCAGACTCTGCACCTCCCTTTTGGTATTTTCCAAGGGATGTTGTTTCCCACTCTGTTCAAGGCTGTCCCAGTCCCTCTGATATATTTCAATTACTTTGACTTTTGATAACTCCATGACATGGAGGACGAACTCTTGAATATTTCTAATAAGAAATTTCATTTTTTTTTTATGTGAACTACTGGGAATAAGAACTCTTCATTTCATGGGTTGCTGTGTTTTACTTGTTGACACAAAGTGAGTATACAAATGAAAACCCAGAAAGCCATTACTTAAGAGCACAGCTTCAAGTCTGTGAAAATTATCTCAACTCCAAAAGCTTCTGTGCCTGTGACCTGTGCGGCTTGTCTCCAAGTTACAGTGATGCCTCCTTGATGGATGATCTTGTCATTTGACACCAAGTACAACTGCAGTAGTAACAATATGTTCATTCTTTCTGAACCCTGTATGAGATTCCCAGGCTTGGGGACCCATTGTGAAAATGACATTGATTGATAAGTCCCCCGCGAGCTTTTAAATGTGGCTCTCTTTATATGAGTGCTCATACTGCATGGGTTTTTTAAATTGACTCTATTAATATTGTTATGTTATTATGATATTATTCTAGTTTATTTACTTTTCCAAAGAAATCTGTTTAAATCTGTTTGGAAAAACACCCTTAATGCAGCGCCGTACCCAAGTCATAAACCATTGCCATTATGTTGACTACACCCTGGGGTAACTGTTAGGAAGACATTTATTACACAATGTTTATTGCACGCCTGTGTGTCCACTGTTCTCTGTTAAGTGCCCAGGGAAACATAAAGCATAAGATCACCCTTTCTCGTTAAGAGTATACAGTAAAATTTAGAAGACAGGTTTATATGAAATATTAAATATAATGACACAGCAGCTTAGAGGAGTGTCATGCTATGACCAAGCTCTTGGTGAGAAACTATCACTAGAGGAACAACTGATAAAAAGTCTCAGAGATGCCTTGGAACTGCCATTGACTCCACCTTTGCTTCTATCTAAGGGGAGCTTTAGAGCTTGGAGATAAAGGGAAGGGGCTGAGATGGAGCAAAGGTGGGGAGACCTCGAGCCTGAGTTCTGCCTAGAGGTGGATGGGTGGGAAGGGTACAGGGGGTGGGATTCCAGGGCAGGCTCCCAGAAGGCCTTGTGCGGGATGCAGTGGAGACTTGAAAGAGGTACTGTGGGGCACAGTGTATCTTTGCATGAGTAGGGAAGGACGAGGCTTCTGGCGCCAGCCTGCCTGAGTTCTAAGCCACACTCTGCCATTTGTAGGCCTGACAATTTGGAGAACTGTATTCTACTTCTTTGCATCTTAGTTTTTTCTTTTTTTTTATTGTGGTAAAAAAATACATAACATTTACCATTTTAATAATTTTTAAGTATAAAATTCAGTGTTATTAAGTATATTTACAATAGTGTGCAACCATCACTCTATCCATTTCCAGAATTTTTTCATCTTCCAAAACTGAAAGTATAAATTGTAACTCCCCATCTGCTCTCCCCCAACCCCACCTTCTTTTTCTTTTGTCTCTATGAATTTGCCTACTCTAGGTACATTATGTAAGCAGATTCATACAGTATTTGTCCTTCTGTGTCTGGCTTACTTCACTTAGCATGTCATTAAGATTCATCTATATTGAGCATGTATCAGAATTTTATTTTCTTTTTCACTTTAAATAATATTCCACAGTATGGACAGACCATATTTTCTTCTTCCATTCCTCTGTTGATGGACACGTGGGTCCTTCCACTTCGGGCTGCAGTGAAAACTGGTGTACAGGTGTCAGTGTGAGTCCCTGTTTCAGTTCTCCTGGGTGTGTACCTAGGAGTGGAATGGCTGGATCAAGTGGTAATTTTGGTTTTAATTTTGCACCCTAGTTTTCTTATGTATAAAGTGGGGGTGCTGATAGTTCCTAAAACACAGGGGTATTCTGAGGATTAAGTGTTAATACATAACAAAATGCTTAGACATGTTTAGAAGAGGGCTGGCGTGTGGCAAACTCTAGCAAGTGGTGGCTGGCGTGATTCTACCGAAGGCACCAGCTGCCCCTGTCCTCAGCCAGCTGGGCCAGCACCTGGAAGTGAGGCCTGAGGATCAGCACTGCCTAAAACAAGGCAGCATACACAGCAGGTGCACACTTAACGTCATCGATAGGTTCCGGAAACTGCGACTTGAAGCAAAACAACATATGACAGAACCAATTTCACCATAGGCGAGTTGGTATAAACAAGAGTTAAGTTTGTATGGCGGCTTCTGGTCACAAAAACATCACCAAACTTCTGAATGAAGACCAAAACGCTTCTAATATTCAACAAGAAATGAATGTGTGTTATCCATACATTTAGGAAAGTTTAATAAAAACAAGTAAGATAGACCGGGCATGGTGGCTCATGTCTGTAATCCCAGCACTTTGGGAAGCTGAGGCGAGTAGATCACTTAGGGCCAGGAGTTCAAGACCAACCTGGCCAACATGGTGAAACCCTGTCTACCAAAAATACAAAAATTAGCCATGTGTGGTGGCACACACGTGCAATTCCAGCTACATAGGAGGCTGAGGCAGGAGAATCCTTGAACCTGGGAGACGGAGGTTGTAGTGAGCCAAGATAGTGCCACTATACTCCAGCCTGGGTGACAGAGCGAGACTCTGCCTCAAAACGAACAAACAAAAAAACAAGTAAGATAGTGATTTACCTTCTTATTTCTGTTCAAGGACTTGGGTGGCCCAGAGCCTATCCCAGCAGCTCAGGGTACCAGGTGGCCACCAAGCCCTGAACAGGGCACCATCCCATCGCTGCACCTTTCACACACACCCACACACACTCACACTGGGACTGTGTAGGCGTGCCAGTTAACCTCATGTGCACATTTTTGGGATTCTGCAGACCTGGGGAGAATGGGAAGACACACAGACAGTGGCCCTGGGCAGGGATGGATGCTATTTGAGAACTGCTGAACTTACTTGTGGTGTTGGACAATGAACGCTTTTTAACTGTGTGTGGTTCACAGTACTGCTGTTCTTGTCCTAGCTTTTGATATTTCTGTGGTCTCATAGGTAGGTGATGGAATGTTATGTATCCTTATTTACAAAGGCTGAGATCTGAATCAAAATGTTTAAATTTAACCTCTTCCTAAATTCTTTGAGGACATGAAATATGATTATGTGTTTTTTTTTTAATTTGAAAATGTTACTCATGGTACAAAAAGACAATGTATCAGTTTGTGCAGCCAGGAAGTTGAACTCTGAAATATCACATGTTTTGACAAGAGCCTCCTGGGGAAGGGACTACACAAAGAGGCGGTTTCCTGTTAAAAATTCAGCACATTGTGCTCTAAGTGCTGTGAGTTGGGCTAAGGATGAAAAATCTCCTTTGATATGTAACTCAAGCATGGATGTTTGGCTGCAGCTAAAAAGCCCTAGAGCTCTCCATAGTGAGTGTGTCATAAGGAAGGTAGGAATGCAGATGTGTTGCTGGCTGCCACTGGGGAAAGGTTATCTTACAATAAACACAAAAATGACTTTCGGCTTCTTCAGACAGCCTGCTTTTCTAAATTAGTAAAAGTTAGTTAAATATTCGATTTAAATTCCTTGTCAAATCTATCATACAAAGAATTTTGAGAATTGTGAGTAAGCTATGGATCAATGAACATAGCATATTTTTATATGCTATGTTTGAGTCAAGTAAAAGGACAACATTGTAGTCTTTTTTTTTAAGGTTTGCTTCCTTTGCATGATGAGAAACAAAATAAGTTTTGCAAAACGAAGTGATGATGCGTATACAGTTGAATGTACGTTACAAGCTCTAGTGTATATTATCACCAGTAAACGTTGGAACTGCATTAATTTTGTTTTGACAATCATTTTGTTAAAGTGTGTAGGTACTTTGTTAAAACAAGGAGAGATGGGCTCTTTTAGACAGGAACTCCTGGAGGGGAACAGACAGAAGCTTATCTCCTTCCTTAGGCCTCTAGCATCCGTCTTCAAATTGCCTAAAATTCTTTTGAGCAGGGCTTTGTTGGGGGAAAGAAACTGTGTTAATGCAGGGTTCCCTGTGTCACCAGGAGCGTCCTCACTCAGCCTCCATTAACCCAGGGAGGACTGGAGAGTCTCTTCACTGGTCCTTCTAGACACAAAAGAACAATAAAAATCCACTGTTTGCTGATGCTTGAAATTCCATTAGCCAAAGAACAAAAGCATTTCATTCTGCAACTTACAACAAAAGTACTTTCAGATTTCATGCCTTAGTGTGTGATTGTGTTTGAGTCAGGGCGTCATAAGTCAGGGAAACAATTCAAATGACTGTTTTGTTAGGAGGTGAAAGGGCACACGCTGTCTTGAGTGTCTGCAAAGGCTGAAGAGTCCTGTGGAGGGGACGTGGGAAGGTGGAGGTCACAGGTGGGGCAAGTGTGGGGTGCAGTGAGGGGATCACAGATTCCAGCCCCAGGCTTTAGGGCTTCACAGCCCACCTCCTGCCCACCCTCTTACCCTTATCTGAGATAGTTCCAAAAGGAGCCAGCCCTAGAAGGCCTTTTTTCCTTAACAAGCATTTCTGCCCATGATGATTTATGAGGATCACTTTTTAAACATGGTTGAGTTTGTATAACCAGGGGATTAATTAGCTGAGGAATCACTGTGACAGCAACACAGATAGAGCACCAGAACTGAAGGCCATAGATGGAGAGAATGAGACGTGCAGACCCCCTGCACCCGCTTCACAGCAACATGGGCTCATTGTTGTAAGCCCTGGCCAGGGCAGAGTGGTCAAGGGCACCAGTGAGTAGGACTGGCTGAGAAGGGGGCAGAGTTTCGATAAGGGAAGAGGAGGCAATCCAACCAGAAAAAAGAGAGCCATAAGAGCAGGTGCAGGAAGTCCCCGGTGCATTAGTTCTTTTCAGACCTCAGTGAAGGGACCTGTCTTTCTTGTTATGTTCTACTTGGAGATGAACTGAGATTGTCACTGTAGTAAATTCATCAAAAGTTCTTCTCTGAAGAAACGTGGACTCCAGCCTCTAGTACTCTGTACTGAACCACTAAACCTGTGCACATCTGAGAAATGCCCCTTTGTAGGTTTGTGATTATTCCAGTGTAGAGTCATAAAATACAAAGATGTCATTGGAGGCTTCTGAGTGCAGGAATTTAGGATCATTCATTGTTGAGAGACTCGATGGTTACGCAAGTGTGCCTCGATATACATGATACCATAACCTTATGTTACATTTGTGTTTTTGTGTTAAAAATATGAAGTTTTTAAAAGTGTAGAAACAACTCCAAATCAGAAACTGTAGAATCTTAAAAAAAAATCTCATGTTATTTCAAAATAACATTATTGTGCTTCCACGTATTACCACAGATAATGCAGAATGATTTGCTTTAGGGCTGGAACAAGCCTTGGAAAAAGACTGATCGTTTCCTCCATAATTATATTATGTATTAAACTTCCAGCATAGCTAGTATATGTGGATTAAGTGTGAAATTAGTATCAGTTATGGAAACTTTTGTAGAAAAACTTGCATATTCAATAGCATATGGCATAGGGAAGCCAGCCCATCGCATCCAACCATGCCAAATAGCTCCACTGTAACTTGATATCAGAAATGTTGGAGAATATATGCTGAAAGTGTCCCAGTTTTCACACAGCAACTTGACTTTAACAGTAATTCAAACGCATGGGTGCTTCTTTGCAAAAATACATGTGTATGTGTAGCTTGTTGAGACAGTATTTATCATAGTAAATTTTTCTATGGCCAAAAATTTCTGTCTTTCCCTTCATCGTTCAAGAAAAAAACCTGTGTCTATATGGAATAACTTGGCTTAATTGGTCCTGAGTAATGCAGTCTGATACCTGCTATGGTCCTGTCTGCCATCTTGTCATGAGTCAACTGTGATTAGAATGAATGGGAAATACTCGTTTATGATATCTCTGTTCTCTATGTGCAATTTCAATTTACACAGAGAAGGTCTCATTCGCATGGAGAAGGAGTTGCGTGGGTATAGCAAATCATCATTGTGAGCACTGATTTGATATTGTCTCCCTGTAGATAGAGCCCGGGTATAACGTTAAAATCTAACATGGATAATAGAGTTGATTGTAGTCTGCGGCAATGCTTTGGGAGAATGATACTAACAAAACACCAGATTTTGATGATGGGGTTATTATTAGAAACTTAGGGTTTTACAGCTGGAAGGGAACTGACAGGTTTCAGATGAAAACTAAAGCCGTAATGTAAGGTGACTTGTGAAAATTACAAAGCCAAGGCTATGGCTGTATTCCTGGGTCTTCCAGCCCAGGGTCCTTTCTACTAAACCATGCAATACAGAAATTGAGAAATAAATTATACTTTTATCACGTTTGTCATGGAAAATTTACAATCTTTCTTCTAACACATAGAGATTCAGAAAGTATGTTAAGTGACCAAATTAAATAAGTGCTCTCTATTTAACAGTTACCTATTTAATGTTTATGAATTTAAATTCTCACGCTGTGTGTCCACAGAATTAATAGCCAATAATCATGCACTGTGTCTGCTTGATTTAGGATAGATCTCTCCCTTCACTATGCTTTAAGTTTGCTCTGTGAGGCTGGTCTCATACAGCTGGATAGACTATATAGGTTGCAGCAATGATCTTCAAATATGTAATCAGTTATCAGCAAAAGGCAAGAAAGGAGAGGTTATAAATTGTTCTCGTTGGGAGTGCATCCATTGTCACCTGTCATTGTAATAGAATGCAAAGCTCTCTATGTTATTTCCTAATGGATGTTTAACATCGGCTATGCATCATTCACTCAACGAGCATCGATTGTCTTTGCTGCTCCTGATACTTCATCTAGCCTCAGATGGGATGCAACATGGTCTTTGCCTCAGTAAAGCTACCAAAGAAGATAATATGTGACCAACACTTAATATACATTTACTAAATGCCTAATTTTTGCCGGATACTGTTTTAGAACCAGAATATTAATATCTGTGGTAAACTGTTTTGAAGAATGCTGAGAAAATCCCAAGTTAAATGTTGACTATGTATATATGTTTAATGATGGTGGTGAGAATGATGATGACAAACATGCATTGAGCATTCACTAAGCAAGCAGTGTGCTAAATATTTCACCTGGTTTATTTCATTCAGTCTTCAGAACAACTCTCTAAGGTAAGTGAAAGATAAGCTCTTACCTTATCTATCACTAACCCTTTGTGAGAATGATGATGGGAAAAGAGGCTAAAATAGATTAAATAATTTGCCCAAGAATAATAAAGAAGGCTCAGTTAGAGAGAAGAGTCCTCAGATATGTGCCTTGATGTTACAATAGGATGTTTTTGACTTTGTGATCGCTGGGGGAGAATGTAGAATTGAAGGTGCTATTAAAAGGTAAAAAACATTAAGAAATATATGGCCACATTTTGAAACAAAAACTTAGTGTCATTTTTCTGACATGCCAAATTTCCCTTTGATATGAATGTTTATTATATTTCTAAAATGGTAATAAGCACATCTTCAACTTGAAAATTCGAATTACCCCTCTATTTTCCTATGACTTAAAATACAAAATATAGAAAATCGGAAAACAATGAAAATCGTATCACGTAAACTGTAAACCAAATAGCACAACGTGATTTATTTTCATTTGTTTCCTTAGGTTTATATAATCACATTGTTGCATCACAAAATGTAAATCTTTATCATCATTAGCATTTCTCCTTAAACAGAGATCCTGACTATATTAAGTCTATTTATCACAAACTGCTAGGTGCTAAGCTCTGGCATATGGTTGTTGAAATAACACAGCTTCTCCACAAGAGCTGCTAAGAAATTGGGGCTGCCCATCTGGCTGGGGAAAGCAGGAGGCATGACAGGTGATGGGCTGGTACTGGGTGAAGGCAGCCAAATGCCTGGATGAGGGCCACAATTCAAGGCCAATCTAGGCAGCATCCTGGAGGACTCAAAAGAAATGAGATGAGGGCTGGGCGTGTCTCATGGGTGACAAGTTGCTATGATTGAGATCAAGGTCTGATGCTAATAAACAGTGAGCTTCTCAGAAACACTTGTGAAAGGGATCCTCTACTGAGAACGCAGTCACTTTAGGCCTGGTACGCACCTCACTCTGCCCCCATGAGTTTTGGCATTCCTGCTCATTGAGAGAGTGGCTAAATCCAGCATGACCTAGTTCATCTGTGGAACATTTGCACTCATAGCAAGTATCACAGCTGACCAGGCCTTTCTCTTTAATCTAGGTTGATTTTAGGATTTCCTGGTGGCAGGGCTGTGATAATAACTTGGAGTCAACCATTGAGGGGCAGTTGGCCTAGAATGTGGAATACTGAGGGGTGCAGCATGCAGACAAAGCAGATCCAAGCCTTACTGCAAAAGAGATCCCTAAGATAGAGATATTTTCTTTTTCTTTTATTTTCTTTCTTTTTTTTTTTTTTTTTCCAAGACAGAGTTTCACTCTTGTTGCCCAGGCTAGAGTGCAGTGGCGTGATCTCGGCTCATTGCAACCTCTTCCTCCTGGGTTCGAGTGATTCTCCTGCCTCAGCCTCCCGAGTAGCTAGGATTACAGGCACCCACCACCACGCCCAGCTGTTTTTTTTTTTATTCTATTTTTAGTAGAAATGGGGTTTCACCATGTTGGCCAGGCTGGTCTCGAACTCCTGACCTTAGGTGATCCGCCCGTGTCAGCCTCCCAAAGTGCTGAGATTATAGGCATGAGCCACCATGCCTGGCCAGATAGAGATATTTTCAACAGTCACTCCTTATCAGGTAAAATCACAGTTTTCTCAGAAAGGAGGGATTAAAATTTATACCTCTACCTACCTACCTACCTACCTTCCTTCCTTCCATTTATTTATCCAACAGACACTTAGAAAACACTTCCTATCTGTTGTGACTCATGAAGTTTATACACTGGTATGAGGAGATGAAAAATAAACCAATAAATAAGGAAATAAAATCCAGATAATATTAAACAGTATCTTGTTTTGCTTGAGAAACTAGAGATGCAGAAGACAAGACGCCAATCGTCTAGGCCTGAAGCACTCTAATATTTAGCAGTTGACCAGAAAAAAAAAAAAAAACCCACAAAAGAGAATGAAAAGTAAACCATAGAGCCTTTAAGTCACAGTGGCTGGGAATAGAGAACTTCAAAGATAAGGCTGTCAGCTGGGTTCAGTGCTGCTTTGAAGATGTGTAAGATGAATCAAGACCTATTGGAAGTGCTAACATGGAAGCCATTATTGACTTTAGCAAAGTCAATTTCAATGAAATGAAGGGGTCAAAAGTCCAATTAAAGTAGGTAAATGGTACTCAAAGAAGTGAAAGCTTTTTTGAAAAGTTTTGCTTTAAAAAGAAGCTGTAAATTGTTGCTATTAAGAATGATCAAGTGTATAGTCTACAAAATTAGGCTGAGTTTGAATTCTTTGTTTGCTAGGCATGTTGAGATGAACTAGTCACTTAACCTTACTGAACCTCCATTAACTTCATCCATGCAATGATGATGTTAGGGAGAACACATGGAGCTATTTTTTTCCATTTTTTCCTCCATATACTTAAATTTGTGTGTGTGTGTGTGTGTGTTGAGATAGGGAGAGGAAATAGGGAAAAAAAGGAGAGCCAGTGGACGTACTTGTGTTGAAATTCTATTACCTTTGCATTACTTAAGTACAGTCATGTGTCATTCAATGACAGAGATAAGTCCTGAGTTCTGAGAAATGTGTCCTTAGGCAATTCTGTCATTGTGTGAACATCGTAGAGTGTACCTACACAGACCTAGTGGTCTAGCCAACTACACACCAGGTTATATGGTATAGTCTATTGCACCTAGGCTATAAACCTGTACAGCAGGTTACTGTATTGAATACTGTAGGCAGTTGTAACACAATGGTAAGTAGTTGTGTATCTAAACATAGTAAAGGTATAGTAAAAATACAGTATAAAATATAAAAGATTTTTTTAAAAAAAGATACACCTGTATAAGACACTTAAACCATGCAGGGCTTGCAGGACTGGAAGTCGCTGTGGATGAGTCTGTGAGTGGTGAGTGAATGTGAAGGCCTAGGACATTACTGTTCACTACTGTAGACTCAAGAAACACTGGATACTTAGGCTACGCTCAATTTATTGAAAACATTTTCTTCAATAATAAATTAACCTTACTGTAATTAGGCTTACTGTAACTTTTTACTTCAGAAATTCTTAAATTTCTTTTCACTTTTTGACTCTTTTCTAATAGCACTTGGCTTAAAACACAAATTGTACAGCTGTACAAAAATATTTCTATCATTATTCTATAAGCTTTTTACTTTTATTTATTTATTTTTTTTACTCTTTAAATGTTTTAAGTAAAAACTAAGACACAAGCACACCTATTAGCCTAGGCCTACATAAGGTCAGCATCAACAAGATGATATCACTAGGCAATAGGACATTTTCAGCTTCATTACAATTCTATGGGACCACCATCTTATATGCGGCCCATTGTTAACCAAAATGTTGTTATGTGACGTCGTGTGACTGTAACTAAAACTTTGTGCCCTTTGGCAACATCACCCCATTGCCCCGTTCCACCAATGCCCGGTAACCACCTTTCCACTCTCTGCTTCTGTAAGTTTGACTATTTTAGATTCCACATATAAACGTAATCCTGCAGTATTTGTCTGTGTCCGAAGATCTAATATACAGCATGATGACTATAGTTAATAATACTGCATCGTGTACTTCAACTTTGCTGAAAGGAGAGATCTTTTTTCTTATGTATTTTATTTTTATTTATTTATTTTATTATTATTTTCTTTTTATTTTACTTTAAGTTCTGGGATACACAGGCAGAATGTGCAGGTTTGTTACATAGGTGTACATGTGCCATGGTGGTTTGCTGCACCTATGAACCCATCATCTAGGTTTTATGCCCTGCATGCGTTATG
Organism: Homo sapiens; assembly: GCF_000001405.40. Lineage (NCBI taxonomy): Eukaryota > Metazoa > Chordata > Mammalia > Primates > Hominidae > Homo > Homo sapiens. The sequence continues at coordinate 11,517,662 of NC_000005.10, read as the reverse complement.
TATTTGTCCTAATGCTCTCCCTCCCCTTGCCCCCTACACCCCCGAGAGGCCCCGGTGTGTGATGTTCTTAAGAAATAAGAAAATGTTAACTATGTGAGGTGATGGATATATTAGTTTGCGGTGGTCATTTCACAATGTATACATACATCAAAGCATCACATTGTATACCTTAAATATGTACAATTTTAATTTTTCAATTATACTTTAACAAAGGTGTTAAAAATTACTTAAGTAGCAGAATCACTTGAATTAGTGTTACCCTATTGTAGAGAGAAGAATTTAGACAGTTTGAGAATTACCTTAACCTTTTTGTATGCAAGTAATGTGATTTTGTTGGGGACAGATATTAAAGCCTGGCTTTTTAATATTTTCTTTTACATCAATTAATAAGTGTAAGTTGTAGCAGAGTAGTTAAAATAGATGTAAAGTTATGGAAGGCCAAATTAAGCCAGTGATTTAAGAGATAAGAGGATACTTGCATGATTCGAGTGTATTTTGTGCTTGGTATTTAGCAGTGTGTACGTCACATATCACGTGTGGAACATAAACACAATGGTTAAGTGTTGCTTATTCAGCAACTAGAACTTCCTGAAATCTGGAATATTGGAATTTGTATTGATATTGGAAAGTAATTCTATAATATGCTTGCCTAAGAAATACATGTTTTGTATGCAGAATTCAATTTATATAGTAGTAACTACATAAACATATGGTAGTAACTACATAAACAACTACAAATTTTGAAATTGAGACGTGTGAGTTCTCAAAATTTAGTCTTTTTTAAGATTGTTGAGCTTTTCTGTGTCCTTGCATTTCCAAATGAATTTTTGGGTAAGCATGTTAACTTCTGCAAACAAACAAACAAAAGAACACCTGAAATCTTGATAGAGATTGTATTAAATCTGTAGATTAATTGGGCAAGTATTGCCATTGTAACAATATTAACTTTTCTTGTCCATGAACATGGACCATTTTTATATTTATTTAGATCTTTAACATTTCCTTCTTTTTCTTTATTTTCATGATATACATTTTGCACTTATTTTGCTTTTATTAATTTTTGATGCTATTGTAAGTGAAATTGTATTCTTAATTTCATTTTTGGATTGTCTATTTCTAGTGTATAGAAATGCAAACAATTTTTAAAATATTGATCTTGTACCTTGCAATTTTACTGAAGTTGATTATCAGTTCAACACATTGTTTTCTGAATTCTCAGCAGTTTCTATATGTAAGATCATATCTTCTGCAAATGGAGGTTGTCTTACTTCTTCATTTCCTATATGGGTGCCTTTTATTTTTATTTATTTATTTATTTATTTATTTTGCCTAATTGCCTCGTCCAGGACTTCCTTTACCATGTTGAGTAGAAGTGTTGAGAGTGGACATCCTTGTCTTATTCTCAATCTTAGTTGTTATGATTTGTTTCAAGATGTTATTTCTTATAATTAGATAATAAAAAACTTGTGGTGACTCTGACAATTTAGTTACTCTTTGCCCTATTTCATATTTGATAATAATGCAATTATTGCACTTAAACTAAGTAAATTTTTTTTTGAGACACTGTTTTGCTCTGTCACCCAGACTGGAGTGCAGTGTGCATTCATGGCACACTGCAGCCTCAATCTCCCAAGCTCAAGCAGTCTCCCCCAACGCAGCCTCCCCAGTAGCTATGACTACAGGTGCATACCACCATGCCTGGCTAATTTTTTAAAATTTCTTTTTAGTAGAGATGGGTTCTTGCTATGTTGCCCAGGCTGGTTTCGAACTCCTGAGCTTAAGCAAGCTTCCACCCTCAGCTTCCCAAAGAGGTAAATATTTTTTAACTGAATTGAACTATTAACAAATTTTTCATTAGCTAAAGACTTTATGATAGATTTTATAATGTTTTTGAGCCTTTTAACAGAAAATTGTACCTTTGAGTATTTAAATTTTCTATGCACTTCTGCTGAAATTCAAATTTGAGTGATATTTTAAAGCCTAATGTGGTCTATGTTGAGATTCATAAAAAGCATACTTTGTAGTGTTGCAAAAATCATGTAATTGCATACTTCGTGATTTGCTTCCATTTCAAAGATTACTAAATACAAAGAAATTCAAAGATATGTTATGGGATGGTATAGAATATGTTATAACTTGACCTAGTCTGTCCCTTAATTATAACATCATGAACCCTCTTAACCATAAATTTAAAAAGTTTATGCACATTTACATACTACCTAGTCAAGTGGAGGCACTGCTGGGAAAAATACATCCTAAACGGAATCTCCATCTAAGATTCTATTCCTCTCTTTCTAATTTGTCACATTGCGTTACTGTGGTCTTGTCAGCAGAAAGAGGATAGTAGCTTCATTTTGTCTGCAGAGTTTCACATCATTAACCTTCCAGTGTCACTTTTATTATAGAGGGAAATGAATGGACTGATATTTGAGGAGAATCACTGAAGTATTACCCCCGTTGAGAAAATACACACTCAGAGTCTGATGACCATGATGCTTCTGCAGAGAAAAGCACCTCCCATTCATTAGGAAATGCGTTTTTTTTTTTTTTTGGTGTGCATTAATGGGATGCATGTTTTCGTTTGTTTGCCCTGCCTTTAAGAAAATTTGATTGATTCCATTTCAAGTTCTCATTATGTGACACAAACGTTAGAACACATTCTTTTCATTATTGTGATGCAAAAAAGTACTTGCATGTTTTTATAGAAATGTGGTGTGCACCTGTAATCCCAGCTACTCAAGAGGCTGAGACAGAATTGCTTGAACCTGGGAGCTGGAAGTTGCAGTGAGCCACGATCGCACCACTGCACTCCATCTTGGGCGACAGAGCGGGACTAAGTCTCAAGAAAGAAATATCACTGCATGTGATTTTTGGGGGGAATGGGGTGCATGCACATGCATATTTGCATCTTAGGGAAAAGTTCCAAGTCGAAGCAAATGGGTACTTTAGAGGTATGTTTTTGTACTTTCTGTGCAGATGCCTAAAATGACACCTCCTGTGTGTCAACTGTCACTACACATTCATGCAGCATTGCTTTTTGAGGTCACACTATGACATTTAAAGACGAAGAAATTTTTATATTTTGGACAGCTTAAAGGACACAGTAAAATAAGCTTGACAGCTGATCACCCATGAAATGTGTTGTGCAATTATACGTACAGAAAATGATTTTTAAATCGTTAAATATTTGTATTACATTCATGCTCTTAAACATATTAATAACTCAAAATCCATCAAATGAATACAGCCAGCTGTCAGGAAAAGAACATAACTAGCTTCTTTCCAGAATATGGCAAATATTTGTAGAACATTATTTTTTTAAACCTGGATTACCTTGGATATGTAGCCAGGTATTAGGCTTTATTTTAAATCTTTATTTATATAGTGCATATATATATGTCTTATATATATATGTGTATATTGAAACTATTGCACCTAAATGTTCATACATTTTTTTTTTCTTTTTCTTTTCTTTTCTGAGACAGGGTCTTGCTGTGTTGTCCAGGCTACAATGCAGTGGCATGATCATAGCTCACTGAAGCTTCAACTGCCTTGGCTCAAGCGTCCTCCCCTCTCAGCCTCCTGAGTAGCTGGGAGGACCACAGCCACATGCCACCATATTTAGCTAATTCTTTTTTTAAATTTTTGTAGAGACGAAGTCTCCCTATGTTGCCCAGGCTGGCCCATTTCTTGTTAGATTTTTTAAAATTATAAATATATAGAAATGGAATTGCGGAGTCAAAGGCATGTTTGTCTTCAGTGCATTTGATACTTATATATACTTCCTATTATTATACAAATACTTGTTAATATTATCTCTCTCTCTCATTAGATTATTGAGGTGTGGCTATGTGTCTCTAGACCACACATACTATATAGTGTAGACTCATTAAATGTCTGTTAAATGAGTGGTTCACTTGTAGTTAGGCACATTTGCAAATTAAGACGTACTTAAAGAGATTTTTTTTTTAACAGCCGCACAACTGAATTGCTAGAAAATCAAATTCAAAAAGATATTTAAGTCATCAATACATACTTAGGGATCTTCAGTTACATATTTTTGCCCATCTTCTATTTTTCTGTAATAGAGATAATTATTATTAGTGAAAATCACAATTTGTAAAGTGAAATGGAGAAAGGAAGAAAAATTGAGTGAAAGTAGGTGAGCGTAGGAACCTGAGAATAGAAGTAAATGCTAATCCTTTCTTGATCACATTGATCAAACCCTTTGCAGCCTGTCTAATGAAACAGATGTGAGAGTATCTTGAGGGTATTTGGAAACAGCAGTAATGGCCCTGCTGTCAAGGACAACATTGTTTATTATTAGTTGAAACTGGTTTGCAAAACAAGCATGGTATTAGGTCAGGAATTGAGATCCCTGATTTCTTAGAGAGAAAAGCAAAACAAGGAGAGGTACTTGTGGCCCATGCACCGTCTTGCAGCTCATGGAAGGGATGCATTGAGTTGTGCACACAGCTGGAATGCTGTTGAATGGGGCTGGGCTACTCCTGACCCTGGTCTGCATGTGTCCCCTGTACCCACTCCTGGGTGCCTGGCAGTGGGGCTCTGATGCAGACTAACATGTTTTTGAAGAAAAACAGCAATGAAAATGAAGTCAGCTGTGATTTGAAGTGACTTCCTGCCACCTTCATGAAGATATGGAAAGGAGTATGGGCAAGTTTCATGGTGCAGAGAAGGAATAAAGTCAACAAAGGAAGGACGTGAGATTTGTATGAAAAACTAACTTGAACATGTATACTTGAGTGGATGTGTAGTTTGGGAGCATCTGTCTTTTCTCCTGCAGACTTTGCTCAAAGCCAGTGTAATGAATGTACCATGCAGTCACACACTCATGTTGTCTCAGCTGTTCCCCTCATCGAAGATGTTGCCAGAAGAAATCCTGGACTGAAAGGAGGTCTTCCCTCATTCCCCTGGAGCCCTATGTAAATCAGCTAGAAATCACTTACCATGCTAATACTGTTGACCACAGGTGCTGGACCTACCTAGGGAGAGTGATGGAAGGCAGAGAAGAGTTATATGCCACATTGGGAAAATTGAAGCTTGAAGGATGAATAGAGTGTGTCAGATATAGAAAGGAGGTGGTGACTTTCAGTCCATGTAATATTGGCACAAATACATGATAACCAGGGCAGGTTGCCCTTTACAGTTGAAAATCAAGATGCATGGGAATTTGTGCTGGAAAATTCATTGCAGTCAAGGCTCAAAGACACTTTGTGGGAAATTGATAAGCCGCAGAATTTTTGCCTTTAAAAAATTTTGTTAATGGACATCCTAACTGCCTAGATTTAGGAGAATTCCAGCAGCAATGTGTAGAGACGGATTATAGAGAAGCAGGACTAACCGCACAATTTATAGGATTTGAGGACTGAACCAGTCATACAATTTGCAGGGTCTAGTTCAAAATGAATATTGTGGAGCCCTTTGTTCAAAAATATTAGGAATTTTAAGATGGCAACAGCAGAGCATTAAAGCAAACACTGTGTTGTTCTTCTCAGTGTGGGGCCCAATGAGACTGCGTAGGTCATATGCCCAAGAAGCTATATTGGTTGGGGAATGAGGGAGAGGTGAGATCAATCCAGGATCCTTCTGTGTTTCTGTTTGAATGAATTCGAATGAATAAAGGAGTCTTTGTCCCATTGCATGAGAATGGAATTCAGAAAGAAAATCTGGTTCATGAGAGTGCAAAATAGGTTTGTTCTAATGATTTTTAGCTGAAAACAAATTCTTTGGTAATGTCCAAGGGCAGTCAGAAGTATGAGTCTGGGGCACAAAAGAGAGGCAAGATCTTGAAATAGTGAGCTGCGTGTTTGTAGTGCATAGGTGGTATATGACACCTGCGGGAAAACTGTGTGAGGATGTAGAATGAGAGTAAAGGCAGCCACGGACAGAAACCTATGGAACAGCAGAATTCACAATGGGGGAGGATTTCTTCAGATGTCTTTTCTTCTCAGTATTCCTGCCTCAAGTTCAGAGCTTGACATATAAAGGGGAAATTAGCAGGTAGGATAAAATAAAAAAATAATAATTATTTGGGATAAGATGCATGTTTTCAGTGCATAGCTAGAAATTAGAAGATACATCCACCATATGTCCCCAAATGGACACATCACCCCCAAATGAGGGGAAAATGGAATGGGAATGGTCGATGTGAGGGGTCCTGGGTTTTTGTCCTGGCTCCCCACTCACTAACCTTGGCCACACACAACCTTCTCCCCTCCCAGCCCTGGCTTCCTCTTTGTTACCACCAAGGCGGATCCCTGCCATCGCTCATCTTCCCCAGAGCCAGGACTCTGGATCAATTACTCTAATTTCTGGACACATCCTGGGTTAAAACTTTGATTTTGATGTTTGCCTACTACAGATAGAAACCAAATAGAATGATATGTCTGTGACTCATTAAATGTTAGATATTTTTTCTTAAGAAAGTGAAATGACCTTTAACACTTTCTGAGAAAGCATGACAGAAATGCTGAGAGTAATGATTCCTTGAAAGAATTACCCCAATCAACTCTCAACAAGACAACATGAAATGCCACAGGGCTTTTACTGTGCAAGGCCTCATTAGCATACAGTTAGCATACTTGGACATAGTACGCATTATGGAAGTTTCCTATTTTGTCATGTAGAGTCTTTGCTGTATGTACCTCTTTCAGGATATGGTGATGAAAGCTAGAGAAATAATTTCTATTCAAATGCATTTTTTTTTTTTTTGAGATAGAGTCTCTTTCTGTTGCCCAGGCTAGGGTGCAGTAGCTCAATCTCGGCTCACTGCAACCTCCGCCTCTTGGGTTCAAGCAATACTTGTGCCTCAGCCTCCCAAGTAGCTGGGACTACATGCATGTGCCACCATGCCCGGCTAATTTTTTGTATTTTTGTAGAGACGGGGTTTCACCATGTTGGCCAGGCTGGTCTTGAACACCTGGCCTCAAGTGATCCGCCCGCCTTGGCCTCCCAAAGTGCTGGGATTATAGGCATGAGCCATTGTGCCCGATTCAAATGCATTTTAAATTTGAGTGTGTTTGCTTTTCTGTTACTTTGAATTATGTTTCTTATGTAATTTTAATGCCACCTACAAATATGTGTAATTATAGAGAGTCCTAATAATAGTTAATAAAAGAAAGGTATAAATTAAGGTTATTCAGCTGTACAAATAAAACCACAAGGTAAACGTTGTCAGAAGTGATACCTAGACAAACTCATTGTACTTCTCAAAATTTAATGAGTGTAGAAATAAGGAATCTTGTTAAATGCAGATTTAGGCTGAGTAGCTTGGGAAGGGGCCTGAGATTCTGTAATTTAACAAGATTTTAAGTGATGCCTTTATTTCTGTAATCAAAGATCATATTTTTTAGTTGCCAAGGGTTTAGATCTTAGAGTAAAATTTAGGGCTTAAAAAAATGGGTATGGGACAGTGGCTCATTCCTGTAATCCCAACAGTTTGGGAGGCCAAAGCAGGAGGATTTTTGCTTGAGGCCAGGAGTTCAAGACCACCCTGGGCAAATTAGGGAGACATCATCTCTACAAAAATAAAATAAAATAAAAAATTTGCCAAGTGTGCTGGCATGTGTCTGTAGTTGCAGCTACTCGGAGGCTGAGGAGGGTGGATCGCTTGAGCCCAGGAGGTTGAGATTTCAGTGAGCTGTGATTGCGCCATTGTCCTCTAGCCTGAGCAACAGAGCGAGACCCTGTCTCTAAAAGAAAAATAATAACGATTTGTTTTTTGCTTTTTTCTACCTTGTGAAGCTTTGATTCTGTTCCTAAAAGTTACAGTAAGCATTTCTGCCTTTGTGGGGAGGGGAAACTCTCTGTAGAAAAGGTGTGAAATCCGAAAACATTCCTCCGTAGCACCTGTTTGGTACAGCTGTGTCTGTGTTAAAATTTAACCACATTTCTGCCGAAAGAGAAGTAAAGAGACTAGATCCAGTTTTAAGATTTTTCCTAGTTCAGAGATTTTATGAGTTATACATGTATAAAAGAAGGATACTCATTTCTTATTTACCTTTTATCTATTTGTTTAAATTTCTCATTTGTTTTACTTTGTGGTCTCTTCCGTAATGCTCAATTTCTGTATCCTATAAATGTAAATATTCTCCTGCTTTCAAGCTTCTCTTATGTGATCCGCTCTTTAACCCTCCTACTTTCCTTTTTTTCATTATTCAGTTTTTTTGCCTTTTTTGCCCTTAAAGTTTACTATTATGTAGGAAAAATGGGAAATATAAAGCTGTTTTGAACTGGATAAACATTATAAAACATCCTATGGGATGGCTTTTAAATGGGTTTTTTTATAGTTCCACAACATGTATAATTTCCAGCTTCTTCTATCTGTTTTATAGGCACCTTTTATAAGTCTAAATGCCTGTATTTACAGAGAATTGTTCCCTTTAGCCAATAAAACTCAAATCTGTTCACTGATGCAATGCCTTAGGGGAACTGCAAGAATGCTAGACCTTAGAATTTCTGGAAACATGTTCCTTTTTATTAAAACTTGGTTATTTGATCTTCATAGTACTCTTCTGTATTTTAAAGCAGTTGATTGGGTTTTGTCCTTACAAAATTCAAAAGTATCAAAAAGTTACCTGTGTCAAAGTTAAATCATGTTAACATCTTATTAAAGTCCCTGCAACTTAATTGTAAGTCTACTTATTCTCTTCCATACAAACATTAATATTACTGGCTCTGTAATTTGATGACTTGAAAACTGTGTTGTATCCTGGGAATTTTTTTTTTTTTTGAAAACGAGTCTCACTCTATTGCCCAGGCTGGAGTGCAGTGGTGCGATCTCAGCTCACCGCAACCTCTGCTTCCCAGGTTCAAGTGACTCTCCTGCTTCAGCCTCCCAAGTAGCTGGGATTACAGGCATTTGCCACCAAGCCTGTCTAATTTTGTATTTTTAGTAGAGATGGGGTTTCACCATGTTGGCCAGGCTGGTCTGGAACTCATGATCTCAGGTGATCCACCCACCTCGGCCTCCCGTAGTGCTGGGATTACAGGTGTGAACCACTGCACCCGGCCCTGGGAATATTTTCTATGTTACATTTATTTTTTTCTAACCCCAAGTATTTTTTTTTATCTTCACATGAATATTAAAAGTTTTTCAGAGTGCAACATAAAAGAGATTATTTCACTTGATAATGTGTTGATATATGGGTTTGGGGGCTACATTAAAGGAAATGAATTTTCTCGTTTGCATTATCGTGTCAGAAGCAGAAGGAAAACACTTCACCTCCCTACCTCTACATCTGTTGTTTCAACCTGAAGTCTCGGGAACATGGCAATTGTTTGCTTAGCAGAGCATCATCAGAACAGCAAGGGAAAAAGTCAGATCCCACATCAGCCTGAAACATTGTCTTCAAATGCAGTGTGTTGAAGAGAGAACCGTTACTACAAAACAGACTTCTGGTTTTGTCCATAAGTAAAGGAAATATTTACAAGCAAAATTATTTTGGCCAGAGAAGAGACCAGCTGTTTACAGTAGCTGAATTGTTTCTATGGAATAATTCCTTAGCGATAGGAGAACATTGTTTCATTAAAGTAATTCCAAATCCTAACAACCGTAACATAAAATCCCAGACCTTAGGACAGAGATGTAATATATAGTGAATCATGTAACTGCTGCTTTTCTCTGCAGCTAATGCCGACCAAAAAAAAAAAAAATCCATTTCTTTGTATGTCCAAAGCCTCACAACACGAGCCTTATTTGTCCTTATTTGCTGGAGTTCAGCCCATTCAACGAGGTTTCCCACCGAGTATTTTGGAACATTGTGCCTGGGACCTCCTCGCCAGGACGGTGGAACATGCCACTCCATTTTTGTCCTTAAGACTCCTTGGGTCCCCAGCCATCTGTGGCTGCTCGTGCTGTGATCTGCACACGACCGTATTTCTTCTGCTGTTCACAGCCACTTGTCCTCCAACTCCAGGCTGTGGGACAGGACCCTGTGCTGTCTGGTTTCCCACAGCACAGATCATTAAAAGCTGAGTGTTATAAAGACCAGGAGGAAACCCGTGGAGGAAATGGCTTACACCTGCTCTCAGAGCTGTCTGCTTGTTGCTCTTGATCCCCTTCCAGACTTCTCAGCAGCCTGATGGTGGGGGCACCTTGTGCTTCATCACCACACCTAGGAGCCCATGTGGTACCAACCTTATGCAACGGAGGAAGGAGGAAATCCCTTCCCCACTCAAAAGCCCAGTTCCTTTCTGCCTCTGGGTGATGGAGGAGGGGCATTTACTTCTCTCAGAAGGCATTCCCAGCCTTATCTCTACAAAGTATGCTCTTGATTGTATAGCTTAAACAAGACCATCATCATGTGTGGTGGTATTTTTCCATTTGGCCTGTTCTCTTAGCTTACTCTACATAGAGCTAGAAGCCTGGACTTGATTCTTCATTTCGTAAAGAACCATTGAATGTTTCTCAGTCATTTAAAGCCATTATTATGTAGGAACATCCTTAGCCATACTAAGGGTGTATTTGGAGGTGAAAGAGAAGTATTATGGGCAAGCACTCTACAGGCAATCCTTGTGTACTGTCCCAGGTACGAGCCTATTACAGTGGTCCCTGCGAAAGGTGATGAGGTCTGAAGTAGGTCGGAGACTGTGAAAAGAAAGGATCAGATATAAGATTTAATATGTAGATTTGGGAGAGTACGTGGAGAGGTAAAGCTTGACAACTAATTCGATGTAAGGGTTGAGGGGGAAGTAGAAAACAATTCAGAAATTGATTACCAGTCGCATCGCTAAAGCTGGGTTGATTTTATTAGTGAAGAAGGGAAGATACTGTTTGAGTTTAAGTAATGGATTAAGTTTTGGACACATTTGAGGTGTTAGAGTGATATGAGTGAGCTGGTATCTAGCAAGTGGTTAAGCAAAGCTACCTGTTGTGGAAGGCTTGCTAGCCATCAGGCACTTTGCCAAGCCCTGGGCATGCCTCATAGTGTTTACAATAAATGTTTATCTTTTAAAAAAATGAATTGTGTATATTTAAGGTAAACAGCATGGTGTTATGGGACACATATGCATACTAAAATGGTCACTATAGTGGAATCAATAAACACGCTTCGTCTCACATAGTTACCTTTATTTTTTGTAGCAAGAGCAGCTAAAATCTACTTATTTAGCAAAAATTCCAAATGTAGTATAATTGTACACATCATAGTCCTCATGCTGTCCTCTCCAGACTTGTTCATCCTACATTTTGGCTATTTTGTATCCTCTGACCTGTGTTGAAGGATTGCTGTGAATATTAATAATAATAAAGCTTTGGCATAAAAAGTAAACAAAACAATATACTGCTTATTTTTTAAATCTCTATTTTATTATCCCTGTGTTGTAGGTAAGAAAAAGCGTCTTAGTTAAGTAACTTTCCCAAAGCCTTCCAATTTGCTAGTACTGGAGACAGAGTGTGAACCGAGGTGGTCTGATGCTGGAGCCTGCCCTATTGGCCAATCTCCTATGATAGCCCCCTAATATGTAGGTCTGGAGCTTGGGGAGGAGTCAAGGCTAACAGTGTAGGTTGGGAAGTTAGCAATTTATCCTACAAACCTTTCCTGAGCCTCCGTCAGTGGCCAAGTGCAGTGTCCCGAGCTGTGACACCATGCACACAGACACCATGGGTACCACCCTAGAAATGTGAGTTTCAACTCACATTTAATCATGGTGTTATGAGCAAGAGGAAGAGAAGAGGCTGCAGGGAAGGATCTTGTGGTTGAGCAATGAATGGATGCCATCGAAGAGAGGAAAACCCAACGCAGCTGGCACAGGAACCATAGAAAAATGACGGGGGCCTGCGTCATTACTCCAGAAAATAAGTCAGTCACAGAGGATCGTGAGGAGCTGCTGAGTTGTGTAATTTGGGGGATAATTCATTAGCTTCATGGAAACTGGCCTCTAGTGACATTTTGAGGGATTTTGAAATACAAGCATGGAGATATAAGTAAACTAAGATATTTAGAACTTGGGGTGCGAATGAAAAAAGATATGGGCAGATGGGAGAAGCCAAATGAAGGAGGGGGCTGTTTTTTTGTTTTCTGCCTTAGGATTTTTGGTTTTCCTTTTTGTTTTCTGGCTCTACAACCTGACAGTAGGAGACAACATGACAAAACAGAAGCGCTTGTTCTTATAGAGTGAGGAATGGTGGGTAGATTGTCAATCAGCTGGAAAACTTGTTTCAGACAAAATTATAAATGTGTTACTTGCAAACATTAAGCGGTTTATTTCAACATAAACCCTGTGAGTGTTGATTTATTTACCAGCATTTTGCTGAGGAGCCCGTGCCTTTTCTAAGCATGTGGCCCTGCTGACTGGATTTTCTCAACTTCTCTCCTAGGCAAACTCCACCCATGATATGGCCTCAGCCATTTCTAGTTTTGGCGTCTTTAAAGAGCAGGGTATCTTGGAGTTAACTTGTGAAGCAATTTGCATACAGAGACTTTCTCGACTTTTTTTTTTTTTAATGATTCCTCTTATCATTTGTCGTATTTTTTCTTAAATGTTAACAGTTTTTGATAGTGCCTTTCCAAAACATTCGACCTAGTTTTTATAAAAGCACCAACTCTTTTAACAGAAATATTTCACCAGTTCATGCTATGACTCATGCCCGCAGCAGCCTCCAGGCAGGAGATTAGCTGATGTGGATGTGCAGCAGAGGGCCCCAGGGGAGAGAATGGCTCTTCAGACTCCAGGACAAAAGGAGGCCATGTGGGGTCTCTGTGGATGGGAGGCTTACCAGGTTCTCAGGAAAAGGAACCTGCTCAAGAGGCCTGCCAATAGCAGGAATCTTCAGCAAGGAAGGCTACAGGGTCACTGTCACACTCTAAAGCTGCACTCGGTAGTAGGATGTGGGGAAGGAATAACAGAGAGGTGTTGCCCTAGTCCCAGGCTCAGGCAGTGGCTGTCAGATGGTCCCTGTGGAGCCTCTCAAGGAAACCCATGAAATGTATCTGAAAAAGGCAAGCATCAGCTCCCCACAGCCATCCACATTGGAGAGCACCAAGGCTGGGCCGTGACACCGTTCCTCCAGGAAGACTTTTCCATGCCCAATCGCTGGCCTGGCCCCAACCATCTTGGCCCCGAAGGAGTGGGAAGCCCTCGTGGATGCCAGCTCAGGGTGTGAAGGGAAAGAATTGTCAGGCGGGGAAATCAACTGGAAGCCAGCCATGCCTCTTTGTTACCATAGGAGGATTCTCAACTGAAGCAGGTCCTAGCTGGTGCAGGGACATGATGAAATTTTATATACATATACAATTTTTTTAAAGACTGGGCTCTTAACTCTTAAAAAACACAAGATTTTAGTTACTGGAATTATCTTGCTTTTATGATTAATAATGATTTCTAACATTACGCTGAGTCATCGTCGTCATCATCATCAGCAGCAGCGGCAGCAGCAGCAGCAACAGCATTAGACCTGACCATGCCTTTATCCAAGGAGTAGATTTGGTCCCCTGGAGAGGGTGGGGTTAGGAGAGGAGCATCAGGTTCCCTGTCTGCACTCTTCATGGTTATCTTATTCACATGTAAAAGCTACAAATAATGGCCAAATTCAGTCTAGCTTCCAGAGAATGTCGGTGATAAATATAATGATTCTTTAGCACTCTCTATGTTTTGTACGTTGATAATTATCTTTCAGAATGAGGTAGCAGTAAAGCCACTTAAATGGAAATGCTGATTTAATATATTTCATGCAGTTTTTTTCTTTGTAAATGATTTATGTGTTGTCCTTCATTCTGAATGGCTCATTCTCCCAAGATCAGAGATAGGAAAGGAGGCATAGGAAAACATACTTAGGTTTAGATGTTTTCTGCTACATCTTCTTCTTTATAACATCCTTGTTTTGTTCCATAAGTAACCATCACAAGGTATGTACAAGACATCGTAATGTATAGAAGTATGAACAAACCAGTTTACAGAAAGAAAAGATTATAATGCTCAATCCAATGGCAAAATTCATGGTGCTCTTTAAATCACTCTGGAGTTTGAGTGAATGTGTGGTATGTTTGCACCGTCATGACTAAAGCTGTCCTTAGGCAGTGGTAATAAACCTACACAACCCCGCTGCTTTTAGATACAAACAATATCATAAGATACCTCCTTATGAAGATGCATTGATTGATTAATTGATTAAAGCTTATTATCACATAATTGGCAGCTCACGAAATTCATTCAAAATAAAAGCTGAAAGCAGAAGTTTAAATAATAAGAAAACCTTGGTCAACGGAGACATTTGAGGGTCACATAGGCCATTGATCTTTCAATTGAGAACAAGATTCCCAAGCTAAATATAATAGCCTAGAAGAAGTAAGAGTTTAGAGTCATAGTTTGTTTTTGTCCGAGCAGTATATGAAAAGAAACTAGGACTTTCAGCCCTCACTAAGCGTAACAATATACCCTTACTTTGTTCAGACACTTAATAGTGAAGGAGCTTTAATAAGCTGTGTCTCCCCTGCATGGCGAGTGCATTTGCAGGCTGTCTTCATGTGACTGCGAAGGGGATAGATGCAATCTGAAGATGTGGAAAGGGCAGATGCGAGCTGACCCCTATGAAATCAAGACTCCATCCCTGCAATGTTTAGCCTCATTTCTGTTGCTACATACAGTTTCATTCATTGATAGTTTCTAATGTGAATATAATAATCCACACATCAATTTAATTTGTATATGCTGACTGTGGATATTATGAAAGCTTTCATTAGAACTCCTATTTGATGTTGAATACAAATCATATCCTTGTACATGTACTTACATTTCCATTAATTGTATTCTCATAGTGTGAAGTATACTTGGCCTTAATTTTTGCATGTATTTCTAGGTCCCTTCTTTCATAGTGTTTTCTTTAATAAATTCTTTTGGTGTTGACAGCTTCCTTCTTCATCTTTCCAAGAAGTCACAGGGGAAGGGTTTCAGGAGTTGGTGAGGGTGGAAAATCTTAGACAAGGGGATGTGCAAAACCCTATGAGGATGATAGTCTGGGGTACCAAATGTTCCCGGATTCTTTGTGGTGATTGTTATGAACAGGGATAAAAATCACAGGAAGTTATTTTCAAAGAGCTCAAGATAGATGGTGGTGGTGAGGGCTGCTGTGGAAGATGTCTTCCAAGAGTCTCATTGTATACACATATATTAATAATTTATTTAAGTATCATATTTTTTATTTATAAGTAATTCACAGACATGAATGGTCTCAACCATGTGCTGATATTAAATTCCTTGACCAGTCTTTTATCTCCCAACTCAAAGCAACCATCAGCAGGTACAAATCGTAAGGATTATATAGGATTCTGTTTTCCACACTACACTCCTTGAATTGAATTTCCATGAAGAAAGGTAACAGTTTGTACATCCGCTATACAGTCAGTACCTAGAAAAATGCACAGCACATAGTGGTTGCATAATAAATGCGTTAGTCAGCTTGGACTTCATAGCAAATTTTCACAAAATGGGTGGCTTCAACAACAAACATTTATTTCTCACAGTTCTGGACGTTGGAAGTGTAACATTAGTGCTGGCAGGAATGAGTTCTTGGTAAACTCTCTTCCTGGTTTATAGACAGCTGCCTTCTTGTTGTGTCCTCACATGCAAAGAGAGCACGCCTGCCCCTTCTTTTTTTTTTTTTTTTTTTTTTTTTTGAGATGGAGTCTCGCTCTGTCACCCAGGCTGGAGTGCAGTAGCGCAATCACGGCTCACTGCAAGCTCCGTCTGCTGGGTTCACACCATTCTCCTGCCCCAGCCTCCCGAGTAGCTGGGACTACAGGCACCTGCAACCACACCCAGCTAATTTTTTGGATTTTTAGTAGAGACAGGATTTCACCATGTTAGCCGGGATTTCACCATGTTAGCCAGGATGGTCTCAATCTCCCGACCTTGTGATCTGCCCGTCTCGGCCTCCCAAAGTGCTGGTATTACAGGTGTGAGCCACATGCCCAGCCTCCTGCCCCTTCTTATGAGGGCACTAATCTCATTCATTAGGGCTCCATCCTCATGACCTAATTACCTCCCAGCGTTCCCACCTCCAGTAACTGTCACATTGGGATTAGGGTTTCAACAGATGAATTTGGGGAGCGACAACGTAAACATTCAGTCAGTTGCAATAAGTATTTGTTGAATTGGATTGCACTAACACTGACTTTCCATTTATGTTATAAGGACCTCTCAGTGTTGAGATGCAGGGTTTCAGTGACTTCTGCTTTTGTTGAGCTTGGGTGGTCACTGGTCAGGTGAGAGACCCAGTAGTCACTTCCCATTTGTAAAGTGTGGGAACTCTTGCCAGGAGTACACAGTTCTGGAATGTCATTCTCATTCTCGCAGGAGTAGGGATCATATCTGGAGAGAGATAATCCTGAAGGCTCCTGTCTTGTTCTTGGAGCATGTGAAACTCTGGGGCTTCCCCCTTGGCTCCCAGGAATGGGTGGAAGAGAGATTCAAAGAAGTAAGTCTGTTGAGGACAACAACTGTGCCTTTTTATTTATTTTTCTAGCATTAGCTGTGTTTGTAACCATATTGTTTTTACAGGCTATCTAATAAGAGAATGAACAATTAGATAAACCCTGTCCTCTTTAAGTAACTCCACTAGAGTAGTCTCTTTTCAAGGAGTGTTAAAATATGCTTGAGATGCACAAAAAGTTAAACAACAAGAAAATTCAATAAAAGAGATACTATAAAGCAGTTTTTGATTAATTACAAATTAAGAGGTATTTATAGCTGACATGCTAATGTTCTGGCTAATGCAATCTTTACATCAGGGTCCATTAGGTTTTGTCTATATAGTAATAATAATCCTTAGATATTTTCTGAGCAGCAGATTTTGATTCTGAGAGAATACAAAAAAATCAATTCTATTTATGTTCTTCACATAAAATCATAATCTACTCTGAGATACATTTAGCATGCATACTTCACAGCGTGGTGTTCAGTATGTGTATTTTAGAATATGTAGCTATTGGAGTAATAAACTGGTCAATGTGTGGAATGACAGCATGGTGATGATTACCTGGAATATTCATTTTTCAGCAACAATAATATGCAACCCTGCTAAGATACTGATTTTGCCTTCCTAAGTTGTATTCTGGGTCTGCTGCCTTTTGATTAGGTATTTTTGGTGCTGTTGTTAGTTTGTTTTTATTATCAGTCTTTGGATATCAGATAAGCACAAAATTGGCTAGAAGTCAACATCATCCATGACAGTGAACAGGAAGAGGTATTCTTATTCCATTTCAATACAGAGAACATTTTGATTTATATTATGATGGGTTGTAAAGAATTTTCTTTACCTCAATTCTGAAAGGGATTATTTATTTTAATAACTGATGTTTAGTTATTTTGAGTGAGAAATGAGCTTTATTTTAAGCTTCAGCTAACATTTAAGAGCTTGCCATGTGTTAGGGATTGTGCCAGACACTCCCATGCATATTGTCTCAGGGCAAGATTTGGAATATGCTTTATTACGGCCTACCTACTCTTCAGAATAGGATAATATGCAGGCATAGAGGGTGTCTATACAGGAAAGGTCTGTTTCTTATCAGAGAATTAGTGAAACAGCATCTTACAGCAGAGATGAGGGAAATTCAGATTGAAACATAAAAACATGCCCTTCATTGATCGTACTCTTCATAAGGGGATTCTTACAGGCCCTCACTCCCTTTTTATATTAAATAGGATTGAGCAAAAAATAAAGATCACTTATCTCTACCTGCCAAATTTTAGGGCATGCATGGGATGAAGTAACAAACTAAATGAAAGTACAGGGAAGTAATTGGCAAACCCAGAATGTGGGAGATTCTTCAAGAAAAAAAAATACTTCTTTTTATCACAAATCAATAAAAAGAGAATTTAGGAAGGTACTATTAAGTAAAAGAGCCTTAAGATAAATTTAAAAATTAAATGTACAGATTTTTTGGATTCTGACTTAAACAAACCAACTGTAAAAAAAACTTTGAGACAAGAGAAATTTTTATATGAATTTGAAATCAGGTGATAGGGTTTTCTGATAATTGGCATGAGAATTGCTATTAATCAGGATAATGGCATATTCTTATTGTTTGGGGATGCACACTGCAGGGTTCATGAATGAAATGGCAGGATGCCTTGGATTTTTTAAAAATACTTCAGCCAAAAACGAAGGATAGTTGAAACAAGGTGGCCACAATGTTAACAAATATTGGAGCTTGGTAATGGATATACCAAAGTTCAGTAATCTCTCTATGTTTATGAAATGCTTCAAATAAACCAGAAACAAGTTGGCAAATGGTAATCCTGCCATTGTCTGGCCTCTTGTCAGGATTTTGGCTGCCACTAAGCCTGTAGGGCAATGCAGAATTAGATGGACAGGGCAGGAAAAGTGATCCTCATCTAGAATGTGGACAAGATCAGAGCTATTTTTCAGAGGATCGTGAACTGGTATCCATAGATAGGTTTCAGGAGGCTTTGCTCCCTGTAAATATATACCATATTTTAACTTGAAATTTTTTCTGGCCAGGTAGTTCATAGGCTTTACTAGATTTTCAAAGGTGTTTATTCCCTCAAAACTTGAGATATAGTAGAATACAGGAGTTCTGAAGCCTCTTTAGCTGGAAAATTCTATAAACCTATGTATCTAAGAACAAGAAATTTAATTGTCCTATTTTTAAAACACCCTGCACAGAAGAAAGGATTCCAGATCTCATGAAGTCTGCATTTTAATGTGTTCAAATTCTTAGGAGATGAGAATGTTCAAAAGCCATCAAATACATTTAAAAAAAAACACACATCCAGATCTTAGACTGCTTGAGCCACTTATACAGTGACCGAATATATCAATGCAATTTTCTTTCTCTTAGATGACCTTCATTGTCGTCCCAGAGTCTATGTAGAAAACCTCACTGTTAAAAGATATGCTTTAAAAAATTTGTTTTAAGTAAAGGAAAAAAACCCTTAAGAATTGGGAAGCATTTTTGCAATATAAAAATTATCTAGCTATACGCGAAGGGCCAAAGCAGCAGCTTTAACTGCCAGCATTTTATTGGCTGTATGGAAGGGAAGCTGCTAGAAAAGATGGGAGCATCCATAAGCTGAAAACTGAGCTCATGGATATGGCAGCTAGTTAATGAAGGTCTTTTTTGCCATCATGTTTTGCTTGTACCCTACATTGTTGTAAGTGAAATAATTTTGCAGAACATTGAAAATATTCTGAATAATTGTTTTATGAGGAAGTCTAGAGTGGTGTCATTGGTATTAGCAGCCTGGTTTTCATTCAATTAAAAGGTCATGGCCTAACAAGCCATCTTTTAGTAGTGTTAGAGTTCATGATCAAGGTTCCCATGCTGCACTGACTCCTAATCATCATTTTCCTGTTGTTTTGTCGAACTTGGTGATGAGCTGGGCAGAGTTGATATGTGTGTGTGCTTGTTTGCAAATGCATATGTGTATGTGTGTTTGAGGGGGTGGGGGAGAGTGATGGCTAGTTTTAATGTTAAAATTTTTCTTTAGTCTGTTATTGTGGCAGTAAAATTGGGCAACAAACCACCCCAAAACTCAGGGGCCTTGAATGCCAGGCACTTATTTGCACACTCACAATCATGCACATTGTGCCTGACCTCCAATTTGCCAGTTCTTGGCTGGGGAGTCCTGATTTCAGGCACTTCATTCACTGGGTTTGACTCTACTTTGCAGACAGGGTTCAGGCCCCTTTGATGTGCAGTTGTTCTGGGCCCAGGGTAAAGGAGCATGTGCTGCCTGGCTAGAAAATCTGATGCCTCATGTCACATCCTCTCACATCCCATTGGCTGAATCACATTACCTGGCAAAGTCCATAGTCAGTGGGACACAAAGCCTATTCCATGGCAGTGGGGTGGGGAGGAGTACAGATTTGCTAAATGATAGTACAGTTCATCACAAAACCATTTCCCTACATCATATAATTATCTTCTTAATTTTTCTTGCCCAATTTATGAGTAATTTCTGACTTATACACACTAGATTCGTGGATGATTCACACACACAAGTCAATGTCTAGAAAATAAGCCTCTTATTTCACCTTTGCCTGTGTCTATTAATTCTCCTCTCTCCACTCCCTTATAGTATCCCCAGCAGATATTTCAGTACTTTAAAAGGCCTCATGTTCTTTTGTGCCTCAGGGCCTTTGCACATATTGCCCCCCCCCACCCCCCCGCACATCATTCTTTGCCTCATGGATGTCAACATATCATTCCTGTCTTAGCTGAAGTGCCACTCTCAAAGTGGTCTTCATGACCACCTAATCTAACATAGCCCCCTCTGTGCTCACAGCTCCCTACTCCTTCCTGCAGCACCCATCATAATTTCTATTTGCATCGTTCTTTATGTGGGTAGATTACATCCACCTTTCACATTAGACCTCAAATATTATTGACTCAGAAGTGACATCTTTGTTTCCATTGATATTGGAAATACCTGGTATGGTATTAAAAAAAAAAAGTAGTCACATGAGTGAATCAATATGATTAGAACCCTGGAGGAAGAACTTCCTCTGTTCAAATGGAATGAATTTCTCACTTTAGAGACACACAGACAGACCACATGAGTCTGAGCCCCAGCTCTAGTGGTTGGTCAGACCTTCATTCTTCCTTCATCAAGGGACCTGGCTTTTCTGAGCTTCTGTTTACTAACCCTGTACTCCCTAACTATGACCAAATTTTTGAGGAGATAATGGATGCACAATACCTAGCCCAGTAATATGCCGATATCAGGCAGTCAAAACTCAGGAACTCAGGAGGGGCTGGCTCTCTTTCTTCTCCCAGGTGTGGGGCCCAGTCCCACTCTCACACCATGTCACCAGTCCTGCTTTATGGCTAGTGTAATCCAAATAGTGTTCTTTGATGTTGAAGAACCTTATAAGCAGAACTTGGAACTAACATATACCACTGTTTCTATGGGAAAATGAATTTGGAATTCAAAACAACTGACTGAGTGTAGGGCTTTAGGAATATAATGCATCAATAGATGCAAGTAGATGCAAAATTTGCCAAATTTGTGGCAAATTCCTTTTACTGACAGTAATGAGGGATTCTTTGCCTCCCTGATTATGTAGAACCTTCCCAACTTCACCATGTACATGTGTAATATTTCATACACACTCCTACCTTAGGGTGGAGGGGGACTCCACAGCCCCAAGTGCATTTTCTGATGGAATGCAATATAACCAGTGCTGCTGCCCTGGACACCCCTATTTTCTGCGTCATGTGCATAAAGAGCAGCTCTAATTGGACTAGTCCTGTGAAGAAATCTTACAATAAAACATTGATGACCTAAATGATCTTTAGGATGGAAGCCAAACATGTTCTCAGTGTGACAGTTCTGAATGGTAGCAGAGCTGCACAGCATGTGCTGACAGGCAGTGAGGTTCCAGCCCTGGCCTGGTGCACCTGAAACCACTCATTCCTGACTGTTCTGAGGTCAAGACACAGGCTTTCAATGGGTTCTACTGTTTGTTCATGCCTTACAACAGCAATAGATGAATGCACTTTAGAAATACCCTTGGCAGAGTATTCATGGTGCTATTTTATCCAGGTAAGGAGAGACAAAAGGGAAGGTAATGGGGGGATTGTGTTCACTTGTATTTAGTGTAGCCCGATTCAGAATAAGCATGTTAAAGGATATCAAGTGAGAAAATATGGAAAAGACCTGAGACAGCATGGGGTGAGGAAAGGAGAAGAATTATAACAACATCATAGCAATGACTTGAGGTACTGCCAGATACACAGGTCCTCTTGTGGGAGAAGCATCTTTCGGGCCACTGGGTTGAGGGGTTGTGAAGAAGTCACTGGGGGGAGTGGGAGCAGAGAGGAGCTGGGAAATTGGGCCTAGGTGTCCTCACCCTCCTCAGATGTCAGCAAGAGCTGCTGGAGTCAGAACTTCGGTGATTTTCTGTTGCAAAAGTCACTTAAGAGCTGAACTTCAAGCCTTGTTCTGCCAGAGGCAGGAGAGAGGGAGTGGTGGGAATGCAGAAGTTCAAGAGAAAGAAGAGTCGTTGATGGAAGCCCTGCACTGCCTCCTGGAATGTGAAGATGCCCAGAATAAGCCAAGAGTCCAAAGTCCCCATATGCAGATCTCAAGGGGAAGTGATGGTCTCAGCTTGTATCTGGACTCAAGGGCAGTTCAAGGTTGACGCCAGTACAAAAACTGGATTAAATCTCAGTTGACTTGAGTCCTTTAGAATTAGCCTGTGGCTCACATAGTTAGCTTTGATTCTTTTAGGCTACAGGTGCATTTTGGAAACTGCAAGTTTTTGGTTTTTAGGTTATTAATTTGAATAAATAATTATTTTAAAGGGGATAGAAGAAATACTGTAAATATCAGCAATGCTACTAAATATTCCTCAAGATGAGGTTTTAAAGTGAAGTATTTGGCATTTAGTAAATGATTACTAATCTTTCTATTCATTCCACATATTTCGATAATTAATAAAGGTGACCATTTGACTGAAAAAAGACTTCCAATTTCAAGTCAGAGTCAGTTAAATACAGTTGTTAAAAATCATGAAGCACACTCTTAGTGTAATTATTTATCAGATGACAACTAAAGTAGCCACACTGTGGCAAAATGATTTCGTAAGGGGCTTCTGCTCTTTAAACACTAAGGCAAATTGATTCCTTAGGAAGGAAAGCAATTTTAAAGAACTTGTAAGTCAAGCAGTGAGGAGAAAGTTGACCCCTCCTATATCTAGAGAATGGCATTGGTGAAAGGATATTCACAGATATGAGAAATAATTAATGATGAAATGAAAGATTTGAGTCTGAATGGAATACTGAGAACAGAAAGTATAAGTGATCTTTCGTGGTCTTTTGTTCAATACAATAAAAATTACTTTTTTATTGACTCAATTGGTATCAGAGGCATAGCATTAATATGGCTGACCTCAATAAAGCATGGAACATTTCTCCATTTCTGAAGTGGATCTTTCTACTGCCATACTAACATTTGGAAAAACCACTTCATATCAATTATTCTTTTCTGAAACCTATCAGAAGTATTGGGAGCCATCCAAATAAGAAATACTGACATAATGGAATTGCTTATTATTCTCATATTTTCACAGTCCTTTCATCAAGCATTTCTCATTTTTATTGCAAATTTTCAGAAATGAGCGAATGCTTCAGGGGAGTTCAACCAAAAGGTGGCAGCACCTCTTTGAAAATTATTTGTATTTATTTTATTTCAAATTTTTTTTTCTTTCAAATACCACTCACACACGTTTGGTACTTGAGCCATATTATAATAGGTATTTACAGATGAGAAATCACTCTCTTTTTTTGTAAACAGACGAATGCAGTAAGTGATTGGTAAAACTGAACTTCAAAAAATGTCTGTTACCAATGAAAATTGTCCTTCTCTTTGGCCATGTGAGACCAAAAGGTCCATCATGTTTGATTATATAACAACAAATTGACCCTATCATCAGAGTGAGAAAATGTTCATGAAGTTCACTTAATCTATTAGCAGTGATTGTAATAATTATTCACTAGAAGGTTTAGAAACCTGCTAATCAGGATATTGTGACAACTACTATATTCTTAAGGACCACAAATAGATCTTTTGTTCCTGAGGGATAGATATTGAATTAACAGTCCTTTAAATTTCAATAATTTTCCTTATACCCAAATTCTACCATTTTTTAATAAAAAGATTTTTTAATCACTGTAATATTTGACATCTCTTTAATGTTATGTATCTAAAAATTTATATTTAAGTATTAATTCATAATTCTAAATTATCGCAGCTACAAATCTACAATAATAGTAAATTAACCTTTTTCATATCCTTAACCTTTTTCCTATGTTGAAAATATTTATAGAGAAAATTAGTAAAGCCAAATTCAAAATTTTTCTTAAAAGAATAGCATGTTCTTCTGAAATAAGACATTAAGTAAAACCTCATTGATTCTGATAAAATGAAGTCTGAAGGTTAGAATTCTGCTAAATGGAATTTAACTATTGTTGAATACTGACAGTTAACTGAAATTAATCTAAGTAAGGCAACAGCTCTTGTCAAAGTCTTGCATTGATATATAAATCACAGCCCAGTATACATGACTTCTAGACAATTATATATCTCCATTAAAGCAGCAATATTGTGCTTGCCTGTGTTTTGCTCAGATGTATAGATAAGAAGATGCCATTCTTTATAAGATTACAATACATTTAAACATTAAGTTAATTCAATGGCAGAAGTGTACAGCTCTAAGGAACCTTCAGGATCAATGATTTTCACGTCTGCTTTGATGGAGAATTCCTAGTGAAATCTTTCTCAGAAGTGCAGCCTATAGTTTAACCCAAGAGATGGAGTTTTAGTTGCTTGAAGTTGTGGAGCCTGAAATCTCAGTTCCTTCCCCTGTACCTCAGTTATCCCTGATACTTCAAACTCAGGGATTCTGCAGGTGAGACTGAAAGGTACTGATGGAATCATAACCCCATCCCTTTGCTTTCCACACAGCAGGCCAGGATGTGGTCATTTAAGCAAGGCCACGCAGGTCACTCATTCAAACCCAGTAACTGTAAGAATAATTGCATGAATAAAGATTAATTATTATTATTTTGAGACAGAGTCTCACTCCGTCATCCAGGCTGGAGTGTAATGGCAGGATCTGGGCTCACTGCAGCTCTGTCATCCAGGCTGGAGTGTAGTGGCGCAATCTTCCCTCTGCTTCCCAGGTTCAAGCAATTCTCCTGCCTCAGCCTCCTGAGTATCTGGGATTACAGGCACCCACAACCCTACCTAGCTAATTTTTATATTTTTAAGTAGAGACAGGGTTTCACCATGTTGGCCATACTGGTCTTACTCTCCTAGCCTCAAGTGATCTGCCCCCCTCAGCATCCCAAAGTGCTGGGATTACAGGCGTGAGCCACCACACCCAGCCTTTTCTTAATATTTATATGAAGAATAATTGCATGAATAAATATAGGTATGTATATATCTATTAATGAATATATATTTTTATTAATGATAGATATATCTTTATTAATGAAAGATGTATATACCTCTTAGTGAATAAAGACATATATATCTATTAATATGTATAGAAATTTTTATTTTACTACTTTGTATTAGTTTATTTCTTTTTCATGGAATAATGGCTGATAGGAGAAAGAAAGTCCAGATACACACACATACACACACACACACACACACACACACACACATATATATATATATAGCTGTAGAAAGAGATATCTGAAAATCATTCACAGAAAGCATATATATAGACATATGTACAGATATCTACATATGCATTTTCTGATATTTACACATACTTACAAATATGTGTAAGACACACCCACACTACTGAATAAAACCTTCCTTGTACCAAGACCTCAGGAAATGAAGAATGTTGCCCATCTTGTAAAGGCGAGAACACCAGTCTAAAAGCTCCTTTGCCACAGGGTAGTAACCATGGATTGATGCTTTCACCTTTTCTGAGAACATGCCAGTAAAATGCCGTTTACCTGCCCCATGTGGTAGTTGCAGAGTTCATGTGAAGCCACATGGGCATGTGTGGTTTATTAGCATCATAAAGCGATATATGGGATGTGTGCATGGTAGTATTCTGTGTTATGAGCTTTGAATGCTATACCCGGTTTCCATCTCACACTTAAAGATTACCCAGCAGCTTATTTTATGATTCCTCACATTGCAAAGGTTATGATGATTTTTGACAGCTGTCCTTGTTCTTCTTGAAAATATTTTTGCTAAGCAAGTTTTCATGCATGAAATAGCAGTGTTTTGGTGACAGCAGAGTGTCTAGAGAGAACCAAATGTTCAATGGTAACTAGAATGCGTCACAAGTAGTTGCTGAGTCACTGGATTCTGTCTCAGATATGTTATTTAAAACATTGACTGGGTATCGGCTTAGAAATCAGAATTGTCACTTTAGCATCTCTCCATTTTGGCATCAATAACTGCTTCAAGGGTCCCACTCACCGACGAGGAACCAGAGCACTTGCAAAGAGGAGATGTAACTGTGATGACGGGCATGAGCCTTCAGTCATTCCAGAACTTCCTTTGTAGAAGTAGAATTTGACATTCTGCTCTGCATATGAGATGCTTTGCATTTCTGTCTTCCCAGGAGGCAGGGTGTGGTTAAGATTTTAAACTCTGGAGCCAGACTGCCAGTAGTTGGAATCCCAGCTGTGCCCCTTCCTAGTGCTGGGACCTGGAATAAATTATTTAACTTCTCGACACATGAGTTACTCTTCCATAAAATGGGGATGTTATTAAGAATTGTACCTACCTGTTGGTGTGGATGAGAGGAATGAATGAGATAACACATGGGAAAAAAGAAAGCACTTTGTGTGTGGTACCCAGGAAGCACTATTGAACTGTTTGCACTTCTTAAAATAAATGGGCCATCCCAGTAAACATCCAAAACCCCATCATTTATGGAGACCTCCCCAAAAGAGCCTGGAGGTGGACATGTGTCACTGGGAAAGCAACTGGAACCAGGACAGGAGGATACTAGGTGGTAATAATAATCCGTGTCATAACTGGTATCATGGAATTTTGAAAGCTTCAGACTTTCTAAAACTTCACTCTGTGTTTTCAAAAATCTGGAAGCAGATGGTCACATTCATCTTGCTTTTTGATTTCTTCATTATGGTTACAGTTCCCCTCCTAAACAGTCTCGTGATTTTATTTGTTTCTTATTTTTAATTTTATTTTTTGAGACAAGGTCTCGCTCTGTGACCCAGGCTAGACTGTGGTGGTGTAATCACGTCTCGCTGTAGCCTCAACCTCCTGAGCTCAAGTGATCCTCCCACCTCAGCCTCCCAAAGTGTTGGGATTACAGGGGTGAGCCACCATGCCAGGCCTTCTACTTTTATTTTGATGAGCAATTATTTGGCATATTTTATCTCATTCGAGAGATTAAGTGTACTATAGATTATTGAAGGCTTTTGATGAACTGTGGTCAATCCTGATATATTCATTAATATTTAAGAATGTCAGATTATCTAAGCAAATTATCTAAGCAATGAAAAACCAAAATTAAAACATAGTGTGTTTCTGTGTGTGTGTGTGCATGTGTGCATGTGTCTGTACAGGTGCATGTTCTTTTTATTTCTTAAGGCCAACATTTGTAGTCAGGCACAATAATTTGAATATAAAATTCAAATGAAATGTCTTGAGATATTTGAGTAGTTCTCATTACATCTGGCATTTTGTGGATCTTTTAGATCTTTTATTTAGTGCCTAGTCCATATTTGCCAAAGAGTAAATGTGTGATAAATATACATGTACATTCAAAAGCTATGAAATAAATTATAGCTATGGAAACTACATTTTAATTTTATTTTAACATTATGTTTTATAAATAGCACATAAAGGATAAAGCTCAGCATACATCTCAAAATATATTACGTTTTTAGTATGTAAAACACAATTGTGAACCATTTTCTGATTCTTTGACTGTCAGCGTCTGGCTTCAAAAATATGTGCATCATTATTTTCATATGAAAATTTTAAAAAATCTCATTGACTAGAGTTCTTAAAAATGTGGTTGCAAGCTCTGTGTAGCAAAAAGCCAAATGTTAAAACAATAAAGACAGAAAGTTAGACCCTCAGGAGAAGCTGAGATTTTGTTTTATCATGAGGTTTGCCTGCACCACCTATCAGCATGAATTCACATCAGGGATTTTACCCTCTGTCAGTGTGGGCCAGGAGTGGTACTGGGCTGGCTGCAAAGCTCTTTCTAGAATATGAATCTGAGCCATTACTAGAGCAGGTGGAGGCAAGAGGCATTGGAATAAATACAATAAACCTAGAACGAAATTCACAGAGACGATCTCGTACGCATTCACTAAGTTGTTGTTTCACACACAGCTGTGCCTGCCGATGATAAATGCTTTCCTAATAATAAATCTAGTTTAAAATTTATAAATAAAATGAATAACAATCATATGTGAATTAGGACACCTCAGTGAGCAAGTATGGAGAATAAATTTATGTGAATGTAAATGTTATGTGGGCAGCTGTGTGCCAATCACTGTGTTATTACTCATTAACTTCTCTGCATATTTGGTTACATTATCCAGGAGAATGCATCTCCCAACCCATTCTGCTTTCATTTCACTCCAAGGAAGTAAAACTGTGTGTTGGAAAGCTCCTCTAGTCACGTTTTTTCCTATTCAATAATTTTCAGACCACATTTATTGAATTTTTGAAAGGAAAATGAGTTGACAGCATAAGAAATTCTAGCAAACTGTGGAATCCAGCCATATTTTTATGTCTTACAAATTTTATCTAGGAATATGGTCAAAAAGAAGTAGGTCTGTGGTTTAAAATGGAAGGACTTGAATAGACACTGAATCTCAGAGGGTATAAGGATGCCAACTAAGCACATGGATGTTGAATATCGTTAACCACTGGGGAAATGCAAATGAAAACCCAAAGAGATCACTATATACTTACCACAATGGCTAACATTAAAAACAGAACAGTACTAGGTTCTGGAGAGAATGTGGAGCAAGTAGAATTCTTATACATGGCTCGAGGGAATGCAAAATACTATAGACTGTGGAAAACAGTTTGGCAATTTCATATAAATATATACGTACCCTGTGACCCAGAATCCAACTTCTAGGTATTAACCCTAGAGAAATGAAAACTTGTGTCTACACCAAAACTGCACACAAGTATTTATACTAGCTTTATTTGTGATAGTCCAAAACTGGAAATAACCTGAATAACCTCAACTAGTGAATGCTTAAACTCTACACGTCCATGTTCTGGAATACTACTCAGCAATGTAAAAGGACAAACTATTGATGTACACAACAGCTTCAAGGAATCTCACAGACATTATGCTGGGTGACAAAAGACATTTGGAAAAGATTATGTAGTATATGACAATTTATTAGTATGGCATTCTCCAAGGACAGTCATAACGATGGAAAGTGGGCCAATAGATCAGTAGATTGCTAGGGTTTGGGGTATTGTCAGGGAGTATCTAAAGGATTGCATGAGGGAAATTTTTAGGTAGTTGAACTCTTCTCTCTTTTGATTATGCTACTAGTTACATGAATCTATATATGTGTTATAATTCACAAAACCATATACCAAAATTACCAATTCGGTTGGTAATTTTAAAATATTCTTTTCAATCATGTTTTTACTTAAGCTGCTTAAGAAGCTAAACTTTTACATGAAAAAGATGAAGCCAATAGCAATTTCAAAAACGTAAAATATGTAATGGAACCGCATTTTTGGTTAACATGTTCTTTATCTACGATGTGAAAGAGAAATAACTGTATTTAGATAGTGTTTTCTCAAATGGTGGGGCAAGAGAAGTAGCGAGATATGACATGACATGGTTGCTGGTGGCCCCTGGCTCAACAATTATATATTTTAGTGGGTATTTAAAAACCATTCATAATACATCTGATCCATAAATTCTTGGATATTATTACTTTAAAGTAGGCTAACTATAAACGTTATAAAAAAATTTAAAGGCAGTTTTTGAAAGTATATAAATAATGGGAAATCTACTGCAGTTTAAGAAATACTAAGTAAGTCAGTATTTTCTTAGATAATCAGATGTTTAGATCATAGGCAGTAGGCTGGGATATGAGGTTTTGTAGCTGCGCAAATTGCCACCACAAACAAAACAGTGGCTGAGAATGAGTGTGGGTGGACAACTAGCAGCATCTGCTGCATCTTCCCTGTTCATCTTGACATACCTGCTATCTGCAGGTTAGATCACTGCTGCCTGATATACAGCCTCCTGCAATGGTATGCTGGAAAATGTTTAACAACTAGATCTCTGGGACCAAAAAAAAGCCACTGATCCGTAGTCTTTGCTCGTATCTGTGGTCTAAATACTCCCACCGTGGTCAATTTCAAGCTACCAACATGAGGTCGCATGGAGTTGGAAAGAGAGGCAAAGTAACACATTATAGTATTTTCACCATAGACACAAAAGATAAAAATAACCTCAAAAGCATAAATCATAGTAAAATGTAAAATATTATCTTATTTTTAATATAAATGATTTAATTATAAGCATATATAATTTAATTTTTAATGGTGTCTGCATTTAAAGACTCACAGCGTCCCTGGAAATGTAACTGTGCACTCTGACGAGCACACTGCACTCTGACTGCCACATGCCACCTTCATGGATCTCTGTGCATTTCCTGCAGTGTGGTTATCAGTTTATCACTGGGCTGTTCATGTGATTTGGAGTTTAATATTTTTTGCCCCTACAAGACGTAAACTCTACTAGGGTAGTGTTAAAAAAAATGACCATATGGTCAGATTTTTAAATTATAGTAAAAATGGTGGTATATTTCTGGACATAAAGGAAAACATGACACTAAGAATTTGCATTGTTTAAATAACCACTTTGTGTCGCTGTGTGTATGTATTATTAAGAAGATGCTAAGGTACAGAACATGCATTTTAGTAAGTTTTGCATTTTATTAAGTAGAAGCTAAGAGTATATAGTAAGAAGGAATTTAAATAAAAGTTTTGCCGTAGTTGATCTATTTATAATTAGTTTTGACATGATCATTTATATCTTCTAGTCAGTGTTTGGTCATGGAGGTTTCAGCAAAGAAAATAAAATCTTACCAATACAAAAGTGAATAAAAAATATGTAACTCATTTTGTATTTTCAGTGAACCAGGTAAAACATCATTTTATGTGAACATAAGTACAGACATTAAAATAGACATTTTACATATGTCCAAAGCTTTGAGTTATTACTATATATGTAAGCTGCTTTCAAATAAACTATGTGTGATATAAACTATATTTCAAACTATTTAGCAGCAACAAGTAGGATAAAACATAACTACTCAGCAGGTGATTATTTATATTATCAATTTTAAATTATTTCATATACAGCTTTGGTAAAATTTTCCCAAATTAGAGATGAAGAAAGATAGCTTCACATTGTAATAATACTATGAAGACTATTTAGGTTCATTATAGCTGAAGATAAACTAGTGATGATTTTTGAATTGCTTTTTTCTCAGTCTCTCCTTTTTCCCCTTCTTCCTCCCTCTGTTTCTCCCCCATCTTCTCTGCTCTTCCTTCATTCCTCCTGGATTCCCTCCTTCCCCTGTCTCTCCCTCCAATGTCCTCCTTTTGTTTCTTCCTTCTTTCTTCCTACCTTCTTTCTTCCTTCCTGGATAAGGAATTTGGGGGGAAAAAAAGACTATACACACTTTCCATTTCAATAGTTACTGGCAAATTGATTTTCTGAAAGTTTCTGCCAACTTGAACAAGTATTGAAGGTGAGAATATCCCATCCAGGCCCCATGCAGATTAGCACTGGATATTATCACCTAGTGCGATCTACTGGATATTATCACCTAGTGTGGTCTACTGGATATTATCACCTAGTGTGATCTACTGGATATTATCACCCAGTGTGATCTACTGGATATTATCACCTAGTGTGATCTACTGGATATTATCACCTAGTATGATCTACTGGATTTTATCACCCAGTGTGATCTACTGGATATTATCTCATCCTCCTGGCAATGTGCATTCCCCTGGTCATTCTGAAATGGAGGCTGCTTCCTTCCATCCCTGAGCAGTTTGTATTAATTCTCCTTTAGTGAGTTGCCTGCTTATATATTTTGGCCATTTTTACAAATTGGGTGTTTTTTTCTTCTTTATTTATAGGGCTTCTTATACCATGTTTTATCAACTCTTCATTATATACTTTGCAAAAATTGTTCAGTCTCCTTTTGTATTTTAAGTTGTTTATGATATCTTTGGACTTAGTGAAATTTTAATTTGATTTACTCTTCTTTATAACTTTTGCCTTTTGCATCTTGTTTAGAAAGACCTTTCTCAATGAAAGATTATAAAATAAAAATAATGGCCTTATACGTTTTGCCTATTTTCATAGCTATTCATTTTCTTGTTTGGAGTTTGTTTCTCCCAAATATGTTGATCTTCCTGGAAAAGTGTACAATATCATATGAGACAGAGACCTATATTTTCCAAAATGGTACATAATTTTCCTAACACTTATCATTTGTTAAATATTATTGTTTACCAAATAATGGTTTTTACTAAGCTCTCATATGCCTATGAGTTTATCTGGACACCTTGTGTTCCATTGATATATTTGTTTATATCTGTACTACTAACAGGCTATTTATTTTAGAGTATATTTTGATAGCTGATTTTCTTTTTCAAAACTGGTTTTCTTCAGGTTCTCTTTGAGATTAATTTAGACTTGAATTTTCAAGTAGAAAAAGAATTAAAATAGATATTTTGGGGGGATTGCATTGAATGTGCGCGCGCACGCGCGCGCGCGCACACACACACACACACACACACACACACAGTCTCTGTCTCTCTCTCTCTGTTAAGAAGTGGCATTTAAAAAATACTGTGTCCTCCCATCTAGAAACATGATTTTTTCTACTGATTGCATAAAATGTTTTCCTTTTGTTTTCACTCTTCCAATAACAATTCTACATTTTGTTTTTATGTTTCTTTCACCTTTTCTGTTATGTCTATGCTAGGCATATTATAATATTTGATGCTACCATGAATTTTCCCCCAATGATGTTGTACATTTTTTGCCAGTTTACAGAAAAGCTATTGATTTTCAGTGTATATTATGTAACCTGCCATGAAACCACATTTTTTTTTGAAAATTTGTTCTTAAAGATTTTTTCTATTGATTATTTGGACTTTCCTAAGTATATGATATAATCAGGTATAAATAAATAGTGAAGGTTTTACATTTTTCATACTTTCACCTCTTTTAGAAAGTTTTGGCAGGCCCACCAGGGCAGGATGGCTACCCTTCATGACGGTCAAGATTGCCAACTCTATGAGCATTCCTCCAGCACAATTGAGCTCTTTTTGTATACTGTTCTGTCTTGTTTGCTATTTTACATAGAATCTACTTTTCTTTTCATAAATAGGATAATTTGATGGTTTAATGAGTTCATACTTGCTCCATATGATGCATATGGAAACTTTCTGCCATTCTTTATATTCTAGAATAGTTAAAATAACAGAATGTAGTATGTAGCATTTTAATTGTAAACTGCGAAGATATAGTTGTCTTGGGTATATATGGGGGGCATATTTGGGATGCATGGACTGCTTCCCACAGGATATAGATGCTGCCTTTCTTAGTGCATAAATATAAACACTTCTCTTAGTAAATGTGTTTTTCTTAGTACAGAAATGTGCTGTCTCTAAAGGGATATTTGGATGCAGCACATTTATGTGACAGAATGACCCTTTCTTATTTGTGAGTTCTCTGTGTTTAGATCCTGTGTGACATCAAATACAACCCACATTTACTAACTCTTACCTAGGCATTGTCATAGTGCTGTGGAAGCCAGAGGGCAGATTCGGAGCCAAATTCAACTATGCGTAACATGATGGACAGACTCTCCATTTGTATGACGTGGTGATGGGGAGGTGGTGTTACAGGAGCAGAACACTCGGCTAGATCGTTGAATATTGAGTGAGATGGGCTGAAATGGGCAGACAGGTCCTGGAGAACAGCTCAGTCATAGTTAAGGACACATGAAAGCACTTCATTCATTTGTGCAATGTGGAGTGGCCATTAGTTGGGCTACGAGAACCTTGAGGGTGTGCAACTGGACAGCCTGGCTGGGGGGAGCCAGCTTGTGATGCCAACAAATTTGTGCCTCTATTGTTGACTGGGACTGATTCTAATATCTATGACTATGCCTGCTTTCAGTTGTCATTCTCAGTTTCTCCCACCTGAGTCACTTGTCTATCCCAATCCAGTTTTCCATCCCTTGGGACTGCCTGGCAGTAAAAGGATTATTCTGGTACATTTCTTTCTTCTGAGTCTGTTTCCTGCTTCACTCTCTGATCTTCCAGTATACTCCTGGGAGTTCAGTTTCCTTTAAACTTTGTTGAGCACATTGCATTTTCTGTACCAGAAATCATTCATTCGTTTGTCACTTTCTGAGAACAGACTCGGTGCCAAAAACATGCATCACTGAACCATGAAGTTCACGATCCTTACTCTCGAGGAGCTTACAAGACTGCAGGCTTCGCAAGTGAGTGAAGTAGGATAGGAATAAAGCAAAAGAGATTGGCGGCCAGTGTAGACAATTGAAGGTCATATGCTCCATTGAAAGGTACACAAATCTCTTCTTTTAAAACACTGGGCAACAATGTGAAACAGGTCTTCCAGTTGGGTACCCTCTAACTTTAAATGTCATCTGTTCTTTGCCAACGGCCAGATGTGTAGCCCACAATTCTCCTTTGAACTGCACAGCCCTATACAGCACCCAACTCACATGGCTGCTCTGAAGTCTCACTGACAGGTCACACTCCTCATAGCCAAGAGTGAACTTTCAACCTCACCCACCGCCAATCCACTCTTCCTGAGTGGCCTTTCCCAGGTCAGGAAATGGTAATTCCATGCTTCCAGGTGCTCAACTGTGAAAATCAGGTATTATCTTTGACTGTCACCTGTTATCACATGTGTATTCAATTCATCCACCCCATTGGCTCTGACATCAAAAATTACCCAGAATTCAGCCAATTCCTTCTGCCTCTTCTGCTGCCACCACTACTGTCCTCCATCCACTTCTGCCTTTGATAGGAGCAAAATCACCTCAATAGCAGCCAGAAGGAGGCTATCAATGAAAACCAAAGCCATTTTATTGCTCTGACCAGTGCCTCTCTGTGGTTTTCAATCTCAGAGAAAAGCCCAGTTCCTCTCAGTGCCCCAAAAGGCTCCACACATGCCGTCTTCTTTCTCCTCCCCTTTGCCTGCTGACCCTCTCACACCAACTCCTTGCCCCCTGCTCTCTCCCCTCACTCCCTGCTTTGCACCCTGGTTCTGCACCAGCCCCTTGGTCTCCTTGCTGATACTGAATCTTCCAGTCAAGTTCCAGCATCACGGACTTCTCATTTGCTACAACAGTCTCCTGGTTCTTGACTCACTCCCTCACCTCCTTCAAGTCTTTGTTCAAATGTCTGCTTCTCAGGGAGACAGTGTTTTACCACCAACCAATTTAAAACCACATCCCCCTCCTTCCAGCCATCTCTAATGCCCTTCCCGCTTGTTCTCCTCTCTAGCACGCTGCTCTCTGAGGTGCCGTGTGTCCTTCTCAGGAGTCTGCTTGCTGGCCGCTTCCTCACTGGAATGTTAGCGCCTTGAGAATGGCGATTCTTGATGTTTTTATTCACTACTTCATTCCCAGCACCTAGAACAGTGTCAGCATATAAAGGGCACTCAGTCATTCTTTGTTCAGTGAATGAATATACTAATGCATTCAGGAAGACCTCTATTCACTGAATCCTGAATATTTCTGGGGAAGAGTTCAGAATATTTGCATTCATTTTGTATGTGTAGGTGGTGGAGGGCATTTCACCAGGAGACCTCACTATCCAGATTCCTATCCATAGAGACATCATTTATCAGGGATGTAAACCTTCCAGACTGGGGAGCTGCCAGAAAGATGCCATGAATAGCAGTGTGCTTAGGAAGGACCCTGGGAAACTGCAAAACACCAATTCCTGCGGTATTGAGGTCAGTGCCATAGTGTCCACGGCATAATCAAGTTCATATGAGTCCGACTTCAATGATGGGAGAAAGTTAGACTCTAGAATACCTTTTGAACTGGTACAAAGGCGTGGACCTAAAACTCAGAGAGGCAGTAGCAGAAAATCAGGTACCTTCCTCCAAACCCAAGGCTGTGTGCTGTTCTTTGCAAAAGATTGTGCAAAGGAATTAAGAAAGAAATGGCGTAATTAAAAACTTCTCAAATGGGGCCTTCTGGGGCCTGCACAGGCTGTCCGTGTTGGCAATTCCTATGTCTGATTTTGGACTCTCTGGGCCACTGGCTTTCTAACTCTTTCTGTTTTTCACCTACAGACAGGAATCAATTTTTTTTTCCCAACCCAGTTCACACAAATATGACTATTACAAATAAATAATACTCAACCTTCCTTTGTGTGTGAGGCACCCAGATAATTCCTTTTAGGTTCTCTCTCTCTCTCTGTCTCTCTCTTTCTGTCTGTCTGTCTCTCTGTCTCTTTCTCTTTCTCTCTCTCTCCGTCTCTCCCTCCCTCTCCCTCTCTCCAGGGTCTCATTCTGTTTCCCAAGCTGCAGTGCAGTGGCATGACCTTGGCTCACTGCAACCTTGACCTTCTGGGCTCAAGTGATCCTCCCATCTCAGCCTTCCAAGTAGCTGGCACTATAGGCCTGCGCCACCACACCCGGCTAATTTTTTGTAGAGACAGATTTCGCCATGTTGCCCAGGCTGAGTTCTCTTTTATTTTATTGTTACTATTTTTAAAATGCTGGCTGATAGAGCCAGGATTAGGGTGAGATTGGTGAGAAACTTGTTGAAGGTGCAAGACTTATGGGGGAACCAAAATTGTAGTCCATCAAGTCATATTTTTAGGGAATATTTATAAAAATCAAAATTCAGGAAAACAATCCATGAGGAGCAAGGTATCAAATTTTTCAATAAAGACAGGCATCCATGTGTTTGTTTTCTGATCCCACGTTATTGTGCACCTTTTTGTTATTATGTCACTTACAATTGGCTGTGAGTCCCCTGCCAATGGGTTTATGAGTGTTGATGATGACATTTGGAGAGCTTGGACTATGTGGGGCTTTATATAATCATGCTTTTTGATTGTAGAGCTTTTTTCTTTTTTAACTTTTTCCAGTTAATTCAAAATATCGTCATGTGCTTCGATGAGTGTATATAGGAGCCCATTTCCCCTTTCATCCCAAGCTCCAGCAGGGCTTGGCAGGGCACTCTTGGGTGACTACCCTCTACACTCATTTTCCATAGTAACATTTGGAAAGAAACAACACAAGATGGTTCCCTGCCTTTCTACATCCTGCAGGTTTTGCCAGCATGTGCAGCTCACCTGACATCAACGCTTTTTCCTACCTGCCTTCTAGACACTGAACTTACCTGCCTAGGTCTCTGTGCAACTCTTTTTCTACAGAAAGAAAAACTCTATTATAACCTCTAATTATATGCACTTACACACACACACACACACACACACACACATATATGTATTTTCAAATCATAGAACAAGCATGTTTGGTGGGGGGAGTTAGGTAACAGAAACATGTCAAAGTAATTTCATCAGAACAGAGAGCTATTACTGAATCGCGTTAGAAAAGAATACACTGGGAGTTTGAAGGGAGTTATCTGTGTTCTTCTTTAAGCACCTAACTTACATCATGGGAGCAGCATGTGGGAGAAGAAAGTTCCGTAATAAGCTACTTAAAATGATCACACAGGAGATATACAGTTAGTGCAGTCTGTGTTTTACTGCTGGAAACCTTCAATCATGAAGAAGTGATTAACCAAGGCTGCTCCAAGTGGCATTGGTGAATTAAAAGTTCAAACATGAAAGCTGACAAAAACAATCATTGGGTAAGGGACTCCTTGTTCAGTAATTGGTGCTGGAATAACTGGCTAGCCATATGCAGAAGATTGAATCTGGACCCCTT
This sequence comes from Homo sapiens, assembly GCF_000001405.40. Lineage (NCBI taxonomy): Eukaryota > Metazoa > Chordata > Mammalia > Primates > Hominidae > Homo > Homo sapiens. Next base: position 11,480,197 of record NC_000005.10, on the reverse strand, counting down.
CCTTACACCACACGCAAAAATCAACTCGAGATGGATTAAATACTTAAATGTAAAACCCCAAGCTATAAAAATCCTGGAAGACAACATAGGCAATACCATTCTGGACATAGGAACTGGCAAAGATTTCATGATGAAGACTCCAAAAGCAATCACAACAAAAGCAAAAATTGGCAAATGGGATCTAATTAAACTTAAGAGCTTCTGCACAGCAAAAGAAACTATCAGCAGAGTAAAGAGATAACCTACAGAGTGGGGGAAAATATTTGCAAACTATGCATCTTACAAAGATCCAATATTCAACATCTATAAGGAACTTAACCAATTTATAAGAACTTAAACCAACTTATAAGAAAAAACATTAAAAAGTGGGCAAAGGACATGGACACTTTTCAAAAGAAGACATACATACAGCCAACTATCTTATGAAAAAAAAAAAGCTCAGTATCACTGATCATTAGAGAAATGCAAATCAAAACCCCAGTGAGATATCATCTCACACCAGTCAGAGTGGCTATGATTAAGAAATCAAAAAATAGCAGATGCTGGTCAGGTTTCATAGAAATGGGAATGTTTATACACTGTTGGTGGAAGTGTAAACTAGTTCAGCCATTGTGGAAAGCAGTGTGGCAATTCATCAAAGAGCTAAAAATAGAACTACCATTGGACGCAGCAATCTTATTACTAGGTGTATAACCAAAGGAATATAAATTGTTCTATCATAAAGATACATGCATGTGTATGTTCATTGCAGCACTATTCACAATAGCAAAGACATGTTATCTACCTAAATGCCCATCAAAGGTACATTGGATAAATAAAATGTGGTACATATATACCATGGAATTGTACACAGCCATAAAAAAGAACAAGATCATATCCTGTGCCAGAACATGGATGGAGCTGTAGACCATCGTCCTTAACAAACTAACGCAAGAATAGAAAACCAATTACCACATGTTCTCATTTATAAGTGGGAGCTGAATGATGAGAACACATGGACACGAAGAGGGGAAAAAACAGACAGTAGGACATTCCTGAGGGTGAAGGGTTGGAGGAGGTAGAGGATCAGGAAAAATAAGTAATAGGTACAGGTCTTAGTACTTGGGTAACAAAATAATCTGAACAGCAAACCCCCATGACACAAGTGAACCTATATAAGAAACCTGCACATGTACCCCAAACCTAATTTTTTTTAAGTTAAATTATGTTTTCCTCTCTGGTGTTTAATATAATAGAACCCTTTCTAGTAGTTTCTAAATGTTGCTATTGTTAAATTTGTTCTGACAACAGTGAAATTTTAAGTGAAGTAAACATGGAATGTACAGTGGCCGTCTGACGTCTCTTAACCTTAAATCTAATAATTGATGAATTTCTTTATATTCAGATTTAAGTTTACCAGATTGGGTGAAGCCTTTCCAAGTTTAAAATTAATTGCATTGATGACTAACATTGCTTTCCAGACCTAGAATACTCAAAGACCAGGGCAAATTTCACAAGACTGAAATAAAATGCATAATTATTATAGGTCACTGATAAGTTCAGGCTGCCAAGGGGACAATGGCATCTACCTTTGGGAAATAGTTAAGCAGCAATATGCATGATTGAAGAAGATCTTAAAAGAAAAGCTGTTTTCTCTGGTTCAAATAAATGAACAGATGTGGCTGGTATGATGTGTTTTGACAAAGTGCTTTGAAGACACGGTGCTTAAAAGGCTGAAAAGCCACCACTCCAGCAATTCCCATCTTCTAAGAGCCACACTGCCAGATTTCACAGATTTCATGCAGGAAATGAAAGTAGTTTATGAAAGTGCAAGGGACATGAGCAATTTGGGAGCCATGGGTAAACTACAGGATTTTTACATTCAATCAGCTGTATTACAAAAACTGCTTTGGAAAAACAGATATCAAATGTATAGGTCCCCCAAGCACAGCAAAAGCAGTGGGCCCATGAAAAAATGGATACAAATTGATAAAGTGGGAGAAATTTTTTAACGAATTGCTGTCTCCCATAGAATAGAAGAAAAAATATGCACACACACATACTTATATCCATCCATGCATATATATGAGAGAAGAAGTGTAGAGTGAGAGTCTAGTATTAGTAGATAATGAAAAATAATTCCAGTAGACTGCTTAACAACAAAGAATTTTTACCAAGTCATGTCGTTGTTGTTTTTGGCTGAGTGAATTTGAGGTTAAACTCTACCACCCAAAGCTGGATGACTTCCAACAACTTCTCACTGTTTGACATCAGCCATATTTATTTGCTTGCTTGATCTTAAATCCCTAAAAATCAGATACGCAGTACAGGAGATCATTTCCATTGGTCCGCTATTCATAACAACATTCTCTTCTTTACCACCCAACTTTTCTAAGGAAACATGGATGCCATCACCTCATGAAAAGGAATCCCTCATAGATTATTGTAACCATAGCAAAGGGACACATTTGGAAAGAGTAGTTTTGTGGTAGGGTCAAGATGGGCAAGGTGGGCCGAGTGTGTTGTCAGACACCGCAGAGCCTTTGGAGGCCGAGTCAGGAGGATTGCTTCATCCCAGGAGTTTGAGACCAGTCTGGGCAACATAGTGAAACCCTGTGTCTACAAAAAACAATTTAAAAATTAGCCAGGTGTTGTGGTGTGAACTTGTAGTTCCAGCTACTCAGGCAGCTGAGGTGGGAGGATCACTTGAGCCCAGGAGTTTGAGATTACAGTGAGCCATGATCAAGCCACTCTACTTCAACCTGGGCAACAGATTAAGATCCTAGATCTTAAACAAAACAAAACAAAACAAAAACAACACCACCAAAAAAAAAAAATAGGTGATGTGTATTCATAAACATTTTTCCTTGGGTTGAGTCTCCCTAACAGGTATATGTCTGCTGTGTCTAACACTACCATCATATGGTTGTTAAAAAAACAAAAACAAAACAAAAAAAGTTGCTTTTCTAAGAATAGGCCATGTAAAATTGAGAGTTAATAATGAATAGTTCATGGGAGTTAATTGCCGTGATAATTGTGGGATAAATCATGACCTGCTAATAAAACAGTGGGCTATAAAAGACCTGCCCGTAAAGCAATGGAACTGAATCCACAAAATAGACAATCAACACAGTCTCATTCTTCTTGACATTCAGCCTATTCCAGTTAACTCAGAAAAATGTGACTGAGAGCCTATTATTTTCTTTGTCAAGTGTTCTTAACTGTGAATCCCCAGTTTTTTATGTTAAAGTGGGATCTTTGTATAAAAAGGGAGGTGTTTTACTTCTGGCAAATAATTCAAAGATAACAGAGACCTACTCCCTTTCTGTGCAATATTACAAATAAATTGGAGGGAAATAGGAAGTGAAAAATCACTCTAATCCCACAACCATGATTTCAACAGTATGCCGCTGTCAAGTATTATTTTTTGTAAGGAGTGTTAAAATACTTTGCACTTATATAGCACTTTACATTTTTAAGTGTTTTGGGCTGTATATTAATTTCATTCTAATAATAATCATGAACATTTAGTATATGTTTCTTGCTCTATCCAGAAATAATTTTCTCTGGGCATATTTCCATACTGAATAGCAAATAGATATTATTATTACTGCAAGAGAAACTTGTAGGAAGCTGATTGTATGGGGAAGATTGTTAGGCGTGTGAGTGTATGGAGTTTTTTATATGTAAAGGTGATATGAATCAGCCAGGTTTGTGTTTACTTTTGCCTCCACCTGGCCATAGAATCACTGAAAATTTTCCTAAGCCATCTGGACCTCCATTTCCTCATCTAAAAATGTGAATAATAATACCTATCTTGCATTGTTACTGAGAAGTTTGAGTGAAATCGTGCATATAACTCACATAGCATGTTGCCTGGCACCTAGTAAATTGTCCAAGTAATAACCCTCATTGGTAATTACAGGTGAACACAGAATGGTACAGTGGGAATTTAAAGACACTCGGAGGTTCTGAAAAGTCATTAATAATGTAAGTCTACTCATAGAGTTACAAGTTCTTAAGTGGGTTTTCCGAGTTAATTAGTCCCGGCTGGGTGCAGTGGTTCATACCTGTAATCCCAGCACTTTGGGATGCCGAGGTGGGCGGATAACTTGAGTCAAGGAGTTCCAGACCAGCCTGGGCAACATGGTGAAATCCCATCTCTACAAAAAAAAAAAAAAAAATAGAAAAATTAGCCGGGCATGGTGGTGCACACCTGTAGTCCCAGCTGCTCAGGAGGCTAAGGTAGAAGGATCACCTCAGCCTGGGGAGGTCAAGGCTGCAGTGAGCCATGATGGGGCCACATATTCCAGCCTGGGTTACCGAATGAGATCCAGTCTCAAAAAGAAAAACAAACAAACAAACAAAACAAAACTAGTAAATTAGTCCCCAGAATCATCTGGTAAGAGTCCATCCAGGTTTACCAACATGAAGTCTTCTATTTCATTTCTTTATGTGAATATAGGACATAAAATATCTAAAGTCACCCTATATTTAAATATAAAAAGTGGCATATAAAGGTTTCATTGTGCCAGTCTCTGCATTCTCACATCAGCTGACTCTCTTTGAGAACTGCACCCTGATATAAAACCAACTTGACTTCTGTGTCTCAAGTTTACCATTCACTTCACTAACACTGGGCAATCAGCACATCCAAGTTTGGATATTCCTTTTGTCTTGATTAGAGTTCATCCTTTATATGTGTGATTTCCCTAAATTCCTTGAGAGCAAGAGTCTAATGAAGTGTTTTGCACACTCAAATTAGGTACATAATAAATGCTATTGAACCCAAACTGATTCAAAATGGCATACAAGAAATGTTGAACTCTTATGCCATTAATTGTTCACTTTTAGGGAGTTTGGTGAATAAAAGGGAGAAAAAATTAATTACTTACTGCTCCTTGAGTATCCAAAATCCTGAATTAAATTCCTAGCAACCTGGCTACTTGACCAAGCTTTGACAAGTCATTTAGCCCCTCGATCTTGCTGGCCAAATACAACCATCATCAATTCTAATTTCTCTCACTTTCTGCCAATATTCAGTGTAGCTCACAGGCTATGAATGTGAAATAAAGCTTGTGAGTCAAATTGACTTGCCTGCAGTATGAAGAGAATGGCGGTAATACCTGAGACACACTTGACTTATAACCTCTAGCTAAAAGGACTTTCTTGAGAAGTCTGATTAGTAGTTCAGAAAATTATCTCTGCAGAGGCAGCACAGTTCTGCTGATTACACCTCAGCTTTGCAGAGCAGATGTGAAAACGGGTGGCCATGACATGTCACAGAAGTATGGCTCTAGCACAGTGAACCAATGAAGGGCAGGTGTACATAGGGCGGGTGCTTAGAACCTCAAGGGTACCATGGAAGGTAATTGGTAATAATGACGACAAGTGCTGCAAAATAGCAAGAGGCAACTTGCTGTGCTAATGGGACTCAATCTAAGGGGCTCAGTTTGAATGCATATAATGACATCAAGCTTGAGAAATTTCAGCTATCATGGTTTTCAAAAGTATTTCATAAGCGAAAAATAAATTTTTTTCCTATCCAGTATTCACAATGGTGCTTCAAGGAAAACCATGGCTGTTGCTATCCCTAAGGAGACACCTGCGTTGGTGTCTTCTGTCTTGGTGCCCTCTTTCTGATTTACCCTTAAAGAAAACACCAGTTCCTTCTGCCTTTTGAAAGCTGCCCCAGAGTCAAAGTATCTTCTCTTATGTGCTTGTTTACTTCTCTCTTCTCCAATTAGCTATTATTGTCTCTTTTCTCTGGGCTCTCATAATATCATTTTTAAACCTTGATTCTTACTGTTATAACAAAAACATTATTTTTCTATTACAATATTTAAGTGCTTTTCTGTTGCCCCTAACTAGATTAGAAGATCTTTGCTAAGCCTTGCTCATTTTGGGAGAGTTGGGAGAAGGTGTCACAGTGCCTTGTCCAGTGCATGGAGGTGGGCCGAACAATCAGTTAAATTGTTAAATAAATAAATTGTTATCTACATAATTAATTGAAGTTTTAATCATATAAATCATATTGTATTCTTTTTGCTAATCTCACATGGGTGGAATGCAAAAATCTGTGGTTAAAAGGGTTGAAGGTTTTTCTCCAGACAAATGTCAGTTTAAACCAAATAATGATCATATACAGGTGCTCCTTTTGTGGACCCTCTCTTCCAAACAGCATAGATGCCATGCTTCAGGCTCTCGATTACTGCTTATTAAGAAAGAAAGAGTTCTTTAAATCCCAGCCAAACATGGTCACAAGATGATGCGGAAGCTTAAAAATATTTGAGAGGAAGGGGAGTGTTCAAATTCATCACATTTGTTTAACTAAGATCCACACAGCTTCTTTGCACACTGCAGATTAGGCCTGGCATCCCCATTGTAATAGCAGGGATCCTACAGAAGCTCTTCTTGGATGCTCTGGTCTCAGATTCTATCCTAGTATCTCCAGTGGTGCCTTGCTAACTTTCTCCTCAGTTCCTGGCTCACCCATTGGTCTGTTTGCAGTGCTCTGCCTGTGGACACACCTGCTGTGTCCTTCTCTCAGTGTGCTCTAGAATGGGTTTTTAACTTTTCCTTGATATGAACATCTTTTCTGGGAATAGCGATGGAGCCATTTCCTGTAGTTGTTGAGTGTATGTTGAGTGTTTCAGTGACTTCTCAGCACCAGTGAGAGAAAACCTGCTTAGGCCTTTTTTACTGCTCTGGAAACCATTGATGATGCTGCCGCATCTAAATTTAAATATTCTCTTCTCACTCAGTATCCCCTTCTCAGCCAACTGGTTGCCCTTATATGCCATGTGTTGCTTATGTCTTTATTATTTGGCCTAGGGAAAGCCTAATACTTATAATAAACAACATGAACATTCAATGCCAGGAGTGGGCTAGAAGATACTGCCAGCCACACTTGTATCTTACTGATTTTGCATTTTCTCTCTCCCCACTCCCAGTTGGCCTTCTTCAGTTGGGTGCCATTAAATCTTTGAGAATGTAATTGTCATCCATTCTCCTTAAGTCTTATAGTCAAAGCTTCTGGCTGTAAAATGAATTCCATTAGTTTAGCTCTTGAGGACTGCCAATCCGATTTGTATTTTCTACAGAATATTTGGACCTGTCACTAATTTTTTCTTTCTTTCTTTCTTTTTTGAGGCAGAGTTTTGCTCTGTCACCCAGGCTGGAGTGTGGTGGTACGATCTCGGCTCACTGCAACCTCCTACTCCAGGTTCAAGCGATTCTCTTGCCTCAGACTCCTGAACTAGGACCACAGGCATGCGCCACCATGCCCAAATAATTTTTTGAAGACAGGTGACACTGCTCAAATTTAATCAGTAAAGGTCTCTCCTCTTAGACGAGACTAGGAAACATTTTGGTTTTATCCATTTCACTCTCTGTGCTGAACTTGATGTCATATAATTGCTGGTCAGTCTAACACCGTCATATTATACATCTTTTTCAAATTAGAAAATATACTGCAATATAAAAATCAATATCAGTTCTAACAATGCATAGGAACCTTTTACAAAGTTTAATCATATAAGTTCTAAGAACTTAACAGTGCAAAGATCTCAAGACTATAACATTCTTAGAAGTTATTCCAACCAAAATTTCCTAAGATTGAAATGCAGAAACTTACAGAATTGAGTAAAAAGACAAAAACGTAAATACTAAATATTGAAAAGATGCAAGTTCTCCCCAAATACACTCATAGATTTAATAAAATTCAAATTTAAAGGCAATTAATTAGGGATGAGGCAAGAATCTGGGAAGAAAATTAATCTGAAGTTTGTCTGGAAAAATCAATGGGTGAAACGAAAATATTTTAGGATAAGATTAATGAGAAGTAAAATTATTTCAATTATAAAAGTAAAATGATAAAATAGTTAGACCTATATGGTACTGATGCCAGGAATGTTATACAAAGCTACGTCAAGGCTTGAGATAATTTTATTGAAAGATATTCGTGGTTATCTCATTGGCTATAAAAGAAGAATTTACAACAGTTGAGATTCTATTAAGTGTAAAGTTGTCCAACAGTTATAAGGATTAAGTGAGGATCCCCCCCAAAAAATTTAAAAAATAGGATGAACAAGTACTTATATAAAATGAAAGGCTCACACGATGACACCACTTGCTTCTTAAATACTTAATTTTAAAGGCAAAAATTAAACTGTTGTTTAGGATACCTTTGAATATGACAGTGTTCGCTTCTGAAAATAAAGGCTGAATTGTTCTATATATGGTAACAGGGAAGACAAGAAGTTTTGCCAGCTTGTGTTAAAAACAAAATGAAGCCAGACATAGATTTATTCACTTTAACAATAGTAATATTTTAAAAGTACCAAATTCAAATTCTTTTTGGCTTCACTTTGGGAATTAATGCCATATTAAACCTAATTCCTATTCTTCTGGAGAGTGATATTTATTCTTTTTGGCATTGGTAACTCCTATGTGGAATTAAGCCTTGACAAGGACAGCAAGCTTCTGTATCAATTTTTCTCAGAATGATTTTGTCATGATATTTAATGGACCACTTTTTGGCCTTTATAGAATGAACTTCCTGAGCTTTTAAAAGTCATAGTCAAGCTATGCCTGTCAGATAGAGAGGACACACTAATTAGTATCAAGTGCTCTCAATTTGTTTAGCATTTACTGTTGGTAAATACCTTTATCAAAACCATTATTCTATTACTAGAATTTGTTATTTAGAAACGTTGATAACATCACTGTGATTTTTTTAAAAGTAGGAAACAGTGTATTCTGAGTATAATCAGTCCTTGATTCTCTTTGTTAAAGAAACAATCGAAGAAACTTTTTTAATTCAGCAGAAAAGCATTCAAATGTGTTTACATTCATTTTTTAGACTATAAAATCTGTATGTATGACAAGAAAATTAAAAACTACATTAAAAGATAGAAAATGCATTAAAATTATAGACTTTGGGCCAGGTGCAGTGGCTCAGGCCTGTAATCCCAGCACTTTGGGAGGCCAAGGCAGGTGGATCATGAGGTCAGGAGATCGAGACCATCCTGGCTAACACTGTGAAACCCCGTCTCTACTAAAAATACAAAAAATTAGCTGGGCATGTTGGTGGGCGCCTGTAGTCCCCGCTACTCAGGAGGCTGAAGCAGGAGAATGGTTTGAACCTGGGAGGCGGTGGTTGCAGTGAGCAGAGATCGCGCCACTGCACTCCAGCCTCAGCGACAGAGAGAGACTCCATCTAAAAAAAAAAAAAAAATATATATATATATATATATATATATACTTTGTATCAAATAATAGCTAAAGTAAAAGGACTTAGATACTTAGACATCTTGGTTGAAACCCAGCTCTGCCCATATTGTGATGAAAATGTGATTTCACTTCTGTGGTCTTCCTCTCCAAATCCTATCATCCCAGTTTAATCATGAGATCACGAGAAAAATCTCAGATGAATCCTAATAGTGGGACATTCTACAAAACATTTGACCAGTACTCATCAAAACCGTCAGGGTCATTGAAAATAAGGAAAGCTTGAGGAACTGTCATAGCCAAGGAGAGCTTAAGGAGGCAGGATGAATAAATGCAATGTGGAATCCTGGAGGGGGTCGTGGGACAGAAAAAGGACATTAGATTACAAATGAAGGAAATCTAAATAAACCAAGGACTTTAGTCAGTGATCATATTCTTGACTGAATAATTGTGACAAATGAGCCGTATTAATATAAGATGTTTATAATAGGGGATCAACTAGGTATGGGACAATCAAAACTCTCTGTACTATCTTCTCAATTTTTCTTTTTTTTAAGACAGAGTTTCATTCTTGTTACCCAGGCTGGAGTGCAATGGCACAATCTCGGCTCACCAAATCTCCGCCTCCCAAGTTCAAGCAATCCTCCTGCCTCAGTCTCCCGAGTAGCTGGGATTACAGGCATGCACCACCATGCCCAGCTAATTTTGTATTTTAATGGAGATGAGGTTTCTCCATGTTAGTCAGCCTGGTCTCGAACTCCTGACCTCAGGTGATCCGCCTGTCTCGGCCTCCCAAAGTGCTAGGATTACAGGTGTGAGCCACCGTGCCTGGCCTATGTTCTCAATTTTTCTATAAATCTAAAACTATCCTGATAATAGGGTGTGTTTTATAAAGAAGGAGGGGGCGAGAGTGGAGTTGGATAGCATAGAATTATTATATGCTGTACTAAGCAATTTAGAACATATTTCAATTATATTTGGAGCCTCTAAGGTATTGAGTCATAGGATATGCACTCCGGTAGCCCTGTGAAGACTCAGACCAGGCCAGAGGAGGCATGGTCAAGGGCTTGAACGAAGGCAACAGCAGTGAGACTAAATGGAGGCAGGAAGCAAGGTGCAAAGCAGTGGAATTAATAGCACTTAATCCCTGATTAAATTGGGCCAGGTGGTGAGAGGAGGGAAAAATCTACGATGATGGCTTTCAAGATGAAAATGGAGCATTGGAAAAGGTTTATAAAAGGAAGGAAAAATACTTGAATATTTAAAATTACCTAAGAAAAATAAATTATGTTGAGAAAGTGTTGAGTGGGCATCTACAAGGGTGGAGAATTTTCTGAGAAGCTGGCCTTAACTGTGTGGCTCTGGGTGTTCTGGTCTTGAGCAGATAATACTTAGAACCTTTCTTTGTCAGCCCCTGTGATGTGATCATCATCTGTTTGTAACAAGCAGTGTCAGCTGACGGACTGACTTCTCTGAACGTGCATCCAGGTTTCAGGGCCCTGGTGCTCCAATAAATGCAGCAGTGTTATGCCTTTCTGTGCTGAAAGTAACTTTAAAGGATTGTGGATTTCGTGTACTCTCTTGCATATCGATTTATGCAACTCCCAACAATGTGGGTGACTGAACTGATATTGGCTGATCTTCTTCCTGCACACCAGAAACTCTTCAGAGGTCAGGAATAAATTACAATCTGCATGCAAAAATATTAATACATATCTGATTTCCAGGGGGAAAAAAGGAAATCTGCAGGCACCCAACATGGAGAAATCACATGCAACTTTGTTTTACATCCTTAGGCTGGATGTAGAGGAAGCTGGCATGGCATCCCTGCACAAAGACTGGAGGCAAAGGGCAGCCTCAGCTGTGGAAAGAGCTAGAAACTCCCTGAACACTTGTTTGAGATCAGCAGAGCAACTTGCCATCTCAGGGGTCTTGGGTGAGGAAAACGTTCTCCCATGAGAAACCCAAACTCCAGACCTGCTTGAGCGTAGAGAGTTATATATGACCTGCAGAAACCCAAGCTGAAAAATTTAAACTGGAGACTTATGTAGAAACCCTTAGGGCCACAGCACAGGCAAATGTGACTCTTCTCTTCAGGCCCTTCCACAAAGTTGATCGTGCAAGAATCCCACAAGAAAGGAGAGAACACCCCACTGAAAATGAGCTCAGATTTAAAAATTCCAGGTGACAAGATGAGTGAGTCACCATGAATAATCAGCAATTTCAACAGAGTGATTAGCAACCCAGGAATTGAAGTTACTAGAGGAAACTGAATGAAAAGAGAAAATAAGAGACTCTAAAATTTGAAAAAGGAAAAAATAGAATTTCTAGAAATGAATAAGTGTAGTCATTAACGTTAAAGCCTCGCAGGAGGGTTTGAGTATCTGCAGTATTGTCCGAGCACCCTTTGGACGTTTCAGGACCTGACAGACATATTGGATACTGTATCTACAGAGAGATCTGGGAACCTGCTGCTCTGTGGATGGGCTGTGGCTTCCTGGGGCTGATACCATGGAACTCTTGAAATGGTTCCCTGAATTTTTATCCTGAGTAAGTTTGCTTTGATTAAAAAGTATCCCATAGCTGACATTTTTAAAACCAAAAGTGTCCTAAATGAGTTTATTATTCATCTTAATGATTTTCTGTTTTATGATTACAAATTTTTAAAAGTCACTTTTGTCCTCTTGCTTTCATCTCCATTGGCTGTAAGGACTGACTGATGCTTAAGGACTGCGATACCAAGGGTTACTAGCTCTTAAGTTTCTATGATTCCCTATTCTATGGGCTAGGGACTGCCTTAATCTTAGGATTGTCTCCCTGGAAATTCTGCACTAATACAGTTTTTCTGTTATTTGTACTTGAGTCTCATTTGCCCTTCTGCCTGTGCAGTTTTTGATGTAGATTACAGTAACACTTGCAGATTGGGACTTCACACAGACACACGTTTAACTCCCCAGTTGAAATTAGCAAAAGAAGAAGAAGAAATTTACAAACACTTTTAGTCAGAAGAGGAAGAACAGTACGATATCTCTAAAAGCTAATGCATATTTTTTATCCTATTATTTTTTGAACTAAATTTAAAGGCAGAAAGTTACTTGTATTTATCTTTATGCCCCCTAAAGTACTATGTATGTGTTAGTGAAAGACATTTACTGGAAGTTTTAAATAGTTCTGCATGTAGAAGAAAAACAGGAATGTTGGTTGCACAACACAGCTAAGTGGTTAGGATTCATTTTTGGACTTCCACCCTTATCACTGGGAATAAATACCCAAAACTGCTGCTTAAATAACATTAAAATTTCTCTAAGTAAAATGTTACCCCCAGAAGCCCAAGTCACCCTTTTCTTTTAAAATCTAGTAAAAGCATATTTATTTGTTAAGTCTACGTACTTATTTTGACTCACACACACAACCCTAGAGAAAACAAACAAAATTATATTTCAAAGGCCAGAACATGCCACAAATTCTTGACACTCATTGAATATTCTGTGTAGAATCAGGCCCGATGTAAACAACAGGCACTTGGAGTATAACCGTTCATCTCCAGGACCCTCAAAAATGGCAGGGACCTTCTCAGCCTCCGACATAAGCAAAGCCTTGCCCCAGTGTGGGAGAAGGACAGAGAGCATCTCAGGGCCAACCCATTCCAGATACAACCAGGACGAGCAGAAACCATGCAGGAAGTGGAAGAGGAGAGATGAAGCAAGCACATAGCGGAGCTTGCCCATCACGCCTGGGGTCGGGCAGGCCAGCCTGGGAGAGCTGAGCTCCCCAGGGGCCTTGCTCCAGTGCACAGCCTGTGCTGGCTCTGCACACACTTTTCTGCACATCCAGGGCCACGCTATGGATCTCTTACAGATGATGGTATGGGCACCAGCCTGGTGCACTGGCTTAGGAAGGAGCTTTTTGTATGGCTTCAGTGAGTGCCCTTGTGAGCAATACCACCTTTGAGCCTGGGCATTTCCATGTCCTGAGCTGTCCTGGCTCAGGTCTTTTGCTGTGTCCAGCCCACACTGCACAATACTTGTTATCCTGGGAAGATTGGCATAGCACAGATTTCTTTCATGGTGAATTGCACCTGTGTGATGTTGTTGCTGCAGTACACGCATGTGTGGGAAGCTGACCATCACATAGAACATCGTTTTCCCAGAAAATGAGTTTGTCAAAAGGAACTGATTTGGTGGGGGAGGGGAAGATAAAAGGCAGGAGATGGCGTCAGTGACTTTCCCACTGATGGTCCTACAGAACCCCCACTAATGTGGGCCTTGGAAATGTCATCTTGTCAATATCTCATGAGGTATGCCCTCCTGTTGATAATTTTTTAATTGTCATTTTTAGAGACATGATTTCTTAAAGTACTTTAAATAGAATGGAAGAGGATTCCTGACAATATTTAACTTTTTAAAAAAGGAAGAGAGAAGAGATTACATTTTCTTGTTACTAGTTTTTCATTAACAATTCAGTTTTTAGATGTTCTTCTGTTATATATCATAGTCTAGTGTGGATTTGATTATAGAATTTGGAGGACACTAGTATATTTTTCATTTTTTTCAAAGAAAATGGATCAGAAGGAACTTAGTAGTAAATTGACAGATAAGTCCTGGGATACTGAAAAAAGGCTTAGAACTCAGCGGAGATTAGTAGTTGTTCCAAATGAGCTACCTTTTAGGTGAATGACTGTACAATGGAACAGTCTTTTGTATTTAAAAATGGTTTTATGTCCTTTGGGAGGCCAAGGCAGGAGGATCACTTGAGGCTAGGAGTTCAGGACTAGCTTGGGCAACATAGCAAGCCCCCGTCTCTACAAAGAATTTAAAAATTAGCCAGGCATGGTGGTATGTGCCTGTAGTCCCAGCTACTTAGGAGGCTGAGGTGGGAGGATTGCTTGAGTCCAAGGTTGCAGTGAGCTATGATCATACTACTGTACTCCAGTCTGGGTGACAGAGTGAAAACCCCACCTCTTCAATAAGTAGTTTTGTTTTTTTAAGTTAGAAAATAAAAATTTCATGAAGTTCGTTTTTAGTTGTACCACTGGTCTGTTTCCATAAAGTCTGCCATTAGGAAAGGTTATCCAGAACTGGCCATCTGCACCTTGGAGATGGAAGTTGACTGTTGTCTTCAACTGCATTCTGCCATGAGGAAGCCAAGTAAATTACTGCAACACCCTCAATCTTACAAGGAAATTCCTAGAAATAATAGCAAACTCCAGATGGAGTTGGTCATCTTTCTGCCAGTATATTTGGAGAGTCTAAACTGGACCAACTTGCTAAGATTATTTAGTCACCATGATGGTTTTAATATTTTCAGGGTCTGTGCCCTTTTGGAAGGGGAAACAGATGTTGAATTATAGCTATGAGTTTTTCAGTAGCTGGTGCTGAAATAATTACCCATCAGGAACACCACAGTCAATAGTGATCTTCATTCGAGTCAGTCTGGCAAAAATAAAGGTGACAGGAAAGCTGTGTCACTTTTGTTTGTCTGCCTAATTCTAGCATTTCAAAATTGGGACATCGATCATGTGAGAATGCCTAGGTGTACAGTTGCTGCATTTATTATGTTTCAAATTTTTACCAGTTGCACAAACATTGCATCTCTATCCACAATAATTCTGAGCAACCCATTAACTGTGCTCAACTTCTGAAAATAACAATAGGGACAGGAAGAGAATGCAAAAAAAAAAAAAAAGTTCAGTTTTGGATATTCTGTGCTATTTCAAGGAAAACTCTGGATAGGTATGCATAGTAAAAGACTGGGGCTTTTTGGAAAATATTTTAATACTGCATAATAGGAAAAGTTATGCAGATTATTAACAATGTGAACAATTACTGCAAAAATGTAAAATATCTTAGTTATTCTTAACATGACTGTTTAAGGAAAATGTGCCTTCCAAAAGACAAAAATCAGTTATGAAGATTAGGAAGTCTAAAGAGAAAATCTTGGGCTAGGGGGAGGGGAAGAAGAGAGAAATATCCTTTAAGCTAGAAGAAACAAAGCCTGCAAGGAGAGATCATTTTGGGATCTCAGCCCATACTCACAATAACTGAGGAAGGCATTTCCTCTTCCATGTTGTTATGAATTTAAAATAAATATGATCACAATGATTGAACAACCCACATCAAATCCATCATGGTATATTCCTAGAATTTTAGTTAATAAAATACAGGAGCCAAGCTTAACTCCTTTTATCTCTTAAACCCCATATTCTACCCAATAGCCAATCTTGTCACCCACATTTTCATAATCTAGCCAGGATCAACCACTTCTCACCACCTTCTCTCCTCCCTGGTCCACCATGCTCTCACCTGTATATCTCTGCCCCATGGCTAGCCTGCTGGCTTCAGTTCTCCAGCAGAGTGTTCTCAGCATAAGTATCAGCATAATAATTAAAAACACAAGTCTGATCACTTCACTCCCTACTTCCCAAGGCCTCTGAGGATACTCAGAGTAAATATGGAAGCTCTAACAATGACTGTGCCCTAGTTGTCTGGAGCCCTGTTGCCCCCACTAAGTCTAAGTCCTGCTGCCTGGCACCCCAGGGCTGCAGGTGCTCTAACCTTGGGCACTTTCTCCCTGGAGAACATTGCAGGCTCCCTTTCTTCTGCCCAGGACTCTCTCCTCCCAGTGATCACCATGCCTTAGTACCTCTCAGTGAAACCCCTCACAGTACTTTATGCAGAGCTGAACCCTTGACACTTTCTGTCCCTATTTTATTTTTCATCACCTTCTAACATGCTACAGAATTATGTACTTATTTATTTTGTTTATCTGTCTCACCCAACTACAAATGGAAGAATTTTTGTCTGTTTGGCTCACTGCTGAATTCCTCAATGCCTAAAGAGGACTAGGCACTTGTAGGAACTCAATAAATATCAGATGAATGAATGAACAAAATCTACTACCTACTTAGAATTTAATTTTTATTCATATCACTTAGATGAACTCTTGGAAGTAAATTTTGGTTCTAGTTCATCATCAATTAACAGGAGTTAACACAAAATAATCAATTAAAATTGCTTTGAAACTAACACTTATTTTGGCTATCTCTATACCCTGCCTCACTAATCACTTGAGAATGAAAAAAGAAACCAGAAACTTGTCTTTCTCATTTTCAAATGAAATCTTTTTTTTTTTTTGTAAGGGACGCTTTCCTCAGCTGTCAAAGCTTAGCTGGACCTGTAGTTCATAGACTCCTGCCTCCATTGCCCAGTGCTTTTTTAAGTCATTAAAAGCATATAAGAAATTGAGTGAGTAGGTTTGCTTTTTGCGTCATGATATAAAGAATCCTTAAAGTTTTTTTTTTTTTAATGAAGCACCCCATGTGTGCTCTCTCAGGTATCTGTATATCCATGCGAAAGAGTTTGTGCTTTGAATTTATCATACCGCACTCTTGGCAAGGAGTAAGCCAGAACATGGGGGCATGGAATATTATGGCAGGCAGCATTTTCCTCTCTAATGTACTAGGATACAGTAGCCACAAACAAGGGTCCTGGTTAATGACCACATAACTGAGAAGCACATTACCATCATGTATGTGCTTATAAACCTGAGACAGCAAATGGCTGAGATGTTTGGTGTAAATTTTTCAATACAAACACAAACTAAAAATAAGGAAGTTATTGTACAAAAATCCAAAGCACTCAAAGAATAATTGTCTCCCTGGATGAACATTTGCATATTTATATAACTGTGCAATTTAAGAGATAGATGGATGGATGGATTAATAGATTACTCTTACCTCTGAAGACGCTTCTAAGTACATTTTCAAGTTTTCTACATAATGAATATGAGGAATAGTGTTAAGAGTGTATCATATACCAAAAGTAGGCTTATTATTTGAATATATTTTCTAAGTTAGCCAGAAGCAATATAATTACAGTACACTTGAAATGAAATGCTAAAATGGGAGGATTTAAATTGTCAAAGCTATTATGTTGGACTTGTGTGATTAATCTTTGAAGGGAATGGCAAACAGCTTTTTAATGAGTTTTAAATGCAGGACTAAGATTGATGGATGGTCCACATTTGATATGAAGACTGAGGAGTCTGCAGATGTGGGACAGGAGGGCATCCGTGCCAAGTCCACATGAGGCCGAGGCAGCTTCTGATAGGTCATTTTGTTGTCCTTTTTTTCTTGTTTCTTTTCTTGGTGGTGGTTTATTTGCTGCAGACAAGTGTTAAGAAACACATAGATTAGAGTGATAGCTCATTTCTTAGTTGGTATTTATTAAATTATTAAAAATTATTAAAAACAACAACAACAGCACATAACATAAAAGTAAGTTACTTTCGAGCACCCCAACTAATGGAATTTATTTTCCATTTATATTTTTAAATTTACTTTTTATTTTTTGTGCTTTTTAGCTTTAGATTTCTTGTTGATGCTTTCTCCTCATCGTAACCTGTTTCTATATTCTTCTGTTACTCTGGGGAAAAAAAAAATAGAATCTTTCTTCTATAGACATACCCATAATATCTAAGACTAAAGCCTGAGGCCACTAATGACACTATCGGACTCCTCTCTGCTGCCACAACAGCAAAGGCAGGGAGGCTGAAGAGACCAAGGCCAGGGCTCAAGTTGAGGGGAGATGTGATATGTCAGGGGTGTATCAGTGCTTTATAATAGGTCAAATCCACAGTGAAGGCCAGAAAGCCAGGCCAGGCCTATAGGAGAGAGGGCAGCTCCCCCAAGTCCTATGCCCACGAGGTCATCGAAATCAAAGAATAAAGAACCTAGACCATAAAATTGGAACTATGACCTTTCTGATCCTCAGTCTTTGCTCTTGGCCAGGAATTATGCCCTCTGCTTGGTATGCTGGGGCAAAACCCACAGAAGTGTGTTTAGATATCCCTGGATTATAGTGGGGTGGGGACATTCATTTGTGAGCACTGAGACCAAATCTCAGGAACCCTCTGTGGAGGCCCTGAAACCACTGTGATCTGGTCACCACCTGGGGTGTTGATCACCTCCTACCCTTGTTTTCCTCCTCGATGGTATTTTGTCAGTTCAGAACAGACCCTAAGACTCAATATAACCTAGGTTATCCAGTACCACCTAAAATCTAATAGTGAAACAGCAATATGAACAAAACTTTATTCTTGTGTAGATTTTTAAGCTTTACCCAGAATTTACCTAGATGCTGCACAGTATCTCTGAGAATCAATGTCTCAATCCTTATTTCTTTCTAATCTTGAATTACTTATTGGATAGTAGTTTCCCTGAACGTGAGTGCAAACATTTGAAATTTTCTTAAATGTCACTCTTTTGTTTCTTTGTTTACAAGAAGTGTTGGCTGAATGATGCCTAAAATCCATTCCAGCTTGGAAAGTCCATGAGTTTATGATTCTTGCTCATTCGAGCTACAACATGCTCAAGATGCATAGGTCAACCACATTGAAGGGACAGAGGTGACACATCCACAGCAAGCTTCAGCTGGGGTCTCTGGCGTTAGACCACCCCAAGCAAAGGTCTACCACCGAGTTCATGAAACTCTACTAGTTTGAGACATGCCTATTTCTAATATCAAGAAGTTCACAAGCAATTTCCCAGGTGTCTTTGCATCTTAGTGCAAATAGTCCTACCTGGCCTAATTTTCATTTTCTGGGTTTGCAGTTACATTTACTCTCAGGTTCCCGTGAAAGGGCTGGGTTTGGACCGAGTTGTACTGTGTTCTCTCGGCATTCTGCATGCATTTCCAGTTCCACATGCACATGAGATGGGACAGTGCCTTACTTATCTATGTTTTTCTGTCCCTTCAGCGCACGTTTATTCAGGGCATTTGTTCCACAAACTTTTAGAGGCTCAAGATTCACCAGTTTAAAAAAAAACAAAGTCCCTGCCTTCATGAGGGTTACATCTAGTGAGGGGAGAAAGAAAATAAAGAACCAGAAAGAACAATGAAGCAGGACTAGCGGGGAAAGTGAAGGGAGGAGTGCAATTTTTTTTTTTTTCCAGAGTCTCGCTCTGTCGCCAGAATGCAGTGGCATGATCTCGGCTCACTGCAACCTCCACCTCCTGAGTTAAAGCACTTCTCTTGCCTCAGCCTCCCAAGTAGCTGGGATTACAGACGCATGCCACCACATTCAGCTAATTTTTGTATTTTTAGTAGAGACTGGTTTCGCCATGTTGGTCAGTATGGTCTTGATTTCTTGACCTCATGATCCGCCCACCTCAGCCTCCCAAAGTGCTGAGATTACAGGCATGAGCCACAGTTCCTGGCCAGAGTGCAATTTAACGTGCAGTAGTCAGCTAAGGTAAAGTGATATTTGAGCAGAGCACTCCAGGGAGAAGAAAGGGAGTGAGCTGTATCTGAGGCAAAGTAGTAGGGTGGCAAGCGCAAAGGCCCTGGGGTACTGGAAGGAGATCACCCAGACTAGAATAGCCTGAGCAAGGGCCAGATCCAAAAACAAGCAGAGAAATGCACAGGGGCCCCCAATGGGGGTAGAGCATCACTCAGTTAGTGGGGACAGCATAGTAGAGAACAGTAGAAGGTGCATATTTTTGGTTCTCATATCTAAACACACTTCTCAGTATTAAAATATGAGTGACATCTAGTGTCTCAACATTTAGGTTATTCAGATATACATCAAATTTGGAAATTGGCTGGACAATTACAATGGATGCCAGAAATTAGATGTTAATTCCAAGCTTTATTCTTTGCATTTCTCCCATTGGCTTTCTCTCATAGGGCATCTGTTTTCTCTTTGTTCTTGGATAAATTTTTCCTGAGATAGTTTGAATTCTGTCAGTAGTCCCGTGATCTGGGTGAGATGTAAGATTTTGGTGGGGTTGTGGGCACATATTGCCACAGTCTCACCTATGTTGGAGGCTCCCTCTGAGTGTATTTGTAGACTGGATTGTTGCGGGCATCATGTATTGAAGACAGGACCATTAAATCTGTTACCAAAGGGGTTTAAGAACTCTTTCCATCCCAGTCGGGTGATCTTGTCAACATGATAGGCAAATATTATTGTGTGAGAAAGGTTCAGCTTCATCAAAATTCTAAGTATGAATTTTGCAATATAAGAATAGTCATTTAATCAGATTACTTGAGGCATTAACCATCAGACACTATCAGTACATTGACCACAAGTTCGTGAGACATGTGAAGAATGTAGGTTCTGAATTCATTTGTAGGTACTTACAACTTGACATTGACCTAAATGTACTTATAGAATCATAAAATATTAAATACAATCTTGACTAAATGCACTCTGCCAAGTGTACCCACAACTCCTTCCATGTAGAAATATACAAAAGTTTTATTGTCATTAGTTTTAATGTTTTAAATAAAGTATATTTTAAAATGTCCTTCTGCAGGTTTTTGGAATTCATGGTATATAGGGAAGAAATAGTTTCCTTGCCTGGTAGACAAATAAAAGAACTACCTGAAAACATTTCATATTCTTAGAACAGACGTACTTAGCAGCATGAAAAGTCAGGCAACTTTAAGTCTGTCCCCATACATGGTGCTTTTGTTCTTGGCTTTAAAAAGGGGCAGAACAAGCAATTATCTTTATCTTTCAATATATTGTATTTAATAAGACAAAACAATACCTTTCCACTGAATTCTTCCGAGTAGAGTCTCCTATGGTGGGGTTTTAATATGAAGACTCTACTTATTTTTCTACATAAAGTGGCAAATTTCAGACTGCCACATTGTTTACAGAAGTAAGATCTAAATGAAAATCTAGAACTCTGGTCTTCCTATTCTAAAGATAGAATGATTTTCATCATCGACAGCATTGTTGTACTAAATCCTTTAAACTCTTTAACTCTGTAAATGGTAATATAACAACAATAATAACAAAAACTTGTAATAGCCACTAAATTGGTGTCAAGCACTCTGCTAAGCACTTTCTGTGTATTGTCTCGTTTAATTTTCACCTTATTTATTGATTCCTTATAAGAAGTCCTTAAGGGCCAGGCATGGTGGCTCGTGCCTATAATCACAACACTTTGGGAGGCTGAGGTGGGAAAATTGCCTGAGCCCAGAAGTTCAAGACCAGGGTGGGGAACATGGCAAAATGCCATCTCTACCAAAAAAAAAAAAAGAAAAGAAACAGTCGTGGTGGTGGTGCGTGCCTACAGTCCCAGCTATTCCAGAGGTTGAGGCAGGAGGATCTATTGCTCTATTGCTTCAACCCAGGGACTCCAGGCTGCAGTGAGCCATGATTGCACCACTGCACTCCAGCCTGGGCAACAGTGAAACCTTGTCTCAAAAAATAAAACAAAAAACAAATCTTTGAGTTAGACCGGCACCATAACCTCTGCTAAAGTTGTACCTTATGAATCTCCAAGAGGGAAGTAGAACTGAAGGACCAATAGGGTGCAACTATTAACATCTTGTAGAACTTCTGTTCTCCTGGTCTCATTCAGAAAAATAATGGACTAGAGATGCAGGATTTGCGCTCTTCCTGGTTTCCACCTCTGCCTTCCCAACTGTGTCTGCTCAGGCACTAAAGCGTCCATTAGGAGATTTCACATCCTCAAGGGTCCACCTGAAAGTTGCCCAGCCATGAGGCTTATGTAGAAATGGACTTTGGACAACTCATTCCTGCTTCTGTTTTCCAGGATTGCCATGTTCCTAGTTTTCTCATGGCACACTTACTCTGAATCCATCAGCTGGTGTGGACTTCACTCCCATCCTGTGTGTATAAACTACCCAATCCATACCTCAGCTGTTTATGAAACAACTGTCATGGAAGTTGCCCAGCATGTTCCCCTGGGCCTGTCTTCCTCTTACATATCCACAGTCATATATTTTAGCTTTTAAGTAAGCAAAACTTAGGGTGTTTCCTGAGTAGACCCCTTGGTGAGGACTAGAGAGATTGGAGAGGTGAGGAGTTGAACGACTTAGTAAGATGCTATTTCTTAGGCAGTACCTAAATGCTAGAGACTGTTTTGGCTCTTTCACATATGAACTCATTTAATCTTAATAACATCTTTAGATCCATACTGTTATCATGTCATGAAAACATGCTCAGCTAGTAAGTGGCAGAGCTGGAACTGAGCTGAAGTCCAAGGGTCAGACTTCAGAGCCCATGCAAGTAAGATTTCAGTGTCTTGCGTCTCATCAGCCATCACGGTTGTTGAGTTTCTAAAGGAGTTAGGAATAGAAGGGGTTGCAATCAGAGGAGAGCCCATGGACTGCAGTCAACAGCTGTCATGGAATGAGTTAGAGGCAGGCAAAGAACTGATGGGCCATGTTGTTGGATCTTGAAGTCACCCATGATGATGGCAGAAATCTGCTCTGCTGGATCCTACACAAGTGTCCTGTGCATGGATAGAGAGATGGCCAAAAATGCCTGCCTTTGGAGAATAATCCAGCACAACCCTGAGGCACTACTGATAATTTATCTCCATTTCTGACAATGAAGAATCAAGGAGTATACAGATTTCTTAAGAAGATGAAGTAGAAAAAATGCCAACTATGGAGTGGAGAGTCCTGGCCCTGCCACTCACTGGCTCTGTGACATTGAACAAATGAGGTCATTTCTTATTGTCTTAAAAATAGTATAATATTACAGAGGATGTCATTGGTTAATGTGATGACTGAAGTCAATTGTCATGGAAATTTAATAATTAATATTGTTTCTCTATCATGCTGCTGATATATATAGCAATTCTACTTCTAGAAAATTCCAAGTTTTGAGATTACCTGGGCTCAAGCAATCCTCCTCCCTCAGACTCTGAGTAGCTGGGACTACAGGCATGCACCACCATGCCTGGCAACTTAAAAAAAAAATTGTGTAGAGACAGGGTCTCACTATGTTGCCCAGGCTGGTCTTAAACTCCTGGACTCAAGCAGTCTTCCCACTTCAGCCTCTCAAAGTGCAAGGATTACAGACGTGAGCCACCTCACCTCACTCTCAAAGATTTGTTATAAAAAAGAAATAAATAAGGTGAAAATTAAATGAGACAATATACGGAAAGTGCTTAAGAGAGTGCTTGACACCAATTAAGTGGCTATTACAAGTTTTTAATTTTATTATTGTTGTTATTTTACAGTTTACAAAATGAACAAGTTTAGACAATTTAGTACAATTATGCTGCTGGTGATAAAAATCACTGTCTTCAGAATATGAAGACCAGAGTTCTAGATTTTCATTTAGATCTTACCTCTATAAACAATGTGGCAATCTTAAATTTGCCACTTTATGTAGAAAAATAAGTAGTGCCTTCATATTAAAACTCCACTATAATAAATTATACTTAGCAGCATTCAATGGAAAAATACAATATATTGAAAGCTTTATCTTTTAATAATTTTTAAATCGTCTTTTTAATAATTTTTCCCTTTTTTAAAGCCAAGAACAAAAGCACCAAATAAGGTGATAGTTCCCATACCTTCACCCTGGATGTACTTTTGGAAAATATAATTTATAATAGAAATGTTGAATAACAGAACATGTTTGAGGCAACCTTCCCAGGTATTGGGGTTGAAATATAGATGTGTGCAACTGAGGACACAGGAAGTATCCCCTCAACTCACGTGACGTAGTTCTCTGCTGGGTCACAGCACCTGTGTCTGGACACAGATGTGAAACTAGAAATCTACACCTAACTCGTGTTGCTGTAAATGAAATATCAGGTAAAACTAGAGGGTGTTTTTAAAATGATTCTCTATTCCGTCTCCATTATGCCCTCTTTTGCACACCAAAAAAAAAAAAAGCATCAAAAAGGCAAAAGAAAAAAAAATTATATGTGGGTAAAACCAACATTGTCTCCTTGACGCAGGGAGGAAAACCAAACACAACCCTTCTTCCCTTGGGGCACATCAAGAAGTAGCAGAACCCATAACAATCTATTGCCCAGATGATTCGATTAGATGATAAATAAGTGATGGTAATATGTAGATATTGGCCCAAGTGAGGAAAGACTGAAATTGAATGTGCAGTCTTGTGCATGCTCTGCAGTGCACATATTAATTTGTAGAAACGGATAAAAGTTCTGCTGCCTTTAATTGTGTTAATTTAGCAGTAGTCCTTCTCATGGCATATGAAAGATGTCATTTTTCCAAAATAAATAAATAAATAAATGCATTCCCATCACCATTGGGGAAGATTTATGCTGACAGAATCTAACAGCATAAGTAATCTTGTGTTATTTCTCAAAGGCGCCTGAGCAAGCATTCTTGGTTCGGATGGAAAACAAAATGCTCTTATTATATATGATTACTTTAATTCTGAGCAGAAAAAAAAACCTTCTTTTATAAGCATTAGTTGCCATTATCTAAAGTAAAATGTCATCTTTTTTCATCCACTTCTTTTCTCTCCTGTTAGGGAGGTATGATCACTTCTTGAATGACAAAATGATTGATTTTAAACCAACACCTCAACAACTAAGAGGCAGAAGGGAGGAAGGAGGAGGAATTGACTCCCAGAGAGCTTTCTAAGCTGCCTCTGAAAAGAGACATAAAAGGTCATGTCTTGCCATTTAATCTGAAATTTCTGGTGTATACTTGGAAATAAAGTCAATATCAGTCCCATGATGAGTGTAGGGATGCACCAGCTCTGTTTGTGCTTCACACAGATACACATGGTTTGAACAAATTATTTCCACCCACAATGGAAAGATCATGATCATAGTGTATGCACCATGCGATTACGTGAATTAGAAAAACATTAAGTTGGGGCCCAGAGAATAGTATTTTCACTGTACTTGGCAAAATAAGTATCGTTCTTTGCACTATGCATCACCTTGGAAACACAAATGGAAAATGATACTGATTTTCTCTTACTACTCTCCATCTGAATAAAGTAGCTTTCTATACCTACTTCAGTTCCATTTTTCAGTCCTCTGCTTGGCGTTTTTTACTATCAGTCTTTGAATGGTTTAAAGGATCTAGTGCTATGCATTCTTCCTAAGCCAACCCAAAGGAACAACCAAAAACCCAGAAGTTCCTATCTGTCCCGTCCAGCCTTAGAACTTGAACAAGTTAAGTACTTCCAACTTCAATGTTACACTGCAAAAAAAAAAAAGAGTTAAATTATTTGCCAGCATTCCATTTTCTAATACTCAGAATTTTTTTTTCTGATTTTTAAGAAAGAATCCAAATGATTTCTCTTCTGGAAAGAAAAAAAAAAAGCCAGGCGCGGTGGCTCACACCTGTAATCCTAGCACTTTGGGAGGCTGAGATGGGCGGATTGCCTGAGCTCAGGAATTCGAGACCAGCCTGGGCAACATAGTGAAGCCCCCATCTCTACTAAAATACAAAAAATTAGCTGGGCATGGTGGTGCGTTCCTGTAGTCCCAGATACTTGGAAGGCTGAGGCATGAGAGAGACTTGCTTGAAACCAGGAGGTGGAGATTGCAGTGAGCTGAGATCGTGCCACTGCACTGCAGCCTGGGCAACAGAGCAAGACTCTGTCTCAACAAAAAAAAAAAGGAAAAAAAACTTTCTGTTATGAATATCCTATTACATTATGTCTTGTGAGTGCATAGTGCAGACCAATCAAAAAATCCCTCTAAACAAATACTTGATTTGTATGAATAAAATTGTTTTTGAACATATACAAATATTATGTTAATGAATTTAATTTTTTATTATTTACTTATTTTTTTTTTATTAGACGGAGTCTCGCTCTGTCACCAGGCCGAAGTGCGGTGATGTGATTTCGGCTCACTGCAACCTCTGCCTCCCGGGTTCAAGCGATTCTCCTGCCTCAACCTCCCTAGTAGCTGGGACTACAGGCACACACCACCACGCCCAGCTAAATTTTATATTTTTAGTAGAGATGGGGTTTCACCATGTTGGCCAGGATGGTCTCAATCTCTAGACCTCGTAACTCGCCCGCCTCGGCCTCTCCAAGTGCTGGGGCTACAGGCGTGAGCCACCGCGTTGGCCCTATTATGTTTTTATAAGTAGAGTCCTAATGTCATCTAAGAAGTGTTATAGAAAATATAGGAAAACTCATGTGGAGAGGAACAAAGTAAATAATTTGCTGCTAAGAACAGTTAATTCTGCCTGTTGTTCTTTTTAAATATGTGAAATCCTATAAAGTGTTAATGTTGATAGAATAAATTTGTATTTCTGTAACACTCCATAAGAGAATGAGTTTCAAATCTTCATAAAACAATCCCATTTCTATTAAAAAGTTATATTATCGTGTAATAAATGATTTTCAAGAAGAGTAGTATAAATCCTGGAGAAACTAATAGAATAAGTTTTAAAAGGAAGAGTACAAGTGTACATGCACAAAAAAAAAAGAGATTCATGTTACATCTTTATCTGATGCAAAGCAAAATGCCTAAATTACACAAATGCAATTCTGAATGTGTTTTGAATAAGGGTTTTCTTTTTGGGGAATATATCATGGCTGATAATACTAGGTTATATGTTCTTTGAATATACCCAAACCAAAATGGAGACTTTCAGATAGAAATCTCTTCTGATTTGTCATTAATGATTCTGGGCTTTCTGATAGTCTGATACTCTGAGTCCCTGATATTTCGGCTGAAACCTCCTATGATTTACAATAAGCAATGAAAAAATTTCCAGTGATTGGATTATTTTGGGAAAATGGAAAAGAAATTTTGAGTAGGTCTCAATAACTCTGGAAATGACATAGTTTCACTTCCTTAAAATACCCTGGCTCCAAGAAGAGCTGATGTGTTTTGCCAAACATTGGGACAGCTTCTAGTGCTGCAGCCGCATATGTCATTGTTGATAACATGGATTTTAGTCTTAGAAGTCAACCTCTGATATTAGCTAGTGCCACCATCTCACATTTGATGGGATGGTGCTAATGATTTATTAATAGAATAGTTGTGTCTGTTAAGAATTAGAAGCTGTGTTTTAGGAGAGAGGCATCTTGCAGAGGGGACAGGTTTTGAAGTCCCTCAGACTTGGTTTTAAACTTCAGCTGCCTTTGCCACCTTCTAGCTCTGTGGTCTTTGGTGAGTCACATTAGTTCCCTGAAGTGTGACATGGAGATGATGCCACTTGCTTGTCAGGGTAGCCAAGAAAGTCTGAGAGGCAAATATACAGTACTTCAAACACAACAGGAACTCATCGCTGTAGCCATCAATGAGTAACACTGATGAGTGTGATGTAAGATTTTTCTGGAGAAAGTTTTTCTTCACCCTACAATTGATCAGTGTCATATACATATATTAGGATAGATCGCAAACCTATGTACTTCAGACAAATGTGCGCACATATTATGTGTATTTCAAATTTCAAAATTCTTCAATTTTAAATGAACTACATCAAAAGTTTAGATTCTATGCCAGAGTATTTTTTTTCTTTCTGAAACCAGCCGATATTTTATAAATTACTGGGTAAAGATTAGAATGCCTGTTTGTGAACAGGCTACCTAGAATGAATAGTTAGAATGAAAAGAATCTTGAACAATCTTAGTGTCACTCAGCATCTATCTGTATTTTGATTTTTAAAAAATTATAAATCAAACATTGTGAGGTAATGGTATTCATCCCTGAAATCCAGAGAGCTCTGTGTGTTTTAAAGGAGCTGAGCTGCAGAAAGTGAATTTCCTGGGAGGAAGGAGCACTTTTACACCTGTTTAGCTCTTCTCTGGACATCAGTGTTTCCAGTCACATTTTTAAAAATTATTTTTTCGATACTTTTAAGAGAAATTATAAAATTTTATTCTTACTTTGGGGTATATTTTCCATAGCAACTCATTTTCTCTTTGTGGAGCATGAAATTCATTTCTGTTTACCAATATAGTCTCTTCGTTAATTCAGGGACTTGTGATAAAACTATATCCACCATAATAGTTGAAAAACCAGGATAAAAAAAGCAAATATTGAATTGCATTTGCCGTTTTTATTGATGTTCAGTAGCCTGACTTTGCAACCTATCCACCTATATAGATATTTAGCCTAGAGGGCTGTAGTAATTCTTATCTGTGCAGACATGTGACATTATTAAAGTAAGCTAATCCATTTTCAGAAAGTTTCTTCCTGAAGCATGTTTAGCCTTAAAATTTAAAATTATGCCTTGGATGATTCTTGTAATCACCATGCAACGTATGTACCACTGTTGGGGAAAACAGCAGAGGAAAGTGGACTTTGGAATTCCATGGTTGCCAGCTGCGTTTATTTGGGTATAAACAAGTAAAGGATGATGCTAAGTAGAAGCATATGCCACTACATTTATTGTTTTTTAATGAAAGAATGTGTTATTCGCATGTGTTGTTCAGTATGAATGTCTTAGTCAATTTCTTCTCTCAAATTAAAAATAGGCATGTTATAGGATTTAGCAAACAGATCTTGAACGTGCGAATTATGTAAATAGTAATATTGAAACTGCCTTTCATAATAAATAATGTGTCATTAGAATTTATTATTTTAGTCTGATGTTATTGTAATCCAGGTTGAGTATCATTTATCCGAAATGCTTGGTACCAGAAGTGTTTCAGATTTCAGATTTGGATTTTGGAATATTGACACTATACTTACCAGTGGAGCATTGCAAATCCAGAAATCCAAAATGCTCCAAGGAGCATTTCCTTTGAACATCATTTCAAATTTTAGAGCATTTCAGATTTTGGATTTTTGGATGAGGATGCTTGATCTGTATTACTTACTATTCCTAGGACAGTTGCACATTTGTGTCTTTGGGCACACATAGTTGGAGGTGAAGAATTATATTGTGGTTGGTTTGGTTTTAGAGCTCTTGGTTCTAGGTAGAGCTCTGGTACAATAGGGTAATGTTGGGGTAATGTGATGCCTAGAAGCTTTCAACTCTTATGTTAAATATAACTTTTTAAATAGGTGATTATATGGGAAAAATTATTGACAAAGACGTTACGGGACAGATACCACATACACCAACAATACACACATGAAAAACAGTGTCTCTGGTTAATTTTTATATTCGTATTTTATATATATACCTTTGGTTGTGACATATGGTTAATTTTTATATAAAATATAAATTTATAATTTTTAAAATTTCTACATTTGCATGTTATGATTTGATAGACCAAAAGAGGTTGCCTAAACCAAATTCACTCTATAATTGATAAATGATTGAACATATTTTTTGTCCAAAACTGTGAAGGAAACTACCCATAAAATGGCTGCTTTGGAACACATTTTTTTTTTTTTTTTTTTTTTTTTGAGATGGAGTTTCGCTGTTGTTGCCCAAGCTGGAGTGCAATGGCGCAATCTCGGCTCACTGTAACCTCCGCCTCCCGGGTTCAAGTGATTCTCCTGCCTCAGCCTCCTGAGTAGCTGAGATTACAAGCATGCGCCACCACGCCCAACTAATTTTTGCATTTTTAGTAGGGACGGGGTTTCACCATGTTAGCCAGGATGGTCTCGATCTCCTGACCTCGTGATCCACCCGCCTCGGCCTCCCAAAGTGCTGGGATTACAGGCATGAGCCACCACGCCCAGCCTGGGACGCATTTTTAAGATTGAAATCAGTCTCTTTCCAGAAACCCCTGTTTTGTCTTAAAGCTAGATGAGGACCTGCAAAGAAGCGTGCTGTGCACTGAGTATTAGTGGGACAAAGCTGAGGATCTGCTGGCCTCACTTCCCCTGTCCTAAGATATTGGGTGCATGGATAATTGACAATACAACATCCTTCATCAATGTGAGTCATTTTTAAGAGACTTAAGTTTTACCCATTGGCACCCTCACTGAAGGCACGACTGTTCTGTTGCATGGTGTGACATACAGCTCAACACTCGAGTCCTGGGAATTTTTATGGTGACATATGGAATAACAGCTTCTATAGATTTTATGATAGAACCTACCAATAGCACCTTTGACAGATCCAGGTTTCTCATGTGGGGCAGCCCAAGGAAATCTCAGCAGTGGGATTTACTACATGGTAGAGAAATGTCAGAAGCAACCCATTTTACACGAATGATACATAAGTTGAGAGCCATTGAAGCCAAGATCTGAGAAAGGTGAGGAATGTGAACAGTTCAGTATAGACAAGCCAGCCCTTGCTAAGTCCGAAAAGGGCTTTTCTTGCACTCAGTTTATTCTAATTCTAAAAAAATAGTGGGGCTTTTTCAGAACTTCTTGGAATGAAACTGTAACAGATCACAGTGTCTAGCAACTGTACAGATGATGAATTCCTTGGACTGACATTTTATCTAGAAGATCCAGGGAAAGCTTTCTTATGAACAGTCAACATTTACTGAATGTCTGTGTGCCAGCCACGGCAGTAGATACTGTGAGTACAGCAGTCAACGAGATAGAAACTATCTTCACTCTGAATGAGATTACATTCTAGTTAAGGAGACAGATTATAGGTAACTGAGCAATAAATTATAAAATTTCATATAGAAATAAGGGACATCTAAAAAAGAAATCAGGATTCTTTCATCTTCAAGTAACAGAGAAATGAATACAAGTAATTAATTTATCTTACTTCTTTTGAGGGGACAACATGGATGGGGGGCTTTTTGAGTGTGCCCCCTGCTGTCATTATTCCATGATATGCAACCCCTGCCTCCACCCCTGTGATCCTCAGATGGCTGCCAGTGTTTATAGGACCACCTGCTAAGCGTTCATGTTAGGTAGGAGACAACTAGCGTCTTGATGAAAGACTGATCCAAATCTTGTTGGACAGCAGAGCAGCCAATAACAATGTGGTTTTTGGCTAGGATAATGCAGCCACATGTGCTTATTGTCAAAGCCTAACGATGTTGAATTCTACCATGAATTCACTATTCATTTGAAACAGTTGATCAATTAATTTGCTTTCAAATACAGGGACAATGAAATGCTAGTGAGACAAAAGCGTAGGTTTCTCTTATAGACATTTATATCTGTAAATAACCTTGAAATAAAGGAATGATATTTTTAGACAACAATGAAAAACATTTATTTATATGACCTCATAATTAGCAAGAAAAATAAATTGTGTTTTGATTGAAATTCACAGCAAATGAAAATTTTAGATACCTAGACAATTGTGTTTCTTTTATGTTTATTCATTCTTAGAGTTTATTCACAACTGAGCCCAAGCTCCAGGATTAAAAAAAAAAAAAATTCTGAGGCCAGGTGTAGTGGCTCACACCTATAATCCCAGCACTTTGGGAGACTGAGGTGGGAGGATCACTTGAGCCCCAGAATTCAAGACGAGCCTGGACAACATAGTGAAACCCCATCTCTACAAAAACAAACAAACAAACAAACTAGCAAACAAGCAAAAAAAAACACAAAAAGCCAGGCCTGGTGGTGCACGCCTATAGTTCCAGCTTTTTGGGAGGCTGAGGTGGAAGGATCACTTGATCCCAGGAGTCAGAGGTTGCAGTGAGCTGAGATCACACCATTGCACTCCACCCTGGGCAACAGAGTGAGATCCTGTTCAAAAAATATATATGTTTCAGGCAAGAGAATAATGTAAACACAAACATTTTCAATACCTTAATATAAGTAATTAAAACTGTGAAAACCAAAATGAGATCTTTTGCTTGTATTGGTATAGTAGCCCTTGGACCATAACAAAATTATTTTATTTGAAAACGACAACAGCAAACACACACACACACAGACAGACAATAAAACATTAATAAAACAATGAAATATAACCTCCCCGAAAGACTTGAAATATCATGATAATACTCTGTCGTTTTTTTCTTGGCTTGTGGGTAAGGATGGATGTAGCACATTTATTGGCTACTGAAATTTTTTTTCTTTTTGGCTACTGAATTTTTTAAAGTAATTTAAACTAAATTTTTAAACAATTTAAAGTAATTATATAACAAATTCAGCACATAAATTCATAACCTCAGTATTCCAACCTAATATTGTACATCTCATATCATTACCAAAGTTACACATTCTCATTAGTTTTGTGTAAATCGTTTGGTATAACCAGTATCAGCAGTAACAATTGAACAGCACAGCTAATCCTCAGATGTGTGCAGTTGGGGAAAAACCACAAATGTGTGAATCTGCACACCCACTCATCCTTCACCTTCATTTCCTCCACTCGGAAGATTCTCCCTCTCCCTTCGCAGAACACTTGCCCAAGGCTTGATTTAGGGGCCAGTTTCAACTCCGAGTTTCTATAACTTCATTCTCAGGAAAATTGAGTATGTTATATGAATGCATATCAAACCCTCTCTAAGCAGCTTACATTGTTAATATACACAACTAGTACATCAAGCAGTCAAGATTCATGGGATGTGATCACAAAGCAATTTTCTTCAGTTCCCACTATTCTTTGAAATGTATTCAGTGGGAGAAACTCCTTCCTTGGCCCCTGCTACTCAGGCTGTAACAACCACTTGAGTTGTTGAAATAGCAATGCACTTCTGTCTGGGTGGACAGTAGCCACGTGCCTTGTGTACACAGCCCCCATCCGCCCTCAGGGACAGGCCATCCAGATTCTCCCTTATGCTCTGAGTCTCCCAACTCTCTTAAGTTTCAGCAACTAAAAGGCACAGCAGGTGGCCTCCAGGGCCATCTCTGACATTGCTGGTGTCTATTGTTGATTGGTGCCTATGCCACATAGATTGTTCACTATTTTGAATATTTGGGTAATAAATAAATAGTTACTTTAATTTTTAAAGCATTGTCTCAATTTGATACTTATCATTCCTATTCCCTTATCATAGTCAAAGCTTCTGATTTCATTCAAAGTTACAGCTATTTACACTCCCTCCAGATAAGGTGTTTTTTGTTTGTTTGTTTGTCTTTTTTTTTTTTTGTAAACGGCATCTCCCTCTGTTGCCCAGGCTGAAGTGCAGTGACAGGATCTCAGCTCATTGCAACCTCCGCCTCCCGGGTTCAAGCAATTCTCCTGCCCCTTCCTCCCAAGTAGCTGGGATTACAGGCACTCACTGCCCCATCTGGCTAATTTTTGTATTTTGTAGAGATGGGGTTTCACCATGTTGACCAGGCTGGTCTCAAATTCCTGGCCGCAATTGAGCTGCCCGCCTTAGCCGCCTGACAGATAAGGTGTCTTATAGAAGGGACTTTTGTTGTTGTTGTTGTTACCCGGGAAGGGGGTTAAAGAACCCTCCAGAGATATGTATGTGTGTGTGTGTGTATGTTAGAGCCATTGAGGACTGAGGTGGGGGGATAGGGAAGAAGAGACACCAGAGAGTTGAGAGGAGCAGTAAAGTTCCAGAACAGTTGGCACTACTGTAAGCTGGGCGCCCAACACCAACACTCCCCTGCTCCTAGTGCTGTGACCAACATCTTTGAGAAACTTTTATCCACGGCCCCCTTGCTCAAGTGGCATGCTGTCTCCTAGCCTGCCACTTGCTCCTTCTGTAACTCATCTTCTCTCTGCAGGGGCCGGCCCAGGTGCATCTTACCCCTGAATCACTCTCTTGATCTCCAGAAATTCACATTCCTTTCCCCACAGATGTGGGGTACAGACTGAACCCAGCACAGACACTTCTCCTTCAGGCCCTCAGGCAGCATGCAGGCAACCTATCTTTTGCAACCTTTAGTTTTTACAGCTCCAAGTCAGAATCTGAGACCCCTTTGTCACCTCAAATAGTCTCCACACTCTTGAAGACATGTGAAGGCATCTCCCAGAGGAATTGTGAGCATAGCAAATCATAGGCTGGCTCTTAGAGCATCCTGTGATGTACAACAGCCCTACCCACATGCCATTGCTCAGAGAATGTCACCTGACCACTCTTCACGCTACTGGAGTAGGAGATCCCGACCCTCCCATGAACCGAGGAGAAGAACTGGAGTCATTGCTAGCATCACTAATGACTACTGTAAGTCAAGCTACCGATTTCATTAAAATTTTGCATCTAGTACTGGGCACGGTGACTCACGCCTGTAATCCCAGCACTTTGGGAGGCCAAGGCAGGTGGATCACTTGAGGTCAGGAGTTTGAGATCAGCCTGACCAATATGGTGAAACCCCATCTCTACTAAAAAATACAAAAATTAGTTGTGTTTGGTGGTGCACACCTGTGGTCCCAACTATTCAGGGGGCTGAAGCATGAGAATCTCTTGAACCCTGGAGGCGAAGGCTGCAGTGAGCCAAGATCGCGCCACTGCACTCCACCCTGGGTGACAGAGTGAGAGTCCCATCTCAAAACAAAAAACAAACAAAAAATTTGTATCTAGGTTTACCCCTTATTTTGGTATCTGATACATGTTGTCTGTGTCCAAATATCTATTTAAATACTGTGTTACATTTACGTTTAATTGTTGAGAATGACTGCATTTCAAACTGACATTTTACTTTAGAAAATTGGTTTCCATATTATTTATAGAACTTACTGCTTAATGAAACTCCACATGTGATGTAGAATACTCACTACTGACTTCCAGCAGTTTCACCTCACCAGCCCCGCTATATGATTGTTCTGTCAAAATTTCCTCCCTGTGGCTGAAAGCCTCCGTAAGTGGGCTTTTATTAGGGTACGTTTTTTCTGCTGGTTCACTGGGATGCAGTCTTATTTTTGGATATTTCCAAGGTGGAAATCCCAGGCATGGGTGAGGAGAAGCACGCAGAGCTGGTGGCAAAGCCAGGCCTCCAGTCCCTCTGGAGGCACCTGGCATGAGCCGCTTTGCTTTGGAGACTCCCGATACTCTCACAGTTGCAGGAGAAGGGGACACTCAACCCACCGTTTAGTTCCAGTTATGGGCCAAATTGTGTCCCCTAGAACGACATGTTGAAGTCCTAATCTCGGGAAACCGTGCGTGACCTTAATTGGAAATAGAGGCTTTGCAGATGTAATCAAGTTAGGATGAGATATCCCTAACCCAATATGACTAATATCCTTATAAGAAGATGGAGGTCTGGACACCTGGACACACAGAGGAGAACACCAGGTAATGACAGGAGGTAGAAATTGAAGTGATGCATCTGTAAGCCAGAGTGCTGAGGATTACTGGCAACCAGCAGAAGCCAGCAGGGAAAAGGAAAGATCCTCCTGTGGAGTGCTCAGAAAGAGCATGGTCCTGCCAGCATCCTCACTTCAGACTTCAAGCCTCCAGAATGCCGAGAACATTATATTTCTGCTGTTATGAAGCACCCAGTTTATGTTACTTTGGTACTGCAGCCGTAGGAAACTGAGGCAGTTTCCTCTTGGCTTTCAGGACAAGCAAGCCCCTCACACTCACTCGGGCCTGAATGGGCCACCTCTGCCCTCAGCTGATCCCCTCATGGCTACGCTGCCCTGATCACATACCCCAATCCAGGCCCTGGGTGCCAGTGCTGGCCACAGGACCTCAGCACAGCTCAAGGCTTTATCGACACTTTCCTGTCCACAGGTCCCAGGGGCCAGCAAGTGCCCAGAACTGGTCAATTATTTGTCTTTACTATGCTTCAAATACATTGACACCATTCATCTTTTTTATTTATTTTTATTTTTTTAGACAGAGTCTCACTCTGTTATCCAGGCTGGAGTACAGTGGCACAATCTCAGCTCACTGCAACCTCTGCCTCCTGGGTTCAAGCAATTCTTGTGCTTCAGCCTCCCAAGTAGCTGGGATTACAGATGTGAACCACCACACCAAGCTAATTTTTGTATTTTTAGTAGAGATGGGGTTTTGCCATGTTGGTCAGACTGCCCTTCATCTTATACTTCCTTATTTTTGCATTCCTCTTAACAGCCACCAGTGCCTAAGAGCTAGTGAATTTATACTTGTTGAGCATTTGAATGACCAGATTTTTAGAGAATTTCTTTCTCTATGTGAGGTTACACATTTGTTTTTTCGTGGCTCATTGAAGCCTGCAATTGTGGAGCTAATTCATGTTTTTGTTAGCACTTTTTGGAGTATGAACATCTGAAGAAGAGAAAATGCTTTGTGTATTCTCTACATCAATTCCAACAATGATCCGATGACACCAGTTCTCCAGCAGCCCAGTAATTAATTTATTTAGTACCTGTATCACTTCCACAGTGCATTCAGTCAGTTGAGTTATCTGTTACTTACTTCTAAGTGTCTTAATGCTCCTGAATTTTGGCATTAAGTCAATGCCGAGGTAGCCCACTTAGCTTCTTCCCAGTGACTGTTTCTGAACGAAATTAAACAAAGCCAACATTCTGCACTGCTGATGGAGAGTAATTAATGACTTGATTCATCCATATGTACAAAGAAAATTGTGCCGTTGTTAAGCAGCCAAATAACAGTTGGTGTCAGTAAGAAATAAAAGGATTAAGTGGAAGGAAACTACTATTATCCAATGCTTAGTTTTTTTATGCCACCCAATAAGTTTGATATTATAATGCCATCTTGCAGAAAAAACCTGAAACTCACTGAGTGTTTTAAAATCTTACTCAAGTTCACACTTTTGAGAGATAGCAGAGATTGAATTTGGACCTGATTTCATGTGATTTCCAAGTGAAAAAAATATTTCTTCTATATCAGAGTAGTTTGTTGTTGTTTCATTATTTAGAGTGCTGGTAAATGTCACATTTGGTTTATTTCTTCTTAGGGTAACCATACATACCTTAAGGGAATGTAAACATTAAGAGAGTAAGAACATCAAAATAGAGAAGAAAGTAAAGATAACATTTTGAAAGAATTTTTAACTAGAGAACTTAGCCTGTATCTATCTGCACATGCTTGTGTGAAGACATATGCACATATATATGTATGCACACACACACACCGCACAGACATACACACACCACACACCCCACACACACACACCACACACCCCCCCCACACACACACCACACACCCCCCACTCATGCCACACCCCCCCACACACCCTCCCACACACTCCCCACACACACCACACACACATGCACACACACCACACACATGCACACACACCACACACATGCACACATACCACACACACACCACACACAGCACACACACACACACATCACACACACATACACACCACACACACATACACACCACACACACACACACCACACACCACACAAACATATTTAAAGTCAAAATCAAAGTCTGAATTTGTTGTAATAAACAAAAGTGACCTGTGTTGTATACCAGTTTCATAGAACTGATGCCTTTTCATTGGGTCATATCAGTGGGTTTGGTTGAGGTGTACTCATTGTAGTAAAATGCCAATAGAAACCAATATACTCTTTAAATATATTCTTCATGGTGTATGTAATATATATTATATATATTTATTTTATATATAATTATTATATGTATTTATTATATCTTATTAATTTTAGTGCTTTTCACTAATATATAATAAATATATATAATATTTATAATAATTATAATATAATCATTATATTATATAAAATTATAATATAATCATTATATATTATATAAAATTATATACATATATAATTATATATATAATGATTGCAATCTCATAAAATGGAATTTTATATCAACAGTGGTTGGCTGTCCCACTGTGCCCTCAAGATCATGCTGAGTAAAGTCTCTTTCCTTACACTTCAGTAGGAACTTGGATTCAAAGCAGAATCCAATGTGTCTGATTTGCACCCTCTATTCACCCTTGGAGCACTGCGAAAGCCTTCAGTAAAGCTAATCCTATTTCCCAAAACTACTTTTTCAGTACTCAGAATAAAGAAAAAGTTGCTTCAAACTAACTCTCCTTTCTTTTACCAAGAGTAAATGAATGCTTTGTAGTGATTGTATAAAATGTTTCAAATCAACATTAACACAGTTAATTTTATATGCTTACTTGTTCTGTCAGTGTTAGTTGTATTTTCATAATACTGAACCACTAAGCAAAATCTGCAACAAACTAATTAGATAACTTTGGTGTATTCACAAGGGATTCTAATTTAATCTACTAAAAATATATCTATATCTGTATCTATGTACTATTTTATTGAAAACTGAGTTAGAGAAAAAAGCCAGTGGCTAGTAAGAAAAGTAGTAAGCTTTTATTTTTATAAAATAATAAGATGCAAAATAAATATATGTTAACAGATAATAGTGGAATAAAATACAATGAAATGCCCACAGGGATTATCTCTGACTCACAGAATTATAAGTGATGTGAATTTTTTAAACTACGGAATTTCTAAATTTTTTCTATAAATATGTATTTCGTTCTTTTTTTAAAAAGTGTTAGGAAGTAATAAAAAGAAACTGGATTTAAAGGCGCATCAAAGAATGTCATTTCTGACAAGTTTGGAAAAAATTAGAAAAGCCACACAGGCCTGTTTGCTACTGTAATTTTTATGTCAGATAGTTACAGATGGAAAAAAGCGTAAGTTAATTAAGGCACGGGTTTATGCTAATGGAAGCACATATTGGCGAAAATATCTTGTTAATAGTCACATAACTGATGATTAAGGAGAAGACAGTATGATGGATGCACTTCCCTCCAGACAGGGTAATGAGCTGAGAAACTGCCCAGGAGCTTCCAAGTTCAGTGAGACAGGGTATTAATCCTATATTGGATAGACCGGGCCAAGTGGCTCACACCTATAATCTCAGCACTTTGAGAGGCCAAGGGGGTGGGGTGGGGGGTGGGGAGTGGATTACCAGGTCAGGAGTTCGAGACCAGCCTGGCCAAGATGGTGAAACCCCGTCTCTACTAAAAATAAAAAAAAAAAATTAGCTGGGCATGGTGGCGGGCGCCTGTAATCCCAGCTACTCAGGAGGCTGAGGCAGGAGAATTGCTTGAACCCAGGAGGCAGAGACTGCAGTGAGCAAAGATCATGCCACTACACTCCAGCCTGGGCAACAAAGTGAGAATCTGTCTTTAAAAAAAAAAAAAAAAAAAAAAAAAAATCCCACATTGGAGAATTGAACACTTTTCTTCTTTTAAAAATTATAAACATAAGCTCAATAATAAAATGGCCTGATGAGCAGTTTTTATATCAACTCTGTTCGGGGCAAGTGAAATTATACATTGCAAAATTGTAGAGAGTTGTAAGAAAAATTCTAAAATATCATGAGTGTATTTGGTACTAATGCTGTGACACACATTTCAGTAACAAAAAGTAATTACCAAATATGATCCCCATATAATTTTTAAATGTTGCCTAACATCAAAACTATCATTCTTTAAAAAAAATCAATGTAATGATAATACATTATGTTTTCAGCTCTTTAGATAACAAAAGTAGATTCTTCTAAATCCAAAACTCTGTCTTTCTGCAACTATGAATATCCTCTATATAGTTTATATCTCTTTGTGAAAGATACTAAGACATCAACAAATAAGTATGCTCCTTCTGCATGATTATATTCAAATTATGTGTAAACTCAGCATATAAAAGCAAAAGTATAGTTTGACAATTTTATGGATAATAGAGCTTCAGCGATAACTCTATCCATGCCATCTGAAAGTTAAATTTTAATTTGGGGAAGGAGCATATTTCTTCATACATTAGATTTTTCCAACATAAAACTACCTTGTCATAACTATGTACAAATATATATGTTGGCCCTCTAGCATTATTCTAGCAATGAACACTGATACATATATTTTATAATGCTGGTATTATGAGAATTTTCAAATAGTAGTAGGAAATCAAAATACACTTTAGTCTTCTCAATTTCTGAATACAAGGCTACTATTTCCCAGTATTTCTCATTTGGGGATTCTTTATAGTCAATCTATTCTTACCCAATAATCATACCTAAGAATTTGGAGATACATTTTATTTGCCTGGAGTTTTTCAGAAGAATTCCAATATTCTCAAGGTAAATTGCCTGTCTTATTAAAATAGTTTTCTAAAACTCACACACCAGGATCATAGCATATCACAATTAAAGCCCTCTACAGCCAGTTGACTAGGAAAGTCCACGTTGAACTTGAGGAGAATTAAAGCATCATAATTTATTTTTGAGTTTAAGATAAGGTGAAACATGGATCACAGAGAATTTTGATGCCATGAGCGAGTTCACACATCAGCTAGACACTGTTTAGTATACATTAAAGTTAATGAGAGAATAGGTGGAGATGAAAAGGAATATGTTAGTTGGACAAATTTTATCATCTGAATATTTTTATTAGAATATTAAGAATGAGATCTTCTGGGTTAGAAGTGTGTTAATTACAGGGAGGGGACCTATGTCTGATTTTCTCAGAACTGTCCTGGCTTCTGCAAGTTGTACCTGCATAACTATTGGCAGAAATTCCCCTCCTTTGTCATCTCTCTTAAGAAATGTCCCAGTGTGGACCAGGCATGGTGGTGGCTCAAGGCTGTAATCCCAGCAATTTGGGAGACCAGGGAGGGAGGATCACTTGAGACTAGGTATTCAAGACCAGACTGAGCAACATAACAAGACCCTGTCTCTAAAAAAAAAATAAATATATATACATACACATATATATACACACATATATATAAGATAGATAGATAGATAGATAGATAGATAGATAGATAGATAGATAGATAGATAGATAGATATAGCTAGCAGAGAGGGCAGCTAGCTCAGTAACATCCCAGTTCCTGAATGGGCCAAAACCATAGTTTTGTACCCCTAGCTACTGGGGAAGCTGAGGTAGGAGGATTGTTTGAGCCCAGGAGTTACAAGCTGCAGTGATCTATGATTGTGCCAGTGCACTCCAGCCTGAGCAACAGAGTGAGACCCTTGTTTCAAAAAGAAAAAAGTCGTGGTTTGGACTATAACTCCGACTATAACTCCAACTATTAATAAGAAACTATTCACATTTATTTATCACATCTTCTTCCATTAACAGAAAACTAAAGGAGTGAAAGGGAAAAAGTGACTTCCTCTTTATGACTAACGAGGGTATCCCAGAATTTCTGGCCAAATAGTGGACCGAAGATCCACCCTCTGCAGCCACTACTGTCTACAGGGATCTCCTCTCCCTGACCAAGGCATCCCCTCTGCTGTCTAGGTCTACCCCTAAGGAATTAATTTGATGACAATTCAAGCATGCTGAACAGTGAACAGTGACAAGGCTTGACTTTCACATTAAAAGATGTGAAAACGTGGTGTTGGTTGGAGAGGCCTGAGAAACCCATGCATCCATGCATTGGATTATGGTTTTGGCCTTTTCAGGAAATGAGAGGTTACTGAGCTTCCTGCCCTCTCTGCCAGGTAAATTTGATATGTCGGAGAATGCGTGTCTGCTGCTTGTTTTAGGTACACATCGGTGGTACTAGTGTAGTTTACATCTCAAAACTAACATTTGGATATTTAACTCAAAGGTACTTTAAGACATTGAACATATGTAACTTAAAGTAGCCACTTTTTAATCGCTATGTTGACTTGCCCTGGCGAAAGGGATAAATAATGAAGGGGAGAATGCCATGTAGTTTAGACTTTCCATAAAAGAAGTAAGTCCCTTAGGTAGGACTGTCCTGCTATTGCTAATAAAGTTAAAATCGAAGCATGTCTTTCGGAAGGGATTAAATCATGTTTTTCTAGATACCGATTAAATTATCTAATCTCAACTGGCCTAAGTAATTAGGACATTGTTGATAATTCAGAGAACGTGTTAATCTTGTCCACATCCAAATAGCCTCCTTTCATAAACTG
Source organism: Homo sapiens (assembly GCF_000001405.40). Lineage (NCBI taxonomy): Eukaryota > Metazoa > Chordata > Mammalia > Primates > Hominidae > Homo > Homo sapiens. The sequence continues at coordinate 11,438,641 of NC_000005.10, read as the reverse complement.
TAGATCATGAAGATTAATAATCATGTTCATTCTTAGTCATTTGCTGCTTCTTACATTCTTTAAATCTAATGCCAAAGATGGCAGTCAACTTAATCACCTTTAAAAACTCAGACCCTTTATCAAGTGTGACTCTGAAATTAGGTACAGATTTTTAATATGGGACCATCTGCTTTTCTCAACACCACGTGTAGTTCATATATTAGAATTTGGAAGCTCCCTAACAACTGCTTCCCAGACAGCCCATCCTTTTCACCCACGTTGATTCTATAATCACGACTGTGCCTGCTTGTATTGTTGACATTGAATCCTCAGCATTTAAAAGAAGGCCTGGTACATTGTGGACATGAATACATATGTATTTGTTGATTGAATGAATGAACAAAAGAAATGGAAATATATAATTGAATCTGCATTTGTGGTTGTATTTTTGTAATTGGTATCCCTTTACCTTATTGAAAGTCCTTTGAAGATGACGATCCTCTTCGCCTAGTTTTCTATATCCAGTCCACAATACACAGCTGGCCATTTTGTGTACATCTGAGATCCTCTTAATATTTCTTCCCAACGAAGACTCTCATCAGCATCAGTTTAGGTTAGATCATCAGGTTCTTCTCCCATGTTGTCACACATACCCTGAGAATGCTGAGTTAAGATAACACATAACAGCCTATACTGACCCTGCAGGGAACTGCCCCTCCGCCAGACCTCGTACTTCAGAAGAGGCCTAGCCACCCCTGAGCTTGCAGTGCTTGTGTGAGGGTGCTTGTGGAATATTCTTCTCACTGCCTTCTATAAGCAGGACAGCCTAGTACCCAGAAACCTCCAAAGGCACCCAAGTCTTTTCAGAATAAATGCCAAATATTGACATTTGGGTTCCCCAGTTTATCAACTGGGACCATCTCCGATTACAGTCCTCTCCTCTTCCTTCTTGAAGACACCTCCTTTGCTCCAGGCATTTCAGAATATTGTCTCTGTCCCAAACTTACTCTTTGGGTTCACACTCATGTCTGCCTTCAACCCCAAATGCTCTTTCCCTTATTATGCCCAATTCAAGCTCAAACCACATCCCTATCCCTTATTTACTCCCCTCAGTCTTCACAGTTTAGTTCTCACATCATCTCTCCGTTGGCATTTCTTCCATTTCCTCCCTTACACAAAATCGTTCCCAACACTCTTTCTGATAGTGTCAAATCTTAGACTTTGTGCCCGCTTGCTGGATTCTCATGCATCTGGAAGGCAGGAACACTGTTATCTTTTCCCCTCCAATTCCTGGCACCGTGGTGGGCACAGATTAGGCACATAAAGATGATGACAGATCATCCAAACTCTTACTTGTTCCCTTATTAGAAAATGCTCTCTTGGGAAAGTTATGAATATCTTAAATCCAACTTTATTTCTTTTACAAGGATTTGAGAATTACTGTCATGAATATGCAGGGTTTCTGAAACTCGGTAACTCACACTCATAAGGAGGTAACCTAATTGACTCAGTCTTAAAAAGATGGAAATACATAACAATAATTAAGTAAATTTTACCCTTGAGTGACAAATGCATATGCCGAAAAAGCATACTATTGGGTTTTTAGAGTGCTTTTATATTTCCAGTTGGTACTCCAGAACATTTCAGAGAAACTAGTGAGTTTATTTCAATATTGGGAAAATATGTCTTTAGCATACTTAGATTTAGTGGATTAGGTTGGCCTGTATTTTTAGATACTCTTCCTTTCCATTTGTAAGTTAACATTTTAAGGCGTGACTAATTAACTAATAAAATACCAAAATGTCAATAAACTGAGGTGCTGTAGTTATTTCATTTTCATTGAATTTATCTTTCAATTCAAAAGGGAAATATTAGGAAACTAAAAGAGCTTGAAAGTAATCAGTGCCATTTGTGTCATTTTAAAACTGTCAGCAAATATCCTGGGTGAAATTTTTGAAATCCTTTGTTCTAAATAAAATAGCTTAGGCTTTAACTTCTAATGTGAGATACAGGGATGGATGTTTATAAATGTTTCATTCTTTTTGAATCAGTCAAAACCAAGGGAAGAGTAAGGAACATCTTTGGGAAGTCACTAACCATGGCAGTTTGCGGAATTCTCGATAAAGAAAAAAGTAGATACATGTAAAAATACTTCAAAATACTGTGCATGATGAGGAACAAGGCCCTGTCACTAAGAACAATCTATAAAATCTTGTATTTTCTCTCCTCCAATATCACATTGAATTTGTAAGTTGTGACCTTATACATCAGATTCTGGACTTAGAAGGTTCTTCCTCATTGAGAAATTGCTCTAATAAATAGCCTGGTTGGAGATCTTTCTGCCTCTCCTTGAGTACTTCCAGGGATAGTGAGATTTTTCTCTCTCTTCAGGTATAAAATTCAACTCAGACAGCTCTGACTGTAGAAAGGTCTTTGTAATGGGTGAATCTTTCTCCCATTCGTCTGTTGCCCACTGGTGTTCTTCCAAACAACAGTGTATATTCCTGAAGGGTAGGGATTGTGCCTTGGTAGGGATTGGTTCTCCCACTGTGCCAGCCCCCGAGAGCAAGCGCTCAGGAAGCAAAGGGAGTCCACTTTTGCCTGTAGTACTCAGAGGCACCTAACTCTGCCCTGCCGTCGTCTTTCTCCTATTCCAGTTATCTCAACGCTCCTAGTTATATTCACAACTGTTATTTTATCTTCGCCATTATACATGAGTACTAAAGTCCCCATCAGTAAGCACTCAAGCAACCAAGAAATGTGAGCATTTGACACCCAGTGAATTTGAAAGCAAGAGCTGGGCTCCAAAGCAAACCCCAACCCAAAAATCATCCTGTAAAAAAGCCTTCAGATAATAGAACTGTGTTCCTAAAGTCCCTTGAATTGGAAGACTTGAGGTTTGACATCCTAGTTGAATTATACTATCTGAAACCAATATTTGCATTATAAATACTATAAAATCTGTGATGTGAGGTTGAAGAGGAATTTAATATGAATGTTCTTCAGTCAAATAGAATAGGAGTTGGCCAGCGACAGCCAGAGGGCCAAATCAGCTGCCTGTTTTTGTATAAAAATGTATGGGAACACAGCAGCATCTATTTGCCTAGGTTGTTTCTGTGGCTGCTTTTGCCCTATGACACCAGAGTTCAGTAACTACAGTAGAGACCTAGGGCTTGTAAAGCCTGAAATAGCGGTGCCTTTACAGAAAACGTTTGTCAAACGGCGGGGCGCGGTGGCTCAGGCTTGTAATCCCTGCACTTTGGGAGGCCGAGGAGGGCGGATCACGAGGTCAGGAGATCGAGACCATCTTGGCTAACACGGTGAAACCCCATCTCTACTAAAAATACAAAAAAAAAATTAGCCGGGCTTGGTGGCGGCCACCTGTAGTCCCAGCTACTCGGGAGGCTGAGGCAGGGGAATGGTGTGAACCTGGGAGGCAGAGCTTGCGGTGAGCTGTGATCGCGCCACTGTACTCCATCCTGGGTGACAGAGTGAGACTCTGTCTCAAAAAATTAAATAAATAAATAAATAAATAAATAAATAAATAGTAAAAAAGAAAACGTTTGCTAATCTGTAAATAGAGTATCAGTCAAGGTAGCCATTTATCTCGTGACACTGAATATCTCTATTTCTGTAATAAAGTAAAATGTCTTATTTGGATTATTATTGGAGAAAAACAACCTCGTGCATTTTTTCAATTATTGTTTGTGTGTATGTTACACTTGTGCATGCTATATTTTCTTTGCAGTTATCCAGTTTGATTTGATTACATAATCTATTTACTTGGAGAATTTGGCCTTTTCTTTCTGGCATACTACACAACATGTTTGAGCCTGGGATATGGGAGTCATTCTTTTCCTATACTATTAATATAGGAGGCATTCCTTTTCTAACATTTAATTATGTAAAAAACATACAGAAAAGTTGAAAGAATCTGACAAGGGGAAGCCCTCTACTACCTACATTCTACCATTAGCAGTTTAATATACTTGATTTACCACATACCCCTTTTTCTACCCCCTCTTTCCAAATGCTTATCCATTTTATTTGTTGATGCATTTCGTGGAAAGTCACAGGCATCAGTACACATCCCCCTAAATAGTTTATTGTGCATATTAATAACTATATTTTAATATTTACTTTCAGTCCCTATTTTTTCCTTTGAGGTACAATTTACACACAAGGAAATGCACCAGTCTTAGGGGTACCACTCAACAAATTTTGACAAATGCATGCAGATGTGTAACCTAAACCTCTGTCAAGATATAGAATATTACGCTGTCTTCCCAGGAAGTTGGTTTCTGTCCTTTCCAGTAAATCCCCACCTTATTCTCTCAAAGGCAACCACTGCTCTGTTTTGTTTTGTTTTGTTTCCTACCATGGATTAGTTTTGCTCGTTTAAGAATTCCATATTGAATGGAATCAATGGCATGTTTTATTTTGTATAAGTCTTCTTTCACTGAGCGGGAAGCTTTGGGATTCCTCCATGCTGCTGCATGTATTGGCAGTTCCATCCTGTACATTGCTGAGTAGCTTTCTATTGTATAAATATACTACAGATTGTTGATTCATTCTCTTATTGATTAGTTTCTGGGCTCATTCCAATTTGGGACAATTATGAATAAAACTACTAAGTACATTCTTTTACAAGTCTTTTTGTAAATATATGCTTTTTGTTTCTTGGGGAAATATCTTGGTTTGAAACCACTGGCACATTGGGTATGTATATGTTTAGTTATTAAAGAAACTCCCCGACTTTTCCCCAAAGTAGTTGGGCAGTTTTACACAACCACCTATTTGAATTTGGTACCTTTACAACTGATATAGTTTGGATATTTGTTCCTACCCAAATCTCATGTTGAATTGCAATTCCCAATGCAGGAGGTGGGGTCTGGTGAGAGGTGTTTGTGTCATGGGGACAGATCCCTCATGGCTTGGTGCTGTCTCTGCGATAGTGAGTGAGCTCTCACTCTTCGTTCACAGAAGATCTGCTTGTTTAAAAGTGTGTGGCACCTACCCACACCCCTTTCTCACTCTTTTGCTCCCGTTCTCACCATTGATGCACCTGCTCCTCCTTTTCCTTCTGCCATGATTGGAAGCTTCCTGAGACCTCCCCAGAAGCAGACACCACCATGCTTCCTGTACATCCTGCAGAACCATGAGCCAATTAAATCTCTTTTTTTAATAAATTACCCAGCCTCGGGTATTTCCTTTTAACAGTGCAAGAATAGCCTGATACAACAGCCTTGCTGACATTTGGTAGTGTCAATTGTTTTAAAAATAGTCATTCAAGTGGATGTGCATCAGGTGCATCAGCATCTCATTTTGGCTTTAATGTGCATCTCCTTAATGACCAATGATATAGAGCACTTGTTTATGTTATAGTAAATAAGTAAATAATTTTTTTTTGTGTGTGTGAGACAGAGTCTTGCTCTGTTGCCCAGGCTGGAGTGCAGTGGCGTGATCTGGGCTCACTGCAAGCTCTGTCTCCCGGGTTCACGCCATTCTCCTGCCTCAGCCTCCCAAGTAGCTGGGACTACAGGCTTCTGCCACCACACCCAGCTAATTTTTTTTGTATTTTTAGTAAAGACGAGGTTTCACCATGTTAGCCAGGATGGTCTCGATCTTCTGACCTCGTGATCCGCCTGCCTTGGCCTCCCAAAGTGCTGGGATTACAGGCGTGAGCCACTGCACCCGGCTAGTAAATAATTTTAACATAGATTGGTGGTCTTAAAATGACTTCTGTGAAAAACTTAATGTGGAGTAAATATACTCCCACTTTGTGTCTGTTTTACAGATTTTTTCCCCTATAAAATTCCATTAAATCACAGATTTCAGCCCCTTTAGAGAAACGTAAGATATTCAGATACTTGTTGTTGCAAAAAATGCACATACACACAGTTATAGTAATGAATCCAAAACGAAGTGCCCCAGCAGTGCCTCCTCATTTCCTTATAATTTTTTTCTTTTGCTTATCATTTTATTTGGCTTATCCTCTTGAAGATACTCTGTCTTTCTGAAAGATTCTCAAATATCACTGTTTAGTTGAAATCATCACCCTCATCCCCTCCCGCTTCACCACCACAGCAGAACTAAAAGAAATATTTCACAGGCTGGATTATATTCTGCAGAGTCATGCACACCTAGCTGTAGTAGTTTGCTAGGAATATGAAACTGAATTAAATAAGTTATTGATTTTGATTCTCCTTTCATCTTTATCTCATGTTAGAAATCGGCCATGCCAACACTCCCCTGGGATTTCCCTCCATTCTGCCATCTAATTTTATCCCATCATTTCTTTCAAAATCTGGCTCAAACCACATTTCTGCCCAGATGTCTTCCCTGGTAAATTTCATACAATTTGGGTCTCTTTTTTTTTTTTCAGCCCATGTCCTCATATGGCCAATTTATGCTAACTTGCAACACTTTCTGTGTTGCCAGGTATTAATTTATAATTTGTATATCATTTCCATTTCAAACTACAATTTTTCTCAAAGTAACAGTCCTTAAGCCCTTAACTTAAAAAAAAAAAAAAAAAAAAGCCTCAACCTCAGAAAATGATAGTATGGAGTGCATCTAGTCCATTGAGCATTTTATTTAACAATTAAATAAAATAGAAAATTTACCCAGGAAGCAATGAAGCAGATAGGTAAATGTTTAGCCCTGTGTTTCTACAAGTATCTTTTCTTCAAAATAAAATGCAGACATATAATATACCATGCGAATTTACAAGTCACTTTGCTACTGTTGATGACAAAGGAGTGCTTCCGTGCTGTGCGTGTTATTGTGGTTATCTACCATTCTTTACCAAACTAGCCCAAACCTTAGCCGCTTTAACAACACCAAGTTACTTGCCCAGAGCTTCTGGGTCTAGAATGCAAGCAGGGCATGTCTGGGTGGTTCTTTTACTCCATATGGCAATAACTGAGGCAATTTACTGTAGGGGCAGGGCTCAGAGGAAGGTTTCGGAGGGCTTCACTCACACGTCTGTCACCTCAGTGCTTCTCTATGTGGCCCCTCTCTCCACCTGGCTAACGCGGGCTTCCCCACAGCATGGTTGTCAGCAGAGTAGCCAAAGTCCTTATATGGAGGCTGGCTGCCAAGAAGAAGCATTCGGTCATATGAAGGGAATCTACAGCTGTTGATCTCTTAAGCCTTGCCTTAAGATGCTAGAAAGCTTCAGAGCATCACTTCAGCTGCATTTTACGTCTCAACATATCACTGGCAAGTCCAGAGACAAGGCGAGGGAGAAAAATGGACATCCCTTTTTAATGGATGAAATGGCAAGGATACGTGGCTAACTTTAATCCATCATATGTATTGCTGACCTAAGTGTGTCTAGGTTAACTAACTAGACCTGTTTAACCAACCAGGTTGCTTTCCTGACCTCTATGGACTTAATGGTGTTTTAGCTGAGTTCACCTCTAAGAGTGTTATGTGACTTTCACCTTAAGTCGTAGAATACCAGCTCAGGGCATGCAAGCAATAGAATGCTTTCCACCAAAAGAGGGTCAGGAAAAAGAAGAAAGTCCATAAAAATCCTCTACTAAATGATATAACCTCAGTAAAGAATAGCTGCCCGATATGATTTATTTTATATGATGATATTTCTACTGACTAATTCTCCATAGGCAGTATAGATTCATTGTTTCTTTCAAATCTTTATGATATCCTTTAAAGATTCAGACACATTAAACTGCTCAATCCCTTTGAAATACACAACCCGTATTTTAGCCTGATGGGTTCTCGATTGAATCTTTGAAAAGAAAAACAAAAAAGAGATATAAGGTATGACCCCTATGCATAGCTCAGATTATCCAGATAAACTAAGATTGCATTTTCCATATACTAACCCTAGGGTTAAATACTGGCATTTCTGTTCTCTATTCCCTGACACAAAATACTGTCCCAACTTCCAAAGTAAGGCAAAAGGAATAATGTTGGTGGTGGTGATGTGAATGTGTATACACGTGTATGAGTATGTTAATTAAACAGTAGATGATGACCAAATACAGAAACACATGTTTTCATACGTTTACTAAATTGACATTCTAAGTCCAGTTTCTCTAATCACTGTGGGGGAAAATTGAGTCATTTCCCAGGATAGTGCATTAATTAAAATTCTAAATTTCAAGAGGATTTGATGTTTTGGGAACTTTCCTGCATTTTGAAGATTAAAGGAGACAAAGGAAAGGAAACATGCTTTTTATTCTCTGTAAGCTCTTTTTTTTTTTTTTTTTAATCAAGTCATCCTCACCTACATCATTATTTTTGAACTACCCTGACTTTGGAAGAATTATTTTTTTTTTGTTTCATGTCCCATTCCAACATTATACTCCTTTCTATGTTTTTTATACTAACTCTTAATGGTAAAAAGGAAAAAAAAAACTCCTTTTTTTTTTTTTTTTTTTTTTGAGACGGAGTCTAACCCTGTTGCCCAGGCTGGAGTGCAGTGGCGCAGTCTCAGCTCACTGAAACTTCCGCTCCGGGTTTCAAGCAATTCTCCTGTCCCAGCCTCCCAGGTGTCTGGGACTACAGGCACGCGACACCACACCTGGCTAATTTTTGTATTTTTAGTAGAGACTAGTTTTCACCATATTGGCCAGGCTGGTCTCAAACTCCTGACCTCATGATCCACCCACCTCGGCCTCCCAAAAGGCTGGGATTACAGGCATGAGCCACTGCACCTGGCCCCTTTATTTTCTAGTAGTGAAAATGAAGATTAACTCCAGCAATTACAGCTAAAAAGAAACAAAAATTACATTTGTTTTTCTAGTTGCTTCTTCCTGAATAGGAAAAGAAAATGAAGGAAAACTCAGTTGCAGTTTTCCCCTAGGTTGATAATGACCTGTGCTTTGAGGGGTGCGAGAACCCGCTTGCTAGACACTCTTTCATCACTTCGTTTTTCTGATGCTTTTGGAAAATCTATACAAAACGCCAAAGTCTAATCTTCTGTGGTGCATTTTCGGAGAGAAGGGCTTGTTAGAGCAATGTATCGATGGCTTGTATGACTTAGAAATGGGTCCAAGAGGAACTAAACCAACACCACCAACTCATTTCATTTAGACCATTAAGCACATTAGGTGATGAGGATTTTGTCAGTTCCTCTCTAGCCAGATTAAATCAACAAATTAAAAATGAAGAATGTCCTGGCAGCCTGCGAATTTCCCGAGCTGCTTCATCAGGGCTCACTCCGGGTCCTGCTCTGCCCCGGCGCCTTAAACAAACACGTGGGCACCAGAGGCAGAACGGGGACATGCTCATGACAGCTGCTGCTGATGAGTTCTGATTTATCTTTTTATAATTGTCCCCAATTAGAAGCCACTAGGAACACATCATGGAACATTTATAAGTGAAAATAATGTTTCATTTAATAGAAAGCTTGAGTGAATGAAATATGGCAATGGGCTTAATTAGGGAGAAGGAAATTAGTTTGCTCAAGTTTATAGGATGGACAGAGTTTAACAGCTGAAAAGTAAAAAGATGACTCTGAAGTGCTGTCACATGCAGTGGCACTTGAAAAGGGTGGATTTTCCTTTTATATGTGAACGCCACCCCCATCCCCTTCCCTACAGAGGAATAAGTTGGTCCCTATAGCTTTCTCTTAAATCAAGGTATATGCTATGTTTAAGGGGGAGGGGTGGGGAAGGCCATATGTAAATTTAGAGATATAAAAATATAAGTTAAGGTTTCATTGTTTTCATAAAAGGATTTGCCATGATATGTTCTTAAAGTATTTAATATTAATATACAGGATGAGGACAAAGGAGCATGACTGTAGCTCAGGAACTGATTCTTGAATGTTCTTATTCCAAATGAGGTTATACAAATCAAAATATTCACTCGGTAGATTGATCACTTCTGCCAGTGATGCTTTATGATGAAAGTTGAATAAAAGTGTTGTAGTCGCTTTTTGTCACAGACAATTCTAAAGACAAGATTCAGCGAAATAAATGCAGAGCATGCTTAGAATATTAAGAGGAAATCCTACGCTTTACTAACTATGCTGACCTCCATTTGTGAACACCTGTTTTATGAGTACCAGGAACAGAGCTTCCCAATGCAACAAAAAAGGAAGAATGTGGTTTAGTCTCTGTTCTCAAGGTGCTCCCAGTCCAGAAAGACAAATGCTGAAAAACAAAGAATCCTAGCCTGTTTTGATAAGGGGTAAAGCTACTATGGAGTCTCAGAGGATACAGAGCCTCACTCAGTTGGCCTCATCTAAGGCAAGTGGCTGAGACAGGGTCCTCAAGTTAGGTCAAGGAGATCCTCACAGTTGGAACATGCTTTCCAAGGAGTTGGGGCTTGATCTTACAGGTGATGATTAGGGAGAAGGAAATTTATTAAAAAACCACTGAAGGCTTTTGAACCAGGGATTGCTGATGGTCAGATTTTGGAAATTAATTAAAAAACTACTGAAGGCTTTTGAACCGGGGATTGTTGATAGTCAGACTTTGTCTTTAGGGTTGATATGGTTTGGCTGTGTCCCCACCAAGTCTCAACTTGAATTGTGTCTCCCAGAATTCCCACGTGTTATAGGAGGGACCCAGGGGAAGGTAATTGAATCATGGGGGCGGTCTTTTTCATGCTGTTCTCGTGGTGGTGAGTGAGTCTCACAAGATCTGATGGGTTTATCAGGGGTTTCTGCTTTTGCTTCTTCCTCATTTGCTCTTGCTGTCACCATGTAAGAAGTGCCTTTCGCCTCCCCCCATGATTCTGAGGCCTCCCCAGCCATGTGGAACTGTGAGTCCAATTAAACCTCTTTTTCCTCCCAGTCTTGAGTATGTCTTTATCAGCAGCATGAAAACAGGCTAATAAAAGGTTGTGGATTTCTTTGACAGTGGAGATAATTGATGGGAGCAAAAAGATTGCAGACATGAAGAGGGAGAGAGGGGCAGTGGGGTGGAATGAAGTCTGGGAGAGGCAGGAGAGGATTTCTTGATATCCTATGTGTGCCTGGGACCTTCATGTACCTTATTATTGAATCATCACAGTGGTCATTTGAGGTCAGTCATGTTCACATATTTCACAATGCCCAATGCAAAATGCAGATTTAGGATCTGTTGTTCAAAAAGCAGATGGGGACCAGGCATAGTGGCTCATACCTGTAATCTTAGCACTTTGAGAGGCTGAGGCAGGTGGATTGCTTGAGGTCAGGAGTCCGAGACCAGTCTAGCCAACATGGTCAAACCTCGTCTCTAATAAAAATACAAAAAAATTAGCCGGGCATGGCAGTGCACGCCTGTAGTCCCAGCTACTCAGGAGGCTAAGGCAGGAAAATCACTTGAACCTGGGAGGCAAAGGTTCCAGTGAGCCGAGATGGCACCACTGCACTTCAGCGTGGGTGACAGAGTGAGACTCTGTCTCAAAAAAAAAAAAAAAAAAAAGCATATGGGAAAATGCGTTTAAAGGTACTAAAAAAATACTAAGGCTTTTCTCCTTTCTTCCACTGTCTTGCTCTCAACTCGTCATAGTGTTGTTTTTTACATACTATTTAATATAATTCTAAGTAAAGAAAACTTAAAATTTTAAGTTGTTAGCACAGATTTTACTATTTATCTGTGTATTGTGCTATTGCAGATTCAAATGCAAATATAAGAGCATTTAACTTGTTTGCAGAATCACTGAAATAATACAGTTCATATTTCATAGCTCATGCATTTCCCTATGCTTTGTTCTTACTGCAGCAGGAGAAACACTGTGCAAAACCGCCTCCACTGTGTTTCTTTGATTTCTTGATATGCACATATTCTACCAACATTCTCTTATTGGTGAGTTAGAAATGAATTAAAGCAAATGGAACCATGAATTGCCCTGACTTTTCCTTTCCTTCTAAGTTATCATTTTCAACTTAACTGATTGGCTAACCTGAGTAAGAAAGGAGATGACAGGGCTCCTCAATTCTTCATGTTTTTCAGAAGGTCATTACCTTCTTCATTCAAAGCAAGTTCTGGCTTGAAGGGAAAGTGTGGTCTTTTGGAGCTGCCAGCACGCCTGCTTACTCAGTCATAAACGTAACACATTTACCTTGTACTGACTTGAGTCTCACTCAACTCCCACAACACATCATGAGTCCATCAGGGCATTGCAAATGCTCTATGTGAACGAGGCAGCAAGGAACAGAGGAATGTGGATTGTGCGTATCTCCTTCACTCTGCACATGCTCCATTGACCTGTCAGATTTCACTCGCAAAACATAAGCTCAAAGATAGAGTTGTCCAGAGTTTTAAGAGGGCAACAGCAGAGCATTAAGCCAAGCATGGGGCCTTCTAAGTGTGGGACTCTGTGCAACTGCACAGGTCTCAGGCCCGTGAAGCCAGCCCTCATAATGTTATCTGAGCACATATGTGTAGACTCAGGCTATTGATAAGATGTGACTTCCTTCACATTTCTCATGAGCAGTAAGGAAGCTGTGATGGTATCAATAAAAAATTATTCAATAGCACTTGATAAAGAATGAGAAGGATGACTTGTGTTTTTCAAGGGGGGCTACAACAGTGCGGTTTGGTAGTGGAGGAGAGAGATTAGGCTCAACTTCAAATACAACATGGAAAAGTGGGAATTTATAGCCAAGGAGGAGGGTGGGGGTCAATGGATAGAAAATTACTGAGAGGAAACATCAGGGGAAAAAAAGGATTCTGGCTAACCTGACCTAATAGGATTTTTGCTAAAGGCAGGCCGAGGGGATCCCACATCACCTGGAGGCTGATGGAGGTGGAGGAACCTGATCAGATATGGAGGATGGGCGAAACTGACGTAGCAGGGTTGTTGCTAGAACTGCACTCTCCAAGGAAGATCATGGAAGATCTCAGGAGAGCCCAACCAACATTTGGTCAAGGAGAGAATCTTTGTCAATGAGAAGTTATTCATACCACCCAGGCACAGAGCTCTTTATACCACCAGGCAAGAGATGATAAAAATCCCCAACCAAGGCAGTTAAGGGGAGTGGGTTTCCAGGGACATTTCCAGTGGAAAATGGATAGATTGGTGTAAATAATCCCAAGAATGATTAAAGATATGCTCTAAATAGCTTAAGAACGTTAGTAGGAATTTCAATTCATGGCTTTTAAAATGATTTTATACATTCGACTGGCAGTGCGGTTGTTTCATCAGACCTCTCATTCAAATCCTCATTCTTTCTTGAAAGGATAACTTCAGGACACATACAGCTGCTGTGTACCCGGAGAAGGTGGGGAGGCTGCTCCATCTTTCCCGTTTCAAGTATCAGATGCTAAATGCTGGAAATAAAGTAATTTTTTCATGTGTAATGTTTTTTCATGACAATAAATATGGAAGGCAACAGACATGTAGTCAATCAAGGAGACCCCTTTCCAGGCATTAGGATAGTGGGCTGGAAGCAGATTGGCACTGCAGTAGCTACCCTGCAAATCATCTACCAGGTGGCAGCCTAACTTCAGTAAATATGCTTCCAGAGAGCCAGTGAAGTATATTGTGTGAGGTCTCCTGAACTCACGTAGTATGCATTAAGACTTGTACTCTGCTCCAATATTGAAAGCAAAAATATCATTTTTAATTTTCCCTGAGAACATATGGCAATGGAAGTGAATACAGGATCCTGATGAGCAGGGAATCTTACACATAATGGATGAGTTTTCCTTCAGTAGCAGCACAATTTCTTGTCTCTGATTGGCAATGGGCAGTATGATTGGTATATTATGCTCCAGGGATAACTCTTTCATTCACAGAACAAAGCAGAGATGAGCCCAGGGCAGGGTCACCTGAGCTCTGGCTGAAGAATGAAGAACAAAGGGATAATCAGAAGTCAACAATGGTTTCTTTTTTTCTCTTTTCTTCCTTTATTCCATCTTCCTTCCTTCTTTTCTTTCTTGTTACTTCACTATTCCCAATCTTTTAAAAAAAATTCTAGTTTAATTATTACATGGAAATAATTGTGTAACAAATTCCACATAAAGAACCAGTCTGGGAAAAGCAGACACAGTGGTATAAAACCACTTTCCTCTAATTTTTTTTTGCTTTTTTATTTTGAAATAACTATAGATTTTTATGACATGCCAAACATACACACACACACACACGTCTCTTCTAACTTCGCCTAGCCCCTCCAATAGTCTTATCTTGCTTAAGTAGTACAATATCACAACCAGAATCAACATTGCTACAACCAACAGATTTCCCCAGTTTTATATGCACTGATGTGTGTGTATGTGTATGTGTGTGTGTATGCGTGTTTAGTTCCATGCAGTTTTGTCATGTCAGTAGCTGTATGAAACCATGCCACAATCAAGATTTAAAACTATTCCATAACTGCAAGTCTCCCCCGTGCTACCCCTTTTTAGCCACACACCTCCTTCTCCATCCCTAAATCCTGACAACTACTGATCTGTTTTCCAGTTCTACAATTTTGTATTTCAAGAACGTTACTCCTCTTTTTCACTCAGCGCAATTCCCTTGAGAGTTGTTGCATGTTTCACATACACTTCCTTGGTATGGATGTATCAGTGTGTGTAACCTTTCACTTGTAGAACATTTGTTACTTGTAGTTTTTGACAATTATGAATAGAACTCTAATGAACATTTGTGCACCCATTAAACTTTTTAACGAAACTTTCAGATGGTTTCAGATGACTCAGATGGTCAAAAGGCCAGTATTGCTCTTAAGGAAGTAAAGATCTATAACACCACAAAAAATTGTTGTACATGAATATTACATGGTTTCTGCTGTATAAAGGCGCTAAGATTGAAACTTATTTTTTACAAATCTTCTGTTGATCCTCAAAAAAAGCAAAAAAAAAATTTTTTCTTTATTGTGAAATCGGCAATGGTTATTCATTTGTATTTTCATTACATGTCTAAGAGGTGTTAGCTTTGCTTACATTAATAAAATCATAGCAAATGCAGTCAAATCCAATATTCAGGGTTTGATATACCTGTAGTAGATGACATATGTAGGAAGCAAAAGCAGAGGAAAGAGAAGCTATGAGCACATCAGTGTATTTTAGAGGAACAGAGGAGTGAGTTCACACATGTATGCAACAACACACATTCACACACTCATGCACATAATATCACACATAGAATCACAGGAAGCCAGGAAAACATAAGCTTGACCCCCTCCATTTTCTCAGAGAGGTCTCCAAAATTAAAGAGCTGCCTTAACTGAGATGGTCCGACAACAGGGATAATTCTGGGAACAAAAATACATTGAATGCAAAAGAGTGAAACTTGAAATGTCTGGGAACCTTGATATACATGCCACTTCTATCGGCAAACAAACTAGGTACTCTTCTCCTGCAGAAATATCAGTTATGGATAATCCACCTGAGAGATGCAGTGAGCTCTCTCTTCACTCTCAGGATCAGGGAATGAAGTGTTCAAGTTAATCAACATCTGACTGTGAGTTATAATGTCACCAAAACAGAAGTATCATTGTGGCATATAGAATGCCGCAGTATACACCAAGCACACAAACTACACAAACTATTCAGTTTGATGGTTTGGAAAGTACTTCAAAACACTGTATATTATAAGACCTATCGGTCAACTGGTGAACAGTACCCCTGGCCAACTGGAATTTCAACTTACTACATTCCAATTTATGGAATGCCCACTGGCAAAGATACTATGATACATTATTTTCTAACATAGTTGGTATTTGGAAATGTTACTTTACTGTAAATTTCTCATGTACTGTTATGAGCATTTGAAAAATAATACCTAGCCCCATGCATGAGAAGCTTCCGGGAATACTATAGAAGGAGCTACGGTGTGAGAATTTTCTACTTTATAATGCACCATTTGTTGCTGCTTCTGATATTGAATTTTATGCATAATGTGTCTCTTGTAATATAAGTACAATGAACTTTGAAGCTATAAAAGAATTTGAAGAAGAAAAAAATGAATGCATTTCTTTCCCACAGTGACAGCTTGGCTTGTATGTAGACAGAACATTTAGGGTGACTGAGCCTCTGGCTAATTCTTTGTGGCTGTTAGAAACTAGAATATTTATTTTGAAGGAATTAAAACAAAACAGAATTTAATGTGAATTCTCCCTGGTTTGGCTGTAGCTGGCTGGCCCGCAGACGTGACAGTGTTGTGGTACTCTGTGATAAACACAGGAGTCGCGTGTGTCCAGGCCGTGGTGTGGGAGCTGTTACCACATTGCAGTGTCAGTTGCTTGGACAATTGTCAGTCACCAGTGCCAACAAAATTAGCTTAAGAATATGAATTTCCCCTGCCTCAAACTAAAATTAATAGCGGCAATTTAGTTCTGATTTATTTTCTCCTGTGGTCTTGAAAATAGCAAATGGTCTTTATGGCTTTTACTATGGCAAGAATGGTGGCAGTTGCCAGGAAAGACATCCTGAGCAACACTGATTTAAAAACTTACGGTTTTAAAGCAAATCATCTTTTTTTATAAATCACAGACTGCTTTGTTTCTTCTCCATTTTAGCGTGGGGGAAAAAAAGGTAGACAATATAAATTCTACAGAGCCTGTAACTTATATTTTTGATAATATGTATTGGTCCCCAGGTATAGACAAGTTGAATGCCATATGGTGGGCCTGCGTTCATCTTTCAGTTCTGTGAATTAGCTGCACTCTCTCAGGCCTCTGTTCTTCTCTATGTGGTAATGATAGCTTAACTTTTGTTGGGCGGCTGGAGTGCGGGGGCAGTCCTGCATCCTATGTTCCTGGAAATGTTCTATGGATTTTTCGTGTTTTATACCCTTAACTTTTGTACAATCACTATGGGAAAAATTCTAGTGATATCTCTATTTTACAAATGAGGAAACAGAGACTTGGAGAGTGTAAGGCAGAAGTGCCTTGATCACATCCCCTTAGGCAGCAGCCCCCCAGTTCTGTGTGTTTACCTACTTGTGCCCTTACCTGACTGCAAACTCATAGACAGCTGGTGCTGCCCCTCTCTTTGTTATCCGCAGAGCCACAGTGAGCACTCACCAAGAGTTTGTGGTGACTGTGTCACCATTTTCTCTAGGACTGGTTGTGTCTGGCTGCTTAGATGCAGACACCGCCATGCCTGGGTATTTTTTTAGTGTCCACTGTTCCCATTTCCCCATATTGGCCCCATTTTGGCCCTCCCCCAGTGGACCACAGTGTACTCCAAGTGATGAAATAGATTAGAGTAAGCCATAGTCAATAAGCCATATAAGCCATTTGAACAACATGATGTTACTAGCAAAGCCGGTCCCCCTCAAAGTGGGGTGTTTCCCTGTTTGGTGCCTCGAAGCCAATATGCAAAACCAAAAGTAAGCGTCAAGCAGAGCAAGCTGTATTCAGTGGCCATGAAATCAAGAAGCAGGTGTGTGACAGGGGTGACAGCTGGAAAGTCACAGATGTAGGGTATCTTGAATGAAGGGGTTGGGCATGAAAAGCAAGGGGAAGAATATTCATATCTTTTCTGGGAATGGGCAGGGAACTTCTCAGAACTGGAGCTACCACTTTCCTTTTGTCCTTTTATGGTTTCCTCCAGTTGTTGTCATGGTGATTGCCAACTGTCATGGTGCTAGTGGGAGCATCATTTAGCATGGAAATCAGATTATAATGAAGTTAGAGGTTCTTCAGAGGTCAGACGAGCTGCTATATTGGTTCCCGCTAGTCTTAGCCAGTTTGGTCAGAAGTGGGAGCTTCTGACCTCTCAGGGATCTAGTTTCCTAAAGGTAAGCAGAGTTAAGGTGGGGTAGAAATTTACCTGTGTCACGTAGGCATGACACTGGGTAACAATCTCATAAAAGAGGAAGCAGTTCCTTACTTCCTCAAGATATACCAGGCTTTGAGATTCTGTAGCTATATCCATTGTAGCCTGTAAAAATGTTCATAATAGCCGTCAAGTTGTATTTTTGATGGCAATAGTTAAAGCAAAAAGAAGATATATCATCTAAGCAAGAAAAACGGCATTCTAATTGCATGGCAGAGATATTAGGACATTCATTTGGGATTATATCACAGACAAGTATAGAGACCACAGGCAGCCGACCAAAGGGAAGTCAGTTCCACGAAACATTCTGCGGAGAGTGGAGTTATTCGGCAACCCAAACCAGTGATTCTGGACATAATGCGCTAATGGAACAGGGCAACAGCGGCCTAAAGCCGAGCTCAGTGGGGGATCACTCTTCACCATTTTTAACTAAATATGTTACACTTTCACAGTACTTGAGGCTAAGGGCATTTTATTTTGCAACCCATGGCTATTCTTGGGAGGGCTGCATGCAAAACTATGTACTAAAAATGTTTTGCTGTCCAAATACAAGGTCAGGTCATATGGACATCATCAATATAAAGGTCTTTGTTCCTATAGGTTAGAATCAAATGTCAGGTTTTTTGTTTTTGTTTTTGTTTTTTGACACGAAGTCTTGCACTGTCGCCCGGGCTGGAATGCAGTGGTGCCATCTCGGTTCACTGCAACCTCCACCTCCCCGGTTCAAGCAATTCTCCTGCCTCAGCCTCCCAAGTAGCTAGGATTGCAGGCGCCTGACAACACATCCAGCTAATTTTTTGTATTTTTAGCAGAGATGGGGTTTCACTGTGTTGGCCAGGCTGATCTCAAACTCCTGATCTTGTGATCGCCCGCCTCGGCCTCCCAAACTTGTGGGATTACAGGTGTGAGCCACCACGCCTGGCCAGAGGTCAGTTTTGAAGCAATTTATTTCCCAGTAGTTTCTCTGGCTTATGTTTTAGGTACATTGCTTAACTCAAAAGCAGACTAACAAAAAAACTCATAGTTCTGTACCTTTATTTCATTTTGAAAGATATTGTGAGCAATAATACACCACATGATACAATGTGGAGACTGATGCTTTGGGCATCAAAAAATTGAAAAAGACAATAAGAGTATATTTGAGCAGGTTCATAACAGATGGAATATCTCTAGTAATGGTTTGCTTTGTGTCTTTTCCTGGCATTAAGAAAAATGCTTTGAACTTTCATATATATATTTTTATTAGAAATGGCCTGGAGATAGTTACTAAGGCTATGATGTTGGAATGATGAGGTGGAAATCACTTGTGAAGGAACTCAAAGGTTGTCTTTGGGTTTACACCAGTGTGCTTCCTATTTCATGCCCTCTGAACTTGAAGATTATTGGTTGCTTACTTGAAATGTTCAAACTAAATCAAACTTGAAACATTGTAAAAATGACACTGTCAGTTGTCTCACATATGAAATGGAAAAAGAAGTTAGTGTATCTCTAAACAGTTGTTGCCACTATTATTTGTAATTATATATTTCAGAATTGTTTGGCATCATTTGAGTTTAAACTGGGAGTGATTCTAACAATGCTAAGAATATTATAAAGGCTGCAATCACAAAGGTTTATCTAAACATTTAACTAAGCATATTTCTAAGTGTAGGAATCATGGGGAATTTTTTCTCTTCCAAGTATCAAAGATATTTTTAAAATAATGTTAACATTTTGTCATAATAACTTCAGGTCATTTTGTCATATTTCATAAATAAAACATTGGAGATAAAAGAGGGAGGGAAGTTATCCTTCCTTGGACTCATTTTCTTCACCCTTCTGACCCCCTGTAGAGCCACCACCACCATCTTGAATTTGATACCTTTTCAGTTCATATGTTTTTATTCTCTCTCTCTCTATATATATATCTATATAGATGTCTATCTATATATCTATATATAGATAGACATCTATATAGATATATATATATAGAGAGATGCATGTATATGTATTAATGTGTATATTTATAAACAATATTGTTTATTCAGTGTTTCTAAAATCACATAATTGGGATCCTGCAATACATATCTTATTGACAACTTCCATTTTTTTCTCTGTATTTTGTTTTTAAGAACTACATATGTATCTGGCTAATTTAGTTTACCTGCCAAATAGTATTTATTCCATAAGTGTTCATATGAGGGGATTTCAAAAAGTTTGTGGACAAATGGAATTAAAAGATAAAAGGAAAGAATAAACTCTATTTCTCCCAATATCCAAGTAGTAACCAGGTGCGACCCTGCTCCTTACAAATTGATGTGGATGGTCTGCCACTGCAGGCTTCATCTTCGTCATCATCTCGTCCCTTCTTAAAACCAGTTATCCATTTGTAACTGCTGATTTCTCTGGTGGCTTTATTACCATAAACTTCTTGTAAGGCATCAATGATTTTGCCATTCTTCCAACCAAGCTTCCTGTAAATTTGATATTTATTCTTGCTTCAATTTTAGCAGAATTCATATTGCTCTAACAAGAGCTCTTTTCTTTATTTTGTTTTTTTGTTTTGTTTTGTTTTGTTTTTGAGACGGAGTTTCACTCTTGTTGCCCAGGCTGGAGTGCAATGACCTGATCTTGGCTCACCGCAACCTCTGCCTCCTGGATTCAAGCAATTCTCCTGCCTCAGCCTCCCAAGTAGCTGGGATTACAGGCATGCGCCACCACGCCCAGCTACTTTTGTATTTTTAGTAGAGATGGGGTTTCTCCATGATGGTAAGGCTGGCCTCGAACTCCCAACCTCAGGTGATCCACCCACCTCAGCCTCCTGAAGTGCTGGGATTATAGGAGTGAGCCACCACGCCCGGCCCAAAAGAGCTCTTTTCAAACCGATATCTTACCCTCGTTAGTGCGTCAAACTAGATCAGGTTCAGACATGTTATAACAAGTTAATATCAGCTTATTTGGGTGCAACAAATATTTGAAATCCACAAATAAATTTTTCATAATATGCATTTTCCATAAACTTTTTGAAGACCCCTCATATATGATATGTAGTCATATTATTATATTTGTTTATTTTTCTATTACTGGAACACATAGGCTGTTTCCATTGTCTTGCTATTACAACAATGTAGGCAAGAACAATCTTGTACAAGTCTCCTGGACAAAGGTGCAAATGTTTTCCTGGAGTCTCTACATAGAAGCAAAATTCCTGGGTGATTAGGTATTACATGTACAAAATTACCAGGTACTATCCCACAGGTCACCTGTGTGTTTCACTAATTTACTTTCCCACCTACAGTGTATGAGAATTACTTCCCCATTTCTTCCCCCACACTTAATATTGTCAGGCTTTCAAATTTTTGGACAGTTTGTGGTGTATGAGGAGTTATCTTGTGTTTAATTTTTATTCCTCAAATACTTTTAATGTGTTCAGTGGCCATACATTTTTTTTTGTTTTTTTGCTGTGCACCAGCTATGCATGTCTGATGAGCTCTCTTCTATTTCATTTTAAATCTCTATCTTATTAATTCATTGGAGTTCATTGTATATTCTGGAAAGTAAGCTTTTGTAAGTTATATGCCTTGCAAATATTTTCTCCCAGGTTGTGGCTTATTTTACAACTTGGTTTCTGGTAGGAGTTTTTTAGTCACATAAGGTTTTACTTTTGATGTAGCCAAATGTATGACTGGAATAGTGGTTCACACATTTCTGTAGACTCTGGAACCAGAAAACCAAGGTCATAACCCTGGCTTCTCTACTAACTGGCTGAGGGACCTCTAGCAACTTCCGTGGCATCTTTTTACCTTGGTTTTATTATCTCTAAAATGGGAAAATATTACCTTTCTCAAAAGTTTTAATATGAAGATTAACTACAAATCAGTTAGACTATTGTCTGCTACCAAATGAGACCTATATAAATATTAGCTATTAGGATTTTTGCTTTCAATATATTGTTTCAAAATTTCTTTCCTAGCATCACTGATGTCTTTATGTATTTAAAGGCTAAGTGTTATTTATGGTTGTCTTTGTCCTAAATACATGTTTTTCTCACAGTCACTAGGTTCTGGATCTTATATTTAGGTATATTCAAACACATATGGACTGATCAAAATTATGTCTATAGTCTTTTTTACATTTATTTCTTTAGAGGTGATTTCTATTTCATAAAATAGCATTTCAGCAGTAAAAGCAAACTTTATTTCCTGAAGTTGAACATGCATTTAAGTTATAACACCTTCAAAAATGACGTTTCTATTATATTAAATTGAATTATGTAATTGAGAGAAAATTTACCACAGGTAATTCCTAGACACCTGATATGAGTGTGTCTGTGACCCAGGCATAATCCATGTTTATTGAATAAATAAATAGTTTGTTTGCTTTTTAAAAAGCATCTACCTTAGAGCAATTTTTAAAACAAGGAATCAAATACATAAAATAGGCAATTGCATAAAATCTCCTAGCTAAGAGATTAAAGTGTGCACTTAAAGGAAATAAAATCCAAACCAGCTTTCTCTTGGGACTTCCATTCTCTGTGATCAGTCATACTTTTAATGCATTTTAACTGTGCCAAAGAAATCAGGGAAACCATTGAAGTGATTAGTGCTTTTTGTCTGCCCAAAAGGAAGTTGCCTGTGCTTTGGAAAGACAGTTTTATATTCACTTCCAATTATATTTTTTAAATTATAATAAAAAGAGTTTCTTCTTTTTTCTGTTGTGTCATAAAATTGAAACACATTTGATAGAGATGAACAGAAAAATAAATATCTAATAGCATGACGTGTAGTCCTAAACATAAAATCAACACCTGCACATAAAATCGGCACCACCTTATTTGTACTAGGGTTACCCCGGACATTTTCTTCCAACTCTGTGCTGCAGAAATCGAAGAGCAAGAGCAAGAAATGCCTTAGGAATTCACCTTTTTGTTTTGGTCAGTGTGACATTTATTCTTCAGGATCAGACAGCCCTCTAATTACAGAGTTTTAACACAACAATTATTTGTTTCTCACTGGTGCTCTGTGTTCTCTGTGGGTTGGCAGAAGTCTCCATTCCACATAGTTACTCAGGCATGCATCTCAACACAGGGCTTAAGAGAGAGAGAAAGCATGAAGACCTCATGCTTATTCTTCTGTGCTTGGCCATAAAGTGGCACTTGTCACTTCCTCTCATACGCTTTTGTGACCCCATCTATGTGCAAGGGAGCTAAGCAGAGTGTTTTCCTCAAAGTGCCTGCAAGGAGAGGAGTGCTGGACTTTACTGAGTACTGGGAATGACTTTCATTGACACCCTCACTCATATCACTTAAAATGGGTGGTAACCTAAGCATGTTTCCTTGCACAAATTTTTAAAAATTATTTTTTAATGTTTTAGAGGCAGTGGTCTTACTCTTTTACCTAGGCTGGGGTGCATGAGGGACAGTGGCGCAATCTCAGCTCACTGAAGCCTCAAACTCCTGGACTCAAAGAATCTTCCCATGTTGACCTCCCAATTAGCTAGAAATAGAGGCACGCACCAACAAACCTTGCTAATTTTTAAAAAGATTTTGTAGAGATGAGGTCTTGCTATGTTGCCCAGGCTAGTCTGGAATTCCTGGCCTCAAACCATCCCCCTGCTTCAGCCTCCCAAATCACTGGGATTATAAGCATGAGCCAGGGTTAGAGGCATGAGTCACCATGCCTAGCGCCACCATGACTTGATTTTGAAAGAATGGCTGTTATTAAAAAGTCAAAAAATAATAGATGCTGGAGAGGTTGAGGAGAAAAGTGAACACTTACACACTGTTGGTGGGAATATAAATTTGTGCAACCATTGTAGAAAGCGGTATGATGATTCCTCAAAGAGCTAAAAGCAGAACTGCTATTCAACCCGACAATCCCATTACAGAGGAATATGAATTATTGTACCATAAAGACACATGCACACAAATGTTCATTGCAGCACTATTTACAATAGCAAAGACATGGAATCAACCTAAATGCCCATCAATGATAGGCTGATTAAAGAAGATGTGGTACATATACACCATGGAATACTATGCAGCCATGAAAAAGGATGAGATCATGTCCTTTGCAGGAACATGGATAGGGCTGGAGGCCATTATCCTTAGCAAACTACTGCAGAGACAGAAAACCAAAGACTGCATGTTCTCACTTACAAGTGGGAGCTAAATGATGAGAACTTATGACACAAAGAAGGAAACCACAGACACTGGGGTCTATTTGAGAGTGGAGGGTGGGAGGAGGTGGAGAAGCAGAAAAGATAACTCTTGGGTTCTGGGCTTAATTCCTGGGTGATGAAATAATCTGTACAACAAACCCCCATGACATGAGTTTACCTGTGTAACAAACCTTCGCATGGATCCCGGAAATAAAGGTTTAAAGAAAAGAATTTGAGTTTAGGAGTTCACACATCAGTTTAAATCCCTGCTGGGATCCTTAGGAGCTGTTTGGCCAAGTTTTTCAACATTACTAAATCTGTTATTCCCCATCTATAAAGAAGAGATTTGTGATTGTTGTGAATTAACTGGGCCTTGGTATTCAGGAAGCACTTAGTAAATAGCTGTACTGGTGAAGGAATGTAGGAGTATAGAGATAATAGCAAATCCTGGAGGACATAACACGAGAACTTTTTTGTTGTATCTGTTTCCTGGCGCTGTCATAACAAATTACCACAACTGGGTGACTTAAAACAATAGAAATTTATTCTGTCATGGTTTTGGAGACCAAAAGTTCAAAATCAAGGTGTCAGCAGGGCTGCATTCCCTACAAATACTCCAGGGGAGTTTCCTTCCCTACCTCTTTCAGGTTCTGATGACTTCACGCATTCCTTGACTTGTGCCTGCATCACTCCAGTCTCTGCCCCCATTTTCACATGGCCTGCCCTTCTCCATTTTTGTCTCTCTTCTATCTCTTATAAGCACATGTGTAATTGGATTTAGGGCCCACCTGGATGATCCAGGATGACCTCATCTGAAGATTATTAACTTAATTACACCTGCAAAAGCACTTTTCCCAAATATGTTACCATTCACAGGTCTTAGGGTTTTGATGAGGACATATCTTTTGAGAGAGGAAGGCCCTCCGTTCAACCCACTATCAATATGGAAGTGTTTTCTATCTGTGTATAAATCCATGGCATGTAAACACTTAAAATATTATACCACCTTGAGAATTTGTCCAGCCTTAAAATATAGAAGAATGAAGTTGTGGGGAGCCCTAAATTAATAATGGATGATTAATGAAAATAGTATCTAGTGTTTTACAAAGTTAGAAGCACGCAAGGATCATCATGGAAGCTTGTTATGCAATGCAGGCTCCCAGCCTAATCCGTAGACTTTTTCATCTTGTAGGTCTCTAGTAGGGCCCCAAAATACATATACTTAAGAAATGCTACAGGTGATTCTGACACAAGTAAGCATTTGGAATTACTCAGAACCCATATGCCTGAGTTCTAGTCTAGTTTCTGCAAATGACCAATGGGATTGATCTTTAAACAGTAGTATTTTGATATTCACATTCTTGAAAAGTAATGATCCATAGACTTCTTAGAGGATTAAAATAGCCAGGATAACTATGGTTCTGATTTTTGAATTGGTGATTCTTGAATAATAAGATGGGACTACTTTATATTAAATTCCACTTACTAAGTGAACCTGTTAATTTTTAAAAGGTTTTTATAATTTTTAAAATCATTTTTATTACATTTCTATTTTAAGGGCTAAACTTTGTAGTTATATGTTACTATTATATAATGTCACATCTTTTTGTGCAAGAAATAGTTGCATTGGACTGAATTTGAAATATTATCATTTCCTGTATCAATATTGTCTACAGCTCTCATTATTATAAAACCATTGTCCAGTTTCCTAATATTGATTGACTCAGGGGCAAGATACCCCATAACAGTCACATGTCTCTTAATGGACTACTCTTGTTTTCATTTACGCCAGTCATGGCCTTTCTGAACATTGATTTATACCCAGAATTCCCTTTTTCTCCGTAAATGTATTCAGAACCCACCTCTAAGGTACAGACTAAAGGTCTACAATCCATGTGCTGTTGTGAAACTAATGAACTATTCAGAGAAGCTGCTTGAACAGAGTAAAATATCATGAAATAAGTGTACAAAATCATTCTCAAAATGATGTCTTTCAGGAATTAGCATGTAGATTTCTCACCGATTATTTACATATAAAAAAGGGGCCTGTAGGAAGTGTTTGCATACACAATGGAAGAATTGCTCATATTTAGAAACTATGTATTTTGTATTTAATAAGTCATTCAAAATAAATCTGTTACCTATACAGAACCACTCTATACAGTATCTTTGGCATATGTATATGGACAACCCTTTCCGTCTGGGTCATTTCATAAGATGTATTATTGAGATTTTTGGAAATGTGTATTTAGTTGGTGGTAAAGTGTTATAATTTTTAAATTACTTAAACTCTTAAATCAACTAAAGGGAAATTTTAATATGATATGGCTAAATGGAGGCAAAGATTTATTTCATCTCTCTAATAAAAAAAGGGATAGTTATTTCCTTATTAGGCTACCTTACAAAGTCTACATGATCCTATTCTAAAATAACTAAAATTGAGTAAAACTGCATGTATAGAGAAGCTATTGTAAAGAATGAGTCTAACAGGTTGGGCTTTGTAAAAAATGAGCTCTTCTGAAAATTACTGGACAATGTCCATTTAAAACATGCTAATACTTGCGAATCAAAAGGGATATACAGCAAATGGATTAAAATTAAAATTATATCAAAGTGGAATCCCTTTTCATAGTAAGAAATGAAAGGAAATGCAACGGGGCCACTGTTACTACCCTAATATGCCTTTGTGTCTTAGATTTTAGGGTTTTATTTTTCTTTTCTAATCAATGCATTATATCTCTGTATTTTCTTTTTTACAGTTCAGCAGAAGAGCAGTTTCAGTGGCAGTCACAAGGTAATGTCTATCTTATTGATGAACACTTACACTTCTAAACATATCTCTACTGATGACTTTTCTTATGAACTTTAGAATGAGACTTAGAAAAGTAATAGGAAAACATCCCGATAGTAAAATTAGATGAAGTTGTTATGATAGTTCACAATTTATTGAGAGTTAAATCTTTCAATTCTGTAGTAACTATGCTCTTCAAGGGTACATGAAATTGCTGACCTTGGCTTTAATGTTGGTTGACCAAAAATTAAAATGGAATAGCTAATGAAAACTTCATAGAGGTAATATATTTGACTAGGATATTTTCCATGATTAAATGATAACCTAAATCTTTAAGAATAATATACCATGTGTTTGTTCATCACTTTAAAATATTTCATTTCAGATGGTCAAAAAGATATCGAAGATGAGCTTACAACAGGTCTCGAGCTGGTGGACTCCTGTATTAGGTCACTACAGGAATCAGGAATACTTGACCCACAGGATTATTCTACAGGTGAAAGTAAGTCACGTGGCAGTTATGCTTGAAGATAGTTGAAATATAGGAGTATTATGTCATTATTTCTAATATCATTACTGTTATGAGCCATATCAAATGAGGATTTCAGGATATTTTTATACTTGTTTTATCCATTTCACTCCGTCCCATCTGTTCCCTTCCCACATTATCCCACCTCAGTTCACATTAGAGTATAAACTCTTTTAAGTCAGTAGTTGGCATCTAGTTTTCGCACTAATTACTGACATACTGGTGATTCTCACTGTTCTCTGATATCCTTTTCAATATCTAGACTACTGCATTTTATGAACTCATCATATATTTTGTAGTCAACACAATGTCTGCCTTAAAATTAACTATCAATGCTGGCCGGGCGCGGTGGTTTACGCCTGTAATCCCAGCACTTTGGGAGACCGAGATGGGCAGATCACAAGGTCAAGAGTTTGAGACCAGCCTGGCCAATATGGTGACACCCCATCTCTACTAAAACTACAAAAAAACTAGCCAGGCATGGTGGTGCGTGCCTATAGTCCCAGCTATTCAAGAGGCTGAGGCAGGAGAATCACTTGAATCCAGGAGGCAGAGGTTGCAGTGAGCCGAGATTGCGCCACTGTACTCCATCCTGGGCAACAGAAGGAGACTCCGTCTTAAAAAAAAAAAAAAATTACCTATCAGTGCTTTACTCATAGAGATCACTGTTGGTAGAAATCATAAAAAGCAGCAATTATATGACAAAATAGGAAAAAAAATGGTGTACTCTTAGTATTATCTATTTAGTACTATGCTAAGGTACTATGCAATAAATTCTTACATTTCTGTATTTAACCATCTTGCATTGCTATATTAATTCCATAGAACATTTAAAAATCACTTTCTCTCCATTTAATGACGTATTTTTCAACCAGAATGGTTGTGGATTAGGAGTTGAAATGGACCTCCTTTAAATAAATCATAAAATTCTTTTTACTTATTTTAATAAAATTCCACAAAAGACTAAAAATTTCATCATTAAAATAGGTATTATCCTGGTAATACATCAAAAACCAGTGAAGCATTTTATTCCTTAATTTAAAAAATAAAATTTCCTCCAATACCCACTAAGCTTCGTCATGCAAAAGGAAGACATAAGGATAAGATAGCAAACTGATCTTGAAAACCATTTATTTTACAGATTAGCTCATTTTCTCTATAATCTTTGTAATACCATTACTGTTAGGATAACATTGCTGTGTATACACAGATTTATTTATACCCATATGCATCCTCTCAATACAATTCGTAAAGAAAGATTGGTTGGTATTATCCTTGTTCTCTGTATTTTGTATTGAAAAATGTCTAATCGTTACCTCTTTTACTCATAGTCATTAAATATATTTCTCTTGTAGGGACAACTCTAGTTAGAACACATTTAATTAATATTTGAAACACATGCATTCATCTTATTAGCAAGTAATAAGAGCAGCAACAGAATAGTTTGCCTTGTTGGGAAACGGGGAGATGATAGTGGAAATCTCATTTTTTAATATAATAATATATTTGATAACGAGTTTAGGAGAAGGAGTAACATTTAATAAATGGAAAGTACAGAAAATAATTAATGAGTTAAATAAAAAGTAAACAAATTAAAATAGAAGGGAAAATATAGGTATATCAATCTAATGCTGCATTCTAAATTCTCCTCTGAAAAGAATAAAAGTTCAAATTTGCAGTAAACAAAGAAAGTAGTTATGAGTTATTCATAACATTTAATGAAATAAGTGTTGAAATTAAAGGAATGGTCAAAGTAGTGCCTGCAAATATAATCAATGCAAAGAGTGGGATTGGAAGAATAATGTGAGATAAATTGGAATTTAATACAGAATCACTTAGCAGGGCCAAAGATGGGAGTTATGTAGTGAGCTGTCTTAACTTATAAAGATGTGTTAAGCTCATACTCAAATCTAATGAACATGTGTGCACCAAACAGCATAGCATGTGAATATTAAAACAAATGTTACTAAAAATAAAAGAAATTAAGGAAAAATATTATTGTGAACATTTGAATGCACGTCTCATGAATCAGACAGAATGCTAGAAGGGAAAGCCACAAAATGTTGAAATAACAAATTAAGATAACCATGTATTAAATAACTTTTAAAGGTTTTATTTATTGCATGATAGTATATGTTTGTTACATATGTCCAAGGAAAATTTATAAAAATTGACCAGCTACTAGAAGATAAAGGCAATTATAAAAGTTAAGAAGTATGGAGGGCCATATTCTTGGATAAAAATCTACCAACACTAAAAGTAAATAATAAAATTGTAAGCAAAATGTACTAATATTAAAACTAAGAAACATACTTCTGGATATTTACTGAATCAAATGGAAATAATAAAGAAAATTGCATAGCATTTACTAAGCAAATAAAACAGGAACATTTTTTAGTAAAAACAGAAGTATGGGGGAAAAAACACATTCAGAGGATATCTTAACTTCATGATTAAAAATAGAAAACAAAATAAAGAATGTTGTACTTATTTGGGGAAAATCTTAAAAGAGGTAAATAAATAGCAAGAAACTAGTAAGATGCATACGATAATAGTAATGCAGAGATAAAGTAATATAAAGTAAAATAGTCAAAGATAAATAAATGCCAGAAGAGATAAATAGAGGGGATAAATAGATGATATTTTTTTCTGTAAGTCAAATAATAGTACTGAGCTTTCTTAGTTGAGAAACTCTGTTACACACAAGGAAAATGGAAAGAAATTTTTTAGCTTTCACTTTAGTTTGCCTGCAATATGTATTCAAAAATTACCTACAAATGGTTTATAATAGGGAAGTTAAATGCTCCAGTATGGTCTTTCCACATATATTTGGTAACCACCAAATATTTATTTTTCAGAAAGATTAGTCACTTTATATTGTCACGTACTGAATTATCTTATTGAAGACTCCTAGGATTTTAGTTGATTATTTCTTTTGAAAGCTCCTTCATCCTGCTTTGAAGAAAGGAAAAGAAACAAAACAAAAAAGAAACAATTGATAAAAGTACCATTCAAAAGTTGTATGCGGAAGGATTCTGAACCACAGTCACATAAAGAATATTATTATTCTTAAGAACCATTTGCCCTTAACATATTCAGAGTCACCTTGAAACTGAAGTAACTGAGTAAAAACTAGGAAAATAATTTTAACATATTGGGTAGATAACTATCATTTTGGGCATCAATATTGCGAATTTTAAGTGTTCAGAGGATCATAAAATAAAAATCTAAATTGCTCTGTGTATATATATTAGTTAGGTTCCAGATGAGATATAGATTCTATTCAAAAGAGTTTAACTGAACAGAATTTAATTAAGGGACTATTTATGAAGAGGTGGGCAAGATTAAGGGAACAAACAGCGCATGTTGTGGTATTCAGGCAGTGGAAGACAGATGCCCTTACCACCCTTAGACCCTAAGGGAAATCAAGGAACTATCCCCAGCAGAGTCTAGCAGCAAGCGGGGAATCAATGTCATAATCTCTTTTTCCTCCCTCCCCCAATCTCCTTCTCCTGCCTCCCATTGGCCAAACCCAACCAGAAGCCAAACTGAAAGACATCCTTCTCTGTGCAGAGGACTAGCAGAGAGTGAGTGTACAGCACTATCAGCACAGCATCCTCCTCGATAGTGGAACAACCGTATACCATATTTACCTCTCCCGTATAGAAACATAGCAAATAGATATGCAGTGGCACATTGACAGATTTCATCTAATTAGGAAAAGCCCATCAGATTCTGCCAGTCAGTGATTATTCAATCAATGGATTCATTAGCTATGAACCAGCTAATGCTAAATTGGACCTGGCACCCTGCCCTTGAGAACCAGTCTCTTAATCCTCACTCAAAAGGGACTAAAACAAGGCTAAATACTGTCTAAACTCAGTCTGGAAAAGTTCTAAAATGGAAAGCAGTCTCACCCCATGATCGCATAGTTCTTAATTTGTTTTATTTAAAGCTTTTTGCTATTTGTCTTTCAAAGGTCTGATTAAAATAAAATTTGAGTCACAGTACGCATCTTTTTGACCTCAAGACAAGCAGTAACTGCTCTGCTATGCTGATTTTATTGGGTCATACAGTTACCAGTGTTTTCCAACACTTTGTGTATTTTTAACAGTGCAATCTGAAACACTTGGTAAACCATGTGCACAACCTTTGCCACCCTGCCTCTTTTTTGTGACTACCGGCTGTGTAATTTCAATTTTAACAAATATTGTTAAACAAACTAGTCACTGAGTCACTAGGAGAATTGTTTCAGAGACTGCTGTCGCTTCAGTGGAACAAAACAAAACAATAAAAAATAATTTACCAACAGAAGCTTGGGGCCATTAGCTTTCTACATAATGAATAATGTGACTTGAACTGCCTAGGACCAAGTACTTTCTTTAATCTATGCATCCTTTTATATACAAACTCAGAAATAAAGGTGATTATATCTTAGCCAGTGATTCACAAAAATGTTGTCAGTCAAAATAAGAAATAGAAAGGATAACCTGGAAAAAAATAACTCGTATGTTTAACCACAGATTGTTAATTTGTTTAAATATTGTATTTTGCAATAGTAATTATTTTTTCTGTAGCATATTAATGAATTGAAATTCTGTCATATTTTAGAAAATTCCATTATTCAGTAGGAAGAAAATCTTCAGAGCTAATATATTCTGAGTGTTATGGTTAAAAAAAAGTACATATTATTATAAGTTTTCAAATCTGAATATATTTTTAAATATATTCAGGAATCAATCGTATATGTTACCATTCTAAGCAGGTGGAATTAAAATAGAATAATCATATATAGTTTAACAGAGGCAAATATATTATTCACTGTTGACTTACAGTTTTATTTTATTTTGATTACTGTGAATATACTTAATTTACAAGAGACGTTTGAGAGATCAGGTTATTTAAAAGCTATAAAACCTAATTCCATATGTTCTCATGCAATAATAATAATAAAGGTGGGAGGCATCCTTGTGAAGTGAATGTTTTCATAATTCGTGTTAAGCATGACACCAAAAGATGCAGAAGAGGTCTTAGGAGAGTAAATTTTTCATGAAAATCATAGTAGTCAAAATGATAAATCCATTAATCAAATTGGCTCAAAAAATAAAAGTCATGGTCAGGGAAAAAGGGCTGTTTTCTTTGTTTTGCTTTCTATTATAGTGGAAACCAGGTCCTCCAATAGACCCAACAGGATAGAAAACCTTCCTTATCCCAGATGTGCCCAAGGACTGTCACCTGGCCTTAGAGACCCCACATCCTGAAAGCGTGTCTGAGTCAGTTGAGCTATCCTAATTGTTCATTCCCTGTGAAATCACTTTATCATATGCTCTTTGGTCCAGTTTTGTTTATTTACTTACTTATGAGATGGAATTTTGCTTTTGTTGCCCAGGCTGGTGTGCAATGGTGCAGTCTCAGCTCACTGTAACCTCTGCCTCCTGGGTTCAAGCGATTCTGCTGCCTCAGCCTCCCAAGTAGCTGGGATTACAGGTGCCCCACTACGCCTGGCTAATTTTTGTATTTTTAGTAGAGACGGGGTTTCACCATGTTGGTCAGGCTGGTGTTGAACTCCTGACCTCCAGTGATCCGCCCACCTTGGCCTCCCAAAGTGCTGGGAGGTCCAAGTTTTTAAAATACAAACAAGACTGTTCTTTCCAGAGGTTTGTCATGGTGTCCATGTCTAAAGTTGGCTGATGCTACCATTCCTTTTGAAATTCACTTACACTCACTTCCCCCCCTACCTCGGGTATATGAAATTAATGGGAGGTTAGCAGTAGCAAAAATAGAAGGTGAGGGCAAAAGCTGAGGGAAAACACATAGGTGGCCCACAGGAAATAATAAAATCCTTCAGGAAGCTGTAATTATCCTCCATTCCAGAAAGTATTTCTACCTGTTTCTCAGCTGGTGTTTAATTTCTCTCTCTTTTTTTTTTTAACGGAGTCCTGCTCTGTCGCCAGGCTGGAGTGCAATAGTGCAGTCTCATCTCACTGCAACGTCTATCTCCTGGGTTCAAGTGATTCTCCTGCCTCAGCCTCCCAAGTAGCTGGAATTACAAGCATGAGCCACTGCTCCGGCCTAATTTCTTTTTCTTAGATTTCACTTAGATTTCCTCCTACCATGTAGATGTTTCAGAAGCATGTTATACCTTCTCTAACAAGGTCGCCAGCTCAGAGGCAAACCTAAGAATTTAAGGAATAGGCAAAGGCATCAAGTAAGAAGAGCTCTTTAACCACACACTTAATATGAGAAAACAATGCAAATTTCTCATTAAAGACATCATTCCCACTTGAGTTATCAGGATCTTCTGGGATCAAGCACAATGTGTGTAGAACCTGGTGGGAATTTCCTGGTCTTGAAATTGTCAAGGCATTGTAGATTCCCGGAACACAAATATGAAGATTAGATGAAAGCTGCTGAAAGTGAGGACAGGTTCAGAGCTGCCATAGGTATGAGAAAAAGCAAAGACGCTGCCAGCCCCAGTGAGAAAGCCTTAGAATAAGCAGACTTTTCCCCGCGAGGCAGAGGAAGGAGAGGACTCTCTCAGTAACACATTATGAAGATGTATTGAGGGATTTCCCCAAAAGTTAAAACATATGAATATTGGCCAGGCACAGTGGCTCATGCCTGCAATCCCAGCACTTTGGGAGGCCAAGGCAGGCAGATCACTTGAGGTCAGTAGTTTGAGACCAGCCTGACCAACATGGTGAAACCCCATCTCTACAAAAAATTAGCCGGGCATGGTGGGGCACCCCTGTAATCCCAGCTACTTGAGAGGCTGAGGCAGGAGAATCGCTTGAACCTGGGAAGCAGAGGTTGCAGTGAGCCAAGATTGCCTCACTCCACTCCAGCTCTGGCAATAGAGCCAGACTTTGTCTAAAAAAAAAAAAAAAAAAAAAAAAAAAAAAAAAAGAATACAGATACTGACAGATACTGATCAAACAATAAGGCACTTGCACTTGAACAGTAACTGATGTAACCAACTCTTAATGTACTGAGTTTTTGTTATATCACTGTAGGCACAGGTGGATGTTCCAGTCATTTATTTTGTTAAATGTATGTATTAACCACTTATTAATGGCAGGAACAAAGGGTCTCTGTCCTTGTGGCATTTACATTCTAGTCAGAAAAGGCCAAAATCAACCTTTTCAATACTGGAGGGCCAGATCGATAATGGCTTTGCAGAAGGACAAAGCCAGGTCAACAGTAGAGTAGAGCACCTTTTCTCAAAATATACTTGGGAATTCTGGGGTCTTCGTGGCCCCTGATGGGGACTTTCAAAGCCAAAAGGTTTTCATAATAATACTAAGAGATACTTGCTTTCCCATTCTTTTTCTCACACGAATGTTTTTGAAGATTTCCAGAGACTACATGGCATGTAACAACATCATGTCCCTGACAGCTCTGGGAATGTGTGCTGCATATTCTTCTGTTGGAAACATTTTGAGTGACTAGCATCATATATACCCAGATAAAATAAAGCTCTTTGGAGTCCTCTATAATTTTGAGGGTTAAGAGACCAAGAGTTTTGAGAACCACTAGAATAAAGAATGATCGAAGGCCAGGAAATCCTCTATTGTGAGAAGACATTGAATCAGAGACCTGAAAGAAATGCACCAGCAAGCCATGCAGATCAACGGGGGGCAAATGTGTGATGTGTCACAAATCAAAGACTGGTTCTTTAAACTGCTATGTTCCCATTCACAAATTGTAGTGTTTTCTGAGTTTCACTTTTAAATTTTATTTTCTTCAAAACCAATTTGTATTAATGTTTTATTTATTTTTGCAAGTATTGATAGTGAGAAATACGAATATATCAGATCCTCTTTAAACTATTTATGAAGAAATAATGTTTTTCTTCTCCTTGTGCTACATTAATTTTTAATGGCAAATAACCTAAAGACAAAACTTTGTAAGGTATAGTTGGGAATTGGAATGAACGATGAAAAGTACACTTCTCTGATTACAATATTATGTGCAATCTCACTCATGATAAAATTCTTTGGGTACACATTCCAAACTAAAGTTATACATTTGAGAGTTATTTTTATGATAAATGTCAGTTTGCTCATGTCTTCCATTTTACACCATTGTAAAGAAATTGAGTGACCTTGCAGCCATAAAAAAGGATGAGTTCATGTCCTTTGCAGGGACATGGATGAAGCTGGAAACCATCATTCTCAGCAAACTAACACAGGAGCAGAAAACCAAACACTGCATGTTCTCACTCATAAGTGGGAGTTGAACAATGAGAACCCATGGACACAGGGAAGGGAACATCACATACAAGGCCCGATGGAGGATGAGAGGGAAGGGGAGGGAGAACATCAGGACATATATCTAATGCATGCAGGGCTTAAAACCTAGATGACAGGTTGATAGGTGCAGCAAACAACCACGGCACATGTATACCTATGTAACACACCTGCACATTCTGCACATGTATCCCAGAACTTAAAGTAAAATAAAATTTAAAAAAAAGAAAAAAAGTTGAGTGACTTACTGTGTAGTGCAAACATTTGACCAATCCTTTATGTATCCATCCACAGTAGTCAAACTTGGAAAAGCGTACTAATTAAGCCAAGGACATTGGATAAGTCTAAATCAGTTTAAAAACTAAATGGGTACTTCTATATTCCTGGGACCATTAACGTTTTAATTTTCACATAAAGCATTACACATTGAAAGCAACTGACCAGACGAAATAGATATTCTGGAGACAGAGGCTTAGAAATGATATTTATAAACACACCTGCCCGTCAACTCTGAAGCTTTCTTGCATAACAAGCCCCTTGGGCTTTTTCTCTCAGCTCATTTTTGGAATGGTAGATGCGCTGAGCCACTATTTTTAGGGGACCTCCTCAGAGAAACTCCTCCAAATGAGCTTTATAAGTTACTAACGAAGATCAGGAGAAAACAACCACTTTATCATCAGTAGCTACCTCTTACTCTAAGTTAATTTGTAAATGGGCAAGTTCTTCTGGAACCCATAAAGGTGAAACTGCTGCTACAAATGAAATCATTAGTAGTGAAATTTAAACAGAATATTTTTATTCTGCAGAGTTAAGTCTGATCAAAGTGCTTTGAATCTATTTAAATCAGTTTGGTAATTTTAGAAATAATCAACAATTTTTCTCATTGATTTTGTAATGGTCCAATAACCCTTTTGTATGTAAGTTCTACCATCTGTTTCCTTTATTCTTACTTAATATTTTCTATTAAAATATTGGGAGGTGACATTTAAGCAGCAGTTTAAGTTTGAGAATGAGTTTTGAGGTTGATGGAAAAAAGAATTTCAGGCTGAGGAAACGGAGAACTGTCTCTAAGTGCCAAAAGATTTTAGCTCCTCATCTATTTGCTCTGACATTAGTTTTGTTGTTGTTGTTGTTTTATTGCATGCAGGCCATTTTAATGAACTGTGCCTTGTATGTTTTGTTTGTAAGATGAAAGCTTGCAGGTTGTTGAAAGAAAGCATGAATAATGTGTGGGAGAGTCCTACAATAAGGTTTTCAAGACCAAAATATCCCTGTGAAGGTTTTATTATTATCAGACCATGTGGCTATGCAATTAGATAATCAGATAATAATAACTGATATTTATATAGCAGTTAAAATTTTTCCAAGCACTTGCACATCCATTATCTCCTTAGGTGTTCAAATTTGGAAAGATTACAATTTGTTGTGACAGAATCATGAAGTGTGCTTAAGAACACACATTCTGAAGCCAATCTGCTATTTTTGTTTAACCCCAGGCCCACGAGTAACTGTGAGGTTTCAGTTAATGGATCCCTCAGTTCCCCCGACATTAGTGGGAATGGTTGTACCTTCCTCGCTTAGATGTCATTAAAATTGAATGGGTTAGTAGATGGAAACTGCTCAGGACAATCCTTGGAATTTCTTAAGTACTCAAAAAAGGTTAACTGGTCATTACTGTCACTGTCATCATCATCTTTGTCATCATCATCTATGGTCAAATAAGTATGGAGATGGGCTAGAGCCCAGGTCTGTGGATGTCCAGTCCTGGATTTTTTTCAACACACGTTCAGATACTCCATTAGTGTGGTTGTGACTTATAGAATAACTCGGGAATGCCACATTGTAGACCTCTGGCCTCTTCTGTATTATTACAAAGTATATTCTTTAATTGAAGGTCTACTGTATTCTAAGGCAGATGTTCAGCTAACGCAGGCAAATATTAGCAATTCCAAATAAAGTCTCTTTAAAACTAGGTAAACAGAACAAGTGCACATAATCATGGAAACTCTAAAATACTCAGTTAATCTGATCAGAAGAAGCTGGCCATATTGTGTCTGTGTTATATAGTGTCTGTATTGATATGACCTATAAGTGGGTCTGAATTTTTATGCAGAAAATTAACATTTCAACCTCTACATCTTCTGAGATTGATTTTGTCCCACGAATAGTGGACAGCGAGTTTCCTCTAGCCAGCACCTGGAATCTGTAAGCAGCAGTTCACTGGAGAAGCACCAAAATCTGAGGCATGAAGATTTCTCCTGCAAACAAGTGGATTTCTGTTTACACAGGACTTTTTCAACCTTAAACTGCTGACATGTATATATGACTTAAAGAAACAGTGTTTTGATATTAAACAACAACAACTTTTGGACTTGGAGACAGAAGATAAGGATCCAAGCCTCTTCATGTTACCATGTCTGTGACACTGGCTGCCAATTTAACCTCTTTGCCTCTGCCTGTACTTCTAGGACAAAAATGAAGATCATGCAGTTTTTTTCACAGGTTGCTGTGTAGTCTCTAACCAATTCATACATGTGAAAACATATTGAGACATTGGTGTTACACTCAAGATCCTTGCTTCATGTATCTTCTTAGGATTAATGGAATCAACTTTGTAGTTCCCTTGGAATTTCTTCTCTCTATCCAGTTAAGGATAGTAGGTTTTGTTTCAGAACAAAGAAAACTGTCTTAAGCATCATCAATGTATGAGGAAATGGTTTCACCTTTTCTTCCTGGCTCACAGGGGTGATTCATTTTGGGAAAACCCTTGGGCTCAGTTCTGAGGACTATTCTATCATGGAGAAGGGCCAGATGGTCAAAGAAGTCACTGTGACCCCTCAGGTCAGCGTCTTGAAGGCAAATGAGACCATGGCTTCTGCTCTCTGTGGCCAAGAAGGACATGATGATCCGCTGTTGCTCACAGTTCAGATGTCTACTGGAAATCATTACATTAAAGACAATAGCCTGTTTCCCTGGGTGAAATGTTAGGGTCCAGCTTCTTTCTCTTCGTCTACCATTTCTTTCCATATCACCCACATCCTTCAGGTCATAGATTCCATAGGTTCAGGACCACAGCCTCGTTTTACCTCTAGCCCAAGCAAGGCTTGATTAAAAAGTCAAAAGTTCCAGAGGAAAAAAAAAACATAATTTAAAGCCCAAAACTATAAATGCTTTTTAAATCCTTGGCAAATTTGTATTTTCTACCTCATTGCACAGTAATATTAATAAAGCTAATTGAAAGTTAGTTACATTTAAATTGTACTTTCATTATAAAGTAGTTAAGAATTGTCCTAAAATTTTAACGTGTTTCATATGTCTGTGCTCTCTAAAATTAGAATGAGTAAATGACACTGATTTAAAACCTAGTGAGCAATGGAAAAACATTCTAAAATGCATACATGGTTTTGGCTATTGTCTTGACTGTTCTGTCCTTGCCAGGTGATATGTCAGTGTTGTAATATTCTGATACATTGCTCATTGTTGCAATTACTTTTGTCAGAGTACATCTAGTTTTCAGTGCTTGAGATGTATGAATAGAGTAATGAGATAGAAAATCCTGGTTACTTTTCATTGAGTACTGATCAAATACACAACTGATTCTATAAAAGATGAAGAGATTTCATTATTCTATCATATATATTCTGGGAGCAAGTAAACCACATTTTTAATTTAAATTCTTTTGAAAAGGGACTTTACATTGTCATTAGAAGATACTGTACAGACAGCATTTGTAAGTTTCTGGAGATAATTGTATGAGTCTATTCAGAATATACAAAGTTATTTAACTTGCTAACTACATACTCAAAACAGTTCTTCAGAGCAATTCCTGCATTCTCTTTGAAAGACAAATAATGAGGACATGCAACTGTCTAAGATAATGCTAAACTTCTTCCATGAAATTAAGTATTTTGTTTATGTGTTTATTTACTTCATTCTATTGATATTTCCAAAGGTCTGTGCACTGTCGTTGTATCTGCTTTAACCTTCTTTGCCCTTAGGATGCATTACTATCTCAAGGGGGGAGGAGAGGCTGGCCAGTACAAGCCATTATGCCCAGGTAGACTGTACAAAAAAGAAAGAACCAAGAAAGCTGCAGCAGGCAGCCCTCCTTTGTCAGGTAGAATGGTGACCACCCAGCTGAAAAGGCCTTTGCTTTTCCACCATAGCTCACTCCCACCATTAAAATGTGACCTTCGGAGGGACAAAGGGTAAAGCCCTTAGCCACAGTTGTCACTGTCTTCCCAGTGCCCACCTCCTTCTCCTCCGCTTTATGGTTAGTCTCCACTTGCCCCACCTCCAGAGGCTCTCCCATATCTCAGCCTGCCTGTCACTTGGACCTCAGACACTGTTCTTTGACTCTGCTGGGCCTGGCAGCTTCCATAGCAGTGATAGGGACAATACGTTCCTGGCACCCAGAATCAAATTCTAAATGCATCTCCCCTCAGAGACTTCCTTATATTCAGTGATTGAGTCCTATAATGCCATTAGGACAGAATAAATGATTTTTTTTCCAGGCTATTGGAAATGTTACCATCTGGTACATACTGTTTTCTCAGGACTGGGTTTCTTAAATTAAAAGTGAAGGGATTGCATTTGTACTTTTGTTACACCCTTCATGATGAAGTTGTGGCTGGATGAAAACACTTTTATTTCCTTGCTTACCTTTTTTTTTTCCAGAAACCGCATAGATTCCAAAATAACTGTACTAGTTAATTGGCATATTATTCAATATAAAATGTTGATGAAAAATTATCTTCATGTTGTTTCAAATACTGATGAAAAAATATCTTGATGTTGTTTCAAAGTTCCATCAGAAAATCAGAGGGATTGGGAAGGCTTTAAGTGCCAAAGAATTTGTGAACCAATGTTATTTAAAAGAGGATGCATTATTTTTATGAAAGGTGATCCACATCATGTCTCATTCGAAATATAAAGTCATGTTCCATTCTTAAAAAGAAAAAAATAAGGAACTTGAAATTTGCTCATACTTATCAGAAGTGATATTATTGTCTAAAACAGCCAAAGAGGGGGATCAAGAATGATTTAATGGTTATGCTATAGTCTATATGTGTATTATTACACTCCATCGAATATATGACTTTGTACTATGGTACAAAGAGGCAGGAGAAAACTTGTATTGCCAAGTTTTTGCCACTGACACGCTCTTCTTACCCCAGCCCCTCTCAAACACACACAATGGAAAATAACAAGTACATTTACTCTCCTCCATATTTATTTGATCCCTAAAGAGAGTATTAAATTTGATCAAAGAAAATTTGCTTAAAAAGAAAATGGGAAAATGTTTGCAAGGATCTCATCTAAAAAGAATATAAGAAAACAAAACACAATTTCATATGCAACGTATAATTAAGTAAGACCAGAAACTGATTCTTCACCCCTTGTAATATCAGCTACATGCGTGGCATGAATTTGAACACCGTATGTTCTCTTTGTTCTCCTACTGTGCACTGCTGGGATGGTAAAGGTAACCAGTCATCAGGGATTATGTGAGGCGACGGTGAATTCCACATCGTACAAAGAGCTATTAATATTTTAAACACTGTCTACCCTTCAGGCACTGAGGTATTATATCACTATTTATACAGTAGAATTTGTCAGTGATTGGAAGGTTTCGAGTGTTTTAGCATCTCCATCATTAAGTAGGAGATATAATTATATTAGCAAAATTAACAGGTACCGAAAAGTAGAGTTTTACATTATTTCAAATGTTTCTGATATTGTCTGATCCCAAAATAACTACTTGATTAACTAATTTGTCTCATAAGAAATGTCTCTATGTAGGTCAGGATGAGATCATTTGAAAAATCTACTCCTTTGAGAACTTTTAAACCACCACCAAAAAAAAAATAAAAAATAAAAAATCTCATCTGAGAGCTGGAGTCAAATTATATGGTCATTTTAGTTCTCAGAATTTTAAGCATGGATGGCTGGAATCATGTGCATGAGATAATTCTAGGCTACTCTCAATAAATAATACATGTCATTTCTGCTTCACTGAGACTGTCACTGACTGCTCTAAATGACTTTCAATGCAGGGCCCAGCCTGCTCTCCCAGAGTGCACTTCAGCTCAATTCCAAACCTGAAGGGTCTTTCCAGTATCCGGCCAGCTACCATAGCAACCAGACCCTGGCCCTGGGGGAAACCACCCCTTCACAGCTCCCGGCCCGAGGCACACAAGCCCGAGCTACGGGCCAGAGCTTCAGCCAGGTAGGTACCCAGTGCTGTATGGTGTCAGTGGACTCCAAGGGGACAGGTGGGGAATGGGCATGCAGTGGATGTGGAGATTGTGGAGATCCAGCCTGCCTTTTTTGTAGGTGTGTCCCTCAACTTGAGGGAAAATGCCCTTTGGTGCTGTGAATGAAGAAAATAAATAATAAAATACAATTATGGAGTAATGCTAAATTACAGACATTTTCTTTAGAAATATCTATGTATTGTTCACGCTATACCTGTCTTATATATGTTTCCCTGTGTGACTATGTCAGTGTCCATCTAGTTACTCCCTCTATGTCTATATGTGATATAAGTATGATATACATTCTGAATTTGTGAGTGTACTCGGAAAAAATACTGAGTATTGTGTCTCCTAAAAAAAAGCATGGGATTGCTTTGTGGTTTTTGATATCAATATAAAGAAACATACTATAAATGTGTAATCAGGTAAACAGAACTGTTTGGAAAATGATTGTGATGAGTTTAGGCATAGCTGCATTTTGTGAAGTCTGATTTTGAAATTTGCCCTCCATTGTTTCTTTAAGGCAGGTGCTTGATCTTACAGTTTCACTGCACAAATACATTAGCTGCAGTTAAAACCAACTCTTGGTAAAAAGAAGCAGCTACCAATCTGGAAATTTTTTTTTTTCAAGAAAGATGTAAATGTTGTTATTTAGAAGAGAGGAGAGAAGGGATGCTAATATTTTAGTTTTTATAATTTTGAGGTACCCACCAGAGTATAATTTTGATCATCACGCCAGAGTTAATTTATTGGAAGGCTGTCTTGTTTTAAGCTTATTTTCAGCAACATAAGTCCTTCTAACCTCTGTGTTTTTGCTTCTGGAATGAAGAACTGCAAGCCCCACACCACGTTTGCAGCTGACAAAGTTAGTTTCAGCCCTTTTGCATTTATTGGGCACTATCTCTTCCAGGAACCCTTCCTCTGAAATGCTCACTATGCACCACTGGCTCTGTAACCCCCGAGCCCATCTCTTTCACCAATTTATTGATGTTATCCATCCAGGCATTCCTCTAACTAAACTGAAAGCTACTTGAGGTCAGGACTTTTTTCATGTT
Source organism: Homo sapiens (assembly GCF_000001405.40). Lineage (NCBI taxonomy): Eukaryota > Metazoa > Chordata > Mammalia > Primates > Hominidae > Homo > Homo sapiens. The sequence continues at coordinate 11,395,947 of NC_000005.10, read as the reverse complement.
TGTATCAGGAGCACCTGGCAGGCCACATGGCCCCAAAAAATGAATGCAGAGGTGAGAGGCAAAGAGGGTTAACAGCCTGGTGCAGGCACCACTATGTGTTCATTTATGTGACATTCACATTATTGAAGCAGGAGCTGGAAGTTTTTTGGATTTCCACTACTAACATTAAATTACTGTGCCAGAAACAATTTTTAAAATGTCATTACCTTCTTCAAGCAACATCCTTGTTCATCAGTGGCTTTGTAAGTCTTACCTTCTCACAATGCTGAATGATAGGAATATGGGTAAGAGGAACTGATAAAACATTCCATTGAGATAAAGGGCCTGTCCCTCTACCCACATTCAAAGTTGCTTTAAAGTTTAATCAGAAAGGGTTACTAAGTTATAAAGATATCAAAGCTCTGTATCTGAAGTCATCAGAGTTATAGTTTGAAGACATCGATAAATGTAAATGTTCAAAGATATAACTTAAGTTTGAGGCAAAGGTTACTGGTAGACTCACTTACCTGGCAGTGGGTAGGATGCACAAGTATGAATAATCAAACCAGGAGTTGAAATGTTCTAATTCACTCTACTAACAGAAGGGAAACCATTGTGGAATATCTGAATTCTCATTTATTTAACTCAGTGGTAGATATTGGTATTATAATTTACTTTAGCTGTGTGCTGAAGTATGAAAGGGATGCTTATTGAATATTCTGTAGCGCCTGTGACTTCAATGTAATGTCAGAGAAACGTTCAACAAATAAGCCAGCATTTTCACTCTGCTTTTAGTGTTATACCCTTGAGAGAAGGGAGGCCACATTCCATTCCAATAATGACACTATTGTTCAGATCCCTCTATTTGAGTGGTGTGATACTTTTCTTTTCAAAATTCTGATCCGTGTGAAATCTTACTCCTTCAAGCCGAGGTTAATTTTTACAATATCCTGTAATAATAAATTGCCACAAGGCCTAATATAATTCAAACGATGGCTAACAGATGTCAGACCAAGTGAGTATGGTCAATAATCAATCAAAACAAAAATATTCTATTTTTTTTCTAAAAAACTATGTAGTTCTAAAGTAAAGCAATAATTTTTTATCTGGTTCGTAAATTTAAATGTAATTTCAAAGGAGTATTATAAATGCTCAAAGATTCTAATTTCAGTATTTAAAAATCTCTATTCAGCGTAATAAATGCTTATTCAGTGATCATCACCAGGATCTACAACAGGCCCTGATGATATGTGTGTAACCCACATTGCCCCAACTTATCAGCCCAAAACTCAAACTGTAAGCCACCCAAATTGCCATAAAATATTTGTTCTCTGACATTACTCTTTAAAATCATTCTTCTGAGACTTAGGATGAGTTCATGGAGCTGGTCCAGAGGAGAGAGAGTAGACTACCCTTCCCATCAGACCCCAAGGCCATTCTAGAAAGTGACCTGAACTGATTTACAGATATCCTTTCCCCACTGCCAGCACTCTGCTCAGCTATGCTGCAAGCTCCTGCCCCAGCCTCTAAATAAGTTGTGTAGGTCACCCCTCCACAGACCCCTTCTTCTTCCAGGTCAACCTTCACCTTTGTGTGTCTAGGTTATTCTTTGATGCATTCAAGATGTTTATCATGTGCCAATTGATGCCATGAGCCCATGTGCTTGGGATGGAGAAGTAAAGAAAGTAGACATGATCCCAGTCCTCAAGGAACTTCTATTCTAGCATCAGGGATGGAGACTCAGAAAATCAACACAGCAAATAAGTAAATTGCACAGTACATTAGAAAGTGATGGTTTCTATGGGAAGGAAATGGATACAGACCAGGGTAAGCAAGATCCAAAGTGCATGGGGGAGTGCAGCATGATAGGGACCTCGAGGAGACTTTTGGGCAAAGACATGGAGAAGAGGAAGGAAGCTATATGGCTCCCTCTGCACAGCAAATGCTGTGGCCCCTGGATGGGGCAGCCTGGCATGCTGACAGAGCAGCAAGGATGCCAGAGTGGCTACAGTGGACTGCAGGAGTTGTGAGGTGATGGGAAACCACTCAGTCATTGGTAGGATTCCTTTTTTTACTGGGAGTGAAGTGAGGAGCCAGTAGAGAATTTCAAGCAGAGGAACGACATGATCTACCTTATGTGTTAAAAACATTACTCTGTCATATAATAAGTGATATCCTATAGTTAGTTGCATTTAAGTCTGTTTCTTCCTATTAGATTGCCCTGCTGCAAGAGCGAGAACGATGCAAGACTTACCTTCATATCCCTCATAATTGACCCAGGGTTCACCAGATATCCATCAGGTTCTGCCAAAACCAGACTGATGTTTTATAATTATTCTGTGCTGGTTTGTGGGTGGGCTAGAAGATAAAGAAGTTGGCTTTTTCCACTCACATAAAGTTTCCATTGGATTATATGAAATGCTAAATATAAAACTTCTGGCAAAGAGGAGCCAAAAACCAACTCTAAACATGTTGGTTTCACCCCATGTCCGAATAAAAAATAGTTTCACCAAGCATTTTGTCCCTCAAACAAAAAAACTATGCAAGAAATATAAAAATATACATCTGTAGACAGAGCACTGGCAAAGGAGTACACAAGCCTAAAGATTTCAAAATCTTTGCATATTCTCCAGTAGAATTGAACAGTGTGCACAACCGCAATCTTAGGGAAATGGCCTGCTTGCTGTAAGAGAAATTAAGAATTGTATGATAGTTCTCTAAAATAAAACTGAACAGTGGTAAGTGTTCTAGAAAAGCAATACACTTTTTGAGAAACAAAATTTCCATTTCTTTTTGATCTGGCTTATCTATTTAATGTTGTGCTGACTTCTATGTCTTAAAAGTCCTCATTAATGCTATATCATAATCATAAGTACACCATCTGCTCACTTCTTTCAGAAGGAAGTGTGTTCATTGTGTTTGGAACATTGCTTATTGGTGCACACTCATGCGGGTGGATGTGAAGGCTGAGGGGAAGGGGAAGTTGAAGGAAGAGCAAGTTCCCTGTAAACACCTATGTCTTGAGTGTTGAATAAAAAGGGTGGTAAAGACAGCTAGTATGACTTCACTCCCATTTGCTTAATTATGAAATAAGTTGTTGTTAGGTAAAACCTGCAGAGAAAAGTCACCAATAAATTTGGAAAACACAAAAATTGCAGAGAGATTTTTAACATAAATGTATACACTATGCAACATTTAGAAGAGAATTCATATTGTTTCACATATTTTCCTTGGCCCGTATTTGCAGGAAAGTGGCAGAATATTTGTTTTTAAGATAGTTTTAGGATGACTCTCTGTTGTGAATCCCTATTCCTTGCTTTGCTTTAAAATCTTTTCTCTCCATTTTCTCTTTCCAGGATAAGCAAATTTAGTTTGGCTTCAATAATGGAAACGTTTCTCATGGCAGAGAGGGTGTATATGTGTTTTGCTGTAACATTTTCTCTTCTGAGCAAATATTTGGGCTATTGCAGTTATATTAAATGAGCCTCTTGCTGAAATAAAGTTCTGTGTAGTATATTTTTGCGGGTGCTCATGTAGGTTTTAAGAAAGAGTTGCCATCAAGAAATCTCTCCTTACGTATTCTTCAAGATAAATCTATAAGATACTTACATCATTGCTTTATTTCTTTCTTCTCTATTTTCTTTCCACTGGTAGACCACAGAAATGGCCATATGAAATACTTTTCAGAACATTTACTGATAATGATCCTAATCAGTTTTCTTTAAAGGGAGGTAAAAGGGTAGGAAAAATCAGTACTCAAGGATGCAAAAATCTACGTCACCATGTTTGCACTTGTGACTTAGAGACCTGGGGAAAATGAATCCATTGCCGCCTCCTTCTAACTGCAGTGGCAGAGACAAAATAGTTTGCAAAATTTCTCTCTCTCACTTTCTCTCTTGTTCTTTCTCTCCCCCTCCTCCATAATTTTGGGACCATTGGGCAGAGAGAAAGCAGCGAGGGTGGTTTCTGTTATTATTTCCAGGGATATAGTTGCTTTTATGGTCCTTTTGATTTGGATGTTCCCATCTGAGGAAAGGAATTTCTTCCAAGTACCTTGGGTTTTCCGTTACTTAAGTTCAGTTTGTTGTGGACACCACCTTTCAGTGTCAGTGGGACATCACCACCAGGTAAACCCAGCCCTTCTTTTCTCACCAACAGTAATGATCCCAGTGGTGATGACTTCAGGGAAGGTGTATAAAATGTGCATAGAAGCTATCTCTTCTTTTATGTTACATATTAGCTTTTACCAAAACCAGCACCCCTCAAGAGAATCATCAAACAAGGCCCTGGATGATTTTATTTAGTTATTGACAAAATCAAACTTTTCTCGCAGTACCAGAGTTTTCTTCCTTTGGAATTAAAGAATGGCATTCCTTTGGAAGACGATTTGAAAAGAAAACTTTCCAAATTTTTTGAGCAATGGTGTGCATGCTCAAGCAAATTCATTACATCCCAGGGAGTAAGTTCAAGGCACACAACTTATTTGGGGATGTAGATTTGTTTTACTTGCACTATATTATAGGAACATTTCATATAGTACTAAATATGACTGTAAGCATTTTGGAGTTGGTGATTTCTTCATGTTTCAAAATTGTGAGATCAAATCGCCTTGTCTGTCTTTGTGTGCAAGCCCAAAGCTCTAGACAAACTTAAACTAGGAAAGTGCAACAATTTCTTAAAACTGTTAATCAGCAGCACAGAGCTGATATAACTCAGTTACCTTACCAGAGTGCTCTCAGTAGAAACAGACTTCTTTGAATATGTCATCTTTAAGCCATGCCCTGTTTTTTATTATGCAGGATTGATCCTGCCTTTCTTAACTCACTGAAGGAGTACATTTTGTCATTGCTTTTACTTTCTCATGTCCTTGTCACAACTTAAACCACTCTGCATTGAGACATCTTCCTCACACATGAGCTCCAATGTCTTCCTCCCCCAGTCCGTGGCCACATTCACATTTTGACTCCTCTGTGGCCCTGGCCCTGTGGCCTGTGCCTTCCTTTGAATGTGCTCCCCAGCTGCACCTGTCATAACCCTGTGCTTGCATGGGTACACTGCTCCCTGTGGTGACCTTAGGTGCCACCAGCCAATATTATCTGGAAAAGGAAGACATCATTAGTAACTAGGTTTGCCAGTCTGATTGTAATCCCAGGAAAACAGAAAGGGATGAATACAGTGAATGGGGGAGCAGACTGCTGATCCCGTTAAGCTGGACTCAGGGAAGCCACAAAACGGGGCTCCAGTTCTCCATTCCTGACACTGTTGGCCCGGCTGCCCAGCATCCTGGGCAAATAGGCCTCCTGTCCCAGAACTGGGGGACTTGCTGGCAATTTAAGAAAACTTGGCAGGTCTAAATGCATCTTCACAGGACCGCTCATAAATCATGAGCCTGCTTTATAAAATGTGCTTTTGCTTAGTGACAGGGCTTACTCATGATGAGAAGTCAAGATTCCTTAGAGATTACAGGCTGTCAGGTCTCTTGTTAACTGGATATAAGCATTGGGGGGATTTGTTTTGTTTTGTTTGCACTGCCAGATCCCCAAAGAATGAGGATTGAATAAATTTTCAAGTTCTGAGAATTGTCCCCTTATGACTCCTCTGCCATTCCTACTCCCTCCATAGAAGATTCAGCGTGAAAGAATCTGGAAGCAAATGTGCTTGGCACTAAAACGAGTGCCACTTTCTGGTTTAAGAGTGCCATATTCTTAGGGGCTCCTACTCCCCCAAAGAACAGTGTCTTAATTGTGGCCAGATAGTATTCTGTACAAACAAAAATACTCCATCGATAGATCTCCAAAATAACATCAAAGTAAAATACTCCATATAAGGGAATTGTTGAGAGCTCTTCAAAAACAAACTCCTCATTTGTACATGGTGTAGACAGGTCAAGCATCCCTTGTTTGAAATGCAGGGGATCAGAAGTGTTTTGGATTTCAGATTTTGGCGGGGGGCGATTTTAGAATACTTGCGTATCCATAATGAGATTTCTTGGGATGGGACTCCCCCCCAGTCTAAAGACAAAATTCATTTGTATTTCATACATAACTCATAGCCTGAAGGTAAGTTTATATGACATTTTAAATAATGTTGTACATGAAACAAAGTTTATGTACATTATACCATCAGAAAGCAAAGGTGTCAGGTGTAGAATTTTCTACTGTGACATTCATGTCAGTGCTCAAAATGTTTGGGATTTTTGGATTTCAGATTTTGGATTTTCAGAGTAGGGATTCCCAGACTGTAGTAGGCTCTTCTTAATGGTTTATTGAGTCAGTGAGTAAATTAATGCATCAAACTTGAGTACTGTTCATTAATGGCTGTTGGAATAATGTACATATTCCCTAACTTCCCATTTCAATATTTTTTCTACTATACTTTGTAAATACATCCTCCCCTTAAACAGTTCTATAAAATAGATATCAATGCATCTACAATTACACAAGAGGCCTCAATATACCACTAAGTACACACACACACACCATGTAATGTAAAAATTGTGACACTGAATATATCCTAAATCTGACCCATCTGAAACATATGTATACAGATAAAATAATTTGTAATAGCTTTGATGAGTTAATGTTCCATATTTTTCTTGAAAAATTTCCCATAAGGGAAACAAGAACTGAACTACACTTAATGTGCACCATACTCTACCTATCAGAAACTGTTGAATCAGAACATCTCCTTGATGGGGTTGTTTATCTGTGAACATTCTGCTTCCTTGTCCATTTCTCGTAAATGGGTTCCTCATTTTGAAGGAGTGGGAAAGACAAATAAAGTTGCCCTCGAGGCTGAGACTGATCCAAAGAGCTGAGAATGAAGACAGAGTCAAGAATTGTCTCTGCCAACAGCCTAGATGGTGTGACCAAGGATGGGGCCCAATCTATTCCAAGTATATCTAAATTTGTTATATCATTATTTTTATTTTCAGAGTCACACATCAATAAAAAATTATTTCAACTGTCTTTGCATGTACACACACATTTCCAAATATCTGCAGGGAAGCAGTATGTAGTAATCTTTAGTTTAAAAAAGGAAAATGAAACTTTACTTGAATTCTAACTTTAAAATCAGATTTGCAGCTTTATAGTGCTAACATACTTTTAAGGTAGAATTGAACTCTTGTGACACTAAAGTGAATACAATTCTGTATGTGTTGGAATGTGTTTCGATTATCTCTAATGCAACGATGGGTAGTAATAAACTGTCCTATGATTGTGCAGCTGGCTTGAATGACAGCCTCAGGTAACCTTAACTGACAAAGAGTTACTAAATCAAATTCGGTAGTGAAAGAAAACATAAGCACAAGGGTGAAAAGAGGCTCCCCCAAATTTTGTTTTTATTCAAATGATGCTACAAAACAAATTTCTCTGTTTAACCAAAGAATAGTTCTTAGGCATTTATTACTCTATAAGCCATTGAAATGGAGTATAGCACCCCTGGTTTATTTATTGTAAACTGCAGAGGAGCTTAGACAACTGTGCTGTCCAAGAAGGTGGCCACTAGTCACATGTGGCTGTTTAACTTAATTAAAGTTAAGTATGTACTGAAGTTCCTCAGCTGATTAGCCACATTTCAAGCTGTCAATCAGCCCATGTGTTCAGCGGTGCCATATTGAGCAGTACGGATTGAGAACATTCTCTACGTTGTAGAAAGCATTGCTGGTAACACACCAGTGTAGCTGGTGCTCCTGAGAAGGTGCTCTAGTTGATAATGGCTTCTTATGCAAATGGATTCAGGAGGCTTTTTTGGAAGTGCATTTTAGTACACAGTGGACAATACCACTTACTATGTTAAACAGTATATAAAATTTTATTGTTTATACTTTTCCTTTTTTCATGCCAAAATTATTAGCACAATTTTACCAAGATCCTATAATATCTAAAAGACTTTCAAATTGGTTGCCGTAGCTTGTCAAAATGTCTACAGCTCATGTGGCAGTTGTCAAGACTTCTACAGATTTGGGGTGCATTTAAGAAAACATAGGAGACAGTCGTATTCAGCACTTAGTACACCTGAGACTAGATGTTTTGACAGATTACAAGAAAAATAAAGTATTTGTAAAAAGCATTAAGGTTTTCACAGGATATATGTTCTAATATTTAAATATTAGAATGAATACCGACTTAATATTCTCATTTACATTGGTATGCTTTAGTTAGTATTTATTAAAAATTATGCTATTTGGTAATGGCATCGTTAGTGTACTCTAAGGTTGTTTTATTAATGTTACATAGCCAAGACATAACAAAAAGTTTTTGTTTTGTTGTAAACAGGGAGCAGAGAGTGCTCCTGAAACCTTAGAGAAAGGGTTCTTTCTTCTCATTTTGTTCCTGTGGGAAGGGTTTTCAGAAATTTTTGTCGGATGCTTTTCCATCACTTGCCAGCTGTGTTCTGCATGGCTGAGTGTTGCTCAGGCCCCAGTTGATAGGGAACCCCAGTAGAGCTTCAGAAGAAAAATGTCTGCAGCTTAGTGGTAGTTCTCAGAGCAACAGCATTTGCCTGCTCTGGGAGATTGTTAGAAATGCAGACTCTGGGGCCCACTCCGCACCCTCCAAATCCAAGTGTCTTCTGGAGCAGTGTTGGCAAACTTTGACCAGCACCATAATCACCCAGAGTACTGGTTAAAACCCAGATCCCTCAGCCCCTCCCCCAGAGTTTGTTCAGTTTATGGTGGGGGTATGATTCTGATTGCTCTGATTCCTCTAGAATTTTTTTTTTTTTAATGCTGAAAAGACCATCAGGGACCTCCCTTTGAAAACCACTGCTCTAGCGGGACGTGGGACTCATGCTTGGTTGCACAGTGAAATCACCTGCTGAGCTTCCAAAAAAAACTGATATATGGTCTCACCTTCAGGGATGCTGAATTAAATAGCAATGGTAAGTCATGAGTATTGAGATTTTTTTTAAAAGCACCCTTGGAGATTATAATATACAACTAGATTTGAGAAGCCCAATCTATTTAATACATGTTTCATGCTCAGAGCTGCCACTGGGAGAGAAGCAAAATTGCATCAAAGCCACCCCCTCAATGACTCTGGATGAAGCTAGACTATTTCTCTGGGGCTCAGAGTAAGCACACCCACATCTGTAGTGTTCGTTACCCATCCTCCACATATAAGACCCTCATAGCCTTGAGACTAACTTGAGGAACCATTCCACAAATATTCCTGGAGTCTCTGCTAGGAATCAGGCCCTGTTCTAGTTGCTGGGGACACAACATTGAACAAACTCATGGAGCTTACATTTTACTTTCACTCTTAACATTAAAATAATTGCTTTATGGATTGCATGTGTGTGTGAGAATATTTAAAATATATATACCGTACATAAATACATATGCATACACATACACACACTCTGCATAGAGAAAGTCTCTCACCAAACTGTTTACCTCCTATGCCAGGCTGCTCCTAATAGAGAATTTTGATGTTGCTCAATTAACTCCTTCAGATCTGCATATGAACTTGACATCCCAGATAAAATTTGGAATGCCTGTGTATGTGCAGTGAAAGTGCCCAGTCTATTATTTGCCAATTGCCATTCCAGAACGGGTAGAGAGGCATAATTGAAACTTTTAATGGCTAGCATCTGTTCAATCTTCTCTTCCTCCCTTCCCTCGATCTCTCTGGAGTCCTCCTCCCCACCCACCTCTCATCCCTCATTTCAAATCCCTCCTTCCCAGCTTCTCTCCAACTCTGTGTACAATCCTACTCCCTTTTCACACCAGCAGGCTCTCAAAATCCTCTCTGCTCCCCGGGGAAAGCCTGGAAGATCTGAGACCTCCTGCCCAGAAGTGGTTGACAATGTAGTGTTTTCATTCGAATGCAAATTTGTCTCTGGACAAGATTCAAGGAAAGTGCTTTCCCCTCCAACTGTCTCTCCAGCTCCTCCCCAGCCCTTGTTGTCTTTTGTGTTCTTGTAAATAAATGAGAGGCGAATGGCTTTCAGTTTGAAGACACAGCTGCAGGGGGCTCTTAAAGGGAGCTAGAGAGAGAAAGATGCTGAAAGATTGGGAGCCCAGTATTAAAATCTAGAAAAGGGAGGCTTTTTTAGCATTCTCATTTCCAATTGCTCTAATTCCTCTAGATTTTTTTTTAATGCTGAAAAGACGAAGCGAATTCATTCTGACTTAGTATTTTTCCCTCCGTTTAACTTTTCATTGTCCAAAAAGAAGAATCCACGCGACAATAGCAACAGAATAAACTGTAAGAAGTATGTTTATTCTTGATGTTCTCCAGATAAGTATGTAACTCGGCCAATCTCAGAGGTAGAAAGTGTATCTAATGAAATGACCTGGGGCAAGGGTGGGGAGTGGGGGACAGAAAAAGATTTACTGCCCGAATTTCTCATTAAAACAAACAGATTGTGATTGCGACCAGGGAGATCATGATTGCCCTGTCGGGGTGGGGCTTTAAAAATCTTTATGTGACTAATGCGATGCTTCTGCTATTTCCGAAATAACATCTACATGTAAGCAAACACAGGTCTCATTTGTCAAACGTGACTTCCCTCCAGTAGTCAGCTGGCCTGTGCCAGTGTCAGGACAAGAAATCCGCCCCAGGAGAGTTCGGGGCGCAGGTTCGCGTACTGCCCCGAGCGCAGCTGGGATCGCAGAGCCGCCGGGCGCCCGCGGCATCCCCGGTGTGCCTCTGCTCTCGGGGCCGGGCTGGGCCGGGTGGGCCGTGTGCTTCTCCCTCGCTAAGTGCGCGTGTTCTCTCCTCTCCCGGGCACAGGGCACGACCAGCCGCGCCGGCCACCTGGCGGGGCCCGAGCCCGCGCCGCCGCCGCCGCCGCCGCCGCGGGAGCCGTTCGCGCCCAGCCTGGGCAGCGCCTTCCACCTGCCCGACGCGCCGCCCGCCGCCGCCGCCGCCGCGCTCTACTACTCCAGCTCCACGCTGCCCGCGCCGCCGCGCGGGGGCTCCCCGCTGGCCGCGCCCCAGGGCGGTTCGCCCACCAAGCTGCAGCGCGGCGGCTCGGCCCCCGAGGGCGCCACCTACGCCGCGCCGCGCGGCTCCTCGCCCAAGCAGTCGCCCAGCCGCCTGGCCAAGTCCTACAGCACCAGCTCGCCCATCAACATCGTCGTGTCCTCGGCCGGCCTGTCCCCGATCCGCGTGACCTCGCCCCCCACCGTGCAGTCCACCATCTCCTCCTCGCCCATCCACCAGCTGAGCTCCACCATCGGCACGTACGCCACCCTGTCGCCCACCAAGCGCCTGGTCCACGCGTCCGAGCAGTACAGCAAGCACTCGCAGGAGCTGTATGCCACGGCCACCCTCCAGAGGCCGGGCAGCCTGGCAGGTAAAGGCTCGCTGCCACCTGGCGCGACTCACCTGGGCGCGTGGCGGGGACGCGGAAGCAGCAGCCCGGCTTGAGCAGAAGCGAAGCCGGGCGCGCTGTCTGCCAGGTTGTAGTAGTTGCAGGAGACAGAGAACGCCAGGGCTTTCCTGGAACAAGTCAGTATCTTCCCTACAGTTTGTCAGTGACTTCTTTTCCGGAGTAATGTGGTGTCTCAATCTCTAACACCTATATCACTCTCTTCTCTCCTCTCTTCTCTCTCTGCCCTCTCCCCAGCCTAAAGACTAACTCATAAAAGTAAGACACATTTAGGAAAGCATCCCATAGACCTGTTGATGGTATCCAGAAAAAAAGCAAAACAAGTAACAGTTGCAGTATTGACAGGGTCACCTTTAGTTGTCTACATTTCATTGTGGAAAAAGTAAGGGATTTTCTCAAATTAGACGTTCAGCTTACATAGTTTTCAATAGTAGTGGGGAAATAATTAATAATGAATTGCCTTGAATTATTACCCTTTTGTTTTGGCTTGAATTTATTTACATCTTTGCTAAATTAGTTATTGGGAAAACTAAAGGACTCTCCCATACCTGTCATTGGATGTACTTGGGTCCTAACATTTGCGACAAAGTTAGCAATGATGAAGTCCCTTAAATTTGTACCTGCTTTATTACAGGGAGGGAGGGGCTGGGCTTGGGGAGAGAAACCTGCTTTCCTCTCCCAGTTTAGAGGAGGTGACATTTCTGTGGTCGTTATGCCCGTCAGCGACCAGGCTGCGCTGGTGCCTCTCTGCTGTTAGCACCATATGCTCAGCTTAAACAAGACACCATGATTGAAAGACTAATGTTTTGTCTTCTGAAACACCTGACAACTAACCCGGATTTATTGTGAATTTTTTTTCCCTTACAGAAGGATTTGGTAATTGTGTCACTCTAGTAACAGATGCTGTGCTCATATGCTTCCTTTCTTGACACAAATAGATGACTGTGAAGATAAATAGGATTTAAAAAAGGAGCTTGTTGCATGCATGAGGCAGGTGGCCAAGGGCTTCTTTAATTCAGCACAGTAATTGCCAGTGTGGACTGGCCTGGCCTAACAGGATGCAGGCTAGGGTGCCACTGCCCACAAAATTATGCTAGCTACGTTTACTGAAATGAAAATATTCTCTCACTCACTGCCTCTCTCTCAAATAGAATTTTTGAGGTAGACAATTATTAGTGCCAACCCAGTATGAGTACCTAAATCTTCATGCTGTAGGGACTCAGGAGTAGCGATCTGCTTAGAAAAGGGGGCGAGTGAACATGTACTGAAACTTCATGTAAATGCTTTTGTAAAATAAGTTACCAGATCATGTCAAGAAGGGGGAGATGGGTGGAGTTCTTACGAGACTCCATGACACCCTTCTCAGCCATGCGCACCACCACAGAGAAGAGGAGACTGAGGCGCAGGGAGTCCAGGCGTCCTACTAGAGGCCATTTCATTTCTTACACTTACCTCATGAAAGAAATCAGGAGTCTTAGCTTCCAGTTCTTTCTCCCATGGGTGATTTGTGTAGACTTTTGCATGTTCTAGTCTATCATTTCAGTAGCAATCGAGAGTGTGGCCACATGGCTGAATATACCTGTGGAGAGGTTAGGGGAGGGTGAATGGAGCTGAATAGAGCCAACAGCTCCTTCTATCATTGCATCTAAGAAGAGGTAGTAAAAGTACATTGTAAAAATAGATTGTATTGCGCTTAGGTTGCAAACTATGGCCCAGGGAAGGTATAAGGGACAAACTCGATGCTTCTGAGAGATTAGGAATATTGCAACTCCAAGACCTCCATGCCTGATTTCGTGTGCTTGATACCATTCGAGGCGTTGTGAAGTTGGGAGCTACTTGGTTTGCTAGTTGAAAGAGCAGTTAGGTCAAGAGATGGCAAAACAGCTTTTGGAATTTCGGGGTTGTGATTTTAGAGATTTGTCACTGATGACTAGGAAGGGTGGATACAGGATATGTAGTGACTTTCACTAATTCATCATTCTACACACACACACACACACACACACACACACACACACACACACACACACACAGAGTCTCACTCTGTCGGTTGCCCAGGCTGGAGTGCAGTGGTGCGATCTCGGCTCACTGCAACATCCATCTCCTGGATTCAAGTGATTCTCCCGCCTCAGCCTCCCGATAGCTGGGATTACAGTCACCTGCCCCCACGCCTGGCTAATTTTTGTATATTTTGTAGAGACTGGGTTTCACCATGTGGGCCAGGCCAGTCTCAACCTCCTGACCTCAAGTGATCTGCTCGCTTTGGCCTCCCAAAATGCTAGGTTTACAGGCCTTAGCCACCGCACCTAGCCACCTTCAATAATTACTTTTAAGCACCTTTTATGTACTGCCATTGATTTAGATCCTAGGGATAAGAAATCAGCCAAAATCCTTGGCCTTGTTTCAAATGAGGAAGACAGAAAATTATCAAAATACTTATGATAGATGGCCAGGGAAGGCTCTAATTAGGAAGAGACTTTTTAATATATAATTTCCAACTTTTATTTTAGATTCAGGGGGTACCTCTCTGGGTTTGTTAGCTGGGTATATTGCATGATGCTGAGGTTTGGGGTACAGTTGATCCTGTCACCCAGGTACTGAGCATAGTACCCAATAGTTTTGTTTTGTTTTGTTTTGTTTTGTTTTGTTTTTTTGTTTTTTTGAGACAGAGTCTCTCTCTGTCACCCAGGCTAGAGTGCCGTGGCGTGATCTTGGCTCACTATCAGCTCCGCCTCCCAGGTTTACGCCATTCTCCTGCCTTAGCCTCCTGAGCAGCTGGGGCTACAGGTGCCCGCCACCACGCCTGGCTAATTTTTTGTATTTTTAGTAGAGACGGGGTTTCACCGTGTTAGCCAGGATGGTCTTGATCTCCTGACCTCGTGATCTGCCCGCCTCGGCCTCCCAAAGTGCTGGGATTACAGGCGTGAGCCACCACACCTGGTCCCCAATATTTTGTTTTTTAGATTCCAGTGATGCCATTAGTTAGTACACAGTACTTATACAGAAGGTAACTTTGAATCTGTCCTGACATAGGTGAGTGAGCTGGCCCTGTGACTATCTGGGCAGAAGGTTTTCTAAGCAGGAGGAACAGCAAGTTCAAGGGCTTATAAATGGGGGTGTGTCTGATATGTTTGCTGAGTAGCAAGGAGACCACGGGGGTTAATCAGAGAGAACAAGAGCAAACACATGACTTGAGGTCAGCAAGGTGGGAGTGGAAGGCCAAGTCTGAGAGGCCTTGTAAGTCTTGTGGAGAACTTGATGCTGCCTTTGCTAAACCCATGGGCACCATTGGGGATTTGAGCAGAGGAGTACTGCATTCTGATCTAGTTTGTAACAGGGTTACTTCGGCTGCCATTTGGAGAATAGACTATCAGGATTAAAGGCAAAAGCAAGAATGTCAGTTGGGAGCTGATTGCAGTAATTTAAGCAAGAGGTGATTATGGTTTGGGTTAAGATGGAAGCATTGGACGTTATGGAAGTGGGTATTATAGTTCTTGATGTATATATAAGGTGTAGCCACTGAGATTTTCTCATGCACTAGGTGATGAAGGTAAGAGAAAAAGAACTCAAGGATGCCACCCACCCAACAACCAGAAGAATAGAGTCACCATCAATTGAGAGGGAGTGGGCTGCAGAGGGACCGGGTGGTCTGGGAGTAGTTCTGGTAAATGCTAAGATCTTGGTTTTGCATAGGTGATATCTGTCAGAATCAAAGTGCATGTAGCCATTAGAAAGTGGGATATATGCAGGTTAGAGTTTTTCAAGTTTTTCTTGTTTCGCTATAAACATTTCCAGAAATTAGAAGTTCTATCTGAGGGTTTCGGGTCATCGACTATAGTGGGCACTTGGTAAGGCAACACACATTCACAGTTTGCATTGGATCTTCCTGATAGACAAACCTTAGAAAATCTGACCACAAACGTCAGAGTTCTGACTCTCTGGGAAAACACTACAATTCAGATTCAACCTACAGAGTGTAACTTCTCAGATGTTAAGTCATCAGAACCCAAAGATCCCTGGATAGGTTTAAAAATTTCGTTTCTTTTATTTAAAAAAATCATATCTGCTTTTTATCATATAGAGCTACCTGAGTGGAAAGCCAACTCTGCCTTGGGGGAGCTCCTTAAGGCTGGTAGGCTCATTGCTCACCGGCTTAAAATTATTCCCTGATAAAAGGGGTCACCATTGTATCTATTCATATACTTTTGCACATAAATAAGGTAGCATATGTAAAGTACTAGCACATTTTCTGGCTCAATAGAAGTTAACTCATATTATTTAGTAATACCTACCACACTACCTTGGGTGTGCAAGGAAGAAGACATCCATCTTTGCTTCAGACACAGCAGGTTTATTGAATCCCAGAACATGTCAGTGTCTGTGTTGGGCATATGCAGATGAATGAGGCATAACCCCTGGTTTCAAGAGACTTAGTTTCGGAACAGCCACAGGAATGGGCAGTTTTAAACCCCGCGCAGAGTCAGACAGAAGCTAGTTACTATGGGAGCATCCTAGCGGAGCATCTTACAGTGGGGTTCAGTGTGCACCTGGCATGCTTCCTTGATGAAGTGGTCCCAGAACAAAGCTATAAAGGAGCAACTAGAAAGAAGCGGTAGCCAGAACAAAGTCAGAGTTGAGAGGGTGTGTGTGGGGTGCAGGGAGGCAGGGGAAGACAACTGGCAGCTCAGTGTTTCTTGAGCAAAGACAGAGTGGTAGGGGTGGTGAGACATGAAGGCGCAGAGGGAGATAAGGCTGCTGCATCCCACTGTAATGGACTTAGCGTTTTATCCATCCAGCAGACAACTGACATGGTCATATGTGCTTGTTAGAAACTTTGTTCTGGGCAGTGTGTGGAGGCTGGAATTACAAAGAAAAAATGGGCAGAGAATCACTTTGGAAGCCAGTGAAGTAGTCCTTCACTGCTTCTTAAAACTCTTTCCCGTTTGCTTTGAAATGGGACAATACAAAAATTATCACTTATAAATGGTTGAGAAAAAGGCTAGTCAGCGACAGAACCTACTTTTTATATTTTTTCCTGACCCAAAGTTTGTTTAGTTTTTTTTTAATAAATTAAGAGTTAAATGTATTATTTTAATACATCTCATGTAGTCTCCAGCAACTTGATGAGGCAGACATGATTTTTACCCCCATTCTACAGATTTAAAAACTGAAGCTTATGGATGATAACCTCCTTGCCCAAAGCTACTCATCTAGAAATGACAGGGATGTGATTTGAACCTACGTCGCTTTGACCCCAGAATCTCTGTAGTCTTAAATGTACGTGATGCATAGTTAGAGGTAGTATATTTTTGTGTCAGTGGAGAAAAACACGAAGGATGTAGAAATGCAATATAAATTTTCAGCTTATTTAAGTGACTCATTATTTTAAAGAAAGTAATAATAGTATCTAAAAAAGCTGTCGACATCCTATTGAATGTGTGATTGTAACTTCACCAGTACCAATTTTTGTTCACTTTTACAAAGAGAATAACATAATCCTTTCACTTTCGGGATTTGTAGCTAAATTAATCCTGTTTTGAAAAGAAATACGAGTTGTAGACATGCATTGAAGTTGAGTCAAACATCAGAAGCTTATTTTGAGGTAAAATTGAAATGAATGAAGTGGAGACTCTTAACCAATGATTTAAATCAAAATTGACCTAATATGGAGAGGAATTTGGTCAAGGCCTGTCTAACTTGTCCCCCAGTCAAATGGACATAAAATTCAGTATTTAGAGTGGATCGTGCACATAAATGCTGAATCTTTACTGTTTAGAGATTTCAGACCCATTCCCTGACTGATTAAGGCTTCCAGGTACACTTTATATGAGAAAGAAAAAAAAAGAGTCTAGTCCTAGATGAAAGCTTCGCAATCTCTGCAGTGAGGTTTTCAAAGGAAATGTGAAGTCTACTGGGGTAATGAACGAGTTTGTTTAGGCCACAGCTCCTGGGATGGGGTCAAAATGCAACATGATATCTGGCTCCTGCTGCTCCTTTCAATTCATTTTGGAAAGCTAATCTTCCCGTGCTGTGGACAAGCATTGCGCAGTTCTCACGAACATTCTGCTCACTCTAGTGCTAGATATTTAGATTTTCCCACTGTCACTTAAAGTTAAAAAATTCCAGTGTACATTTACTAATTAAAATATGATCAACCTGTGATATCAATCAACTTTAACCTTGTAAAGGTGGTTAAGGCTGACTTGCTCTCAACTGGAGCTTCCAGGGGTTCTTTCGAACTAGACCTAACTGGGCACTCTCCCAACGACAGCGACTCATTGCCTTCCCTGCTGGCCATGCCTCTGGGCTCCAGCCCCTTCCTCATAAGCATTAGGAACCCATTGCCTGCCCCAGGTGTCTTTAGAATCAATGTAATATGGGTCTCTCTTCTGCATAGTGCATTGTGTCATCCTACACCTCAACACACTTGGGGAGTACAGGCTGATTTCCACACACCAGCCATTTCCTGCTTCCACCAACAAAGCAGTTATTCAGCCAGCCACTTACCCTCTGGAATTCCAGGACCCCATGTTATAGTAGGGAATCCATATCTCAGTGGCTTCGTGCAAGCTCATCTCTCTGGAATTCCCCACCTCCCAGGAAGGCAGACATGAGGTCTGCCTTTGCTGAAGGTTCAGCAAACCTTCCATCCTTTATACATGCTAAGCCCAGTCTAATAGCATTCATCTGCCTACGGGTCCAGAACTCAACAGAAATGGTAATCAAACATTTCTTTTGTAAATTCATTTGATATAGCACCTCTATTCTACTTACCTTCCTATCCAATTTCTATCCAACTGATGTCCAGGTCAAACTGAAGTGGGAACAGTGCAATTTTAACACTCCCGTATGGCAAGTTAGTGCCTAAGCCTGGAACTAAGAGTTGGGATTGCGAGGTGGCCCAAAATGTCTTCCTGGTGTCTTTCATTTTTGTTTCCTTCACAGAAGTTAATATCTACCATTCTTTTCCTACCTCATAGCATCCTTGTAAATCAAATGCGGGTAAACAGATCCTTTTTTTGTTCTTTGGTAGGAAAGTGGCATCTTTATATAGAATTCTGTGAAAGCTCTTCTAATATTATTGATATTGATATGACTTCAGTTGTGCTTTAGCTGAGAAAATGTGCCCTAAAAAAATGAAAACTACCTAAGATAATTGTTCAAGATGGCATCCTCTGCCCACTCATTTGTTTCCCCTATTTCCCGGACACCTCAAAAAATAAAAGTACAGGAATACAATAGGGAATGAAGTCACAAAAGAGACAAAACACAGAGGCTGGGCCCAGTGGCTCACACCTGTAATCCCAGCACTTTGGGAAGCTGAGGTAGGCAGATCATGAGGTCAGGAGTTCGAGACCAGCCTGACCAACATGGTGAAACCCTGTCTCTACTAAAAAATACAAAAAAAAAATTAGCCAGGTGTGGCGGCGCGTGCCTGTAATCCCAGCTACTCAGGAGGCTGAGGCAGGAGCATTGCTTGAACCCAGGAGGCAGAGGTTGCAGTGAGCCAAGATCGTGCCATTGCACTCCAGCCTGGGCAACAGAATGAGCCTCCTTCTCAAAAAAAAAAAAAGGAGACAAAAACACAGAGACCAGGGTCTGAGTGTCACCGACAAGCAAGCCAAGTTAAGAATTTCTAGAAAGTAGAGTGATAAGCAATTAAAATATAGGAGTGCTATCTTTTGAGAATGAGCTCTGTCTGGACTTTGGAGGTGGACTGGCTGTCTTGTGTGAATTCCTGGACAGGCCCAAGGGTCAGAGCTGAGCTTGAGGGGGTGGGGCTGGGGAGAGATGGGCTGAAGATAGAGGGATTCATTGAAAGTCAGTGTTCAAGACAGTTCTAGGTTGACACCCCCTGACAAACATCTCTCCTACCAAAATGGCGACCCTGTAGCCAGTGCTTACTCTGAGAGGTGTTCTCTTGAAGAAACTTCTAGACTTCTGTTATAGATGCTGGTTTACATTAGATAGTACAAGCGTATGGAGTGATGAGGAAGTTGGGACTGCTCCCCCAACCCCCCACTCATTCTGAAGGAAGACTGCCAGTCTGAATGCCCTGCCTTCCCCTCCAGAAATTCTAACTCGAGAATGCACAGTGGAAAATACTGCCCTTGACACTGTGGAAAGAAGCTGTCACTGGATTTTTCTTTCTCAAATATGATAAATTATCAAAGATTACTGAGGAATTGGAAAGAGTTAGTGGCATGAAAAAGAGAGACCAAAATAGAAAATTGATGTAGAAAGGGGAAGTCAGTATTTATTTCTCTTTAGAATAAGAAATACACACACACACACACACACACACACACACACACAAAGGCATTCATCACTCAGGTCTTAAGCTCAGGTGGTTAGAAGCAGATAATGCCACAGCTTTTTCCATGGCTGAGTCAGTGTCTTAGTCTGTTTAGGTTGCTATAAAAAATATCATAAATTGTGTAACTTACAAACAACAGAGATTTATTTCTCCTAGTTCTGGAGGCTGGAAAGTCCAAAATAAAGGTGATGGCAGATTCATTGTCCCATGAGGGTCCACTTTTCGGCTCATCGATGGCCCCTTCTTGCTGTGTCCTCACCTTGCTCTCTCGGGTGTAAGGGCACTAATCCCACTCATGACATGTCCACCCTCATGACCTCATCACCTCCCAGAGGCCCCACCTCCTAACACCATCACACTGGGTGTTAGCTTTCAACATAATCGGGGGGCGAGGAGAGCACAAACATTTAGACCCTAGTAGTCAGTTCGCTTGTTGTTATTCACATGACGAAAAACAGTCCCCTTTCCCCCAACTTGGTAGCTTTTTTCAGATATGTAGTATTTATTGTATGTAGTCAAAACAAATTGACTTTCTGTACTAGAAAGCATCACTAACATCACTAGGGTACAAAACCAGTTGGTTGTTTAACAGTATTATCTGGATAATGACAACATTTGAAAAAGGAGGTGAGAGAATTTTGGCTATAGATTGGTTTCATCAATTTTGTATTCAACTAGAAAATTAATGTTTTAATGAATACAACTGCGATTCAAATGATCATTATACATACATAACCCAATAACTAATTGAACTTTAACATATACATGCACATACACACATATTAAAGCTTTTGAGAGGAAAAGAATCAAAGGAAAATTTTAGTTCTCCTTAGAACTGTTTATTACATAACAGAATTCCTCTCTTCTCCAACTCGTTTTATATATGCTGAATATTATGTTGAATAAAATAATAAAAATTAATAAAATGTTGATATAGAGAAGTTGTAAAATATAAGTACAGAGAATTACTAATCTGTGAAGCTGTTTACTTGTCGTTTCCTCCCTCTAAATTATGTTGAGAGTTAGGGTGTCTTTTTCTTCTGGAGTTATGACAGAGGTCACTCTGAGTGTTGGTGAAAGATACAAAGAAGTAGAAGAAAATGATATAGGGAGAATACATTTTCAGTTTGTATTTTAGAAGCTAAATGTCTAATGGTTTAAAGGGAATTTCTGCAGCCTACCTATTACCTATCTTATGCAATCTGAGGAAAAAGGCCTCTGTTTAGGATGTTGAGATGTAAAACATCTTCGTTTACATGTTTTTCAAAATATTTGAACCCATTTACAAAGACAACTGCATGTTTAATCCTATTCTTGCTTGTTAAGCCTTATTCCTGTTCATACCTTGAAAAGTTCATCTGTACCCCTTTGATGGGCAGAAGCCACATAATCAAAAATGAATACTTAGCTTAGTTCCCACAGCAGTCAGCACTCTGGAAAGCAGAATGGAGACTTCTGGGCTCTCTGAAGCTTCAGCCCACAGGTCTGCTTTGCATCTTGATGTAACAAAAAAAAAAAAAAAAAAAAAAAAAAAAAGTAGATTGGGAGCACCTTGTTCTGGATTATTTCCATGGAAATATTCGTAGTGATCCATAATAATGAGGTCTGGAAGCCAGACTCCAGATGCACTGTTGGAATATTGCACTGATGGGGTATTGAGACACAGCTGTTGAGAAATAAAATGCCACTTGTTGAATTTTATCCCCCTCCTTGATAAGGAAGAGTATCTGTGTGAATATGCCCATTAAAAACTCTGGTAAGTCACTAATGAATAAAATACCGAGTCATAGATCGCCCTGCATCTGTAGTTAATCAGGACAAACAGAAGATTGTGGTGGTGAAGACTCTGGGCCCACTCCTCCTAGTAGCTGCCAAAAGCTACTCCCAGGGAGGAGAGGTAGTTTGAAGCAAATCTTAAACACAAGCCTTCTCCCAGGTAAAAATTAACCTTCATAGATTAAATTTCTTTACATGCTCATGTCAAAAGACTTTTGTTACAAGTCTGATGTCAAGTTATGTTGTTCTTCTGTACAAAGATATTACAAATTCAAAATTTCAATCACTCCATAATTTCTTATTCTACCTGGTCTCAGCTGAGAAGGGTTTAGGGTGCCTGGGTAGAGTCTTTCTAGGGGTCTTTTCCCTAGCTTCAGTCAGGACTGTCTCTCACTTGAAGGGTATGGTTACAGTAGTTCTTTATAGCAAGAGTTCACAAGACACACGTGATCATCACAGCACTGACCCCACCCTCCTCAGACATAAGGCTTGATCCAGCCCAGAGACCTGCAGAAGGAAAGGGAAAAGGCAGAGGCAGGAAATGTCCTGCCATCTCTGCCTGGCCACAACCTGTGACCTCCCAGGGACTTCCCAGCAGGAGGCATGCTAGGGACATGCCCCTAGGTGTAGCATGCCAGGGGCAAAAAGCAGCCTCTACTTTCAAAGGTACCCGCAAATTTCTGACACTAAAACCTCATCTAAGAAGAGGTTCTTTCCTTCCCTCACTTTCAGGAATGGATATTTCTGGGGATATTCTGAAGCTTCAGCCTTAAAGAGTCTGCTGAGGACCAAACCTTGACACATGCTCCTCAAGATCCTACATCTAGCCCCAAATCTATTAGTTTGACCCCTGGCCATCCAGAGATTGGATGCTTCTTGGAGAAGCCTGGAGAATCTTTGAACTATTCCATTCCCTGGGCCCCTCCCCTGAGGTCCTGGTCTGGAATGCAGCCACAGCATCATTCCTCTTTTAAAAAGTCTCCCATTCAAATGCTGTGCATGTTCTTTCAGGGTTGAGAAGCCCTGAGCTATCCTTACCTATGTGGGTATTGTGGCAATGCAGGGAACCTAGATACTTGCCTCTCCAGAATCACCCAAGAAACACCATAATCATAGCAAAAATGTTCCAGCCCACCCATGTCTAAAATATCCACCCTGACCCAGACATGGTGGTGGGTCCCCTGTAGTCCCAGCTACTGGAGAGACTGAAGTGTGAGGATCACTTGAGCTCAGGAGTTTGAGACCAGCTTGAGCAACATAGTGAGACCCTGTCTTAAAAAAAGTCCACCCTAGAGATAGAAAGATGCTCTTTCCCCACTAGAAGTGACTCTTGCCCCAGCTATCCTGCTCATTAAGGCCTTTGAAGTCCCCCTGGTGTGGGGCCCGGACAACTGTAGCTAAGATCAGTCACTCTGCAGCAGCTGATAGAATGGTCACAGTTGTCATGGCCAGCACAGCTTGTGCTTGCAGAGCCCAAGCTGATGAGCACCTGCATTGCCAGTGTCTAGCTATACTCTTGAACTGTGCCTTTATTGAGGCCACTTGTGTTTGCCTAACAAAGCAGGAGTGCTGGGCACAGTGGATCACACCTGTAATCCTAGCACTGAGGCAGGAGAGACCACGGCATTGATGGTCTGTCTCCGGGGCTCCTAGAGACCAGATATGTATTCATAGCTAGACAAATATGTCCTGGCTTCTCAAAGGGTGGTCCGTGGACCAGCAGCGCCAGCATTGCCTGAGAACTTGCTAAAAATGAAGAACCTCAGGCCCTTCCTCAAACCCACTGAGCCAGAACCTGCATTCCAATTAAGGCATTCATATGCCTGTGGCATTTTGAAAAACACCAAAATACGTGGCTAGTAAATTTGGTGCTACTTTCTACTTCCTGTGAGATAGGAAACCCAGAACAGATATTGGTTGCAGGTGTCAAACCATCCCTGTGTACTTCATATGTTTTACTATTACCAGTACCACCTTAGCCATAGGTTCCTACCGGTTCTTTGTTAAGTTGAAGCCGTGCATGAGGGGTGGGGTATTACACTCCATCCATTTCACTAGAGAGGAAGAACAACCTTCCACTGCAAGTAAAAATGCAAAGCTTGACACAGGACCCCACATTACTCATTATACTCCGTTACCACTATCATTATTTTCCAGATGCCTGCCTGTTACAAAAAGAACTGAACAAAGGAAGCCTGTTTTCCTAACAGTTTGGGAATAGATGCTTGTGGTTAAAAAGAAAGTACAGGAACAAGGGGCATATACTTTTCTAGGGATGAGATCACATGGACACACTTACCATGATGTCCTGGGCAGTGATTTTGACTTTTAAATTATTTTTGCTGGAAAGTATTTGAGTCCCAATAGTTTACAGTATTCATTTTGTAAAAGGTGTGATGAGGTTTCATCATGACAATAAATTGTATCGGAAAACCTCATCAGCAAAGTTATGGGAACAAATTCTGTGTTTTGTACGCTGCCAGAGACTGCATAGTATTCAAGTTATTAGTGAAAGCAGCAAAGCTGTACTAAGTTAGTATAAGAAAATCTAACATTTATGAAATATGATGAAATAGGAGGGCATTTTTTTCTTTCCAAAAATAGATTTATAATAAGATCATTTTATATTATCAGATGGCCTGTTACACTGGAATTATTTGGTTTCAGTGCAATTTTATCTTTGAAATCATATGAATTAACAATGTTCCTTCCAAACGTAAGTCTGAAATACGACTCAATCTATATGAGAAATGTGTCTTTATATCTTTGCATTTATAACAACATGATATAAGATGTCAAATTAATTACAACAAAGTAATGATCATTTGCAAATGAAATTCAGTTGATAGGCTTGATTCAGAATACATAGGAAAATATTTTGGGGCCCTTTAAATAGCAAATTTAAGTTTTGAATTAACATAGGATTAGGAAGGAGACTTTGGAGTTTTGATTTAGGTCAAAAGCAAAAATCAAGAATAAAACAAGTCAATCTCAGGAAACAGAGTTCAGAAGGAAGGATGTGAATGTGCCCAGTTCCTCATGGATACTCCTGAAGTAGCATTTGAGGCACACCTTTCTTAATGTGCCTTCTTTGAGATAAGTTTTATTATGATGAGGTATTCTTCAGATCTAAGATGTAATATTTGCACCTCTCAACAATTTACCTAGTACACATTTCTGAGATAATGTTAACCAAAGTTATGTTAGTTTTTGTATATCTCAAAGTGTTTATATGCTGATATCACCTTTTCCCCTTGGAGTTTCATGATAACAGGTATCAAGCCAAACATTTTAAGAGGTTCAAAGTCCAGAAAATAGCTATTTCAAAGCCATCAACTATCATAGAGTACAGGCTGACTACCTGCAAAGCCATGTTGCCTAGCGATGCTGACCTATCATCATGGGACATACCCCTAAAATCAGGATGTCCACAAAGGAACAACAGCAGTGTAGATTTGCAAGGGAAAAATTGGCATCTAGTCCAGGCCCCACCCTTCTCTATAGAAGTTCCCTTTTGCCCTTCAAAGTTGTAGTTTCGTTAATAATTATCAGTGCATTAACTGACCTTACAGTTTTTAAAAACCTCAATTTTATTTTGGATTTTTCTTCATATCATAAGAAATTTACTTTTTTCTCCATACAACAGCACTTTATCTCAATAATGAAAGAACTGTTCACAAACACATTAAGCCTGCTCACTCTGGCTATGTGAATACTATGTCATTTAGACCCTTCTTTTTCTCCCTCCATTTCTTTGCAAATAAGCATTTGAAACTGGATGCTAAATTTGAAGACACCAGTTACATAGCAGTATGTCCTTATAAACTATATTGATACTGCAAAATGAAAACATGGAAAAATATATTTCTTTGTAAAGGCAGGTGAATTTGCATTAAATTAGAGAGTCATAGATTATAGAGTATATAAATAAAATAATATGAATGGATTCCAATTTAAAAAATCCAGCATGGACCTGTTTTATTAATGTAGTAAAATAATTGGCATAACCTGTATTAAGTGGAATTGTTTGAATAAAGCAACAAATGATAAATGGAAGGTGTAACACATTAGATGCTTATTTTTTGAAAATAAATATGCCCATCTCCTCTTTTTCTCCTTTATTTGGGACAGGATGGCTCACAGTGTGATCCCAGCATTAGAACCAGGAGGCTCGGGGGTGCCCATTAAAATGTGCATTGATGCATCCCACTTGGCTGACCTAATCAGAATCTCTTGGGGGTTGTATTCAGAAGTCAGCATTTTCAGCAAGTTTTCTAGATGATTCTTTGAGGAATAAACTAAGATTTGAGAATTAATCCTATTCTAAGGAATGAAAATTGAAATGTAAAAAAAAAAAAAAAACCCAAGTAGTTGGAGCTGAATTTTCAGCTATGCAGTTCTCCCAAGGTTATGTGATCTCCCATTGAATGCTGCAAATCCTTCTAATAAAAATGTGTTTCCGTGATTTTGAAATTTTGAGTTAAAAAAATCCTTTCATTCGTCCAATCAATTGTAGTATGAACTCGTAAAGATTTCATATACTTACTGGTATTTCTTTTAAAGATGATGTGGTTTCAGTACACATAAAATCACTTCTGTGTATATTCTGAAATCCCGGAGGGACCCTTCGTGTCTGCTGCTGGTTCCCTCCGCCTGAGAACCATACAGCTCTTTCTCCAGTGAGGCTCATTCTCTTACTGTCTGCAGCTCTCTGCTAAAATGTCAGGTGCTCAGAAAGAACTTTCTTGATCCCCCTATCCCAACACCACAACCTCCTGACACTTTATCTCTTTTCTCACTGCCCTGCCTCATTTTTCTTCAACACCTTTACCTCCATCCTCCTGCATGTAATAACTTATTTTCAAAGCCAGGGACCTTGTCTGTTTTGAGCACTAGGACATCCTCAACTCCTGGAGGTTCCCAGGCACTTGTTGAATGTGTTGAATGAATATATAGATCCATAGGATTAACTAGTACCTACAAATGATAGATGTAAAATCTAGTACATAGAAATTTAGTTACAAATCGTTCCAAAAATAATAAATACATTGTTTTGTTGGCCAAATGAAAACAGAGCCTTGTTGACTCAAGGAAAACATGGTGTGGAACAGGAACAGGCAAGACACAAGGCGGTGAGCCATATGTAGCCCTTTTCAGCCTTGTAATTATTTTCTGTGTCAAGAACCCCCTGAGATCTGTCACTGGCTTCCTACTGAATTAGCAGGTATTTGTTATTTTCAATTTGGAGATTTAATTTATGCCCTATTCCTTTCTAAAAAGGATGTCACCTTTTTGTGGTCATTTCAGTGTTTTCTTTCCTTATGAACGTCATTCATTCCTACATTTTTTGCAATAATCCATTAGAAAGCACACATTTTTAAGAAAAGATAAAACTATAACATTCACATTTTGCAATAATACTTCACAGAATTATCAGAAAAATGGTTGTTATTTAGATTATTTCAAAATGAAATCTTCAACTTGTTTTTGAAATTTGGATAGTTTATGGTAAGAGGTATTCAACTATTTTGTCAAATCAAAAGATATATTTGCATGAGGTGACATAATTTATTGATTCAAAGATTCATTGGCATGAGGACACCTATTTTGATGTGGCTTTATCAATTGCAGAGCACTTTCACACATAGTCTCTCTCATCTGACCCTCCAACAATACCATTTATATTATTATCTCTGTTTCTACACTTGAGGAAACTGGGGATCAAAGAGTTTGGTGTGTTTCCTGGGTTTATCCAACTGGTTAGAGACAGATCTGGGACAGAATTCACATATTCTTATTTCAAGTTCTGTGGGCAAAAGTGACACAAGAAACAGCAGGAAAATTACTACTTTAGATACCATTTCTGTTTACCTCAAACTATTGAACATCAACACCCTGAGGCCACCTTTCATGTGTAGAATTTGAGGCTGAGCCATGTTGTCATGATTCTTCATAGTAGTTGTACATGGAAATGAGAGCCAAGGATTAAACGTGTCAACATAGAAGCAGGGGATGTCTGAGGTCTTGTGTCCCTTCATTCTCCAGTGGTCCCTTCTGCCCACCTCTCTGGGTCCCTAGAATCTATACCTCCCTCCCTGCCATAGGACTGAACCCTTTCCTCGCTCCCCCAACACCAACCCCACAGCCAAGTGGTCAGTAGTCAGGTAGGTTCTGAGCTGTTTAAGCATCCATTCAGGTCACCTGTAGCTGTGGTGAAGAAGAGATGGCTCTGAGGTTCCATGACAGGATATGTGGTAGTTCTTATACAGCAAATGCCTCAGGCTTAGTCCTAGATCAGCTTGAAAGCCCTTCCCAGTTTTGGGGGGCTCTCTGAACCTATAGGAGCAGCACCCAGCACAGAACATATCTAGGGAAATTCCAATACCCTTTAGTCCTCCTGCATCATGAAATCTTCCTTAACCTGTAAGCCAAGTACCCATGTTTCAGCTGTGAGTCTTCAAGCTCATTTTCAGAAACGCATTGTATATGAAAAATTGCCAGTGCCTGAGCTCTCTAGGCCCCAGTTTTGCCCTGTGAAGAGAAGAAATAGGAAGAGCAAAACCCTATTATAAAATTGAGACGTTAATGCTGGATGATGTAGGAATTGTTGCGGTAATTGGTCATGAAATGCTTTATAGACACAGGGATTATGATTGCATGACATTATGTCTGTCATGGCAGGGGAAACCATCAGGAAAGTTGGTCTGGTCTGTGGATCTACTTCCCCTTTTCTCTTTGGCTCATCCATGTTTTGATTGCACTTTGCCATCCTGCAGGGTCTTGGTCAAGGCCAGGTTCCCAGGATTGTTCTGCACCAGCATAATTGGCAAGAACATTTGGCCTTGACATCTATAACATTTTAGACAAAGTTGAATTTTCTCCAACATTTTTTCTTATTATAATAACAGAGTTCCAGTCCCTGGCAAAGATGTAAATTCTCATGAATGACGTTTTGAGTCCAGTGTGACGCTTGAGATTCACTTTCAAATAGACCATAATGATGAAAAAAATTACTACTAAACAAAAGGACATTTAATTTGAATCAGCAAATATATACACCATCTAATGACATTTTGTAGCAGATTCCCAGAAAACATTGTGTGAGAATTTTTTCTTGAAATTGCCCCAAATAAAATAGGCCTTGTTCATATGGATCTAAAATGTTCTTTCTTGAACACGGGCGGTTGAACACATGAATTCCAGCAGTGACATCTTTAACCTTTGTTTCCTTGGCCCTTTTCTTTCCCATAGTTCTCTGTGTCTCTCTTGCCAATAACTGTGCCCACCCTTGAGCAATCAAAACTTGATCACAGTGGATAAAAAGAAGTGTAAATAATGTTCTTTTTAAAATGCCTTATCTGATTCAGAACTATGCATAAGGCTTACATATGCAACTGTATTTTGCACAAGCATTTACACAGGGAAACACTATGAGCTTATAGTTTTACTCAGAGCCCTCTAATATGTAAAAAAGTATAGTATCCTATTCAGATAGTTAATTTGATTATTATATTCGTAATAATATCAGCACATCAAAAGACTGATATCCACATAGGTAGACTTTACCTTAAGATTCTTCTTCCTTGCCTAGCACCCTTGGTCATCAATTTGATTAATGCCACTAATGAAAATTTCTGAATGCCAAATAAATGCATGTAATAAGAGGATTTTTACATATAGCCTAAGACCATGTTACCACTTAAAAGTTCAGCAGATCCTCTCATTGGTCATCATTGGATGTTTTTTTGAGGCTTAGAATAAAGGAATAGTGATAAAGTAACAATTCTAAATGTACCAGTGATGGATAACTTTTATTTATCTCTGCATTTGGATGTGATGACTGTTTTTTTTTTTTATTTTTACATTTTTAAATCCTTAGCAATATTTTCAAAACCTTCAGGAATAAGAATTGACAACAGGAACTCAAAGCATACTGTACTTAAATATATTCCTGGAAAATTTAAGCTTGAGGTAATATTCAGAGTGATGTTGGCATTTGACAGATCAGATGCGATGAACCTAATTATGCAAAACAGTTACTTTGAATCTGTCATTCATCGGAGCGCTATCTAAATCAGAATTTAATTACCAGCAAAGAGAATGGTAAGGAACTTGCCTGCCCTGTCCCTTTCTCCTCCTCAAAATACTCAGTGGTTTTTATTAACACTGAATTCATAGAATTCTCACCACTTCTCCAATTATTCAGGAATACTGTTCTCTGTGTACTTAAATTTAAAGTAGCCCACGTTAAATATACCAGTAAAACATTTTTCTATTGGCAATTTTAAAACTTTACAATGGCTTTTTTTCTCAAATATTCTAGACAAGAATATTACAATTTTGAGTTTATATGTTCCTGACAAAACAGACCTAACATCCAGCATTTGAAGACTTTGGCTTTGAAGTGGTCCTTGAGGAAGGCAAAATGGAAGGAGAGCTGTCCCGACATGGCCAAGATCAAGGAATCCCAGCACCCTGATATGTTAGTCCGGAATAGAGAGGCTGAACTAGGGCTGCTGAAAGACAGTTGCCAGTTAAATCCCATTACGCCATGTGGGGATTAGTTGTAGGATGTAGCTGAAGGCTCATTCCCAAAATCAGCCATTGTCTCCTTTGGTTCTTGTCCGTGTTCTGTATTCAACATGGAAGATGCCACCTCTCCTTGATGCCCCAAGGCCATCTCATTGCCCCAACGCAAATGATTTTCGTGACGTTTCTGCTCCAGTGGTTCTGACTGTACGTCAGATAAAATATTGGCTCTCAATCAACGTCCTCTTTCCTGTCTGTCAAGCCAGCCTCTTCACCCTCACTAAAGTCTTATTTCCTGATGTACAGAGGCTTCCTTTCTTCAGAGACTTTCTCGTGATTCTCTGGTCCATAGCATTGCCTCACATCAACACCTCTTCCCATATCATGCAATGAAGTGACACAAATAAGGATTTATAAATACTACAAAGCAAAGTGGTGTGTAGCCGCAATTTATACATTAAACCAGTTAGTGGCAATCATTCCTAACTTTTTCAGAGAGAGGCAGGCTAAATGTAAATGCTTCAATTTAGAGGGTCAGAGTAAAGGAAAATATAACTTGAAACCTCTTTCTTTAATATCTGCTTCTCTCGGGGATTTAGGCTGTTGTAAGTTCAAACATTTTGCTTTATCCTTTTCCCAGGGAAAAACTGCTGATGGGAACAATTTCTAGTTCACTTTTTAGGAACAACATCAAGATGGCTTTGCCATTGTGGCTCGCCATTTAAAATAATTTCTATTGTACAATTTAAGGTGCAAGGGCTATGGGCTAATAACAGATTTTTAGGACTGACTATCTACCTGATTCCTTTAGTGAAGAACCTAGCTACATTCATTAGGTTTTGAGAAAAATAACATTTCACTGGTCTTGTTCCATGTGGGTTTATCTCAGAAACGTTGTCATTTTTAGAGTGAGATCATGTTTGGTCGCAAAGCCAGGCAGCTGGGTGATGCCGACAGGCTGATTAGGTTGACATATTGCTGCCATTTCATGCTATTCATTTGGTTTCCTGGGAATTTCAACAATTTTGTCCAAAAAAATTTGAATATGTCTTTGATTAAACAAGTTCTGTTTGGAGGTCGCCTGAGCTTTGATGTCCCTCTGTTGATTTATTTCAGCTGGTTCCCGAGCCTCATACAGCAGCCAGCATGGGCACCTGGGCCCAGAGTTGCGGGCCCTGCAGTCCCCAGAACACCACATAGATCCCATCTATGAAGACCGCGTCTATCAGAAGCCCCCTATGAGGAGTCTCAGCCAGAGCCAGGGGGACCCTCTGCCGCCAGCACACACCGGCACCTACCGCACGAGCACAGGTGTGTAATCAGGACCCCACTGGGTGGCCTGTCCACAGGGGGTGGGCTCTGCGCGGGAGCTTCAATAACACTCCCAAATGAAAGGTGTGTGTCTGTGTCCACTATCCCCACAAGCACTGTGACCTGCTTCTATCAATGTCTGTAATGATAATGGTAGAAACAGAATATGACTTTAATTCAGGCTACCTTGGTATAATCTGAATGAAAGGAAGCAAATGGCGATTGTAAGCTCATTTTGTCAAAGAGAAAAATTGAAAGAAGCAATACTAATGTTAAGCCCATCGTTATTCACTTACGTAATGAATCTAAGTACCCCAAGGACGTAGTCATTTGTAGGACGTGAAAGACGTATGCTTGATGATGGTAAGTGTTTTTTTCATGATATTGTCTACCTATTTGGCAAGCTTGGAACAAAAACATATTTACTAAACATGTAGCATATTTTGAAAGGCAGACAATTTATTTCATATACACTAATAGATTGAATCACAAAATTATTGTGTGAAGGTTGGATGTTGGCAATTGCAAATGGTTCAATCAGTTATATAGCTCTCCTGGATTAAATATATATTTTCAATTGAATACAACCACAGATCACACGACAAAACGCAAGTGTTTTCCAGTATCTGGAGCCATTTGCAACATAATCTGTCAAATGTCATAATTAGATTGCTAGAGAACACTTATCTTAACTCCAAAATCGATATAATTAAAAACAGGTTGAGAATTGCATTTATTATCAAGCTGCACATTGCTAAGTAAACTGGAATGACTGTGTTGCTGGTCTGCAGACAGTACAGCTCTCTCCTTCTTTCCTAATGATATATATGAGCTCCGGCAGGGACTGAGGCTGGCAGAGCTGGCTCTCTGCTTCAGAACCTGGCACGCAGATCTCTACATCCTCAGACTACTGGAATTTCTAGTGACCACTAAGTAGAGCATAGCAATTTTCTTAAACTGCCTTATGGTGCTAAATTACATGCTTTGAAATCAAGGCAAGCCAAGCTGCTTTTATAGTTGATTATTGATATTTACATTTCAGTATTTCACTGAATCATAGGGAGAAAGGCACAAAATACTCTTTATTTTATTTTTGACATCATAAATGCCACCCAATATTAATAATACATATCTTGGTTTTGATGATAAAGAATGCCTATTTGTTCTTCTGTCAGAATTTTTTTCACCTTCAGCCTGTTAGATCCACTCCTGCTTGGAGTTGGGCTACTTTAGCATTTAATGTTTGCATGTTTTTAAGTAAGGTAATTTTATTTTTATGCACATCTTATAAAAGAAGAAGATAACCACAGTGACATTCAATATCTAATTTGAATAAAAACTGACAAAAGAGATTATGTTGATTCTCTATTCCATATTCACATGTTCTTAGAATTATCCTTTATTAATAAACTTCCAGGAATTTAATGAAAAATTAGCTACATAAGAAAAAAAAACTTTAATTCATCTATATCACATTAAACACAGGGAAGATATCCATACTTAAAAAAAGAAAACTCTAGTGTGATAGTGTTTTTTCTGAGTCTGCATCAGCAAACAATGGCCCATGGGCCATTTGTAGCTCACCAATCTACTTTAGTAGTGCCCATGAGCTAAGAATGATGACTGCATTTTTAAATGATTGGGGGGAAAAATCAAAAGATGATTAATGTTCTGTAATATGTGAAAATTATATGAAATTCAAACTTCAGTATCCATAAATAACGTTACTGAGATGCAGCCATACCCATTCATTTATGTATCATCCATGGTGGCTTGGGCCCTGCAGGGGCAGAGTGGAGTGCCCGTGACAGAGACTCTTGGCAAAACCAAGAATATTTACTATCTGGCCCTTGACAGGAAAAATTTGTCGTCTCCTGCTCCAAGCGGTCAATGGAGAGCTATCCAGAATGAACAAGTGTTTTTTTCCTACCGCCTATGAGGGAGGCAATAGTAACCTTCTAACTGCTTCAAAGGTGAAACCCATTTGCTGGGGGCTTTTCCTGGTAATAAATGTGGCAGAGATGTGCTATGATTGTGACATTCAGATGTCCAAGACCCCAACCCAGCCTGCACCTTTGAACTTAAGGCAATTTTGAGAAAACATGCTGATTGACGTAATACTATGGAAATTTCCAGAAGTGCTTGGATGACCTCTTAGGACCACAAGTGGAGGAGGAGAAACTACCTCTCTCCAGCTCCTAAGCATAAAGCCGCAAACTCTGTCTTCCCTGCATCCACCAAGGTTACCCCTGTGTCTATACCTAATTCATATAATTTCATGTCTTCACATTTTCACAGCCACAGAAACTGTATCACAACCTGCATGTATGAGAAAATGCCTTTAATATGTGTATATGTCTTTTTATTTAGATATTAAAGACATCATATATAATATTATTAAATTCTGTCTAGAATAACACCCATAAAAATGGAGATTACAAAGAAGTAAGGATTAAATATAGTTATCCAGTAGCCGTAAAAAAACATTCTAAGTTTGCTTCCCAATATCTTTGTGGGGGTCATCTGTGTTGTACATACCGCTACCCTGGAGACCACTGATACAGAACTCTAAGAGGTTTGCAGGCCTAAAGCAGACACCCTAACTCCTTGAAAGAAGAGGACAGGTTCTTATGAGGCCTACCAGCCTGAAAATGTTCATGGTCTCTGGCTCTTAGCTCAGATGAGTGGCTGAGGGCACCCGAGCAACTGGTCTTATCTTTCTGCCCTTAAGAATAGACCACCAGGTGGAGGTCTTTCAGTACAATTCATAAGGCATTTCCAGATGATACTGCAAGAGAAGTGGGGCAGAAAGATCGAAGACCAGTTGCTTCCCTTCAAGGGGTCAACACTTGGGAATGAAGAAAAGTAGACATGCCTCAACAGTTAGGGAATTATTAGACGGTGTCATTGAAACAAGCATGTGAGGCCAGATAAACAAAGGTAGGATGAAGAATAAAGGGCTGGAGGAAAGATAGAAAAAGATGGTGGTAGGTGGAGCCTAAAAGGAGAAGCTA
The DNA here is from genome assembly GCF_000001405.40 of Homo sapiens. NCBI lineage: Eukaryota > Metazoa > Chordata > Mammalia > Primates > Hominidae > Homo > Homo sapiens. The sequence goes on along the minus strand of NC_000005.10, from coordinate 11,361,681 downwards.
ACTGAGAAATCCCCTTTGGTGGGGAAGCATCTAGCTTGTAACTTCTTCCAGGGAGTGTGCCAAATGCTTTGGGTATTTTACCAACCACCAGAACAATCCTTGGAAGGAGATGCTGTTATGATGCTCGGTGCTTGCTTTTTGGATCAGAAAACCGAGGCACAGAGATGTTGAGTAATATGCGAAGGTCACACGGGTTGTGTGGAACCAGTCTTTAAACCTTCACACAGGCTGGCCATGGTGGCTCACACCTATCATTTCAACACTTTGGGAGGCCTAGATGAGAGAATCGCTTGAGCCCAGGAATTCAAGACCAGACTGGGCAACATAGTCAGACCCTATCTCTATTAAAAATAAATAAATAGGCCTGGAGCAGTAGCTCCCATCTGTAATCCCAGCACTTTGGGAGGCCGAGGTGGGTAGATCACTTGAGGTCAGGAGTTTGAGACCAGCTTGGCCAACATGGCGAAACCCCGTCTCTACTAAAAATACAAAAATTAGCCGGGCATGGTGGCAGGCGCCAGTAATCCCAGCTACTCGGGATGCTGAGGCAGGAGAATCACTTGAAGCCAGGAGATGGAGGTTGCGCTGAGCCAGGATCGCGCCACTGCACTCCAGCCTGGGCAACAAGAGTGAAACTCCATCTAAATAAATAAATAAATAAACAAACTTTCATACGTAGGCAGTCTTACCCTAGATCCTGGGCTTCGTTGACTGCATTGGTAAAAATCATCATTTAAAAACAAAATAGATAGACATTTATTTTCATCTGTGGAGCTTAATGGTCTTCTATATCCTGTTAAATAATATCTGTTTAAGATACTCTGTGTGCTAGATGTACTGGCGGATTCAAAGAGGCTTAAAATCTACTCCTTGTCCTTAAGCATGTTCAATTTTGTTTCAGAGAAAGACATAAACATCTGAAAAATTAACCGGTATTGGAAGGTAATATCATATAGGCTACATGCATATTCCAAAAAAAACCTGAAGACATTGAAATGAGGGATTGAGTTGCCCTTCACTCTCCTGCTCATGTCCCTACTAAAGTGGCCTTCCTCTCTTTTGTGGGTAGCAAGTTGGGGCATGGAAAGGTGTGGATTTGGATGGAATCACACCAAGGGAAGGTATGAGTGTGATCACTCCTCATTCGGTGCTACAGCTGTACGCTCTACCAGCTCGGGTTCATGGGCATGACTCTGGCTCTAGTGGCCACTCTACTCTTTCTGCCCTGCTCTGCCCCATGCTGACCTCACCCCTGGGCTTTCCTTACTCAAAACACCACTAAGGCTAACATGAGTAAGAGACCATTCTAGGGCTGAGAGATAGTCAGGGAGATAACTGCACAGAGAAGACCAGAAAAAAAACTTCAGACATTGAAGATAAGATATGTTAGATCTCTTAACTTTCCCACCAAAGAGGATTTCTCAATTAGCTTTTCCCCTTAGACTCCACCTACCACCATCTTTTCCTATCTCTCCTCTAGACCTTCCTTCTTCATCTCTCTTTTCTTCTTAGCTGTCATAAGTAATCCATCCATGCCTGTTACTTTATTATGAAGACTAATTTAAATCTTGGGTACCAACTCAGATGCGCACTACTGTCTACCTTTTTGTAATCAAACAGGTCCTCCAGGCTTTCCTAACCCAAAAAGCTACCTAGCCATAATGTTAGAGACCTCCTGAGCATGCATATAGGAACATCTATGTAATGTCCAAGGAGCAGGGTACCCAAGTCCTACTCCTCACCTCTCCTCTACTCCAGGCTTGTGGATGGTGACAGAAACAAATTTCACTATTGACAATAGGATTTCATGAAGCTGAACAGGCATGCCATCACCCAAGGCTGTGTTAGAGAACATGGTCTAAAGGGGTTCTCCATCCTCCTGCCCCAGACCTACGTCTGCCAGCCATTGCAAGATAAGAGCCAAAGACCTTTGTCCCCTACTAGGCCCAGCAGAAGGGTATGGGCTCTGGGGACAGCAATGCCTGCATCCCTGGCCCCAGGCTTTGAATAGAGAGACAGATAGAAAGTGCTTTGAACAGGGAGGCAGATAGAAAGTACAGCAGTGCCCACCTGCCCGAGGACTCCAAGAGGGAGACAGAGCCAGCATGGTGGCTCCAGAGATCTGGCAGCCTAGGAAAAGGTGAAAGGGTCACTTTGTGCCACAGAGTGGTCCCTGGTCAACAGAGCTCCCGGAGAGTACCCATCACCAGACATGACAGCCACATCTTTCTTGCAGGACCATTAACAGGGGGAGGCGGGTAGTATAACAGAGAGGAAGGCCACCAGTGTCCTTTCCCTAGATGAGGAGGCAGAATTGTGTGAACTGCAGCAGAAATGACAGACTTACTTTTACATGACCATCCCCCTAATATTTGGGCATTTATACCTCTTGCATGATGAAAATGTAAAGAGATACAATTTTAACTAAGGTGTCTATTTAGATAAAATATACATTTCATGTGAGATGAGGCTTGTCAAAACCAGAGCTTATAAAATAAGGAGTACAGTGAAACAAGGAATGTGTGGGCCTCATGAATTTGCTTGTGGTAAAGTCTATTAAGCAGAAATAAATAACATGAATTTTTATTTCAAACTCAAATGTATGAATGACTGTCAATTTAGGAGTTATTTGACCAACACAAACACTTGACTCTGACAACCCCTTAAACACATTTTTATAAACCAGTAGAAATGGCCAACGTCTGCTGTGATGATAGTCAGATGGATTTTCTTTTGGATAAATGCTATTCAAACTGAGTGTTGAAAACAAGCTTTCTGTGATGTATGTGTCAGCTTGTAATAAAGAAAGAATTATCATAGATATGTTGCAAGGAGCAAACTTGCTAAATATCTTCATGAAGATGACAAGTACTGCAACATAAAAAGAAAAAAGAATGTGGTGAAATAGTTACACATGTAGAGAAAATAGTCTCTAAAAAAAACGTAATCCTCTGCAAGAATAGCCAGTGTTTAATGAAGCGATAGAGGGATTACATAGGACCTGCATATTCATAAAATCTTATTACTGTTATTCATTGTGATATAAATAATAGTCCAGTATCAAAAATATTTTAATTAAAATTATTTGAGTTCACAAAGATGTGAATTATCAGCAGTTTATTACTTATTAAGAGCTGTTACTTAAAATTTTTAAATCAAGTGCTTCCTATTGGAGCAAGTCAAATAAGATTCTCTATAACCTATTAGTTAAAATTTTCACTTTTCTTAGGCTAAAAAGTTAAATGCCTGTTGTTACCCAGTTAGAAATTTTATATCAACCCAACGATAAATGTCATCTTAGAACCAAAGAGAACTTTCAGATGCTTACCTGTGTGGATTCACTTAAAAAGGTATAAATAAGAAGTCTAATTGTTTAGTTGAAGGAAGACAGAGTGTTTGATGGGAGAACAGTTTATTGGTAAAATTCAAAAATATCATAACTGTCATACTTTTGTACAAATAGATCATGAAACCATGTTTATTAATGTCATGTCAACTAGGGATACACATACTGAAAATTACACAGCTGGCCTTGACCTGGATGATGCACCCCAATTACTGGAAGATGTGTCACCTCATACGTGGAATTACATCATTAAGCGTAGCAATGTTGAAAAGAATAGAAGCCAAGTATGAGATTTCAACGGCACATTGAATGGGGCTTCATATAATATAATACCAAAAGTTGGAACTTAAGAATAATTAAGACATTACCCGAAGATACAGCACTATGGAACCATAATTACACATTAGCAGATTCTGCCCTCAACACCAGACATGCTCTATCACTTAAAATTATAATAGAAAAAGCTCTCAAATTTTAAAAAATTACTTATTTAATTTTTTAGTTGACACATTGTAATGACACATGTACATGTTCATGGGATACAATTGGATGTTTTGATACATGTGTATGCTGTATACTAATGATCCAGTCAGGGCAGTGTGTGTATCCATCACCACATGCGTTTGTCATGTCTTTGTGGTGAGAACATTCAAAAGCCTCTCTTCTAGCTATTCTGTAATATACAATATTTTACTGTTAACTATAGTCACCCTACTATGCAATAGAACACCAGAATTCACTTTTCCTATCTCATCGTAACTTTGTACCCATTGGCCATTCTCTCCCCTGTTCATCCTCCTCCCCTCCCTAGTCTCTGGTAACCACTATTCTACTCTCTGCTTCTATGATATCAGCTTCTTTTTTAGATTCCATGTTTGAGTGAGATCCTGTGGTATTTGTCTTTCTGTGCCTGGATTAGTTTACTTAGCATGATACCTCCAGGCTCATCCATGTTATCACAAATGGCAGGATTTCATTTTTCTTAAATGTCTGAATAGTATTCTGTTTTGTATATGTGTTACATTTTCTCTATCCATTCACCCATTGTTGGACACATAGGTTGATTCCCTATCTTGGTTATTGTAAATAGTGCTACAATAAACATGTGAGTGTACAGGTATCTCTTTAACATGCTGATTTAATTTTCTTTGGGTATATACCTAGGAGTGAGATTGCTGGATCACATGGTAACTCTATTTTTAATTTTTTGAGGAACCAACATATTGTTTTCCATAATGGCTTAACTAGTTTATAATACCATGAGCAGTATATAAGTGCACCCTTTTCTCCACATCCTTGCCAACACTTTTCTTTTTCTTTTTGACAATAGCCATTCTAACTGGAGTGAGGTAGTATCTCACTGTGGTTTTGATTCACATTTCCCTGATGATTAGTTATGTTTAGCATTTTTTTTATATACCTGTTGGTCATTTGTATGTCTTGTATTGAGAAATGTCAAGTAAGGTCTTTTGCACATTTTAAAATCGGAACTTTTTTTTTTTTGCTGTTGAGTTGTTGCAGTTTCTTATATATTCTGGATGTTAACCACTTGTCAGATGTATCATTTTTAAATATCTTCTCGCATTCTATAGATTGTCTTCTCAGTCTATTAATAGTTTGCCTATTAATATTAGTATTAATTCGTCTATTTTTGGTTTTGCTACCTGTGCATTTGAGGTCTTATTTTAAAAATTCTTGCCCAGCCCAATATTGTGAAGCATTTTACCTATGTTTTCTTCTAGTTGTTTCAAAGTTTCTGGTTTTACATTTAAGTCTTTAACCCATTTTGAGTCGATTTTTGTATATGCTGAGAATTAGGAGTCTAGTCTCATTCTCTGCATGTGGATATCAGTTTTCTCAGCATTATCTGTTGAAAAGACCATCTTTTCCCCAGTGTAAGTTCTTGGTACCTTTGTTGAAAATAAGTTGGCTCTAGGTGCATGAATTTATTTCTGGACTCTCTATTCTCTTCCATTAGTCTAGTGTCTGTTTTTCTGCTAGTGCTGTGCTGTTTTGGTTACTGTAGCTTTGTCATATATTTTGAAGTCACATAGTGTGATGCCTTCAGTTTTGTTCTGTTTGCTCAAGATTGCTTTGGCTCTTAAGGGCCTTTTTTTGTTTGTTTCATACCAATTTTAGTATAGGTTTTCTATTTCTGTGAAGAATATCATTGGTATTTTGGTAGGGATTGTAGTAAATCTGTAGATCACTTTGTGTAGTGTGGCCATTTTAACAGTACTAATTATTATAACCCATGAGCATGAGATGTATTTTCATTTATTTGTGTCCTCTTCTATTTCTTTAATTGAAGTTTTATAGTTTTCAGTGTAAAGGCCTTTTATCTCCTCGGTTAAGTTTATTTCTACATATCTAATTTTTGTAGCTATTAATATTATAAATAGAATTATTTTCCTGATTTTTCAGCTAGTATATTTCTGTACAGATAGTGTATAGAAATGCTACAGATTTTTGTGTGTTGATTTGGTGTCCTGCAGTATTATTGAATTCATTTATTAATTCTAACAGGCTTTGTTTTGTGTGTGGAGTCTTTAGGGCTGCCCATTTATATGATCATGCCATCTGCAAACAGAGACAATTTGACTTTCTCCTTTCCAATTTCAATGCCTTTTGTTTTTGTTTCTTGCCTAATCACTCTGACTAGGACTTCCAGTACTATGTTGAATAGAAGTGGTGAAAGTGGGCATCCTTGTCTTGTTCCTGACCTTAGAGTAAAAGCTATTAGCTTTCCCTTGTTCAGTATGATATTAGCTGTGGAGCTGTGGGTTTGTCATGTATGGCTTAAATTTATTGTGTTGTGGTACACACTTTCTATACCTAATTTGTTGAGAGTTTTTTTTTGTTTTATCATGCAGGGATGTTGAATTTTATCAACTTATTTGCAGAATCTATTGAAATGATTATATGGTTTTTATCCTTGGTTCTGTTAATGTGATATATCACATTTATTTATTTACATGTATTAAATAATTCTTGCATCCCTGGGATGAATCCTATTTGATCATAGTGAACGATCTTTTTAATGTGCTGTTGCATTTCTAGTATCTTGTTGAGAATTTTGAAAAAATAAACACACCTTTATTGTTTTCTTCTTTCTACCAATTTTGAGTTTAGGTTGTTTTTGTTTTTGTAGTTCCTTGAAGTACACCTTTAGGTTGTTTATTAGAAATCTTTCTTCTTTTTGGATATAGGTGTTTATTGCTATAAACTCCTTCTTATAACTGCTTTTGTTGTGTCCCATAGGTTTTGGTAGGATGTGTTTCCATCCTCATTTGTCACAAGGAAATTTTTAATTTGCCGTTTAATTTCATTAAATTGTTGATTGATTGGTTCAGGAGCATGTTAATTTCCATGTATTTGTAAAGTTTCCAAAGTTTTTCTTGTTGATTTCTAATTCAATAGCATTTTTGTCAGAAAAGATACTTGATGTTGACTCTGTCTTCTTAAATTTGTTAAGACTTGTTTGTGGCCACATATGATCTATCCTGGAGAATGTTTCATGTGCAGTTTAGAAGAATGTGTATTCTGAAGCTGTTGGATGGAATGTTCTATAAATGTCTGTTAGGTCCCTTTGGTCTGGAGCGTAGTTTAAGTCTGATGTTTCCTTATTGATTTCTGTCTGGATAATTTGTCCACACTTAAAGGGGGGTTGAAGTTCCCTACTGTTCTATAGTCTATCTCTTCCTTTAGGTCTAATAATAATTTTCTTTATTCTAAAATTTATTTATATGACTGTTCGTGGAAATGTTCTCAGAAATGTTGCAAGTGTATAGACAAATGAATAGATCAAGATCAGCATGGAATACGCTTGACATGGAAATGCTTATTTTTACAAAATAAAAAGGGTCACAGCACCTGTGGTTTTAAATCCACCAGGTTCCAAGCTATATCCCTAATTTAAGGCCCTTAGCCAGCTAAGGTATTTTGTTTGAACACTTAAGCTTCCTTGGAGTTTCTTTTTGAGCCTCTTATTCAGCAGTGGACATTTGGATGCATAAAGAATATAATATACCTTTTATGCCATAACCACATATTGCCAAGTACTTGATGTAAAATCATTTAGTGCTTAAGATGGCAGAGAAGATTTTTTCCACAGCTAATTCTGTTCTCACCAAACTAGCTCATGTTTGGGAGCAAAACCAGCTCTATCACCACATTGTTGAGCCTCGTGTGAAACCACATGAATAATGCATCTCTTCTCATCTGGCTCTCTAGAGATTGGCAGGTAGGAAACCTGCTCAGGTTGCCCCATGCAGCCTCTCCTTCTGGCCTGCCTCTCTCTTGTCCTGTGATGAGTTTGCTCGGTCCCCTCATCTTACTCAAGGTAAAGAAATAAGTCCACTGTGGATACATTAGCATTCTCCACCCAACCATCCTATTTCCATTTTTATGGAAAATTCTATTCATTGACCTTCCCCTAATCCCTTTCTGTCTTCAATTGAAGGAGATTCTTCTGCATTTCTTTCTGAAGAAGAAGCCAAAGAAAATGATAATACAATGTTTTTTTTTTTTTTGAAATGGAGTCTTGCTCTTGTCGCCCAGGCCAGAATGCGACGGCACAATCTCGGATCACTGCAACCTCCGCCTCCTGGGTTCAAACGGTTCTCCTACCTCAGCTTCCCAAGTAGCTGGGATTACAGGTGCCTGCCACCACACCCAACTAATTTTTGTATTTTTAGTAGAGACGGGGTTTCTCCATGTTGCCCAGGCTGGTCTCGAACTCCTGACCTCGTGATCCGCCCACCTTGGCCTCCCAAAGTGCTGGAATTACAGGCGTGAGCCACTGCACCCAGCCCTAGGAATATTATGATGGAGCCAATTATCTAGGTAATAGGGATTTAAGCAGTGACACTCTATATCACATTAAATTTTAGTCTTTTTCTGGCATTTCTGCCAAACATATTGCACTTCAAAATGTGTAGGTTTTATTAACCAGGCCTGCCCTCACCTCTAGTGCCGAACAGTGGAGGAGAGGGGGTAAAACACGCAGACCCTGGAGTCCACTGCTACATTTCAGTCCCAGTCCTGCCCACCGTCCTGTCACTGCTCTTCTGTGACCTAATGAGGATGATGTTAATGATAGTAGTACCTGCCATGTAGGCTGTTGTGAGCATTAAATGAGATCATGTGAAGAAGCCCCTAATATGGTAGTTGGCACAATGGGAAGCTCCAAATACATGTAGCATTTATTTTTATCCTTTCCCATTGATGGCTGAAAACGTGCTTGGAATGGTTAAAAAAAAAAAAAAAAAAAAGACTGTGTATCATCCTCTTCATCATTCATCGTGACTCCAGTTACACACACTATAAATTAGAGGACAACTAAAATGCACAGTGCTAAATGTACATTTAAATAGATATAAATACATACATATGTAGGATTAAACATGGGATTATTTTTCTTTCCTTTTTTATTAATTCGCTTATTTACATTTTTAATTTTTATACCAAGTTCTAGAAACCTGCTGAAGTCCATTATGCTGTATATCGCCATAACATTCTTAGAAATAGTAGTAGCTATTGCCAATGAATGAGCAGGATCCTTTGTGTTAATCATTTGTTGTTTTTTTCCTGCTAATTTATATCATGAAGACCTAATGAGGAGCTTGCATTTTTAAAAATTGTACTTACATAGAAATCTATCTGCTCATTACAATGCTATTGGTTAAGATAAGTATAGTCACCACCATCACAAAAATGTTATTCAAAGTTTCAACATGACCGTAGTACCTTATATCTCATCTTGAATTTTTTTTGTTGTTGTTTAAGTTTCAGGATACATGTTCAGGACATGCAGGTTTGTTACGTAGATAAATGTGTGCCATGGTGGTTTGCTGCACCCATCAACCCATCACCTAGGTATTAAACCCTGCATGTATTAGCCATTTATCCAGATGAAGAGCTTGCATTTTTAAATTTTTTCAAGGTTATAACAAGAAGGAAACTATGAGAGCTATTTAAGGATAGGGTTTTACATCATATTCGCTTTCAAATATATCTATGATATATTCATACACATGATCCCACATTCAGTTTGAGAACCAATGTGATAGGCATGTTTGGCCTGTTCTGGTGTTTTCAATGTCTTCTTTTCCAATAAAAGCAGGGAAAACAAGGTCAACACCAATGACAATTATTCCATTACTACTAAGAATCATGCATTAAATGCCTCTCCCCACAAAGATAGTAATGTATGCAATTATTTTAAATTTTGTATGTTCAAATTTACCCTTGAGTATTTTTCCATTGAATTTAGATGGATCAACTTGTGCTGAGTACAGAAAATTGCAAAATGTTTATAGTTCAGTTATTAATGATGACACTCTTGGATATATGCCAGATTGGGTGCTAGAGTTTCCCTATCCCTAAAGAAACTGAGTTGAATTCCAAGTATGTAGGCCATTTTCTTGGACCCATTGTCACCTCATCTATTTTTGTTTTCTGAACTTTCAGAGGGACATTCTTTAATTACTTTATTATATGCTTATTTTGTATTTACATAACATGTAAATGTGCTTAATGTTTTCATATTTATCTGTATATGCAGATATACTTAAAGACAAATAATCCAAAAAGTAGTGCTTTTTTTCTTCCTCTTTATTGAACATTACCTTGTATTTCCCCCCACCAAGTTTCTGTAACTGTGTGCCCAGATTCTTGTATTTTATTCTGTTCTCCTTTTTTCCATTGTCAGTAAATAATGCTTGCAATTATCTATCATAAAGCAGAATATTTCACTTTATTAAAAAGGATGCCTCTTCCCCTTTTTCAAACAAATACAGCACATAAACGTAAAACATCTCTTTATTTTTCCTTTATAAACTAGGCCCTTATTTGTGCAGCTCTGCAGAAAACAGATAATTTCATGAAAGCGTAGGTATCTATTGAAGTATCACGTCAGCTGCTGAAGTGGCTATTTGTTATATCTCCCGAAGAGACCAGTGATACAGTTCATTGAATTCTAAGAGCTTATTGAGGGGAAAAGGGGCTGTTTGTAGAGCAGGTGAGACGAGAGAGGAGTGTGTTTACAGAGTTGATGAAGCACCTTCCCTCTCCAGTGTTTGCCCTGAGTGGGTTCAATTGGATAGAGTAATCCTACAAGGAGAATGATTTGGTCAACTGAGCTTTAAAACGCAAATAAGGAAAAGTGTTCAACAGTCCAGAAATTAAGGGAAAAAAATGTATTAAAGGAAAGTCTTTTAATAGTGTGACTGATATTAATTTATCCATACTAATGGAGAGCCAAGGATTGCATAAGCCACATCAATGTCTAAATAGTTGGGGCCAGATGGGAGACTTGGACCCTGAATCTTTATGTCATTTTACTCAATGCCATACGCACTTTTCCATTTTCTAATATTGATTGATTTCAAAATTCTTAATGGTAATAATAATAGCTCATTTATTTAATATTCTCTACATATTAGATCTTTAATGATTTTCATTCATTTAAAGTAATTGTTTTCACATATATACTTTTACAAAGTAAGGTATTACATTGTTACATTACTAATGGTTGGTTTGAGATCCATTAGATTCTCATACATTTTCTTCTGTATGATTATATAACCTGTCCTTTAATACAGTGTGTTTTTCTGTCCATTTGTACTGGTATTTTACATTATTTTCATTGCATTGATTAGCCTCTAACTTATTTTACTATAACAGCACCAATTTGGCTTGAGGTTTTATATTTTGAAATTTTCATCAGCTGTTTTATTTATTATGACCTAAAAGAAGTTTAAAGCATGGATTTGGGAATGACAGTTCTAAAAGACCATTTGACAAGGCTGAAACTACACATGATTGTGATTTTTTTAAATATATAATCTTTTTGAAAGTTGTTTCTCATCTTAGATTTCATATCCCAGCCTCTTTTCATAGTAGTGATATCACTGGTTAAACTAAAATGTAAAACAGTTTAAAATAAAATTAAGATAATTATATATATATTTTTTATTTTCCAAGGAATGAACAAAGTTAGGTTTATTTGGCATAATTTTTGTACTTTTTTGCATGTCTCAATAAATTCAATTTAATTGAGAAATTGTGTAAATTAGTTAACATACCGACTCGTAATATGTTTTTCAGTATAATGTTCAGGTTATTAATTATTTAAAGGGGGAACCCACCTCTTCTCTGTATCTTTAGTAGAAACAGTGTAAATTTTTTTTTTCTTTTGAGATGGAGTCTTGCTCTGCCACCCAAGCTGGAGTGCAATGGCACGATCTCAGCTCACTGCAACCTCCGCCTCCCGGGTTCAAGCAATTCTCCTGTCTCAGCCTCACTAGTAGCTGGGATTACAGGCACGTGCCACCACGCCCGACTAATGTTTTGTGTCTTTAGTAGAGATGGGGTTTCACCACATTGACCAGGCTAGTCTGGAACTCCTGACCTCATGATCTGCCTACCTCAGCCTCCCAAAGTGAAACAGTGTAAATGTAATGAGAAATAGTGTAGATTAGTTAACATAACAATTTTGTAATATATTTTTCAACATAATGTTCAGGTTGTTAATTCCTTAGTGAACCCATCTTTTATCTGTTACCTTTAGTAGAGAAATAGTGTAAATGTAATGAGAAATAGTGTAAATTAGTTAGCATACGAGTTTGTAATATTTTTCAATATAATATTCAGGTTGTTAATTCCTTAGTGAACCCATCTCTTCTCTGTACCTTTAGTAGACATTTCCTTTCGTTTCAGGCCTCACCGTTTTTCTAAGTTTTCTGACCGTATTAGGTAATTCAATAATCTACAGCTTTGAGGTTTTAAACCTGCCCTGGTAGCCATGGTGTCTATGAGCATGAACTCTAGAAACCAACTCCGAGGACTTCAATTCCTTTTTTATTAATATCAGCTGACTGCCGGCTAGTTTCTTAATCTCTCTGAGCCTCAGTTTCCTGTCTGTAAGGTGAAAATGATGTGTATACTCTCTTATAGGACTGTTGGAGAAAACATGAATTTATACAAATAAAGCACTTACAACAGAGCCCAGCACTCAAAAGGAGCTATATAGTCTGACACCCAGTGAAAGGGCCTTTCTCCCCAATGCCAAGTGTACAATCCCCTTTCCTACTGTCGGTTGATTTCAACATCATTAATGGTAATAATATTAATAATTTATTTGTTTAATATTTTCTCCATATGAGTTATTTAACACTTTTCCTGGGTTGAAATTAAACAATGATCCCATGAAGCCATTTTTTCTCTTCAATAACACTGAAACTGGAGCTTGGAGAGCTCGGTAAATCTGTCCAGTGCCAAGAACTGACCAAAAGGCCAGGACAGGAACCAGTTCTCCACCTTTAGAAACCAAGCTCTAAAAGAGCTCCAGGACATTTCCCTGAAAGGGTCTAAAGTGAAATATAAATAGGAACCCAATAACATTCATAAACTTTTTTCTACCTTTTCTTCCTGCATACATACCAAGATGTTGCCTTCCTGTTTCTGCTTAATTAATTGAATTTCCCACCCTATTTTCACATTTTGAACCAGTCCCTCTTACATGATTTATAATTTATTGTCTGCTGCTTGGCAGAGTTTTTCTTAAACTCTTTCTTGTTATATTTTCTTTTAATTCATGGTCCTTTGAGAGTTTTTTGTGTGGGTAGTCAAATTGTTCTCCTTACCTACTCTGTTGTTTTCTTAACAAAAAGACTTCTTTAGATTTCAATATTATTTCCTGATCTCTGACACTTTAATCATTGTATTGAATACATTAATAGCAAATGATTTTGCATAGAAAACTATTTCTTTCCTGAAAACCATTTTCAGCAAGATTAAATGTTGATACTTAGTTTTCTGAATGGAAAAAAATGCACATCTATGAAAAATGCCAGATGTACTTAGTTTTCTTTTTTCTTTTTTTTTTTTTTTTTTTGCCCTTGATTTTCTGGCTAGCTTATCACAACTTGTAGAAAATGAAATTTTGTTTACCTCTGTACATTTGTTCATCCAAGAGCAAGTTTATGACTTGCCTGTTTTAAACCCCTTTCAGCATAATATAAGGCACATTATGCATAAATTTTAAAATGTGGATTTTAATTACACATGCTGGTAATACTTTGGAGAAACGATAAATCCTCAAGGACTTGCATAAGGACATAAAGCGGATTTTCTGATTGTGCAGTTAATGTTTATTAGCCTAATCTGATTATTTTGAGACTTAACACATCAGGACAACCTTCGTTATTTCAAAATATTGTCCCTCTGGGAATATATGCACTTTTTGTTTATAAAGTTTCTCTTAAATATTTTTGTCATTTTTGTCATGTCACGGAACCTAATTTCCTAAATTTTTGTAATTCTAAGATGAAGTCTTGAAAGTTCACTGGGAAAGAAGAGCCCTGAACTCTTAAGTCAATCCTCGGTATTAGAGTGTATTCCTCCCATTCACTTTGCAGATTTTCATCATTTCGACACAATTTCCTTACCTCTTTTAATAATTATTTTCTCAGCATGACATAATGTCCTTTGTGTCTGATTTGGTATATGTCCCCTAATGTAAAAGAGGATAAAATAAGCTCTATCATTGTTCACTAAGAAATGGTTAGGAAGTCAGAGATGTATAATTGATAATTAGAACCTAATTCCCATAGAGCACCCATGTCATAAATGGTCCTATCTAGCCACTGGCTGTATTTTGGATATGAAGTCTGTTCTACAGCACCAGAAAGCAAGTGGGCTGTCTGCTGTTGATCATGACTAGCAGTCTAAAGCAGTTAATAACTGGTCATATTCTACTGAAATGAAAGATGCTATTTTCATTGTATCTATCAACCAAACCTTAGATGTCAAATATATTTTGAGAACCAGATAAAAATAATGACATGAAAGGATCTAAAAAGAATCCAAGAGGGAAACAAAAAATTGAAATTCAGTTTCAAAATAGTCAAACTGATTTTAGTAACTAGTGTAAAATCTTCTCAAAACAATTTAGACACATTGAGAAGATGCAAATACTTTCAGAAAAGCTAAGTCAGCTCCTTATTTTGTCTGCCTTGCAGTTGGGTTGGTTTTGGCCTTATTCTCCCTTCACCAAATGTGTTTGTTTCTGTGACAGCTTCACTTGAAAAAGAGGCATATAAAAATCTTTCGGGAGTTACTTTACAAAAACTAGAGCAGTCATGGATTGAATGTTCTGGTGCTAATTATGGAGATGTGAACCCCACCTCTTCTCACCTCCACCCCCATGCATACACTCCCTCTCATTTCTTCTTATTTTCTTTGATTCAAGAAAATTAACTACATTACTAATTACATTACTGAATTCATTTTACATCTTTAATAAAGTTAATATAACATTACCGGAACACATTCTGAATCTTCTCAACTTGAAAATGAAGAATTAACTTCCCATGCCTCCTTAGAAAGTATTCTCTATATTTCTTCTTATGCACAAAGTTTATATTGCAGCTGAACACACCTTCTGTTGGATGTAGGTAAGCGATATACACACAACAGATGCATTCCCCCCATACCTGAAAGGTTTGTCTCTTAGGCATGCTAATTATCATTTGACTGGATAACATTGAATGTATTGGTTCAAATATGATGGATTAATTTTTTTTATTCTTTTGAACCCCCTATTTTTTATGTGTGTAACTTCCCCTGCCCCTGCCTAGACCTGGTTAACCATTTCTGTGAGCAGGTCCTCAATTTTTTACTTTGTCCCTACTTTCCTGTCGTAGCCCCATCTTCCCCTGGTGTCGACTCCGTCCCCTTGCAGCGCACAGGCAGCCAGCACGGCCCACAGAATGCCGCCGCGGCCACCTTCCAGAGGGCCAGCTATGCCGCCGGCCCAGCCTCCAATTACGCGGACCCCTACCGACAGCTGCAGTATTGTCCCTCTGTTGAGTCTCCATACAGCAAATCCGGCCCTGCTCTCCCGCCTGAAGGCACCTTGGCCAGGTCCCCGTCCATTGATAGCATTCAGAAAGATCCCAGGTGGGTAAAAACCTTTTTCTTTCCCTATGATGTCTAAAGAGGTTTTGTAACCTGGTACTGTAATTTATTTCACGTCATGTTGCATTTATGTCACTGACTATTAAAGGGTTGGCTTTTCTTGGGTTTTCTTTTGTTTGACTTGGAATGTGTGTGCTTGCAATGGATCCCTAGTATCTTTGGTGGTTCATCACCAAAAACAGAGATGATCTTTTGATCAGAGTATCTATATGTGCTTGATGTTTAGCTACTTGATGAGATGTAAACAGCCGTCTTTAATACAGGGGAAACTGGGGACTGGAGGCTATGTCATTTGACTTCAGATATCATGGCCTACATATTTTATTGTCTCAGTGGAAGTATGCTTTGTCATCATGCGTATTTCTATTTATCAGATTGCAAAGGGGTACACCTTCCAAGCTATAGTAAAATTGAAAATTTAGAAATTTTACATGGCCTTCATTTCTCTATGTCTGAAAATAAACATTAGGATGAAGTTGTTTAAAGACTGATAAAAATGTGAGCATAATATATTAGAGAAATTGTTGTTATGGAGGTTTTTTTTTGTGGTTGTTGTTGCTGTTTTTTCTTTCTTTCTTTCTTTTTTCCATCAGTGGCAAGGGGTTTAGCAATGCTCTGCTTGTAAAGTTGGATTTGAGTCCCTGTAGAGTTAAAGGATGTTTTATTCATAGCCATTGGATTTATGCTGATAGAGTCCCATAAATATATATATCTGCATCTGTGAATACTGTTGATATGTCAGATTGCTGATATTTCTTTATGGCAGGGCAGGTGGCTTGACTCTGGTCTTGTACTTAAAATTCATCTCAAGGAATTTTCACTGATGGAGCACGCAAGTTCCTGTGTACTGTATTGAGGGGTTGGAATAGATTTTTTTGCAAAAAGAAATCACTTCTGCAAATATAAAAGGCAGAATGGGATCATTTTATGGTTTACGTTGAGATAGCTACTTTAGCACAATTCAAACCTGCTTGGAAGGTCCATGTTAAATATTGTATTTGGTATAACACCATTGAAAAAGTGAATTGTAATAAGTGCTTACTGTTATCTACCAGAAATCGGAAGCATTCTTTTGTTTACTATGTTCAGTGTACTGGTTATCTAGATTTTCAGTCTCAACAGCACTCTTTATAGTCTTGGTCCTGAAACCTGCCCCAGATCCTTAAGTATTCTTGGCATGTATGGCAAGCGTATTCATCAGAAAATACCTCAACATATTCCCTATTTTAAAATAATCTTTCTTGATATGCTACTGAAAATGTGTAGAAATAGCGTAATAGTGAACCCTTAAGAAATGCTAAAAGACAAAAATATGTGATTTGACATTGTTTATATTTAACATAGGAGGTTTAAATTGACAATAAACATTTTATCTCTGATGGAAATACTTTAAATTTTCATATTAGGAATTTAGCTTAATAAGAAACCAAATTATATTTCTCTAGCTGTAGCATAGCTTCTGTATTTAATACTGTGTATTAAATGCATTTTATTTTATTAAATGGCGTATCCTTTCCATTTTATGTTACTGTCATTTTTACAGCCTTTTTTCTTCTCTCAATATATTGACACAGCTCTTACCTTTTCAAGTTATGGATTATGTCACTTATATTTATTGAGTGCCTGCTATAAACCAAAAAAGAAAAACACCAATAAGAAGGGTTAGAATGAATAAGAGAATATTGACCACTAAGCTTTTGTATGCGTCAAATTTGTATGCAGATTAGTGCTATATGAATTATAAGTTCATCCTGAGCTCAGACCCACAGACCCCCCAAAAAAAAGAAAAGAAAAGAAAAAACAAATCTAGAACCAGAACTGGACTATTGTGGTTTATTATAAAAGGGATTCATTATCTGGCATCATGCAAAATGTATGGAGCATAAAGTGTAGTAATATAATACCTTTCTTGTCGGGTTTTCTTAAAATTAAGGAATGTCTCAACATGTTTTTTTTTTTTTTGAGACGGAGTCTCGTTTTGTCGCCCAGGCTGGAGTGCTGTGGCGCGATCTCCGCTCACTGCAAGCTCCGCCTTCCGGGTTCACACCATTCTCCTGCCTCAGCCTCCCGAGTAGCTGGGACTACAGGCGCCCGCCACCGCGCCCGGCTAATTTTTTGTATTTTTAGTAGAGACGGGGTTTCACCGTGGTCTCGATCTCCTGACCTCGTGATCCACCCGCCTCGGCCTCCCAAAGTGCTGGGATTACAGGCGTGAGCCACCGCGCCCGGCAACATGTTTTTATTTAATGGAGAGACGTGCCAAATTTAAACTTCAGGTCCAAAATATAGTAATTCTTTTAAGACAAGATTTTTGCATTTTCCCTTAAATATTATAATTTGATTCCTCATAGGTGAATATTACCAGAACTAATATGTTTAACTTCTAGGGCTCACACTTATTTATTTTGGCGTTATGGCTTATTATTTAAATCTTTTCAATGTTTTCAAGCTTTTGAAATATATTTACATATATTTAAGAGAATTTGTTAACATTTTATTTACTGCCAAACACCAGGCTATGTAAGCCTCTTTATCATTATAAACATATGTTTATAGCACATTACAATCTTCAAAGTAGGCTTACTTACATCTTTGATGTAATCCTCCTTTGTGAGCAGAAACTGATATCCCATATTTAATGCCTTAAATAAATGCAGAATCAGAATGTTAAATGACTTCTTGAAAATGCATTGGTGCCAGGTGAGTGTGCGGACCTACATCTACATTGTTAGCACATATTGAATCCATACTGCAGCACATGTTGGCACGAACATTT
Source organism: Homo sapiens (assembly GCF_000001405.40). Classification (NCBI taxonomy): domain Eukaryota; kingdom Metazoa; phylum Chordata; class Mammalia; order Primates; family Hominidae; genus Homo; species Homo sapiens. The sequence continues at coordinate 11,343,577 of NC_000005.10, read as the reverse complement.
TTATTTCTTTACAAAAAAGAAAAAGGAAAAAGAAAGAGTATATTTATGATTTTTTTTCAGAGGATGAATGGCAGTACCAGTATCTGTGTAGGAGTTGGGAAGAATGAAGGAAATTGTCTAAGTAGTTCTGGCATCCCTGATCGATTGCTTATTGGATGTGTGGTCTTTGTTATATTTTTCATTTCCGGCATCTACCTTATTTTTCTTATTGTAGACCAGTATCTCTTCTCTGTTAGAGAGTTTTAGTATTATTCAGTGAGAAGTGTTTAAGCAAATACTGCATTTTGAAATAATAATTTGAAGTCATGGCAGTTCCACTTCATCATTAGACTTGAAACCAGAGAAGCCATATTGACTTTCTGTGACTCTAAGTCATAGGATACAAAAGGATTGGTTCTGAGGGGTTGGGATTTTCTTGTTGATGGTTGGCTCAGTCATTTGGATTGTGGCAAAGCTTTGGTCTTTTCTCTTTTGACTAGTCATCCTATATGCCAACAGAAAACCCACAGAAATGTCTTATCCAATTTTCTTTGTAAAGCCAGCAGTCACTGAGATCATTTTTAAACCTGTAAAATTCCCTTTACAGCCCCATTTGCTAAGAAGATTTTATTTGTAATTGTATGTTATTTTCCATAAAATGTGAATCTCTTAAGGATTGTTATCATAGCTAATATATTTGTAGGTACTACACCAGCTATTGAGTTCTATATACTGTTGTTTTTAAACATGAAAGTCAAATATAACTCTTAAATTATATGAAAGAAGTGTCAGTCATGTTGGTAGTGATAAGTCACAAAAGCATTCTCATTTTGAAAATTTGATGATGAAACAAATGGAAAAAAACACAGCAAGACTGATATACCCAGATATACTAAGGGTATTATAACTGTCTTGTCTATCAAATAATAAAAGTCATGGTTAAGATATATTACTGACATAATGTGTAAATTGTAGCAGTAATAGCAACTTTTAATCGTGTTTGATTAATCCCTTTTTGAGATGTTGTAATCCTTGGTGTACACTATCTCGAAAGCAGTTTTTCAAACATGCTTAAAGAATCTCACTTTTTATGAATGTGATTTGCAATAGAACACTATCTTCTATTTTGTTATTCATCATAACAGGAATACATACAATGGCACATTTTTAATGCTGATGCTGGGCCCAAATTATAGCAGCTGCACTTTCAGTCGGCTCTATCAAACTCACTCCATGGATTTGTTCCGTTTCAAACCGCAAAATTTGACTAAGAGTATGACAATATGCACTTTTAAGGAATTATGTATACATTTCCACTATATTTTGTGTGCTGTTTCGAAATAGTAACAACATTTATCTTATTGTTGGACACTTTATTGTTAAATCTCATTAATGAATATTACTTATAAATATTTTACTACTAGGTAAACCTTGGTAAAGAATGTTTTCCAAATGCTGCTTTTTCTTTTTTTAACTGTTCACGACGCATGTGCACATGTGGACACACACACACACACCCACGCGCATGCATATATAGTGAATTGAAAGCTCAGGAAACAAAATATACTATAAAAATGCTTTTATTTTTTGAGACAAGGTTTTGCCCTGTCACCCAGGCTGGAGTGCAGTGGTGTGATCCTAGCTCATTGCAGGCTCAAACTTCCAGGCTCAAATGATCCTCCCACCTCAGCCTCCCAAGTAGGTGGGACTACAGGCTGGCCACAAGCCTGGTTAAATTGTTTTTATTATTTTTTTTAGAGAAGGGGTCTTGCTGTGCTGCCCAGGCTGGTCTTGAACTCCCTGACTCAAGTGATCCTCCTGCCTTGGCCTCCCATAGGGTTGGAGTTGCAAGCATGAGCTACAGTGCCTGGCATAAAAATGCTTTTAAAAAGATGAAGACTTGAAGAATATTTTTTAAATATTAAAGTTTAAACAGTATTATGTAACTTGTTACCATGTAACTCAAATAACATGGCTGAAATGTTTGCAGTAAACCACATATCATATTTTTCAGGGTCCAATTCTCTCAGGTGATGAATCTCTGGGTAGTTTGCTTTTAACTTCAAATGCTCACTAATTATTTATTTAACTGAGGAAATATCCAAGGGGAGAAATACTGGATTCACAACTTAAAGACTTCTGGAGTTTGAAGAGTGCCGGAGGTCGTTTATCAGTTGAGCTAATAGCAATCCCAAAACCTTGCCATTCAGCCCCTGCTTGAATGCCTTGAGCAACAGGCCCCTCACCATCTCTTGAACCATTTTATTTTTCTTTGAGTAATCCAAGCCTTATGCACTAGTTTATATTGATACAGAAATCTGCATCTTTTGTAAGTTCCTTCACTGATCTTGTTTCTGACCTTTGAAATCGTTTGAGAATACACCTATCCCTTTTTCAAAGAGTGGCCTTGGGAGACAGTTCCTGCACCTCACTCCCAGGCCCAAGGCTCCTGCCCCTGTGCTAGCTGCCATTGTTCCATGAGCTGTCACTTCTGGGCCCAACAGTGGCTGATGTCCCTCCAAATTATGCTTCACACATCACCAGCAAGTATAGAAAGAGAGTAAGTGTTACTTTGGGCAAACCTGGGTTCACTTTAGGGTTTCTTGACAGTAAGATGACAACAATGTTTATAACAGTGTTGATGATAACAATGATGATGAAAGTTAATTATTAAGTTCCATGCTCAGTGTTGAATATTTTATATTCGTTATCTAATTTAATCATCCCAAAATCTCTATCACATGACTTTTTATAATACCTATTTTACATGTGGGGAAACTGAGGCTCAGAGAGGTGGAAACAGAACCCAAATCTGACTTTCAGTCTCGTGTTTCTAATTGTAATGGACATTCATACCTATTTGAGCTGTAGAATCAAACAAAATGCCAAGTCTTTTCACAGGCAACTTCTGCAAAACTATGAATCACTGATCTTATCTGGAATTTTCTTTTTAACATAAATGAAGAACTTTACATTCACTTCTTGTAGAGTGATTCCATTATTTGATACTATAGAAATCTTTTTTGGGTCCCAATTTTGTTATCCAGTATAATTATAAACACTGCTCCACATCCTTTGAAATGGGAAAATCAGACATATGTGTCCTCAGCGAGGTTGTATCCAGGTACATCCTGGCCCCAGGATGGAGCCTGCAGCCCTCACTCCTCAGGACCTCTCCCTCTGAATCCATCTGAAGGCATTACTATCTTCTAGATGGCTTTTCCATGGAAGATTCCAGAGTGGGTGCTGCAGATCTAAGAGCCTGAAAACAGCCTCATTTTTTAATGAGCTTTCAAAGTTGTGTGAGAGGGAAAGGGACATCTACAAATGACCATCATGCTATGGGGAAATAAGGCAGATGTGACAAAAGCGGTACCGCGGGAGGAGGTGAGGGCTGGTACATGGTGAGGAACAGATGGTATTGCCACAGGAAGAACTGAGATAAAGCTTTCCAGGTAAAGAGGACAGTTAAAAAGAAAAGAGGTCTGGAAATGGAGGAGGGTAGCCAGTGGGAACACTCAGGCCTGGCTCAGTTGGGATATTGGGCTACAGAGGGCAGCTGTCTCTGAATGCCCTGTCCACCCACCCAAATCAGGACAAAGTGGTAACTTGAAAGCTTGCACTTCCAATATGTGGATTTGTTTAACTTATAAATTATAACCATAGTGTATTAATTTCTTAGGGCTGCTGTCTTAGCCCATTAGGGCTACCATAAGAAAAATATCTCTGGGTAGCTTGATATGAAAAGAATTTATTTCTTACACTTCCAGAGTCTGGGAAGTCCAAGATCAAGGTGCCAACAGACTGTGTGTCTAGTGAGGGCTCTTTCTGCAGAGATGGTGCCTTCTCTCTGTGTCCTCACAAAGTGGGGTCTCTTTTAAAAGGGCACTAATCCCATCAATGAGAGCTATACCCCCATAACCTAGTCACCTCCCAACATCTCCACCTCCTAATGCATCACATTTGTGATTAGGTTTCAGCCTACAAATCTAGGGGGTCACAAACATTCAGACCATAGTGGCTGCCATAATAGATTACCACAAAGTGGGTGGCATAAACCAGGAGAAACTTATCATCTCACAGTTCTGGAGGCTGGAAGTCTGAAATCAAGGTGTCAGCAGGACCATTTCCCTTCAAATTCAGTTTTTCCTGTGGCAATACCATCTGTTCCTCACCATGTACCAGCCCTCACCTCCTCCCGCGGTACTGCTTTTGTCACATCTGCCTTATTTCCCCATAGCATGATGGTCATTTGTAGATGTCCCTTTCCCTCTCACACAACTTTGAAAGCTCATTAAAAAATGAGGCTGTTTAAAAAATGAGGCTGTTTAATGAAAGCTCATTAAAAAATGAAGGAACTGGGCCGGGCGCGGTGGCTCACGCCTGTAATCCCAGCACTTTGGGAGGCCGAGGCGGGTGGATCACGAGGTCAGGAGTTCGAGACCATCCTGGCTAACACGGTGAAACCCCGTCTCTACTAAAAATACAAAAAATTAGCCGGGCGAGGTGGCGGGCGCCTGTAGTCCCAGCTACTCGGGAGGCTGAGGCAGGAGAATGGCGTGAACCCCAGGGGGCGGAGCCTGCAGTGAGCCGAGATTGCGCCACTGCACTCCAGCCTGGGCGACAGCGAGACTCCGTCTCAAAAAAAAAAAAAAAAAAAAAAAAAAAAAAAAATGAAGGAACTGTGTACTCAGCCCTCATAGCCAAGAGGGAAGATAGGAAGAAGGGAGAGAAGACTCCAAGGCAAAAAGACCTTTTTGTTTTATAAAACTTCCTTTTCAAGAGTTCTTTTATCAGTTTAAAAGAAAGTAATGTTCACACACAGTATTTGTCTGTGATAATATTGATTTTTTTCAGTACTTATAATAAACAATTGCATTCCAAAATAACAACTCATTTCTAATGCTACCTAAATATACCCACCTAATTTATACTAAGGCAGGTTCTGGCATAGGGGCCTCCATGATATCATGTGGTCAAGAGTAATGAGAGACAGGCAATCATGCCTGATGCATAGTCCTACCCAAAGTACTAGTTACTTAATTCCTCGTTAGCAAATACCCCATCCTTTGCGATGGTGGAAATCCGTTTTGTGCTCTCGTATACAGACCTTCCTCTAGGGAACGAGCCTCTTCTCTTCCAAATCCATGTGCTATCAGTAAAACAGACTGTACCCCAAGTTCAGAAGGTGAGTGTGGATCTCATACTTGGCCCAAGAGCTGACAACCCATGGGGTCCCCACTCCTAGCCAGGGCCTCGAGGACTGCAGAGAGGTCTGTGAGACCCATGTTCCAGTTCTCTAAAGTGGGCTCCAGGCATTCTGGGCTTCCCTACATCACTTGGGGGCAAAAAGCCAAATCCAAGCTAGCTAGAGCCAACATATAGCAGCTAAAGCGACTTTCACATGTTCGCCTCCTTCTCAGTGTAGTTCACCCTCCCTAACACCCCTGCTACACACCTTGTTCACTCCCTACCTGTGGTTGTGTTTCTTATATTTGGTCTCCATTAAAAAGCCAGGAACTAAGATGTCCTGGGTCACTTAGCTTGTGTCTCTGATGAATTACAAGTGGATCCATCATATTTGCTTATTCCATCTTTCCAGAACTTTCTTTTTTAACCTTTCTACCTGAAGTCCACTATATCCCCTGTTCCAGGAACAGATATATTATCTTTCCTCTAATTTAAAGCAACTGAGAAGTACCATGCAATAATTAAAGTAGCATGAAATTTTTACAAAATAAGCTTATTGGAGACACTAAATCTGATGATAATGTCCAGTATCAAGGGTATCTTGGATCAGTAGAAGTCAGAACTTAATGAATTTTAAGGTCCCCAATAATGCTAAGTACAGTGATAACACATTAAAAAAAAGCAGGTAGTGCTTTAAAGGAGTAATCTACTGAATTCTCAAATAATTATCCGCAATGTTGTCATTATGCTTTAAGTTTATAGCTTTATCAGTAATTTGTATTACTTCCTCTTTCGTGGTTAATCTCTGTCATTTTACTGATGATATTGTATATGATGTATGTGTGATATGCATGTGTTATCTATGGGATTTAGATATTCTCATACTGGAAGGAGAATGGGGTCTTGCAGGTGGAATTGTTCCTTGTACCATTTTGTGATGAAACAGATATCAAAGACTGCAAATGAGAAGAAAGGTCCTTGGTAGGTGGGGGAAGTAAATCTCTCTCTTCATCTGCATTTGAAAAAAATGGTCAGAATGTTTAAGAGCACAAAAGGAGAGTGAATATTAAAAATGGCACCTCTTGGAAGTCAGCTGAGAACCAAAAACAAGGGAGCCTCTTTCCCTGGAATCTCATGGAGAATTAGAGTGGCTTGTAATTCCAGAGAGGAAGTTGTGAAATCTAAACACTCCAGTTGGATGCACAGATTGTATTTAAAATCCGTGTGCTTCCCATTTATTTCCTGCTTGATATCTTTTAGAGTTCTGGGAAGTGGTTTCGAAGGAATGCAAAGAAGGTTCTGTGCTTCAAAAGGTATCAAAGGAAGATTTTGTGGGTCTAGTCTTGAACAAGATTGTGAACATGGAGGACAGCACCCCTGCTACCCAAAGTTGGTTCCCACGTTGTGGAACCCTCACCAGAGAGAGGGAAACCAAAAAAATTCAGGTGACAAAATTGGCTCACTGGGTCAATCATTCCTCAGGGACTGTCTTCCTCTAGGGATAATCTTGACAGCCTTAGACTTTTATTAAAGAAAGTTATGTGTGTGTGTGTGTGTGTTTGTGCCATATAGATTATGAGTGTATTTGTGTGATATGAGCATTTGTATGTACACATAAATTATATGTAGATATACTATTTGTATACATACATATACACACATAATTTGTCTATGTGGCATACAGATGATAAATAATGTGTGTATATGTATCTATGTAGTATGTGTACACATGTGTATAAACACATGTATTTATATATACATGTAATCCATCTGTTTATTGGCTCTGCATGCATTTATCCAAAGATAAGATATACAAACCTTGCATAAGCACATGTTTGTTAATGCTACAAAGGGCACACAGTAACAAAGTGTTGATTTTCTGTCTTCTCTATTTATCAGTGTTGATAGGGTGTTGAAAACTAAAAGTATAAATTCACAGACTTAGACACAAGACTTGTTTTCCTTATAGAAGTATGGATAAGTCATAGTAGCTATAAAATTTTTGAAAAGCCCATTCTGGTTGTGTGTTTATGTATTTAATAGGCATCCACATACCCACGTTCAACCTTTCGAACTCATGTTCTGTTCAAAGTACACTATGCCTTTCAGAGACCTTGGCCAGTTCTGTTAACCAGTGGAGAGCGTCCAGGTTATTGGCATGTTGAACAAAGAATTGGACAAAACTCACAAAGCAAGGAAAGAATGAAGCAACAAAAGCAGAGATTTTTGAAAATGAAAGTATAACTCCACAGGGTGAGAGCAGGGCTGAGCATAGGGGCTCAAGAGCCCAGTTCCAGAATTTTCTGGGGTTAAATACCCTCTAGAGGTTTCCCATCAGCCACTTGGTGTACACCCAATGCAAATGAAATAGTGGCCAAAAATCTGATTGTAACCTTTGTCACTCCACTTCAGCCTCTGATTGGTTGTGGAAAGCAACCAATCAGAGGCTGAAGTTACAAAGGTTACATCCTATGCAAATGTCTGATTGGTTGTAGAAAGCAACCAATCAGAGGCTAAAGTGAATTTCCAAAGTTACACCTCTGTGCAAACAAAGACTTGGCCCACAATCAGTCTGATTGGTTGTGGAAAGCAACCAATCAGAGGTATTTTCAATTTTCCATCTGGCACACAGAAAAGGGAGTGGGAATTTGCAAAGGGAGTAGGCTCTGGTCCTTTTGTTACTTAGGTGTGAAAAGTTGAGGTTTTTCTTTTGATTTAGTCCTAGGAAGTCAGTGTGAATTGGCCTTAGGTTCCCCGCCGCCAGACCCTATTCTCCTGCCTCAGTTCCTAAAAGAGCTTCCTTCCCTTATTCTTCAATGTGTACTACTATGGGAAACGTGTTTTATTTTTAGCATATCTCAATTAATCCATCCTCAAAGTCCTTATTTATTCTACCACAAGTGGAATTCTGAAATCTCCTTTGGTTATTTCATGTGCAAACCAGTTTTGATATTTGGCTTGATGTCCTAAGTCATTTTCCTTCACCATCTGACTTTGAACATTTGAGGACAAAAATGGAGCATTCAAAATATTTATTGTCTTACAAAGCAGGTTGTAGTTGACTGTCAGTGTTTAACTAATGAAAATTAATTTCCATTGCTTCTTGAGATGTTTTGCAGCTAATAGTGCTCATTAATTTGGAGATACTGACCTTGATAAGGAGAAGATTAGCATTTTATAGTAAAAAATATATTTTAAACAGAAATCCCATTGCTCATGGTGCATTTCAAGTTTGACAATCCTAGTAACTTAAATTACTGAATCTACTGAAGAACATGTTCAGCGACTATAACTGGGTTGCTGAACCAAGTGTGCTTTAGCAGGCACTTAATTCTACTAAGAAGACAAGAAGGAGGAGGAAAGGAGGAAAGGTAAGAAAGAGAAGAAGATACCAGTGGGAAATTCAGCAGGCTATACTCTGACACACACAGTGCTTTATGTACTAAAGTGCATTGAAGAGTAAGATGACAGAAGTATCCTCACTTTTTCATTATTGTACCTTTTCAGTATTCTAGGGACACTTCAATATATGCTTTGTTCTTTGAATGTGTTTATTGTTTAAAATTCCATACCGGAGGGTCCTTAGTTTGGGGGCCTCTTTAGAGATGAAGCTCCACATGAAGGAGTTTGGAATGTGTTTGTTAACTGAGACATTTGCAAGAAACCCCCAAAGTGAGGGCCTCCATCTACCCTATCTATCTGCTCTTGAAGGATGCTACAGTGAGACCCTAGGGTGGCTCCCCCATCTTTGAAATGCAGCCCAGTGGTTCCCAACATTTTCGGAATTCAGACACAAGTTAGTTACATATGAAGGGATAGGTGAGATGCCGGCAGAGGGCGTCCAGTCTTTCACTTGACAAAGGATTTCCTCCAGCACTTCCTAATATACTGGAAAGACAGATATGAAATCAGCCTGGGATGTAGTCTTTTCAACTGAATAAAAGAGGCCTTATGAAAAAAATGAAAGTTGGTTTACAGACAGGTGGTTGGAACACTGACTTAGAAACCCACAATGATGGAGCCTTTATTTTTCTGAACGAGTAATGTAAAATTACCTTAAGATACTCACGTGCCATAGAATAGTTGTATATATTTATGGGTTACAGTGTGATGTTTCTATACATATATAGTACATCATTATTAAATTAGGTTACTTAGCTTATCCATCACCTCAAACGTGTATGATTTCTTTGCAGTGAAAACATTCAAAATTTGTGTCCCAGTGAGTGTGAAAAAGAAATCCTGGCCATTTATCTTCTTTACCTTACCTATGTTTACCATTTTGAATGTGTTTGCTAAATGAATGAGTGACTAGAATTATAATATCTCCTCAATATTTTCAAGTTTTTCAAAGTAGCAATAATATTTAAATCTTAATAATTTCTGAAAAATCTCCCAATACCTAGCATCCAGCATAGAATTAAAGTAATAAAGTGTGTGGTAGGATGGCCGCAATGACCCCGGTCTCCTGGGGTTCACACCTTTCTGTCTTCCCGCCCGAAATGAAGCAGAGCTGGCCCGTATGACCAGTAGGATGCCATAGGGGTGGCAGTGTGTGGCTTCTGAAGGTAAGGGAGCCAGGCTGACGTCCTAAGGACGTCCAAACAGCCCATGGTGAGGAGTCAACCTGCCTGCCAAGTGAGCAAACCCTTTCAAGCAAATCCGCCAGGGTCAGTAGAGCCTTTGGATCTTCCAGGTCAGCTCCCAGACGTGGTGAAGCAGAGAAGGTCATCCCTACTCTTCCCTATCTGGTGTTCCTATGAACCTGTGAGGTGTCATAAGTGAAGATTGTTGTTTCCAGCCTTTAAGTTTGTGGGATGATGATTTGTTATGTCTGATCTGACTGATCATCTCACAAAACTATCCATCTTTCCCTCTAATATCATCTGGGGAATTCCCTTTACCTTTGCTTATCGAAATAAAAAAGAGCAACCTGGGCAATATGGCAAAACCCTGTCTCTACAGAATAATACAAAAATTAGCTGGGTGTGGTGGCACATGCCTGTGGTCCTATCTACTGTGAAGACTAAGGCAGGAGGATCATTTGAGCCCAGGAAGTCGAGGCAGCAATGAGTTGTGATTGCACCACTGCACTCCAGCCTGGGCAACAGAGTGAGACCCTGCCTCAAAAAAACAAAAAAAAGAAAAGAATAGAAAAGAAAAAAGTCAAAAGGTTGAAACAATCTAAATGTCCATTGCAAAATGTAGTATACAGTATACATATGATGGAGTTTTATTCAGCTGTAAGAAGGGAGGAAATTCTGATACATACTACAAGAGGGATGAATCATGAAGACATCATGCTAAGTAAAATAAAGTAGATAGAAAAGGATGAATATGTATTAGTCCATTTTCACACTGCTGATAAAGGCATACCCAGGACTGGGTGATTTATAAAGACAAACAAGTTTAATGGACTCAGTTCCACGTGGCTGGGGAGGCCTCACAATCGTGACAGAACGTGAAAGGCATGTCCTACGTGGCGGCAGGTAAGACAGAATGAACGAAAGGGGTTTCCCCTTATAAAACCATCAGATCTCATGAGACTTATTCACTACCACAAGAGCAGTATAGGGAATTCAATTATCTCCCACCACGTCCCTCCCATGACACGTGGGAATTATGGGAGCTACAATTCAAGATGAGATTTGTGTGGGGACACAGTTTAATTATATCACTGTATGCTCCAATTACATGAAGTACCTAGAATAGTCAAATCTAAGAGACCAAAAGTAGAATAGTGGTTTCCTGGGGATGTGGGAAGGGGAAATGAGAAGTGTGTAATGGGTATAGAATTTCAATTTGGATGATGAAGAAGTTTTGGAGATGGTTAGTGATGATGGCTGTATAACAGTATGAATGTACTTAATGCCATGGAACTGTACACTTAAAAATAGTTAAAATTGTAAATTTTATGTTATGTATATTTTACCATCATAAATAGAAGGAAGGAGACAACTACAGGCTGGCCAGGCACTGCCTCCTATAGACAGAAACCAAGGCTGCATGGACGAGCAGGAGATGAATCCCCAGGGAGGCAGCACCCAGGCCTCATGGATCCTGATCCTTTCAAAACAGTGCCTCCCACTACCATGTAGGAAGCTCGAAAGCCCACCTTTTTTTTTTTTTTTTTGAGACGGAGTTTAGCTCTTGTTGCCCAGGGTGGAGTGCAATGGCGCGATCTCCACTCACCGAAACCTCCGCCTCCCAGGTTCAAGCGATTCTCCTGCCTCAGCCTCCCAAGTAGCTGGGATTACAGGTACCCGCCACCACACCCAGCTAATTTTGTATTTTTAGTAGGGACGGGGTTTCTCCATGTTGGTCAGGCTGCTCTCGAACTCCCGACCTCAGGTGATCCGCCCACCTCAGCCTCCCAAAGTGCTGGGATTACAGGCATGAGCCACCATGCCCGGCCTACATTATTCTTAAATCAGGGTACTTAGCTTACCTATCACCTCAAGCACTTATGATTTCTTTGTAGTGAAAATATTCAAAATCTTCTAGTTATTTTGAAATATACCATATAATATTGTTAACTGTAGCCACCCCAGTGTGCAATAGAACACCAGAACCTATTCCTCTTATCTGTAATTTTGTACTCATTGACCAATCTCTGCCCATCCCTCCTCCCCACTAAAGTAGCTTTTAAATTAAATGACATAATATTATTCTATAAAATAAAAATAGTTGTGTATGCTATTTGGGAAATCTCGCCTTGGGGTTTTAGATATTTTCATTCATTCATTCACTCAACAAATATGTTCTAAGTACAAATAGTCAGGTATGTTCTGGACCCTGAAAACTTTTCCATAGGGAAGATGAGGTAGGAATGTTAACTAGGAAATAAATAAAAAATAATCATGTTTAAAATTACATAAACTTAAAAATAGATCACATTTAAATGAAAGCGACCTGCCAAAATTTTATTAAAAATTACCCTTAGTAACTGATTATATGAGCTACCACATAATTCTATTAATATTTTAACAACCTCAGGAGTTCCTACTGTGCCTTTTGCCTTTAGAACCAAAGTTCTGTTTCCTGACTTCTACAGGGGTTAATTTCCCCTCATACTGAGGAGGAAAGCAGTAACTCATACCTCAAAAATGCTAAATCAGAAGGCTTTCAACCAACACAAAGAAAGCAGATAAAAAATAAGCATACCCTTTCTTCCAGGAACCAACAGTACTCTTGTCCCTATCTCTTCTTGACAAAGAAGTCTGCTATATTTCAAGCCAGGCTCAGTTATATTAGAAAAGAACTCATTAAGATAAGTGGCAATTAACATCTATGCTGCAGTAAAAGTGCTTTCGACATTAAAGAAGAAAATACAAAGCATGGGATTTTTTAGATAAACGGAAACGTTTCTGTAGGGTGCCTTGCTATGTATTTGCTGTTCTTTGTTTTGAAGATGACTGAAGTATTAACAGACTTAAATTTACTATAAATCAGCTTGAAAGTAACAGACAATATTGCTAATATTGTAAAATGGGCCTCTAGGAACTCAAACACTGCGTATGTTTGCTAAACAGTGTCCATACACTTAGGCTCACACACAGACACACACAGGCTGGACTTGCTCTGTATAAGTTAGCTGAACTCTTTCTATTTTTTTTTTTTTTTTTTGATACAGAGTTTTGCTCTGTTGCCCAGGTGGGAGTTCAGTGGTGCTATCTTGGCCTACTGCAACCTCTGCCTCCTCAGTTCAAGTGAGCATGCCCAGCTAAATTTTGCATTTTTAGTAGAGACAGGGGGTGGGGGTTCATCATGTTGGTCAGGCTGGACTGGAACTCCTGACCTCAAGTGATCCACCACCCGCCTCGCCCTTCTGCAATCCTGGGGTTACAGGCATGAGCCACCACACCCAGCCTGAACTCTGTAACCATAAGTTTTCCTTTCTTTTTTTTTTTTTTTTTTTTTTTTTTGAGACGGAGTCTCTCTCTGTCACCCAGGCTGGAGTGCAGTGGCGTGATCTCGGCTCACTGCAAGCTCCACCTCCCAGGTTCATGCCATTCTCCTGCTTCAGCCTCCTGAGTAGCTGAGACTACAGGTGCCCGCCACCACGCCCGGCTAATTTTTTTTTTTTTTTTTTTGTATTTTTAGTAGAGACGGGGTTTCACCATGTTAGCCAGGAAGGTCTCGATCTCCTGACCTCGTGATCCGCCCGCCTCAGCCTCCCAAAGTGCTGGGATTACAGGTGTGAGCCACCGTGCCCAGCCAGATTTTCATGTTTAAAAAGGAAACAAGTTTCTGTCTGATTATCCTACACTATTGCTTTAATAAAAATCAAGGCAACACAGGCAACGTACAACAGGACCTTTATGTACATCCACATGTGATGTGTGTATCATTCAGGCCCATACTGTCTGCTGAAGTTCCTGTATGTAACATGCTACATTAGCTCATTCACTGCAGTAATCACTTACAGACTACAAGGAATGAAATAAGCTCTGGTTATCTCAGTCAATAGGAGCTTGTTGTAAGTTTCCAGAGGGGTATGAAAGAGACAGGAAGCTGTTTCAGCAACCTTAGCCAGACGAGTCTCATTGAAAAACAGATCACGGTGCTGGATACCAAAGCTGCTTTGGGACCATGGCAGGAGCCTTGGGGATGGCGCTGAGAATCGGGCATTTGCTGAGCCCCTTTGCAGAGCCTGGCAGTGTGGGTCTCTGCCTCTGCACTCATGACCCTGCCACCCTGACGCTTCCCTCTGACCACCTTCTTCTCTCCTGGTCTCCAATCTCTGACTTCCTGGGCTGCTATTGCACAGGACTTCTGCAGAGATCTGCATCTCTCCAGTGTGGGTAACTGTAGCACTCTGAATTCAGACTGGCTTAAGAGAGGTGTTATGGGCTGAATTCTGTCCCCAAATGTATATGTTGAAATCCCAACCCCCCAGTACCTCAGAATGTGACTGTATTTGGAGATAAGGCTTTAAAGAGATGATTAACTTTGGCCAGGCATGGTGGCTTCCACCTATAATCCCAGCACTTTGGGAGGCCGAGGGATGGGGATCACTTGAGGTCAGGAGTTTGAGACCAGCCTGGCCACCATGATGAAACGCCATCTCTACTAAAAATATAAATATTAGCCGCGTGTGGTGGCGCATGCCTGTAGTCCCAGCTACTCAGAGGCTGAGGCAGGAGAATCGCTTGAACCCAGGAGGTAGAGGTTGCAGTGAGCCAAGATTGCACCACTATACTCCAGCCTGGGTGACAGAGCAAGACTCTGTCTCAAAAAATTTTAAAGAAGGATGATTAACTTAAAATGAGGCCATTAGGGTGAGCCCCAATTCAATAGGACTGGTGTCCTTATAAGAAGAGGAAGAGGTGTCAGAGATGTGGTTATACAGAAAGACCTCATGAGGACAGTGGGAATTTGTTCATCTACAAGCCAAGGAAAGAGGCCTCAGGAAACATGTAAGCTGCCAGGACTTGGATCTTGGACTTCCAGCCTCCAGAACTGGGAGAAAATAAATTCCTGTTTAAGCACCAAATCTGGGATATTTTGCAGGGCAGGCCCAGTAAACTAATACAAGAGGCTCAGTCTGGAGCCATGAGTGGGTGTCCAGTATGAAACACACTGGACACAGCTCACCTGCTCTTGGCAGAGCTGTCTGTGGGTCAGTGGGAATTCCCATAGCATTCAGCTGAAGTGGGACTTCGCAATAATCTGCACGTGTAGATCTTCAAAGAGGGGCTGTTGGGAGTATGGTAGCCCCTGAGAGAAAGCCCAGAAGGAGGCATATTAAGTGGCCATTCATTCTGCTCATATAGATGTATCTTTTCTGAAGATGAATTTTGGATTGGACGCAATGGCTCATGCCTGTAAAATCCTAGCACTTTGGTAGGCCAAGAAGGGCAGATTGCTTGAGCCCAGGAATTTTGAGACCAGCCTGGGCAACATGACAAACCCCATCTCTACAAAAAATACAAAAAACAACAACAAAAAAAAAGGTCTGGTGACAAGCACCTGTAGTCCCAGCTACTCCAGAGGCCGAGGTAGGAGGATCACCTGAACCTGGGGAGGTCAAGGCAGCAGTGAGCCGTGATGGCACCACTGCACTCCAGCTTGGGCAACAGAATGAGATACTGTCTTGAGGAAAAAAAAAAAAAAAAAGAATTTTGTGTAGTGTTTAAAATTTAACATGCAGTTCAACACATATACATTTATCTGCTCTAAATTTGAAAGGTTTGTGTAAGATGTAGAAAATGAGATTTGGAAAAAAGAGTCATTTTTCTAGTTTTCCATATAAGTCATTAAACATATGTATAAATCAACCTAATGTAATAAATCACTAGCGCTTTGATAAAGTGAACGTACTCACTTATGGGAATGAAATGGTTTCTACAGAATAAGAATCACTGTCATTTCCATTTTATTCCTTTGGTTTTAAAATCACAGAAATGAAATCTAGCCTACCACATCTTGAATTTTTCCATAAAATATATTATTGTACTTAAAAAATTACAAACACTAGACTGACCAAAACTTAAACTTGTTAACACCTTTTCTGGATCCTTGCTATCTGAAATAAGGTTCTAAGACCTGGGTGCTGGTTAGAAATGCAGAATCCCAGACCCTGCCTCACATTTACTACATCAGAATCTGCATTTTATCAAGATCCCTGGGTGATTTCTGCACGCATTAATGTCTGAATCACCAATTTTATCATCAGAAACATCTCTTAACAACCACATTTAGTTTATTGCAGAAGTTAGAAACCAAGCTATGACGTTATGATGTTACTCCTGTTTGACCTTGTAAATCTGCTTGTAATTATAACATCAGTGGCATAATAAGGCCCCAGGATCACTTGACCTTAACAGTCTTAGAGTTTTCGTTTATTTGATCAGAAGTCTGGATTTGAGAATCCAGGTGTTTAATATAGTTGACAATGTGATCAACAAAATTTACACTCACTTTTTAGAAGGTTGTAATAGAGTTTGTGAAGACAATTTACCTTTTAGATTTTTCTCACAGGAACTATTCCCTTTAAAAAGTCAAAAGTTTCAACTTGCCTTTCATAGGTTTCAAACAATGCTTACCCCTTTTCCAGCCCGTGCCAAATCCCCCTAAGTTCTCTTTTTTCTCCCACTGAGCCTTTGTCCCACTTTGCCTTTGGGGATCTGGACTGTTCATCCCAGAATCACTTATACTTGCTGAAAGCTTTATTCTTTCCCTTGCTTGACTCACCCTTCTTTGTCCTTTCCCACTGGCCCTTGACCTCCACCTGACCCAATGCAGTAGCCACATCCCGGCTGTCTTCTCTGGTTAACTTCAGCCTGTAGCATACCCTCTAGCTTGAGATGCCTCAACGTGGACCCTGGACATAGGCACTTCATGCTGTGTGGTTGTCATCAAGGAATCGGATGGTGCCTTGTGTGTGCTCCTTACCAATTAGGAGGACAATCATCAGAAGTCACCAATGCACAGACAGATGTAAGACCATTCTCTACAGCGAGCATGCGTCCCAGGAGATGCCTCTGCATCACCTTGAAACTTAGAGTTCACTGTTCGAAATGCAGAATCCCAGCTGTGCCCCCACCCACCTACTGATCTGAATCTGCATTAGCAAGACCCCCCAGTTGTGATTCATTGACATCAATGTTAAAGATGCCCTGATCTGAAGGTCGGTGTTGCCCAGCTCTTTTCCTTCTGCCTCATTGAAAAAGGCCTTCCCATTTGTTACACATTGTCATGCAGTTTGGCACCCTTACCTGGGGTTGAGCTGTCAGGGAGCAAAGGGATGAGGATGTGGAGGCACACAGCTCATTACAGGCCTCGTGAGGGAGAAGAGAGAAATGTACACCTAGAAGGCAGCAGTACTGCAAACTCTGTTCAGGATGGTTTCACAGGGTTAGAGATAGGAATTGTACCCTTTACATTGTAGATCAGTGGCTTTCAGGCTGAGATGGTGTGTCCCAGGGGTGAGGGGTCCTGCCAATCAGTTTCAAGACACTCACTTGGCCAATGTCTACTGGCCCTTCCCTGACTCTCTTTTCCATGTCCCTCTCACAGTAATCCCACCCTCTTCTCAAATAAAGGCCAGCCTCTGACTCCCCAGGAACCTCACTACATATTACTATGGACAAACCTTCTCAACTCTTGCATCTATAAAAACCAAAGATAGAAATAGATTCGTTGACCAAAGAAGTCACACATCTATACACTTGGTAAGGAAGGCTTTATTTGTGAAAGAGGGTACCACAACCTGCAGGCCAGAAGCAGAGCATCCTGTTGAAACCAAAAAGCAAGCACTTCAAGGGAGGGGTAAAAGGAACAGGAATTGATGCTGGGAGGGTGGCTTGGTGTACATATTCAGCAGGTTTCAGTTGAAGCTATGAAAATTCACGAAGAGGTGGCGCATGTGTGTGTAATAGGCTAACATATATGCAGCACACATCCCATGTTCACTTTGTGGTGGAGACTCAACATTTAAATGTACTACAGTTAGGCTCTGAACATCAGAATGTGAAACAGGACACAAAAGCCATTTGGGTGCAGTCCTCATAGACTGGCGAGAACCACTCCATGGCCAGTGGTCTCCTATGTTGAAGGAATGCTGGCCAGTTGCTTTGTCAAAAGCACAAAAGGGAAGGGCAGCATCGGGTGGCTGGTTGATAGAGTGGTGGAGTGAGTCTTTGCAAAGTACTGGTTTCTATTTAGCCCTTGGGAAAGAAAGCCTAATGGTGGTTAGCTAGGGAGGGGGTATAATGAGGCCAGGAATTCAATTTTCAAGGCTCCTGTAGGGTCCCCTTGACCAAGAGGAGGTCAGTTCAGTCGGTTGGAGGGCTTAGAATTTTATCTTAGGTTTAGAGATTGATATGGACCTGTCTTAGTCTAGCAATAAATAGCATTCATTCATGGATACATAAATTAATTTTTAAAACCCTGTCTCCACTCATTAAGAGATGTATTTTTCAATAAAATAATGTTTAAGATTCATAATTGCATATCACAATTTGTATGCTTTAATAATTGTATATTATAATTATATATGTCTTGATCAGTTGTGTACTAATGATGCCCACATGATGATAACTCAATCCAAAAGAAAAATTAACAGTTACAGCTTTATGGCCAGAGGAAAAAAGGGATATATATATGTTATATATATATGTGTGTTGGTTTAATGAAATATCAAGGCACTGTCTTTTGATCTATATAGGATTTATTTTAAAGGGAAAAACCATGGAAATTCCTTTAACAACTGAATGCTTCATAATCTCAATTTTACTGGGTCAGCTCCAAGCCTTTCGTAAGCCTGCAAAGGAAAATAAAACTTCTGAAACATTCCATTAGGCTTGACCTTTGAACCAGTTTCTCAGAAACAAGAAAGGAAATGAAGAGTTTCAGCTCTCCTTAAACACCAGTTCAGGCAAAGAGGGTTCATTCTTGCACTACAGACTTTGATTTCCATTTAAGGCTTTCACTCTTTAGACAAAAAAAAAAAAAGGATAATGCATTAAGTTGAAAGCTGGAAAAATTAAACTTGGCCTTCAGTTTTCTGAGAAATCAGCACTCAGTTCTTAGTAAATTTCAGAAGCAAACTTAGCCACCAAACAAATGGTTTCTTTCAATTAATACACAGCAAATAAGGATGTCTGGAGTTGCTTTTAAACAATGGGCCAACTATACACTTTCCCATCCTGTTACCCTCTCCACGTTCAATGGCACACTGTGGTGGAGGTGGCAGGCTGCCCTCGGCTGAGAAGACAGGCATTTCATCTTTTCCAGAAAGCCAGAATTCTGCTCTGCCAATAACCTGATGTGCCCCCGACCTTGTTAGGATAGACACCATTCAGTTTCATCGTTATTATTAGACAAAGAGAAGCCAAGGGAAATAGTCTCAAATACTTCCCAGATTGTGAATACAAGTGAAGGCATACTTTCTTTAGATGGTCGTTGGAATTGATAGGGAAAGTTTCTTTGGTAACTTTCAACAAAAAACGAGTATATGATGGCTTACTAAAATGCACCCTTTAAAGTTTTCTCTGCTGTTTCAAGTGGTAACATTTAGAGAATGATATGCAAAGCTGTGACTTAGAAAATGTTCTGTGTACAGGGAGTGGACATTTCAGCAGGCTTCAATCTGATGGGGAAGATTACCTGTAAAATGGTGTGGGCATTATTATTTCTAATTGTTTTGGCTCGTTTTGCTGCTTGGCATATAAACATGAGAAAAGGGTAACCAGGGCCTACTCTGGGTCCCTGCTGCCCTCACCATGAGGTTCAACCTCTGCATGTTTGGAGTCAAGCCAGACCATAGTCAGAAAATACCTAAGACAGAGTAGCTTAGCGATCCAAGGACTGAACATCAACCTCACACTGTTCCACCTGTCACCTAGGACCTAGGCTTCTGCCTTTTCTGGATTGAGTGTCCATCGAGTTCCCTCCTGCTAATGACCAGATGGTGACGTGCTTCCATCAGCCTGGGCCCCACCCTGACACCAAGCACCTCAGCTTCCTTAAAGCAAGGGTGATTCCCCATTCCTCGCTGGGGAATCCTGTTCCTGGCTAGGACCTCACTCTTTGCTACTCAGAATTTTCTGATGGCATCTGCTTAATTACCTATTGCTCACCTGCTCAGCTTTATGTCCCCAATGCCAGGCCTCTCTCCAGAGTGTCATATTTACACCTAGTAGATATTAGGTTGGTGCAAATGTAATTGCAGTCTTGCCATTGCTTTCAATGGCAAAAACCATAATTGCAATTGCCTCAACTTAATATTTGTTTCAGACATCTCAAACCCAACATGTCTAAAAGAGAACTCATTATATCCCATCAACAGAGACCCCTGAATCTGTTCTGCTCCCAGGATCCTGTACCCTGTCATGGCTGTCTGTTTCCTAAGCTAAAAACACTAGCATCATCTTCAAGTCCTCCCTTTCAGAATGGTGTTGCTTGGAGGGAAGGATAAGACCCCAATGACTTGCTCAGTTGCCTGCTCCTCACTGTGTCCCAACTTAGTTCATCATCATAGATCATGTGACTCATTGACTTTTGGGATGCTTTGAATTTAAGAGCCAGAGTATGTGGGAAAAAAGTCAGAAATACCCTGGATGCAGTGTTTCATGCCTGTATTCTCAGCTACTCAGGAGGCTAAGGCAGGAAGATTATTTGAGGCTGGGAGTTCAAGACCAGCCTGGGCAATATAGTGAGACCCCCCCCCCCAATCTCTAAATGTTTTTGTTTTTTAATTTGCTGGGCAGTGGTGGTGCACACTGTAGTCCTGGCTGCTCGGGAAGCTGAGATAGGAGAATCACTTAACCCCAGGAGTTCAAGGCTGCAGTGAGATGTGACTGTGCCATAGTACTCAAGCCGGGGCAAGACAGCAAGATCCTGACTCAGACAAACAAACAAACAAACAAATGTGTGGTAAACTTGTGCCTCACATATTCATGAAATAAGCCATGTCACAGACATAATTTGTCAGATAACCACATCTGCCCACAGAACTAAAGACCATGTTACTTTTTGCCTCTGATCTCTAAATTTACATCTGTTTCTTTCAACAAATTGCCCTGTAGCCTCCCCTTTAGAGCAGGTATCTCCGTACACAGAGCAAGTATACATACAATCTCTTTAAATGTATTTATTTAAAAAAATACATGCATGTGCTTTGTTACCTGCCGAAGGAGAATGCCCATACTTTTGTAAAAATTTATTTTGACTTTGACAAATATATTTTGTTCTATACTGTGCACATTTTATAGTATCTCACTTGTAATAGGGCACTTTTTATCCTATAGCTGTCAAAATGAAAAAAAGCTTACATAACAAATGTATCCAAGAAGCCACTCAAAATATATATTATAGAACAATTTCATAAAATATTGAAAAATGAATCAACCCAGTGTAGCTTTGTTGCTTTTATATATAGAGTGAAATGACACTTCAGTGGAACTCTTGTGTGGGATAGTGCATTTATATCACCAGTCTTTTTTGGAGGCAATTCATAAATGCTTATTGCATAATATTATTATGCAACTATGCTTTCATTATGTCAACAGAGATTCTCTGTGGCAAGCACTGTGGTAACATTAAAATTACCAAGATGAGTAAGATACGTCTGCATCTTCAAGAAACTTTGGGACCTCTGCGGGAAAATGACAGACCTGCAGTTTCAGTACTGCAACACATGAAGTGAAAATGCTGGGCACTGATATCATGGGAGGCTGAGCAGGAGCAGTTAGCATGGGCAGGAAGAGAGAGGCTTTCTACAGCAAGCTGCATGAGGCAATTGAAGAATAGGCTACTTAAGTGAGGTTCATGATGGGTTTCTGCAAAAGAAAGAGTATGATGCGTATAGAGAAGCAAAAGTTACTGATCATGGGAGTTGCAGTCGTGTGGAGGGAGGGATAGAACAGGACACCACCAGAGGCGTTGTGTGGCAGGCCCAGTTTCCAACAGAGCTCCCCAGGGCTTTCCATTTTTCTGGGGGCTTGGACCTGGGAGGTAACATAACCAGATGTATTCATTGTGCTTGGAATCATGGCCATAAGGAGTGGGGAGATAGGGTTAAGCTTTAGGAAGCTCACCTCTGCTTTAGAATCAGACATGGGAGGACAGTACTATAAGCCAAGCTTCATGCTGAAAATCTCTAGGAAAGAATCACCAAGAACCATGTTCATTACGTTAGTGTGTTTGTGTGTGTGTGATGTGTGTGCATGCATGTGTGTGTGTGGTGCATATGTGCATTGGGGGGTTATTTATTTCTCCAGTCTCTGAAACAGGGACTGTCCCTCACAAGTTTCCCATCTTTCTCTTGCAGCTGTATTACTTTCCATCTTTTATGAACTTCTCACAATCCCTACTTCACATTTTTAATACATCATTCTCAAGATGCCTTGGGTTGATAAGGATGACTTTTGCAGCTATTACAGGGCTTTCTTAAATAGCAATATGTGCAGGCATGATGGAGAAGGTTGTAAGGTTGGCAGTAAGTCACAGCTATTTGTCCCTGGCTTGGTGGCTACTGTTTAAACCTTCCAACCTTGTCCAGTTACCACCATCAACCAAGCAAATCATGGAGGTGATCCCAGAGCAGGGCCCAGCATGCATGGTGGAGAACACAGTATAATGTTGATTTGACGTAATAATCTTATTATCAACACAATATCTGCAAGTGACAAAAATGGAAAATCAAATTCCTTTTTAATGTTGCAACACACATATGTAGAAACTCACTGTTGTATAAAACATTATCCATTTTTATGTCAATTTTCCCGATCACTTAAACTGTTTTAATTCTCTTTTGCTTGGTGGTAGATCCATTACCATTTCAGTTTTATGTTACGAACAGTAGAAAGATGATAAAACTGGTCTTTAGAATGTGTTATTTAGCTCTGCATTTATTTGAGAAAAAAGGTCATATGCATACATTTTCAACTTAGAAAATATTATTTATTGCATAACATTTTAAAAACATCTTGATGTTTATCAAATTCAAAAAATAGATTGTGTAAAGCTATGTTAAATTCTGTTTCTTTAATCGTAGGAATTGGTGTCACTTTCCTAATTTTCTAAGATTAACCAGGGCCTATTTTAGAAATTTGCTTTAAGATACTTGATATGTTTGGCTTTGTGTCCCCACCTAAATCTCATCTTATAGCTCACATACCTCCCACGTGTTGTGGGAGGGATCCGGTGGGAGATGATTGAATCATGGGGGCGGGTCTTTCCCATGCTGTTCTCATGATAGTGAATGGGATCTGATGGTTTTTAAAATGGGAGTTTCTACGCACAAGCTCCCTCTTTGCCTCTTGCCATCCACGTAAGATGTGACTTGCTCTTCCTTGCCTTCCACCATGGTTGTGAGGCCCCCACCCAGCCATGTGGAACTGTAAGTCCAATTAATCTCTTTCTCTTGTAAATTTCCTAGTCTCGGGTATGTCTTTATCAGCAGCATGAAAATGGACTAATACAATACTTTTTCCTTTTCAGTTCTTCAGCTGATTGGGTGTTTGGTATGCTGTACTATTTTCTCACCCACAGAGGATTTTTTAAACCATGACATAGTAGCTGGTTTGTCTGAGGACACCAGTGTTTAGATAAACAAGAAACCTAGTGGAGAAAAAAAACTGAAGCAACTTTACTTATGTGAGTGAAAGTGAAATATATTAATGTTTATGAAGAACAACTTTTTTCCTGTCAAAACCTGCCAACCACATTTACAGAAACTAAAGAAAAAAGAGAGTTACACAAAATATTGTATTTGAGCATCGATTTAATTTCCTTTTGATATTTACCTGTGTTGTAAGTGAACTATGCCAGTTGAATGCAATTGAGCAGTGCCTATGACTAATGAACTGGAATGTAAACTCCGTGCAGAATGGTCAGAACCGCTGGGTGTCGTTTCCATTTCAAATGTGATTAGTGTTCTCAGAGTTCAGCTCAGTGCCTGTGTATATGCAGTGTCCATTTGTGAGCCTGCCAAAGCGGGCCTGACAACTTCATGGAAACAGGAAACACGTTATGCATTTCACACTAAAATATGACAGGCTAAAATATTCTGATCATCAGCTGAAGAAAATCCAAAAAAACAAATACATGAAAAAATACAGATAACTGTAGACTTCTTCAGGCCATGCACAGTGGCTCACGCCTGTAATCCCAGCACTTTGGGAGGCCGAGGCTGGTGGATCACCTAAGGTCAGGAGTTCGAGACCAGCGTGGCCAACATGGTGAAACCCTGTCTCTACTAAAAATTTAAAAATTAGCCAGGTGTGGTGGCAGGAGCCTGTAATCCCAGCTGCTTGGGAGGCTAAGGCAGGAGGATCGCTTGAACAGAAGAGGCAGAAGTTGTGGTGATCTGAGATTGTGCCATTGCACTCTAGCCTGGGCGACAGAGTGAGACTCTGTCTCAAAAATAAATAAATAAAAATAAACGAATAAATAAATAAAGACACTATAGACTTCTGTGGTTTGTCACACACAAAAACTTTGCAAATGACTTCACAGGATGATTTTAAATAGGATATCCGTTGAATAGACATTTTAATTTATAAATATTTATTTTACATATTCTTAAAACTCTCTAATTTTACACAAAATTATTGTGTAGGTCTTTAACCTTCTTTATTCAACAAATACTTATTGAGTATAAACCATGGGCTTGGCTCTGTTCCAGGTATTGGAAAACAGGCACAGTTTCTGTTCTGTTGAAGCTTATCTAGTAGTCAGAAGAAAGAGACATGCAACAAATAAACACAATCTTAAGTAGATAGAAGGTTCTACAGAAAATGAGGCAAGGTAAGGAGATTGGGAATGAGAGGTGTGCCACTTTACATGAGGTGGTCAGGGAAAGCCATAGAAGTGAGTTTGTGGCTCAGTTTGCTCAAGAGTAAAATGAGGATAATAACAGCCCTCTGTTAACAATTGCTGTGTAGAGTAATTTGAGTTAAATATACAGCATGCTTAAAACAGTGCCTGACATTATATAAGTATGTTCTCTCATTATTAATATATATATTATTATTATTATAGACATTTCTATATGTTTTTTCTAGGGGTGGGTTAGAGAGAGAAAAATGGGGCAGCACCTAGAGTGGTTGCATGTGTTGTGACTGTTTGCTTTGTTCTATTTCAGATAAGAGCTTTTACAGCATGTTTTTATGCAGGTGGGAATGCCACCGAAGAAGGATAAAACTTGGTGGGGCGGAAGAAAGAGGGCATCGTTGTAAGGAAGGATCTTACCTATGGGAAAAGGAATGGATTTAGTGGTGTCAAAGGGAAAGGGGACGATTTGTCTACATTTTCACAAAAGCAAAGGCACAGTAGATGAGAACAAATCCAGTTGGGTTGAAGGATCTGGTGAGGAGAGGGTGACTTTTTGTTTTCTCACTGAGAAAAGAAATCAGGTTCTTGCTTGAGCATGAGGAGGGGCCTAAGAGCTAAGGATTGAGGGTTAGGATTGGGGTGCCCATCCTGTACGTGGGAGGGGGCATGGACTGGAGAGGGAGGTGGAACTGCCTGCCACACAGGGCTGAGTGCCCACTTGAAGGGAGTGGTTGTAAATTCAGAGGACAACCTTCAGCATGGCTTGATGTTTGTCTTTGGTCACGTTCAGGACCTGGGACAAAGGAGGCAGTGAGTCAGGCCTCCTCTGAGGTTGCCTGGTGAACACCATGGAGGGACAGGAAGAAGGGATGATAGCAGGGGACTTTGGGTCTAGCCTGGTGGGGAGAGCCAGAGAATGAGGGAGTGATGGACAGAGGGAAGGTGGTGGTTCCGTGTACTGGAGTTTCTTTTGGGTTCATAAAGAAAGAATTCAGATTCCTTGAGTCTACCAAAGTCAGTAGAATGCAGCTCAGTCCTGTACTTCACCAGAGGGACTGAGGGTTCCCTGAGCACCTCTGAGCATGCCACACATGCTCATTGGCAGGAGGGCAAGGACATGGTTCAACACCTAACTCTGGAACTCTGCTCAGCATGGCAGGGGCTCCACTACAAAGAAGCATAAAAATCCAGATACTATTTTAGTACCGTGATCCATGTGGTGCTACATTTGAAGCCCTGCACCCTTTCAGACATCTGATGGAAGCTCTGGGCATCTTCACATTTCCATCTTTGCATAGATCCATACTTGTAGAATTCTGCATTTAATTTTAGGGTTACTTGAGCATGAGAGAATCCTGTCTGTGGACCTACGAACCTCAGGTTAAGGATCAAGGCTTTCAAAGACTGCATTACCTATATCAATTATAAAAAAAAATAGTATTTGAATTAAAGAAATAATCATGTTTGTAACTGGAAAATACTTTCCCTGAAAGATACTCTCTTTACTCAAAGGAACCAATCAAAATATAAAAATCATTGAAAAGTACTTATAATTAACACAAGAAATATACTTTCAGTGGACAAAGTACCATAGTGGGACACCTAAAGGTTTATAAGATATTCAGCATTCAAAACAGTGGATAATTGGGAGTTTATTATAGAGAAAAAGCAAAATGGGAAGAAGTGATATTTAGAAATCATGCAAGAATGCACTGACCTCAGTGTGTTTTCTGGGCATTAAAGTATTATTTGTTCAGCTAACTATGCTGCCATAGCCACCAAAATGCTGTTATCAGTGAGGAGAGGACATAGTATATGGTGTATGGCAGTTAAAATGATGGTATCTAGGGTAAGACTGAGTTCAAATCCTAGTTTTCCACTAACTAGCTGTGTGACCCTGGGCTCGGTAACAAATCTCATTGAGCCTCAGTTTCTTAACCTGTAAGATGCGGATAAAATAATAGTGGATATTAATGATCGCCATTCTAACTGGTGTGAGATGGTACCTCATTGTGGTTTTGATTTGCATTTCTCTGATGGCCAGTGATGATGAGCATTTTTTCAAGTGTTTTTTGGCTGCATAAATGTCTTCTTTTGAGAAGTGTCTGTTCATATCCTTGGCCCACTTTTTGATGGGGTTGTTTGTTTTTTTCTTGTAAATTTGTTTGAGTTCATTGTAGATTCTGGCACTATTCACAATAGCAAAGACTTGGAACCAACCCAAATGTCCAACAACGATAGACTGGATTAAGAAAATGTGGCACATATACACCATGGAATACTATGCAGCCATAAAAAATGATGAGTTCATGTCCTTTGTAGGGACATGGATGAAACTGGAAATCATCATTCTTAGTAAACATCGCAAGGACAAAAAACCAAACACTGCATGTTCTCACTCATAGGCGGGAATTGAACAATGGGAACACATGGACACAGGAAGGGGAACATCACACTCCGGGGACTGTTGTGGGGTGGGGGGAAGGGGGAGGGATAGCATTGGAAGATATACCTAATGCTAAATGACGAGTTAATGGGTGCAGCACACCAACATGGCACATGTATACATATGTAACAAACCTGCACATTGTGCACATGTACCCTAAAACTTAAAGTATAATAATAATAATAATAATAATAATAATAATAATAATAAAAAATAGTGGATAAGAGTACCTACCTCACGGAGCCCCCAAAAGATTAAAAGAGATGATACATCTAAAGTGCTTAGATTAGCCAGGTGTGGTGGCAGGCGCCTATAGTCCCAGCTACTCGGGAGGCTGAGGCACGAGAATTGTTTGAACCTGGGAGGCAGAGGTTGCAGTGAGCCAAGATCACACCACTACACTCCAGCCTGGGGAACAGAGGGAGACTCTGTCTCAAAAAACAAACAAATAAATAACAAAGTGTTTAGAATATACCTGGCGGCTAGTAATTGTTCAATAAATGGTGTGTGTTAGTCCTGATTTACCCTAATTATAAGCTCCAGTGATAGTTTAGATTTTTTGTTTTTGTTTTTTCTTAGCTGTAGCCTTTTATTTAGGTCTGGAATCAGATTAACATTTAGAAACCTTGTTAATAAAATGTATTGTGAAAGAAATCATAATTAACAGGATAAATGCTCTTTTCCTCTTGGTCTCAACAGGCATTTTAATCCAGGTTGGTAATGGCCAAAAGTTGTCCTTTTTAGTCACTGCTCAGGGTATTATATGAAATTGATTTCTATCTACTGGTGATAAGACATCAGAGTATTCCAAAACAATGTTATTTATATTTTCATAAAAGTCAAACTCTTTATCAAGCTTACTATGTAGGACCAACCAAAGAAGATAAAGAATTGTAGCCATCCACTTCCATAGGTAGGGTAAAGCCTGCAGACCCATGACTATGGCACTGAAATGAAACACTGAAAAATGGAGTTTTTCATAACAAAAGTCTAACATGTTCTACAAAGTTAATTAGCTCTCAGAATTATTAACAGGAAAAGTTGAAAAGTTGTATATTTTCATTACCCAGCTACAAAAACCAAATTGATCCCTCAGTTTTGTGTTTAACATAAACATCTATCCACATATATTTATATGTTAATTTACCTTAAATTAAATGACATCATTTACAATTTCCCAGTTATTGTACTAGGTTGTGTGAACAAATAAAACTCTAAAATAAAAAGTGCTGTGAAGTCAGTTTTTACTGGCAAAAGTTAGAGAAATGGGACAAAACAATGGAATCAACAGTACAGAATTGTTTATACATTATTTCAATATTGTTCAGATGTGGAGTATAAAAGAATTTGAGATCTTCACTCTCTCTAAGACTGTATCACCTTTAAACTAATAAAATGATGGCAAAAACTGTGCTCAGCATTACATCAGTTGCCATATTAAATTACCCCTTTAACTGCTCCACTCTTTCTAGTACAAGGTAGTATGGAGAGGATCATAGTTTTGAAAACTCTAAACTGATGGATTTCATTCCTGGTGAACCCTCTGCTACTAGGGTTTCCTGTTTTTCTTTAAAGTTCTCATTGCTAGCATAGCTTAATTTAAAAAAACTGGGAATTTATAATTAATGATTATTTTTGATAGCAAATTAAAAGACTTGATACCCAGTTATAATTGAATTTTAAATAAACAATTAAAAGTTTTTAGTATAGTATGTTTCTTGCAATATTTGGAACATACTTATTCTAAAAAAACTTTATGCATTATTTAGCTGAAATTCAACAATAACTGGGCACTCTCTATTTTCCCTGGCCACCCTACCAGCCACCCCTGGCTACCCCATACCTCCCCAAATCATGTCCCCATTGCAGCTAAGACATTCATTTCTTCAGGGGTAGTGGGAGCCAGGAGTCAGAGCTCATTGCTCAGCTTTGAGGTTCAAACAGAAATTTTTAAATGGTTAGCCAAATTTTGGTAGGAATGCAAGATTCTTTGATTTTAAAAAGCCAGTCTGGGCCAGGTGCAGTGGCCTATGCCAGTAATCCCAGCAATCTTGGAGGCTGAGGCAGAAGGATCCCTTGAGCCTAGGAGTTCAAGACCAGCCTGGGCAATAAAGAGAGACCCCCATCTCTACAAATAGTAGTAATAATAATAAATTAGCTAGGCATCGTGGTGTGCATGCTTGTGGTCCCAGCTACTTAGGAGACTGAGGCAGGGGGATAGGATTGCCTGATCCCTGGAGGTAGAGGCTGCAGTGAGCTCTGATCATGCCGCTGCACTCCAGCCTGGGTGACAGAGTGAGACCCTGTCTCTAGGGGAAGAAGACTTTTAGGGTCCCCAAAACATAGCTTTGAGTCTGACTTGGGAGCAGACAGGAATCCAGATATAACACAGAGCACATTTCCAGACTTTAGGAAAGAACGAGAAATGATCAAGCAGGAATCAGAAAGTCAGGAAATTCATAGGGGACTAGTCCACAGTTGAGCTGCTGTGTGAGACCCTAGGAAGGTATCCGCAGACCCTACCTCCTAAGATTGAGCCAGGTTGGATAGGTACCAAGCTATCAGAGGTCCCAGAAAGGGGCTGGTGGCTTGATATGGTTTGACTCTGTGTCCCCACCTAAATCTCATGTCAAATTGTAATTCCCAATGTTGGAGGAGGGGCTTGGTGGGAGATGATTGGATCTTGGGGGTGGATTTCCCCCTTGCTGTTCTAGTGATAGTGAGTGAGTTCTCACGAGATCTGGTTGTTTAATCGTGTGTGGCACTTCCCCATTTGCTCGCTCTTCCTCTTGCTCCTGCCATGTAAGACGTTCCTGCTTCCCCTTAACGTTCTGCCATGAGTGTAAGTTTCCTGAGGCCTCTTAGCCATGCTTCCTGTACAGCCTGCGGAACCATAAGCCAATTAAACCTCTTTTCTTTATAAATTACCCAGTTTCAGCTATTTCTTTGCAATTACCGGTTGCAAATTACCCAGTTTGCAATTACCCAGTTGCAGCTATTTCAGCTGCAAACCACAGGATTCTCCAGGCCCCTAATTCTCCACGGAGGAAGTGCAGTGTGAGAACATACTAATACATGGCTGCTCTATGCCCAGGATTCCGGGAAGACCCATCCTGCCAGGTCACCAACACCAACACGGTTGAGGAGAAAGGCAGCAGGTGAAATGGGGCTCAGGAATGCCTCCACTTCCCTTCCACTGCACCTCACAGGCAGGAATTCCAGTTGTTCCCACAGGTCTCTGAAGAAGGGCCCAGAGTGTCGGGGACTTGGAAGAGGATCTCGGGACTGGAAGTCAGAGAAAGTGCAAAGCTTGTCACTGAGCCTTGGAAAAACCTTGTCCCTGAGCACCCTGAGCAGCCGTACTGAGGCTGGGGAGCCTGCACAGGCCTGTAAGATCCTAGCCCTGTTTCCTGCTGCTGCCCCAAATCCTGCTCAGGGAGGAGGAGGAGGGACAGGAAGAAATCTGAACAACAACTCTTCTTGTGACGGAGTTGAAAAGCAGACCTATCTGTACAAGTCAACTCTAACTGGAATGTCACTGGGTTCTGAAGGGGTTGAGGGAAAGTGTCAGTCCAAACACACAGAAGCTCTGGAACAAACAGGAGTTTAGAGAGAAAAACAAAGTCACCTTTCTGCACCAAAGAGGAGTAATGTTCAGATTCTGACCTGCTCCAATGGATGTGCTCAGGGCCAAAGGAGCTGCAAACCACAGGCATTCTCCAGGCCCCTAATTCTCCACGGAGGAAGTGCAGTTTGAATTGATTTTAATGGTGTTTTGAAATGGAGATAAAAGTATTCTGGAAGGGTAAAATGCCACAAGCAAAATCTCATTTAGAAAATATACAGATATGTGAAAAGGACAAGTTGTCCAGGGACGTATGGCTGGCTTTGAGTGTGTGTGAAAGACTGTGTAAGAGCATGTTTCTGTGAGAGCACGGGGTGGGTGTGAATGTTTAAGGCTGTGGGAGGTGAGGGTGAGGGTATATGGGGAGTGTGTGTGAGTGTGCATGTGGGATGGTGGTGTATGGGGAGTGATATGGTTTGGCTGTGTCCCCACCCAAATCTCAGCTTGAATTGTATCTCCCAGAATTCCCACATGTTGTGAGAGGGACCCAGGGGAAGGTAATTGAATCATGGGGGCCGGTCTTTCCCATCCTATTCTCGTGATAGTGAATAAGTCTCATGAGATCTAATGGGCTTATCAGGGGTTTCTGCTTTTGCTTCTTCATTTTCTCTTGCCGCTGCCATGTAAGAACTGCCTTTCGCCTCCCGCCATGATTCTGAGGCCTCCCCAGCCATGTGGAACTGTAAGTCCGATTAAACCCCTTTTTCTTCCCAGTCTTGGGTATGTCTTTATCAGCAGCATGAAAACAGACTAATACAGGGAGTATGTGTGTTGGGGGGGTAGGGGGAGAGGATGTATGAGGAGTGTGTGTGAGTGTGGGGTGAGGCTGTATGGGGAGTGTGTGAGTGTGTATGTGGGGTGAGTATGGGGAGTGTGGGGGATGACGGTGTATGGGGAGTGTGTGTGTGGTGGGGGAGAGGATGTATGGGGAGTTTGTGTGTGTGCGTGTGGGGTGTGTGTATGGGGAGTGTTTATGAATGTATGGGGTAAGGGTGTATGGCAAGTGTGTGTGAGTGTGTGTGTGGGGTGAAGGTGTATGGTGAGTGTGTGTGTGGGGTGCATATATGGGTAGTGTGTGGGTGTGTGTGGGAGGTGTATATAGGGAGTGTGTGTGAGTGTGTGTGGGGGGCGAGGATGTATGTGGAGTGTGTGTGGGCGTGTGTATGGGGAGTGTGTGAGTGGGAAGGGGGAGTGTGTGGGGTGAGGGTGTATGGGGAGTGTGTGTGAGTGTGGGCTGAGGGTGTATGGGGAGTGTGTGTGTGTGTGTGTGTGTGAGGTGAGGGTGCATGGAGAGTGAGTGTGTGAGCATATGGGCATGTGAGGTGAGGGTGCATGGGGAGTGTGTGGTGAGGGTGCATGGAGAGTGAGTGTGTGAGAGCATATGTACATGAGTTGAGGGTATATCGGGAGTGTGAGTGCATGTGGGGTGAGGGTGCATGGGGAGGGAGTGTGTGAGAGTATGTATGTGTGGGTTGAGGGTGCATGGGGAGTGTGAGTGCCTGTGGGGTGAGAGTGTGTGTGTGAGTGTATGTGTGGGATGAGGGTGCATGGAGAGAGTGTGAGAGCATATGTACATGTGGGTTGAGGGTGTATGGGGAGTGTGAGGGAATGTGGGGTGAGGGTGAGTGGGTATGAGAGTGTATGTGCATGTGAGGTGAGGGTGCATGGAGAGAATGTTAGAGTATATGTACATGTGGGTTGAGGGTGTATGGGGAGTGTGAGGGCATGTGGGGTGAGGGTGAGTGGGTATGAGAGTGTATGTGCATGTGAGGTGAGGGTGCATGGAGTGAGTGTGAGAGTTTATGTATGTGTGGGTTGAGGGTGCATGGGAAGTGTGAGGGCATGTGGGGTGAGGGTGTATGGGGAGTGTGTGAGAGTGTGCCTGTGAGGTAAGGGTTCATGGAGAGAGTGTGACAGTGTATGTGCATGTGAGGTGAGGGTGCATGGAGAGAGTGTGAGAGTGTATGTATGTGTGGGTTGAGGGTGCATGGGGAGCGTGAGTGCCTGTGGGGTAAGAGTGTGTGTGTGAGTGTATTGTGTGTGTGGGGTGAGGGTGCATGGAGAGAGTGTGAGAGTGTGTGTATGTGTGGGTTGAGGGTGCATAGGGAGTGTGAGTGCATGTGGGGTGAGGGTGTATGGGGAGTGTGTGTGAGTGTATTGCGTGTGAGGTGAGGGTGCATGGAGAGTGAGTGTATGAGTGTAAGTACGTGTGGGTTAAGGGCACATGGGACTGTGAGTGCATGTGGGGTGAGGGTGTATGGGGAGTGTGTATGTGAGAGTGTATGTGTGTGTGAGGTGAGAGTGCTTGGGGAGTGTGTGAGGGTGAATGTCTCACAGGGAGGAGGAACATGAGAGAGGCATCTACTGAGATGCCGCTGGGGAAAGGCAGAGAAAGAGGAGAGGTCGGTAAATCCGGGTCCTCGGGGTGTTTCCATGTTGAGAAACAGCATGGCCTTTGTTTTTGAAGGTAAAGGACAACTCCCCAGGTGTTATGAATGAGGATTGACAGAATCAGAGCTGAGTTGCAGGAAGATTACAGTGATTTTAACGTGTAGGATGGAGTGAAGGGATAGATCTGTGAGCTGTCGCAAAAGATGACTTTGGGGTTTTAGACCTTAGAGAACAGAGTTATAAATAGAAGTGATGAAGGCAGAGGGAGAAACTAAGTTTGAGGGGAAGATAAGGGCTCACTTTAATTGTGTCAAATAGGATATGGCAGTTCTCTCAGTCAACAAGGATTTTTTGGAACACCTACTAGGTGCCAGGCCTGTGCACAGCACTGAGGATGTAATGAACAACACACTAAAAGCTGTCAGACCCCATGAGCAGGAACTCTGTGAGAGGCTGTTTTTATTTATTTCTCCCTAGCCACTGCCTAGCCCAGGACCTAGCCCATTGGAAGGGACCAAATACTTGTTAAATAATAAAGACATATGTAGATAGTATATTAGTCCATTCTGTCATTGCTAAAACAAACAAACAAAAAAAAACTACCTGAGATAGAGTAACTTATAAAGCAAAGAGGTTTAATTGGCTCACAGTTCTGCAGGCTGTATAGGAAGCAGGGCTGGGGAGGCCCCAGGAAACTTACAATAATGGCAGAAGGCAGAGGGGAAGCAGGCACATCTTACATGGCAGGAAAAGAAGGAAGAGGGCAAAGGGGAAGGTGCCACACATGAGAACTCAATGATTATCACTAGAGAAGCAGGGGGGAAATCTGCCCCCATGATCCAATCACCTCCCAGCAAGCCCCTCCTCCAACACTGTGAATTACAATTTGACACAAGATTTTGAGCAACGACACAAATCCAAACGATATCATTCTGCCCCGACCCCTCCCAAATCTCATGTCCTTCTCACATAGCAAAATACAATCATCCCTTCTCAACAGTCCCCCAAGTCTTAACTCATTTCAGTATTTACGCAAAAGTCCTCAGTCCAGAGTCTCATCTGAGACAATGCAAGTCCTTTCCATGGATGAGCCTGAAAAATCAGAACCAAGTTAGTTACTTCCAAGATCCAGTGCAGGTACAGCTGTTGGGTAAATACACCTGTTTCAAAAGGGAGAAATCAGTCTAAACAAAAGGGCTACAGGCTCCATTCAAGTTTACAACCCAGCAGGGGAGGCATTAAATCTTAAAACTCCAAAATAATCTCCTTTGACTCCATGTCTCACATGCAGGCCACACTGATACAAGGGGTGGGCTCCCAAAGCCTTGGGGAGCTCTGCCCCTGTGGCTCTGCAGGGTACAGCCCCCTCAGCTGCTTTCATGGGCTGGCGTTGAGTGCCTGTGACTTTTCCAGGTGCACAGTGCAAGCTATCAGTGGATCTACCATTCTGGGGTCTGGAGGACAGTGGCCCTCTTTTCACAGCTCCACTAGGCAGTGCCCCATTGAGAACTCTGTGCGGGTGCTGATGATATGGTTTCAATTTGTGTCCCTGCCCAAATCTCATGTCAAATTCGAATCCCCAATGTTGGAAGACAGGACTGGTGAGAGGTGATTGGATCACGAAGTTTGATTTCCCCCTTGCTGTTCTCATGACAGTGAGTGAGTTTTCACAAGACCTGGTTGTTTAAAAGTGTGTGCCACGTTCCCCTTTGCCCTCTTCCTCGTGCTCCTACCATGTAAGACGTGCCTGCTTCCCCTTCGCCTTCTGCCGAGGCCTCCCCAGCCATGCTTTCTGTATACTCTGTGGAACTGTGAGCTGAGTAAACCTCTTTTTTATAAATTACCCAGTCTCAGGTAGTTCTTTATAGCAGTATGAGAAAGGACTAATACAGATAGACTGTGGTACATCTGAATGGAAAGGTCCAAGCCATTAAAAATGTTGTCTGGATTTGCATCAGTATTCATTGCTTCTGATTACTTTTGCCCTGAACGAAGGTAAGTTTATGTTTAAAAATAAAAAATCAAACCAAAACACATTTAAACAATTAATAGACTTCAAGTTTTGTGTAGTTCATCACTAATTTTGAGTTTGTGATTAGTGGAACGTTAGGGGAAGTGAACCCACTACTTTCCCCAAATCAGGATTGGCAAGCTACAGACTGCTGGACAAATCTGGCCCACAACCTGTGTTTTTGGTTGTTGTTGTTTTTTTTGTAAATAAAGTTTTATTGCCATGCTATTTGTTATTCTATGGCTGCTTTTGCAGCACTGTAACAGCAGAGCTGGCTAGTTGTGAGAGACTGTTTCCAAAGCCTAAAATATTTACTATCCAGTTATTTACAGAGAAAGTTTGCTGGCCTTGTTTCTAAATCACTATGTGATACATTAAGAGCCTGTTTGCAAATTGAATAGATAGCTTGCTTTAAAAAAAAAAAAAAGTAATTATAATCTAAGCAGAGGCTGACCATACTTAGGCATACAATTTAAAACACTGTCCCAGCCCAGTTGGGCTGCTGTAACAAAATGCCACAAACTGGGTGCCTTACAAACAAGATAAATTTATTTTTCACAGTTCTGGAGGCTGGGAAGTCTGAGAGCAAGACAGCAGCACGTTCGTTGTGTGGTGAGGGCCAGTGTACTGGCTCAGGGACAGCAGTCTTTGCTGTGTCCTCACATGGTGGAAAGAGAATGGCTAACTCTCTCGGATCTGTTTTATAAGGGCACTGTCTACCTTCATGAGTGGTCTACTCTCATAACCTAATCACCTCCCAAAGTCCTCATCTTCTCACACCATCCCCTTAGGAATTAGGATTTCAACAATGAATTTGAGCAGGGACACCAACATTCAGCCCATAACAATCAATAATTATGCAGTAACTAAAGCAGGACTTTTAACAGGCAGCACTATGAGTCTAATATAATGCATGTTTGCCCTTAAAAGTAATAAGTTTCGTTTGTCTTGAAAATCTTCTATAATTGATACTTTTTTCATCATTAGACTAATATTTTCTTATGAAACCAAGTTTTTCTTATAGAAAATTGTTTCATGAGCCCCAGTTAAAATGAGCATAAGATGATCCCTTTAGATACTGAGATAATATGATACAAATTATTACTAGTGAGAGGTTATTTTAAAATATAGGCATTGTTCAGCAAGCGAAACTTTCTTCAGCCCCTTGGCCCCTGTCATATTTTTACAAGAAGTCTCCAAAGCAGGCCTTGCCTTGCTGTCTCCTGCTGAGAATAGAAGGCTTCCTCCTACCAGGTTGCTTCCCCTAGTGCCCCTGTGTATTGCGCCCTGTGACGATTCCCTTGTGTACACACACACACACACACACACACACACACACACACACACTACTCTACCTTTGTGGTTTGGATATTATCTCACAGGCATAGCCTGATCTACCCTCACTTGATCACTGATTCAGGAGCAGAGAAAGAAGGGATGGAAACATTTCTGGGTATGGGATGTGGAAAGAATTACTATAGCAGTAAAACTAACTTGTTCTTAGAGACTGATAAATGACTCTGAAGGTAATTCAGAAAAAAAAAAAGGCTTTGGGATCACACTTTGAGCAAAGTAGCCTCATTTAACTAAGCCCATGGCCACCTCAGGGGGCCACTCTGAAAGACAGAGGTCCCTTCAACCTGCACCCCTAGGATGTTGGTAACAACCCCAGGTTGTGGAGAGGAACCCTGCACTGAGACCATGAGCATGCTCCCGCAGGGACACACAAAAAGGAAGCACAGTGCGAGCAGAGGTGTCAGTCCTCTGTTTTGAGGCAGAATGAGGGAGTTGTCACTAAGGACAGCACACTGAATTGTATGAATTTAAGATCACACTTCATTCTCTCTGCCTTTTCATTTGGACGCAGTGCAAGCCAAACCTTTGAGGCATTTTGGCATCTTGACTCAACAACATGGTGAAAGATCAAAGCATCAGACATTCCTATGCATATGTGTGGATAAAAGCACATCCATAAAGTTTAAAGATAGTTGGGCCTTGCATAACAGTCCCCAAGGTCAACCTGTAAGTTTTGAAAAAACAGCAGATCAAGAAAGCAAAAGTCTTTTTGTTTCCAAGGCAACAGAATGACAAATAACTTGACTCTTAGTTGAATGGATGATAAGATGATTTCAGTATCTTTTCAACTGAAAATGGCTATAGAAAAGCAGACATCCTCGGATCCACCCCATGATAGCTCCTGGAGCCTGTTTTCCTAAGTTGTCCCAAAAGATGTTCTAACAGCCTTGATGGAAGCAGCTTGCAACTTTTAATTTGTTGCAAAGAAAGAAGGGATAAGTGAAGCAAATAGACCAATCTTTAATTCACATGGCAAATACTTAAGAACAACTGTATTTTCAAACATCCCCCCAAAATATATCATGAATCTGTTTATCTTCAGCCTGCACCTCCACACGCACATCCTAAGCCAGCATCATCTCTTGCCTCTTCTATTGTCAGAGCCTCCTAACTGGCTTCTCCGCACTTTCAGTCTTGCTTTCTTCTAATCAGTTCTTCTCACAGCAAAGAGAATATAAATCCTTCATTTATGGAAATCAGAGTGCTACTCCCCTGCTCACATTCTTCACTGTCTTCCTGTTACATTTAAGAACAAGTATAAAGTCTTCAAAAACTCTCTTAAGACCTGGGATGGGTCTAGTGCCTACCCTCATGTCCCATCACTGTTTCTCTTGCATATGGTAAGCCATTTGTATAGACCTCCGTGCAATACCTTTTAATGGGCCAAACTTGTTTCCACTGCAAGGCCTTCCTCGGGGGCCATCCCTCTGCCTAGGACATTCTCCCATGTTTCTCACTTGGCCAACCCTACTCATCTCTCAGATGCGCTCGAGAAGAACACGTTCTGAATCCTCAGCACCACCTGCCCATCTAAGTCAGGTTATTTATTAAAAGCCTTCCTGGCATCCTTAACCTTTCCTTCCTGACACTTAACATAGTTTGTTACTGTGCATTAAGAGGCAGGTGCTCCTTGTTAATTTTTTATTTCCCGTAGCAGCCCTGTCACTTAAGTCTGCACCTGGCTCATAGCAGACACTGAGGGACATTTTTATAAGGAGGACGTGTGAGAGGGAGGGTGCTGTGAGTGTGAACAAGATGCATAAACAATTCAATAGGATGTGACAAATGACACAAGAGCCACCTACATCAGTGAGGGCACATGGAATTGCTGCCTGGGGAAATGGCTGCAGGGACAAGAACACTAAGAGGCTAATCCAGTATTGGCCTGAAAGCTGCAGTGGCATGACCAAAGGCACTGGAGTGGGGAGGTGGGGAGAGAGAAGGGCAGAGCGCAGCAGTTAGAAGCCAGGATTGGGAGCCTGATGCTGAGGCCCATTCTGACTCTGCTCCTGACAGTGGGGCGATCCTGGGGAATCCACTTAAATGCTTCCTGTGCCAGGTTCCTCATCTGTCAAACGGAGATGGTAATAGTACCTGCCCTGTCGGGTGGTGCTTAAGATGAAAGGAGTTTGTATTTGAAAGGCGCTCAGAACAATGTTTTGTGTGTAGTAAGAGCTACATTAGCACCTGGTAAGACACCACCTCTGAAGGGAGCAAGGCAGTGAGAGTGGTGACTGGGAGATGCAAGCGCAGTGACCACAGGCATTTCTCAGACTGCTGCCTGGTGGCTCAGTGGATGCAATGCCGAGATGCATTCATTCAGCAAGCAAGCAAGCAAGCAAGGAAGCACATAAACCCTCCATGCTGCAAGGAACTTGGGATAACGTGCTTCTTAAACTCGGTTCTTTTCCGCATTGAGCTTAGACTAGTGGGAAACACGTGGAGATTCCCAGCAGATGGAGAGAACAGGTGGATGCACAAAACATGTTG
Source organism: Homo sapiens (assembly GCF_000001405.40). Lineage (NCBI taxonomy): Eukaryota > Metazoa > Chordata > Mammalia > Primates > Hominidae > Homo > Homo sapiens. Next base: position 11,304,805 of record NC_000005.10, on the reverse strand, counting down.
GAAAAGGAGGAAAAGAAGCTGACTGAACTCTGAGCACAGTGGCCAGGAAGAAACAGACTCTCTGCCGAGAGCACAGTTGTGTCAGGACAAGGTGGTTGGAAGAAAAGGGTGGTATAACCAAGTGGGCTGCCACGTGGCTAGACTGAGAGTGGAAACCCCTGGCCCCTTTCTTGCAAGGAACAAAATCCCTCCCACCACTGTTCCTTGTCCCTGATCTCAGTTTAATAAAAAACAAAACCTGATTTTATATTTGTAGTTTTATATTTTTTAGAGGGACCAAAAATTATTATACAAGTTTCAGGTCTGCAAAAACCTGGATACATCTAGGAATGAAATGCATTGCTGAGCACCATTGAGGGAGGAAGTAGTGTTATGCATGGGGGAGAGAGAGTTTGTGTGTGTGTGTAAGTGTGTGTGGTGTGCCTGTGTGTAATACATTAATGTATACAAAAGAGAGAGAGAAAGAGTGTGTGTGTGTGTGTGTGTGGTGTGTCCGTGTGTAATGCATTTATGTATACAAAAGGCCAAATAAAAAATAATGAAACGGTTTGTGCAACATTTCACAAAGTATTTTAATACAGTATTAATCCTCAACAACCAATAAGTCAGATAGCATTTGTATTAGTCTGTTTTCATGCTGCTGATAAAGACATACCCTTCATGCTGCTGATAAAGACATACTCAAGACTGGGTAATTTATAAAGAAAAAGAGATTTAATGGACTCACAGTTCCACGTGGCTGGGGAGGCCTCACAATCACGGTGGAAGGTGAAAGCCACCTCTTACATGGCGGCAGGCAAGAGAGAGAATGAGAACCAAGCGAAAGGGGTTTTTCCTTATAAAACCATCAGATCTCCTGAGACTTATTCACTATCATGAGAACAGTATGGGGGAAACCGCCCCCATGATTCAGTTATCTCCCACCAGGTCCCTCCCACAACATGTGGGAATTATGGGAGCTACAATTCAAGATGAGATTTGGGTGGGGACACAGCCAAACCATATCAACGTTATCTTCATTTTAGAATGAAGACTGAGATTCAAGATACCCTCAGTAACTAATCAAGGCTACTGAACAAAGTGGAAACAGCTGGGTTGGTTTCCCATTACCACATACTTCCTCCTCATGGAATCAAAAAGCACCAGGAGAAATCTATGTCTTGGAGCTCTTCCTGAATGAAGAAGGAATAGTGATCAGGTCATTATGGTCAGCAGATAAATACTGATGGCCTACATTCATTGAAGGTGAAGTCTGTGCCAGGCATCCGCTTCAGCAGTTTGCATCCATTACATCACTAAGGCCTCAGCAACCCAGTGAAAGGAGTAATAGTATCATCTATGTTTTATAGAAGGAGGAAACTGAGGCCAAAGCCAATGGGTGACTTACCCAGGGCCATAGAGAAAGTGTGAGGAGGTCTGAATTCAACAAGGCCATCTGCGTGCAGAAACCATAGCATAACTACCGTGTTAGGCTGCCCCTTGTGAGTTCCATGAGCAACCTGTACTGACAGAAATGAATAATTAGGAATTAACTTTTTCCTAAGGTCAAGAGCATTGTCTTTTTCTCATCAGAGACTGAATTTATATCTCAAACACCAAGCTAGAATTCAGTTTAGCTGTATTTTCGAGAAGCTGCCAAATGCCAGGTACTGGACTAAGTGTTGAGTGGAAGAGAAAGGAAGTTTCTGAGGCAACCCGTGGCTTGATTATGTTCACAGTCTTAAGGAGAAAAGACATACTTGGAACATTACATTACATATAGGAGGCACCATGTGCTGAGGAGTGACTGATTAAGACAGCAAGTTAACCCAGGGCTCAAAGTCTGGCTATGCCTGTGGGTCTGAACACTCTGGGATAACTCTGGGGCAGTAGGCAAAAAGGAGGAAGGACGCGAGGTTTCTTGGAGGAGAAAGGGTATCTGAAATGGTCCTCCTCCTCCTAACTTCCCTCTACATTGTGAAACCTACCAGGCATTGCCTCATAACCAAAGTGGCATATGCTGAACATTTATTTACATCCTCTATTTGCCCAGGAGATCATTTTCCTGCCAGCTGCTATCATCAGTCAGAGGCAGCTTCTCAGAGCTGGGAAGCCATGGTCACATCTTGAAATTGTCCTGTGACTCCTCAGCATGGTTTCTTCTCCATTACCTGACAGTGGAGAGCAGGTGAAGCATCACTGGAGACCTGGGGAAGGCATCTTTTTCTCTTCACTGCCTTTCTCTAAACCACACCTAAACTGAGGTGCTCAATTCTTAATCCCACATGCGGCATTTACCGGGTTTGTTGCGTTCCTTTGGCATCACCCCTTTTCTCTCTTCTGTGGCCCCTTGTAAGGAAGTAGCACAAGGAACAGACTGGGGGATAAAGGAGAATAACTTCCTATGTTGAAAGATGACACATCCCTCCGAGACTTCAGCTAAGAGGACTCCCCGGTAAGAGCTGTCTCCAGGTGTGCAAGACTCTGGAGGAACATCCCCTCTGATTCCCTGGATCTCTCCCTGTCCCCGCGGTCTTCCTGATTGGGAGTGGCTGTCATTCTCAGCTGCCCAGAGAGCACCACTTACTCTGAAAAACACAAGCCCGCTTCCCTTCTTTCCTTCCTCTCAGTACTGATGGGAAGAGCCAACCTTAGGGGAAGAATTGTATTCAAAAGCAAAGAGGGCAGATATCAATTAATTACGAAGAAAAAGCCAGAAGCACAAGTCAAGGAAAGCAAATTTGGTACAGGTTTCTGATTCGACAGTTACCTCTCAGCTCCAGCTCATGGTGTGCCAAGGATCCAACTCCCAGTTGCCCACATTCCTTCTCAGGACCCCCACCCTCCTCCAGTTTACCCACTCCCTCTTCCTCAAGGACACAACTCAGTCCGAGAAAGTCATGGAGCAGTGAAGGGCCAAGTTCCATCTTCCAGGAAAAATGTCATTTCCATCATAAAGATGAAAGTTTAGGGCAATTAAGTCTCCAAAAATTTGAATCTATTTTTCCCCCAGGGTGGGAGGGGGCAAAAAAGAACAGAATTTCTGTGCTTGTGATCGAAATGTAGTATGTGACTTTAGTATAAAAATGTATGTCTTAAGATTAAAACACAAAATATGTTTTCACCCATTCCCTGTCTGCTTGCAAACCGTCCTTATATTGCAATGCTGAGTGAAGAATACGAATTTTAAAATGTAATTTCTTCTCTCTCAACAATGAAACTTCAGGGGAAGAAAATAATGTTTGATATTTTGGGGGTCATTGGAGAGAAACAACAAGAAAGATTGTAAAGCTTGATGAAGTTCTCCAAAAACGCACTATGTGTGGTTGTTCGTCTTAAGTCTAAAACATGATACAGTTCCTTCATGGCACACCCTGCCACATAGTGTTGGAATCACACACACACGTTGGAATCTCCTTTGTTTTTTCCCTAGTTCATTTCAGTGACTCCAGCTGAGGGCATTCCAGATGTTTCCTGTCTGCTGGACCCTAGAGTAAGAAAGCAGATGGGGGCCGGGCGCGGTGGCTCATGACTGTAATCCCAGCACTTTGGGAGGCAGAGGCGGGCAACTCACGAGGTCAGGAGTCCGAGACCAGCCTGGCCAACATAGTGAAACCCTATCTCTACTAAAAATACAAAAAAATTAGCTGGGCATGGTGGCAGGTGCCTGTAATCCCAGCTACTTGGGAGGCTGACATAGGAGAATTGCTTGAACCCCAGAGGTGGAGGTTGCAATGAGCCGAGATAGGGCCACTGCACTCCAGCCCAGCCCAGCCCAGCCCATGCAACAGCCCAGACTCCGTCTCAAAAAAGAAAGCAGAAGGGGAGACCACACACTGAGATACCAGTTCTTGTTTCATTCTGTTTTGTTTTCTTCCCCATCAGTATCTTCCCCATCAGTGTCAGATTGTGCCCTCTGATCCCAGGAGAAGGTTGTGCTGCAGGCCCGTGTTCTGAAGACATCTTCCCTTTCTACTTCCTGTTTCCAAAAGGCGGCACCCTTGAGGGGATGGGAGTGGAGGCTGGGGGTGCTCAAAAGAGTAGTGGCTTAGCTCGTCATGGAGAGGGTCTAAGGTAGCCAGATAAAATACAAGATGTCCAGCCACATTTGAACTTCAGATAAACAACGGGTAAATTTTTAGTATAAGTATATAAGTTCCAAATATTGCCTGGAACATACTTTCACTTAAAAAAAAAAAAAAGTTGTTTGTCTAAAATGCAAATTTAACTGGGTGTCCTGTATTACTTGCTAAATCTGGGAACTGTGTGTGGGGAGGGTGGGAAGGACTTCGGATCTGTAGTCACTGGGGCCCCAGGCCTGTTATTCACACTAGGAGGTGGAGATGGCAGAACATCTGGGGGACAAGGAGCCCTGACAAGGAAGCTGGACCCGACTTGAGGGATTGCAAAGGCCTGAGTGATAGGCATTTCTGGGGTGACCAGGCCCATTGAGGACCAGAGGGCCACCAGAATAGTTTCCTTTGCTTGGACCTTCCAGGCTGTGAAGTTCCCTTGGGTGTCCTCTGCCTACCCTGTTTTTCAGTGGAGGAGGGGTTGGTTCTTATCCTCATTCCCTTCTCCAGGCCACTCTCCTAGCTGTTTCTGCTGGAGACCAAACCTGGTCTCTTTTCCTAAGAGCAGGAAATCCTATCCGTTCCCCATGGAAGGGATCTGAGGGTTAACCACAGGATTGATGGTGTCATGGATGTGGGCAACTTAGAAGTCTCTCCTGAAATGGAGTCCCTGCACCCCCAGAGGCTCTTATGATCTTCAAACCTAAATGTATATAAATGAATACAATAGCCCTGAAAGCTGCCCATTTCTTTTGAGAGGATCATGTGTAATGTATTCACATGTATGTTTCATGCCCATCAATTAGCACACATAAGTGGCCGTGTTTCTACATGGCATATCAGAGCACTGAGGCACACTGGTGCTACCTGCCTTTGCCAGATCTCCCTTACCAGCCCCTGGTTATTTAAGGATCCGAGCAGTCTGAAGGTCCAAGACTTCAGATCTGCAAATGTCAAGGCCTTCTTTGTGGCTGGCCCAGGCTCCCAGCATCCTGTTATGGTTTTGCACTTGTTCTCAGCATCCTTAGCCTGGGAACACACTCAGCAAAAATCAGACACACCTTGGCAGGAAAGTTTCACGGAGGGGAGGAATAACATGGCCATTCTACATGTTTCTACCTTAGACGACCCACAGATCCTGCTAGTAGATGACCATAGCTTCTCCAGAGGTTTCTGTCAAGGTGATGAGCGATAGAATAGAAACACCCTCAGAGGGCCTGTGAGAGGTGGGAACGGGAGAGGCTGCTGCTCCTTGGGTGTACCTCATGCAAGCCTGCCTCCTTGATGCATGTGAAATTGGGAGTCAAGAGCTCCACTCCTCTCTTGACTCTGCTACTTTGAGCTTTGTAACCTTGGGTGAGACTCTTCTAAGAGTTTGTTTCTTCTGGTAAAAGGCGATGGCAGTAACGAGGTCTCAGCTTGTTGAGAGAGTATATACCAAAGAGTTTGACATATGCTTGCCTATGACAGATACACAAATGGTAGCTAAACCTCCACAAGTGGGACATCGAAGTGGTAAATTTAGACCAAACCGTGAAGAAAAGCCAGTCCAAAACCAAAGAACAGCTAGGAAAACAAAACAGATCCTCACTAAAGTTAAGAAGAGAGGTGAGTGGGAAGGTAGCCTAAAGAGGTGACTGATATGCGTCACTATCATTTTATTATCTAATAAAATAGTTCTCCAAATAGCTTCTGTGTAACTCATATCCAGAGTGAGCATTTATGTGTTTGTACCACAAGGGTTTCTATACAGTGGAATAAAAAGGTGACCCAAGTAAATATATTTACCAGCTATATTATAATAATAATAATTCACCACCAATCATTACGCATTGTTCTAAAGTGTTTACCAAGTATAAATCATTTTAATTCTTACAAAAACCCTCTGAGGTACTATCACTACTCCCATTTTGTATCTAAGGAAACTGGGGCAAACCGACATATGTAACTTGCTCAGCATCCCAAGACTGTGAATGGTGGAGTCTGGGATTGTAGCTATAGCCCGTGCTACACGCCACATTTCTATACTGACTGTGCATTTCTATACAGGCAGTGCATGAACCATTTAAATTCTTAGGAAACATGTTTGTAGATGCAGTCATCAGAAACCAAGATCATAGAAGTAATAGAACTAGCTCAATGAGAGACATAACTAAATGAGAGAAAATCCAATGATTTAGGCATTTTAAAAGCAAAATAGAAAGGGTTTGGGAGAAAAGGAATTTTACTCTTCAGATTAATACATTCACTCCTAAGCTTTAGCATTGTTATAAAACAAAAGATGGCTGGGAGCAGTGGCTCACACCTGTAATTCCAGAACTTTGGGAGGCCAAGGTGGGAGGATCACTTGAGGCCAGGAGTTCAAGACCAGCCTGAGCAACATAGCAAGTCCCCATCTCTACAAAAAATACATAAAATGGCCCAGCATGGTGGTGCATACCTGTAGTCCCAGTTACTCAGGGGGCTGAGGTGGGAGGAACACTTGAACCCTGGAGTCTGAGGTTGCAGTGAGCTGTGATTGTGCCTCCAGCCTGGGTGACAGAGCAAGACCCTGTCTCAAAAGAAAAAAGAAACAACTAAATAAAAGACAGCCATTTATTTCCTGAGGATTTTGTTGTCACTTAAAAATTGTCATCGTTTTCATAGGGCGTAAAGTTTTAATGTCTAGGTGCAGTTACACTGGCATGGTTCCTTATGTACAATTTACTAACTTTGAAATGTGATGTCATTAAGAGAAAGCAGAGAAACAGGACATAGGACATTTCAGGGCTGTGCTCACCCCTGTTGTACTCTATTAGCCCAATATTGAAGGTGCTAATTTTTACTTTAACATTAGGATGATGGTATTTTCATTTTGTCTTGTCACTTTTTTGAGGTGAAAATAACTAAAGATATGGAAATTTGTTAGACAATGGTGGGTGGAATAGATTTTTGCATCCTAGGATAAAATCCGAACTCGTGAATATGTTGGTTCATAGCTTAGTCACCCCACTCCTCCTGTCCAAACTCTCTAAGATAGAGGTTCTTGACCTTTTTTGCCTCCTGACCTCCCTTACACTCTTAAAAATTATGGAAGCCCTCAAAGAGCTTTTTACTATGAGTTACATCTCTTAATATTTACTGTATTTAATATTAAAATTTAAAAATGTTTAAATGCTTAATTTAATATCTCCTTTAAGTATTCATTTAGAGTTATGATCATAAACCATTTATGTATTGATGTAAATATTTTATTTAAAATGACTATGTTTTCCAATATAAGAAGAATAACATTATTTTATAATTTTGCAAATGTCTTTAATGACCAGCTCTGTGGAAGACAGCTGCATTCTCATATCTGTCTCTGTATTCTGTCTGTGGTAATACGTTTTGTTAGAAGTATATCAAGAAGATCTGGCTACACACAGATGCAAAGTTGGAAAAGGGAGAAATATTTTCAAAGCTTTTTAGACAATTGTGGTTATTATTTGATACTATACCAAAACTCTACAAGTTTTAGTTCCTTAAAGGTTAGTTGAAATATGGAATTTAAAAATATAGCAATGAACTTTTTTGTACTGTGTAACTTCAAATCCTTGAATGGACCTTGAATGTTGTAAATTTGTCTTTTATGAACATCTGTGATGTTGGCACATACTGGGCTGACTTTCTTGCAGATCTTCTAAATGTTGACACAGTTCATTATACAATGTATTTTAAAGTCATATTCATTAATATTATTAATGATCACATCAGAAAGTCTTTAAGTACTGAGAAACTTTCTTTTTTTTATTATACTTTAAGTTTTAGGGTACATGTGCACAACGTGCAGGTTTGTTACATATGTATACACGTGCCATGTTGGTGTGCTGCGCCCATTAACTCGTCATTTAACATTAGGTATATCTCCTAATGCTATCCCTCCCCACTCCCCCCATGCCACAACAGGCCCCCATGTGTGATGTTCCCCTTCCTGTGTCCATGTGTTCTCATTGTTCAATTCCCACCTATGAGTGAGAACATGCAGAGTTTGCTTTTTTGTCCTTGCGATAGTTTGCTGAGAATGATGGTTTCCAGCCTCATCCTTGTCCCTACAAAGGACATGAACTCATCATTTTTTATGGCTGCATAGTATTCCATGGTGTATATGTGCCACATTTTCTTAATCCAGTCTATCATTGTTGGACATTTGGGTTGGTTCCAAGTCTTTGCTATTGTGAATAGTGCCGCAGTAAACATACGTGTGCATGTGTCTTTATAGCAGCATGTTTTATAATCTTTTGGGTATATACCCAGTAATGGGATGGCTGGGTCAAATGGTATTTCTAGTTCTAGATCACTGAGGAATTGCCGCACTGACTTCCACAATGGTTGAACTAGTTTACAGTCCCACCAACAGTGTAAAAGTGTTCCTTTTTCTCCACATCCTCTCCAGCACCTGTTGTTTCCTGACTTTTTAATGATCACCATTCTAACTGGTGTGAGATGGTATCTCATTGTGGTTTTGATTTGCATTTCTCTGATGGCCAGTGATGGTGAGCATTTTTTCATGTGTTTTTTGGCTGCATAAATGTCTTCTTTTGAGAAGTGTCTGTTCATATCCTTCAACCACTTGTTGATGGGGTTGCTTGTTTTTTTCTTGTAAATTTGTTTGAGTTCATTGTAGATTCTGGATATTAGTACTTGTCAGATGAGTAGATTGCAAAAATTTTCTCCCATTCTGTAGGTTGCCTGTTCACTCTGATGGTAGTTTCTTTTGCTGTGCAGAAGCTCTTTAGTTTAATTAGTTCCCATTTGTCAATTTTGGCTTTTGTTGCCATTGCTTTTGGTGTTTCAGACATGAAGTCCTTGCCCATGCCTATGTCCTGAATGGTATTGCCTAGGTTTTCTTCTAGGGTTTTTATGGCTTTAGGTCTAACACGTAAGTCTTTAATGCATCTTGAATTAATTTTTGTATAAAGTGTAAGGAAGGGATCCAGTTTCAGCTTTCTACATATGGCTAGGCAGTTTTCCCAGCACAGTTTATTAAATAGGGAATCCTTTCCCCATTTCTTGTTTTTGTCAGGTTTGTCAAAGATCAGATAGTTGTAGATATGCAGCAGTATTTCTGAGGGCTCTGTTCTGTTCCATTTGTCTATATCTCTGTTTTGGTACCAGTACCATGCTGTTTTGGTTACTGTAGCCTTGTAGTATATTTTGAAGTCAGGTAGCGTGATGCCTCCAGCTTTGTTCTTTTAGCTTAGGATTGACTTGGCAATGCGGGCTCTTTTTTGGTTCCATACAAACTTTAAAGTAGTTTTTTCCAATTCTGTGAAGAAAGTCATTGGTAGCTTGATGGGGATGGCATTGAATCTATAAATTACCTTGGGCAGTATGGCCATTTTCACGATATTGATTCTTCCTACCCATGAACACGGAATGTTCTTCCATTTGTTTGTATCCTCTTTTATTTCATCGAGCAGTGGTTTGTAGTTCTCCTTGAAGAGGTCCTTCACGTCCCTTGTAAGGTGGATTCGTAGGTATTTTATTCTCTTTGAAGCAATTGTGAATGGGAGTTCACTCATGATTTGGCTCTTTGTTTGTCTTTTATTGGTGTATAAGAATGCTTGTGATTTTTGCACATTGATTTTGTATCCTGAGACTTTGCTGAAGTTGCCTATCAGCTTAAGGAGATTTTGGGCGGAGACAGTGGGGTTTTCTAGATATATAGTCATGTCATCTGCAAACAGGGACAATTTGACTTCGTCTTTTCCTACTTGAATACCCTTTATTTCCTTCTCCTGCCTGATTGCCCTGGCCAGAACTTCCAACACTATGTTGAATAGGAGTGGTGAGAGAGGGCATCCTTGTCTTGTGCCAGTTTTCAAAGGGAATGCTTCCAGTTTTTGCCCATTCAGTATGATATTGGCTGCGGGTTTGTCATAGATAGCTCTTATTATTTTGAGATACGTCCATCAGTACCTACTTTATTGAGAGTTTTTAGCATGAAGGGTTGTTGAATTTTGTCAAAGGCCTTTTCTGCATCTATTGAGATAATCATGTGGTTTTTGTCACTGGTTCTGTTTATATGCTGGATTACGTTTATTGATTTGCGTATGTTGAACCAGCCTTGCATCCCAGGGATGAAGCCGACTTGATCATGGTGGATAAGCTTTTTGATGTGCTGCTGGATTCAGTTTGCCAGTATTTTATTGAAACTGTCAAGCTTAAAGTGTTGGATGTAAGTTTTCCAACATTCTATATTTGCATGAAAGCTTGAACTTTATCATATTTGTTATTGGTAACAAATATGGTTAGTTGATTTCCATAAAGCGAGGAGCTTGCTTTTTCCCTTTTCAAGAAAAACACTTGCAAATACCCAAGACTGAATAACCATGTCCCATGAAAAAGTGGCTAGTTCATTTCACAACTCAGCACATTAGTGTTTTTCTGGGAGAGAACCATTGGAAACAGATGGGCTTTATGTGTATTCCATTTTATCACCCAAATACTAAAAAGGCATGCATTTGAGGATCAAGATTTCATAAAATTAATCATTTTTACTGCGACATCAAGGACATTCTTAATTGGAACTGGCTTTGTTTTTTTTTTTTTTTTGAGATTGTGACAGTGAAACTATATGTACGAGTTGATGTCACTGGCTGGATTCATGCTCAAGCACCAGTTTTACCCACCAGTGCTCCTGCAGCTTCAGTGCAAATGTCAAGAAAATTGAAAGGGCAGATCATGGCTTACTATAATTACGCAAAATGTCCTCATCTTGTGGGTTCCTGGAAGGCAGTCCTGGGGTTCCTGAACCAAACTTTGAGACTCTGAGAACTGTTGCTCTAGACCAGCTCTGGGCTGGGCTGGTTCTATTATTGCTTCCAATACACAGGCATAATTTAGTAAAACTCACAACTCACAACTTTGCCTTAGGAAATATATATACATATATATTTAAGCATTAACCACAGGCAAAAAAGACTCCAAGAAATGTGGGCACATTTCTTGGAGTCTTTTTTGCCTGTGGTTAATGCTTAAACAAAAGGTGGTTGTATTCTGTGTTTATTAGTTTACATAAGTCCACTGTTTGAAATAGCAAAGGAATGTCGGGGCTGTTGAATGCTTTTTTCATTCAGTTGCTCTACACATATTAAGAATAAATATAAACTGTGAACGAAATGTTTTTAGAATGTAATTTTTGTTATTTGTGCACTGTGTGATGCTACAATTTTAATTTCTTTTAACAAGGGTAATACCATGTTTGCATTATAAAAGAAACAGTAAAAATGTGCAGTGGAGCATGTTAGCTTTGTTTATGAGTTATTTTATTTTAAATGTCACATCTGATAAATTAGATAAAAATAAGTTCCCCTTGGATATCTTTTTGTGAACACAATCTCACCTAAAATGAAATGAATTATGTTCAAGTTTCTATTTCCAAAGAGCACCTTAAGGGAATATCTTAAGTGGAAATTCTACAGTATTATGCCCTGGAATTGTATGAGGGTCACCTGTATAACATTGTCCCTGCTTGGAAATGTATCAGGAGAGGCCTGGAGTTTAGTGTGTATGAACTTGGGCTTTCTAATCACAGATGTTTTGGTTTGCTCTGCTATTGATAAATAGCTGAGCTTATCTGAGTGACCTTGAACTAGGTGCTTAACTTCTAAGCCAGCCTTTGTTTGCACAGCTGTATAATGGCATAATAATTATATGAATCTCTAACTCTAGATGACTTCAGAGTCATTGTGAGCATTAAATAACTCTAAGTTTGCGAAGGATTTTAGCACATTGGCTGATGCTTGGTGTATGAGTTTCTAAGGGCTTCCAAAGGATTTAAACAATAGAAATTGATTGTCTCACAGCTCTGGATGCTGGAAGTCTGAGATCAAGGTGTTGGCAGGGCCAGATTCCCTCTGAAAGCTCTAGGAAAGGGTCTCTTCCAGGCCTCTGCTGGCTTATGGCAGTTCCTGGGCTGTGGCAATATCACCCAGCCTTCACATGGTATTCTCCCTGAGTATGTGTGTATTAGTCTGTTCTCACACTGCTATAAAGAACTGCCCCAAACTGGGTAATTTATAAAGAAAAGAGGTTTAATGGACTCACAGTTCTGCATGGCTGGGGAGGCTTCAGGAAACTTACAATCATGGCAGAAAGGGAAGCCAGTACGTCTTACATGGCGGCAGGCAAGAGAGAGTGTGTGAAGGAGGAACTGTCAAACACTTATAAAACCATCAAATCTTGTGAGAATTCACTCACTATCATGAGAACAGCACGGGAGAAACCACCCCCATGATCCAATTACCTCCCACCACATCCCGCCCTCCACACATGGGGATTATGGGGATTACAATTTGAGACAAGATTTTGGTGGGGACACAAAGCCAAACCATATCAATATCTGGGCCCAAATTCCCTCCTTTTAGAAGGACTCCAGCCAGTAATATTGGATTGGGGGCCCACCCTACTCCAGTATGACCTCATCTTAACTAAATACATCTACTACGGCCCTGTGTCCAAAAAGGGCCACATTCTAAGGTATTGGGCACTAGAACTTCAATTTATGAATTTTAGTTGGGCAAAGATACAACACAACTCATAATTTAGTAGATCCTCAATAGATGTAAGGTTTGTTATTGTTGTTTTATTGTCGTTATTACATGGCAATGCAGATAACTCTTCAATCATAAGCAGGAGAACTTGGAACTGAGGATTATTCTGAGGTCTCTAGTTTTCACAAGCAGATTCGAACATAGTGCTACCATGAGTTGAGCTAGAAACTCAAAAGGAGGAGCAGGGTCTATGGGGTGGATAGGTCAGGATGTGGAATTTTTTTTTTTAAATTTAGGGAAACTTTGTATAGCTGGTTTGTATAGCAAGCAAAAATTTATGGTAAATGCAAATCTGAAGAGAAATGTGGCTATGATACAGTTTTGCAAGACATCAGGAAATAAATGTTTTGTCTGTATGTTTTCATTAATTCCACAGACATTTATTGCCTGCCTATTTTGTACCAGGTTTCAGGCATTTTCTGTTCCATGTTATCAGGTACTGGGGAGATTTGGGGAGCTAAGTCATAAAGCTAGAGATACGTTTGGAGAAAACTGAATAGGCTAGTTTGGCAAGTGTGGCAGGAGAATCTGGGGAGATAGGGCGGTACCAGAGAGAAAGGACCAGAGTTTCTTTTCTTTAAGTTTAGTTCCCTGCCCCTAAAAAGCAACAGGAAACCACTGAGAGCTTTGAGCAGGAGAGTGTCATGTGCAAGTGTGTGTATGAGGGAGACTCATCTGAGAATAATTGTGTAAGGAATTGGAAGTGGCAGACATTGACACAGTAAACTGGGAAAATGATTTACTTCATGTGAACTGAAGGAACAGGATCAAACTTGGGACCAATGAATAGGAGAAAAACTGCAGAGAAAAATCCAATGGCATTTGGAGACTCAACCTAAACAGTGAGAAGGAAATTCAGATTTACTTCAAGTTTTCTAGCCTAGAATGATGGGAAAATATATTTAATATTATTGAAAAAAAAGAAAAGAAAAGAGACATTCGAAGGAAAATGGATTTGTGGGAAGAAGTGGCTCCCAGGTTAGGCTGTTGCCTTTAGTTGACAGCACCAATGGGTGGACGAATCCCCAGGGTAGATATGGACCGCAGTCAGGAGTGTGGGAGTGGCAGGACAGCACCAAGCAGTAACCAGGAGACCCGCAATTCCTTGAAGATGGTTAATCCATGATCACTTCTCTTCACTTCTCTTCATGTATCTGATTTCCCTCTCTCCCCAGTAGCATGATTTCCTCTATGAAGACTCCAATATAGGTGACGTGTTAACTCCCTAGGACTCTGCTAAAATCAACGGTTTAATTAAACTTCACAAAGCCAGCTGCCAGCACGTGTCCCTTCTTAGGGGCTCAGTGTGTCCTGCTTGACTATATGAAGTTAAATAAACAACGAAGGTTACTTTATGTTAAAACCATCAGAGTTTTTTAAAAAGACTCAGATTTTGCTTCATCTCTTTTAATGTGATAGAGGGATCTGAGCACAAGACTTAGACCAAAGCACCAAGTTGACTTCAGAGATCATTTAAAAGGACCGATCATGGGTAAAACAGATGTTCTCTATGAAACGTACCTTTTCATATAATTCTTTTATAGCTTTTTAAAAGCTCTCTCTGAAGGTAAATTATAGTTGCATTCAGGATCATTTGTTCAGCAGATTCCATGAAATGATGGGTGTTTATTCATATGAGGTCACTCATTTATGGATGAAATGTAATTCTCAATATAAAAGTGGTATTTAAGGGAGGAAAAGTCATGGTAGAGGTAGAAATGGTCAAAGGCTTTTTTTGTTGGAACTGAAAGTGGGTACAAAATGCACTATCATTGTGTGAGCTACAAATAGAAACACAATCATATGTGTGCTAGGTTTAGCTCTTCTTATGCGATGAGCATCCCGTCAGGTACCTCATAGGTAGTTATAAGCATAATTAAAAACCTGTTTTGTTCTCACAGGGTTTATAACCTAGTTCAAGAGAGAATGCAAAGGCTTTTAAATTACTTAGAGACTTATGTAGCAAGAGAGTGGGTCTTTGCTAATGGTGAGGGAGGGGAGTGGAAATTGCTACACATCGTTATTGTAAAACCATGTAAAAATGCTGCTATTCTCCACTCTTTAGGAGTATGAAGTAAACATTCCTTAGTTTATGTGTCCAGAATGCTACCTCCTTGTCTTCCGGAAAATGTGTTGCTCTATACTCGATCCTTGTAGTTGCAAAGGGAACCATTTTCTGATGCTGCGTGATCCTGGTGATTTTTCCAGAGGTCACCAACCATAGTGCCCCACCTTCTGGTGACAGTAACTACTCCAGAATTCAGCACCTTGCCCCAGCCGAGCTCATGGGAGCCCTTCCCTGGAACTTTTGGGCTTGGAACCAAAAAGAATGATCTGCATTTATCTCTGGTGGTTAATAGTGAGGAACTGGAGCCACAGGTGGCCTTAGAAGAGATGAGAGGTGACATTAAAAGAGAAGCTTAGATGGGAACCGTGGAAAGAGGATCTCTGAGACTCATTCTGAGCCTCTCTTTTAGAGGTTACAGAAGCCCAATGATTAAGGTCCCCTGGGCCCAGAGAGCAGTTGCTGTTGTTGTCTGTTTGATGGTTTAATCTTTTGGGTTGTTGTCACTTGGATCCAAAGGCGTCTGACTGATACCATAGGGATGTCTGAGCAGTTGGCTCTGCAGGAGAGTGCATCTGTACTCATGATGCAGAGGACTATTTTGAAGGCGAGGAGTTGCTCTTTTGTGAGCATACTAAGAATAACTTTCCCAGTGCTCAGCTGTTGTTCTTTTGGCCAAATCCAATTTGATAAGAGAAGATGCCATACGCAGTCTAGTTAAAAAGCATAGAATGTTTTCCCCTGTGCTACTCGGTAGCTGTTCCTCCACTGGGATATGGAATCTGAGCCTGAGGTCAGACTAGGAGTGCTTAAGAGCATCTGAGTGAAAGTTTGCAAGACAGAATTATTTTGTTTCCATGGTCACCTGCATTGTGTCACACACTGTGTTAGATGCTCTGGACACTGGGAAGAGAAAACAGGCACTTCTTGAGGCACTCAGAGGCATGCACACAGAGAACAGCACGAGGATCTCATGAGACCTGTGCTAAGGTGTGCAGATAGTGGCCTGGGAGCACAGGCGGGGGGGATGGCAGGCTGCAAAAGGCTTACAGGGAGATGGCCACATCAGAGCTGAGACTGATCATGTCAGTGGTAAAGGCCACATGGGGATTCTATATGCTGAGGGGCTGAAATGTCCACATGTGCTCTGCCGGGGTTTCCACATTTGACAGCATTTGAAGTTACAACATCCTTGGCACCCCTAAAGGTGCCTCCTCTTATATCTTGCAGTACAGAATCTCTTTTGGTTTTCTTTTTTTTTTTCCTTTTTGGTTTTCTTTTTTTTCTTTTTTGGTTTTCTTTTTTTTTCTCATCATAGGATCTCATATAATCAGCCTGAAATAAAATAACTAATTGAATTCCTTGTGACATAAATCCCATCCACTGATCTCTTATTTCTTTAAAAAAGTCAATTCTGAACACTCAGTCTCTTCCTTCTTTCTAGACTGCTGCATTTCCATAATGAGAATCCATTGGTTTACCTCTGTGGTACCTTGAAAATTGTGCTTCCCCCATTAGTTTGTCCAAAGCTATGGAAGACAGAGCTAGATATATCAAAAGATCTGTGGACAAGCAAGCCCACGGTATAGGTTTATGATACAGTTAGTGTCTGATACCTGACAGCCTGTATAATAATTACACCCATGCAAGCGCTCACACAACACAAAGAAAGACTGATTTACATTACAAGTAATTCAATTAGAATTTTGTTAGCATAATTGACATGGTGTTAAAATTAGTTAGCAGTTGTTTTTCCCAAGTCGTATTTAAAAAAAAAAAATACTTGAAGGCACACTAGAAAACATTTTAGAAGCAGTTTCTGCACAAAAAGAAGAACATGAATGTAGATGATTGTCAGTACATCAGTGTCATTTAATGTTTGTGTTACTTTTGGAATCCTAATCTCATAGGACTTTAAATATATAGCAGGCGTCTCCCATGCCACCTCACCTTAAAATATTGGCATGTTTTATGCAAAAACAAATAACCTGCCGCAATGCATCTGCCTACAGTAGTTTAATAACTTAGAATGCATTGAATTATATAAGTGTCATACCTGAATGATGTCTGACATGGTCCAGAAATTTTCCCCTAATTCATAATAGAAAAACACATTGTAAATTATAATACACATAAGAAAATAAATTATTTGCTGTTACAAAATAAAAATAAAAAAACTACAGCTGAGGAAAATTGGTAATTCGCATTTATTGTATCAACTGACTGATGCGGAGTTTTTATTTTGGTGTAGCATTTTTGTGTAGTTTTTTGGAACTGGTCCAGTGATTCAAATTATAATTGAGGAAAATCAACTTATCTTCTTATGCTAGAAAAGGAGGCATATTCACTTTCTAGAAAAACGAAATGTACTCTAAATGCAGCTCTCAGAATTGTCTAAGCCTGTCCCCTGCACTTCTTGCATGTTAATAAAACTTTTCAAATCATCCCTTTATAGTACTGTAAAGGTCGTATATGGACTGTTATTCCTGCATATTGAGAATTAAGCAGGACACTACCTTGAACACTTCTAAGGATGCCATTCATATATGTGT
Organism: Homo sapiens; assembly: GCF_000001405.40. Classification (NCBI taxonomy): domain Eukaryota; kingdom Metazoa; phylum Chordata; class Mammalia; order Primates; family Hominidae; genus Homo; species Homo sapiens. Next base: position 11,287,560 of record NC_000005.10, on the reverse strand, counting down.
TTGCCCATGAACTGCTTTATGTGTTTTAAACATTGGCACCTTTGGCATCTGTATTACTCAGTGTTCTCCAAAGAAACACAACCAACAAAAATATGTCTATATAAAAAGAGAGAGATTTATTTTAAGGAATTGGCCTCTGCAATAGTGGAGGCTTGGCAAGTCCAAAATCTGCAGGGTAGGTCAGCAGGGCTGGAGACTCAAGGGAGAGTTCAAGTCTGCAGCCAGAATCCCCTTTACTTCTAAGGTGGGCAGTCTTTTTCTCTTAAGGGCTTCAACTGATTGGATGAGGCCCATGCGCATTTTGGGTTATCTGCCTTACTTAAAGTTGACTGATTTAAATGTTAATCTCATCTAAGAGAATACCTTCACAAAAACATCTGTAATAATGTTTGACCAAATACTGTATCTGTGTACTGTGGCCTAGTCAAATTGACACATAAAATTATTTGTCACAGCGTCATACTACATTTGCAGAGATACAGAGATACCGGAAATATGCTTTTTTTCTCAACGGTGTTATTGAGATTTATCCATGTGGGTGTGTATATGTAGATTTCATTCCTCTTTTCCTACTTGGTAGTGTTCCATTGCATGGATAGACTACAGTGCATTCATCTGTTCTCTGATTGATGGATGCTTACATGGTTTCCATGCTCTTATTGGTAGACAGCAAGCAAGGACTGTTCTTGTGCATGTGTCCTGGGCAAATGTGGAAGAGTATTTTCAGAGCATGAACGTTGCTAAACCAGAGGAACGTGTATCTTCAAATTTAAGAATTACTCTCCATTTGTTGTCTAAAATGCTTGGGCCCATTTTATACTCCCACTGTCAGTTTATGACAGTTTCTATTTCACCCTGTATGTGCCAACTCCTGTTAGCCTTTTAAATCTTTGCCAGTTTGATGGGTTGGTTGTTTCCCTCTGCATTACCCCAGTTATCCCTGAAGTTTAGCACGTGTTCAGCATTGTTAGTGGTCTGTGACTTGCTTTTTCCTCAGTCCTGTCCCCATTTTACTGTTGGCTTCGAGTGAGAGTGCTAGAACTAAGGCACTTGGGTGCAGGTCCCATATCGGCTATTCATGTGATCTTGGGCAATTTTTATCTTTAATATCTGTAGTCTTTTTATGCTTAAGAGTCTAATACAAGCACCTACCTTGTTGAGCTTTTCTGAGTTTTTAATAACTTAAGACATGTGAAGTATTTCAGTGGGATTTGTTCATAAGTGAAAACCATTATTAACTATATAGGAGGCATTTATAAATTATTGATGGTATCTAGATTCTTATAAATTCTTCCAACTGGTGGCATGTCTCTTTTTTTTTACTTATAAATTTTAAAGCATTTAAATTTTGTTCTTTATATGTCTAAAAGTCTTCCTTATATGAAGTTCATAGTATCATGCTCCTTTATTTTCTTATTTAAATATTTAAGTTTAACCTTTCACATTTGTTCCCAAATATGTCTTCAACTTCTTGTGTGTAGTGTGAGGTAGGGATCTGTTTTTTTTTTCATGTGGATATCAATTGCTGGAAAAGCACTTATTTTTCCAGTATCTTTGTCCTCTAATTTGTAATATTACTCCTACATTTATGCTGTGGCATCATTATTGATCTGCATCCACCTATGCTCTCTTATTAACACTTATATTACACTGTGTATTGTTAATGTATTTAAAAATCACTTTGGATTTAACATATATGTGTGCACTCTCCCTCAGTTCCTGGAAATAAACCCCCTGGCTTTTAACTCTCAACCACCTCCTTAGTTCCTATGGGTAGCAGGAAAGGCCTCCTGGGCTTATAGGAGCTAAAGAGGATTCTGGTTGAGAGGGAAGCGGAGGTAAGAATTGGAGCAAAAGGAAGGAGCGGTATCTCAGGCTCCCTGTACCCAAACCTGCCATTCTTTCGTTTCATTCTACTGCAGTCATAAGAGGTTGTTGCAGAGGGGCCAGCTGTCTATTTTCTGGAGGGAAGTGGGAAAAATCCCCCTCATTCTGGCTTTTGGGTCTCCAAATTTAAGGGGTAGTAGATATTGATCAGCACCTGTCACTAGTATTCATACACTTTTGTGTTTATCCTCTAGTCTTTTCCAGAACTCTTCTCCCTTGTCTTTGATCTTCTGCTCTGTTTCAGGAACACTTTTAGACTGGGGCTTGTGAAAGAACCAGAGCTGGACAGTAGTTAAAGCAGCAAAACCAGATTTTATTCAGAAACTATTGCAATAGGGGAAGAGAGATTTCACTATAGAACTGGGCTTCATTCTGAATACAACAAGGAAAAGTGGGGACTTAAAGCTAAGGAGGAAGGCAGTGGTGGGTGGGGTCAGTGGATGAAAAATTACCAAGAGGGGGCCTCAAGGGGAGATGGTTCTTTGCTAATCTAACAGGATTCTTGCTGGGGCAGCAGATATAACCTGGAGTATTGTGAAGGATGAGGAACTTGATCAGACATTAAGGGGAATCAGATATCAAAGGTGGGAGTTCTCTCTAAACTAAATTATCAGTATTCTTGCCAAAACTGGTCTTAGCAAGGACAGAGTCAAGATTGAGCTCTCATTGAGAAGAAGGCTTATAGGAACCTGACTAAAGCTTTGTCAAGGAGGGGGGCTCTGTCAGGCCACCAGACCCCTGTGACACAAAAGAAGCAGATTTCTGGTTTCTGCTATCACTCAGCCTCCATTCTCAGTCCAGACAGTGAGAGAGGCAAAGTTCCAGCCTGGAACACATACATGCTTAGAAGCCAAAGTTAATGGTGAGATCGATTTGACCCTGCAATCCTATTATTGGGTGCATACCCAAAAGAATATAAATCATTCTGTTATAAAGACACATGTACATGTATGTTCATTGCAGCACTATTCACAGTAGCAAAGACATGGAATCAACCCAAATGCCCATCAATGATAAACTGGATAAAGAAAATGTGGTACATATACACCATAGAATACTACGCAGCCATAAAAAGGAACAAGATCATGTCCTTTGCAGGGACTTGAGTGAAGCTGGAAGTCATTATCCTCAGCAAATTAACACAGGAACAGAAAACCAAACACCTCATGTTCTCTCCTCTAAGTGGGAACTGAACAATGAGAACACATGGACACAGGGAGGGGAACAACACACACTGGGTCCTGTCCAGGGGGCAGGCTGGGAGAGCATTAGGATAAAGAGCTAATGCATGTTGAGCCTAATACCTAGGTGATAGGTTGATAGGTGAAGCAAACCACCATGGCACACATTTACATATGTAACAAACCTGCATCTGTACCCTGGAACTTAAAAAAATAAAATAAAAAAATAATGAGATAGGCCCTGCATAACCTTCACCTCCCCACAACAGGAGCCCGGTACTGACAGCCCTGCACAACCCTGGAGTGCTGTCAGATGGTGCCTCACGCTCTCCATGTGGCTGAAGAATTCACATGACCAGAACACCTGATGCGGCTCAGAACCACATTCTCCTAATAGAGAGGAGCGTGAAGCCCACACCAGGCAGCAGTGGGAATGTGCTGGGCTTTCCTCAGTAAAGGGACCATCTCAGTATTGAGAAACAGTTTTATGGTGGTGGTTGCTAATAGCCCACATGTTGAAGACTGTATTAGAGACACACTGGACAAGGGAAAAACACAATACACGTCAGACGACGTGAACAGAACCACAAGGTCCGCATTGCATGGCTGCTACTGTTTAACTTAAGGAATTACTTTTTCTAAGGTTTACATGAATTTCCTCAATTCTGAAAAATTTAACGTGTGATTTACTTATTTTCTAAAAATGTATGAATAATCTAACATGTATTTGTTTAAATTAGCTTCTTCATTTTGAATTCCAAATATACAGATTCCCATGTCTCTCTCTTTTTTTTTTTTTTTTTTTTTTTTTTTTTTTTTGAGACGGAGTCTCACTCTTTCACCCAGGCTGGAGTGCAATGGCATAGTCTTGGCTTACTGCAACCTCCGCCTCCCAGGTTCAAGTGATTCTCCCACCTCAGCCTCCCGTGTAGCTGGGACTACAGGCAGGTGCCACCACACCCCGCTAATTTTTGTATTTTTAGTAGAGACGGGGTTTCACTATGTTGGCCAGGCTGGTCTCAAACTCCTGACTTCATGATCTGCCCGCCTTGGCCTCCCAAAGTGCTGAGATTACAGGTGTGAGCCACTGCGCCCAGCCGATTCCCTCCTCTTTTTTTCCTCCCATGTTAACAGTAGCGAGGAAGTTGACATATCTCTTTGGTATCATGACACTCCTTATACCATAGAAAATACCAAAAACAGTGGTCTTTACTTGTACACTGGGCATGGGCAAGTGATTTCAATTCCCATACAGGATGGGAAAAAAATCTTAATTTTGTCTGACTAAAACCACAGGATTTTCCTGAGAGTTAACTCATGGATTAAGCAGTCTGGTTAAAAACTACTCAGAATTTCTTCAGTAAACATGGTAAAGCATAGGGGCTGGGGTAAAAGCAAGCAAATAACATTGGTAAGGGTGTCAAAGCATTTTAGGAGAATTTTGTAAGACTGGCTATTGAGGATTAAATCAGGCTGAGCTTGAGTCAGCTGAAGGGTCTTAATTTGTAAATCTTTTGTCTTAAAAAGATCTGAGGAAGAGGGAGTGCTAGAACGAGGCAAGTTTTAACATGAGTTTCCTGAGTTTTGAGTAAACATTATCTGGCAAAGATATATCAGTATGCGATGGTACAATAAATAGCCAGGGCATTACTTGTTGTTAGTTAAGATTGTTGCCGTTAAACCTGTATAAACAATTGAAGATAAAAAGGAATAATTTAAAAGCATTGCACTTACTCATGGCTTATTGTTCTATAAATATTCAATGCAAGATTTAAGTTTACATATGAAAGCCCACTTTTTATCAGAATTAATTGATTCAAAAAAGATATGTAAATCATACCCTCCTAGGATAATCTAAGTAATGTTGGTTGCCTAGCATCTACAGGAAGACAAAACAGTCGTTCCCTAACAGTGTATGCATCAGAGGAGGATCTCCTGGATTTCTAGCAGGAGCTGCTGGCCTTTTGTAAATCGAGGCTGTAGCGTTCATCTTTATGGGGGCTTGGAGCTTATCAGAACCACCTTGGAGTGATTTTCAAAACAACACGTGATTATCTTCCCGACATCATGTTTGAAATCAGTTGCTGATGCTGCATGCTAGGAGAGAGAGGGTATCAAGTCCGGAACCTCTTAACTCTCCCTGTTGAGTACATCTTCTCTGGGCACTTAAAAACTCGTAATTATTTAGCACCTACTTCATGCCAGTCACTCTCCTGAGTGCTGTGGTAGGAAGCTTAGAAATGTCAGACGAGAAGCATGAATTGCTTTTTTTCCAATACCCAACAGCATTGACTGATCGTGCTGATATTCTGAGGTTTTCAGCCCATGGCCCTGTCCCTGAATGCCCCGTTGACAACCAACCAGCACTGACTTGCCAGCCATGGTAGCGAACCACCGTGAGAGTGGATTCTCCAATGCCAGTTCAGTCTCTTCATGTTATACTGCCTGGAACAGAGATAAGCCGTCCCTGCTGAGCCCTGCCCAAATTAGATTTCTGAGCAAAATAAATGACTGTTGTTTTAAGCTACTAAGTTTTGGGATAGTTTATTCAGCACTATGTTATGGGCTGACCTGTGTTATGCTAAAATTCATATGTTAAAGCCTTAACCCCCAGTACCTCAGAATATGACTGTAATTAGAGATGGGCCATTTAAAGAGGTGATTAAGTTAAGATGAGGCAGTGAAAATTGGCCGTCACCCAATCTGCCTGGTGTCCTTATAAGAAGAGGAAATTTAGACATGAAAGAGATGTCAAGGGTGCGCATACACAGAAGAACGACCATGTGAGTGGGTGGGGAGGAGGCAGTCAGCTGCAAGCCAAGGGGAGAGGCCTCAGATAAACCAATCTGTTGACACTGTGATCTCAAGCTTCCAGAAATGTGAGGAAACAAATCTATGTTGTTTATGCCACCTAGTCTGTGATATTTTGTTATGGTAGCCCTAGCAAACTAATATACATGATAGGAAAACAGATTCAGTCCACAAATGTTGACTTTATTTTGCATACTCTTTCAAGTTTTTGCCATTGGCCATTGCTTCGTGGAATTCTGTGGCTATTTGCTGTTGCTTCATGAAATTCTATTTCCTATAACTGTTTGCTTTCAGTAGCACTAACACCTCTCGTGAGGTAACAGCTTTAGTCACCAAAAGGAACATTTTAGAAAAATTGATGGAGTTCGTGAACATTTCCAGAAACGTAGCTCCCCCAAGCCATTTTAGTCAATAATGTAAACATGCTTAGCCTTTCCTTTCCCTCAGTGACCTTATCCTCTCTGGGATTTACTGGGCTTCTGCAATTATTTCCTAAAGGTGAAGAAACCATTTACCCAAGGAGCAAACGTCTGCCATTAAAAGGCCGAAAACATAAAATGTTTGATATAATATTTTTTGCAATACACTAGCTACATGGTCGTTAATTTGTCTGGAGGATTTCATGTGTGGTGAACATGTTACATGCTGATTCAAAGAAGGTGAAGTCTGATCTTTTTTTCTTTCGCTTTTTTCTTCCCCACCTTGATCTGAAATGAGGCTTTCTCCCAACCCAGGGCCATCATTTCGTACACCACCCACACTCCTTACTCTGTTTGCTCCTTGATCCAGGGAGTTGAAGGACACACAGCTGAGGAGGGGTCTGTGGGAAGAAGAGACAGGGCTGGATAATAGTCTTCAGGGCTGGAGTAGCATGCAACTTTCAGGGAAAAACTAGGGGAAGGAAGAGGCCCACAGGACAAAACTGAAAGTGCTCAGGGATTGCCAAGTGTGTGTGTAAGAGAGAAACATGCCTGTAAATGCTTCCCTCTGTTTCTGTGGACTGAATTGTGTTTCCCTTCCAAAAAATGTATATGTCGAAGCCCTAACTCCCCTCTATGAGTGTATTGGAGGTAGGTCCTTTGAAGAGGCGATTAAGATTAAATGAAGTCACAAAGGTGGAGCTCTGATATCGCAGAACTAATGTCCTTGCAAAAGAGGAGGAAATAGAGTTTGATCTCTCTCCATCATGTGAGGGCACAGCAGGAAGGTTGCCACCTGCAACCCAGGAAGAGAGCCCTCATCAGAAATCAAAACCTGCTGGAACCTTGACTGTGGACTTAACCACCCTCCGGAACTATGAGAAAATGCATTTCTGTTGTTAAATCCACCCAGTCTGGTATTTTGTGTGGCAGCAGAGCAGTCTAAAACACTATTATTATTATTCCTTTATTATTCCACCACATTAATATTTGATCTTCTTTTAGTAGGTTGGTATTAACACTTTCTGTCCTGTGTCTCTGTTCATTTGAGTTAAAATGTTGCTGGATTTTAAATGTTCTGAGCTTTACAATAAATGCTGCTTATAGAGATGGGTTGGGGAAAGCAAAAACAAATTACACAATTTAAGACCTTAGACTTTTAAAATTCAGTGTGGCTGGGGTATGGGCTTTGACTCTTATTGCAAGTAAGGTGAACAGGCATGATATAGTTTGTGTATCTGCCCTCAACCAAATTTCAGGTTGAATTTGTAATCCCCTGTATTAGAGATGGGGCCTGGTGGGAGGTGACTGGATCATGGGGGTAAATTTCTCATGAATGGTTTAGCACCATCCTCTTGGTGCTGGGCTCGCAATAGTGAGTGAGTTCTTGCAAGATCTGGACATTTAAAACTATGTGGCATCCCACCCCCATACCATGCTCTCTCTCTCTTGCTCCTGCTTTCACCATGTGATGTGTCTGCTCCCACTTCACCTTCCACCATGATTGGAAGCTTCCTGAGGCCTCCCCAGAAGCAGATGCCACCATGCTTCCTGTACAGCCTGCAGAACCACGAGCCAGTTAAACCTCTTTTCTTATAAATTACCCAGTCTCAGGTATTTCTTTATAGCAATGGATGAATCGTCTAATCTAATGCAAGGCACCAGAGGGATTCAACCTCTTAAGAGGGGTAACATGAATTTCCTTAGCTTTGAAGTGGATTGGCTATTCCTGCTCTCTTGAAAGTATACTCCAGGGGGTAAGATCAGAAGCAGGAAGACCAATTGGGAGGCTGTTGAAGTAATATGGAACAGAGATGATGGGGCACCAGAGGGGTGCAGGGATGAGAATGAGAAGTAGTCAGATTACAGGCATATTTTCAAGGTAAAGATGACAGAAAGTGTTGATGGGTTGAATATAGGCTTTAGGCAGGGATGGGTTGCCATTAATTGAGCTGCTGGAAATGGTGAGAGGGACAGTTTTGGAGGGGGTGTCATAATTTTGGTCATATTTGGTTTCAAATGTCTCTTAAGTATTTGAATGGACATCACAGTCTGGAAGACAGGGACGGTTCTGGATTGGTGTTATAAAATCAACAGGTATTTGTCTATAGAACCGAGCAATCATGTATTCTCATCTGCCCAAGACAGTCCCATGGATGCCTTTTTCCTCAGTGTAAATATTTACATCACCCCATTTCAGTCCCAGAAGCATCAGGTTTTGACAGCAAATTATATTATTACCCCAGTCTATACGCTAGTCTACTTAAAGTCGTGAGACTGGATGGGAACACCGTGGGGGAGTTAGTGAAGGTAAAGAAGAGAAGACGACCAGGATGAGCCCCAGGGCTGCCATCACTTAGAAGTCAAGCAACGAGGGAGAATTGTGGAAAGAGACAAAGAAGGGGCCTGGGAAGTAGGAGGAAACCAGGAGAGGTGGGTCCCAGAAGAGAGTGCTTCAAGGAGGAGTGGCTGATTTGGGGATGCCCCAGACACAGTGCTCACATCTGTTCTCTGCCCATCTTCATCTATTTCCCTCCTTCATCCAGACTCAAGGCTTTGATTATCATCTGTATTGCAATGATGCACACATATGTGTATCCTGAGCTTACTAAGTGGCCACCATCTTCAAGCCACATCCCCTCCCCCTGTCTCCTCTCATGTCAGAAGCCAGGGAGACATTTTCTCAAATGTCACATCCTCACTGAGGTCTTTCCTGGCCACTAGCTTTTCCCACTCCCCCTTTTCCTATGTCATTTTTGTGCTTGTCCCCTCTAGCACCTGGAGCTGCCCAACATGCTTTGATGTCTTCCCTCCTGTTTTCCTCCTCCGTGGCATGCAAGCACTGTGGAGGACAAAATTGTTCTTCATGCTTTCCAGTGTCTGGCACATAAGAGGTGCTCCATGAATATTTGTTGAATAAATAAATGAAAGACAAGGAAATAGGACCTGTAAAAGAAGCCCAGTGAGGAAGCAGAGGCAGGAGAGAGATAAACATAGTTCAAGGGCAAGGCCAGACATGCAAGAGGGAAAGCTTATCTGTAGTGGGTAGAGGTTGAGTAGAATGGCGACTGTAGAGAAGCATTGGATTGGCGCGTCCCTTGAGACCCTTGATGGAGATAGCTGGTGGGGAGGGACGAGGAGAACAGAGTTTATAAGAAATTAAGAAGAACATCCTAGTTGGAGGGATATTGGGATTTTTAGAGAATGTGTTGGAGCAGGACAGAGGTGTTGGAGCCAAGATAAAGTCCCTAAGAAAAGAAGTAACTACTGTGCGGTACAGAAAAGTGGAGACAAGAGGCTTTGCAGCAATGTTGTAGATATGCTGGCTTTCTGAGAGAGAGACCGGAGCTATGGGGTGGTTGGGTGTCTGGAAAGGGAAGTGCACTTGGGTATTGTTGTTTCCCAAGTCAGACAGCATAAAAGCCTAAAGCAGGCTGGATGCGGTGGCTCACACCTGTAATCCCAGCACTTGGGAGGCCGAGGCGGGCAGATGACTTGAGGTCGGCAGTTTGAGACCAGCCTGGCCAACATGGTGAAATCCTGACTCGACTAAAAATACAAAAATTAGCCAAGTGTGGTGGCACACATCTGTAATTCCAGCTGCTCGGGAGGCTGAGGTGGGAGGATCTCTTGAACCTCGGAGGTTGAGGCTGCAGTGAGTTCAGATCGTACCACTGCACTCCAGCCTGGGTAAGAGAGAGACTCCATCTCAAAAATAAATAAATAAATAAATAAATAAATAAATAAATAAATAAATAAATATTTTTAAAAAGCTTAAAGCACCAGAGCAGCCCATACTATTCAAAAGCAGCTCTTAAAGACTGGCCATTGAAGTTTCTTTCTGGGACTTAAGCTGTTCTGCAGTTATTTTATTTTTTTAATTAACAAGTGAGTTCAAAATGTTTTTTCTAAAGAATTATTCCATCTTCATTGATGATGTGAATTATAAAATTTGAAAAATCTGTAATTTCTGTTGTTCTCAGTAAAAGGGAGAGTTTCAAAAGCTTACATTTTCTTAGATAATATTTAAGAACCAAAACTTCTATTGAGTTGTATCCTCTATTCTGTGAAGATTATTTTAAAAATATTTTCTCTCACTGCTCTAGGAAAGAAAAAAAAAGGCAAGGGGGAATGATTTTCAAGCTGTTCTACATAGTAAGGGAGAATTTTCATTAGATGCGTTTCTTTTTCTCTTCAAAAATATAGTGGATTAGTTTCCTTGGGCTTTGCTGTGACCAATTACTACTAAATATGTGGTTTAAAACAACAGAAATGTATTCTTTCACAGTTCTGGAGGCCAGAGGTCTAAAATCGAGAAATCAGCAGGCCCACGCCCTTGGAAAGCTCTAGGGGATAATCCTTTCTGGGTTCTTTTAGTTTCCAGTGGCCCCTGGCTTTCCTTGGTTTGTGGCCTCACCACTCCAATCTCCACCTCCATCTTCACGTGGCCTTCCTCTCTGTGTGTGCTCATGTCACGAATCTCTTTCTCCTTTCTCTTCTTATAAGGACACCAGTCATTGGATTTTGTGCCCACCCTGAATCCAGGATGATTTCCTCTTGAGATCCTTAAACTCAATTACATTTGCAAACGCACTGCTTTCAAATAAGGTCACATTAACAGATACTGGGTATTAGCACTTGGATGTATCTTTTTGGGGGCCACTTTGCAACCCACTATGCACTATACCCTAGTCTAGTTAAAGTCGTGAGACTGGATGGGAATACCATGGGAGTGAGTGAAGGTAAAGAAGAGAAGAGGACCAGGATGAGCCCCAGGGCTGCCATCACTTAGAAATCAAGCAATGAGGGAGAATTGTGGAAAGAGATCAAGAAGGGGCCTGGGAAGTAGGAGGAAACCAGGAGAGTTGGGTTTTCAGAAGAGAGTGCTTCAAGGAGGAGTGGCTGATTTGGGGATGCCCCAGACACAGTGCTCACATCTGTTCTCTGCCCATCTTCATCTATTTCCCTCCTTCATCCAGACTCAAGGCTTTGATTATCATCTGTATTGCAATGATGCACACATATGTATATCCTGAGCTTACTAAGTGGCCACCATCTTCAAGCCACATCCCCTGCTCCTGTCTCCTCTCATGTCAGAAGCCAGGGAGACATTTTCTCGAATGTCACGTCCTCACTGAGGTCTACAAAAACTATAGTTTTGTAATTTGAGATGTATGATTTATTTGTTTTAAATCAATACATCATTATTTGTGTTCTGGAAAAGTCACATCACTTAATTATATAAAGAAATAAGGTTGTTTTGAATTTCTAAGAAACAACTAAGACCATGTTTTAATTGTATTTTTTAGATCATGTGCAAGTATTGAATGACTTGGGAATTAAAATCAGGTATTCAGCAATCTACAAATTGTATGTTTCTCTGGCTGGCATTAAATCATCTAGAAAACACAATTAGTAAAATGTCTTTTGAAGAAACACATTCTACTCAGTACCTTCCCCCATGGATTGGCACAAAATAGAATCCTGATTAATTTGAAGTCATGTCAAACTTTAATTCTAGCTGTTTCAAAGTCTTGCTTCCCTTGAATATAAGGCTGTAGGAGTTTATAAATAAGCAGGGAACTGAGAAAGGTTTAAGGGAGAGAATATGTGTAGTGTAAGAGAGAGAAGTGATGTTTACTAAGCATCTCCTTAATTAAAATTGCTCTTGCAATGGGGACCTCATTCATTAACAGAGCAACTCAGAGTGGTGGATAGGATCTTACCCCTCTTATTGTGGAAGAGACTAAGAAGCAGATGTGTACATCAGTGGGCCAGCTGGGAATCCACGGGGCAGAATTTGAACCCAGATGTCTTCTGTTCCATCCTTCTCTCTCAGTGCTCACCTCACTGGCTGCTATCAGGACAGTTGGAGCAAAAGCTGGGAGAGCTGGCTTCCAGTCATGACATCACTGCTTACCAGTTGTTGATTCTGAGCAGGGATTAGGAGGCACCAGATGCTCTGGGTTTGAATCCTGCCTCTGCTGCTTGTTAGCTATGTGACCTTGGACCACTTACTTGTGTCTTTGTGACTCAGTTTCCCCATCTGTAAAGTGCTGGCATTAGTAGCCGCTACCCCATAGCATTGTGTGAGAATTAAATAAAGTGATTTATACATAAATCGCTTGTAATGGTGCCTGGCACTTTGCAAGGCCTATTGAGGACACTTGTTCCCACCCACGCATTAACCTGCATAAGTTTATCTATGGAGAGAATTTGAATCATCTCCTCCAGCTTCCTACCAACTCTATACCCGTAATTATGTTAGTAACATTGGTGAAACACCCTAGGAAGACCAAGTACCAGTTAAGTCCCAGATTTACTGTTTTTCTTGCAACAGAAAGATTTTTAGAATGTTCATTAATGACAAAGAAATATTTAATATATTTTTAGAACTTTCTTGTAGATCGGTAGTTCTAGACCTGCCTCACTCTTTTTCCTTGGAAAACAGTTCTTTGTTCCAACAACAACAATAACAACAATAAACCTTTGCTTAGATTAAAAACATTGTTTTCATTAGCGGTTAGCAAGCAAAAATAAACTATAATATCTTATGCACGGAGAAGATAATTAATTGTTAGACTTGATTGTTTTATAATCTATTTCCAATAGATTAAATCTTGCTCCAGGAAAATTTTTAAGTGTTTTGTGTTTTGGTGTTGCCTTTTTAAAAAAAAAAAAAACGAAAGCAAAATCAACTTTCTGTGAAAATTGTTTTATTTGTTTTATTTTCTAATTACTCTCCCAAATGTGTTTTCAATGTGATATTGAACATTTTTTTTCTATCTTGGGCTTGTCTCACATTTTTGCTGAGACAGGTTGTTTACCATTCTGTGTTCATGTGAAATGAGGATTTAATAAGATGGTCCTTTCATATGAAAAAGTTATTAGTTATTGCTGAAATAGGCATATGGCCAAAGATATTTCATCAGCACCCAAAGCAGTCATAGAAACCTCTATGCATTCTTAAGCCCAAAGTCTTTAAGAAATGAGGCTTTGATGAACACATGTCATGAAAAGTAAGATTTTCATAAAGTTGTAAAATATTACTTCTAGGATGAGTACAACTGTCAGGGATTACGCCAATAGAAAGTACCTTGGCTCAGCCCCTAGTTAGAATGAGAACAAGTGATGAATGTTGGCGGCGTGGACTGTTGTTTAAGGTTTTCAGTTCAGCGTGTTCTGAAGAGAAGTCTTTATGAGAGCAGGAGACAAGGAGAGCATGAAGCAGGAGCAGTCGAAATAAAACATGGGAAAAATGAAAAGCGAAGGCATAAATACCCGTCCCCTCCCTGGCCGCCCCAGGAAATCTATATATTCATTCAAATTGTGTTTTTCCAGTGCTAAACTTTAAAATCTTAATATCTCAAAGAGCAAAACATCTTTTTAGGAAAACTTACTGTGTATCAGGATGGCGCACAACTTTTTTCTTCTAGTGGAAAATATACACAGAGGGAGCTAACCTACGCTGCTTCATGTCAACCTAGAAACAAATGTGAATTTCCCAAGTGCAATAAACATGAGGTTGCCCAATAATACCATTTATCTGGGCGATAAGTGTCAGTTATGCAAAATGCAGTTGCTGTTGCAAGGAGACGGGAACAGCTCATCTCCCTGCAATGCTTATTAAGTACAATGTCTCCCGCTGCAGAGCTGCACACGGTCCCATGATATGGAAGGAATTAAGTGAAAAGAAATTTCAGTGACCGAAAAGCCCAATTTTCCTTCAAGCTTATGGCACTTAATAAAATAAATGCAAAGTTATTTTTAATGAAGGCATCTGAGTTTCCTTGACTGAAGAGAGGGACTGCTCTTCAGCGAGACACTTCTCCCTATAACCAAGGGGACGGTTTTGCATCTGGCTCACTGAAGGCAGCGTGACTCATACACTTAGCCAGTTACACACCTGATGTGCGTATTCCCCATGTGTCCACTTGAGACTCAGGGTGTGTTGAGGTTGAGAACCAGATCACTCTCTGATTTGACAGGTACATATAATAATAATTATAACAATTATTTTTCATGCAGCTCAAATACTTGGGTCAGCAAATGTTCTGTGAAGGGCCAGATGGCAAATATTCTAGGCTTCGTGGGCCAAGAGGCAAAATTGAAAATATTATATGTAGATAATTATATAACAGGAGAGAAAACACATTTTCACAAAACTATTATTAATGAAATTCAAAAACAATTCATAATATCAATATTAATAATGTTTTGTAATACAGGTCTGCCAGTAAGAATGGGATTATTTTTTGTGAGAATGCCTAGCTGGTCTTCAAAGTTAGTGTTCCCTGTCATCAGACAGATTATAAATGTGCAACTGTAGAAACCTTTTAGCTTACAGGTTGTACAATAAAAGGAGGTGGTCCAGATTTGTCCCATGGGCCAGATTTTGACCCCTACTCTAATATATCATTAATTTTATATACTCGTGGATAAAATTCTAATGTCTTTCTCTGAATTATAAAAGTAGATACTTTGCCCTAATATATTTTAGTAAAGTCGCCCTTTGCCCCTTGAGTCTAAGTAGTGCAAATGAGAATTTGATGATGATATTTTTATGGCATAGTTGTACTGCAGTTCAGGAGTCCATGACCTGATTGGATTAGCACAATTTTGTTTTCCACCTGGGGACCACCTACGATGGAGTTGTAAAATCAGTTCAGAGCGTTTTCACCAGTATTTAGGGGATTGAATAGGATGGAATAAATTATAATAACCATAGTAAGGAAAAATTGGGTTTTGTTTGGCATTTTAGGAAAGAGTCAGACTTGTGAGTGTGGCATGGGTGGATCTAAGGTTTTTATTGTGGGTCTTGATTCAAAATACATGTCAAACACTGATTTAGAAACATTTATCTTTCCTAAAATAATATATTCAAAAAAAATTTCCTAGACTCTGACACAGGAAGAATGTTGTCAAATGCCTCTAGCTGTTTAAGACTAATGAATATATCATAATTGATGGATATAAAATAATCTGAGTGGCTATAGAGTGGTGTGTTTCACAGTAGATGGTGAGCGATCAGATGAAGAAAGGACAGAATTCTATCACAAAAATAATCTCACGTTGCTATAATTGTTTTCTGAATTAATCCACAAATTTTGGTGTAAAAATTATCTAAACTCTCTGTTTATTTGTCAGGAATTGGTATTTTAAGAAATAATGGACTGTATTTTTTTAGAAACATGGAAATTATACTTGTAAAAGGAAATATTTTTATAACATTTTATAAAACATTTTTATATTTTTATTTGTATTATTCCCAAAACAGCTTATCTATATTTATATTATACTTCATTTATATTTTCATTTGTACAATTCCCAAAACAGTTTGGGAATTGTAGCTTAAGATGCACAATTTGTATCCTACCCAGTAAAAGTTGTTTTCTCCTTATGTTAAGTGAGATGAAGCATATCTTAGAATGAAACCTTCCCCCACACCCGCTCCCAGACATCCCCATTTCAACCTCCCACTCATTTCTCATTCAGCCAGTCCTTGGTGAGGACCCACTTGGTAATTGGAGCCAAATTTGCAGATGATATGAGATATTTAAAGGTACAACATAATCCTTTGCAGCGTATCATCTAAGCCCATCATTCCCTCTTTATCTGAATATGAAGTATGTCATAATGGCAGTGGGACCCATTCTGACAATTGAGATTACTGTCCAGGTGGCAGGGGGCGATATTCTCAACATTGCTATCATCCTCATCACATGCACACATCTTTGAAAAGCGGACCATATATTTGGAGGAAGGGAAGAAAGGAAATACCCAATAAACCAGGAATTTAAATAAAATTAAAATCATGAAAGAAAGCTCTTTTTTCCCTTGGTTTAGTTTTAGCTTTTAAAGCTAAGTGTTACCCAAATTGCCAAACTGTTAATATTGTATATGCAATACTTTATGTGATATGAGTATGCATGATTATCTAGTTCTCATACATTAATTTATAAATGCACATATGTTTGATAGTCATTTTTTAACTACAGGTTGTGATCCATTAGTGGGTGGTAAAATACGTTTATTGGTCATGAACAGTGTTTGTAGAATAATAATGTAATGGAATAGAACAGAACAGACTAGAAAAGAATAGGACCTATTCAAATGCATCTACCTTTGCGAGGATAACTTGTTCTTCACTTAATTATGCATATACATAGGTGTGTGTTGGGTGTATGTGAATTGACTTGACATGTAATTATTTTATATTGTGGCTCATTATTTAAACATTTTTTAAAATAGAACTAAAGTCATAGTGACATTAATGATTAACATGTTCCTTTTATTTTCCTAGTTTGTATTTTATTGCCAAATGCTAAAGGATGCTAATTAGTATGTTTCTTCATACAATCTAATTTCAATAAATACTTTCATGTTTGGTTCCACGTGGCATTCACATGAACTAACTATTATTTGGTTAGCTTTTTCTATCTGCTGGTTATTGAAGGTTTTTTATCTGCTATTTTAAGCTTTCTTGCAATAATAAGGCTAAAGATTGGGTTGCAGTAATCCAATAATGCCAACCAAAGGAAGTATTAAGAGACATAGCCTAGAAGTATAATGCTGAACACTGATTTAGGGAGAAAAGAGCTTGATCCTTTCTAATGCTGCTTCTCATGGTACCATGTGTTGAAGCAGGGATCCTGTATTTTTTATGAGCATTTCATAATCTATTGTCTCCCTGTTGAATAAAAATTAATTCAGACAGAAATCTGACACTGCAAAAGCATGAAAATTCCCACAGGCTAAATATTACAGTGAATGGATTTTTTTTTTTTTTTTACCACATTGTTTTCCTTTGAATGTATCCTAATAGGCTTATAGAAACACAATCATGTTCCTGACAAGTTACATAGTTGTTATGTGTGGTATTTCACCAATACTTATTAGCCAATGTATATTAATTACATATAAATGCATTGCTTAATGTGTCTGTCTCTGGTTATATAAACTATATAACTATATAACTATACATATATTATATATGTGTGTGTGTGTTACGTGTTAGAACTTAAGAAATAATGTAAAGGGAAAAATCCTAACATGCTCACACATTTTGTGAGTGAAATAAAAATAAAAACAGCCCCACTTTGGGGAAGTTCTTCTACAAGGAACTAATTCTAGTAAATTTCAGTATTCATGGGAAGTGGACTCAACATTGAGGATTTAGACACAAATTTAACTGAAGTTTGCCACAAAGTTTTGTTTCCCATTTGAAGTTAAGAATTGGTGAAATACAATGTTTGTGAATGTTGTTTTATACATGTGTAAATTTTTGAAAAATAATTGTCATGTGATTAATATTTCCAGGGTTGACATAATCCTGCAATTCAAGGCTCCGTGTTTTTTTCGTTTTCAATCACTAGCATAATTTTTCTAGAGAAGCATCTAACTTTCTGACCAGGTCTGCCTTTTGGTTTATGTTATATTGAAGTAAATACAGATGATGTCCTGCATATTCTGAGGGGGGAGGGATTTTACTCCTGTAAAAATCATTCTGCAGGGGTCCAAAGTACAAGTCTGGAGAGGAACTCTGGCAGCAGTTTCAAAGAGAGGCACCTTTTTTGTGAATATTGACATTTATGCCAACCATCTATTGTGAACTTCCTATTCATGTGGTCTTTGTGGAGCCAGAAGCACTGATTTCTTTATATTAAACATAGCAATCTATGTCAGTTCATTCAACCCCATTACAGTACAATGAGTTAAATACGTGCTGTGGTCCAGTTGAATATTAGGTATGAATACAATGCAAATGTAGCCTGAAATCTAGATCCTTCTGAAGTGAAGAGACAGTGTGCTGTTTTTAAAGACTGTATCTATTTTGGTAAGATCAATAAATCAGAGGAAACTATTTTCTAGCATTTCTATTATAATAAACGAGAATAGATTTCAAAGAGAAGTTTTGCAGATCAAGGGCCCCAAAGTGTTATAAAGCTGTTTTCTTACATTTTTGAAGGCTAAGGAGCAAATAAAGATGAGTGATTCAGTATCACTAGCTTGGGGTAAGCGCTGTTCAAAGCGCACTGCCTCGCTTTCCCCCATTCATTCCTCTTCACTTCTATAAGCTGGCTGCTGTTATTTTTCCATTTTACAGCTGAGCAAACTAAATCCCGGGGAGCTAATGTAGCTTGCCCACAGTCTCACAGTCAGTAAGCAGAGAAGCTGGACTCAAGCCAAGGCAGGTAGCCTCCAGAGGCCATGCTCTTAGCTGTGTTGTTGTATTTCTAAAGGAAAAGTTTCGGTAAAAGGAACAGAGTGAGCATTTATGCATGGTTGAAATGAGGACAGTTCAGTTTTGTTAACTAACATTCCCTATCTCTTCAGACCGCTATGAGAATCCTACTGAAAACCTTTGCAACAGTGGCAGAGTTTAAAAGGGTCAGTGTGCACATTGCTCCCTGCAATGAACATCTTGTTTTAAAAGAAAAAAAATTACCCGTAATTTTGAAGACATAAGTACAAATTTAAGTAACTGTCTGCAGGCACATGAGCTCTAAATGGTTAGTGTTGTGGTAAAAAAATGCAGATTGTGATGGCATAAATGAGTCTTCATTACATCATTTTTTAATCCATTACACCATTATAGTGTGATAGTACTTTATATATATATTTGCTATGTTATTTTTATGTTATTTTTTCTTTTGTGTGTATCAGAGTCTTACTCCATCACCCAGGCTACCCAGGCTGGAGTGCAGTGGCATGATCTTGGCTCACTGCAACCTCCACCTCTCAGGTCAAGTTCAAGCAATTCTCGTGCCTCAGCCCCCAACACTGAGTAGCTGAGACTGCAGGTGCATGCCACCACGCCCAGCTAATTTTTTGTACTTTTTAGTAGAGATGAGGTTTCACCATGTTGTCTAGGCTGATCTTGAACTCTTGGCCTCAAGTGATCTGCCCACCTCAGCCTCCCAAAGTGCTGGGATTGCAGGCATGAGCTACCGTGCCTGGGCTGTTGCATTATTTTTAAATCGAATCTTTGGTGACTGAGAAGATACCTTACTGAAATTACTATTTAAACTCACTCAAAATAGGTTTTTAAAAATGTTTACATTTTTAAATATCCATGTGGAAAAGGAAATGTTTGACACATGTTCCGTGCCTCATGGCACCTACCTGGATTTTCCAGAAATGATGCTGGTGTCTAGCATCTCTAAAAACCCCTACTTCTTTCAAGGTCTCTTCAACCATTGGTAGAATCACACCTTCTACCATTGCCACTTTTGGATTTGAAACAGTTTTTTGGGACTTCGCAACAATCATTGGTTTGTTCCATCTGCCTCCTTTCTAGTTTTCTCATTAAAGTTTTTCTGGATGACAGCGATGATTTCCTACTCTTTTTCAAAGCCCATCTTCTTGTGCATCATACTATGACTTCACGTTCAACATCAGGAAATTCAGAGGAGGCAAAATGCCTCTCATTCTTCTCTCTAAGGGATCTAGTAAGAACATTAATGCCACTGGCAAAATCTTTTTTGCGAACTTTATTTGAATAGCCAGATGTTTGTGCAAAATATAATGAGCTACTAGAACTGAAGATTTTCCTTTATATCAGACAATTCTGGTTATTATCAGGACAGGTTTCTAACATTTGCAAAGTGTGTGCAGTCCTTTTAAATCACACGGTGGGCATTTGCCATTTCAGGGCTGGGCAAATAGATTGGTTCCCTCGTTGTTAACAGGCCCCCACACAAGGGAGTTGCAGAAAAGACAACCAGTTGCTTAGGTCTTTCAAGTTAATAAAAATATCTTAAAGGGCTCATTTATCTGTGTCCCAGTTAATGACTGGTGACATCTAGTGGTGGCTGGATTGCAGGCACTCAAATGGCTTTCCCCTGGAGAGGCAGATCCAAAATAAACTGTAGAAATGTTTTTCAAGCCTCTCAGATGAGACATTTACAGACTGATGAGGTCAAACCCCATCACCACGTAGCCCAATTGCCAAATCACCCATCACCAGCCATCAGCCATCACTGAGGATTAGCCGTTAGCTCCACGTGGGGAGAATCCATCAGGTCCCCTCCTGCAGAAGCATGCCCTTCCCAACAGTACTGTCTCATGGAAAGTCAGCTTCAGGTCGGGCACGGTGGCTCACGCCTGTAATTCCAGCACTTTGGGAGGCCGAGGTGGGTGGATTACCTGAGGTCAGAAGTTCGAGGCCAGACTGGCCAACATGGCGAAAACCCATCTCTACTAAAAATACAAAAATTAGCCGGGCGTGGTGGCGGGCGCCTGTAGTCCCAGCTACTCGGGAGGCTGAGGCAGGAGAATTGCTTGAACCCTGGAGATGGAGGTTGCAGTGAGCTGAGATCGCGCCATTGCACTCCAGCCTGGGCAACAGAGTTGGACTCCGTCTCAAAAAAGAAAGTCAGCTTTAGGTCGTCTCTTTGCATTTGTGGCAGTTCGAGAGTAGGAAGCATTTGTATCTCCCTGGAAGAGTTTCCACTTCTGAAGCCAACCCATAATGGCAGCTTCTTTATTAAAATATGTGCAGTGGAAATTATGCTAATTAAGCTGGAGTGTAATTATAGACTAGAAAGATTCTCTCTTGCAGTCTGAATTGAATTGTTGTAGATAAATGTGCATTAACTTAATAGTGTACAGCTAATTATGAAAGGTAAAGGGGAGGAAGAGATGTAATCAGTTCCACAATGTTTTAGAGATGCCGCTCTCCCAAGCGAACCCTCCCATGAAAGCCCAGGTAACCCTGTAATGAGAATTCTTCTAGCATTTGTGCCTGATTTTCAATACTGCAATTAAAATGGCCACTGGTGACTAATTAACCCATTTAACTCTATTTGTCTGTGGCACTTATTACAGCAGAGAGTTAAATGTGGTGACACTCTGCAGCTTTATGTCTTGTTCCAAGTATATTTGTGAAGTTAATTCCTTATTCTTTATTTATGCTTTTGTGTGTATTTATGATAATTATGGAAATGAGGCGAGAATCCATTGGCCCAGTGTGATTTTGCCATGCTCAACTAAAGCTGTATTCTGGGAAATAAATTATTTTTACTTAGAATTCAAACAAAGCCCAAGTGGTAGCAATACCTTTTGAGTCTGAGTTATTAATTTGAAGGATCTGAGAGGCATCAACATCATGCTGTAGTTAGGTGACGAAAAAGTTATTTTATTTTGTCAACTAAAGATCTCTAAATTCTGTTAGTAATGTGGATTTTTGTCTTTATGGATCAAAACTACCTGAACCAGTAAATGAAAGGTACTTTAAAAAATAGAAAGAGATGACCAGGCCTGGTGGCTCACACCTCTAATCCCAGCACTTTGGGAGGCTGAGGTGGGCAGATCACAAGGTCAGGAGTTCCAGACCAGCCTGGCTAACATGGTGAAACCCAGTCTCTACTAAAAATAAAAAAATTACCTGAGCATGGTGGTGCGATCCTGTAATCCCATCTACTCGGGAGGCTGAGGCAGGAGTATTGCTTGAACTGGGACCTGGGAGGCGGAGGTTGCAGTGAGCCAAGATTGCACCACTGCATTCCAGCCTGGGCTACAGAGCGAGACTCCATCTCAAAAAAAAAAAAAAAAAAAAAAAAATAGAGAATACATACAGTGATGCTGAGTGATTTGCAACTGATTTTGGACAACTTAATGCTATATGTCTTCTGAGCAGAACAGTTTAACACTCAGTCAAACGCTCCTAGAGTGTTTGGAGTACTTTTGTATTAAGGGAATAAAAGATTCAGCAAAACGCTACTGAGTAATACAGGAGTATGGTTTGGGGGCAAGTAAAAGGCCCGTCTGCAGTGTGGAGAGGAGCTTTGCAGAGGGTGGGACCATCCTGCAAAAGAAGGGCTTGTGTTGTGGGACATCACCCTCATGGTTTCTCCTGTGTGCCCCAGAAACTTGAAAGAAATCCCTTTAATTGTTTTTTCAGCTAGGAAAACCACCAGAAACTTTGAGATGTACATCAAGCTTTCACTGATTCCCTAAGATTTTTGTTTCCTCTGTTCTCTCATGTACATTATTTTTTCCAGTCCTATACACAGATTGTTTGAGACACTAATGTTCAATAACTCTGAATTTTAATTTCCTGAATCTTCTAACATATGTAACTTCTTTAGAACATTTATGGCAGTTTTTTTGATTTAATACAATTTAGCCTGTGTTTGTTTTGCTTCGAACTTGTTGATATCTTTCTTTTGCCAAGATAATATAGTTCTAAAATATATAATTTATGGCAGTTTTTTTGATTTAATAAAATTTAGCCTGTCTTTGTTTTGCTTTGAACTTGTTGATCTAGTTCTTTTGCCAAGATAATATAGGTATTGGAAAAGCTTGCTATTTATTTATTTATTT
Source organism: Homo sapiens (assembly GCF_000001405.40). NCBI lineage: Eukaryota > Metazoa > Chordata > Mammalia > Primates > Hominidae > Homo > Homo sapiens. The sequence continues at coordinate 11,264,936 of NC_000005.10, read as the reverse complement.
TTTAATGAGACGGGGTCTTACTCTGTCACCCAGGCTGGAGTGCAGTGGCACAATCTTGGCTCACTGCAACCTCCGCCTCCCAGGCTCAAGTGATCCTCCCATTTCAGCCTCCTGTGTAATTGGGACCACAGGCACACTCCATCATGCCTGGCTAATTTTTTGTATTTTTAGTACAGACAGGGTTTCCCCATGTTGCCTAGGCTGGTCTTGAACTCCTGAGCTCAGGCCAACCGCCTGCCTCGCCCTCCCAAAGTGCTGGTATTATAGGCATGAGCCACCACACCCAGCCAATGAATACACTTTTAACAAAAGTGCAGAATTGTTCTTGCCTCTAAGATAGTGTAGCCGAGTGATTACAACGGCGGCTTCTGGAGATGTGGTGTCAGTTGAAACTCCAGGGCTACCCTGTATTCACTGTGTGATTTTTCTACAAGATTGTAAACTTTCAACCTCACTTCCCTCACCTGTGAACCCAGTAAAACCATTATCTTCCTCAAACAGTTTCAGCAGTCATCAGCAAACTGTATCCCATGGGCCAAATTTGGCCCACTGTTTGTTTCTGAAAATAAAGTTTTATTGGAACATAGCCATGCCCACTGCCACAGCCTACCCTAATCCAATATGACCTCATAACTTACTTACATCTGCAAAGACCCTGTTTCCAAATAAAGTCACATTCACAGGTTCTGGATTCGCCAGTTCAGTATAGCTTTTTGAAGGACACAATTCAACCCATAATATCAAATGACTATCCTTTGGAAAATTGACAATTCTCCTTGTATTTTAAACTATATATTAGATAGACCAAATAATTGAAATAAGTATTTCAGTTAATTGGTCATTCTGATGGCCAGAACTAAGAATAAAGACTTATCAGAATGCTCTTAGCAAAACATGTTTTAAAAGAACATCTATGTTAGTTGATTCGAAGGTGAACGTGAGATTACAGATGACGTGCCACCAGAGGGAAGACGATTTCAAATGCATGGAAAGAAAGACCTTGTCCAGGGCAAAGGAGACCCTAATCCACTGCATCTGAGCTATTCACACCACACCTGGGACGCTGTGTCTAGTTATTGGCAGTTCCAGAAACAGACACATGCACAAACTGGAGTGTGTTTAGAGTAGAGGACAAAAGACTCAAAATCATCAGCTGAGGAATACTGGGTATTTGATGAAATTAACTGTAAAGAGTTTAGGGTGGGTGTAAGTGCAGAGATACACACAGTAACTGTAAAGGCATGAATTCAAGGCTCATACTGGAAAATACAAAGATATATTTTACAAGTGGTTCATGGTGCCACCACTGATAACATTATTCACGTTTATTCTCTCCCAGGCTTTTTAAATTCTCTTAATTTTCTTATTCATTCTTTTCCTCTGTCTTCACTCTTTCTCCACCTCACACACACACACTCACACACACACATACATGCACACACACATTTGTAATCATAGTTCCAATATGGATTTATATCTTTTTTTATTGACTATCATTTCATGAGCATTTTT